>NT_187607.1:1329850-2659700 GCF_000001405.40 Homo sapiens
GCCACACCACGCCTGGCTAATTTTTGTTATTTTTTGTAGAGACGGGTTCATGTGCCCATGCTAGTCTGGGACTCCTGAGCTCAAGTGATCCGCCTGCCTCGGCCTCTCAAAGTGCTGGGATTACAGGTGTGAGCCACTGCGCCTGGCTGATTATAGTTCCTAAATTGAAGGGGACTCTGGGTTGAAAAGCTGGGTAGGAGGAAGATTAGTGGTATGAACTGCAGTTTGGAGAGGATAACAGGCCCTCCATGGATCCTGAGTAAAATATCAAGAGAATTACTCAGTAATTCTCTGCTTCAAGACTGAGCTCTTGGGCCTGGCGTGGTGGCTGATGCCTGTAATGCCAGCACTTTGGGAGACCGAGGCGGGCGGATCATGAGGTCAAGAGATTGAGACTGTCCTCGCTAACATGGTGAAACCCCGTCTCTACTAAAAATAAAAAAATTAGCTGGGCATGGTGGCGCACACCTGTAGTCCCAGCTACTCGGGGGCTGAGGCAGGAGAATTGCTTGAACCTAGGAGGTGGAGGTTGCAGTGAGCTGAGATTGCGCCACTGTACTGCAGCCACATGTCAGATGCAGGAGACTCAGAGCACACAGCACAGTGAAGAAACAGGGTACCTTGGAATAACGAGGACCCTGCCACCAGCAAGTATTTGTCAGTCACCTAAGAGAAATATATTCAGCTGGGCCGGACTTCTTAACAACTGGCTTATTCATCACGGGTTGAATGAAAAAGCCTTTAAGGGACCAAACAGAGCATCTATTGATGCCCCCATCAGCTGACAGCTTATTCGAATTAGCCCCAAATGGCAGCACAACATTTCAGCAACAGGTTTTCATGTCCACAGGTTCCGAGGAGATCTCTCAATCGCCAGTGCAGTCGGTGGAGCCCACTCGCTGCGTCCTCCTGGAGCCTGCGTTTGAATTTAGGTTAATGACTTAAGATCCTGTTTTATTTGGAGATGTTCCCAAATAAAGGGTGTGAGGCGATGAGAGCCACGCCTGGGAACAGGGCCTGGTCTGCCTCTACTTGCTGGGTGCAGATACTTCTCTGCTTACAGCCAGGAAATGGGGAGGGTGCTGCGGGCGGCAGCAGGGATGTGGTCCGCCCTCCTCATCCTTCCAACGCTGTAAATCATCTGTTTGTTCTTTCTTTGGAGTCTTCTTGCACAATGGCTCTCGCCACGCCTCTCTGGCCTAGGCACCATTACATCACCCTGGGTGCATCCGGACTTTCTAGCAACGGCTTTGTTTACTTGATTGAGTAAAGAGAAGTTGGCCTTTTTTAACTTTTAAATTAGACCTTGCGCCTTTCTTGTGGGAAGTGTTTTCTCTTATGTTTGTAGAATCTAGGATGGGTGTTTTGTGTTTTCGGTTTTGATTTTTTTTTGAGATGGGGTCTCTGTCACCCAAGCTGGAGTGCAGGGGCACAATCTTGGCTCACTGCAACCTCCGCCTCCCGGGCTCAAGCGATTCCCCTGCCTCCCGGGTAGCTGGGACCATAGGCACTTGCCACCACACCCAGCTATTTTTTGTATTTTTGGTAGAGACGGGGGTTTCACCGTGTTGGCCAGGCTGTTCTCAAACTCCTGACCTCAAGTGATCTGCCCGCCTTGGCCTCCCAAGTAGCTGGAACTACAGCCGTGCACCACTATGCCGGGCTAATTTTTGTATTTTGGTTTCGCCATGTTGCCCCAGGCTGGTGATTTTTTTTTTTTTTTTAAGCGTTGGCCTGGGCTAGAGTGCAGTGGCATGATCATAGTTTACTGGAGCCTCAACCTCCTGGCCTCAAGCAGTCCTCCCACCTCAGCCTCCCCCATAGCTAGGACTGCAGGTGCATGCCACCACGCCTGGCTGTTCTTAAATTTTCTGTAGAGATGGAGTCTTCCTATGTTGCCTAGGCTAATATGCCTCTGCCACCTGAGGTGCTGGGATTGCGGCATGAGGCACCGCACCTGGCTCTGGGTGTTTGGTGAAGGAAAGTAATTTGGAAGCAGAGCAGGAATAGAATCGAGAGAGCACGGGAACGGGCAGGTGATCTGGATTGAGATGGTTTAGGGCTGGTTAGCATAATTGCTTAAGGACACCTGCTCAGGAGGCTGGGGTTTGGTCTTGGCCCAGTCATTTGCTACTGGTTGATTCTGGGCTAGTTAAGTAATTGAGTCTCAGTGTTCATGTCTCTGAAGTGGAATTAAACGAGACAACATAGGAAGTGTACTTAGCCTGGAGGCCAGCACAGAATAAGTATGTAATGGATGTTATTGCTGCAGCTGGCAACAGGGAATCATTGAGAAGTGCGCTGGACTGTTTCTTTGGTAATTAACAAGATCTCCCTCTCTGTCTCTCTCCTCTCCTTTTCTCTCCCTTTCCCTTCCTCCATCTTCTCCCTCCCTTCTGTCTTAGTTTTTGTTTGTTTGTTTTGAGATGGAGTCTTGTTCGTCGCCCAGACTAGAGAACAGTGGCACAATCTCTGCTCACTGCAACCTCCGCCTCCTGGGTTCAAGCGATTCTCCTGCCTCAGCCTCCCGAGTGGCTGGGATTATAGACAACGCACCACCACACTCGGCTAATTTTTTTTTGCATTTTTGGTAGAGACGGGGTTTCACCATGTTGTCCAGGCTGGTCTTGAACTCCTGACCTCAGGTGATCCACCTGCCTCAGCCTCCCAAATTGCTGGGATTACAGGTGTGGGTCACTGCTCCCGGCCTGTCTTTGTTTTTAAACCCAGAGATTGGAATGTTCTTTCTGTCTCCATGCTACAACGGAGAGTCCTGGATCAAAAATTCAGAATAATTGACTGTTGTGTAAACCAAGTACATGCTGCTCTCCCATTGTTGTGGGCACAAACAACAGAAGTCATTGAGATTCCTTTTTTTTTGCTTTTTGAGATAGCTGGGTCTCACTCTGTTGCCCAGGTTGGAGTGCAGTGATGCAATCACGGCTCACTGCAGCTTCAACCTCCCAGGCTCAAATGGTGTTCCCATCTCAGCCTCCTAACTGGGACTACAGGCGACGCCACCATGCCCTGCTAATTTTTATTTTTTGTAGAGACTGAGTCTGGCTCTGTGGGCCACGCTGGTGACTCTTTGTAATACGGTGATAATGTGTGAAAGCAGGCTTGCGTTGCCCCTGTGGATGAGGCTTGGAGAGGTCCATGTGGCTTTCTTTGGTTGTGGACACCTTGGGCAGAATGATTTGTCTGAAGATTGCTGGGGGCTTCAGACAATGATTTGTCTGAAGATTGTGGGAACCAGGTTTGGGAGTGGGCAGGATTCAAGGTGCTCAAGGGGCAGGAGGTGGGAGGCACTTAGGACATAATTGAAACAGTTATTCAGTGTGCCTGCCTGCCCGCCCCCTCCCAGTCCCCCACCACTGCCAGAGAGTTTTGCTCTTGTTGCCCAGGCTGGAGTGCAATGGCACGATCTGGGCTCACTGCAACCTCCGCCTCCCGGGTTCAAGAGATTGGCCTGCCTCAGCTTCCCAAGTAGCTGGGATTATAGACGCCCGCCACCAGGCCCAGCTAATTTTTTGTATTTTTAGTAGATACGGGGTTTCGCCATGTTGCCAGGCTGGTGATTTTGGGTTTTTTTTTTTTTTTGCTTGTTTTTTTTAAGTGTCGTGGTCTCACTCTGTGGCCTGGGCGGGAGTGCAGCGGCGTGATCATAGCTCACTGCAGCCTCAACCTCCTGGTCTCAGGCAGTCTTCTTGCCTCACCCTCCCAAGTAGCTAGGACTACAGGTGCATGCCACCACGCCTGGCTGTTTTCACATTTTTTGTAGAGGCAGAGTCTTGCCCAGGCTGGTCGAGAACTCCTGGGCTCAAGCAATCCTGCCTCTGCCACCTGAAAGTGCTGGGATTACAGGCATGAGGCACCACACCTGGCTCTGGGTGTTTGGTGAAGGAAAGTAATTTGGAAGCAGAGCCGGAACAGAATCAAGAGAGCTCGGGAGTGGGCAGGTGATCTGGATTGAAATGGTTTGGGGCTGGTTAGCATAATTGCTTAAGGACACCTGCTCAGGAGGCTGGGGTTTGATCTTGGCTCAGTCATTTGCTACCAGTTGATTCTGGGCTAGTCAGGTCACTGAGCTTCAGTGTTCATGTCTCCAAAGTGGGATTAATGAGACAACATAGGTGGTGTACTTAGCCTGGAGGTGGCACAGAATAAGTATGTAATGGATGTTATTGCTGCAGCTGGCAACAGGGAATCATTGAGAAGTCAGCTGGACTGTTCCTTTGGTAATTAACATAGATCTCTCTCCCTTTCCTTCCCTCTCCCTCCCTTCCTCTCTCCTCTGTCTCCCTTCCTCTCTCCTCTCTCTCCCTCCCCCATTTTATCCCCTCCTTTTCTCCCTCCTTCTTTTTCTTTCTTTCTTTGTTTTTCTGGTTTTTTTTTTTTTTTTTGAGACAGAGTCTCGCTGTTATTGCCCAGGCTGGAGTGCAGTGGTGCAACCTCCGCCTCCCGTGTTCAAGCGATTCTCCCGCGTCAGCCTTCTGAGTAGCTGGGATTATAGGCATGCACCACCACGCCTGGCTAATTTTTTTGTATTTTTAGTAGAGTCCAGATTTCACCATGTTTTCGAGGCAGGTCTCAAACTTCTGACCTCAGGTGATCCGCCCACCTCAGCCCTCCAAAGTGCTGGGATTACAGGTGTGAGCCACTGCGCCTGGCCTGTCTTTATGTTTTTAAATAACCTAGAGATCAAACTGTTCCTTTTTTCTCCATGTCACAACGGGGAGTCCTGGATCAAAAATTCAGAATGGCGGACTGTTTTAAAACCAAGTTCATGCTGCCCTCCCATTGTTGTGGGCACAAACAACGGACGTCATTATGATTTCTTTCCTTTTGAGGCAGCAGGGAGTTGCCCAGGCCGGAGTGCAGTGGTGCCTTCACAGCCCACTGCAGCTTCGACCTCTCAGGCTCGAATGGTCCTCCCACCTCAGCCTCGCGAGTAGCTAGGACTACAGGCAAGAGCCACCATGCCCTGCTAGTTTTTATTTTTTGTAGAGGCCAGGTCTCACTCTGTGAGCCGGGCTGGTGACTCTCTTTGTAATACACTGATGATATGTGTGAAGGAGGCCCATGTTGCCGTGTGGATGAGGCTTGGAGAGGTTTACGTGGCTTGCTTTGGCTGTGGACACCTTGGGTAGAATGATTTGTCTGAAGAATGATGGAGGCTATAGGAATCTCAACCCTGTTGAGAGTAGGCAAGATTCAAGGTGCTCAGGGGGCAGAGGCACTCAGGACATAATTAAAACAGTTGGTCCGTTGTGCCTGCTTTGAATGACACCTGCCTGTTCCCACCACGTTACATCACTTGCCTAAGAGTCAGCTCTGGAGAGAAGGTTCTGTTGACTGAGCCTGGCTTGTCTCCCGATTGTGGTGGGAGGGTGGGACAGAAAGCCTGGAGCCCCACCCAGGGAGTGTGGTGGGAGGAGTAGTTTCATAAAGAGAGAGGGTCAGGCCAGGTGCAGTGGCTCACACCTGTAATCCCAGCACTTTGGGAGGCCGAGGCGTGCAGATCACTTGAGGTGTCAGGAGTTCAAGACCAGCCTGGCCAACGTGGTAAAACCCGGTCTCTACTAAAAATACAAAAATTAGCCACTATTGTTGGTGGGTGGCTGTATTCCCAGCCACTTGGGAGGCTGAGGCAGGAGCATTGCTTGAACCTGGGAGGCAGAGGTTGCAGTGAGCCAGGATCTTGCCGCTGCACTCAAGCCTGGGCAACAGAGTGAGACTCGGCCTCAAAAGAAAAAAAAAAAAACACGGAGTCTTGCTGTGTTGCCCAGGCTGGAGTGGAGTGTTACAGTCATAGCTCACTGCAGCCTCTAACTCCTGGGCTCAGGCAGTCCTCCCAGTTTAGCCTCCCGAGTAGCTGTGACTCCAGGTGGATGTGTGCTACTGTGTCTAGCCTTCTCAGAAGTCTTAAGTCATTCACTCAGTGTCTGTGTTGTCCTTCAGGAGAAGTTTGAAGTGCAGCACTCTGAAGGCTACCGGCAGATCTCAGCCTTGGAGGATGACCTCGCGCAGACCAAAGCCATTAAAGACCAATTGCAGAAATACATCAGAGAGCTGGAGCAAGCAAATGACGACCTGGAAAGAGCCAAGCGGTATGGGTGGAAGGGAAAAGCACGAGTGGGAGACTCTCCTCTCTGCTTTTTGTCCCCAGCAGCTGGGTACTGGGCCCTGTGCTGAGTATAGGGAACTAAGCAGTGAGCAGAACAAAGCCAGTGCCCTTCTGGATTTTAGTGCCCGGGGGGAAATGGACAATAGTCGAAGAAGTGCAATTTCATTACAGCAGCAAGGCTGGCAGCCCAGGGTGCTGTGGGGGTGTGTAATAGGATGTATTAATTTGGCTGTTGGCCTGGGAGCGTCAGGCGAGCCTTACCAGGGGAAATGCTATTTAGGCTAAGACCAGAGGAATGAGTAGCCATGATGCCAGGAGGGGTGTGAGACAAGAACATTCCAGACAGAACACCAAGCCTGTGCTAAGCCCCTAAGGTGGGAAGGAAGCTTTTTCAAAGAACAGTTTTTTGTTTTTTTTTGGAGACGGAGAGTCTCTGTCGCCAGGTTGGTGTACAGTGGCGTGATTTCGGCTCACTACAATCCCTGCCTCCTGGATTCAAGCAATTCTCATGCCTCAGGCTCCTGAGTAGCTGGAATTACAGGCACGTGCCACCACACCATTCTAATTTTTGTATCTTTAGTAGGGATGGGCTCTTGCCATGTTGGCCAGGCTGGTCTCAAACTCCTTAGCCTCCAAAGTGCTGTGATTACAGGTGTGAGCCACTGCGCCCAGCCCAGTGATTCCTAAACTGATGTTCTGTGGTTTAGCAGAATGATAATGACTAACATTTACAGAAGAATTACTCTCAGCCAAGCAGTTTTTTTGGATAAGAACACTTGTTTTTAAAAAATTTATATATGAATTATATACAGTGAAATGCGCAGATGTGGCCAGGCACGGTGGCTCACGCCTGTAATCCCAGCACTTTTGGAGGCCGAGGTGGGCGGATCACGAGGTCAGGAGATCGAGACCATCCTGGCTAACATGGTGAAAACCCGTCTCTACTAAAAATACAAAAAATTAGCCGGGCGTGGTGGCGGGTGCCTGTAGTCCCAGCTAGTCGGGAGGCTGAGGCAGGAGAATGATGTGAACTGGGAAGGGCGGAGCGTGTAGTGAGCCGAGATTGCGCCACTGCACTCCAGCCTGGGCGACAGAGCTAGACTCTGTCTCAAAAACAAAACAAAACAAAAAACAACAAAAAAACAAAAAAAGCACAGATGTTTTTTCTTTTATTTATTTTTGGAAACAGGGTCTTGCTCTGTTACCCAGGCTGGAGGGCAGTGGTGCCACCATAGTGCATTGCAGCCTGAAACTTCTGGGAGCAAGTGATCCTCCTGCCTCAACCTCCCAAAGTTCTGGAATTACTGGCATGAGCCACTGCACCCGGCCTCCTCAGAGAGTTTTTTTTCTGCCTCATTCTTTTTCTCCTGTCCGTCTCGGACGCCATCTATACACATAACCTTTTTATATTGTCAGGCAGGTTCCTAAGGCTCTCTTCATTTTTCTTTTCCCTAATTATTTTTTTGTCTTTGTTCTTCAAATTGAATAATTTCTGTTTATCCAGTTTCAAGTTGATAGACGCCCTCTTCTCTCTCCAATCTGCCATTATAGCAGATGAAATATTGAATTTTCAATATATTGTATTTTTAGATGTAGGATTTGTGTTTGTTCTTTTATAATTTCTGTTCTATTGAGGTTTCTTGACATCCTTGAGCATAGTTGTAAGAGCTGCTTTGAGGTCCTTTTGTGCAGTTTTCAACATCTGGGTCACATTTTCTTTATACTCCACGCATTCAATAACTTTGGGGTTGTATTGTAGGCAGTGTGAGTGGTGTTTCCCACGTGGTGTTTCCCACAGACTATTAGTTGTTTTTTGTTTTTGTTTTTGTTTTAAGACAGTCTTGCTCTGTCGCCCAGGCTGGAGTGCAGTGGTGCGATCTCTGCTCACTGCAACTTCCACCTCCCAGATTCAAGTGATTCTCCTGCCTCAACCTCCGGAGTAGCTGGGATTACAGGTGTGTGTTACCACACCCGGCTAATTTTTGTATTTTTAGTAGAGATGGGATTTCACCATGTTGGCCAATCTGGTCTCATACTCCTGACCTGAGGTGATCTGCCTGCCTCGGTCTCCGAAAGTGCTGGGATTACGGGCTTGAGCCACCATACCCAGCCAGAGATGATGAATTCTTTTATGTTCTTGATTTATTTGGTTTTCTTAGGTGGTTTACTTGGCTGAGCTTACAGCCCAAATTCTGTCTCCCCTTTGATGGGCAGTAGCTGAAATCTCTTTGCTTTTTTTAGCCGTAACTGGGCTGCTTTGTGTCTGCTCTGTGCACGTGTGGTTTGGGGGAGGCCAGAGATGTGGGAAGATACTATATTCAGAATGTGGGGGGGCCCACGGTGATAGATTTCTATCCCTGGAGCTTTAGGCAAAAATCTTGTAAAGATGCAGACTTCACCCAGTCTTGTTCTGTTTTTCTAAGCGTTGTTTTCCAGTTCCTGCCAGTGCACTCAGATTATTGTTGTAAACATTTTACTTAGAATTTATACGAGGTTTGATCTGATACAGGTTTCCTGGTCATTACCAGAAGTGGAAATTCCTTTCTTGTCAATCTGTAGGAGTTCTTTGCATATATATATTTTTTGAGATGGAGTCTCGCTCTGTCTCCCAGGCTGGAGCTGGAGTTCAGTGGTGTGATCTCAGGTCACTGCAACCACTGCCTTCCTGCTTCAAGTGATTCTCCTGCCTCAGCCTCCCAAGTAGCTGGGATTACAGGCGCCCCCCACCACGCCTGGCTAATTTTTGTATTTTTAGCAGAGACGGAGTTTTGCGATGTTGGAGAGGCTGGTCTTGAACTCCTGACCTCAAGTGATCCACCTGCCTCAGATTCCCAAAGCTGGAATTACAGGCATGAACCACTGTGCCTGGCCCTTTGTATATTTTTACTACTAATCTTTTCTCCTGCATTGAAAATAATTTTTTCCGTGGTAATCTTTTGTTTGTTGACTTTGTCTATTGTATCATTTTCCATACAAATATTTCCTTTTTTCTCTTTTGAAAAAAAATTTTTTATACATGTATTTTTCATTTTTAGGTCATCAGTTACATCTTTTTTTAAATACCTTCTAGGTTTGCAGATTTCACTAGGGAAGTCTCCTTGGTTCTTGATTGTTCATGTGTTTTGTGTTTTTTTTGCAATATTTTTTAATTGTTTAATTTTTTTGTATCCTTATTCCTTAGTCTGCAATGAATTTATTTTTGTATCTAGTATAAGATACAAGTTCAATTTTATTTTTATTTTCTTTAGGTGGATAGCCCAGTTGTGCCAGCACTGTTAAACACTGCCTTTTTTTTTTTTTTTTTTTTTTTTTTTTTTGAGACTGGGCCTCGCTCCATTGCCCAGAGTAGAGTGCCATGGTGCAATTACAGCTCACTGGAGCCTTGACCTCCTGGGGCAAGTGATTCTCCCACCTCAGCCTCCTGAGTGTCTGGGACTATAGGCATGTGCCACTATACCTGGCTAATTTTTGTATTTTTTGTAGATACAGGGTTTTTCCATGTTGCCTAGGCTGGTCTCAAAGTCCTGGACTCGGTCTGTCCACCTTGGCCTCCCAAAGTGCTGGGATTATAGGCATGAGCCACCATACCCGGCCTTTGGCATATTTTAAAATTGGGTTGTTCGTTGTTTTTTTTCCCATGATTTCTAGGAGATTTTTATATATTTGTCTGTGACATGAATGGACAGTATTGGGAGTTTGTCATTTGTTTCCAGCTTTGTCTGATGTATATTTTATTGTACAGAGTTACTGATTTGTTTTGTTTTGAGTCAGAGTCTTGCCCTATGGCCCAGGCTGGAGTGCAGGTGCAGGATCTCGGCTAACTGCAACCTCCACCCTCCCAGGTTCAAGCTATTCTCCTGCCTCAGCCTCCCAAGTAGCTGGGATTACAGGCGCCCACTGCCACGCCTGGCTAATTTTTGTATTTTTAGCGGAGATGGGGTTTCACCATGTTGGCCAGGCTGGTATTTGATTTTTTTGTAGTCAGATTTCTTAGTCATAGTTAGAAGGGCCTTGTGCACTCCAAGGTTTATAAAGCAATTAGCCAAGTGTTTTCTTGTAGTATTTTTGTTTTTTCTTTCTTTTCTATTTTTATTTTTGTACTAAACGTGCATTGTTTTTGTTAATACAATTTGGCCAAATGCTGAATAGTTTAGTGTTAAAAATCGGATGAGGTAGAAGCCCAGTTCACCATTATAGAATCAATAAAGTTCTAGGTCACCAAAGTTTTATGTATTTATGTTTTGAGACAAGGTCTCTCTCTGTCGCCCCTGCTGGAGTGCAGTGGCACGATCACTTCAGCCTCCCCAGTAGCTGGGACTACAGTCATGTGCCACCATGACTCACTAATTTGTGTATTCTTTGTAAAGACCGGGTTTCTCCATGTTGCCTAGGCTCCAAAGCTTTATTTTAAAGACTTGAAAATGTTACAATTTTGTGCAAGTTTAATAGTTATATTTAGAACGTTTGACAGTCTTCTCCAAGAACAAGAGTTTCTCAGCACCATCAGCTGTTTGATTGCTCTCATGGTCCTTCTTCTATACGTCCCTCAAACGAAACTACTCACTTTTAACTGAGGACAGGCACTTTGTATAAGAATAACCTTGAAAAGTGTGCAGGACCTAATTGGAAGTAACTAAAAATTAAATACATTTCCTAAAGGTTACTTTGTTTCATATGAGTACTAAGATGCCAAAAAGTTTTACAAAAATTCAAATAGATTTAATCTAGTTTTACTCTTTTCATAAGTTTTTCATTTTATTTTATTTATTTATTTTTGAGACAGAGTCTTGCTCTGTAGCCCAGGCTGGAGTGCAGTGGTGCGATCTTAGCTCACTGCAGCCTCTGCCTCCCAGGTTCAAATGATTTTCCTGCCTCAGCCTCTCGAGTAGCTGGGACTACATTGCATGTGCCATTATGCCCAGCTAATTTTTCTATTTTTAGTAGAAATGGGGTCTCACCATGGTCCTGACCTCAAGCGATCCACCACCTCGGCCTCCCAAAGTGCTGGGATTATAGCCGTTAGCTCTCACACCCAGTCCAACTTACACATTTTTTTTTTTTAAAGAGATGGGGTCACACAGTGTTTCCCAGGCTGGTCTCAAACTCCTGGATTCAAACAATCTTCCCATCTCGGCTTGCCAAAGTGTTGGGATTACAAGCATGAGCCACTGTGCCCAGCCAATTCCATGGACTTTTAAAGCATTTTTTGGCTCAAAAAGGATATGTTCTTAGTTATCTAACCAGTATATCTCTTTATATTTACTGAAAATCTGTTTTCCTATTTAAGTATTTTCAGGTTCTCAATAACTGCACATGAAATTAACAGCTTTCATAGTCACAAATTATTGCAATATTTTGCTGTTATACTAAATATGGGTTTTTTTTGTTTGTTTTTAAGACAGAGTCTAGCTCTGTTACCCAGGCTGGAGTGCATTGGCACAATCTTGGCTCACTGCAAGCTCCGCCTCCCAGGTTCATGCCATTCTCCTGGCCTCAGCCTCCCGAGTACCTGGGACAACAGGCACCCGCTACCACGAACCGGCTAATTTTTTTGTATTTTTAGTAGAGATGGGGTTTCGCCATGTTAGCCAAGATGGTCTCGATCTCCTGACTTTGTGATCCACCCGCCTCAGCCTCCCAAAGTGCTGGGATTACAGGCACTAAATATGCTTTTATACATTAGTTGACAGAATTTCAACATATAAAATACATAAAGCAATTTTCACTCCAGTTACAACTAGCATGCTGACCTTTATTTCAAAGTAAATACGCTAGGTGAGATAGCTCATGCCTGTAATCTGTCATCTTAGTACTTGGGGAGGCTGAGGCTTGAGTATTGCTTGAGCCCAGGAGTTTGAGGACATCCTGGGCAACATAGTGAGACTCCCGTCTCTAGAAACAAATATAAAAACTAGCCGGCTATGGTAGCTTGTGCCTGTGGTCACAACTACTCGGGAGGTTGAGGTAAGAAGGTGAAAGAATCGCTGGGCGCATTGGCTCACGCCTGTAATCCCAGCACTTTGGGAGGCTGAGGTGGGCGGATCACCTGAGGTTAGGAGTTGGAGACCAGCCTGACAAAGATGGTGAAACCCTGTCTCTACTAAAAATGCAAAAATTAGCCAGGCATGGTGGCAGGCGCCTGTAATCCCAGTTACTTGACAGACTGAGGCAGGAGAATCGCTTGTACCCGAGAGGCGGAGGTTGCAGTGAGCTGAGATTGTGCTGTTGCGCTCCAGCCTGGGCAACAGAGTGAGACTTCATCTCAAAAAAGAAAAAAAAAGGTGAAAGGATGACTTAAACCCAGGGTGTCGAGGTTGCAGGGAAATTCAGAAATGCCACTGAAGGGCCAGGCATGGTGTCCAACACCTACAATCCCAGCACTTTGGGAGGCAGAAGCAGGTGCATCACCTGAAGTCGGGAGTTCGAGACCAGCGTGGCCAACATGGTGGAATGCTGTCTCTACTAAAAATACAAAAATTAGCAGGATGTGGTGGTGCGTGCCTGTAATCCCAGCTACTTGGGAGGCTGAGACAGAAGAATCATTTGAACCCCGGAGGCAGAGGTTGCACTCCGCCTGGGTGACAAGAGTGGAACTCCATCTTAAAAAAAAAAAAAAAAAAGGCACTGAAGCTGGTCCCCAGTTCCCTAGCATTCCAGAAGCAAAATAGATTTTGACCAAATAAGGAGTTTGTTAAAATTTCCGATTCAGTCGGAGTTTGTGTTAGGGTACAGTATGAGGTACGAATCTAATAATTTTTTCCTGGTGGGTACCCAGTGGTCCCTAAAACTAGAACTGAACCTGCCATCTTTTTACCAATGATCTGTGATGCCACCTTTATTATAAATTAAACTCTTGTCTATTTCTGGACCTTTGGTTCCTTTGTTCTTACAACCAGTAGCATACTATTCTTCATTGTTGAGGCTTTATAGTAGTGCGTTCTGACTCTCTGGTAGAGCTAGTTCCCTGATCTCTTTTACAGAGTTCCTCTGATCATTCTTGTTTCATTGTCACAGGATCTTTCAAATCAGTCCAGTTTATTCCCCCAGTAGAAACGTATTAAGACAGTGTTAAATTTATCAGTTTAACTTGTGGAGAATTAATTTCTGCATGATAATGGGTCTTCCTCTTTATATACTCAGTATGTCTGCATTTCTGCAAGCATTCTGTACTACTCTACATATTATTATGTGAATATTTTATCTTTGATATGTCAACCTTAGGGCTGTTTTAACTGTTTCTGGTATTGTACTCCGAAGTATTATCCCTTTGTTGTTGGTAGTAGTGTGTTTTTTGTTTTTGTTTTTCGAGACAGGGTCTGGCATTGTTACCCAGGCTGGAGTGCAGTGGCATAGTCATGGCTTACTGTACCCTTGAATTCCTGGGCTCAAGCAGTCCTCCTACCTCAGCCTCCGAGTAGCTGGGACTACAGGCACGCATCATGCACGGCTAATTTTTTTACTTTTTGTAGAGACAGGGTCTCTCTATATTACCCAGGCTGGTCTTGAACCCTGGGCCTCAAGCGGTCCTCACACCTTGGCCTCCCAAAGTGCTGGGATTATAGGCATGAACCACTGTGCTTGTCCCTTTGTTGTTTTTAATCGGTACTGTGGTAACTTTATCCTATCCACTACTTCTAAAGACCCTGTGAGGGTAGGTACTTGTATGACTCCATCTAGACATAGTAGGATATGTTGAATAAATGAACTGATGCAGCCATTAATCAGTGCAGTTATTAATTTGGTGATTGAAGGAACTGAGGATGAAGGAGATCAAGTTCCGCAATGATACTCAGTGAGTTCTAGGTGGAGGAGGAGCTGGGTGTTAACTCCTGGGTTCCTCTCCAAACACGTGCTTCTGACCACTGTGGGATACAGTTAGCAGGTTGTGTAAGGTCTGGGGACAGACACAGGGTCAATAATAAAAATTGCTGAAAATTTATAGATGTGTGCTTATGTGTAAAACATCTGTTGTGTGCTTCCTGTAGGATTTTTTTTTTTTTTTTGGGAAACATTCTTACTCTGTTGCCCAAGCTGGAGTGCAGTGGCATGATCTTGGCTCACTGCAACATTCACCTTCTGGGTTCAAGCGATTCTCCTGTCTCACCCTCCCGAGCAGCTGGGACTACATGTGTGCACCATCATGCCCGGCTAATTTTTGTATTTTTAGTAGAGATGAGGTTTCACCATGTCGGCCAGGCTGGTCTCGAACTCCTGACCTCAAGTGATCCGCCCGCCTCGGCCTCCCAAAGTGCTGGGATTACAGGCGTGAGCCACCGTGTCCGGGCCTGTATGACTTCTTGCCACCCCTTCCCCACCACAATCCTGCATGAAGGTTACTATTACTATCCTTGTTTTGCATGAGAGAAAACTGAGGTGCAGAGAAGGTGGTTTTCCCAGAATTATAACAGATTGTTTTCTTACAGCACTTGGCAGTGCCTTTACCACAGTGTTTATGCCCTTCACAAGAAGGGGTTGTGAGCAGGGCAGCTGGGCTGGTACTGGGCATTTTGAACTTCCACTGAGAGGTTAAATATGATCTCTTCCACCTGCTTAAGTGCATCTTATGCCTGGCACAATGCCTCATGCCTGTAATCTCAGTAACTCAGGAGGCTGAGGCGGGAGGATCTCTTGAGCCCAAGAGTTTGAGATTGCAGTGAGCTGTGATTGTACCACTGCACTTCGGCCTGAGAGACACAGCAAAAACCTGTGTCTTAAAAAATCATGTTGTTATATGTGTTTATTAGGTTATTATTATTTTGAGATGGAGTCTCACTTTGTTGTCTAGGCTGGAGTGCAGTGGTATAATCTGGGCTCACTACAACCTCTGCTTCCTGGCAGTTCTCCCACCTCAGCCTCCCAAGTAGCTGGGATTACACTACAACTGGCTAATTTTTGTATTTCTAGTAGAGACAGGATTTTGCCATTTGCCCAAGCTTGCCAGGCTGGTCTTGAACTCCTGATCTCAGGTCTTCCACCTGCCTCGGCCTCCCAAAGGGCTGGGATTACAGGCATGAGCCACCTTGCCCAGTCATATTAGGTTATTTTTAATGCTGGTTGGCATTGTGAGCTTGCAAGAGAAGATGGAGCATAGTGGTCTTCTCAAACCACCAAATGCCACATGCAGTCCTGATAGGGCTTTGGCTTATTGCTGAGTGCTGTGTGGGCAGCATCTTATTTAATCCTCATGACAGCCTCGTGCACCCCATGAGCTATGATGAGTCCCATTCTGCAGGTAAAGAGCCCATGCCCCAGAAGGTTAAGGGACTTGGCCCACTCTGTGGCATCTAGGAAGTTTGGGGCTGGGACTTGTGCCCAGGTGTGTCTGACCCTTCGCACCTCCTGGATCCGCGGTGCTGGAGGGATGCTGCGGTTTGTCCTCTTGGATAACTCTGCTTTTCTCTTCGCCAGCGCCACGATCATGTCTCTCGAAGACTTTGAGCAGCGCTTGAATCAGGCCATCGAAAGAAATGCCTTCCTGGAAAGTGAACTTGATGAAAAAGAGAATCTCCTGGAATCTGTTCAGAGACTGAAGGATGAAGCCAGAGGTCAGGAGGCCTTGGTGTCTTCACCAGCATGGTCCCCTCTCCCTACCTGAGCAACATCTTGTCCCACAAGCTCTCCCAGCATTATCTTTACAGGGACCCCACACCCTGCTCTGCACCCAGGTTGTCTAATCAGAGGGTGTCGGACTGCACTGGGCAGACTCTTGCCTTGGGCCCTGGCTGGAGCTGAGAACAGTCAGACATCCAGCCCTGTAAGGGCCCCTTATGGGTATTTAGAGAAATAGCTTTGGGGTTCACAGATGAAGTCCTTGTATTGGGATTCTGCCTCTGGGCAGCAGAATTTATTTCCAGAAAGATGCTTCCTGGTCTGTAATTCACAAACACAGCAAACTACCCTGATGCTCAGTAGGAACAGAGAGTTTTGTGGGGAGATCTGGCACAGTGGCTCACACCTGTAATCCCAGCACTTTGGGAGGCCGAGGATCTCTTGAGCCCAGGAGTTTGAGACCAGCCTGGGCAGCATAGTGGGACTCCATCTTTACAAAAACATTTAAAGATTAGCTGGGTGTGATGGCATGTGCCTGTAGTCCCAGCTACTCAGGAAGCCAAGGTGGGATGATTGCTTCAGCCCAGGAGGTGGAGTATGCAGTGAGCTATGATGGCACCAGTGCACTCCAGCCTGGGTGACAGAGTGAGACCCTGTCTCTTAAGAAGCAAAGATGTTGTGGGGAGAAATTTCTGGTGGAATTGCCAGCTAGCCTATTATTTTTGTGACTTGATGGCAACCAATATATTTGGCTAAAACTTTGAAACCTCATCAGCATTTGCTCTTTTTCAGTTGGCACTTCCAGAGGTAGAATGTTGAAACTGTAATGAGGCATTTGGCCAGGCACAGTGGTTCACACCTGTAATCCCAGCACTTTGGGAGGCTGAGGCAGGTGGATCACCTGAGCTCAGGAGTTTGAGACCAGCCTGGACAACATAGAGAAACCCCATCTCTACTAAAAATAGAAAACATGAGGGTATGGTGGTGGGTGCCTGCAATCCCAGCTGCTCAGGAGGCTGAGGCACGAGAATTGCTTGAACCTGGGAGGTGGAGGTTGTAGTGAGCCAAAATTACACCATTGCACTCCAGCCTGGGTGACAGAGTGAGACTCTTGTCTCAAAAAAAAAAAAAAAAAAAAGACATTCATTAGTGGATTGTCCAAGTTGTTTTTACCTTTTTTTTTTTTTTTTTTTTTTTTTTTGAGATGGCGTCTTGCTCTGTTGTCCAGGCTGGAGTGCAGTGGTGCTATCTCTGCTCACTGCAACCTCTGCCTCCCAGGTTCAGCGATTCCCCTGCTTCAGCCTCCTGAGTAGCTGGGACTGCAGGTGTGCACCACCATGCCTGGCTAATTTTTATATTTTTAATAGAGATGGGGTTTCACCATGTTGGCCAGGCTGGTCTTGAACTCCTGACCCCAGGCGATCTGCCTGCCTCGGCCTCCCAAAGTGCTGGGATTATAGGGGTGGGTCACTGTTGCTGGCCCAATTAATTATTTATAACGTCGATTTGCTTTCTAATGTGTAACCAGTAGGTGGGGGATAAAAAGTAAAAATTCTTAAGTTTAATAAAGTAGTTGTTCCTAGATGTCCATCAGTAATGAAGTGGTTAAATGAAGTACATAGATGTATTTTGTGAAATGTTAATGGTTAAAATGAACAGTAGATAGAAATGTTGTGGTAGAAAGATTGCCAAGGCTAGGCACAGTGGCTGATGCCTGTAATCTCAGTGCTTTGAGAGACGGACGCAAGAGGATTGCTTGAGCCTAGGAGTTCAAGATGAGCCTGGACAACATAGTGATACCCCATCTCTACAAAAATGAAAATTGTAAAAATTAGGCCTGGTGGCATATGTCTGTAGTTCCAGCTACTTAGGAGGCTGAAGTGGGAGGATGACTTGAGCCCAGGAGTTCAAGGTTACATTGAGCTATGATTGTGCCACCGCACCCCAGCCTGGGTGACTGAGTCAGACCCTGTCTCTAAAACAAAAATCATTGCCAAGACATACCACTGAAGTGGGGAGAGTAAGTCATACACAGGACAACATATTGTATGTTTCCAGTAATGCTTAATAAAAAATTTTCTTGTTTTATGCTCAGTAGATACATACATATGTATAAAGTTTATGTTTGAAAATGGAGAGAACAGCTGGGCGCAGTGGCTCACGCCTGTATTCCCAGCACTTTGGGAGGCCAAGGTGGGTGGATCACCTGAGGTCAGGAGTTAGAGTCCAGCCTGGACAACATGGTGAAACCCTGTGTCTACTAAAAATACAAAAATTAGCCAGGTGTGGTGGTGCGTGCCTGTAATCCCAGCTACTTGGGAGGCTGAGGCAGGAGAATCACTTGAACCCGGGAGGCAGATTTACAGTGAGCCGAGACTGTGCCACTGCACTTAAGCCCGGGCAAGAGAGTGAAACTCCATCTCAAAAAAAAAAAAAAAAAAAAATTCAGAGAACAATGGTTGAAAAGCTCTCCCACATGTTATGGTGATGATGAGTGAGGAGGAGCATTTGGGGATAGTCTGGAAAGCATACTTTATTTATTTTTGAGACAGTCTTGCTCTGTCACACAGGCTGGAGTGCAGTGGCGTGATCTCAGCTCACTGCACTCACTGCTTGTCCCCCAGGCTCAAGCGATTGTCTTGCCTCAGCCTCCCAAGCAGCTGGGACTACAGGCGCTCACCACCACGCATGGCTAATTTTTTGTATTTTTAATAGAGACGGGGTTTTGCCATGTTGGCCTGAAAATTCCTGACCTCAAGCAATCCTCCCATCTCGACCTCTCAGAGTGCTGGGATTATAGGCTTGAGCCAGTGCAACTGGCCTTTTTTTTTTTTTTCTTTTTTTTTTTTTTTTTTTTTTTTTTTTGAGCCAGAGGTCTCACTCTCGCCCAGGCTGAAGTGGTATGATCATGGCTTACTGCAGCCTCGACTTACTGGATTAATGTGATTCTTACACCTCAGCCTCCCAAAGTGCTGGGATTACAGGCATGAGTCACTGCTCCCGGGCATATTTTCATTTAGTGTTCTAAATACACTGCTATGTTGGAATTGTTTTTTCAATAATAAAAGCATTAGTGTGTCACTGTCATAGCTTTTTAAAAATCTGAAACCATTTTGTTAGTCAAGAGAAACATCCTGTAGAGTTCCAAGTCTGCTAGGCAAGGTCCTGTGGGTTTCCCTTTATTTGGGGTTTCTACCTGGAGTGTTTCACCCCAGTAGGTCTTTTTTCTGACTGGTATCTACTGTTGAACCTCTCTCCCTGCACCCCACCAACCCTAAGCAAGGACTTAAATTCCCTTTTTGTTTTTTGAGACGTAGTCTTGCTCTTGTCACCCAGACTGGAGTGCGCTGGAGCAATCTCAGCTCACTGCCACCCTGGCCTCCCAGGTTCAAATGATTCTCATGCCTCATCCTCCTGAGTAGCTGAGATTACAGGTGCCTACTACCATGCTGGGCTAATTTTTGTATTTTCAATAGAGATGAGGTTTCACCATGTTGGTCAGGCTGGTCTCGAACTCCTGACCTCAGGCGATCCACCTGCCTTGGCCTCCCAAAGTGCTGGCATTATAAACATGAGCCACTGCGCCTGGCTGAGGACTTGAATTCCTGAATCCTTTTTCTGGCACAGATTTGCGGCAGGAACTGGCCGTGCAGCAGAAGCAGGAGAAACCCAGGACCCCCATGCCCAGCTCAGTGGAAGCTGAGAGGACAGACACAGCTGTGCAGGCCACGGGCTCCGTGCCGTCCACGCCCATTGCTCACCGAGGACCCAGCTCAAGTTTAAACACACCTGGGAGCTTCAGACGTGGTAAGGGGAGTGGGAATTGCAGGATTTTCTCGGTTCACAAAGTGTTTCTGGGTAAGAATCTGGGGTGGGTCCTGGGGGTGTGATGATTTGCATCAGGCTCAGAGCCTGATTTGCTCTCAGGCTTTGAGCAGAGAGTAGACTGGGATGTTCTTGGGGATGGGCATTGAGATCAGTGAGGACTGGGTAAGAGGCAGTAGTGGAGTCTGATGAAATGGAAACCCCACCCAGAGCGGGTGGCTGCCACTCTGCAGCTACGAGGATTGGCCCTTCATCTGCAGCTTTTTCCATTCTTCAAAGCCAGAAATCCTCTTTTTTTTTGTTGGGTTTTTTTTTTTGAGACAGGATCTCACTCTGTTGCCCAGGCTGGAGTGTAGTGACGTGATCTTGGCTCACTGCAACCTCTTCATCGTGGGCTCAAGTGATTCTCCCACCTCATCCTCCGGAGTAGCTGGGACTAAAGGCACCTGGCTAACTTTTGTATTTTAGGTGGAGACACAGTCTTGCCATGTCGCCCAGGCTGGTATCAAATTCCTGGACTCAAGTGATCCGCCCACCTCGGCTGATCCCAAAGTGCTGGGATTACAGGTGTGAGCCACCGCGCCTGGTCAAAAATCCTCTTGTTGAATATAAAACCTCCCAAATTTGAAATGTCACTGACCAAATACAAAAAAGTAAAAAGCGTTCTGTGGGTTTAGTAATACATCCACCGAGAGCTAGACTCAGCGTAACGTGTGCTGCATGGGCAGAAAAAAAGAATCTCAGTTCTCACCCCAGCCCCTCTGCTGACAGCTTCCGATCAGGCCTTTTACAGCAGATATTAATAACAGACAGTTAAGGAGTGCTCAGTGTGTGCTGGCCAGCCTGCAGCCTTCGCCGCAGGCCCAGGATGCAGGTGCTGTCCCCGTTTGATGAAAGTGAGGCTCTGAGTTAAGCAGAGTCATGAAGCAATTGAATGGCAGATGGTTTGGGATTCAGACCCAGGCAGGCAGGCTCCAGGGCTTACCCTACCATCTACTACCTTATCCCTTAGCTTGTCCCCTGGGCATGAAGAGACCAGTGAGACTTCTAGAATTCCGGTGCAGAGCCCTTCTGTTTAGTTTTGTTGAGATGGAGTTTTGCTCTGTTGCCCAGGCTGGAGTGCAATGGTGCGATATTGGCTCGCTGTAACCCCCTCCTCCCAGGTTCAAGTGATTCTCCTGCCTCAGCCTCCTGAGTAAGCTTGAATTACAGGTGCCCACCACCATGCCTGGCTAATCTTGTATTTTTAGTAGAGATGGGGTTTCACCATGTTGGCCGGGCTGGTCTCAAACTACTGACCTCAGGTGATCTGCCTGCCTCAGCCCCTGAAAGTGGTGGTATTACATGTATGAGTCACTGTGCCTAGCCCCAGTCTAGAGCCATTTTGCATACTTTATTTCATTGTTGTTTTTAGAGACACAGTCTTGGTCTGTGGCCCAGGCTGGAGTGCAGTGGTGCAATCATAGCTCACTGCAGCCTCCAACTCCTGGGCTCCAGTGATCCTCCTGCCTCAGCCTCCTGAGTAGCTGGGACTAGAGGCATGCAACTCCATGCCTGGCTATGTTTCCACACTTCAATATGCATGTAGCTTACCTGGGGATCTTGGTAGAATGTACCTCAGATCAAGTGGGTCTTGGGTGGGGCCTGAAATTTCTTTCTCTCTTTTTTTTTTTTTTTGAGACAAAGTCTTGCTCTGTCGGCCAGGCTGGAGTGCAGCGGCATTGATCTTGGCTCACTGCAGCCTCTGCCTCCTGGATTCAAGCGATTCTCATGCCTCAGCCTCCCGAGTAGCTGGGATTACAGGCAGGCACCTGTTACCATGCCCAGCTAATTTTGTATTTTTAGTAGAAACAAGATTTTGCCATGTTGGCCAGGCTGGTCTTGAACTCCTGACCTCAACTGATCGAACTGCCTCGGCCTCTGAAAGCACTGGGATTACAGGTGTGAGCTACTGTGCCTGGCCGAGAGATTCTGCATTTCTAACAGTTCTCATGTGCTGCTGGTGCATGGACCCCACTTGGAGAAGAGAGGCTCTGCAGAGCGGGACCCTTGTAAAGCTGGATCATCCTGTCTATAGTTCTTGTATCTATCACAGATGCCATTATGTTAATTAACTATATGGATTTTCTACAATTTCAAAAGGATTTGTTTTGGGTTTGTTTAAAAAAGACTAATGTGGCTGGGCACGGTGGCTCATGCCTGTAAATACCAGCCCTTTGGGCGGCCAAGGTGGGAGGATCGCTTGAAACTAGGAGTTCATGATCAGCCTGGGCAACATAGTGAGACCCTGTCTCTATTAAAAAAAAAATTTGTTAAAGGCCAGGCATGGTGGCTCACGCCCGTAATCCCAGCACTTTTGGAGGCCAAGGCGGGCAGATCATTTGAGGTCAAGAGTTCGAGACCAGCCTGGACAACGTGATGGAACTCTGTCTCTACTAAAAATACAAAAATTAGCCGGGTGTGGTGGCACATGGCTATAATCCCAGCTACTCAAGAGGCCAAGGCAGGAGAATCGCTTGAACCTGGGAGGCGGAGGTTGCAGTGAGCTGAGATCACATCACCGCACTCCAGTCCGGGTGACAGAGCAAGACTAACATGTAAAAATAAGTATTTGTTGCAGTCATCACAAGGACTTGAAAAATTGGTTGTCATACGGGCCTTGGGTGTGTGATGCGGTTAACTACGGAAAGAAATAGGGTAGCTTTTGGGATCCGAGGAAAGGCGTCAGTGTCCCTCCTGTCCCGTGGTTTTGGATCTAGCGATGTTAACGCACAGACATGACTATAGGTTGGTGAGTTACATGCTCTTCCCTTTGCACACCCAGGCCTGGACGACTCCACCGGGGGGACCCCCCTCACACCTGCGGCCCGGATATCAGCCCTCAACATTGTGGGAGACCTACTGCGGAAAGTCGGGGTAAGACCACACTTTCCTGGCGTTTGGTGCCTTCCTGCCTGTCTTTCAGGATGTGTGAAGGGGGTTGATCTAGTTCCTTCCCTCTCTTCTTTTTTTCTTTTTTTTTAGAGACAGGGTCTTGCTCTGTTGCTCAGGCTGGAGTGTAGTGGTATGATCACAACTCACTGCAGCCTCAAAATCCTGGGTTCAAGCGATCCTCTCACCTTAGCTTCCCGAGGAGCTTGGACCACAGGTGTGCGCCACTATGCCTGGCTGATACTTTCATTTTTTTGTAGTAATGTGGGTATCGCTGTGTTGCCCAGGCTGGTCTTAAACTCCTGGCCTCAAGTGATCCTCCCAGGTTGGCCTCCCAAAGTTCTGGGATTACAGGCATGAGCCAATGCGTCCAGCCCCTTTCATAGCAGTGTGGTGAGTTTTAGGTGTGGCTGCTCCTTTAGCATCCCTGGGAATCATTAGAGCTTCCTGTGGGAGTTACTGCCAGACACTCAGAGCTCTGACTCGAAGCCCTGCTCTGAACCCTATGTATGTCTCTTTCCTTTTACCGTTTTTCCTCTAGGAAATTTGGGAAATTAGGGTGATATGTGTGTTTTTTCCTTAACTCGAAAAATTAAGGAGCACTTGGAAACTGCCTTCTCTTTTGGCCGGGTGCTCATACCTGTAATCCCAGTGCTTTGGGAGGCCAAGGTGGGAGATTACTTGAGCTCAGGAGTCTGACACCAGCCCGGGCAACATGGTGAAACCCCCTGCCCCGACTTGGCCTCTACAAGAATGCAAAAATTAGCCAGGCCTGATGGTGTACACTGGTGGTCCCAGCTACTCAGGAGGCTGAGAGGTGGGAGGATTGCTTCAGCCTGGGAGGTTGAGGCTGAGTGAGCTGAGATTCCAACACTGCACTCCATCCTGGGTGACAGCACGACGTTGTCTCAGAAGAGAAAAAAACTGCCACCTTTTTTTTTTTTTTTTTTTTTTTTGGTTTGTTTCTTGGGGTTTAAGTGAATTTTGACACTTTGGGAGACCGAGATGGGTGGATCACCTGAAGTCAGGAATTCAAGACCAGCCTGGCCAACATGGTGAAACCCCATCTCTACTAAAAATACAAAAATTAGCCAGGAATGGTGGTGGGCACCTGCGATCCCAGCTACTTGAGAGGCTTATGCAGGAAAATTGTTTGAATCCGGGAGGCGGAGGTTGCAGTGAGCTGAGATCGCACCGCTGGGTGACAAAGTGAGACTTGGTCTCAAAAAAAAAAAAAAAAAAAATCTTGAAAGCCTAGGGCAAAGAATTTGGCCTTTCAGCTTTTATGTTAATTACAGGGAGGGATCCTTTTGTGCTTAAGTAAAAACATAGGTATTCTTTGTAGTTTATTTTTAAAAATGATGCCTAGAAGGCCACATAATTTAACTCCTACCAAGTTGTCACTGTACACAGTGTATTTGTAGCTACAACTTAATAGAAGCTTGCAACTCATTTCTTTTGTTTTTACTTCTGGTTTTTGGCTGTCTGGTTTGCTATTCTAGAAGCAGGTCTGCATTTCAGTATTTAGCCTAGTTGGAGTATAGAGAAGCCTGGGGTGCTGTCAGTGTCCTTTTGGTTTCCTCAGGGTCTGTTGTAGCCAGACCAAGTCCTTACCAAACTTCTTGCCATTCTGCAGAGGTTTAACAAGGTAAACCAAAGGGTGAAGGATTCCAGAAGTGGATTTCCTACTTCCTACAAGCGGAGTTGGATAATTGGTAGGTTAGTGATTTTTCCAGAAAGCTCCCATTTTAAAAAATTTTTTGTAATTAAAAAAGAATTTTTTTTTTTTTTTTAAGCCAAGCATGATTGTGCATAGTCCTAGCTATTCAGGAGGCTGAGGTGGAAGGATTGGTTGAGGCTGCAGTGAGCCGTGATCTTTTTCCAGGCAGCTCCCAAACATTTTAAAAAATTTTTCGTAATTAAAAAAAATTTTTTGCATTAAAAATTTTTTTTATTAACTGGGCATGATTGCGGATGCCTATAATTCCAGCTGCTCAGGAGGCTGAGGTGGGAGGGATTGGTTGAGCCTGGGAGGTTGAGGCTGCAGTGAGCTGTGATCTCACCAGTGCACTCCAGCCTGGGTGACACAGCGTCTAAAAAAGTAAAAAACAAAACAAAAAAAAAAACTGAGATGGGATCTTACTTTGTGGCCCAGGCTGGTCTCAAACTCCTGATGTCAAGCCATCCTCCTGCCTTGGCCTCCCAGAGTGCTGGGATTATAGGTGTGAGCCATTGTGCCCAGCCAGCTCCCAAATACTTAAGGTGCTTGGTTCTGAGACTGGCATATACGTTGGATTCCTCTTGGGGTCCCACCTTGGAATTCCAGTGCACAACAGTTTGAGAACCACTGTCTGGGGTTCGTTCTTCTGTACAGGCTCTGGTAAGACAGAATAGTCCTTGCCTATAACTTGAGAGATAAAAGTGTATTTCTGTCCAGGCACTGGAGTCCAAACTCGCTTCCTGCCGGAACCTCGTGTACGATCAGTCCCCAAACCGAACAGGTGGCCCAGCCTCTGGGCGGAGCAGCAAGAACAGAGATGGCGGGGAGAGACGGCCAAGCAGCACCAGCGTGCCTTTGGGTGATAAGGGGTCAGTACCTTCTAATAAACCTCTCGCTGGCGGGGAGAACCCGCCTGCCCCAGGCAAGAGACACTCACCCCCAGCCCACAGCCATGTGTCTTTTTAAATTATAGGATTATTTCAGCAAACCTTATCCTCTCCTCTGCTCCCTGCAGGCAGCATTAGGTGGTGTCTTGTGGCTTGAACAAAGGGCTAGAGAGAGGGTCTTGTTTTGTGAGACAGGGTCTCACTCTGTCACCTAGGCTAGAATACGATGGCAGGATCATGGCTCACCCTCTGCCTCCCAGCTCAAACGATCCTCCCACCTCAGTCCCCCGAGTAGCTGGGAGTACAGGTGCGTGTCACCGTGCTCGGCTAATTTTTTGTATTTTTTCTAGAGACAGGTTTTGCCATGTTGCCGAGTTTGGTCTCAAACTCTGAGCTTCAAGTGATCCTCACCCTTCATCCTCCCAAAGTGCTGCGACGACAGGTGTGGGCTACCATGCCTGGCCAAGAAGGTCATTTTTATCATTTGATTCTACAGCTGCTACTCACGGTTACACTGTGAGAATGTCCTGTATAAAAGCCCTTATTTGGGCCAGGTGTGGTGACGCTCGCCTGTAATCCCAGCAGTCTGGGAGGCCAAGGCAGGTGGATCACTTGAGGTCAGGAGTTCAAAACCAGTCTGGGCAACATTGGTAAAACCCCATCTCCACCAAAAAAAATAGAAAAATGAGCCAGGCATGGTAGCATGTGCCTATAGTCCCAGCTACTCAGGAGGCTGAGGAAGGAGAATCACTTGAACCCTGGAGGCAGAGATTGCAGTGAGCCAAAATTGTGCCTCTGCACAGCAGCCTGGGTGACAGAGCAAGACTCCATATCAAAAAGTTAATTAATTAGTTAAATAAAAATAAAGCCCTTATTTGGGGAATTGAGCATCAGTCATGGCTCTGCTTCCCCTGAAGTTTTTTTTTTTGTTTTGTTTTGTTTTTTTTTTGAGACGTCTTGCTCTGTCGCCTAGGCTGGAGTGTAGTGGCATGATCTCAGCTCACTGCAACCTCTGCCTCCCAAGTCCAAGCAATTCTCCTGCCTCAGCCTCCTGAGTAGCTGGGATTACAGGCGTGTGCCACCATGCCCAGCTAATTTTTTGTATTTTTAGTCGAGACGGGGTTTCACTGTGTTAGGATGGTCTTGATCTCGTGACATTGTGATCCACCCACCTCGGCCTCTCAAAGTGCTGGGATTACAGGCGTGAGCCACTGCAACCAGCCCTTTTTTTTCTTTTTAAATCTGTAGAACCTTTGAGAAACTGGCACTAACTTCTAGCCCAGACTATGTTCCTGAAACCAGCCACCCGATGGGACAGTGCAGATCTGATCTCTAACAGTGTCATTAATTTTCTTGCCTAAAGAAAATCAGGGCCAGGCTCAGTGGCTCACACTTGTAATCCCAGCACTTTGGGAGGCTGAGGGCAGCGGATCAATTGAGCTCTGGAGGTTGAGGCCGCAGTGAGCCGTGTTCCCAGCCACTGCACTCCAGCCTGGGTGATGAAGCGAGACCTTGTCTCAGAAAAAAAAGGGGCAGCTTTCAGATTCAGGAATTCTGCAAGGTGTGTGACTACCATCTCTCTGGGCCCCAAGCCGTAGGAATTTGATGGGTTTGTAGCAGACACGTGACAGGAAATTAAGAATATTTTCCATGGCATGCACATAACTTTGAGACCTTTACACGTGGATTTTTAGGCCAGGTGCAGTGAAGTGGCTCACACCTGTAATCCCAGCACTTTGGGAGGCAGAAGTGGGTGGATCACTTGAGGCCAGGAGTTCACAAGACCAAACTGGGCAACATGGTGAAACCCTATCTATACTAAAAATACGAAAATTAGCCGGGCATGGTCGCGGATGCCTGTAGTCCCAGCTGCTTGGGTGGCTGAGGCACAAGAATCACTTGAACCCAGGAAGTGGAGGTTGCAGTGAGCCAAGATTGCACCACTGAACTCCACTCTGGGCAACAGAGTGAGACTCTTTCTCAAGAAAAAAAAAAAAATTAATTTTTGTTTGTTTTCTTTCTACGAGACAGGGTTTTGCTGTGTCACCCAGGCTGGAGTGCAGTGGTGCGACCATAGCTCACTGCAGCCTCGTCCTCCTGGGCTCAAGCCATCTTCCTGCCTCAGCCTCCCAAGTAGCTGGGGCTACAGGTGCACACCACCACCCCTGGCTAATTTTTTTTATATTTTATAGAAACAGTCTTGCTATGTTGCCCAGACTGGTCTCAAACCTCCTGGCTTTGAGTTTGAGAATACACCTCTGAGACTGTAGTCTGCTTCTCATTGAGATTTCTAGAGGTGAGTTTTCAGATTAATTTTCCAGGCGATCTTCCCACCTTGACCTCCCAAGTGCTGGGGGTTACAAGCGTTAGCAATCATGCCTGGCCTTTTTTTTTTTTTGGAGACAGGGTCTCACTCTGTCACCCAGGCTAGACTGCGGTGGTGTGATCTCGGCTCACTGCAACCTCCGCCTCCTGGGCTCCAGCGATCCTTCCACCTCAGCCTACCAAGTAGCTGGGACTACACATGCAGGCCACCACACCCAGCTAATTTTTGTTTGCATTTTTCATAGAGACAGGGTCTCACTATGTTGCGTAGGCTGTAAAACAAACAAACAATAGGTAAGAGATGGATTTTTCTAGTGGGTCTGAGACTGGGCGTTTTGTGTGACCTTGGAATCTGAGAGCCAGGTAGCCAGTGTCCTCTTCTTCATTTCACAGGAGAGAAAATTGAGACCCTGTGAGACCCTGCTCCTGACTCTTGATGTTCACCCTTATAACTCTCTGGGCCCCGGTGCTAGCCAGTTTGTCACAGCTGTTATGTCAGCTTAATTTGGTTTGCTCTGTCTGAAGGTTGGGGAAGCGCCTGGAATTTGGGAAGCCGCCTTCACACATGTCTTCATCGCCGCTGCCGTCAGCCCAGGGGGTAGTCAAGATGTTGCTTTAGGAAAACCACGGAAGCTGAAGGTCTTGGTGTTGGTGCGGAAGTCGTTACCTTTTGTCGTCTTTTTACACTAGGTTTTTGTTTTAAGTTAGTTTGAGAAATAAGAGCAGTCACCATAGTTAGTTAGCTTTGCGGCCCAAGCCAATGACCGAGGCCATCACCTGTGCTCTGGGGTTTGTCCCTGGGAAATGTCTTTTCATCCTTACCTGCCACCGTGTGCATTGCAAAGAGGGACAAAAGGGGCTCTCTGGGAAGGGCTCTAAGTTGTCGGTGATGAGGCTACCGTGTTGTTTTTGAGATAGAGTCTTGCTCTGTCACCCAGGCTGGAGTGTGGTGGCGTGATCTCAGCTCACTGCAACCTCCGCCTCCTGGGTTCAAACGGTTCTTGTTCCTGAGTCTTCCAGGTAGCTGGGATTACAGGCACCCACCACCACACCTGGCTGAATTTTTTGTATTTTTAATAGAGACGGGGTTTTGCCATGTTGCCCAGTGTGGTCTTGAACTCCTGGCCTCAAGTGATCCTCCCATCTCGGCCTCCCAGAATGCTGGGATTTCAAGCATGAGCCATCGTTCCCATGCCCCATTGTGTTGCACTAACCCAAGCGGAGGTCCTGATTGGTCTTTTTTTTTTTTTTCTTTTTTGAGACAGAGTCATGCTCTTGCCCTGTCTTGTCCAGGCTGGAGTGTAGTGGTGCAATTTCGGCTCACCGCAGCCTCCGCCTCCTAGGTTCAAGCGATTCTCTTATCTCAGCTTCCCAAGTAGCTGGGACTACAGGAGTGTGCCACTACACCCACTAATTTTGTATTTTTAGTGAGAAACGGGGTTTCACCATGTTGGCCATGCTGGTCTTGAACTCCCGGCCTCAAGTGATCCTCCCGCCTCAGCCTCCCAGAGTGCTGGAATTACAGGCCTGAGCCACCGTGCCTGGCCCCTGATTGGTCTTGACAGGTGTTTTTAATGTCCCAAGTCTCCGTAAATGTGGGATGGAGCTTCTCTCAGAGGCTCTTCCCCCCAACTCCCAACCAGGTGGAATCGTCTTCCAGAACAAAATCTCCCAGTGCTTTGTGGTGTACTGAAATCATGTCTAAGAACAGAGAACTTAACAGTCACATGCCTTTTTAAAAACTGGAATAGGCTGGGCGCGGTGGCTCAGGCCGGTAATCCTAAGACTTTGGAAGGCCGAGGCGGGTGGATTACCTGAGGTCAGGAGTTCAAGACCAGCCTGGCCAACATGGTGAAACCCCATCTCTACTAAAAATACAAAAAATTAGCTGGGTGCAGTGGTGCGTGCCTATAATTCCAGCTACTCCAGATGTTGAGGCAGGAGAGTTGCTTGGACCCGGGAGGTGGAGGGTGCAGTGAGCCAAGATCGCGCTACTGTACTCCAGCCTGGGCAACAGAGTGAGACTCCGTCTCCAAAAAAAAAAAAAAAGGTGTCATAAACCTCTGAGACTGTAGCCTGCTTCTTAGCTTCTCATTGAGATTCCTAGAGGTGCGTTCGAGTTTTCAGAGTAATTTTCCAGACCAACCAGCGTCAGTGGGAAATCTGACCTCTTTTGGCAAACTGCGATCATTCATTTTCCTGAGTCCCCTGGTGGGGTGGGGGGAATTCTGCCTCAGGACCCTGAGGGGTCTTTGGGGCAAGATGGCCTTGGTAATGCAGCCACTAAGAACAGGACTTCATTCAAAGGCATAATGAAGTAACCAGGGTGACCATCAAGTAAAATTAAAGCACAAGATCATTGTAGGAGGCTTCCTTGTCAAAGACGTGAACGTGGGATTTCCAACGCACCATGGTGTGTCCACTCATCACTGCATGTTAGGAACTGCTGTCTCTTTGGGACACGAGTTAAAAGAACACACTAATTTCTGGAGTGTGCCTGCAGCTTCACGGCCTTCATTTTGTTACTAAGTTATTTTCTGGAAGAACAGCAAAAATTTCAGGTTGAAAACAGAACTTTCCAAGTGCTACTGAAATTCCGCAGAGAATTACGCTGCGATGGTGGGTTTCTTACCCTAGAAACATCCTAACCTGTATCCACAGAAGATGTCCTTTTATTTTTTTAAAAGATCAATAAAATCAAGAGAAACGAATGTTGAACTTGTTGGGCTTCTGGTCAAAGAGGCTTTGTATGTTTATACTTTAATGTTTTCCCACAGAGTGGTGAAAAACTTTTTTTAACCAAGTTAAAAAATATGAAAAAATCTTTTTGAAAATTTCTATTCAAGCCAGGTTTTTAGAAATGTATCCGGGATGTGTTTGTGCGTCATTCAAGGCATATTAGCATCTGGTCACAAGATGGAGTCCTTTGTTTCCATGTTTCCTGTCTCCCAAATCTGTCTGATCCCATGGAGTTGGTGGTATACGGCATCGTTTGTGTTGAACAGAGCCTTTGCAGGCATGTCTGTCTAAAACACTCAAGCTGAAAGAAGGACAGGGCCTACAGCTTGTTTTTATGGCCCTTACTCTAAGAATGATTTATTATGTTTTTAAGGGTTGTTTTAAAGAAGATGAATATTCGGCAAGACCATATGTAGCCTGTAAAGGCTAAAATACTATCTGGCTGGGTGGGTGGTGGTGGTGGTGTGAGAGACAAGGTGTTACTGTTACCTAGGCTGCAGTGCAGTGGCGTGATCATAGCTCACTGCAGCCTGGAACTCCTGGCTCACATGATCCTCCTGCCTTAGCCTTCCAAGAGGTTGGGAGTACAGGTGTGCACTATCCTGCCTGGCTTACTAACAACAACAAAAAAAAAACACCTTTTTTTTATAGAGACGGGGGTCTCTCTCGGCTAGGCTGGCCTCCAACTCCTGGCCTCAAGTGATTTTCCCATCTCAGCCTCCCAAAGTGCTGGGATTCCAGGTGTGAGCCACTGTACCCAGCCACCATCTGACGTTTTGTGGAAAGTGTTTGCTGACTCATTGGACAAGACCTTGTGTTTTAACTCAAAAAATCAAGGAAATCCTGTATTTTTCTTAAGATACTGGTTTTGATGAGTCAAGATGTTCTTCCCAGTCATGTTCGAGGGCAGGGGGCAGTGGCCCTTAGACCACACATCACCTTATTTCTCTCCCCTGCCCTCCCTGCTGAGCGGCCCAGTAACCCCCTTAGACAGTCTCACTTTGCATCTCTGCTCTGCTCTCTGGCTGGCTGTGGGGTTGTAGGCAATTGATTTCACCTCTCTAGGCCTCAGTTTCTGCATTCATGACGTTAACCCTGACTTCAGAGAATCTTTGGGACGATGAAGCAAAACCCAGCCTTCCCCAACTCCTTTTCCTCTATAGAAAACAGCTCAACAGAAAAGCCAACGACATTGTGATTTATAACCATTTATTAGTGAAAGTGTTTTTAAGCACAGTCAGGGTGTAAACAGTGCAGCATTCCTGCTCCCCTCCGTGGGAGCAGCGTCTCCTTTTCAATTCATGTGACTACAGAAGGCACTTGGTGAACTGTGCGTGTCTGAGGTGTGGAAACCAGGAGAGGGGGAAAGAATTCTCAAAGGCCTGACGTGAGAAGTTGGAAAGGTTTGCAGGTTAGGGAATGAATTGGGAGTGGGGGCCGGCGGCACCCATTTCGGTGACTTTCTCCCCATTTCATGTAAACAGAATTGCCAGGGACCGGTTACCGTGGATATGTTTTTCTAAAAACTCAGTGTCTGCACAATCCATTGATAGAACTGGAGGATGTGTCTGTGTTTCCTGTTGGGTTTTTCTCATCTCTTACATCATACAAACTTCAATTTTTACCTTGAATACAGGGGTAGTAGGGGTGGTGGTGGTGGTGGTGGTTGAGACAGGGTCTCTGTTGCCCAGGCTGGAGTGCAATGATGCAATTATAGCTCATTGCAGCCTCGAAGTCCTGGGCTGGAGCGTTCTTCCTGGCTCAGCCTCCCTAGTAGCTGGGACCACAGGTGTGTACCACCACGCCCAGCTTATTTTTAAATTCTTGTATAGATGAGGTTTTACTACGTTGCCCAGGCTGGAGGGTGGTGGTTTTTATATTCCTTGTGTGAGGGGTGTCTGTGATATTTGGAATTTGAGAATGGATTTAGACAATGCTAAGTACAGTCTGCTGGGTTTTGCTTTGTTCTGGGTTGTTGTTGGGTTTTTTTTGTTTGTTTGTTTTGGTTTTTGGTTTTCTTGCCGTGGTGCAAAACTGTAGAAAGTTGCTTATTCACTGGCCTTGGTTCCATTGAAGTCTGCGTCTCGAGTGTCCGTTTCCTCCTCAGAACCATCTGCATTTTCAATAACTCTACGTCCTCCAGACCTTCTAGAAGGAACGAAAGAGGTCTCGTTTCCTCGCCTGTGGGTTGTAAGAAAACACATTATTTAGCAAAGAAATCTTCATGGTTGGGATAGATTTTTTATAAATCTATTTTAAACTTGTAGCTATAGTCCTATTGCAATATAAATTTTTTTTATGGCAGAAAACACACACGGCACAAATAAGATGCAGATATTCAAGTTGAAGTCAACAAATCATTGCCAGTCTTAAGGCATGAGTGATTGAATTTAATCAGCTGAAATTGGTTGCGGGGGTGGGTGGAGAAGGTTTTTCAAAGCAAGACGATCTGCTTTTCAATATGTCAGGCTTGGTCATTTGAGAAGCCACAGGATTCTGGTCTGCTGTGGTCTTTGATTTAGAATAGGAAAAAAACGCCAAAAACCAAGCAGGGGATTTTGTCTTCTGACTTTATTCATAGCCCATGGGGCAGAGTTGAAGAGAGAACATACTGTTTTTCTTCTGTATCTCCTCACCCCCATTCGCCTTAGAGGTGAGTTTTCAAGATTTGAATTGGAAGAAGGTGAAATGGACAAGGGCAGCCTTGAGAAGGACACAGAGGGGCTCCCTGGTTAAAAGGCGAGACAGCACCCCCTGCTGGTGTGAATGTTCATGGACTGAGTTTTCCCCACTGCAGGGACTGCTGCATCTGTTTTGCTGATCGTGGAACATACCGCACATGGCGTAAAACAGGTGCCCAGTGAATATTAGAAAAGGAAATTATACGTGTTAATCCAAGGTGGATTATTTTATTAAATTGAGATGAGGTCTTGATATTGTTGCCCAGGCTGGTCTGGAACTCCTGAGCTCAAGCAGTTCTCCTACCTTGGCCTCCCAAAGCGCTGGCATTACAGGCGTGGGCCACCACACCTGGCCTTCAAGGTGGATTTAAAAAAGAAATTTAAGAGTCTCTCTCACCCAGGCTGGAGTGCAGTGGCATGATCTTGGCTCACTGCAACCTCTGCCTCCTGAGTTCCAGCAGTCCTTGAGCCTCAGTATTGAGTAGCTGGGACTACATGCACGTGCACACTGCCACGCCTGGCTAATTTTTGTATTTTTAGCAGAGATGGGATTTTGCCATGTGACCCAGGCTGGTCTTGAACTCCTGGCCTCAAACGATCCACCTGTCTTAGCCTCTCAAAGTGTTGGGATTACAGGTGTGTGCCAGTGCACCTGGCCTCTGAGGTGGATTTTAGCTCCAGCCAGTAGGACACCCCTGTCTCTCCTTAATGCTGCCATCTCCTCTCTGCGCTGGTTCTCTCTTGAGTTTATCACCTCGACTTCACAGGAAGGGCTGGTCACGTGAGGGGAGACTTTGGGTAGGAGGAAGAGAGTGGGCAGAAGAAGGAAAAATCAGATCTGCCTGCTGCCAGCCTTCACCGTTCAGAAGAAACACTTAACTCTTTTCAGCAACCGCAACAAATAATTATGTTGGGCTCTGGCCATCTGGCCCTGTTTGACCTGAATCGGAAGACAGGTCTTATTTTAGGACATCAAAGAAGAGAGCAGACTTTTGCTCCCCACGCAAGGGTTGGATAAGAAGCCATAAGGATGAACACAACTCAGTGACCAATTCTTTAGTCAAAAGGAACAACTCGGCTGGGCATGGTGGCTCACACCTGTAATCTCAGCACTTTGGGAGGCTGAGGCGGGCGGATCATGAGGTCAGGAGATCGAGACCATCCTGGCTAACATGGTGAAACCGTGTCTCTACTAAAAATACAAAAAATTAGCCGGGCGTGCTGGCGGGTGCCTGTAGTCCCAGCTACTCGGGAGGGAGGCTGAGGCAGGAGAATGACATGAACCCAGGAGGCGGAGCTTGCAGTGAGCCGAGATGTGGCCACTGCACTCCAGCCTAGGCGACAGGGTGAGACTCCGTCTCAAAAAAAAAAAAAAAAAAAAATCAAGGCCCAGAGATTCATGATCACTGAGAAGAGGAATTCGCAAATGACCCTTTTGTTGACAGAGGATGGGAGAGACCCCGGCTGGGAAAGCCCACCTGGCTATAAAGGATGGGACTTCCCGCAGTGCAGCGATCAGGAATAAATACTTAAAGCTGCAGCCACTTCAAAGTAAACACTCCTAGCCCAGCTTCACAGAGAAGCTTCTGGACTTGCAGCCCTACTAGAGAACTCTCCATCCTTCTCTCTCTAGATGTGACCCTTAAGTCTTTTTCTTTTTTAGCACTGTTTTCCAAGCGCTTGACTCAGAAGGATGCTCAAATTCAGCGCAGAGGAGCAGCAGTTTGACTGTTCCCTGTACGCTCCCCACACAGCTCTCTTCGTCACAGTTTTAACTCCAGGTTCAAACCCTGATGGGTTGGCCAGTTGCTGCGACTCATGCCTGTAATCCCAGCACTTGGGGAGGCCGAGGTGGGCAGATCACTCGTGAGGTCAGTTGTTCGAGGCCATCCTGGCCAATATGGTGAAACCCCGTCTCTACTAAATATACTAAATTAGCCGTGCGTGGTGGCAGGCGCCTGGAATCCCAGTCACTCAGGAGGCTGAGGCAGGAGAATTGCTTGAACCCAGGAGGTGAAGGCTGCAGTGAGCCAACGTTGTGCCACTGCACTCCAGCCTGGGAAACAGCAAGACTGTCTCCAAAAAAAAAAACAAAAAAAAATCTGATGAGCTGGGAAGTAGTCCCTAACCTCCACATCAGTGCTCTAGGCACTCTCTTTTTGGCTCTTGGAAGAGTCTATTTGCTAACTGGAAAAGCTTAATGGATAAATTTGCTCCCTTGACCTAAGAAATACATTGTGCCCTGGGCCGTTGAAGCTCCTTGCTTGGCTGTCAGCCTGCAAGATACTCTGTTTTGGCTGAAGTGCTTTTCTTGGAACTGGTTTCAAATCCTAGACCAAGGTTGACACCAACTATACCTGTTACAGGAACTAAGGGACCCCCCTAAAGGTTTTCTTAAAGGGTCTGATCCTGGAGAATCTGGAATTTTTTTTTGAAATAGAGTCTCGCTGTGTTGCCCAGGCTGGAGTGCAGTGGCGTGATCTTGGCTCACTGCAGCCTCTGCCTCCCAGGTTCAAGCGATTCTCCTGCCTCAGCCTTCCAAGTAACTGGGACTACAGACATGCCACCACTCCTGGCTAATTTTTGTATTTTTAGGAGAGACGGGGTTTTACCATGTTGGCCAGGCTGGTCCTGACCTCAAGTTATCTGCCCGCCTCGGCCTCCCAAAGTGCTGGGATTATAGGCATGACCCACTGTGCCTGGCCTAGCATTTGGATTCTATTCGTGGACTCAGCTTATCCAAGGCCTCGGGAATCATCTTGAGTGTAAGCACCTGCTAGTTTGCAAGGACTCAGTTTCCCACTGACCAGTGGGTTCTGCACTTCAGCCCACCCTGGAATTTGGCTTATCCTATGATCCCAATCAGCTGGTAGGAGAGCTGCTTGAAGTGTCCTAGAAACTCATCTGCTCCCCCACAAAACTGGCTCTTAACAAGACCTCACCCTGCGCTTTAAGTATTTTGGTAGTGACAGCAAAGCTGAGATTCTCCAAAAATGAAGATGGACACAAATGAGGGTTGGTTTGGCCTCTCCATGAGGTGAAGTCAGATCCACATGGCCTAACTTCACCTGTGAAAAGTTGGTCATGCTTGTAATCCCAGCATTTGGGGAGGCCAAGGCGCGCGGATCACCTGAAGTCAGGAGTTTGAGACCAGCCTGGCCAACATGGTGATATCCTGTCTCTAATAAAAATACAAAAATTAGCTGGGCGAGGTGGCGGGAGCCTGTAATCCCAGCTACTCAGAAGGCTGAGGTAGGAGAATCGCTTGAACCCAGGAGGCAAAGGTTGCGGTGAGCCAAGATTGCGCCATTGCACTCCAGAGCGAGACTCCGTCTCAAAAAAAAAAAAAAAAAAAAGCAAAATCCCAGAGCAGCAGAGACCTCTTCATGCTTTCTTGGGAAGGGCCCTGTGTGCATCCTTGAGTCTTGGGTATCCACTCCCCAGTCCCTGAACATGTACATGCCCGTGAAGCCTCCAGAAAAGGCTCTGCCAGGACTGTGCTTGGCTTTGCGGTGGTCAGCTTCCACCCCGTGTGCTGAAAATGCAGTTTGTAGCTAGACATCACTCAAGCCACGTGCAGCCCCCGGCATTTGTCAGACATCGCAGTGAGCTCATTTCCTTCGCAGACAAGCCTGTGAAAGCTGAATCATGGGAGGACTGGTTGCCGCGCCGCAGTTACCGTGAACTTTGTGATCTCTGACTTGTGACCCAGACCAGCCAACTAGAAGCCAAGTACGTTCTCCAGGAATGTGCCCAGATAGTGGAACTGTCATATTCATTCAGTGCAGTGTCTTCACTGGACAAGGGAGGACAGCACTGCTGAGTGCCCTAACCACGTAAGAGTGGCTTTTGGTATGAAAGGAAGAAAAATCCAAGCTACACACACAGCCTCTGCCATCTCGTCAAGATGCAGTGATAAGGGCGCACACTGTTGGGTGTCATGTCACATGTGCTGCCCAGAGGCAGGAAGGACAGTGGGTCAAGAGATGAGGTCTATTTGTCATCCTGATCTTGGTTTCAATGAAAGCTTTGCACAAAGATATCCAAGCCTCCAGATTTTGCAAGAATCTCGTGGAAATGTGCAAGGGTTTAAAAATTGGGGTGGGCAGAGGGGCGCATTGGGCAGAAAAGAAATGGATACTGAGACAACACACAGCTGCGAAGCTGAAGGCATGATACCTGGTGCATCACTGCGAAGTTTCCTGTGGGGGGGGCCCTCTGAAACAGAGAGAGAATCCCCGGAGGTTACCATCAGCAAACAAGAAGGAGCCCGGTTAAGTATATTCTTAATTGTTAAAGACATTTGCTTCGATTTAATAATTAAAGGCACTCTTTTTTATTTTGAGATAGTCTCTGTCACCCAGGCTGGAGTGCAGGGGTGCGATCTTGGCTCACTGCAACCTCTACGTCCTGGATTCAAGTGATCCCCTTGTCTCAGCCTCCCGAGTAGCTGGGATTACAGGCAGGCCCCACGTGCTTGGCTAATTTTTGTATTTTTAGTACAGATGGGGTTGCACTATGTTGGTCAGGCTTGTCTCCAACTCCTGATGTCAATGATCTTCCTGCCTTGGCCTCCCAAGGTGCTGGGATTTGGGATTACAGGCATGAACCACCGCACCTGGCATTAAAAGCACCCTTAAGTCAACGTTGCAGTGAATCACCTGACGCCAAGAGCATTTGGTGAGGCTGGTAGATGAAAGGATAAGCAGTTTTTTGATACTCTGTCACCCAGGATGGAGTGCACTGGCATGATCTATCTCTGCTCACTGCAACCTCCACCTCCCGGGTTCAAGCGATTCTCCTGCCTCAGCCTCCCGAGTAGCTGGGATTACAGGCATGCACCACCGTGGCTGGCTAATTTTCATATTTTTAGTAGAGACGGAGTTTCACCATGTTGGCCATGCTGGTCTCGAACTCCTGACCTCAAGTGATCCACCCACCTCGGCCTCCCAAAGAGCTGGGATTACAGGTGTGAGCCACTGCACCCGGCTCAGTTTTTTAAATGGAAAGGAAAATGTCTGTCCTTTAGAGCTACTTTTAAGAACCTCCTATAAATCCCATGATTGCATACTGGTTCAGGGAAGTAAAAGCATTTGAGCAAGCTAGTTTGAGAAATCAGTGTTGGAACAGAAGCCAAGAAGTCCCAGGCAAGGAACCTGCAGCCGCCTGTCCCTTGGTTTATGATTACTTGCTCTTCATTAGCTTTCGGGCCTCTAGCAAGAGAGGAGAGGTGGAGGCCTTGTACAGCTCTTGCCGGAGGTAACTGGCAGTGTAGCCAGTGGTAGGTAAGTGGGTCTGGCTTTAGAGAGGGCTTGTGTCGAGATGCGTCTGGCTGATAGAACTTGGTGAAACTCGCACTACAGTTCCTTCTTGGCTGAGGAGCCAGGCATGCTTACCAACCTCCCTCAGGGCTCTAGTGCCTGATTTTATGTTTTTGTGCACCCAAAAGATGCAGAAGGCAGGACAGACCTTCCACCTGCATTATGTGTGTATTCGTGTCGGAACTGGCAAAAATGGTCTTTTTGTTCCACTTTGCCCTTGGCTGCCCAAGAAGGCTCAAGTGTCTGGGGCAGAACCCACAGGAGGTGTCCAGTGTGTGCTAAAGAATCACTGGGCCGGCCGGGCATGGTGGCTCACGCCTGTAACCCCAGCACTTTGGGAGACCGAGGCAGGTGGATCACGAGGTCAGGAGATCGAGACCATCCCAGCCAGTATGGTGAAACCTTGCCACTACTAAAAATACAAAAATTAGCCAGGTGTGGTGGCACGCACCTGTAATCTCAGCTACTTGGGAGGCTGAGGCAGGAGAATCGCTTGAACCTGGGAGGCAAAGGTTGCAGTGAGCCGAGATCGCGCCACTGCACTCCAGCCTGGCAACAGAGCTAGACTCCGTCTAAAAATAAATAATAAAAAGAAAAGAAATCACTGGGCCTGAGAAAGGGAAGCAGAGACAGCAGTGGGGTAGGGAGTCAGAGTGGCTGTATCCCCATCGCTCAGCCCAGCCACTCAGGAGAGGCAGGGGGACTGGTTGCCAGCAGAGCACATCTGAGGGTTTTTGTTTTTTGTTTTTTTTTTGGAGACAGAGTCTTGCTCTGAAGGCTGGAGTATAGAGGCTTGATCTTGGCTCACTGCAGGCTCCTCCTCCTGGGTTGCAAAGGAGTGTCCTGTCTCAGCCTCACGAGTAGCTGGGATTACAGGCATCTGCCACCACGCCTAGCTGATTTTTGTGTTTTTAGTAGAGATGAAGTTTCACCATGTTGGCCAGGCTGGTCTCGAACTCCTGACCTCAGGTGATCAGCCCACCTCAGCCTCCCAAAGTGCTGGGATTACAGGCGTGAGCCACCGCGCTTTGCCCCAGGAGTCTTCACAGTGAGAACAGCTCTCCTCCACTGACCCCTCAACCCTGGGAGATGCTTCCAGGCCCCTGCTGTACTTTGGGAGCCTAGGCCTGGTTTCTCTCCTATCCATGGGGGACCAACAAGCGCTCACCATGCAGCGAGTGGGGCTTTTCCCTGAAGGCTTGGTGCCCTGCGCCAGCTGCTCTCTTCCCCTTCTCAGAGGGGTTTGGACTTTTCCCTGTCTCACGCAGTGGTCCCCAAACTCTAGAGGTGATTTCAGATGGCTTCCGGGCATGCCATCCGCTAACTGAACTGGGCCCTGAGAAAGTCATTTCCTTTCCAACTCTTTTTAAACAAGTCTAATTATGATGTCAGAGAGAGTCTATTTGGTGCTAATGGCTGTTGTCACTCCCTTTTTAGTGGAGAAGTAGGCTTCAGGTCTTGGTGATCAAGTTGTGGCCACAATAGCTAGATATTGAACTTGATACTATTTTTATCATATTACTTTCATCGTAACCAGTTGATAGAGGTGATGCTGGTTTAAAAATATAGAGGAGGTATGTTTATTTGCCGTTATATTCATGTATGATTAAAACTGTTAAAAGATCAAGTCATTGGTATTAAAGGTAGTAAGAGGCTCAGCACATGGCTGTGGTGGTATGAGAATGAAGCGGGGAAAATATCTAGGACCCGAGGGATAAAGGTTCACTCTGCCTGGTGCTGTCCTAGACACTGGAGATTTTTTTTTTGAGACCGAGTTTTGGTCTGTCACCCAGGCTGAAGTGCAGTGGTGCGATCTCAGCTCACTGTAACCTGTGTCTCCCAGGTTCAAGCGATTCTCCTGCCTCAGCCTCCCTAGTAGCTGGGATTACAGGCACGCCCCACCATACCCGGCTAATTTTTGTGTTTTTAGTAGAGACGGGGTTTCACCATGTTGGTCAGGCTGGCCTTGAACTCCTGACCTCAGGTGATCAGCCTGCGTTGGCCTCCCAAAGTGCTGGGATTAAGGGGTGAGCCACTGCACCCAGCCTGGGCAGGATTCTTTAGGGAAAGTTGACCAGATTCTCCCATAGATGGGATGTGGGGTATAAAGGAGACCAAAACGTTAAGAAGGACCACGAGGTTTGTGATGTGAATTGTTGGCAACTTCATCATTTTAGCTGCTGAGCTGGAGAGAGGAGCCAGTTTGGGGGTGAAGAGTTTCAGTCAGGACTTGGGGTGCAGCATGTTTGGTGTGAGCTGCCTATTAGACATCCATGTGGGAACGGGAGGGTGGTCTGAGGTTCTAGGAAGAAGCTAGGGCTTCTCAGAGATGAACTGAGGAGTCATTAGATATACATGGAATTCTAAAGCGCCAAGATTAGTTGAGACCTCTCACCTAGCGCTGGGGAGAGATGAAAACAACTAAGGCCGTGCAGTGGTCCATGCCTGTAATCCCAGCACGTGGGGAGGCTGAGGCGGGTGGATCACAAGATCAGGAGTTCAAGACCAGCCTGGGCAACATGGTGCAACCCCATCTCTACTAAAAATATAAAAATAGGCCAAAAATAGCTTGAACTGGGAGGCAGAGGTTGCAGTGAGCTGAGATAGTGCTACTGCACTCCAGCCTGGGCAACAGAGCAAGACTCTGCCCAAAAGAGAACTAAGTTGATACCCTGGGGCGGTCTAGTGGCAAGCAGGTTTCGAGGTGAGGGATCAGCAGAGGAGAGGAAGAGGGACAACCCCACAGGTCGGGGGACAAGCAGGTGTGGATGGTGTCGGGGAAGTCCAGGGAAGCAAGTGAATTAGGCCAGAGGCATGATGGACTGCGTCACGTGCTGCTGCCCTGTCAGGGGACCTCTGGCCATTAGTGTCACCCATGGGAGGCTTCTGGGAGAGTGATGGGTGGGGGCGAGGGGAACCAGCAACTCTTCACATACAGTTTTTTTTTTTTTGAGACCGAGTCTCACTCTGTCACCCAGGCTGGACTGCAACCTCTCTCTCCCGGTTTTAAGCCATTCTTGTGCCTCAGCCTCCTGAGTAGCTGGAACTATAGGCATGCACCACCACACCTGGCTAATTTTTATATTTTTTGGTAGAGACAGGGTTTCGGCATTCACATCCAGTTTTGTAGTAAGGGTAGCAAGGTAGACATGGGGCTAAGAGGTTATTCCATTTGCTGATGGAGCAAATGAAAGAGAAAACCTTGCAAAATAAGGATTTTTGGAGCTATGTGCTTGAGTGAACAAGAGGGTCGGGTCCAATGGAGGTGTTGGCCTCGGTTGGTGCCAGAGGGTTCAGCATAGAAATGGAAAAAAAATAGAAGTGTACAGAGGTGCACGGAGGTAGGATGATGAGGCAGTGGGAGCTTGTGCACGTTTCATGATCATTTCTGCTTTTGAGTTAAGTAGGAAGTAAGGTCCCCAGCTGAGAGAGAATGGGGAGGAGCGATCATAAGTTCAAAGAAAAAGTGAAAAGCAGCAGAGAGTGAGAAGATGAGGGAGGGGTGTGGGAGGACCCCTGAGCAAGGCCTGCTCTGTGGGAAAAGGTGGAGAGTGGGTTTTGGGTTTTTTGAGACAGGGTCTCACTCTGTCCATCCAGGGTAAGTGCATTGGCTAGATCATGGCTCACTGCAGCCTTGACCTCTGGGGCTCCACTGATCGTCCCACCTCAGCCTCCTGAGTAGCTGGGATTTTAGGTTTGCGCCATCCCACCTGGCTGATTTTTGTTTGTTTGTTGTAGAGATGGGGTCTTGCTGCTCTTGAACTCCTGAGCTCAAAGCGATTCACCTGCCTTGGCCTCCCAAAGTGCTGGGATTATAGGTGTGAGTCCCGTGCCCAGCCAAGCTTGAGTTTCATTTGGGTTGTGCTTTCACCAAATGATTGCAGCAATGCAAGAGGGGGAACCGGATGTTGAGGATGCGCGACGGGGGTTACTAGACAGCTGGTTTGGAGCTGGGTCAGAGGCTGATGGCATTAATGGAGTGAAGACCCCGTTGGGGACAGAGCCAAAGAAAGGTGGCACCAGGCAGACAATGGGATGCCTGAGGGTCAAATTGTGAGGGCTCCTAGGAGTACTGGTTGGCCCGGTAGAAGCAGCAGGATCACCCAGAGGGTCAAGGAACCGAGAGGCTGCGTCGCCCACCTGGATGTTGAAATCATGGAGAACTGTGAGGAGTGGTGTGGGAGACAGGAAGCCCGGAGCTAAAACCTCCTGGGAGCCAATCGGGATGGATGGACAGGGTGGTGGAAGCAGCCCTTGGGAGCAGGGGGGACCCCCAAGGTACCAGAGGCATGGGAGAGAAAACAGCCCCCACTCCAGTGACAGCAGGAATTCTCAGCGGGGTGGCAGTCGTACCCTCCCATCTCTAGAGGACTTCTGGCAACATCTAGAGACATTTTTGGTTGTCACATTGCAGGGTGGTGGGGGACTACTGCAGCCGGTGGGTAGAGGCCAGAAATGTAAGCACCTGCTACTTTTCAGGGATCTTTTTCCTTCTGATGGGGAATGTCGGACAGCCCCCATACCCGAGAATAATGCAGCCCAGATGGCAGCAGTGCTGAGGGGGAGAAAGGAGGAGCAGAGCATGTCAGGAAGGAGGTGAAGTGGCGGGGGGTGGTGTTGCAGCTTCAATGGATGTCGTGAAGACTCAGTGATGCAATGAAGGAGGGGCTGGAGGAGACAGTGGGGATAGCCTCTTCCTCCTCCTCAGCCGGAGGACCGGATGGGAGACGGTCGATCGTTAAAGGATCTAGAAGGTTAGCTGCTACCAGGCAAGGCAGGGCCCGGGTCTGATCTCAGTGCCTGGCCCACACTAAGCTTAGTGATTAAGGAGAAGCAGGAATAAACCACAGAAGGGAGTGGCGGCTGTGGGCACAAGGGGCATTTGCAGGCCGAAAGGAGCCCGAGCCCCCAGTGCTTTTCTCTGGCCTGAGAGACGGGGTCCTCCCGGGCCACGGGCTCCTCACCTGAGCTTGCTCTTGAGTGCGTTCACCTCGCGGCCCATGGCCTCGTTGCTCTCCGTGGCCTCATCCAGCTCCCGCTGCAGCTTCCTGCGGTTGGCGTTGATGCGCTGGGACTCCTCCTCTGCCTCCTCCAGCTGCCTCTTGAGCTGCTTGACCCTGGCATTGCCTTTCTCTGCCTGTCGCGGAGAGTTGGAGGGGTGGTTAGGGGAGGCCGGCTGGGGGCTGGGGGCTCGAGGGAGGCTGGGTGGCAGGGGCTACCTGCTCCTTGTACTGCTCGGCCATCTTGCGCTCGTCCTCCACCTGCAGCAAGATTTCCTTCAGCTTCTTGTCTTTCTGCTTCAGCGACTTGGTGGCCGCCTGTTTCTCTCTGCAAACAGCAAGGAAAACAGGTGGTTTCAGCGGAGGGTGGCACCCCTTGTAGCTGGTGTGTCACCTGGAGGTGGCATCTTGAGTGCTTTCCTGAGCCCCGTATCTGGACTCCTCTCAAGAATCAGTCAGATGGTGGAATAGTATTCAGCCATGAAAAGGAATAAAGTATCAATGCATGCCACAGCATGGATGAGCCTGGAATTCTTGCCAAGTGAAAGAAGACACATAGCAGACAACATAGTGTGTGATTCCGTTGATATCAAGTGTCCAGAATAGATAAATTCATAGAGACAGAAAGTAGATTATGGTTGCCAGGGACTGAAGGGAGTGGTTACAGGGCATGGGGTTTCTATTTTTTTTGCGGGGAGGAGGCAAGGTCTTGCTGTGTGACCCAGGTTGGAGTGCAGTGGTGCTCCAATGCCTGCTCTTCACCCTAGTTCATAGTTCACTGCAGCCTTGAACTCCTGGCTCAAGCAATCCTCCCACCTCAGCCTCCCAAGTAGCTGGGACTACAGGCGTACACCAGCATGCTCAGACTTTTAAAAGTTTTTCATAGAAACGGAGTCTCTGGCCAGGCGTGGTGGCTCATGCCTGTAATCCCAGTACTCTGGGAGGCCGAGGTGGGCAGATCACCTGTGGTCAGGAGTTCGAGACCAGCCTGGCCAACATGGTGAAACCCCATCCCTACTAAAAAATACAATTACAAGCTGGGTACAGTGGTGTGCACCTGTAGTCCCAGCTACTTGGGAGGGTGAGGCGGAGGTTGCAGTGAGCTGAGATCGCACCACTGCACACCAGCCTGGGAAACAGAGTGAGACTATGTCTCAAAAAAATAAAAATAAAAAAGTCTTGCTATGCTGCCCAGACTGGTCTCGAACTCCTGGACTCAAGTGCTGCTCCCACCTACCTCAGCCTCCCAAAGTGCCGGGATTATGGGCATGAAATACCACATATGGCCTGGGGTTTCTGTTTGAGCCGATGAAAATGTTCTCAAAATGACTGTGGTGATCGTTTTTACATGTTTGTGAATATATGAATAGCCCTTGAATTATACACTTTAAATGGGTGCATTGCAGGGCGTGCGAATTACTGAAAAAGCTACTAGAAGAGAATGGGTGAGAATCCTTAGAATCCAATGGTAAGAAATGTGCTGTGATCATATGCCTCATTCGACCCATAATTAAGAAGGCTTCCAGTGTGTGTACCAAATGGGCTGCCGGTTGGACTTTTGTTTTTTGGGGTTTTTTTTGTGTGTGTGTATGTGTGTGGAAGGGTCCCACTGTGTCACCCAGGCTGCAGTGCAGTGGCACAATCTCGGCTCACTGCAACCTCCACGTGTCACGTTGGAGTGATTCTCCTGCCTCAGTCTCCTGAGTAGCTGAGATAATAGGCATGTGCCACCACACTCGGCTAATTTTTGGTACAGACAGGGTTTCACCATGTTGGCCAGGCCGGTCTCAAACTCCTGACCTCAAGTGATCCACCTGCCTCAGCCTCCCAAATTGCTGGGATTACAGGCGTGAGCCACCACGTCCAGCCTGGTTGGATTTTTGATCTGTCAGCATGCTATCCCTGCAGAGGCTGGGAAAAGTCATATGTACTGCTGGGAAGGCAGGTTAATGTCAGGAGGACCATGGAGATGCTAAGAGCAGCTCACACTTTAGGTGCTTGCCCTAGGCCAGGAACCAGCAGGGCACTTTGCTGTGTTTACGTTCAGTTCTCACAACATACCTGCACTGTAGGCATCACAGAGCTTGCTTCTTACAAGCCAGAACTGATGCTGGAAGAGGTTCCCTGACTTCACTATGACTCCTGCTGTCCATCACCCCCCTGCAAACTGGGTTCGGAACTCCACACCCGCATACCTGGCCTCCTGCTCGACCTGCTCCTCCAGCTGTGCAATCTTGGCCTCCAGCGCCGCGATGGTGGACTTGAACTTGGACTTGACGGCCCCCTCCATCTCGTGGAGCTTGCTCCGGAGCTCCTTGTTCTGCCGCTCGAGCTGCTGCCGGGCACTCTCATTCTTCTGGGCCGTGCTGCGCTCTGTGGCCAGCTCGTTGCTGAGCTGCTCGGCCTGGGGAGGAGAGTGAAGGCCATGAGGCGGACTCAGGGAAGCCCAAGAGAGCGCACTGAGACCATGCCTCTTCCTGCCTTGTTTGGCCTCTGCACGAGTCCCTTGATCCCGGGCACCCTGTCCTCTCCTTCATCCTGTAAAACTCCACTCAAGAGCTTCTTCCAGGCCGGGCGTGGTGGCGCACGCCTGTAATCCCAGCACTTTTGGAAGCAGAGGCAGGTAAATCACTTGAGCTCAGGAGTTCGAGACCTGCCTGGCCAACATGGTGAAACCCCGTCTCTATTAAAAATACAAAAATTAGCCGGGCAGTGGTGGCACGTGCCTGTAGTCCCAGCTACTTGGGAGGTTGAAGCAGGAGAATCCCTTGAACTTGGGAGGCAGAGGTTGCAGTGAGCCAAGATTGCGCCACTGCACTCCAGCCTGGGCCACAGAGAGACCCTGTCTCCAAAAAAAAGAGGTGCTTCCACAAGTGTCAGTGCCACCCAGGCTGAGCGAGTGACTTGTCCCTTGCTTTCTCTGTCCTGGAGTCGCCTGGAGAATGATGCCTGTTCACCCTACACCACAAGGGGCTGCAGGTTACTGGATGGTCCCTAGTGCCCACCATGGAACTAGTGCTCAGTGACATCACCAAGGGCTCACTGGATAAGGTCAGAGCTTCAGCTAGGGGAAAACGCAATGAAAGAGCATCCCAAGGCCCGGACTCCAGGGATGGCCGTGAGGTACGGGGAGCCAGCCACGCCGTGGCTGGAAAATGAGACACTGCAGCGTGGAGAGGAGTATTCTGAAGACAGCAGCCTGGGCACTGGTGTAAGGGCCCTGGATCTCTACTCTCAGGCCCCACCACCCTCTTGTCCCTCAATCCAGGGCCTGCACACAGGAAGCCGCCACGCGTGTGTTGACTGGTGCAGGATCCTGCTGCAGGAGAGACAGTAGGCAGCGTGACTGTGGTGTCCAGGCGGCCCTCACCTGCTGTGTGGCTTTGCGGACCCGGTCGCTCATGGCCTCCATGTTGCCCTGCTCCTCCTCCAGCTCCTCCTCCAGCTGGGCGATCCGGGCCTCCAGGCGGCGCTTCTCGTCCTGGAGTGCGTTCCTGGGGGAAGGGCGGCCATGGTGGGGGCCTCTACCCTCCCCCGCCTTAAAAGATGCCCCCTCCTTGGAGTCATGCCTCAGGGGTATTGCCCTCATCATCTAATGGGTGAAACTGAGGCTTGGAGAAGATTAGAAGACTCATCTGTAGTTACACAGCCAGGAAGTGGACAGCCGGGACTCAGGCCGGGTCCGTGTCAGCAAAGCTGGGATTGGGATGGGGACCAGCACACTCCTCCCTGACTCTTCCTGGCCTCCCCTTCTCCCCACACAGCTACTTATTGGGAATGAATGAAAGCAGCCACACCCCCAAACAGGCATGAAAGCGCTGACGGAAAACCTAACCACCATGGGTCTGTCCCCAATCTCAGAGGACGCTTCGTCAGCAGCAGCATTGAAATGGGGGTCCAGGGCCAGGCACGGTGGCTCACACCTGTAATCACAGCACTTTGGGAGGCCAAGGTAGGAGGATCACCTAAGGTCAGGAGTTCAAGACTAGCCTGGCCAACATGGTGAAACCCCACCTCTACTAAAAATATAAAAATTAGCCAGGCATGGTGGTACACACCTGTAGTCTCAGCTACTCAGAAGGCTGAGGCAGGAGAATTGCTTGAACCTGGGAGGTGGAGGTTGCAGTGAGCCAAGATTGTGCCACTGCCCTCCAGCCTGGGTGACAGAATGAAACTCTGTCTCGAAAAAATTTAAAAAATAAAATGGGGGTCGAGGATGCTGCCTGTCCCCCCATCCTCTGCTTCAGAGCCCTCTTCCTCCATTCAGTTTCCTACCTTCCCGACAGGCTACTGGCCAGCTCCTCTGCCAGTTCCTCCTTCTCGAGGTCCGCTTGTTTGCGAGCCCTCTCAGCGGCGGCGAGGTCCTAGGTGGGAGGGAGGAAGGCTGTTGTCTGCCAGGGAAAGGCCAAGCCCCACCAAGAGTCCACCCTGACAACTCAGCCACCCTTGAAAGTACATGTTCTTCCTCTGAGCTCAGGGGAGGCCCCGTGAATACATAGAGGAGGGAAGCGTGTGTCTTTCTAGACAGGTGGACCCCAGAGGAGGACGAAATGAAATCTGGGAATGCACAGACTGGAGCTGCCAAGGGGTGCTACCGTGACACCCGCATCTGAGGCTCTCCTAGCAAGGCGAGGCTTTACCTCTTGTAGCTGCATGAGGTCTGCTTCCAAGCTCTTGGCTTTCTTCTCATTCTCTTTGGCTGTGGCAAAGATCTCATCTCTGGAGGCACGGGCATCTTCCAGCTCTCTTTGAAAGTCCTTCATCTGAGCCTGCATGAGTCAACAGGGAGGACAAGCTCAGATGTCCTTACTCCCCCAAGTTCTGCTGCCCAGTTCAGCTTTGCACACCCACCCCTTGGATTTTCTGCAGTTGACCACAAAGAAGTTCCCATTGCACGAGCATGGCTCTCAGTTCCAGGTGGCTGGTGGTGCGCTGGGAGCACCATTCTGGGTGGGCTCCACAGACCTGCCTGAGAAGCTGAGCCCCTGATGTGATCTGAGGGCAGTGGCCAAATACCTAATAATGCTGCCCTACCCAGGGCAGGAGACAGCCACCAAATCCTGAATGGTTCCAGAAAAACCCCAGCTGAACCCACACCAATGGCAGGTGCAGGCTTGCTTCCTGGAGCCCGCTCTGCTGACTTCGGTGGCCTGAGGGGAACTGTGCCCTCCCTCCACCCATGCCCCAAGCTCCTAGTGTCACCCACCTGCAGTTTGCGTAGCTGCTTGATGGCTTCCTCCCTCCCCTTGATGGCAGAGTCGGCCTGAAGCTCCAGGTCTTTCAGGTCCCCTTCCAGCTTCTTCTTTGCTGCAGCTGCCAGGGCACGTTGCTTTCGCTCGTCTTCCAGTTCCGTCTCATACTCGTGAAGCTGGGCGAGGAATAGAGATGTGTGCTGCCCCACTTGCCCCTGGGAGGTCCTTTGGCTCACCTAGGCAGCACATCACTGCACCCCTTCCCCAGCACAGCCCCCTTGTGAGGTGGGCATCTCATCCCCAGTTGCAGATGAGAAAACGGAATCACGCCGGGCGTGGGTGGCTCATGTCTGTAATCCCAGCACTTTGGGAGGCCAACAGGAGAATGGATCACTTGAGGCCAGGAGTTCAAGACCAGCCTGGCCAACATGGTGAAACCTTGTCTCCACTGAAAAAAAAAAAAAAATTAGCTAGGTATGGTGGCATGCGCCTGTAATCCAAGCTACTCGGGAGGCTGAGGCAGGAGGTGGAGGTTGCAGTGAGCTGAGATTACGCCACTGCACTCCAGCCTGGGCGACAGAGCGAGACTCTGTTTCAAAAAAAAATAAAGAAAACGAAGTTTCCACACCAACCATGAGAGTGGTGATAGGAATGAAAAAGGCCACCCGACCTCCCTCTGCTGGCCTCCCCGGCAGCACGCACCTGTCTCTGCAGTTGCCTCCTCTTCTCCTCATTCTGCTCGTCCCGGGCTTGGAGATCCCTTTCGAACTGGCCCTTGAGCGCCTGCATGTTGACTTCCAGCCGCAGTTTGGCGTCCTCCGTGGCTTGCAGCTCGTCCTCCAGCTCTTCCAGCTGCGTCTTCATCTCCTCCATCTGGGTCTCCAGGGCCCGCTTGGACTTCTCCAGCTCATGGACCTGCCGGCAGAGCGGGCAGCCCCATTCTATGAGGCTCAACTTCATGAAGACGATTGAGAAACCCACCGTGAGCGGCACCTCAGGAGATCAGGGAGGTGGCTTTGGCCTCCCACAGGATGCATGGCCGGGACTCAAGATGACCCCTGAGAGTTCAGACCCCAGCCTTATCCTCGGACCCCCCAACTCAGACCCATCCTCGACTGCCATTCTCAGCCCCTCCCAGCCCCTGCACCAGTCCAAAAACCTCCTTCCATTTCCGATGATAGTTCGCTATGAAAAAGGCCAGGAGCTAGCCTCGCATGGACTGGTGAATAGCACAGAGGGTGGGCAGGCGAAACATGGACGAGAAAAACCACCCAGAGCCACTTACGTTCTTGCCCACGTCATCCTTGGAGCTGACCAGGTCTTCCATTTCGGCTTTGAGCATTTTGTTGGTCCGCTCGAGTTCCTCTTTGGCTTCCAAGGCCTCTTCAAGGGCCCGAGCCAGGGACAGGGCCTTGGTTTCCTTCTCCCTGGCTTCTGCCTCAGCTCTGTCCCTCTCATCCGCGTATTTGGAAGAGATGTTTTTCTCCTCGGCTAACAACTACAACACAAGACCCAGAGGTGACTTCTAGGCATATCCGGGGTCAGCGTCACTGAATTGTAAATACCGGGGGAAGCCCTGTGTCCTGCTGAATGTATTGAGGTGCAGGTGTAAGCAGTGTAGGTTAGCTATGGGAGTAATTTATATAATCATCTGGCGTTCTGACTTCTACATCAACCTTATGCAGAGCCAGAAATCAGCTGACTTGTTTTTTTTTGTTGGTTTGTGTGTTTGTTTGTTTTAGATGGAGTCTCACTTTGTCACCCAGGCTGGAGTGCAATGGTGCAGTCTTGGTTCACTGCAACCTCCGCCTCGTGGGTTCAAGCGATTCTCCTGCCTCAGCCTCCAGAGTAGTTGGGATTACAGGTGCCCACCACCACACCTGGCTAATTTTTGTATTTTAAGTAGAGATGTGGTTTTGCCATGTTGACCAGGCTGGTCTCGAACTCCTGACCCTCAAGTGAGCCTCCTGCCTCGGCCTCCCAAAGCACGGAGATTACAGGTGTGAGCCACCACACCTGGCCAAATCCTTGTGCTTCGAAACCACTAGACCTGCCCACGTTGCTTAGAGCACACTGAGGTCAAAGTGAGATTTAAAGCTGCCAGAAGCTAGTTATTAGTTTGTTTCATGGCCACAAGTAGCTATTAATATCTTACAAAAGTATCCTAAGAGCCTCAGTAGGGAAATGGTAAGCATGGGTGGCCCTGCACACATATCTCTCTGCTTGGAGAAGCAACTCAGAGAACATTCCATGCTCACGTTAATCTCATCTTCAGAGAGAACAGAGCAGATTATAAATTGTAACATCCAAAAGCCAAACTTCCAGTATTCAGCAAAGACAGGGACCTCTAAATGGCACAGTCAACACAAAAATCCCACACTATGTGTGCCACTGCACTACACTCTATGTGACAGGAAAATAAAAGCAACCTCAGGCCTTCAACCAGATAACGAAGCATTGAAGATGAGCTGACAGCCCAGAGGAGAGGTAGCTGATGGGAAGAGGAGAAACTGGGATGTTATCTAGAATCCTGACACTAGGAGGTCAGTCAGGGAGGGGTAGGGAACCTGCAGGCATCTGGCATTTAGCCTCACTGTACAATCCTCATTTTATTTATTTTTGAGACAGGGTTTTCACTCCATCACTCAGGCTGGGGTGTAGTGGCGCAATCTTGGCTCACTGCAACCTCCACCCCACCCTGGGTTCAAGCGATTCTCCTGCCTCAGCTTCCAGAGTAGCAGGGATTACAGGCGTGCGCCACCACGCCCGGCTAATTTTGGTATTTTTAGTAGAGACAAAGTTGCACGATGTTGGCCAGGCTGGTCTCAAACCCCTGACCTCAAGTGATCCACCTGCCTCAGCCTCCCAAAGTGCTAGGATTACAGGCGTGAGCCACCGTGCCTGGCCTCTCAAACTGATTTTTAGAATAACCCTGAGTCACTTGTAAACTAAATCATATTTACTAAATAATAATGTATCTTAAAAGTTGGTATTTAGGGGTTTGGGTCATACAGGGGTCTCCATTTATCGTACAATTAAGATTTGTGAATCTCATCACATGTAAGTTTTACCCCAAAAGAAGCAAAATTGTGTTTAAAAATAAACTCTAATTAATATGCAATGTTGAGGTGTGGAAGGGGAAATGTACTGACATCTGTAATTTGCTCTGAAATGTACCCAAGAGATAAGGCATGATAGATAGAATTAGTCTTTATAAATAAATATGTGGGCCGGGCATAGTGGCTCATACCTATAATCCCAGCACTTTGGGAGGCCAAGGCAGGCAGATCATGTGAGGCCAGGAGTTGGAGACCAGCCTGGACAACATGGCAAAACCCCATCTCTACTAAAAATACAAAAATTAGCCAGACATAGTGGTGTGCTCCTATAATCCCGGCTACATGAAAGGCTGAAGCAGGAGAATCGCTTGAACCCAGTGGTGGAGGTTGCGGGGAGCTGAGATCACACCACTGCACTCCAGCCTGGGTGACAGAGCTAGATCCTGTCTCAAAATAAGTATCTGATAAAGTTCATATAATACAGTGTCAATGACTGAATCCAGGTGGTGGCCTTAAAGGTGTTCACCGTACAATTCTGTCAACTTTGCTGTGTACTTGGAATTTTACAGAATGAAATCTTAGGGAAGAGTGGTATTAAAAGTATAGAAACTGAATTACTTGGAATACTACTCAATAGGTATTCAGTAAATACATTTAGTGAATAAATAAGCACCTCATTCCTTCTTCAGGCTAGAAACTAAGGCATCACCATGTGTGCAGGTGACCCTCATGGTGCTGGTACCCAGAAAAGTCACAGTCATCAAGGCTTCTTTGCCATCCTTACTGTGACCTGGTAGCGTTAATGCTCCATGGTCGCCCAAGACAAGATAAGACAGCCTCCCATGGCTCCCCACAGAGTGGAGAGGGGATGCAGGCACAGGCCAGAGCCACGCGTCATACTCTGCAGAGCTGATTCCCCAACCCAGCGTCCATGGCCAGAGTGGGGGACACCCCACGCCCTCTACCTGATCAAATTTCCTCTGCTTCTTTTCCAGGTTGGACACGAGTTGCCGCTGGTTGTCCAAATCAACAACCAGGTCGTCCAGCTCCTGCTGAAGCCTGTTCTTGGTCTTTTCCAGTTTATCATAAGCGGCCGCCTTCTCCTCGTACTGCTGGGTGAGGTTCTCGATCTCCTTCTGGAACCTCTTCTTCCCCTCTTCCAGAGCTTCCACGGTGCTGGCAAAGTCCTGCAGCTTCTTCTTCGAGTCGGAGAGCTACAAGGACAGCGTCCAGGGTAGGGTGAGAGGGGGACCATGAGTGGCCCCTGTCCCTGGCCCCACAGACTCTGAGAAGCGAAGACCATGTCTCCTCGTTGGAGAAACCCAATAGCAGGGGAAGCTGGGGGGTCAAGCACCATCGCACCAACACTCCACCGCGATCTGCCTGCGGGGGATCTCAGCGCAGAGAAGTTGAGAGGACCCATGAAGGAAGCAAGGACACGGGGCAGGCACCTGGATGTTGAGAGTGGAGATGTGGCGCTCCAGGTTCTGCTTGGCCTCCATCTCCTCGTCCAGCTGGTCTTGCAGGCTGTTCCGCTCCTCCTCCAGCTGGCGCAGCTTCGTAGACACGTTGAGCTTCTGCCGGGTTTCTTCTTGAAGCAGCTCCTGCAAAAGGGATGCAAAGAGGTCCCAGGGACCTGCCCCGAGGAAGGCCACCCCCCAGGTCCCCTGGATGATGTGGCAGGACACTCACCTGGGTGTCCTGGAGCTGGGAACTGAGGGACGCCACGTCCTTGGCCAGCTTAATGGCCTTCCCCTCGGCCTCGTTAAGCATCCCTGTGACGCTCTCAACTTCATTCTAAGGGTGCCAAGAGACTGGTTAGTCAAAGCCTCTAGAAGGGGATCCTCGTTGAAAGGAGCCCTTTTTACTCAAAACACATGGGCTAGTACTTGAGGTGTTCACTGATTGAGAAAATACCCGTGAGGTATGGGACTCTGATAAAAAAAAAAAAAAACACACACACACACAAAAAAAACAGAATCTGTGGCTTGAAGGGAACTCCGTCACCTATGAGTTGGGACCCTGGCCCTAGACTCTGTGGTTCTAAGAACTTATTTGAGCCCCAATGGTATTGACTGGGACCTGATCCCACTAAATGGATCCTAGATCCCTGCCAAGGTTGGTAGAGACAAAGCAGCAGGTCTGAGAGTCCAGACGAGGTGCTCTGGCTGGTCCACTCTCTAAGGCTGGAGAAGGGAGACCAGGATGGTACTTGAACGTCCCAGGGATGCTGTCCCATCCCTTCCTTCCTCACTCCTACTCTTTGACCCTGATGGCCAAAGCCAGAGACGCAGGCCCTAAAGGTAAAAACGTCCTCTCTGTATTCTCTGGCTTTTACTCCCTAGTGTCTCTGCATAAGTCCCTTTGAGGCTGTTAGCCTACCCCTCCATCTCTTCCATTGACAAGGAGGATATGAATGATCTTGACACTGCTTATATGAGGGCGGCAAAAGCCCTGCTCTCAACTGCATGTGAGAAAAAAACATCTCACTTAATTCTTCCCTCGCCCCTTGGTCCCTGGCTGTGGACATGTTAAACATTTGTGAAAACTTTGGCCACGTCCCCATGAGTGGCAAGGCAGGGTAAATGGCTATGCCAAGTGAAAGAAGACCAAAGACAAAAAGACCATGTCATTCAGCAGCTTAAAACCCCTCAACAGCTTCACATTGCCCAGAGTAAGGATCAACATACATGTAATAGGTTCTCAAAAGCCCTACATCATCTGGGTACAAGCTCCCCCTCCAACCCCACTCTGTACTATCTCCCCCTACCCCCAACCCCAGCTGGGCACTCCAGCTCTACTGGCTGTATGTCTCTCTCCTAATTTTTCTACTTACCACAGGGCCTTTGCACACGCTGTTCCCTCTGCCTGGTAGACTTATCCATGCTCCTTAGGGAAGCCTTTCGTGGCTCCTCCTCCCCCAGGTTAGGCCCCCTGGTTATTTACACTTGGGCATCATGTGCCTTCCCTTTGCTGCATCATTTGACATTCATTTGTGTGATTATTCATGTCTTTCCCTTCCCTTCCCTTCCCCTTACTCGGCTGGAGTCCTACTGGGGCAGCGACAGTGTCTCTTCTTCCTTGCTGTTGGATCTCAGGATTAAGCACAGTGCCTGGCATACAGCAGGTGCTCAATAAATACTTATCAAATTGGAAAAGGAAGGGTTTTTTTTCTTTTTTTTTTTTTTTCCTGAGACAGAGTTTTGCCCTTTTAGCCCAGGCTGGAGTACAATGGTGCGGTCTCCGCACACTGCAACCTCTGCCTCCTGGGTTCAAGCTATTCTCCTGCCTCAGCCTCCCGAGTAGATGGGACTACAGGTGCCCACGACCACGCCTGGCTAATTTTTGTATTTTTAGTAGAGACTTTTCACCATGTTGGCCAGACTGGTCTCAAACCCCTGACCTCAGGTGATCCACCCACCTCTGTCTCCCAAAGTGCTGGGATTACAGGCATGAGCCACCGTGCCTGGCCAGAAGGTTTTTTTAATATTTAATTGAACAGGGAGATCATCGCCTCTCCTCCAGGAACGCAACTAGAGGAAAGGACTTGCCTTGCAGCAAGAGAGACCTCAGCGAGCCGGGAAGAGGCTCCTCCCCACAGAACTGGGCACCACCCAGCACTGCCCACCACACCACCGCGCCACCTCCTCACCTGCAGCTTGTGGACTTTGTCATTGAGCTCCGCCCGGGCCCGCTCCCCATCGCTGCACTTGGACTGCAGCTCCTGCACCTGCGCCTCCAGCTTCTTCTTCTTATGTTCCACCTCCTGCTTGGCCTGGCCCAGGACCCGCAGCTCCCCGGCCAGGTCTGCGTTCTCTTTCTCCAGCGTCTGCTTATTCTTGTCTAGGTTCGCCTTGGCCTGGCGAAGGAAGCAGAGGGGAGGGATAACAGGGAGGCTGTGGCCGGGAGAACGTTTCAGGCCCTGCCCTTTCCTCCCTCAGAGAGGTCCAGGAAGGCACACAACAGGGGGCACACAATCACCAGTAAGAGATTTGGGGTTTTTTTGTTGTTATTTTTTTTTTGAGATGGAGTCTTAACTCTGTTACCCAGGCTGGAGTGCCGTGGCACAATCTTGGCTCACTGCAACCTCCGCCTCCCAGGTTCAAACTATTCTCCTGCCTCAGCTGCCCAAGTAGCTGGGATTACAGGCGCCCGCCACCATGCCCGACTAATTTTTGTATTTTTAGTAGAGACGAGGTTTCACCATGTTAGCCAGGCTGCTCTCGAACTCCTGACCTCAAGTGATCCACCCATCTTGGCCTCCCTAAGTGCTGGGATTACAGGCGTGAGCTGCCGCACCCAGCTGATATTTTGGATTCTATTTTCCTAAAGCTCATGGGTTGCAATCTGGAATCCCACAAGCGGTATCCAACCTGCTGACATGTCCCCTTTGACCCTTTCACTACTTTTAAAAAAATGAGTTGCCGACATTTTAATAAATGTCACATAAAAATCTGGATTCCCAGCTTCTTTTTCAAAAAACTTTAATGTTTGAAGGCATGCCATGGCAGCTCATACTTGTCATCCCCAGCACTTTGGGAAGCAGGCAGAAGGATCGCTTAAGGCCAGGAGTACAAGACCAGCCTGGGCAATGTAGTGAGACCCCCATCTCTACTAAAATAAAACATTAGCTGGGTGTGGGGGGCACACACCAGCAATCCCAGCTACTCAGGAGGCGGATGGCAGGCTTGCTTGAGCCCAGGAATTGGAGGCTGCAGTGAGCTATGATCACACCACTGCACTCCAGCCTGGGCAACAAAGTGAGACCCTGTTTCAGAAATAAGTAGCTTTGGGAGGCCAAGGCAGGTGGATCACTTGAGGTGAGGAGTTCGAGACCAGCCTGGCCAACATGGCGAAACTGCATCTCTACTAAAAATGGAAAAATTAGCCGGGCATGGTGGCGCACGCCTGTAGTCCCAGCTACTGGGGTGGCTAAGGCACAAGTATTGCTTGAACCTGGGAGGTGGAGGTTGCAGTGAACCAAGATCATGCCACTGCATTCCAGCCTGGGTAACAGAGTGAGACTCCATCTCAATCAATCAATCAATAACTAACATTCTATGTGGTGACTGTGGTGGTGGTAGTTACACAATACACATTTGTTAAAATTAATGGAGCAGTAAAATGGATAAATTTTACTACATATGCCTCAGTAATCCTAAACTTAAAAACAAAAACAAAAAACCAACAACAACGAAAGATCTGGAAACAGAGGGTCTTGCTTTCCTTCAAGGCAACAATCTGCCACATCTAAGTAGCGGCTGGCTCTGCAGGTGGGGCAGTCACCTTTCACCGCCCCCGTCCTTCACAGGTGTCGTGTGATTGACACTGCTACTTCTGTCCTAGTTAAGGGAAACTTATTTTATGGAACCAGCTCCTGTAGGCATGTGAGTTGCCCTACAGGAAAAAAAAAGTGTGTTGGGGCCAGGCGCGGTGGCTCAGGCCTAGAATCCCAGCACTTTGGGAGGCCTATGCAGGCAGGTCACTTGAGGTCAGGAGTTTGAGACCAGCCTGGCCAACATGGTGAAACCCCGTCTCTACTAAAAATATAAAAATTAGCCGGGCATGGTGGCAGTCACCTGTAATCCCAGCTGCTGAGGAGGCTGAAGCAGGAGAATTGCCTGAACCCAGGAGGCGGGGGTTGCAGTGAGCCGAGATCCCGCCAGTGCACTCCAGCCTGGGCGACAGAGTGAGACTTTGTCTCAAAAAAAAAAGCGTGTTGGGCAAAAGTAGGACGCGGTGAGGGGCTTCTTTCCAGGTTGTAGAGAAGGGGAAAGAGAAGCGCAAGTATCCCGAGAGGACGAGACCCACCACTCAGTCTTCCCATAGTCCCTGGGAGGTGCTGGACGTTGACCGGTCAGCCCTGGATGCCCGTCCTCCCTCCAAGACATGACTAAGAGCTGCCAGACCTCAGATGGGGACAGGGAGTCTCTTGGTGGTAACAAAGCAGTGAAGCGGGGACCCTAGGGGACATGGGCTCCCAGAAACCTTAGCCCAGCCTAAGACCCCAGAACTGGGGCCAAACCGCACGAGGGCCTGGGGAGCCCAGGTAGGAGCTGATGTTAAACGTTTCCCCCACAAGCAGATGGAACCAGGTCTCTACATCAGAATTCAAGTTGTTAGAGGCAAAGGCCTCTGTTTCCCTGCACCTGAGATGGGCAGAGGTTTGCACCTCTACCTGCTTTGTGCGGGTCAGTAATGGACATGCCGTCTGCTGGTGGTCTTAATAACTGCGTCTTCCCAAAGAGGCCTGGCTGGGAATGGGCTTGGCTTCTAGCTCCTGTTCACGTCTAATGAACCCCAAGCATGGGGAGGGTCAGTGATTCTGTCTGGGGCCTCACTCTTCCAACCATAATTTTTTTTTTTTTTTTTTGAAACTGAGTCTCACTCTGTTGCCCAGGCTGGGGTGCAGTGGCACAATCTTGGCTCACTGCAACCTTTACCTCCTGGGTTCAAGTGATTTTCATGTCTCAGCCTCCCAAGTAGCTGGGATTACAGGCGACCGCCACCACGTCCAGCTAATTTTTGTATTTTTAGTAGAGACGGGGTTTTGCCATGTTGGCCAGACTGGTCTCAAACTCCTGACCTCAGGTGATCTGCCTGCCTCGGGCTCCCAAAGTGCTGGGATTACAGGCGTGAGCCACTGCACCCAGCCTAATTTTATGTATTTTTAGTAGAGATGGGGTTTCACTATGTTGGTCAGGCTAGTCTTGAACTCCTGACTTGGTGATCCGCCTATCTCAGCCTCCCAAAGTGCTGGGATTATAAGCATGAGCCACCGCGCCCGGCCTTTGGGGGCAGTTTCTAATGGTTTAGCACTATCCCTTTGGTGCTGCCCTCATGAGATCTGGTTGTTTAAAAGTGTCTGGCAGCTCCCCATTCTCTCTCTTCTGCCTGCTCTGGTCATGTAAAACATGCCTGCCTCCCCGTTGCCTTCCACCATGATGGTAAGTTTCCTGAGGCCTCCCCAGAAGCAGAAGCTGCTATGCTTTCTGTACAGCCTGCAGAACCGTGAGCCAATTAAACCTCTCTTCTTTAGAAATTACCCAATCTCAGGGTGGTGCAGTGGCTCACACCTGTCATCTCAGCACTTTGGGAGGCCAAGGCAGGTGGATCACCTGAGGTCAGGAGTTCGAGATCAGCCTGGCCAACATGGCAAAACCCCATCTCTACTAAAAAAAAAAAAAAAAAAAAAAATTAGCCGGGCATGGTGGTGTGTGCCTGTAGTCCCAGCTACTTGGGAGGCTGAGGCAGGAGAATCATTTGAACCCAGGAGGTGGAGGTTGCAGTGAGCCAAGATCACGCCACTGAACTCCAGCCTGAGTGACAGAGTAAGACTCCACTGCTCAAAAAATAAACAAATAATCCAATCTTGGGTATTTCTGTAGAGCAGTGCAACAACGGACCAATACACTAGTGATAGAACCAAATGCAAATTCCCCAAAATTTTTAGGCAATGCTGCACCCACTTAATCTAGCAGAACCAAAAGCTTCCACTGAAGGGGATGTGGAGGAGCTGCAACGCTGAGGGTAATGTAACTCAGGCTTTCAGGAAAACAATCTGGCCGAAGGTCGCAAGCTAAAAAACTTACCCTGGGGAATGAAGCACAGGCACTACCCCAAAGGAGAGAAGAGCACCCAAGATTCAGCATTCGGTACTGCTATTTACCAGCTCCCACTCCCATACACCGCAAAGAGTTCCAACAACGGGAGAGTGATTTGACCTAGTCATTCTCAAATTATGCCGGAGAGAGCTGTTCTGCCATTGAAATCAAATAATGACAAGTTTCCTCCAGTCTTTTTTTTTTTTACAAAAGAAAAATCGCTATGTTGCCCAGGCGATCTGAAAGTCCTGGGCTCAAGCAATCCTCCCTCCTTGGCCTCCCAAAGTGTTAGGATTACGGGAGGCATGAGCCGCCATGCCTGGCCTTCCTCCAGTCTGCAGAGAAATTAAAGTGGATAGAATGATCCCAGTTTTAAGTTTCATTTAAATCTCCCCGAAAGTGTTGTTACACCTTTGCTTATCCCTGAAGGGCAGTATATTGATAGGCCCCACCCATCCTATAGGCCTTCAGTCCTGTAGAGGCCAGAAAGTGGGGTCTAGGACCAGACTGTTTGGGTGCAAATCATGGCTCTGTCACTTACCAGCAGTGTGACCTTGGGTAAGTCTCTTCACCTCTAGGCACCTAGGACCTCAGTTTCTTTGCTTGTAAAATGAGTTTAATAGTACACGTCTCACAGGGTGGTTGTGAAGATTAATTGACATACTGTATGAGAAGCATTTCTATTCATTCTTTTTTTTTTTTCTTTTTTTGAGATGGCGGCTCACTCTGTCGCCCAGACTGGAGTGCAGTAGCACGATCTGAGCTCACTGCAACCTCTTCCTCCTGGGTCCAAGTGATTGTCCTGCCTCAGCCTCCCGAGTAGCTAAGATTACAGGCACATGCCACCACACCCAGCTAATTCTTTATATTTTTGGTAGAGATGGGGTTTCACCATGTTGGCCAGGCTGGTCTCGAACTCCTGAGCTCAAGTGATTTGCCCGCCTTGCCTCCCAAATTGCTGGGATTACAGACATGGTGAGCCACCGTGCCCAGCCTATTTTTATTGTTTGATTAAGGTCTCACTGTGTCGTCCAGGCTAGAGTGCAGTGGCATGACAGGGCTCACTGCAGCCTCAACCTCCCAGGCTCAAACGATCCTCCCACCTCAGCCTCCCAAATAGCTGGGACCACAGGAATGCACTACCAGGCCTGGCCAATATTTTATTTTATTTTATTTTTTTGAGATGGAATCCTGCTCTGTTGCTCAGGCTGGAGTGCAATGGCATGATCTCTGCTCACTGCAACCTCTGCCTCCTGGGTTCAAGTGATTCTCCTGCCTCAGCCTCCCGAGTAGCTGGGATTACAGGCATGCACCACCGCGCCCGGCTAATTTTTTGTATTTGTAGTAGAGATAGGGTTTCGCCATGTTGGCCAGGCTGGTCTCGAACTCCTGACCTCAGGTGATCCACCCAGTTTGGCCTCCCAAAGTGCTGGGATTACAGGCTTGAGCCACCACGCCTGGCCTACTTTTTTAAAATTTTAGTAGAAACAAGGTCTCACTATGTTGCCCAGGCTGGTCTCCAACTCCTGAGCTCAAGCGATCCTCCCGCCTCAGCCTCCCCAAGTACTGGGATTACAGGCGTGAGCCACCTCACCCAGCCTGTATGGGAAGCATTTTGTAAATAAATATAAGCTGCTATCATCATCATTAGAATCTTATGTAACTTGTTTTTTGTCTTTATGCAGACCCTGACCTGTAGTAATTTGAGGCTGCTGATGTCACTCTTATGTGTCATCACCAAAAAGCATCACCAAAAAGCATTACCCTCTTGAACTGCTCAAGCTGCTCTGTGAGCTCCTCCACCGCCTGTGCGTGTTTCTGCCTCATCTCCTGGACCTGAGCCTCATGGGACCGCGTCTCTTCATCCAGGGCCTTCTTCAGCACCGTCACCTCCTGCTCCCTCTTGGCCCTTGGTGGGAGGAACACAGTGAATGGCAGTTGGGTGGAGACAGAGGGTCATCTCAGTGCCGTGCAAAAGAATGAGAGCTCTTCCAGGACCCAGAGCTGCAGTCCTCATCACCACCCCTCTCTAGCTGTGTGACCTTGGGTCATTCACCTAACATCTCTGGACCTAAAATTTCCTCAGCTGCAAAATGTGGAGCATATCACCTGCCTAGGACATCTGTAATGACTGGCAAACAAATACACAAAGTAATAGAATTGAAAGGATGTCTGTGAACTGCAAAATTTTGCTTAAATATTAATGTTGGCTCTTATTTAATGAGCAGTTACTATATGCCAGGCCCTGAGCTAAGTTTTTTATATACATCATCTAATCCTCAGAGCAACCCAAAGAGGCAGGTGTGTTATTATTTCCATTTTACAAATGAGGAAACTAAGGCTAAGAGAGGGTAAGCAGTTTTACCCATGGTGTCACAGCCATTGTGTGATGGAGCCAGAATTAGAAGCTAAACCTTGACCTTGAGTCCATGGTTTTGTTTGTTTGTTTTTGAGATGGAGTTTCACTCCTGTTGCCCAGGCTGGAGTGCGACAGCGCAATCTTGGCCCCCTGCAACCTCCACCTCCCGGGTTCAAGCGATTCTCCTGCCTCGGCCTCCTAAGTAGCTGGGATTACAGGTGCCCACCACCACGCCCGGCTAATTTTATATTTTTAGTAGAGATGGGGTTTCAACATGTTGGTCAGGCTGGTTTCGAACTCCTGACCTCAGGTGATCCACCCGCCTCAGCCTCCCAAAGTGCTGGGATTACAGGTGTGAGCCACCGCACTCAGCCTGGTTTTTTGTTTTGTTTGTTTGTTTTTCTTATCGAGTCTTGCTCCGTCGTCCAGACTGGAGTACAGTGGAATGATGTCAGCTCACTGCAACCTCTGCCTCCCAGGTTCAAGGGATTCTCCTGCCTCAGTCTCCCAAGTAGCTGGGATTACCGACGCCCACCACCACGCCCGGCTAATTTTTGTCTTTTTAGTAGAGACAGGTTTTCATGATGTTGGCCAGGCTGGTCTCGAACTCCTGACCTCAGGTGATCTGTCTGCTTCAGCCTCCCAAAGTGCTGGGATTACAGGCATGAGCCACCATACCTGGCCCATGCACTGGGCTCTTCTGTATCAAAGGCCAAGCGGCAAGGGAGCAGAACGCTGTGCTCTATGTGCATGTGACACTGCACAAAACCCAAAGTGGGGGAAGTAAACCCCAGGGTATATGGTGTTGGCACAGCTAGCATAGCTATATGCTATGATACATGCTATGCCAACACCACAGATTGCATCAAAATACATTTATGTGTTTACTGAATGAATCAATGACCTAGTTTCACTAGAGTCAGGATTCGTGATCTGGCAGGCAGTTTGTTATTGTTTGTTCATTTGAAGTGAATCTTCAATTGAAAACCAATCTGATCAATTTTATTTTTAAAATTTAACACAAAAGTGATACACACACATACTTGGGAATTGGAGCTTGGGGACTGACTGATACACACACAGACAGGAAGGAATTTCTCAAGAATGTTAACTGGTGTGACTAAGGGTGATTTTTTTGTTTTTTGTTTTTTTTTGAGATGGAGTCTCACTCACTGTGTCACCCAGGCTGGAGTGCGATGGTGCGATCTCAGCTCACTGCAACCTCTGCCTCCCAGATTCAAGTGACTCTACTGCCTCAGCCTCCTGAGTAGCTGGGATTTACAGGCATGCGCCACCACGCCCAGGTAATTTTTGGATTTATAGTAGAGACAGGGTTTCACCATGTTGGCCAGGCTGGTCTTGAACTCCTGACCTCAAGTGATCCACCTGTCTTTGGCCTCCCAAAGTGCTGAGATTATAGGCGTGAGCCCGACCCTAAAGGTGATTTTTTTTTATGTCTGCTTTTCTATAGTTTTCAAATTGTTCTCTGAGTATATCCAAGCTTACCAATGAGGATGGTTTTGAATGCAGCCTGACACAGAGTCATAAACTTTCTTAAAACAGTATGAGATGTTTTTTCCAATTTGTAAAATTTTTTTAGTTGATCAGCTATTATTAGTGTTAGTGTATCTTATGTGTGGCCCAAGACAAATCTTTTTCTTCCAATGTGGCCAAGGGAAGCCAAAAGATTGTACATCCCTGGTATATACTACTCTTCTGATGAGAAATAAGATGATGAGGGTCGGGTGCAGTGGCTCACACATGTAATACCAGCAGTTTGGGAGGCGGAAGTGGGTGGATCACTTGAGGCCAGGAGTTCAAGTCCAGCCTGGGCAACATGGCAAAACTCCATCTCTACTAAAAACAAAAAATTAGCCGGGTGTGGTGGCACATACCTGTAATCCCAGCTACTCAGGAGGCTGAGGCATGAGAATCGCTTAAATCTCAGAGGTGGAGGTTGCAGTGAGCCAAGATGGCACAACTGCACTCCAGCCTAGGCAACAAAGCCAGACTGCCTCAAAAAAAAAAAAAAAAGAAAGAAAAAAAAGAAACAGCCAACCATGCTTCTATAAGTTAAAGCAAACCGCGGCCAGGAAGGTAAATGCACAGGGGCTGATGCACGATTTGCTTTGGGTTTGTCCCCTCTTCTGCCCCCATCCCATTGGTGCAGTGGGATAGCAGGATGGTGGGATTGATGGGCCCCTCACCTGAGCTCCTGCTGAGTGGCTGTGCTGTCCAGTGTGTCTTCCAGCTCTGTCTTTAGGGCCTCCAGCTCCTCGCCGAGGTCTCGCTTCTGCTTTTCAGCCTTGTTCCTGGCGGCCCGCTCTGAGTCCAGGTCCTCCTGGAGGTCTGAGATGTGGCCCTCCAGCTCCCGGATCTTCTTCAGGGCATTGTTCTTCTGAGCGATTTCATCGTCAAGCCTTCCAGGGAGAGACCCAGCAGAATGAACCCCCAGGTCCCTTGGTTTCCTCTCTTACAATGTGGCCAAAAACTTTTCTGGGACCAGACAGTTATGTTGCAGAGACATCAAACACCTTCTATCCATGTCCCCAGGTCTGCTTCTTGACATGCCAGACTATATGAGATTAACATAGGATGTGAGTGCCAAGGTCTGACATCAAAACAGGTTGTACATGTGCATGGGTGTGTGTACGTGTGTATGCACGTGTGTGCATGTGTGTGCAAGAATGCAAAGCATTGACCCCAGACTGGCAAGGTACCTGGTCACAGTAGGGACTGTGTAGATGCTTTCTGAATGTTGGACAGTTCTTCTTCCCTGGCAACTGTCTGTTCTTTCTGCATTTGCTCAGTGACTGAGTACCCGCCCCATGCACAGCATTTGGCCAGCCACTGCTTGCGGGGGATATTCAGACTGGGGCTCTGCATCTGGTGGAGGTGGTGACCAGAGATCAAGGTGGGCTGCAAGAAGCCCTGTTAAATGGCAGAATGCTGCAGGAGAGGCAAGCACTTTGATTTTACTGTACTTGTGAAAGGGCAGCAACAAGAGAGAAAGTGAAATAGTTGGGTTGGGGTGAGACTGCAGAGGGTGGATGGGCTCTGAGGGTGAGGCTAAGGAAACTGGATTTTCCCTAGTAAGCCAGTGAAGTTAGGTTTTTGTTTTGTTGTTATTATTGTTTTGAGACAGGGTCTTGCTCTGTTGCCCAGGCTGGAGTGCAGTGGCATGATCATAGCTCACTTTAGCCTCAACCTCCTGGGCTCAAGTGATCCTCCCATCTCAGCCTCCTGAGTAGCTGGGACTACAGGCACACACCACCATGCCTGGCTCATTTTTTAACTTTTTGTAGGGACAGGGTCTTGCTATGTTGCCCATGTTGGTCTCAAACTGCTGGCCTCAAGCAATCCCCCCACCTCGGCTTCCCAAAGTGCTGAGATTACAGGCGTGAGCCACTGCATCCAGCCAGCAAAGTTTTGTGAGCAGGTTCCTGCCCCAGAGAGATGCTTTCCCTTCATCACCGTAGCACTGTCAACATAGCACAAATTGGCCGACAAAAGAGCCAGGCCAGGGGATCAATCAGAAAGCTTTGAGGCTTAAATCCCAGCTCTGCCTCTTAGAAGCAATGACATTGCTCCTGTTGCGTTACCCCTAGGAGGCTCAGCTTCCTCCTCAAAGACACCGGCAGTACACCTGGCCAGGTGTCTGCAAAGGTATTGCTTGAAAAGAACTTAGCACCGAGTGAGCAGGTAAATAATCATTCATAGTGGCTGCTGCAGTATTAGCATTAGTGTAAATCCAGCTAAGAGCCAGGAAGAGGGAAAAACCAGAGGAAATGGGTGGGGGACATTTAGAAGGACTGGCAGAATCTGAAGGTTGCTGCTTGCTGTGGGTCGGCAGAAACAAAGGAGGAGATTGGTGTTCACAAAAAAGAGGGCCCTTAGAGGGAGGGGCTGGGGAAAGGAAGGTCATTCCCGCCTTAGACAGGGGTGTTTGAGATGACGGTGGAAATTGACTCATTGGGCAATCGGAAATTCAGAAGGGGGTCTAGATGAGAAAAGCCTGGATGTCGAAGAGGCAGCAGCAACACCATGGGAGTAGGTGAGATCAACTGCAAAGACATGATGTGTTTGCAGGGAAGAGAAGAAAGTCGAAGGTGAGGATCTGGGGGAGTGAACAGGGTCGAGAAGGCTTGTGGGAGGCCTGGCCTGGGAAACGAAGTTCATGCCAAGGGCCTGGGGCCGCCTTGACCAAGACAGCCACTGCGAATGAGCGAATGAGCAGGGGCCCAGGGGATACATGGACACACAGCAAATGCCCCTTGCCAGCCCCGCTACCTGGCCAGGGCCGCCTGCAGCTCCTCCTCCTTCTTGGCCAGCTGCATCTTGAGCTCTGCGATCTGCGCCTGGAGGTCAGCGATCTGCTCGTGGAAGTCGCTGGCATCACCCTCCAGCTTCCGTTTCAGCTTCTCCAGCTCCTGTCGGCTCTTCTCTTCCTTCTTTAGCCGCACTGCAAAAACCAAGGTGCTCTTCAGGAAGGGGAGGCCCCAGAGAGATGCCCGGAAATGAGCCTTCCTGCCCAGGCATTTTACCCGGAGGAGATGAACACATCCCCCAATCAGTAACCATCATAGTCACGGTCTGGACCATTATCTCCCGATGAACAGCACCTTATATTGTCATAATATTATTATTAGTTGAGATGGAGTTTTGCTCTTGTTGCCCAGGCTGGAGTGCAGTGGCGCAATCTCAGCTCACTGCAACCTCCGCCTCCCGGGTTCAAGCAATTCTCCTGCCTCAGCCTCCCGAGTAGCTGGGATTACAGGCGCCCGCCACCACGCCTGGCTAATTTTTGTATTTTGAGACAGGGTTTCACCATGTTGGCCAGGCTGGTCTCCAACTCTTGACCTCGTGATCCGCCCACCTCGGCCTCCCAAAGTGCTGGGATTACAGGCGAGAGCCACCGCACCCAGCCCTTTTATCATATTATTAGTGCATGTGATGACTAAGGGTGATTTCGAGAGGTGGCATAGAGTTAGTTGTCACTCATGGGATGATCTGCCATCCTCAAATTTCCTTTCTGATTTTCCTGCTTTTAAAAATACCCATTCAAGCCCAGGAATAGTGGCTCATGCCTATAATCCCAGCACTTTGGGAGGCCAAGGTGGGAGGACTGCTTGGGCCCAGGAGTTTGAGACTAGACTGAGCATCATAGTGAAACCCCATCTCTACAAAATAAAAAATAAAAAAAAATTAGCTGGGTGTGGTGATGCACGCCTGTAGTCTCAGCTGCTCAGGAGGCTGAGGCAGGAGGATCACTGGAGCTTAGGAGTTTCGGGCTGCAGTGAGCCATGATCGCACCACTGCACTGCAGCCTGGGCAACAGAGCAAGACCTCATCTCTAAAAAAAATAATAAAATAAAATAAAAATAAATCTCTTGGTAGCTGGTTTACCTTCCAGTTCTGAAATCATAGATTCATGCTTGTTTTTCAGCTTGGTAAGATTCTTGGCCTTTTCTTCCTCTTCTGCAAGATTTGTCGTTAAGTCACTAATCCTCTCCTCAAGGAGTTTTCGTTCCTTTTTGGGGAAAGAGAAAGAGATAGCTTTAGGATTTTTCTTTTCTCTAGAATCTATGTTTCACTTTTAGTGATTTCCATGTAAACAGTTGAAAGAAAAACCCACATTATAACAAAATACAACTAGAGTTTTAAATGGTAAAGAGAAGTCCCATAACAATTTCCAAAAACTGGCCATTTCTCATCTCGTGCCAGTTTGTCCCTCATATTGTATGGTCAGCTAAAGGTACCCTCCTTCCATTCCTGCCACTGGCCAGCTCTTCCCTGCCCCAGGGCCTTTGCACAGTGGGCCAACCAGCTGAGATGCTCTTCTACTCCCCTCTAACTGCTCCTTCATCTTTAAGTTTCTGCTTAAATGTCACCTCCTCCAGGAAGTCTTCTATGAATACCCTTCCTCTATCCCCCACTGCTGTATTCTTTTTTTTTTTTTGAGACAGAGTCTCACTCTGTCGCCCAGGGTGGAGTGCAGTGTTGCTATCTCAGCTCACTGCAACCTCTGCCTCCCACGTTCAAGTGATTCTCCTGCCTCAGCCTCCCGAGTAGCTGGGACTACAGGCGCCCGCCAACACACCCAACTAATTTTTTGTATTTTTAGTAGAGATGGGGTTTTACCGTGTTGGCCAGGCTGGTCTCCAACTCCTGACCTCAGGTAATCCACTTGCCTCAGCCTCCCAAAGTGCTGGGATTGCAGGCATGAGCCACCGCACCCGGCCTGCCGCACTCTTAAAATATGGTGAACGTTTCCTTCAGAGCCCTGATCACCATGGTAAATGACGATTATTTGCCATCTCACTACAGTATAAACCCCACAAGGGAAGGGTCCTCCTTCACCATGCATACCTGCATCTAACACAGAGCCTGGCTCACAGTAGGGGCCAAGCTGACATCCAGCTCAAAGAACTAAAAGCAGGTGGGGCTGGTTAGTGACTACTGACTACGGTGACCAGCTTGTCCTGGTTTTCTAAGGGCTTTTCTGCTTTGAGAACTGAAAGTCCCAAATCCCCAAAATCTCCCTGATCCTGGTAAGCCTGTTGTTTTTAATGCAGAAACTTGATTCCACTTTTTTTTTTTTTTGAAACAGAGTCACTCTGTCACCCAGGCTGCAGTGCAGTGGCACGATCTCAGCTCACTGCAACCTCTACCTCCCAGGTTCAAGTGATTCTCCTGCCTCAGCCTCCCAAGTGGCTGGGATTACAGACACTGGCCACCACACCTGGCTAATCTTTGTATTTTTAGTAGAGATGGAGTTTTACCCTGTTGGCCAGGCTAGTCTCAAACTCCTGGCCTCAAGTGATCCACATACCTTGGCCTCCCAAAGTGCTCGGATTATAGGCGTGAGCCACTGCACCCGGCCCCTACTCACTTTTGATAGTTTATTGTTCTGATCATCCATGACCAGGATCTCATCCTCCAGTTTCTTGATCTTGGCCTCAGCCGTGACCTTCTCAAGTTGCAGCTTCTGCCTGGCAGCTTCCTCCTCCTCCAGCTGTTCTTCAAGGTCCTTTGTTGTGGAGGGAAAAGAGTAACAGCTTTGGTTATAACAGATTTACTCTCGTGGTGATCTGGGGACTAATGAATACAGGGGCTAGGCCTGAAGATGCCCAGAACTCTGTAGCCTCCTAAAAGGAAGAAATAAAGGCCTGAGCGTGGTGGCTCACACCTGTAATCCCAGCACTTTTGGAGGCCGAGGTGGGTGGATCACTTGAGGTCAGGAATTCAAGACCAGCCTGGCCAACATGGTGAAACCCCGTCTCTACTAAAAATACAAAAAAAATTAGCCAGGCATGGTGGTGGGCTCCTGTAATCCCAGCTACTCGGGAGGCTGAGGCAGGAGAATCGCTTGAACCCGAGAGGCAGAGGTTGCAGTGAGCTGAGATCGCACCATCGCACCCCAGCCTAGGCAAGAGAGTGAGACTCTGTCTCAAAAAAAAAAAAAAAATAAAGACCTGGGTAAGCTGCTCTGCTTCATGGAACCTCAACCTCCTCATCTATAAAATGAGCACAGTAGGTACCATGGTGGTTTTAAAATCTATCCACAAGTTCTTTGCGACTCCAAAAAGGTGGAGCCTAATTCTCCTCCCCTTGAGTGGGGGTTAGATTTGCTTCTAACAACAACAACAAAAATCAGGAAGAAGTGATGGAATGTAACTTCAGAGATTAGGCTATAAAAGGCATTGCGGCTTCCTTTCTCCTCTCTCAGATCACTCCTTCTGGGGGAACTCTGCTGCCATATTGGAAGGACACTCAAGCAGCCCTGAGGGGAGAGGCCTTCATGATAAGGAACTGAGGCCTCCTCCAACAGCTGTGTGAATAAGCCAAGTAGAAGTGGGTCCTCCAGCCCCAGATGAGCCTTCAGATGACTGCAGCCTCAGCCAACACCTTGACTGCAACCTCAGGCCGGACCCTCAGCCAGAACCACTCACCTAAGCCACTCTCAAATTCCTGACTATGCAATACTTTTTATTTTTAGCTGCTGAGTTTGGCATGTTTTGTTATGTAGCAATAGCTAACAAATACAATTATCCTCCATTCAGGCTTGCTGTTAGGAGAAAAGGGGTTAGCACATGCAAGGCAGGGCAATAGAACAGAGTGGGCTCACTGTGTTCCAGTCCCAATCCCAGCTGTGTGGCCTTGATCAGATGACCAACCCTCTCCAAGCCCCCGTCTCATCATCTGTCCCAGCAGGGACACATATCCCTGGATGCACCTCCACAGGCCTGTGGTGAGGGTCAAGTGATTTGCTACCCACCACGGGCTGCCCCTGTGACACCTTACCAGCATCTGCTGGGCCATCTTCTTCCTTTCAGCCTGTAGCTGCTGGCCCCTGTCTTCCTCCTCCTCCAGGCGGGCCTCCATCTCATGCAGTATCTCCTCCAGCTCCTGCTTCTTGGCCGCCAGCCGCACCCGCATCTCCTCAGCCTCTGCATACAGCTCTGTCTCTGCCTGCAGCTGTTCCTGTAGCAGGTTCTTCTCCTCGGTCAGCTGCACGCAGGTGGTGGGGAGGAGGCGGGTGAGCCCCACGGGGCCAAGTCCTGTTCCCCAGCAACCCCAGCCATGCATCCATACAGGTACCTGCGAGTGCTTCTGTTCCAGCTCCTTAAGCTCATTCTCTGCCTTCTGCTGCCGCTCCTTGGTCTTCTGCAGTTCATCCTCCTTGGCCTGCATCTCCTCCTCCTGCCGTGTCACCTGCAGCAGTGGCTTCACCTGCACACACACGGTTAGCCCATCATTTGTTTTTGTGGCAAAGGGATATGTTGTCATAATAAATTCGATCAGTGGTTCCGAGCCAGGGACAATGTTGCCCCCACCGATCCCCACTAGGGGATATTGTCTGGAGACACTGCTGATTGTCACAGCTGGGGTGGGGGGTGCCTCTGGCATCCAGTGGGTAGAGGCCAGGGATACTGCTAAACACCCTACAGTGCACAGGACAGCCCCCACAACAGAATTAGTCACCCCAAAATATCAACAGTGGCAAGACTGAGGAGCTCTAAATCAGAGCACCAGAAAAGGTACAAAGTGAAAGGAAAAAGTCTCATCTTCCCCACTTTAGAACCATCCCAACAGAGAACTACTGCTGAAAAGTGATATTTCCTTCCAAGGACAAAAGGGAGAAAAAAAATCTTTCATATCCCACCCACCTCCCTATCAAAGTCATTATTAACATTGTTTACATTTCCTTCCTGGCTCTTTTTCTATGTTTAAAAAATAGACTTAAGACCATGCTGCCTAGTTGTAGAGGCTGCTTTTATTATTTAAAATTATATGATACAGACAGGAACAGTGATGCATGCCTGTAATCCCAGCATTTTGGGAGGCCGAGGCAAGCGCTTGAGCCCAGGAGTTTGGGACCAGCCTGGGCAACATCATGAGACCCCATCTCTACAAAAACAAGTAACCAGGCATGGTGGTGTGTGCCTGTAGTCCCAGCTAGTGAGGGGTCTGAGGCAGGAAGATCGCTTGAACCCTGCAGGCTGAGGCTGCAGTGAGCCACGATTGTGCCACTGCACTCCAGCCTGGGTGACACAGTGAGACCCTGTCTCCACAAATAAAATTTTTTTAAAAATTATAAGATATGTATTACCCCATGCTGTTACATCATTCTTACAACTTTACATAGCCATCTTTTAAGTTAATTTATTTATTTAGCGATGGTCTTGTTTTGTCACCCAGGCTGGAGTGCAGTGACACAATCATAGCTCACTGCAGCCTTGAACTCCTGGCCTCAAGCGATCCTCCCACCCCAGCTCCAGAGTAGCTGGGACTACAGGCACATGCCACAGTGTCCAACTAGACAGCTAGGTAGAAGTCTTTTTTTTTTTTTTTTTTAGCAGACCTATTCAGTAGCCAAAGCCATCATTTTAATAGCTGAAAACATTCCATTGATAGATGAACCATTATTGAACTCATCATTCAGCTAGGACTGGACACTGAAATTCTGCTATTGTAAATAAGGCCATAATGAATGCCCTTAACTCTTGATTTTCTTTTCTCTTTTTCAGGTGGAGTCTCGCCCTGTCACCCAGGCTGGAGTGCAGTGGCACGATCTCAGCTCACTGAAACCTCTGCCTCCTCGGTTCAAGTGATTCTCCTGCCTCAATCTCCTGAGTAGCTGGGATTACAGGTGCCCACCACCACACCTGGCTAATTTTTGTATTTTCAGTAGAGATAGGGTTTCGCCATGTTGGCCAGGCTGGTTTCGAACTCGTGAACCCAGGTGATCCTCCTGCCTTGGCCACCCAAAGTGCTGGGATTACAGGCATGAGCCACCACACCTGGCTAAGACGATTTTCTTAGGATAGTTTTTCAGAAGTTGGTTCAGTGGGGACGAACATTTCCAAAAAGCAGCATCTGCTGTCCTTCCCTGGGCTGCCTCCTAACTCTTTGTTTTCAAGCCCCTGCCTGGCACAAGGAAGCCCCTGCTATGTACTCCAGCAGCTTGCTTCATGCACTTATCACAGTTTGCCATTATGTATCTGTCTCTGTGATTATCTGTTTATTGTTTACTCCCCACCAATTCGGCTAGAATATTCATGGAGGTCAGGGACCATGGTGTGTGTTCACAGCTGCACCCCCAGCACCTAGCATGTGCCTGGGATACAGCAGGCACTCAATGTCTGTTTGCTTGGTGAAAAAGCCTTGCACCAGTGGATACACTCAAGGGCATATAAGGAGAAGCCTAGTCTATTGCAACAGAGCATGTCTTTGTGCCATGGGGACAATGCAACCAGTGCCACTACAGGAACCAGTTGAGTCCTCTGGAGGCCCTGACTCTGCCAGAAATAAAAAATAATATGCTATGGCCAGATGAGGTGGCTCATGCCTGTAATCCCAGCACTTTGGGAGCCTGAAGCAGGAGGGTTGCTTGAGGTCAGGAGTTCAAGACCAGCCTGGGTAACAGAGTGAGACTCCATTTCAAAAAATGCAAAAAGTAAAAAAAAAAAAACCTGCAGTATTGATACATGCAACAGTCTGGATGCTCTCTAATTCCATGTATAGAATATTTGTTTTATTTTTTTTTGAGACGGAGTCTCGCTCTGTCACCAGGCTGGAGTGCAGTACAGTGGCGCGATCTCAGCTCTCTGCAACCTCTGCCTCCCAGGTTCAAGTGATTCTCTTGCCTCAGCCTCCTGAGTAGCTGTGACTACAGGCGTTTGCCACCACGCCCAGCTAATTTTTGTACATTTAGTAGAGACAGGGTTTCACCATCTTGGCCAGGATGGTCTTGATTTCTTGACTTTGTGATCCACCCGCCTCGGCCTCCCAAAGTGCTGGGATTACAGCCGTGAGCCACCGTGCCTGGCCTTTTTTTTAAATAAAAAAAAAAAGAAAGAAGAGACAGAGTCTCAATCTTTCACCCAGGCTGGAGTGCAGGCATGATCTTGGCTCACTGCAACCTCTGTCTCCTGAGTTCAAGAGATTCTCCTGCCTTAGCCTCCTGAGTATCTGGGATTACAGGTGCCTGCCACCATACCCAGCTAATTTTTGTATTTTAAGTAGAGACAGGGTTTTGCCATGTTGGCCAGGCTGGTTTTGAACTCCTGACCGCAAGTGATCCGCCTGCCTCGGCCTCCCAAAGTGCTGGGATTACAGGCGTGAGCCGCCGCCCCCGGCAGCATTCTTGAACCATCAAAATTACAGAACTGGAGAACAGAGTGGTTTCCATGGCTACGGAGGAAGTGGGTGTGGCTATAAATGGGCCACACGAGGGATTCCAGTGCGGATGGAAATATTAATACTTTGTGTTAAGGTCCTGGCTATAGCCTATGTGCCAAAGGACAGGGCCTCCTCGGGCCAGAGAACCGCCAATGCTCAAGGTCTGAGTTCGAGCCCTCCATTCCACACCCACTTGCGACCACCTCCTGTCCCAAATGTGAAGGCTCCAGAGTGAAGAAGCAGGGCTGGGGGCCCCTGGGAAGGGGGCTGGGGCAGAGCACTCACTTTGGTGAAAAGCCTCCACCACTGCCAGTTCCGCAGCTTGAGGTAGGCGGCGCAGTTCCTCTGAATCACCTTCATGGCGGTCAGCTGCTGCTGCCTCTTGGCAAAAGCCCTAGGGAGGGGGGAAGAGAAGGTGCGGGGGTCATGAAGCCACACCCTGCTGTCAACAGAGCCCTGCCCTGCAGCATCCTGAACCTGCACAGGGACATGCCCCAATCTCCCCAACTCAGGTTCTTCCAGAAACCCTGTGTGACACATGTGTTGTCTGGCTGCAAACAACTTAAATCATCTACAGGACAGAGCCTTTTTCAGTGGACAAGGAAGACCCAGGGCTCACAACATGCCCTGGACTTAGCTGAGATCCAAACACCACTCAGAAAACACAACTATGTGCATCATTCCTAAGGGGGCTCCCGTACTCCCCAGCTGCACTAGCTGTTTCTTTTTTCTTTCTTTCTTTTTTTTTTTTTTTTTTTTTTGAGATAGAGTTTCGCTCTTGTTGCCCAGGCTGGAGTGCGGTGGCACGATCTCAGCTCACTGCAAACTCCACCTCCGGGGTTCAAGTGATTCTCCTGCTTCAGCCTCCTGAGTAGCTTGGATTACAGGTGCCCACAACCATGCCTGGCTAATTTTTGTATTTTTAGTAGAGATGGGGTTTCCCATGTTGGCCAGGTGGGTCTCAAACTCCTGACCTCAGGTGATCCACCCACCTTGGCCTCCCAAAGTGCTGGGATTACAGGTAGGAGCCACCATGCCCAGCCTACACCAGCTGTTTCTGACTAACTTATTTATTTATTTGTTTATTTTCAGAGACAGGGTCTGGCTCTGCGGCCCAGGCTGGAGTGCAGTGGTGTGATGATGGCTCACTGCAGCCTCAAATTCCTGGGCTTAAATGATCCTCCTGCCTCAGCCTCCCAAGTAGTTGGGACTACGGGCACATGCTACCATGCCCAGCTAATTTTTAAAGTTTTTTTTTTTTGGTAGAGATAGGGGTCTCGCCATGTTGCCCAGGCTGGTCTCAAACTCCTGGGCTCAAGCAATCCTCCTGCCTCGGCCTCCCAAAGTGCCTGGGATTACAGGTGTCAGCTACCACACCCAGCCCTGTCAAACCTATTCTCTCCTGGGTTGTTTTAGGAATTTCACACTGTGACCCTGAACCAGCACTCTTCCCGTTTAAGGGCTATCGATAGATTGAGAAACGATAGAACAGTGAACGTAATTCTGTCTTCCCTGCTTGGCTGCCATCTTGGACACAGGAAAACTTTAAGAATAAAATTGCCCCAGTTATCCAGGAAGGACAGCAACAGGGAACTTAGTAACGAAACTTGACAAGTTAGGTCTGTTGCGGGAGGGCCAAGAGCTCCCAAAGCTGGCCTTGACCATCTTGGGTCCATGTGTCAATGAATGAACCTGACACATCAGGGTCCTACTGGTGAGGGTGTGGTCTCTGCCCAATGACAACACACACCCCAGACAGAGAGCGACCCCACCTGTCCCTGCAGTCCCTGGGGTATGACTTTCATTAAGGAACCCGAACCCTTCCCCGGCTCCCAGTCTTCACAGAACAGCTGGGACATCACACCCTCCAAAACCCTGCCTTATAAATCCCACTGGGACACGGGGATCTAGACACCGTCAAGTCCTCTTTCCTCAATGGTTTATCCAATTCTAACATGTCTAGGCTGGGCGCAGTGGGTCATGCCTATAATCCCAGCACTTTGGGAGGCCAAGGCAGGTGGATCACTTGAGACCAGGAATTTGAGACCAGCCTGGCCAACATGGTGAAACTTTGTCTCTACTAAAAATACAAAAATTAGGCCAGTGTGGTGGTGGGCGCCTCTAATTCCAGCCACTCGGGAGGCTCAGACACGAGAATTGCTTGAGTCCAAGAGGCAGAGGTTGCAGTGAGTTGAGACTGCGCCACTGCACTCCAGCCTGGGCGACAGAGAGAGAGAGAGAGACTCTGTCTCAAAAAGGAAGAAGAAAGGAAGGAAGGAAGGGAGGGAGGGAAGGAAGGAGTGAGGGAGGGAGGTAAAAACAACAACAATCATTTCTGACCTGAGAACCACGCACTGTTCTAAGCTCTCGTCATGCGTTATCTTAGTGACACCTCATGAACAGCTCTCTGAGGTCAAAATGATTATGCTCAGTTTCCAGCTAAAAAACTGGAAGCTCAGAGAGGTAGAGTAACTTGCCCAAGGTTCATCAGCAAAAACTGGGGCATCCACGATGAGAACCCAGGTCTAAAACTCGTTCCCTTCCTGCACTCGTAACTTGGTACATTTATTTAAAGTAGAAGCATTTCTTCCCCTTCAAGAAAAGGCTGTCATTCAGTCAATGATGCATCTTAAACAGGTGGCCTCTTAGAATCAGGGAATCAGAACAGAAAGGCCCCTGTTTGTGATTCGCGTTTGAGGTATTAGGATGCAGGAAAGCATCTTTACTTTCTGGCCAAGTAGCCACGACACATCGCCTGGAAGGCCATGATGACATCGGTGATCTTCAAATCTCGCTCCTCCTCTAGGTGGGCCAGGACGCCAGTTCGGAAGAAGATTTTGCTCTGCCCTATCCTGTATAAGTTGGGGTCAAGTTCCAGGGCTTTGATCTGCAAAAGGAAGGAAAGGAAGAGCTCCTGATTTCCACTGTGCCATTTGGCCAGTGATGACATGGGTAAGAACGGTCCCACCAAGAGCAGCAGGTGGCTTGCGGCCAGAGGTTGGGAGGTCTCTGGTGGACTTCTGGGCTCACCATGAGAATGCAGGCCTGCTTCCCGTCCATGAAGCCTTTGGGGATGGCATTCGCCGCCAGGATCTCGTAGCTTGAAACACAGAGCAGAAGTCACCCCGGGTACCTCCAGCATCCATTCCTCCACCCAGTCCCGCTCACCCCCTGCCCTACCTGGGCCAGACCTTGGGACTTACCGTTGGCGGAACTCCTGGAAGACGATCCGGTTGGGGAAGCCCTGCCGGCAGATGCGAATGCCTTCCAGCACCCCATTGCACCGCAGCTGCTCCAGCACCAGGAACGCATCCAGCTTGCCGGACTGCAAAGGTCAAAGAGGGCAGTGGATCCCTGGGGCCAGAAACCATGGCGCAGCAAAGCCCCAAACCTCCTACCTGGATGACCCACCTGGCCAGGCCATGAGGGTACCAACAGAAGCACCCAAGGAGGGCTTAGCTGAGGGCCGAGGGGCAAAGCAGTGCCCCCCTCTGGGTTTTCATCTCTTTGCTTCGGCAATGGCTGCCTCATGATCTCTCTGGTTCTTGGTGACACTAGCATCGCCTGGCTGGAACCTGGGGCTTCCTCCTCATCACCTCGTCTCCCTCACTTCCTGTCCATCAGCAGTTTGATTGCTTCTAGCTCCCAAATATCTCCCAACCCCCCCACTTCTCTTCACCACCATTGTCTCCACTATCTTCTCCTGCCTGGACAACCACAGAAACCACCCACCTGGTCTCTCTCTCTGGTCTTGCCTCTCCCCTCAATCCCTTTGTCCTTTTTATTTTTTGAGATAGGGTCCCATTCTGTCAGCCAGGCTGGAGTCCAGTGGTGCGATCATGGCTCACTGCAGCCTCAAACTCCTGGGCTCAAGTGATCCTCCCAAATCAGCCTCCCAAGTATTTGGGACCACAGGTATGTGCTACCATGCCTGGAAAATTTTTAAAAATGTTTTTGTAGATATAGGGTCTTGCTATGTTGCCCAGGCTAGCCTTGAACACCTGGTCTCAAGTGATCCTCCCACCTCAACCTCCCAAAGTGTTGGGATTATAGGCATGAGCTAGCATATGCCCAGCCCCCTCATTCACTTCCTAAAATGTAAATCTGACCATGATATAGCCCTGCTTTAACACCCCCAATGGCATGCCTAGAGAGAGAAGGCCAAGCTCCAGAAAGAACACAAGGAGCACCACGATCTAGCCCCTGCCTACCCATTCAGCCTCAATCCTACCTCACACCATCTGATTCCTACCTCATGCCATCACACATTTGCAACATGAAATGACCTATTTAGCATTTTCTTTCCTTTTTTTTTTTTTTTTTTAAGATGGAGTCTCGCTCTGCTGCCCAGGCTGGAATGCTGTGGTGCAATCTCAGCTCACTGCAACCTCCGCCTCCTGGGTTCAACAGATTTTTGTTTCTCAGCCTCCTGAGTAGCTGGGATTACAGGCGTGAGCAACACGCCTGGACACTATCTAGCATTTTCTTACCTAGTTCCTTCACTTCTCACCTCCACACTCTTGCTTAGCCTGGGCCCTCTGCTTATCCTAGGCCCCCTGCTTATCCTAGGCCCCACCCTGCCTTCCATGTCACCAAGTTGATGGCCACACATTCTTAACGTTCAAGTTCACCAGAAGCTTTCTCTGAGTCCTGAGGCTGTGGGAGGAGCCCTGGCTCTTTGGTGTTCTCCTAACTGACCACATTCCATCACCATCATCAGCTGTATGTTTACCTCTCCCCGTGTCTCCCATAACCTCAGCACTACTGGCATCTTGTAGGGATTCTGTGCTGGGGGTTGAGGGACCATCCTGTGCATTGTACAATGCTTAGGGCATCCCTGGCCCCTACCCACTAGATGCTGACTAACAGCCCCCTCCTGGTTGTGACAACCAAAAATGTCTGTAGCATGTCCATATAGAGGACACAATCGCCCCAAGCTGAAGATGCCTGCACCAGATTATGAGAAACCCACAGGGAAGGGCTACAATTTTTCTAACACTGCTCCCCAGCACCCAGGACAGGGCAGAGCCCAGTGAATACTTCCTGGGATAATGAATGAATGAGTGGCTGGATGACCTGCACAGCAACTCCACAACTGAAAAGTCTCTGGATGCATCCTCCCTTCCTCCTTTTCCTCCAGGGATGGGGAATGGGTCTGAGATTCAGATAGCCTTCCCCACATGGAAAATGGGGTCCTCGGGGTAGGTGGGGGCAGAGGGCGCCCTGGGGACGCTGTGACCGCTTGGGACAGCCCTGGCTTCTGGGAGCCCCAGGGTCTGGGCGGCGGGCCTCACCCTCTTCTCGTGGTTGGGGATGATGCAGCGCACGAAGTTGGGCGTGGTGTTGCGTAGCGTGGTCATCAGCTTGCCCAGCTGCTCCTTGTACAGCTGCCCCACTGTGCGGAACATGCCCTTCTTGGTCTTGGAGGCGCTGGGCAGCGAGCTCTCCGTCATCTTGGCCATCTGGTCCAGGCCCACGATGCGGTCCACTATGGGGCACAGCCAGGGTGGCATCAGCCTCTGGCCCACCCACCCCTAAATAGGCCAGAGGCTCAGCCCCAGCCCCACCCACCAACCTGCCCACTCCAATCTTTCCTTCCATCACCAACGCCTCCTTCGGCAGTCAGGGTTTCCAAGTATTGTCTATTGGGGAAATCCTGAGAGCACCTGAGTGGCAGAAAGAACAAATTCCCTGTGATGGAGTCACGCTGACCTAGGAGTCAAGCCTGCTCTCGCTGTCCACTCACTGACTAGCCTTGGCTTGGCACTATCCTGTGCCTCAGTCTCCCTTTCTACAAAAGGGAGGTAATAATACCGTCTACCTTCTAGGGCAGGGGTAAAAAAAAATAAGGCACAGAAGGCACTTATTCCCTGCCAGCCTCCAATCTTTCATCCACCAACAAATAGTTATTGAGGACCTTCTGTGCTCCAGGCCCTGGGGACACTGCTGTGAACAAAAAAAGACCCGGCCCCCTCACCCCGCTTATATCACAGGGAAGGAGACAGACAGAGATCACAGATGTTAAGTATGGAATATCTTGAGTAGTGAGGTGTGCGTAGAAAAATAAAAATAGGGTAAAGCGGAGAGAGAGTGAAGAGGGTGCTCTCTTAGACAAGGAGGTGGTGGGCTCTGCTAAGTTGATATTTGAGCAGAAACCAGCAAGAAATGAGTGGGTAACCATGTAGGTATCCACGGAAGAAATATTCTGAGGCAGAAGATACAGCACACACTCCGAGATAGCCTGGCACATCAGTAAGTGCTCAACAAAAAGTAGGTATTATTATTATTATTATTATTATTATTATTATTATTATTATCATTATTTTATTTTATTGAGACGGAGTTTCACTCTTGTTGGCCAGGCTGGAGTGCAATGGCGTGATCTCGGCTCACCACAACGTCCGCCTCCCGGGTTCCAGCAATTCTCCCGCCTCAGCCTCCCAGTAGCTGGGATTACAGGCATGCGCCACCACGCCCGGCTCATTTTTTTTATATTTTTAGTAGAGACAGAGTTTCTCCATGTTGGTCAGGCTGGTCTCGAACTCCTGACCTCAGGTGATTCCCCTGCCTTGGCCTCCCAATGTGCTGGGATTACAGGCGTGAGCTACCGCGCCCGGCCATCATCATCATCATCATCATCATCATCATCATCACCTCCAAGGTTCTTTTTCTACCAGCCCAGCAGGTCCTGCACATGCCAAGCCCAACCCACAGGCCATGGATGGCACCATTTCTTCACCTTCTACTCAGATTCTGTGTAACAATCTTTTTTTTTTTTTTTTTTTTTTGAGACAAGCTCTCACTCTGTCGCCCAGCTGGAGAGCAGTGGCACGATCTTGGCTCACTGCAACCTTCACCACCCAGGTTCAGGTGATTCTCCTGCCTTAGCCTCCTGAGTAGCTGGGATTACAGGCACCCACCAGCACACCCGGCTAATTTTGTTTTTATTTTTTATTTTTAGTTTTATTTTTTCAAGACAGAGTCTTGCTCTTTTGCCCAGGCTGGAGTCCAATGGCACAATCTCAGCTCACTGCAACCTGCGCCTCCCAGGTTCAAGCAGTTCTCCTGCCTCAGCCTCCCGAGTAGCTGGGATTACCACCACCACGCCCAGTTAGTTTTTGTATTTTTAGTAGAGATGGGGTTTCGCCACGTTGGCCAGACTGGTCTCGAACTCTTGACCTCAACTGATCCTCCTGCCTCAGCCTCCCAAAGTGCTGAGATTACAGGTGTGAGCCACCATGCGCAGCCTCATGCTTGTCTCTCTGCTTGTCTTTGAGAGTCTCATCTCTCCCACAAGACTGTGGGTCCCGCAGAGGAGGGACTACAGGCTTCATCATGTGTCCTGGGATGACACAGACCCAGGGTGCGATGTTGTTCCCTAGGCCCAGAGCCTGGCATATGGTTAGGGCACAGCTGGCCCCTCCTGGAGCCCTTTTTTTAGCATGCTTAAAACAAGGGGAGACCAGTCCTGTAAGCCCCAGGCCCATGGGCCCTGTGCCAAGAATAAAACCTGCTGTGGACACTGATGGCCAGGGACAAACAGCAAACCCCCTCCCCTCATCATCACTCCAGCAGCTCTTCACAGGGATCATCTATTCACTGGTTCTCAAAGGGAGCCGGAGTGTGGTCCCTAGACCAGCAGCATCACCTGGGATGAATGTTTTCAGGCCCGCCCCATCCCTGGCCCCAGACCTGCAGAATTAGATCTTAGGGTAGGCCCAGCCATCTGGGTTTTAAAAAGCCCTCCAAAGAGGGCCAGGTGCAGTGGCTCACACCTGTAATCCCAGCACTTTTTGAGGCTGAGGTGGGCGGATCACCTGAGGTCAGGAGTTTGAGACCAGCCTGGCCAACATGGGGGAACCCCGTCTCTACTAAAAATACAAAAATTAGCCAGGTATGGTGGTGTGTGCCTGTAATGCTAGCTACTTGGGAGGCTGAGGCAGGAAAATCACTGGAACCCAGAAGGTGGAGGCTGCAGTGAGCCAAGATTGCACCACCGCCCTCCAGCCTGGGTGACAAAGCAAGACTCTGTCCCTAAATAAATAAACAAAGCCTTCCAGGGGGTCATGATGCCTGCTTGAGTTTGAGCATCACTGGTCTAATTTAACCCTCATAATACCTCTAGTAGAGACGGCAACTATTATTGCATCTCCTGTTTTACTAATGAGGACAATGAAGCTTAATGACATCAAGTGACTCATCCAAGACCACAGAGCTAGGAGGTGGCAGAGACAAGATACAGTGAAGTCCTTCTGACTCTGGACAGGGCAGTCTAACTCCCCGTGCCTGGCATGCTGTTTCTCCTCTATTGCCTGAGCCCTGACCTCAGGACCTCAATCCCCTCGGGACATGTAGGATTGAGGGGCTCAGGGACCCCCACTCAGGAAGAAATTGTTTCAACGAGACATCACCAGCCCATGCCAATGCTCTTCCTTCCCCTGCCCCCATGTAAAGGCCTCCCCTCCTGGGGCAGGTGTGAGAGTCGGGGGACTTGGGTGTTCAATTCTCCAGCTCAAAGCAGAACATGGACCCGAGCAGAGAAGGCCTTACCGTCCTTCCACAGGTCGGCCACAAACTTGTCGGAGGAGGCATTGAGCAGGGAAGTCACGTTGTCATTCAGCGGGTCCATATTCTTGGTCAGCCAGGCACTCGCATTATAGTCCACCTGCCAAGGACACCCTGCTGGTCAGAACCCCTGGGAAACTAGAAACTTAGAAACCAAGGCCAGGACCCCAGCCCTCCCATTGTCCTTCCAGATCTTCTGAGGTCAGAGAGGAAATGACGTTTATGACCACCATGATGGGACTCCACAAACACCAGTGAAGAGACCAACAGCCCAGGGACCTGTGCCCACGTAGTAGGACATCAGCCAGTGATAGCCATTGCTGGGAAAGCCTAGTTTCCATTCCATATTCTCCTACTAACGCTGCTGTGGTAGCCTCCCTCCTCCTAAGCCAGCACAGTACCTGTGAGTTATACACTATTAAGAGATTTCATGACGGCAGATGCCCTCCTGCCGACATGCAAAACTCCCCCCTCATCATCTTCCCAATCATCCTGGTTTAGAAATTAAGCATGGCAGCCAAGCGTGGTGGTTCACACTGGTAATCCCAGCACTGTGGAAGGCCAAGGTGGGTGGATCATTTGAGGTCAGGCGTTCAAGACCAACCTGACCAACATGGTGAAACCCCATGTCTACTAAAAATACAAAAAAAAAAAAAAAATTAGCCAGGCATGGTGGTGCACACCTGTAATGCCAGCTACTCGGGAGGCTGAGGCAGGAGAATCGCTTCAGCCTGGGAGGCGGAGATTGCAGTGAGCTGAGATTGCGCCACTGAACTCCAGCCTGGGTGACAGAGTGAGACTCTGTCTCAAAATAATTAAATAAATAAATTAATTAAGCATGGCATCCTATTTTCCACTCTCTAATGAGCATAATTTGTAACTCAGAGATCCTGATATATGGATATACAGAAAAAGGACATATAGGCTTTTTACATTCCTGACTCAAACAATGACAATGCCCAAAGCCGTAATTTTTACTATGGTGAATATTAAATGAAAGGAACTGATAATACAGCTTTGCTGGGTTATCATGGGATGTGGGTTATCAGGATAATAGGTAGGCTTGATCTGAGAGAAGACTGAAAATAATAATAAAAAAAATCCACTGATGAAGTAGGGAAAAGAAAAGTGTTGTCTCTATATGCTTAAAGGAACATATACCCCCTTGAATATAGGCTAGGAGTTGGGAAACTTTTGGTGAAGGCCCAGATAGTAGATATTTTTGGCTTGGCAAGTCATACAATGTTTTGTTTGTTTGTTTGTTTTGGTTTTTGAGACAGAGTGGTTCTCTGTTGCCCAGTCTGGAGTGCAGTGGTGCAGTCTCAGCTCACTGCAACCTCCAACTTCCTGGGTCAAGCAGTTCTCTTGCCTCAGCCTCCTGAGTAGCTGAGGTTACAGTTGTGTGCCTGTAATCTCACAGCTGGCTAATTTTTAAATTTTTTTTATTTTTTATTTTTAGCAGAGACGGGCTTTCGCCATGTTGGCCAGGCTGGTCTCAAACTGCTGACCTCAAGTAATCCACCTGCCTTGGTGCTGGGGTTACAGGCGTGAGCCACCACACCCAGCCAAGTCATACAGTCTTTGTCGCAGCTACTCAACTCTAGCACTGTAGTATACAAAAGCAGCCAGCCATAGACATTATGCATACAAATGGGCATGGCTGTGTTCCAATAAAACTTTATTTACAATAACAAGCTGTGGGCCAGATCGGACTCTGTTGCCAGGCCCTGGTAGAGAGCATTGTTTGTGCCCATGATGCAGTGGAGGTACTGAGGAGTCAATAGAATACTACAATTCTGCAAGCCAGACTAAGCTATGTCCTTTGTACATTATCCAGGACTCTTGAGAGCCACAGGGCAAGGGCCTATACAATAACAGCCAAGGCATGTTGATGATGATGATGATGATGATGAATACAACTATCATAGATTTCCCTGGCCAGAGCAGGCTGGCAATAGCAAACTCAAGACCGTGACATGGGAGATTTTTGTTGAAGCCAGGTGTGGATGTATTAGTCACCCCATTCCAGTTGGCCCCGCCTGTTGGGTATAACTTGTAGCAGGAAGGATTTAGAGTCTATACAAGAAAAGCAGGCTGAGGCCAGGTACAGTGGCTCGTGCTCATAATCCCAGCACTTCAGGAAGCCGAGGCAGGGAGATCTCTTGAGCCCAGGAATTCAAGACCAGCCTGGGCAACACAGCAAGACCCCATATCTATACATAATTTAAAAATTTAGCTGGGCGGCCAGGCACGGTGGCTCATGCCTGTAATCCTAGCACCTTGGGAGGCCGAGGCGGGTGGATCACCTGAGGTCAGGAGTTTGAGACCAGCCTGGCCAACATGGCGAAACCCTTCTCTACTAAAAATACAAAAATTAGCTGGGTGTGGTGGCAGGTGCCTGTAATCCCAGCTATTTGGGAGGCTGAGGCAGGAGAATCTCTTGAACCCGGAGGGAGAGGTTGCAGTTAGCAGAGATCACGCCATTGCACTCCAGCCTGGATGACAAGAGCAAAATTCCATCTCAAAAAGGAAAAAAGATTTTAGCTGGGCATGGTGGTGTACACCTGTAGTCCCAGCTACTTGGGAAGCTGAGGCAGGAGGATCGTGTGAGCCCAGGAGGTTGAGGCTGTAGTGAGCTATGATCGCACCACTGCACTCCAGCCTGGGCGACAAAGCGAGACCCTGTCTCCAACAAAAACAGAAAGAAATAACTGTCTGGACGTCACGGTTGGAAAACATGAGAGTGGCTACAGCTGATGCCTTACAGATGCGTAGACAAATTACGAATAGGACTTGGTTGGGATTCGCTTAGCAGCAGATGGCTTTGCAGTTTCCAGGCAGCCCAAGGTTCTGCCACTCTCAGACTGTCTCTGCGCTGAGCAGCCACTGGGGGTCCCCTGAGACAGAGTCCCCTGGGCCCTGTGGCTGGTACCTTCCCAGCATAATGGATGATGGAGAACTCAGTCTTGTCCTTGAGCTGCTTGGGCTTCTGGAACTTGGGGTGGCTGCCCTGCTCCGTGCACAGCTTCTCCACGAAAGACTTGTCCGTGGCTTTGGGGAACCAGCATTCCTCGTCCAGCAGGGCCAGCACACCTGGAGGGTTGTTCTGTGGGAGACAAGTAGGGCTTGAATCAGAGAGAACACCCAACCTCAGGCATTCCATGAAGAGCTGGCCAACTATACACAACGCATGGGCATCCGCCGAGATCTGATACTGTATTTGCCCACATATAAAGATGAGTTTATGACCCCCATGCTTCCAAATCTACCTTCAAATTACCCTGTGCCCAATGGACCAGTAACAGGGATGGAAGGCAGAACATAATGTTTGCTGCCGCCCCCTAGTGGGCAACACGCAGGCAACATCATGAAGAGTTCATAACTCTTTTTTTTTTTTTTTTTTTTTTGAGACAGAGTTTTGCCTTGTCGCCCAGGCAGACGGTGCAGTGGCGCGATCTCGACTCACTGCAAGCTCCGCTTCCTGGGTTCACGCCATTCTCCTGCCTCAGCCTCCCGAGTAGCTGGGACTACAGGCGCCTGCCACGGCGCCCGGCTGATTTTTTCTATTTTTAGTAGAGGCGGGGTTTCACCGTGTTAGCCAGGATGGTCTCCATCTCCTGACCTCGTGATCCGCCCGCCTCGGCCTCCCAAAGTGCTGGGATTACAGGCATGAGCCACCGCGCCCGGCCGAGTTCATAATTCTTGCAAATGAATTTGTTGCTTGACTTGAATTCACCTAGGGTTCCTGTTAGAAAAGTTTTTTTTGGAGACAGGGTCTCACTCTGTTATCCAGGCTGGAATGCAGTGGCGCAATCTCGGCTTACAGCAACCTCTGCCTCCAGGGCTCAAGCAATCCTCCCACCTCAGCCTCCCAAATAGCTGGGACCACAGGCGTGCACCACCAGGCCCGGCTAATTAGTAGAAACCCTGTCTCTACTGAAAATACAAAAGTTAGGTGGGCGTGGTGGTGCACGCCTGTAGTCTCAGCCACTTGGGAGGCTGAGGCGGGAGGATCACTTGAGGCAGGGAGGTGGAGGTTGCAGTGAGGCAAGATTGTGCCACTGCACTCCAGCCTGGGCAACAGAGTCAGACCATGTCATAAAAAAAAAAAAAAAAAAAAAAAAAGCAATGGCAGAGAAGGAAAGGGAAGGGAAAGAGGGTAGGGAAGAAAAAAAGGAAGAAAAAAGAGGATGGAAGGAAGGCAGAAATTAAAGAAAATACCTTTGATATGAAAATGTGGGTTAATGGAAATTGTAAGAGTTCACAAGGATTCAGCTTACAGCCTTTCAGGACTGGGTGATGGATTGGGTGGGGGAATGCTATGTGCATGGGGAGAGTGTGGGGTCCACGTCGGCTCCACAGAGGCCACACACGTGTACAAGGTGTGACGGAGCCCCGCACGCCCACGTGCCCCTCACCGGTCGCTCGATGAGCTCGATGCAGGGCTGTAGGTCCAGCCCAAAGTCGATGAAGTTCCACTCGATGCCCTCGCGCTGGTACTCCTCCTGCTCCAGGATGAACATGGTGTGGTTGAAGAGCTGCTGCAGCTTCTCGTTGGTGTAGTTGATGCACAGCTGCTCGAAGGAGTTCACCTGAGCACATGGCGTGGGGGCGGGGCGTGAGCATCTTGGTATGAAGTCAGAAGACAAGGAGCCCCACAGAAGCTCCACCCGACAGCGCCCCCATGGCCCGCCCACATCCTGTTCTGCCATCCCAGCACCCAGACAGGGCTGAGGCCCCAAAACATGCTGCCTAGAGTCCACCAGGGCTGGTGAAGTTGATATCACATGGCCCTCACACACCTTAAAGATGCTTATCTCCTCCATCTGCACAACCATCTATGGATGGACAAACCTCGTAAGGCACGCTACTGCATGTACAGATGTGGAAACATTTTACAGATGTGAAAACAGAGGCGCAGAGAGAAAGTGACTCGGTAGTACACTTCTTTCGGGACATCTATCAATCTTAAAACCTCCTGGCTGGGTGTAGTGCTCATGATTGTAATCCCAGCACTTAGGGAGGCCAAGGCGGGAGGATCACTTGAGGTCAGGAGTTTGCGACCAGCCTGGCAAGCATAGCGAAACCTCTCTCCACTAAAAATACAAAAATTGGCCAAGCACAGTGGCTCATACCTGTAATCCCAGCACTTTGGGAGGCCGAGGCTGGTGGATCATTTGAGATCAGGAGTTTGAGACTAGCCTGGCCAACAGGGTGAAACTCTGTCTCTACCAAAAAAAAAAAAAAAAGTAGCCAGGCATGGTGGCACTAATCCCAGCTACTCGAGAGGCTGAGGCAGGAGAATCACTTGAACCTGGGAGGCGGAGGTTGCGGTGAGCCAAGATTGCACTACTGCACTCCGGCCTGGGCAACAGAGCGAGACTCTGTCTAAAAAAAAAAAAAAAATTAGCTGGGCACAGTGGTACACTCCTGTAGTCCCAGCTACTCAGGAGGCTGAGACAAGAGAATTGCTTGAACCCAGGAGGCGGAGGCAGCAGTGAGACAAAATTGTGACACTGCATTCCAGTCTGGGCGACAGAGCAAGACTCTGTCTCAAAAAAAAAAAAACAAGACAAGACAAAAAAAAAACCTTCCCTTTCTCTGAGAACTTTCTTCAAACCCATGGGTAAAGGATCCAATATCCATGTTTCTACTACATGAGGTATTGCAAGCTCCTGCAAACAGTTCTTGGCTTGGAGGTGACCATGTAGCCCAATTCAGGTGAGTAAGAGTCAGTGAGACTTAATTCCAAGATTTTGGTTGGAACTGTTAGAAAAGAGATATGTGCTTTTTTTTTTTTTTTTTTTTTACCAGGATTACTGAGAGGCAGTCTGGAGCTGTGGCAGCCATCTTGCCCCCGTGAGGGGAGAGCCTGCTTGAGAATGGAGCCAATATGGAGGAAGGCAGAGAGAGAGAGAGAACGATGGCGGGAGATCAGACCCTGCCTACGGGATCCAGCTACATGTCTGGCCTTCTCAGTTCCAGAAACCAATGCATTTCCTGTTGGATTTCTGTCTCTTATACCCTCAATGATCCACCCTTAACTAGACAGCCTCCTACCCTACAGTAGCCATCTACATGCCTTTCTCCAAAATCATGACTCCTCCAAGAAAAAGCCCATCTCAGACAACCAAGACCATGGCTCTTAGGATCCCACCGAGCTGTACCTCAAAGATCTCAAATCCAGCTATATCCAGGATCCCCAGGAAGGAAGCCCCTTGCCGATGGGTCTTGTCCAGGGCTTTGTTCACGCGGGTGAGTATCCAGCGGAAAAGGCGCTCATATGTTGCCTTGGCCAAAGCCTCTACAGCAAAGTCAGCCTGCAGAGGGCAACCAGGGGAACCCGGTTATTCTCAATGGGCTCCATTTTCACATAAGCCAGGCTGGTGGTGAAGATTTTTATTCTTGGCCGGGTGCAGTGACTCACACTGTAATCCCAGCACTTTGGGAGGCCGAGGCAGGTGGGTCACTTGAGGTCGGGAGTTCAAGACCAGCCTGACCAACAAGGCAAAAACCCTTCTCTACTAAAAATACAAAAATTAGCCAGGCGTTGTGGTGCATGCCTGTAGTCCCAGCTGCTTGGGGGACTGAGGCAGGAGAATCGTTTGAATCTGGGAGGCAGAGGCTACAGTGAGCTGCGATGGCACCACTGCACCCCCCCCTGGGCAACAGAGCAAGGCTCTGGCTCAAAAACAAAAAACAAACAAACAAACAAAACCTGACATGGGACTGTGAATATTCTAGTATTGAATAAATGAGGGATAAAGAGATGGATGGGTGGATGCATGGACAGATGAATGAATGAATGAATGAATGGAATGACAGCTGGATGGGTGATGGATGGACGGACAGATGGACAGATGGCTGGGTCATGGATGGATGGACAGATGGATGAGTGAGGGATGGAGAGATGATGGGTGAGCAGATAGATGGGCAGATGAATGGATGGATGGATGGATGGATGAACAGACAGATGAATGAGTGGGTAGAAAGATGGATGGATGGACAGATGCAGAGGCAGACCATGGGTGAATGGATTAATGAATACATGAATGAGTGAACAGGTGGATAGATGGATGAATGGATGGATGGGTGGGTGCATGGATGGATAAGTGATAAGTACATCATTACCTGTTCTTTTGTCTGAGCTTTCTGTACCACATCTCGCCCAACCTTGATACGAGGAGTGAGGATGGATCTGGTGAAATCTGTCACATTAATTCCCATGAGGTGGCAAACTTTCTGAGCAGCTGGATGGAGAAAAGAAACATCGTGAGTGCATCACAAAAGAAATAGCTTGGCAAGAAGACACATCGCATGGGATATTTGTGATCTGTGAATACAGCGGGTTCTCTTGGGGAAATGGGACCCGCTGACCATGAATATAGCTTGAAGTGTCCTAAAGGCTGCTGTCATTAGTGGTCACACTCCCCAGTATTTTGCTGAGAGGCAATGATTGGGGTGGGCTGAAGCAGGCCCCAGTTGGGGGTTTAGGGTCAGGTAGTTCTAGTTTCAAGTCCCTGTCCCTTCACACTTCCAAGTCATGTGACTTTGGAAAAGCTCTTTACCCTCCCAGCATCTTGCTTTTCTCAGCTTTAAAAAGGGTCAGCTCTTCGGTACCTTGTTGGTACCCAGGACTAAATAAGGTAAAGTATGTAAAGTCCCTGAGATAGATAGATTTATTTATTTATTTATTTGTTTATTTATTTATTTATTTTTGGAGACAGAGTCTCGCTCTGTCGCCCAGGCTGGAGTGCAGTGGCGCGATCTCAGCTCACTGCAACCTCCGCCTTCCGGGTTCAAGCAATTCTCCTGCCTCAGCCTCCCGAGTAGCTGGCATTATAGGTGCCTGCCACCACACCCAGCTAATTTCTTTTGTATTTTAGTTGAGATGGAGTTACACCGTGTTGCCCAGGCTGGTCTCGAAGTCCTGAACTCAGGCAATCCGCCCACCTCGGCCTCCCTAAGTGCTGGGATTACAGGCGTGAGCCACTGGCCCTTGAGATTTATTTAACAGTTACTTAGTAAGTATTAAATAGTTATTAATAGTAACATTTATTGAACAGTTACTGTTCAATAAATATTTCTTTCACCCTTCTAGGATATGTGTTGCAGCATTGTTTGCAATAGCAAAATGCTAGAGTCAACCTAAATGCTCTTCTTTTATTTTGAGATGCAGTCTTCCTGTCGCCCGGGCTGAAGTGCAGTGGTGTGACCACGAGCTGGTCCCTTAACATGAAAATAGCATTACATGCTGCTTTGCATGTGCAAGGCAGAGTAAATAGAGTGATTTTAGGATTTTTTTTTCCCCATCTCTTGGCAAGAGCACTTTTTCATTTCTCTTTCCCTGAGGTCTTTCCTTGGCATCCGGATTCCATTAATTTGCCAGATTTAGGGACTCTAATACATAACAAACACCTGAGAATGAAACTGCCACTGCAAAATTATAACTGAGACACTGAACAAGATCTGACCTAACGGACTCCACCTTGCTTCTAACCTCCAAGCTCCACTGAACCATTTGTGGGTGTAAGCCGAATTAACTTGGCAGGAACTTAGTTTATAGTTTATTTTTTATGTTTTGGACACAGAGTCTCACTCTGTTACCCAGGCTGGAGTGCAGTGGCACAATCTCGGCGCACTGCAATCTCCGCCTCCTGCGTTCAAGCAGTTCTCCTGCCTCAGCCTCCTGAGTAGCTGGGATTACAGGCGCCTGCCACTACGCCTGGCTAATTTTTGTATTTTTAGTAGAGATGGGGTTTCACCATGTTGGCGAGGCTGGTCTTGAACTCCTGACTTCAAGTGATCCACCTGCCTGGGCCTCCCAAAATCCTAGGATTACAGGCATGAGCCACCACGCCTAGCCTCTTAGTTTATAGTTTAAAACACAAGAACCCTTTCCCAAAACAAACCCCCTTCTTGCCTGGAGACTAGACTGCCTTTGTAGGAATAACAAATTAGCCCAAAGGTTTGAAATTATGGTTTAGGAGTCCTGTAACTGGAGGCTACAAGAGTCTGACCCTCCCTAAATTGCTCCTGGGGATAACATCACTATTGTAAAACCTAAGACCAGTACTTGAGATATTTTTGCGGACCCTGGCACCAGGTGGATCAGCTGACACCACCCAGATCGAGAAACTGGCTCATCTGATCTTATGGCCTCTGTCCAGGAACTGACTCAGGGCAAGAGGACAGCTTCGACTCCCTGTAATTTCATCTCTGACCCAACCAATCAGCACCCCCAACTCACTGGCCTCCCCCTAACCACATTATGCTTAAAAACTCTGATCCACGAATGCTCAAGGAGATTGATTTGAGTAATAATAAAACTCTGTTCTCCCATGCAGCCGGCTCTGCGTGAGTTACTCTTACTCTATCGCAATTCCCCTGTCTTGATTAATTGGCTCTGTCTAGGCTGTGGGCAAGGTAAACCCAGTAAGCGGTTGCAACAGGTTTGATCAAGGTGGGCTCTAGGGAGCGGGAAAAAGCAACACAATATACAGCCTGGGCTGGGAAATAAGAAACCTAAGTTTTGCTCTCAGCTCAGCCACCAACAAGCATAGTGGTAGCCAGGCCAGCTTCTCAAAACACAAAATACTGTTTATTTGTGGGTAGGTTTATCAGATTTAGGGGGAAAATTACAGGATGCTCAGTTAAACCTGAATTTCAGATAAACAAGAATACTCTTTTGGTATAATCACGGTCCAAATGTTACAAGGGACATAATTAAAATTTAAAAAAAGGTTTGTTGTTTACCTAAAATTGAAATTTATCTGGACATCCTGTATTTTATCTGGCACCCCTAATTCTCAGGGCAATTGAGGTCTGTCTCCCCAAGACGACCACAGATACCGTAAGAAGAGCTATTCTTGTGTCATTTCCTGCTGTATCCCAGTGGCATATTGCAGGGGCTTGAGAAATATTTCTTTAACAAAACAATTAAGTGGGGTATTTTAGAAGAGATGGTCCCTCGGGATCTTGTCTGGTCACTATTAGGGGTAGGACGTGATGACTCTTGCCTGTAATCCCAGCATTTTGGGAGGCCAAGGTGGGAGGATCACTTGAGCTCAGGAGTTCAAGATCAGCTTGGGCAACACAGCGAGACCTCGTCTCTATTAAAACTTGTAAAATTTTGTATTTAAAAAAAAGAACAAATAAATAAAACTATTAGGTTTGTTTTTTTTTAATCCCTGCGCTCTGATTCAATAACTTTCCACATAGGGTCTTGAGCACTGAAAAGTTTGAAAAAGTGAGTGATAAGAACCTAGTCCAACTGTTGTTAAAATCCCAGATACCTTCACCTTGAAAAATAACCAGTGGTTAAATGTCACCTCCCCCACCCCCCCAACCCCAAAGTCATTGGTCATCAGGAAAAAGTGGCAAGTACCTGTGTTATCTGGCATGGACGCCTGGTCTGTGTTTCTTTCCTTCTTGAAGACGATATTTCCAAGCTGCAGGACCGATGATACCACCTTCAATATGGCTGAGGTGGGGAGAGAAGGGCAGAGCAGACACAAAGGTCAATGCCAAGGTACCCTGGAGTTTTGGAGCCTAAAGCCACTGGGGACCCAGAGCCAGCTTACATCTTTCCTCTGAAGAAACTAGATTCTGAGCTCAATATTTTCATATGGTTGCTTAAAACCTTGCATTACAATGGAATGCCACGCAGCAGGGACTGGCAAATTACAGCCCATGGACCAAATCTGGCCCACTGCTTGCTATTATACATAAAGTTTTAGTGGAAAACAGCTATACTCATTCATTTACATATTGTCTGTAACTATTTGCATGCTACACTGGCAGAGTTAATGAGTTGCAACAAAGATCGTCTGGCCTACAAAGGCTAAAGAATTTACTATCTGACCCTTTACAGAAAAATGTGTTAGCAACCCCTGCCACAGAACAGTGAGAATGAATGAGCTACAACTACCACAAATCAAAACTGATGTATTGGGGCCAGCATAGTGACTCATGCCTGCGACCCCAGCACTTTGGGAGGCTGAGGTGGGAGAACTGCTTGAAGCCAGGAGCTTGATACAGCCTGGGCAATGTAGGGAGATCCTGTCTCTAAAACAAAAAAAAAACCCTGACATATCTTCCAGACACAAATACCGAACAAAAGAGGACAGATGGAAACAAGAACATACTGTCTAAGTCCATATATAGACCGTCCATTCAAGAAGAGGCAAAACTAATCGATGCTGTTAGAAGTCAGGATAATGATTATCCTTAATTGAGGGAAGTTCTTAGAAGGTGCATGTGGGAGCTTCCATGGGGCTGGTGGCATTGTCTTATTTAAAATGGATTCTAGTTACACAGACGTGTTCAGTTTATAATAATTCTTTGCACTGCACGCTATGGCATACACAATTTTCTCCATGTAAATCATATGTCAATAAAAGGATTTTTGAAATAAAAACCCTGTGCTTCTTACATACTCTTCTGGGTGTAACAGATGCCCATGTTGGGATGAAGAAGATATACATTTGTTTCCACTTGTTGTCCAGGTGTCTCCAAACAAAAACGCTGTGTTCCCAGAATACTTGGAACCTTTCTGACTCCATACTCAGGCCATGTTACTGTTAAAATAGTTTCTATGTCTGAAATCCCCATAAGACCATGAGTTTCTGGAGAGTGGAGGGCCTGCCCTAATCATCTTTGAATTTCCAAAGCCTATTCCAAGGTCCTGATACACATGGGAGGGAGGGAGAGAGATGGATGGATGGTAGGTGGAAGGTGGATGGATGGATGAATGAATAAATGGATAGAGGATGGGTTCATGGATGAATGGACGGATGGATGGATGGGTGGGTAGATGAATGGGTGAATGATGGACGGATGAGTAGAGGATAGATGGATGAATAGAGGATGGATTGATGGATGAATAATTCATGGATAGAGGATAGACGGATGATGGATGGATGGATAGAGGATAGATGGATAGATGGAATGGACAGAGGATTGATGGATAGACGATGGATAGATGGATGGAGAATTGATGGAGGAATGGATACAGCATTGATGGATGGATGATGGATGGATGAATGGATGGATGGACAGATGATGGATGGATGGTAGATGGATGAATGGATGGATGATGATTAATGCAAATTCTTGGCTTAGCTTAACTCAGGTACAAATCACCCAGAGTTCTGGCTTCAAATCAGTCACTATGTTCCAGGAACAAAGCCTAGAGATCCCAGACTTCTCTGGTTCCTCAGGCCAAACCAGACATTACAAGGCCCTTCACAACAGCTATTCTCACGCCATGGGGTCCCTGGCCCAGCTCAGCAAAAGGACCCAGCTGCTGACCACCCATCCATTTGCTCCCACTTACTATGGTAGAAAGCCTTCTCCCCAAAATGAATGAAGCTGCTGTTGACAGGGCTTGGAAACACACTTCCTTTTAACCATAACATCTATGAAAGAGTCTTTGTAAACTATGAAGAGTTGCACTCACAGTTTTAAAAGTGTCAATTTAAACTAAAGATTCCTGAAATGCCTGCACAGCCCAGGCGAGCCGGCCAACTCAGGGTTTCTCAATCTTGTCACTGCAGAAATTGGGGGCCAGATAATTCTCTATTGTGGGGAGCTGTCCTGGGTATCATGGGAAGTTTAGTAGCATCCCTGGCCTCTAACCACTAGATGTCAGTGGTGGTTACCCTGACAGAGTTGTGACAACCACAAATGTCACCAGATACTACTCAATGTCCCCTGGGAGGCAAACTCACCTCTGGCAGAGAACCACTGGTCTAAATGAACAAAGCCAACTAATGAGGACTGTGGGGACCCAAGGAGGCCACAAACCCATCTGAAGGGGCCAGCAGCTACTCCGTCATTGCCACAGGGGATATAAGCCAAGTGTTGCTGGAACTTCTGATTTTTCTAGATAATGGAAACCCAGAGTTTTTATGTGAAGTGTACCCATGTTTTTTGGTGTGTGTGTGTGTGTGTGTGTGTGTGTGTGTGTGTGTGTGTGTGAGACTGAGTCTTGCTGTCACCCAGGTTGGAGTGCATTGGTGCAATCTCGGCTCACTGCAACCTCTGCGCTTCCCAGGTTCAGGGGAATTCTCCTGCCTCAGCCTCCAGAGTAGCTGGGATTACAGGCGTGTGCCACCACACCCGGCTAATTTTTCTATTTTTAGTAGAGACGGAGTTTCACCATGTTGGCCAGGCTGGTCTCAAACTCCTGACTTCAAGTGATCCATGTGCCTTGGCCTCCCATAGGGTTGGGATTATAGGCCACAGTGCCCGGCCTACCCATATTTAAACTTTAGGAACCAATTTCTAAAAATTTTGAAGGTTGTAGTGGCCGATCTCTCCTGTGGGCTCAGGAACCATTGGTTTGCACTTTCTGGTATAGTTAAATGTAATTCCAGAAATGACAAAAGAATGCCACCACTCCCAGGCCATAAGAGATGAACCTTGGGGCAGAATTAGCAGACAGCAAAGAAGTAAACCAGTGAGGAGACACAACACAGCAAGGGTGGTGACGGCTGGCAGCATCCTGGTGTGCTGGTGCAAAGCACGCGCTCTGCAGTTAGAGAGTCCTGAGTTCAAATCCCAGCTTTGCTTCTTATAAATCTCATTATCTCTGAATTTCCAAATCCTAGTTCCGGGTCCAGATACACATGGGGAGGGAGGGAGATGGATGGATGGCAGATGGAGGGTGAATGGATGGATGAATGTATAAATGTATAGAGGATGGGTTCATGGATGGATGGGTGGGTAGATGGATGGACGGATGGGTGATGGATGGATGGGTGATGGAAGGATGAGTAGAGGATAGATGGATGATAGAGGATGGATTGATGGATGAATCATGGATGAATAGAGGATAGAGACTCTACATGAGTCTCAATAAGTCCCATGAGCCTCAGTTTCCCTATCTGCAAAACGGAGATGGTAACAGTAGTACCTGCTTCGTGAAGTTTAGGTCTTGTAAGATGCTGAGCAAGGGCCTGGCCTAGTAGGTGATAAAGAGTGGAAGCCACCTATATTAGGTTGAATGTTGGTCTTTCTAAAATATGTCCACCTGGAACCTGTGAATGTGGCCTAATTTGGGGGGTTACATTTATTTTTTTTTCCTTTTTGTGGATACCGGGGTCTCACTATATTGCCCAGGCAGGTCTCGAACTCCTGGGCTCAAGCTATCCTCCCGCCTCTGCCTCCCTGAGAGCTGGGACTACAGGCGTGAACCACCGCGCCCAGCCTGAACGTGGCCTATTTTGGAAAAAATCGGTCTTCGCAGATGGAATCAAGTACAAGATCTCAAGATGAGATCATCTTGGATTAACCTGGTGGGCCCTACATTTAATGTCAAGTGTCTTTATGATGGACAGAAGAGAAGACCCACAGAGTAGAATGCCACATGAAGGATGAGGCAGAGACTGGAGTGAGACAAGCCAAGGAAAAGCCAGGAACAGCCAGAGCCACCAGAAGCCAGGACAGAGGCAAGGAACAGATCTCCCTCAGTGCCTCCAGGAGGAACAACCCCTGCCAACATCTTGTCTTTTAAAAAAAAAAAAATTTTTTTTTTTTAAATTTTTAGTAGAGAAGGGGTCTTGCTATGTTGCTCAGGCTGGTCTTGAACTCCTGGCCTCAAACGATCCTCTTGCCTTGGCCTCCCAAAGTGCTGGGATTACAGGCATGAGCCATTATGCCCGGCTCCTGCCGACACCCTGATTTCAGAACCCTGGCCTCCAGAACTGGGAGAGAATAAATTCCTGTTGTTTTAAGGCATCAAGTTTGTGCTAATTTTTTACAGTGGCCTTACACCTCTCTTCTTGCTGAGGAATAAGAAACAGGACTTTCCAACATCAGACATGTGTACCACCAGGGATACACAGGATGGACAATTTAGGTGATTTTATTTTTTATCTTCAAAATACATTAGAAGCAGTATAACCAGGCCAGGCATGGTGGCGCATGAGGATATCTTGAGGCCAGGAGTTCAAGGCTGCAGAACCCAATGTGGTGGGGAAAATCCTGGTGTCCCCTGGTCACTTGGAGCCTCATGAAGCTCCAGCCTGAAGCCTGACCCACCCCCTTCTCCATAGGCCCCTTGATGGAGGGTTTGGAAGTAGCTCTTGGTTTATAAATGGGGTTGGTGTACATTTAGGACTAAGTTGGTTCCTATGAGAGTTCGTCATTTGCACGCCATCGTCTGAATGCTTGCTCTGTGTACCATCTGCTCCATTATTTGCTTAATCATTTTCTTTAAATTTACTTCCTTCTCTTTCCTTACATTTGTTTTAATAGAAAACTTTCTCTATCTTCAGTGACAAATCATCTTCACTTGCCATAAATAGATGGCAATTATAAATATAAATACAAGGAAAACAGTATTACCAAATTCTAGCTAGATGCTTGGGGCTGCCGAAGGTGCTGGGCCTGGAGTCTGGTCTCTGTGGTTAAAGGGGAAACAAGTGCCAAAGTACATTGAGAACACTGGGGACTGGGCATGGTGGCTCATGCCTGTAATCCCAGCACTTTGGGAGGCCAAGGTGGGCTGATTGTTTGAGCCCAGGAGTTCAAGACCAGAGAATACTGGATAACATGGTGAAGCCTTGTCTCTACCCACCCCTCCAAAAATCAAACCAAAACAAAACAAAAAACCCCAGGCCAGGCACGGTGGCTCATGCCTGCAATCCCAGCACTTTGGGAGGCCAAGATGGGTGGATCATCTGAGGTCAGGAGTTTAAGACCAGCCTGGCCAACATGGCGAGACCCAGTATCTACTAAAAATACAAAAAAAATTAGTGGGGCATGGTGGTGGGCGCCTATAATCCCAGCTACCCAGGAGGCTCAGCCAAGAGAATTGCTTGAACCCAGGAGGCAGAGGTTGCAGTGAGCCGAGGTCGTGCCACTGCACTCCAGCCTGGGTGACAATAGCAAGCCTCCATCTCAAACAAAACAAAACAAAAACCCTAAAATCAAAAATTAGCCAGGCGTGGTAGCACATGTCTGTAGTCTCAACGACTTGAGAGGCTGAGCTGGGAGGACTGCTTGAGCCTGCAAGGCAGAGATTGCAGTGAGCTGAGACTGCGCCACCGTACTCCAGCCTAGGTGACAGAGTGGTGTGATCTCGGCTCACTGCAGCTTCGACCTCCTGGGCTCAAGCAATCTTCCTGCCTCAGTCTCCCAAGTAGCTGGGACTACAGTGTGCACCACCACACCCAGTTAATTTTTTGTATTATTTGTAGAGAAGGGATCTTGCCATGTTGCCCAGGTTAGTCTCAAACTCAAGCTCAAGTGATCTGCCTGCCTTGGCTTCTCAAAGTGCTGGAATTACAGGCGTGAGCCACCATGCCCAGCAAAACAATTTAAATGGTCTCATTGTTTTCTTTCACAAGGACAGACAATGATTTAATAAACCCTCTATTAATCAACCTATTTTAGTTTGTTCCAGTTTTTTTCTATTTATTTTTTTTGTAGAGACAGAGTCTCACTGTGTTATCCAGGCTGGTCTCGAACTCCTGGGCTCAAGCAATCCTCTTGCCTCAGTGTCTCCAAATGCTGGGATTACAGGCATGAGCCACTGTGCCCAGCCTGTTCCAGTTTTTTATTATTTAAATAAAACTATACTGAACAGTGTAGTACATCAAGAAAAAAGGATTTGGTAAATTCCTGGCACACAGCAAATACTTAACCATTGTTCATTGTTATTTAAAAGCAAGATTAGAAGCAAAACTGACCCCTGTCCCAAATGAAATGAATCATTCTTGGAGGGCCTATGTCATTCAGACAAGGAGGCTATCAGCACTAGATTCTGATGTGGGACCCTGGCCAAGACCCACATACACCATCCATTTGTCAACTGACCCATACAGCCTAATTTTCCAGACCCCAAGTTATCTTCGGAGGAGCTGCCCCTCCCCTTATGCAGCATTTCAGCAACCTCAGTGCTATTCTGGGGCTCCAAACGGGCGTAGGCGTGGGAAGGAAGGGAAACTTTCCACAGTTCTGTCCTGGTGTTCCTGAAAGAGATTAACCTTCAACACTGAGGCACATCTAACGCAGAAGGAAAATCGTTTCTGGAAACACAGTGTCCCGACCAAGAATTTCTTTCTGAGCTGTCCTGTTCTCAAGACCCAGTGTGTTTCTTGGCCATTGGTTGGATGATTTTGATCAATATCAATTGATCACCAGAGCAACCCCTCCAGGAAAAGCCTGAGTAAATCCACTGCCTCGATCACTCCCCCTCCCCTAAACCCTGCCCACATGTTCCTGATGAGGCCAACATCTCTACCTTCAGCTCCAAGAATCCATTCTTAGGGACCATAATGAAACCACCCTGCGCTTTCCACAACCCTGCCTATGCTGCATAGCTCAGGAATGTGCATATCAACCTAAGCCAACCAATCAGAGTCAATGACACTCCATTCAGGAACTTAAGCCGGGAATCTACTCTGTTCTTTGGACATAAACCCAAAGAATATAAGGGCTGGAACCCAGCTATGTTGCTGTCAACAAACTGCATCCTATAGAGAAACAATGTAGTCGAGAGAGATAGAAGACAAGAAATTAGGTTCTAGAAAAATCTTTTGAACACCTAGATCTCACTGTACCTGAAGCTTGAATTCCTGAACTTTTTTTTTTTTTGAGATGGAGTCTAGCTCCATCTCCCAAGCTGGAGTGGAGTGGTGTAATCTTGGCTCACTGCAACCTCTGCCTTCCGGGTTCAAGCAATCCTCCCACCTCAGCCTCCTGAGTAGCTAGGACTACAAGTGTGCACCACCAGCCCTGGCTAATTTTTTTTTTGTATTTTTAGTAGAGACAGGGTTTCACCAAATTGACCAGGTTGGTCTCGAACTCCTGACCTAAAGTGATCCGCCCACCTTGGCCCCGCAAAGCGCTGAGATTACAGACCTGAACCACTGTGCCTAACCTCCCTGAACTTCTCAACATTCTGAGTTAGTCACTTTCCCTTTGGTTTAAGCCAGCTCGGGTTACTTGCAACCCTAGTTATACAGCCACTTTTCTACAACACAAACAAACCACCTAGAATAAAATTCATTTTCCTCCTTTTTTTTTTTTTTTTTAATGGAAGGTGGGGAATTCAGAGAGCAGAAATCTGTCCTGACCAGAGAAGAGTTCTTAACAGGTTCCACTGGTATCCAGGCAAGCTACCCTCCAGACTCAAGGTGTGAGGCTTACATAGCTGCTCCTCCTCGCTGAAACCCATGATTGCCATGGCCTCCACGGTTTCCTGGAACATCTCATCATCCTGGGCTGCTGGGATGGGCACAAAGCCATTGGAGAGGAAGGTGTAGTTGTTGAAGCCCTCCAAAAGCAAGTCACCTAGAAGGAGAGGAAGACAGGTCAGGGTCAATAAGACATACTTCTAATTTCAACATGAGACCGAGATCTGGTCAAGGGTCTGGGCCATCATAATTCCTTTCCCTTTATCAAGGCTTGAACCGTTTAAAGCCCTCACGCATCGTCACGTAGACAGCCTCACCAACCACTGCCAGCCTTACACAGCGGTGCAGGTTGTGCACTGCTCCAGTGACTGCAGCTGATATCCAGCCTTGGTTCTGCTTGCTAAGCCACAATCCCTGGCACGAAGTTACATTTACCTGGAGGAAGGGATGCCTTTACCTCAATTGTCTAGAGGCACCCTGCCTTCAGCCTTCAGAGACAAAGCTGTCAGAAGAGTTAGATCAACCTTTACTCTTTTTTTTTTTTTTTTTTTTTTGAGACGGAGTCTCACTCTGTCGTCCAGGCAGGAGTGCAGTGGCGCGATCTCGGCTCACTGCAACCTCCGCCTCCCAGGTTCAAGCGATTCTCCTGCCTCAACCTCCTGAGTAGCTGGGATTACAGGCGCCCGCCACCACGCCCGGCTAAATTTTGTATTTTTAGTAGAGATGGGGTTTCACCATGTTGACCACACTAGACTTGAACTCCTGACCTCAGGTGATCCACCCACCTTGGCCTCTCAAAGTTCTGGGATTACAGACGTGAGCCACCGCACCTGGCCTTATTCATGTATTTATAAAATTTTTATCAAATTCAAACAGGCACATGAGTTTTAAAAATCAATTACTACCAAAGGTTTATAATGAAAAATAGCATTCTCCTGTCACATCCCTTCTCCAACTCTACCTTACTCCATAATACCTGCTTTTATCTCTTTTAGCTGCTTTTTATCTGGCAGTTACCACTATCTCTCTGTACAATAGGCTTGCTATATATACTAGCCTATTATAATGTATATACCATTATGTATTACATATCATAGGCCAAGGGTTCCCCAACCCATAGGCCATAGACCAGTACCGGTCCATGTTAGGAACTGGGCCACACAGCAGGAGGTGAGCAGCAGGTGAGCAAGTGAAGCTTTATCCGCTATTTGCAGCTGCTGCCCATCGCTTGCATCACTGTCTGAGCTCCGCTTCCCATAAGATCAGCAGCAGCATTAGATTCTCATAGGAGCGCAAACCCTATCGTGAGCTGCACATGTGCCCTCCTTATAACACTCTAATGCCTGATAATCTGTCACTGTCCCCCATCACCCCCCGATGGGACTGCAGGAAAACAAGCTCCCAATGATTCTACATTATGGTGACTAGTATAATTATTTCATTGTATATTACAATGTAATAATAAAGTGCACAGTAAATGTAATACACGTGAATCATCCCCACACCATCCCCCCAACCCTGCCCGCCCAGTCTGTGGAAAACTTTTCTTCCAGGAAACCAGTCCTCAGTGCCAAAAGTAACAGGTGCTTTTGGCCTATTGGAAGACCAGAGGCAAAGCACAATCGCTGTAATAGGCGATTTCTGGATATGTCAAGTTTAGATAGTATCTAGTGACTTCCTGCTATGGTAGGCAAAAATGCAGCTTTCTTATACTACCTTTCCTTTCCTCCAGCTATTTTTTTTTTTTTTTTTGAGAGGGAGTTTCACCTTTGTCCAGGTTGGAGTGCAGTGGTGCGATATTGGCTGCTCACTGCAACCTCTGCCTCCCGGATTCAAGCAATTCTCCTGCCTCTCGAGTAGCTGGGATTACAGGCACCCACCACCATGCCCAGGTAATTTGTTGTATTTTTAGTAGAGACGGGGTTTCATCATGTTGGCTAGTCTAGTCTTGAACCCCTGACATCAGGTGATCCACCCGCCTCAGCCTCCCAAAGTGCTGGGATTACAGGTGTGAGCCACCGTGCCCAGCCACCCCCAGCTATTTTTAGTTGAATCAATATATAAGGCTTATATCACAGGTTGGCAAATCTGGTCCCCTGTTGTTTTTGTAAATAAAGTTTTATTGAAACACAGCTGCTCTGATGTCCTTGTTTATTTCTCATGGCTGCTTTCTCACTAGGCAACAGAGTTGAGTAGTTGCAACAGAGGCCATCTGGTCCTTAAAGTCTAAAACGTTTACTACTGACCCTTTAGCAAAAACAGTTTGCCAACTCCCTTTTTATGACATTAATTAGATATTCTGTGTCAAACTGTATCCTATGATTACATTTCCTTTGTTGTTGTTCAGCTTCTCCCCCACCCCCAACTTTATAATTGCCTTTCTTTCTCCTGCACCATTTGCTTTTATTATACCCTCCAATACATCAAGGATCCTCTTCCAGATCAATCTTTAATTAGGATGGATTCGGTTATACTTTTGGAGAGACGTCAGCAAGATATTTTTCTTTCAAAATCAAGGTCTTTTATGGGTCAAGTCACTTGGAAGCTGCTTGATAAACTCGAGGTTAAATTGACTGAAGGCACCAGTTAACTCAAACTTTTGGATTAACTTGAAATGCCTGATTCAAGTCACGAGGATTGAGGTCTTTGCCAAGACTTCATTATCCCGAGTTTGGATGCATTTAGCAATATTTGGTTCTTTCTAAAAGCCTAACATCTTTCCAGTTCTATCATCTAGAATACAAACGGCCCCTGGGAATTTAGTTCTGAGCCCTATACTTGCCCATTTCTGGAAGACCAGAGGCAAAGCACAAAACTGGAACCCAAGGTACCAAACAACCAAACTGTTTTCTTGGGTGCCAAATAAAAGGAAAAGGAATGTCAACATTTTTCCCTGGCCCATTCCACAGGGTCCTGCACTGTAACTGCTAATATACCATGTTTGCTGGTACATAAAAAATCCATTCAGCATTCCCCCTTTACCAAAAATTGCTCCACCTCATAGCCTATGTTCCTGAAAGCCAGCCATTAAGGAAACTTATTTTTATTGTTTGAGACAGAGTCTCACTCTATCGCCTAGGCTGGAGTGCAGTGGTGCAATCTTAGCTCACTGCAAACTCCACCTTCTAGGTTCAAGTGATTCTCCTGCCTCAGCCTCCCAAGTAGCTGGGATGACAGGCGCCAGCCACCACACCTGGCTAATTTTTGTATTTTTGGGGAGACAGGGTTTCACTATCTTGGCCGAGCTGGTCTCAAACTCCTGACCTCAGGTAATCCGCCCGCCTCTGCCTCCGAAAGTGTGGGATTACAGGCATGAGCCACTTTGCCCCACCCTGGAAATTTAAATAATGGATAATGCCACCCCCTAGTAGCTGAGGTCTACAATACACTCCGACACAGCGAAGTTCTGAGCTCACACAGATCCTTTTGGTAACTGTCTTAACCAAAATAACTAACCTTGGGCCACAAAAGAGATGGGAAGCAAAGTCTGTATTGTTCCCATAGAATTTCAGACTCAAAACTTATTACTAACATGTAGACTCTACTATGTACAGATAGTCACTGATCCATTCCTTTTTTAAGCTATGCGATTTGTATATATTTTTAAGAGTTAGTAAACAGCTGCAGGTCCAGAACTCATAACTTCCTACTGGAGTTTGGTATACAGTGTATTATATTTACATAAAAAAACTTTTCCCTACAACAGAGGTCAGCAAACTTCTGCACACTGCCTGTTTTTGTAAATAAAGTTTTATTGTAACACAGTGATGCATCTGCACTCACTGATTTATGTGTTGCCTATGTTCATTGGTTTATGTGCTGCCTGTGCTCATTGGTTTATGTACTGCCTGTGCTCATTGGTTTATGTGTTGCCTGAGCTCACTGGTTTATGTGTTGCCTGCACTCATTGGTTTATATATTGCCTGTGGCTGCTCTTGTATTACAATGGCAGAGTTGAATAGCTGTGCCAGAAGCCACCTGGCCTGCAAAGCCTGAAGATTTACTATCTGGCCTTTTACAGAAAAAGTCTTGACCCCTGTTCTACAAAGTCACTGGCAAAACATGTATAATGAAAAATGCTTAGTCCTGCTGCCCCTGCAAATTCCTTATAAAACCAGAATGCATCTTTTATATTTGCAAGTTTTATAAATTGGCAAGTAAGGCAAATGTCTTTCTCCCTTTCCTTGAAGGCGTAGATTGTGTCTAGTTGGACTTGATGCTCTCTGGTCTAATGAGACATGAATCATTAATGATCTAATGTCTAATTGGAGTTGATGGCTACTATGTCACATAGTAGGTGCTCAGTAAATGAGAATGACTGAACACAAGCCACACTCACTCATTGGGAGGAGATGAAGAACTGTTCATATGTCACTCACAGACATGGTCCTTTCTGGCAGGATCTGAGACTGTTTTAATAGCCAATCCCTTAACCCCGGATTCTGATGAAAGGGAAGGCTCAAGCCATCCAATCACATGTCATTGCTAGTCACTTACTTCTCATCTTCTCCTTGGCTCCAGCAATCATGTAGTAAAAGATGTGGAATGTCCTCTCGTCTCTGGCTTGGCGAATTGCCCGTGATTTTTCTAGCAGATCTGGTTTGGAGGGAGTTAGGGATTCTGGGGATACTGCGGGTGTTCCTCTGGTCTTCCACCTCCATCCCTGTCACACCCAATTCACATGGGATGACTTTCCAGTTCTACCCCTGGGATCGGTAATGTCTAACTTTGACCATTGCCCCTATGGACAAATGGAACCGCTGGGTGCTGCCAGCAGACTTCAGATGCAAAAAAAAGGGAGGGGAATAGAGTGAAAAGAAAAAGCATAAAAAGGCTCCAGGAAGAAGGTAATGGTAACGAGATGTTCCCCTAACAGCCATCACCAGCAAATCTTCTTTAAAATGAGCTGTCTTCAGACATGACAGAATACAAATAATGACACCATCTATGATCCTATGATTTATGATTCATTCCTGTGTGAAATGATTGATATAAATTGTCTCACTGAAGCCTCACAAAGTATGCTAGGAAATAAGTGCAACTATTATCGGTGTTTTCAATAAGGGGAAACTGAGGCTCAGAGAAGAGAAGTCCTTTCTCAAGATGATACAGCTAACAAGTGGCAAAGCTGTCTTCCATGCCCTCTGTTCCAAGAGTGGGGTCTGACGGGATGGAGGCGAGAGAGACCGTAAACACGCCACACTAATTAATTTCAGGAGAGCTTCTCCGCGATGCGGGGTGGCAGGAGGGAGAGCAGAGGGGAGGGCAGGTGAGGGTGGCATGGAGATCACAGGGTCCGGGGTGATGGGAGAGGGCAGCTGGGAGGCTGGGCTACTGTACTGGGTGGATTTCCACAGCACTAAGCATGATGGTGCGGGATGATGGGGCTAGATCAGCAGACCTTGTCTTCTTCAAGTCCTAAAGCCAGCTAGCAGTGCCCGGGCTACCACAGCCCATGTCCAATCTGGAAAGCAGTGATTCTCAGACTTTCTCATGGTGTACATGGGTATACACACGCACACATACACACACACACACACACACACACGCACGTATGTTTGAGCCAGAGTCTCGCTCTGTCACCCAGGCTGGAGGGCAGTGTGTGATCTTGGCTCACTGCAACCTCTGCCTCCCGGATCCAAGCAATTCTCCTGCCTCAGCCTCCTGAGTAGCTGGGACTACAGGTGCATGCCACCACGCCTGGATAATTTTTGTATTTTTAGTAGAGACAGGGTTTCACCATATTGGCCAGGTGGTCTCGAACTCCTGACCTCAAGTGGTCTGCCCGCCTCGGCCTCCCAAAGTGCTGGAATTACAGGCGTGAACCACCGTGCCTGGCTGAGATGTGTGTTTCTAAAGAGCTCCCAAGTGATGCTGATGCTGCTGGTTTGGAAACATACTTTGAGAACCACTGATCTAAAAGGAAGGCTGAGGCCAGAAGGACGGGGCTATGCCTGGGGCTCGCTCTAAACACAGGAAATGAATTGCTGAGAGGTGTGTGCAGGGCTGCAGGACAAGAGGGCCCTGGCTCTGGACTTGACCGAAGCCTGACAGCCCTCCTAGCTGCAGGATGGGAATCCTGGCTGGTTTGGGCAGATTAAAGTAGAAACGTAGAAAACATTGAGTTAACGCAATAGCCACCACCTATGAGATGCTCACTTTGGGCCCAGTACCGTACCAAGGGCTGTGCATATTATTATGCATATTATTTCATTTAACCCCTGCACCAGCTCCAGAAACTAGGTGCAATCACCCCCATTTTACCGAGGCAAAACTGAGGCCCAGAGAGCTTCAGTGATTTTCCCAAATCCCCACAGCTTAGACAAGTACAGTGGAGAGGAAGCTACTCCACAACCCACCCTCTTATCCAGGGCACATAACGTGGAAAAATGGGACCACTAGGTGCTGCTAGAGGACCTCAGGTGCAGAAAGAAGCTAAGTCAGGCCCCCAGGTCCTATACATTGCCAAGCACGTGTTCCACAGGAAGCCTGAGCCCTAGGGCCGCCTGCAAAGCTCCTGAGGCTGATCAGTCACTGAACTCTAGACCTGGTTGTTCCCCCACGTCCAGAAATTTCTAACTTGGCTCCACTTCACCGCTCAGGTTCATGAAAGAGATGCTCTACTTGTTCCTTGCGATACCAGCATTCTTCTGGGTAAACTCTGTTTTCATCAATTTCCTACCTAAGAAGTGGAGCCGATCACAGACCAACTCTCTAAGAGGACGACAGGTCCAGAATTTGGCCTCGGACAATGGCTGAATAAGGATGAAGTGAAGATCATACGATAGACACTACGTAGCCAGCCCTTACTCTGCACCTCGCATGGTGCCTAGAGCTTTATATGAGTTCATTCACTCTATTCTCACATTTCTATGAGGCAGGTACCATTCATTATCATCCCCATTTTGCTGATGAGGCACAGAGAGGTGGAGTAACCAGCCCAAGGTCACTCAGCTAAGGGACAGATCATTTGAGCATCACATGCAGCCTAGGCTGCTTGTTTAGGGTTCAAACCAGGGGTCCGGTCCACACATGTATAACCACTGCACCACAATGCCTGCTGTTAAGGGGAGATTTGTTCTGGAAGAAACCTAAGAGGCTGGAAAGATAGAGGTGGCTCTTGGACTCTCCCAGCCTCTGGGCAGGAGATTGGTAGGGGGCAGGGGTACCCATTTGGCCCAGGCTCAGGGAAAGGATACAGGTCTCAATGTTGGCTCCCACGATGTAACCCGTGACGTCGAAGTTGATGCGGATGAATTTGCCCTGCCAACAGGAAAACACAGTTCAGGCTTTGCTGCCCAACTTCAGCCGTTAACCCCATGCTGTGGGCAAGCAGGAGGCAGATGGTACAGAGGATGGGAGGTGGGGCGGGGAGATTCTTGCGAACACTCAGAACCCCACAGGTCAAGTTGTCAGGCGGAACCAACATCTGCTGAGCTGAAACCACCCCAGGCCTGACAGCAACAGAACGTGTAAAACATGTTCACAGATCAATTTCATTCGGCTTTTGCAATGACCGTAGTCCATCATGGCTATCCCTATTTAAAAAAACTTATTTATTTATTAGAGACAAGGTTTTGCTCTGTCAGCGAGGGCTGGAGTGCAGTGGTGCAATCACAGCTCACTGTAACCTTGAACTCCTGGGCTCAAGCAATCCCCTTTTCCCCATGACCTCACCCTCCCAAGCAGCTAGGACTACAGGCATGCACCACCATATCTGGCTAATTTTTAAATTTTTTTTTGTAGAGATAGGATCTCACTGTGTTGTCCAGGTTGGCCTCAGACTGCTGCACTCAAGCAATCCTCCCACCTCAGCCTCCCAAAGTGCTGGGATTACAGGAGTAAACTACCACACCCAGCCCACTATCCCCATTTTAAAGCTGGGAAAACTAAGGCTAAAAGAGATCAAGTGACTTGTCCAACGTGACGTTGCTCCTGAGAGGTAGGGCCCTAAGCAGAAAGAAGGTTTTTCCATATTCAGGGGCTAGAGGGCTCCCTCCCCAGACCCCACCCTGCTCCAAAACATCCACATCATCCAACTATGGATTAAACCTTTTCTGTGGGACAGGTGAGTATGCATTGGCCACACTGCCCAAGCAGGCCCTGTGTAGGATGTCCTTTAGGCAGGAATGGCTCATGTTCCTGGCCCTAGAGGCTCAACAAGTATCTCCAAAGATGGCCCTATCTACCTGCCTCAGCTAAGCCATGAAACCAAGGATGGAACCCAATCCTCCATCTGTTGGCATGAACCCTTTTCCTGTTTCCTCAACAGGTGAGACAGGATTTCATCCTTTTCCCCCATCATGACATAACATGGTGGGAAGTGTTGGCGTGTGTGGACACAATCCCCTAGGCTTGCTCAGTCCTTGACAAAACCTTCAAACTTTCCCCATTGGGAAACATGCAGTAGAGTGATTTGGGATGACCATATCCCAGATGGAGCCAGGGAGAGCCGGCTGGTCACAGGCAAGGCCCAGGCACCTTCTTCACTCTCCTTCCCAAGATGGCAGGGACGCCAGTGAGTGGAGGATGTTTTTAGGGATTTGTCTTGCACGTGCTTCCATTTATGACAGGCTAGAAACATTGCACAGAATTGGAACATGCAAACGCAGTGCTTCTCAGTGGAGGCGGCACATCTGCTATGGAGATTTTGGAAATCGGTGGAAGCCATTATTTGGCTTGTCACATGTTGGGGGGGGGCCGCTGTTGTTAGTGAACAGTGGGGCCAAGGATATTTTGGGAGTCCTGCAATGACCTGGAGAGTCTCTGATGCCAATCCTTGTCTATATCCCTTATGACTCTTCCAATGTCTCACCTGCCACTCATGGAGGTAAAAATCTGTTTGTAATTAGCCAGGCTTAGAACCTAACCTTTATGACTTTAGATTTTTACGCTTTTTTTTTTTTTTTTTTTTTTTTGAGACAAGAGCCTCACTCTGTCGCCCAGGTTGGAGTGCAGTGGTGTGACTTTGGCTCACTGCAACCTCCATCTCCCCGGGTTCAAGGAATTCTCCCACCTCAGCCTCCCGAGTAGCTGGGAATACAGGCATGTGTCACTGCGCCCAGCTAATTTTTGTATTTTTAGTAGAGACAGGGTTTCACCATGTTAGCCAGGCTGGTCTCAAACTCCTGACCTCAGGTGATCTTCCCAACTCAGCCTCCCAAGGTGCTGGGTTTACAGGTGTGAGCCACTCTGTGCCTGGTCTAGATTTTTATGCTTTTAAATGAAAGCATTAACAAGTGTTTAAAATGTTGTTCTAATACAAGAATATCCCATCTGTGTGACTCTAGAGAAGATTGTTCTTTGGTTCAGCGCTTCACTGAGAGTCAGTTGCCATTCTGGAAAATCCCATGCCAACATCATCAGTGCCTGAACTTGACCCTTTTCCTTGTATTTGTAGCTGTCGCCGTGGATAGACCTAAGTGTCTGTCTCTTACTGTGTCTTCTGTTGGTGTGGCCTGGCCCGAGCATTGATATGCTGAAATGCACTTTATTTATTTATTTTTGTAGAGATGGGGTTTCCCCATGTTGCCCAGGCTGGTCTCAAACTCTTGAGCTCAAGTGATCTGCCCGCCTCAGTCTCCCAAAGTACTGGGACTACGGGCATGAGCCACCTCGCCTGGCCTGAAATGCACACTTTCATTATGAATTGTCTTATGTTATTTCTTCTTCATATTCCAGTTAGGGCATTATGCTGATGTGTATTCATCTAATACGTGTAGGAGGTGATACTATCTATGATTCTAATTTCGGGCGAGGAAAGGAGACATTATGTAATTGTTTGTTACTAAAATGGGCCTTGGGGATCACAGGGTCAGGGACCACCATGTGCATTTGCTCAGCAGAGCAGAGCTTTCTGCAAAGAGTCTTTCACAGGGCCCCATCTCAGCGAGCAACAGTTCAGAGACCCCCTTCTCCTGGAATGCAGAGGCAATTTTTCCTTCATCTTTTCTCACTAAAATATCTTTCTGACCCTCCTACGGAGACAACCGCTTCTTTTGCACAATAAAACCATTGTTGTCTACCTATCATCAACCATCCACTTTCAGAGTTCCCCTGCCCTGTTGGGCTCAGGCAAAAACTTTTTGCTTTGGAGCCTGGGGGAGTGTGCATGGGAAGGTAGTACCCCCTGCCTCACTTACTCTCTGTTATTCAGTTGGAAGAACCAGCTTCATGAAGGCTGGAACCATATCTGAACTATTCATCGCAATCCTGTGAGACTCGCTGAGTGCCTGGTATACAGTAGGCACTTAATAAAAACAGCAAATGAGAAAAAAACAAAGAGAATGGTGGTACATGTAAAAGTGCCTACCAGAGTAATTGTACACAGTAGGTACTTACTAAGTATTTCTTGGAGGAGGTGTGTGCCTGGTACACAGTTGGCACTCAATTCATGTTTTGTTACATAAAATGGTATCGGATATAAGGGTCTAGCCCATACCAGGTGCTCAATACCTAATTTTTTAAATTTTATTTTAATAATAGAGATGGGATCTCGCTTTGTTGCCCAGGCTGGTCTAGAACCCCTGGGCTCAAGTGATCCTCCCACCTCAGCCTCCCAAAGTGCTGGGATTACAGGTGTGAGCCACCGCACCAGGCCAATCAATATTTGTTGAGTGAATAGTGAATAAATTAATGAATGAATGAGAGAGTGAGAGGCAGGAGCCCTTGCAAGATTGTGAGATACAGCCCATCTCTCCAGGGTCAGATGCCCCTCCCACCTCTGCACGCAAACACTCTGCAGCCCCAGGCAGGAGATGACACCAAAGCTTTTCTGGAAAATCCATGTGGCTTTGCTACTTACGAATCGTGAGGAGTTGTCGTTCTTCACTGTTTTGGCGTTGCCGAAAGCCTCCAGAATCGGGTTTGCTTGTAGAAGCTGCTTTTCCAGCTCTCCCTAAAATTCATTCACATCTAGTTATTGGAGAAAGCAACCTAGGTCCTGACAGTTCTACCTTGGATGGATGTTGTCACAAAACTCTGCCCTTAACCCACAGGTTCTCTCCTATCTCCTACCTCCTCTTAGACCCTGATGCTAATGTTCAGATTTACAGGAGGATTTCAGAAGAGAAGCAACTGTCTGAGCTCTCTAATAGCTAGGACATCTGCTCCCTAGGAAGGTCACTTTTTTCAAGACCAGGGCCTGCTCATCTGTGCAACATCACTGCCACTCAAAGCCACTGCCTTGCACAATGTCGGTGATGTCATTTACATCATGATGAATGGTGCCCCCCGGAGTTGTGCAGTGCACCACCTGTCCCACTGTACATGGCAGTCGTGCTGCTGTTCATGTTTAACAAGCAGCCTTCTTCAAGTTAAACCACTACAAGCCTCCTTCTAATTATTTTAGTGCAATTTTTTTTAAGTTGCAATTTTTTCTTTCTCAGGACTGGTTTTCTGAAGTCTTCTACAGCAGACAAGTAAGGAATGCACAAAACCCACCAGGAATCCTCTTAGCGGACTGCGGAATAAAGCTTCAAAGCAGGTTGCCTGAGCTCCATTCATTGGGTTAAAGGAAGCTGAGACTGTACACAGCCCACCGGCCCCCTCTGCCGGGATGCCTTTGCACAAACGCGGTCACGTGATTAATCATGGCAGGAAAGGGCCAATGTGGTAAGTTAAGCTGGGAAAGCAAACGAGCTGCTCTTGGCCTAGCCCTAAAACATGGCGGCTGCAGTTGGGCCCCGAGGCCTCCAGGCCCTGGATTCTGGGAGTTTTTCTCCTTGTCCTCCCCTCCTGCTTTCCCTTCCTTATTTTTCCAGGCATCAGGGCTGGGCTGGACAGGAGCCGGGAAAGTGTCTAGAGGGGACAAGGATGGGCATGGCTTCCTCCTCATTCCTCCGCATGCTAGGAAGGCATCAGGGTACCTGGTCTACAGGACAAAGCAGGAAGCTGCTATTTGTTTCTGTTTTGATTTGTCCACACATCCTCCTTTTTGTAGCTCCCAGAGAAAGATGAAGCAAAAGCCTCATCCGCATACAAATCTCAGCTACAAGTGGAATCACCACAGCTGAGACTGGTGGAAATTTACAAGGAGCACCACGGGCATTTCTTTGTTGGTGGGAAGACGACTAAAGGAATCACTTTTGTTCACATAAACTTGGGGTCTCCATGCTCTCTGAAAAAGGCTCCCTTTCTAGAATGGGGATTCTGGCAGGTAAGGTTGAAAAGTCTTGGCAAGAGAGCTTTAAATCGGGGGACCTGGTTCAAACCCTCAATTTTATAGATGATGAAACCATAGCCCCGAGGAGTTAACTGACTCGGCCAAGGTCACACAAAAGCAGATCCCAAATAAGAACTGTAATTCTCCTTCTGATCTGCAACACAGTCACCCAGGGTCTAACTAAGATGGATTGAATGATCTTTTCGGGAGCCAAGGAAGACACCTGTGGGTTTCTTCTAGGCTGGGACCCACACATCAGCCCCCCAAGCTCTGTGTTAGAGATGAGTTTACATATGCACAGGTCCAAGCAGGACCAGGTTATGCGTTGCGTAGCTGGGGCCTTACCGCGCCACCAAAGCTAGTGCATCGCGACCTCCAAGACTGTTTCTGGAGGCTTGAGTCAAGCAACCAGCATGCAAGAGACAGACACGCACTGCACACGCATGCACAGGGACACACTGGTGCACCAGGGACAGGGCTGAGGGAAGACACTTAGGGATGATGGCAGGGAGAGAAGAGGGAGGCATGCCACAGCTGTGCCATCGACTGTCCATCGAGCCAGGGAAGCTTTGGGGCCTGACAGTCCTAAAACACTCAGCCAGATGGGACAGACATCTCTGTCTAGGTTGTTCCAGTCAAGGGTACCAGGAGCGGATGCTTTGAAGGGTGCAGGGGTTCATTCTGAACCGGAGAAATCCATTTCAGGCTGGAGCGCAACCCTGGGGACTCCAATAGGCGTCCCGTGGGTGGTAAATGCACCCCCACACCCTTCCCTGGCATCAGACACCCACAGGATGGTATTTTGGTGCATTTACTGATTTAAGTTGTGAAACTCTAGGGCCTACCCCATTTCTACCACCAGCTACGGGACTCGGTGGGTGCAAGAGGATCATGCAGATCTAAGTTCACTCCGTGCCTCCCCTACACACCAGGAAAACACTCTCAGTTACTCACGTAGGCAAAAGATGGGCCTTGCTGTGGTTGAACAACACAGTATAAAACAAATGTCAGCGTTATTTCCATCACATGGACATCAGGGGCTGGAGAATATATGACTTTGATCCCCCCAAACAGCCTGGAGTCTCCCAGACAGACTGGTCAGCTCCTTTTCCTTGATACTGTTTCTTTTCTCTCTGTTTAGCTGCAGGAATACGATCACAGCTCACTGCAGTCTCAACCTACTGGGCTCAGGCAATCCTCCTGCCTCAGCCTCCCAAGTAGCTAAGACTACAGGCATGCACACCAGGCCCAGCTAATTCTCTTGATTTTTTTTTTTTTTTTTTTTTGGTACAGACAGGGTCTCACTATGTCACCCAGGCTGGTCCTGAACTCCTGGGCTCAGACCATCCTCCCACCTTGGCCTCCCAAAACACAGATTACAGGCATGAGCCCCCATGCTCAGCCATTCCCTCCTTTTTCTAATTTCTTAGAGATCCAGACATTTCAAAGGTTTTCATAATTACTGGGGCCACATTAGGCTCCTTAAAACAGTATCCAGTGAGACAATGTCTGAGATGTGTTTACGCATGCAGCCAAAACAAGCAGCACATAGTAGGCCCTTGATAACGATGAGTTGTTAGAAAGTATTATCTCCTGTGTTTACTCTTTAGGGAAAGGGAAGGCAGTGGAAACTGTGTTTAAACTGCCACACAGCCTCTGGGGCCATTGTTCCCACTCACTATGGCTGGAAACCAACTTGCCAGAGACAATTCTAGGATGCTGAATCTTGAGTTTCCTGCATTTGTTTGGAGAAGGAAAGTTCTCCAAAGCCACGACCAGCGCCCATCCTAGATCTCCAAGGGCCTCCAGACAAGCCGGCCATGGTGGCTGCCCCAGAGTCCCCTCTGAGGACGCAAAGTGACATCTGGAATGGCGAACACTGGAGACACCCCATGCCGTGGTCAGATCTCCATCCTACCATCTTCCCACCCACAAACCTGCAGACGGAGGCACCGGCCAGTCCTAGCGGCCCTACCACGTGCCCCCTCCTGTGGGATAGATGGGGCAGGGCTGACACACGAGGAGGAAGAGAAGGATGGGCCCTAGAGGTGATGACTCTAGAAACCTGCTCTTCTTTTCCTCCCAAGCTCTTAGTCATACCGTGTCATCATCTGTTTATTTGAGGGATTCTTTGACAACTACATGCTCTTCCACAGGTCTGGAAGCTCAGAGAAGAGAATAACAGCATCTCTCAGACTTATCCCCAGGTCCCCACCCCAAGTGGTTCCTGGCATACAGTAGGTGCTCAATCCACAGTTACTGAATGGCATTGCACTGAAGCCCACGGGCCGAGTGATACCAGCATCTCCATCCCAGGGACAGGGGGACACGTGGAGGAATCCGGGAACCCAAAAGGTACCTTAACCCCTGGGACGTTACAGAGATTCATGAAAGGAGTGCTTCTCAATCAAGGGCAACTGTCCCACCCCAGGGAACATCTGACAATGTCTAGAGATATTTTTGGTTGTCACAACTGGAGGGAAGGGGGCTGTCGGCATCTGGCGGGTCGAGGCCAGGGATGTTGTGAAACATTCTACGAGCCACAGGGAAGCCCCTCCAAGGAAGAGTTATCTGGTCCAAAATGACATCAGTGCCACCACTGAGAAGCCCCGACGTGGAGGAAGATCTCGCTATGGAAGGAAAGGGCTTATTCTCATTTCACAAAACGGGCCCCCTTCTGGAGGGATGCTTCTAGCTGAGCCAAGAAATCACCCACACTCAACAGGCCTGCTCGCCAAAAAGACGGTCCCTCTTTGAGTCTTCAGGGGAGGGGTAGTCAGATGGGGCCTGAGTTCTTGCAATGATGTTCTGTTTGTATCTCGGTTGGGCTGCAAGCTGGAGACCGGTTGGCTAAATCATGGCCTCTGATTGGGAACTGCCACTCACCGTGATACTTGTGTCTTTCTTGCCCTTGTGGGAGGAGGCCACCACGGCCAGGTACTGAATGACCTTCTTGGTGTTTTCGGTTTTCCCGGCTCCAGACTCGCCTCTGAAAGACACGGGAACATCATCTATGCACACGTTCCATGGTGACCTTTCCGCAGTTCCATGAGCCAGGCAGGACAATAATGATCATCACCACCATTTCCCAGAGGGTGAAACAGAGGCTCCCAGAGGGGAAGTAACTTGCCCAAGGCCACATCTCTGGTAGTGAGCGGAACTGGGTCCCCAGCCTAGGTCCAATGCCCAATCTATTCCTTCCAAGAGGACATAGAAAAGAATTCAGATACAAAGAGTGAAAAGGTGGGCCGGATGTGGTGGCTCATGCCTGTGATCCCAGCACTTGGGGAGGCTGAGGTGGGAGGATCATTTGAGCCCAGGAGTGTGAGACCAGCTCAGCAACACAGAGAGACACTGCCTCTAGAAAAAGATTTAAAAATTAGCCAGGCATGGTGGCACATGCCTGTAGTCCCAGCTATTTGGGAAGTTGAGGCAGGAGGATCACTCGAGTCCAGGAGTTCAAGACCAGCCTGAGCAACACAGCACAACCCTGACTCTATAAAAAATAAGAAAAATTAACCAGGCTTGGTGGTGCATGCCTGTAGTCCCAGCTACTCAGGAGGCTGAGGTGGGAGGATGGCTTGAGCCCAGGAGTTTGAGGCCACAGTGAGCCATGATCACACCACTGCACTCCAGCCTGGGTGACAGAGCAAGACCTCATCTCTAAAAAAATAGAGTGAACAAGAAAACCTTAGTTTTCTTACATAGGTCCAAACAGGTTTATTTGGAATTATCTACTTTTTTTTTTTTTTTTTTTTGAGATGGAGTCTCACTCTGTCCCCAGGCTGGAGTACAGTGGCACAATTTCAGCTCACTGCAAGCTCCACCTCCCTGGTTCTCCTGCCTCAGCCTCCCAAGTAGCTGGGACTACAGGCACCCACCAGCACACTCGGCTAATTTTTTGTATTTTTAGTAGAGACGGGGTTTCACCATGTTAGCCAGGATGGTCTCGATCTCCTGACCTCGTGATCCGCCTGCAGACATCATTAGCATTGCTAGAAATGGAAAGACCAGGCACAAGGCAGCCTTCAAGAAAGGATGTAAGTGCCTCTGGAGTACCAGGACCTAAAGTTTAAGAAGCTCCCTTATGGAAAGAAAAATTTACCAAAAAACCGGTTATCCCATTGGTCACTGGGCAGATGCAAGCCCCTTTATCCTCTGAGGAATCCCACCCCATGTATCAGGAAGCTGGCTGATGATCTCAGCCAAGTATCTAAGAATAAACCCAGTTGAAGTAATTCACACTAAAGTGTAAATGACTGATATGTTTAGATCAGCACGACATGGTTTGTCGTATCAAAAAAGTATGTCCTCCTGGAATATGAAGGTAGATCTTTTTTTTTTTTTTTTTTACCAAGATGGCTTTCGTGCACTAGCTGCCTGTTTTGGCCACCAGAAATCATCACAATGGAACCGCTCCATCCAGATACTGCCTCTATGTTCCACCACTCCTAGTGAAAGATAAGGACAGTGCCTTGACCAAAACTTCACTTGTTTATCGTCTTCTTCTATTTTTCAGTTTACTTTTGTTTTTTGTGTTTCCTTTCTTTGCCTTATCTCTTTTATTTTCTGAGCTCACTTAATACTCTAAAATATAAGAGAGTTTTTTTTTTAAGTTGAAAAAAGAATTTGTTCACCCCGAGGTCAGCCCAAGGTTCTCTGTGCTGAACCAGTGCCACCAAAGCTAGTACAGTCTCTGCTCTTCTTCCTAATTAGGAAATAAAGAAATTAATTTTCTCTGCCAAAGGCCCATTAATAACTTGGCTCATGGCTTAAAAAAGAAATAGAAGAAAAGAAAAAAGAAAGAGAAAGAAAAAAAAAGTGCCCCAAATTGCTGTGCCTAATCCTACAGGTCCCACTGTCCAGAAATCAAGTGTCTGATGGCCAAGAATGATGAAACATCTTGCGGTGACTTTGTGTGGTCCCTTCCCTTCCTAGAGGCCTTCCTTCCCAATGGCCACATTATTTCACATGGCCTCAGAGGCAGTTTATGAAATGGGGACCATGAAGGCATTACCCCATTTCCCCAGAAGGGGAAACTAAGACCAGAATATATGTGTGTGTGTGTGTGTGTGTGTGTGTGTGTGTGTGTGTGTAAAAGAGGAGAACTGGCCAGGTGCAGCAGAGAACTGGCCACGTTTATAATAGCAGCTACTCAGGAGGCTGAGTTGGGAGGATGCCTTGAGGCCAGGAGTTTGAGAGAAGCCTGGGCAACATAGCAAGATCCCATCTCTTAAGACAGAGAAGAATTGGCGTTTGTCATTGGGGGGATATAGGGGGAAGGGTCCCTTTGCTAAATGCTCTACATGAATTATTTCCTTTATCCTCTTCCTGCTTCCATGTTATTATAGAAGGAAGAGTCTTGCCCAGAGTGGGTAAGCAATTTTCCCTAGGTCACACAGCAAAGAAGGGATACAGTCAGAATGGAAAGTCAGGTCTCTGATTCTAATGCAGTCAGAATTCCTTTTACTACATTTCACCAAGTTGTTCCATGACACAGGCCCAACCCTCTAGGGACTTGCTTTCTAAGGCCAGAAGAAGGGCAGGGGAAGGGGAATTGATATTTGTTGAAGGCCTGCACAGTACTAGGCTTTGGGCTCACAGATCTTTTCATTTACTCTACCCAGCAATCTAATGAGAGAGTTATTAATTATCCCCATCACCCATCCGGGGAAACTGAGGCAAAGAGAGGTTTGAAGTAAATTGCTCCAGCCCACAATTGCTCCTGCTTTCACACAGATAGGAAATGGAGGAGAAGCAGGATTTGAACGTAGGTCCACTTGACACCAGGGCCCATGTTCTGCCTCCTACCCTTTTATTTTAACAAATCAGCAAAGAGAAAAGACAGAGTGAAGTCCCAGCCCCACTCCACTGGAATTCTGCCATATATTCCAGGAGGCTTTACTTGCCCCAATCAATGAACCAAGCCACTCAGTCATTCACACCTAAGTATGAATTACTTCAATCAGGCTAACGTCAGAACCTTGCTTGACTTCATTCTAAAGTGAAGGGGTTGGATTCTGATTAAAGCAAGAGAAAGGAGAGAAATTTTTGGATGTAGGAAACCACTTGCGTAGGTGGTCATGAACCTATTCAGATCCAAGACAAGAATCAGGACAGCAGTGTGCACAAACAACATGTGTGGATCACACTCTTCATGCTGACAAACCAGTGCTCCTAGACTGCTGCTGCTCACTTCTCCTTTCCCACAATAGTTCCTTCCTTTCCACCCTGGCCTTGAACCTCTCTCACCTCCTCCCTTTTACAACAAAGACATCACCGGGTGTGGTGGCTCACGCCTGTCATCCCGGTACTTTGGGAGGCTGAGGCGGGTGGATCACTTGAGGTCAGGAGTTCAAGACCAGCCTGGCCAACATGGTGAAACCCTGTCTCTACTAAAAATACAAAAAGTAGCTGGGCATGGTGGTGGGTGCCTGTAGTCCCAGCTACTTGGGGAGCTGAGGCAGGAGAATCCCTTGAACCCAGGAGGCGGAGATTACAGTGAGCTGAGCTCGTGCCACTGCACTCCAGCCTGGGCAATAGAATGAGACTCCATCTCAAAAAACAAACAAACAAACAAACAAACAGACAGACAAAAAAAAAAACAAAGACATCAATGTGCCCTATCCGTGGCTATGGTCTCCCACTTTGCCTGGGATGGGGAGTGGGACATAAACTCTGGGCATCTACCCCTTCCCATGTTGCTGCTGGGCTCCACTGTTTCCAAGTTCTGTTGAGAAAAATAAATTGCCCTGGGAGGTTCTGCCAAAGAAAACATCCCAAGCTCCAGGCTCGTGGGCGTCTGAAGGTTGATGTGCTTAGAGCTGGTTCTAGAAACATTCATAGCTTGGCTTTTCTGACCCCTGACCTCTAGGGGTGAAGATGCCTTCCTGGTCTGAGCACCCTAAACTCCTTTCTTATTTCTTGGGGAATTTGGTACTGAGCTCCCTCTTCCCGGAGAAGGACCAGACTCATGACCACGTTATGGCCTCCTGGCCTTGTAACTACCCCAGTGCCAAGTCCTTTTAATCAGTCCAGCCCCAGCAGCTGGGAAGAACCACCCAATGGCCACTTAATCCCCCAGCCAGGCTGGCTTCATGAGTGTGACCTGTACCGTCTCACAGGGACCACCCTGTGCTTCATACTCTAATGTTGCCATCTGGAAATTCTTCCTAATTCTTTATAAACGCTCTGCATTTTTTTTCTTTTCTTTTTTTTTTTTTTTTTTTGAGACTGACTCTTGCTCTATTGCCCAGGCTGGAGTGCAGTGTGTGATGGCGGCTCACTGCAACCTCTACCTCCCAGGTTCAAGTGATTCTCCTGCCTCAACCTCCCAAGTAGCTGGAACTACAGGTGCCCGCCACTATGCCTGGGTAATTTTTATATTTTTAGTAGAGATGGGATTTCACCATGTTGGCGAGGCTGGCCTCGAACTCCTGACCTCATGTGATCTGCCCGCCTCAGCCTCCCAAAGTGCTGGGATTCCAGGTGTGAGTCACTGCACTCAGCCAGCATTTTCATTTTGCAAAATTCTACAAATTCTGCAGCTGGTCCTGGCTCCCAGGGTCGAATATTGCCAAGTCCATTGCAGCCTGTGGTTTGCCACTGGTAGGAAAGCCAAATTGTCTCTGATGAACCTCACAGCTATTCAGTCCCTGGTCTTTATGTGACTGGCAAAGCACCCTGGCATTTTGTACTGTACAACTCCTACACGTCCTGCAAAACCCCAGGCAGAAGCAACGCCTCTCTCCCCTATAGCATCAATTGGCAGAATAGCATAATGGGCTCCAGGACCAGGTTGCTCAAGTTCAAATCCCTCCTCTGCCAGTTACCTGGGTGACCTTAGGCAAGTCATTTAGCCTCTCCATACCTCAGTTTCTTTACCCCATTATAAAATGGGTATAATAAAAACACTTACCTTGTATGATTTTTTTTTTTTTTTTTGAGACAAGATCTCACTCTGTGGCCCAGGCTGGAGTGCAGTGATGCAATCATAGCTCACTGCAGCTGAGAATTCCTAGGCTCAAGTGATACTCCTGCCCCAATCTCCCAGGTAGCTGGGACTACAGGTGCACACCACCACAGCTGGCTGATTTTTAAATTTTCTGTAGAGACAGGGGTCTCGCTATGTTGCTCAAGCTGGTCTCGAACTCCTGGTCTCAAGTGATCTCTAGCCTCAGCCTCCCAAAGTGCTGGGACTACAGGCATGAGCCACCATGCCTGACCTTTTATATGATTCTTATGAGGATTAAATGAGTGAACATTTATATAAAATGCTTAGAACAATGCCTGGTATGCCAAAATGTTAGTTATTATTACTTTTGTTTTTTGAGACAGAGTTTTGCTTCTTGCTCAGGCCAGAGTGCAGTGGCACAATCTTGACTCACTGCAATCTCGAACTCCTGGGTTCAAGTGACCCTCCCACCTCAGCCTCCTGAGTAGCTGGGATGACAGGCATGTGCCACTACACCTAGCTAATTTTTTGATTTTGTGGGGTCTCGCTAAGTTGCCCAGGATAGTCTTGAACTCCAGGCCTCAGGCAATCCTCCTGCCTCGGCCCCCTAAAGTGTTGGGATTACAGGTGTGAGCCACTGTGCCCACCTATTATTACTTTTATAACCACTGCTTCCACAGAAGTCATATATTGTTTGTATAATGATTTTCAGCATTCATCCTATCATTACAATATAAATAATATTCACATTTTCCCACTGTTTAAGCTAGGAGTTAGCAAACTCTTTTTGTAAAAGGTCAGACAGTAAATATTTTAGACTTTGAGGGTCACGCATTCTTTGTCACATCTGCTCAGCTCTCCACTGCAGCACAAAAGCAAATACGTAAACAAGTGGGTGCGGCTGTGTTTCAATAAAACTTTATCTGGAACAGACAGACAAGGGCCTGATTTGACCCACTGGTCAAACTTTGTCCTTCCTTGGCTTGAGTCCCTTAGCACGTTCTCATCCATTTCATTTATTTATTTTATTGTTATATATATTTTTTGAGATGGGGTCTCACTGTGTCACCCAGGCTGAAGTGCAGTGGTGCAGTCTTGGCTCAGTGCCAACTTTCTGCCTCCCAGGCTCAGTGAACCGAGATCCTCCTGCCTCATCCTCCTAAGTAGCTGGGACTACAGGCACATGCCATCACGCTCAGCTAATTTTTGTTTTTGTAGAGAGGGGGTTTGGCCATGTTGGCCAGGCTGGTCTTGAACTCCTGAGCTCAAGCGATCAGCCTGCCTTGGCCTCCCGAAGTGCTAGGATTACAGGCATGAGCCACCATGCCCAGCCTGTCATCCATTTTAGACGAAAGTTTAAACTCCTCCCCAGGGCCTGGAAGCACCCCCTTACCTCTCTCTAATTTTATGTGAAACCACCCTCCTCCTCTTACTTTAGCCCCCTGATCACACAGCTCTATCTCCAGCCAGGCCCATGGCCTCTAATTAAACTGATTATACTGGATGGATTACATGCTAGACAAAATACAACTCAGGCCTAAAAATTACATTTATTCAGCTTTCAGTTTCCTTCCTTTCTTGTCTTCCTTCCCTTCCTTTCCTTCCTTCCTGTCTCTGGGTCTTGCTCTGTTGCCCAGGCTGAGGTGCAGTGGTGCCATCATAGCTCACTTAGCCTCTAACTCCCAAGCTCAAGTGATCCTCCCTCCCCAACCTCCTGAGTAGCTGGGACTACAGGCATGCACCATCCCACCTAGCTAATTTTTAAATTTTTTGTAGTAATGGGGTCTTACTGTGTTCCTCAGTTTGGTCTCAAACTTCTGGCTTCCAGCCACCCTCCCGCCTCGGCCTCTCAAGGCCCTGAGTTTCCAGGCATAAGCCACCACACCCAGCCAATTTTCAGTTTCTTTTCTTTTCTTTTTTTTTTTTTTTTTTTTTTGAGACAGAGTCTCGCTCTGTCACCCAGGCTGGAGTGCACTGGCGTGATCTCAGCTCACTGCAAGCTCCGCCCCCCAGGTTCACGCCATTCTCCTGCCTCAGCCTCCTGAATAGCTGGGACTACAGGCACCCGCCACCATGCCCGGCTAATTTTTTTGTATTTTTTTTAGTAGAGATGGGGTTTCACCGTGTTAGCCAGGATGGTCTCGAACTCCTGACCTCGTGATCCACCCGCCTCGGCCTCCCAAAGTGCTGGGATTACAGGCGTGAGCCACGGTGCGTGGCCAATTTTCAGTTTCTTTTCTTTTCTTTTTTTTTTTTTTTTGAGACAGAGTCTCGCTCTGTCACCCAGGCTGGAGTGCAGTGGTGCGATCTCTGCTAACTGCAAGCCCCGCCCCCCAGGTTCACACCATTCTCCTGCCTCAGCCTCCTGAATAGCTGGGACTACAGGCACCCGCCACCATGCCCAGCTAATTTTTTTGTATTTTTTTAGTAGAGATGGGGTTTCACCGTGTTAGCCAGGATGGTCTCGAACTCCTGACCTCGTGATCCGCCCGCCTCGGCCTCCCAAAGTGCTGGGATTACAGGCCTGAGCCACAGTGCGCGGCCAATTTTCAGTTTCTTAACTGCATAACCAAACAGTTGGCTCCAGCCTGGCTTCTCTTAAGCACCAACTACGCGTAAAAGCTCAGCCCTGCTGTCAACTTGTAGGTCCTTCAAGTCACTTTGGCTGAATTTCACAACAAGCAAAATAAAATTGAATACAGAGACTGAAGATGTTGGTGGTTCTGGGCTGACTGGATGCATTTGCAAATAAAAGTCTGATCGTTTTGGGATTTCCTTCCTAACAATGGCTAAGGCCTCCTTCTCCAGCACTGGCTGTGTGTGGGCAGTGTGCCAAGTCCTTGCTAACGCTGCATTCCAGGAGATGGAGATACACAATAGCCAAGTAAACAAATAATCAAGATAGTTCGTGGTGGAGATATCATTGCTACATCTGGGTGATGTGACTGAGAAGATCGAGGGGAAGGGAGGAGAGGGGAGGCTGTGGATGGGGAAGCCAGGGAGTTGCTGAGCCTTGAAAGTTACAAGAGAGCCCTGTGGGAAGGATGGAGGGAAGGGTGGGCCAGGCAGGGCAAACAGTATGGACAGAGGTCCAAGGGAGGGAAATGCTGGGCCCAGGTATGAGACAGAATGGCTCCCAGCATGGCTGGAGGGCCACAACAGAGGAGGACAGCAGGAAGTGAAGAGGGAAGAGCAGATCACACTCAGTCTTCCAAGTCACAGTAAGGAATCTGAGTTTTATTCTCATGGGTGCAGGAAACCATTTCACGAGGGGAACGGGACTTTAGAACCAGTGTGGGGAGAATCAGAACTGCAGGATGGGCTGGGCGAAGTGGCTCATGCCTGTAATCCCAGCACTTTGGGAGGCTGACTGAGGTGGGTGGATCACCTGAGATCAGGAGTTTGAGACCAGGCTGGCCAACATGGAGAAAACCCATCTCTATTAACAATACAAAAATTAGCTGGGCATGATGGCATAATACTCGGGAAGCTGAGGCAGGAGAATTGCTTGAACCCAGGAGGCGGGGGTTGCAGTGAGCCAAGATCGCACCACTGCACTCCAGCCTGGGCAACAGAGTGAGACTCTGTCTCAACAAAAAAATCAACAACAACAACAAACTGCAGGATGGGCCAGGCTCAGCGGCTCATGCCTGTAATCCCAGCACTTGGGAGGCCGAGGCTCCCCGGGTCACCTGAGGTCAGGAGTTCGAGACCAGCCTGACCAACATGACAAAACCCTGTCTCTACTAAAAATACAAAATTAGCCAGGCATGGTGGTACATGCCTGTTATCCCAGCTACTCGGGAGGCTGAGGCAGGAGAATCACTTGAACCTGGGAGGTGGAGGTTGCTGTGAGCCAAGATCACGCCATTGCACTCTAGCCTGGGCAATGAGAGCAAAACTCCATCTCAAAAACAAACAAACAAACAAACAAACAAACTGCAAGATGGATACTGGATTGCAGGAAGGATTTTTAAAAAATAGTGAGCACTTTCACTACAATAGCAGCTGATCCTTACAAAGTGCTCACCATGGGGCAGTGGCCTGTTTCTCAGTTCTTCACATGTAGTGACTCATTTCATCCTTCCAACAACCCAATGGGGTGCTTATTGTTCCCATTTTACAGATGGGGAAACTGAGGCTCAGAGAAGTGAACTGACTTATTTCCTGGAGCATACAACTAACTAGACGATGATGGGGCCAGAATTCAAACCCAAGGGGTTAGGTTCTGGAATCCACACTTTATGACAGCATGCTAATGAATATTTATTCAATGAATAATGAGTGAATATTCTTATAATGTATATTTATTAAAGGAAGGAAGCAAGCAAGCAATGGGAGCAGGGAGCTTAAGAGACTGCTACAGAGGCCCTGGTGAGAGGTGACGGGACCCTGAACTAGGAAGAGGCGGTGGAGTCAGAGGAATGGACAGAGATGAGAAATATTTCAGCATCATACCGTCCAAGGCAGGAACCGCTATCTAAATTAACTAAAATCTTAAAAATTCAGTTCTGCAATATACTTGCCACTTTTTAAGAGCTCAATTAAGTGAACTTTTAAGTGAACTTTGTGCTCATCACAAAGTTCTTTTGGATAGCACCGTTTTAGATGAAACAGCACCTGCTGATGGCATGGGTGCTGGAAATGAGAGCAGGGTGGCCTCTTCTTCATCTTCACAGCCTCTCCATAAGCTCAGCTCAGAGAGGTCAAGTGACCCGTGCATAGCTACATAGCTAGGAAGCCATCTGAAAGTCCTACTCTTTCCTGCACCTCTCTGTTACCACACTTAATTCATTCACTCAACAGAGGGCAGTTGAGCTACACTATTTTGGTTCCTGGGGAGATGACATGTGGCTCACACATGGGTTTGGCTCCTAGGGGATCAAATGCCTCTGTGGCTAGCTGAAAAACAGCCCCCACAAGAATGTCCATGGCCTATCCTCAGAATCTGTGAATATGTTTGCTTGAGATGAGGAGACTGTCTTGGATCATCTAGGTGGGGCTAATATAACCACAAAGGTACTGGGCCTTATAAGAGAGAGGTAGGGGGACCAGAGAAAGAGATTTGAAGATACCATGCTGCAGGATTTAAAGATGGAGGAAGAGACCATGAGCCAAGGAATGCAGGTGACCCCTAGAAGCCAGAAAACTAGGAAACCAAGTCGGCAGGTTGTTTTAGCATTTATATCCTCATAGCTAGGTAGCATTATATCTCTAGATCCAGACTATTCATTGTCAAACATCAAATGTGTACATCCTACCATGGAATATGAGAATTCAGTTCCCATCTAATCCTCTTCCCTTTCCCCACAGAGCCAAGTCCATCACAGGGAGTTATTCTGGTTAGATAAATACTCCAAACTTGCACAGCTGGGCTCCTTAGTCCAATGTGATTACTTCTCCTTCCATCCCAACTTTTGTTTTTTCCTGGAGTTTATAATTGCCTTTGTTTTATTGTTTCCAGGTTTTCTATCTATATCAACCCCAAACTTATTAATTGTTTCAATCTTCTCTCAATACAGTTCATTGCCATCCTACCATCCATCACCATCTGAAATTCTAATTACTAGTTTTTAATTGTCCTTCCAGATAATTTCATGCAAATAGGAAACATATGCACGTCCATGCAATCCTGCTCTTTTTAAAGACACACACGGTTACATTATGCATATGCTGGTTTGCCCCTGTGTTTTCCACTCAACGGTATTATCTATAAAGAGCGTTCTCTCTCAGCATAAATAGATCAGCCTCACTCTTTGTAGTGGCTACCTGGAAATGCTATATTTTATTTAAATAACCTCTGTTGATTATAGCTTTAGTTGCTTCCAGACCTTCAAATATATATATATATAAATATAAATATATTAAATATAATACATATTATATATTATGTAAATATATATATGCACAGTCTATCCTCATTATTTATATATTCTATATTTTCAAATTCACCGACCTGCTGAAAGTTATTTGTAACCCCAAAATCAATATTCATGGCACTTTTGTAGTCATTTGTGAACATGTGCAGAGTAAGGAAAATTCGATTCCCCCAATGCACACGTTCCCAGCTCAGGTTGAACAGGGGAATGCTCTACCTTCTAGTTTCAACTCTCATACTGTAAACAAGTGTCCTTTCTGTAGTGTATTTAGTGCCACCTTTTTTTGTATTTTTGTGGCTTTTTGTTAGTTATTTTGCAGTTTAAAATGTCCCCTCAGATGTGCTCCCTTCGGCAGCACACATACAAAAATGTCCCCAGCATAGTGCTCAAGTGTTGGCTCATGTTTCCAAGCACAATAAAGTTGTGATACCCATTATGTAATAAATACACATCAGATAAACTTCATCCAGGCATCAGCCACAGAGCTGCTGGCTGTGAGTTCAATGTCAATGAATCAACAATATATATTAATATATGTTACTTGCATATAAATACAATAGTGAAAACTCTCTCAATGATTCTAAAATTGAGTTACTATCTTCTGCCTATGTACCTAGGTCTTCAAAGAAACAGTGATACCAATCACCAAATATGGCACTGATGTGTTTGTGGCTTGATAAATGTGAAATACTAAAGTGACAGTTTAACATCTTCCCTATCAACACAGATGGCTGTTATGCAATTAGATAAGATTCTGCATATAAAATCTTTAGTTCAAGTCCTGGCACAGAGTACATGTTCAATAAATGCTAGTTTTTTAGAAGGAGGAGAGGTATGGAACCAAATGATAGCAGGTGTCATTAAGAGTTTAAGTTTGCCTGCCTCCGCAGAAGACCATATATCACAAATGTTTAGTGAGCATCTACATGGTGCCAGGTATAAAGAGAGGCACTTGGAACCATGAACAAATCAAAGATCTCTGCACTCATGGATCTTTTCTTTCATAGGTTGGATCTCGACTACAGATTAAAAAAAAAAAAAAACAAAAAAAAAACAGAAGAAAAAGCAGTTCCACTTACGTGCATAGAATGGACTGGTCCTCCCGATCTGCAAACAGAAAGAAGAAAAAAGAGCCATGAATTAAAATGAGCTCTGAGCTAAGGGTCTGGACTTGGCTCCTCCCAGGGCCCTCCCATTCTAAAGCTTCTCCATGCTGGCCTCATTGGAAGTGACAACAGGTCAGCTGGGCTCATTGCCCAGGCTACAGGGGCCACGACCAAAGCCAAAAGGGCAGCCCCAAAGTCCCAGAGGCAGCCCCAGAAAGATGCTGGAGCCTGACTGATCCAGGAGTCATTAGCATCCAGCCACATCAGCTCTGGAGGTGTCCCGGGAGGCCCACCCCACCCAGATTAGGTTAGGGACCAAACGCAGATGTTGGATCTATACAGATTGGGGTCCCCCTTAGCCACTTCTCCGCTCTGTGGCCTTGGGCAAATATTCTTAAACTCCATGCCTCAGTTCCTTCATCTGTAATATAGTATTGTGCACATTTGTGTTTTTTTGTAAATCCAGCATCCATTTCCTCTTCTTCCAGAAGCATCCTGTGGTCCTTGAGGTTTCCCCCATCACCCCTACCGTCATGTACAGTCTTAGTGGGACTGCCTCATAAGTACCTTCAACAAAGAGGTAAGAATGTGTTCCAGGCTGCATTGGTCAGACTCTCTGGCCTAAAACTCCAAGCTCAGTCAAGGACAGGGAAGCACAGCAGGTGGACAGAGCCCTGAGGCAGACTTCCTTTCTGCCCCTGGGCCCAAGCAGCCCAGTTTCTGTCATTTACCTAGCCTGATTCCTAGTGTTCCCACTGCAACTGTGAGCTCCTCCATACTCCCCTACAAATCCCTTTCCTCTACTAGATGACAGAGTCAGTCTCTCTTGTTTACCACCAGAGAAACCCAAAAGATACAGAGGTCATCAAAGAACTAGATGTGATTAAGCAGACATTATCCATCACCTTCTACTCTTAAAGAGGCCTCTGAGGTGGAGCCAGGCTCTGAAGACCCATTTCCTTCCCAAAGAGAGATCTGAGAACAGTTACCAATACGTTCAATGGTCACCTAACAATGTAGAAATCCCAGCATCATATCTGCTGGTAGACAATGCCACAGTGGCAAGCATTTCTTAAATCCACTCCCTGGCTTCAGTCCTACTAGTTCAGTGCTCAGCTCTCACAAGCTTCATTTCATCAAAAATCTCCTAGGCTTGGTTTTACATTGTATCTCTAGTACTGGCACATAGATGGTAGGTGCTGAATTATGCTTGTTAGATGGATGGATTGAGGGATGGATGAGTAGATGGATGGGAAGATGAGTGGACGGAAGGAAGGAAGAAAGGAAGGAAGGGTAGATGGGTGAATGGAAGGGTGGGTAGATGGGTAGGTAGATGGATGGGTGGGTGGGTGGATGAATAGACAGATGGACGGGAGGGTGGATAAGCAGATGAGTAGGTGAGTAGGTGGGTGGGTGGATGGGCAGATGGGTGGGAAAATGGATGGATAGATGAGTAGATGGATGGGAGGATGGAAGAAGAGGTGGATGGGCAAGTGAGTGGAAGGAAGGAAGAAAGGAAAGAAGGAAGGAAGAAAGGATGGGTGGATGGAAGAATGGATGGATAGGTAAATGGACGGGAGGATAAATGGATGGGAGGCTGGGTGAATAGGCAGACAGATGGCTGGATGGAAGGATGGATAGATGGACAGGTAGAGAGACAGGAAGACAAATGGATGAGTGGGTGGGTGGGTAGGTGGACGAATAGATGGATGGAAAGAAGGAAGGATGGATGGATAGATAGGAAGAAAGAAAGAAGAAAGGAGGGAAGGGTGTGTAGATGGGTAGATGGGTGGGTATATAGCTGGTTGGACGGATGGTTGGACGGAGGAGGGAAGGATGAGTGAGTGGATGAGAGAGTGGATGGGTGGGTGAATGGGAGGGAGGACAGAGTGTATAGGCCGGTAAATGAGTTGGATGGATGGATGGATGGATGGATGGATGGATGGATGGATGGATGGGAATATGAATGGGAGGATGGATGGGACTGAAGAAGGCAAGGTGAAAGAGATGACTCTTTCTTCCATCTGTAATCTTAAGAGAGAACTGATTGGATGTGGGCACGTTCCTCAGATTCTATGCCCAACTCCAATCAGTTCTCTCTCTCTTCCCTCGGATTATAGATGGATGTTTGGGTGGCCTGGTTGAACGAAATCCTCAAGACAAAAGGCCTAAAGACTAGTCAGCTCTGGGGTTTCAATTCTGGTGTGTTTATATAATGGCACATTTAAAAATAGGCAGGCCGGGCGCAGTGGCTCATGCCTGTAATCTCACCACTTTGGGAGGCCAAGGAGGGTGGATCACTTGAGTTCAGGAGTTCCAGACCAGCCTGGCTAACATGGTGAAACCCCATCTCCACTAAAAATACAAAAATTAGTTGGGTGTCATGGCACACGCTTGTAATCCCAGCTACTCAGAAGGCTGAGGCAGGAAAATTGCTTGAACTCAGGAGGCGGACGTTGCAGTGAGCCGAGATCGTGCCACTGCATGCCAGGCTGGGCAACAGAGCAAGACTCTGTTTCAAAAACAAATAAGATATAAATACATAAATAAAATAGGCAGCCATTGAAAAGAACCAGGCAGAGCTTTGTGGATGGACACAGAAAAATATCCAAAATATATTAAGCTAAAAATAAAAGATGAGGTAGCATAGTGTTATACCTTTTGTGTTTTAAAAAGACAGATATATAGGTAGGATGCAGTGGTTCATGCCTGTAATCTCAACACTTTGGGAGGCTGAGATGGGAGGATCACTTGAGGCCAGGAGTTCCAGACCAGCCTGGACAACATAGCAAGACCCAGTCTCTACAAAAAAAAATTTTTTTTTAATTAGCTATGTGTGATAGACATACCCCTTGTCCCAGCTACTTGGGAGGCTGAGACAGTAGGATCCCTTGAGCCAAGGAGTTCAAGGTTGCAGTGAGCTGTGATTACACCACTGCACTCCAGCCTGGGCAATGGAGTGAGACCCTATCTCTAAAAACAGACCTGGGATGGGTGCGGTGGCTCACACTTGTAATCCCAGCACTTCGGAAGGCTGAGGCGGGCAGATCACTTGAGGTCAGGAGTTCAAGACCAGCCTGGCCAACATGGTGAAACGCTGTCTCTACTAAAAATACAAAAATTAGCTGGGCATGGTAGCATGCACCTGTAATCCAAGGTACTCCGGAGGCTGAGGCAGGAGAATCACTTCAACCCAGGAGGTGGAGGTTGCAGTGAGGTGAGATCATGCCACTACACTCCAGCCTGGGCAACAGAGCGAGACTCCAAAAACAAAACAAAACAAACAAAAAAAACCAACAAACAGGCCTGAGCCTGAAGTATTGAGAAAAGGGACAGGAGGAAGACCTACTTTCACCCATTCTACTTCTATCCTGGTTATGTTTGTGCTATGAACACATACAATCTTTTCCTCATCCCACCAAAAATGGTCAATAGAAAAAGAGTCGGTATTGTTCTTTATGAAACCATCATGACCACAAAGCTAAAAAAAGACAGAAAAGAAAGAGCCACCGCATTAGGATCCCACTAACAGCTCCGATCTCCCGAGCACTCACTGCACTGCAGGCGTATGCTGAACTTCTGTGTTGAAGTGACCCACTGAATTCTCTCAGCAGCTCCTGGGGTGGGCACTGGCATTGCCTCCATTTTACAAATAAGGAGAGTGAGGTTCAGAAGTGAGGCAACTTGCCCAAGGTCACTAGGGTGGGTTGAACTGTGACTCCCAAAAGCTATGTTCACTCAGAACCTCAGACTGCGATGTTATTGACTAACCAATTGATTGAGATGGGGTCTCACTTTGTCGCCCAGGTGGGTGTACAGTGGCGTGATCTCAGCTCACTGCAACCTCAACCTCCCAGGCTCAAGCAATCCTCCCTCTTCGGCCTCCCCTGTAGCTGGGACTATAGGCACATGCCAGCATGCCCGGCTAATTTTTGTATTTTTTGTAGAGATTGGGTCTTGCTATGTTGCCCAGGCTGGTTTCACACTCTTGGGCTCAAGTGACCCACCTGCCTCAGCCTCCCAAAGTGCTGGGATTACAGGCGTGAGCCACTGTATCCCACCTGTGATTTTATTTAGAATAAGGGTCTTGCAGATGTAATTAAGGGAAGGATGTTGAGATGAGGTCATCCTGGCTTGGAGTGAGACCTAAATCAATGGTGTCCCTATTTATAAGAGAAAGGAGGCCGGGCGTGGTGGCTCACACCTGTAATCCCAGCACGTGGGTGGATCACCTGAGGTCAGGAGTTCGAGACCAGCCTGGGCAACATGGTGAAACCCATCTCTACTAAAAATACAAAAAATTAGCCAGGCATGGCGGCAGGCACCTGTAGTCCCAGCTACTCGGGAGGCTAAGGCAGGAGAATCACTTGAACCCAGGAGGTGGAGGTTGCAGTGAGTTGAGATTTTGCCACTGCACTCCAGCCTGGGCAACAGAGCAAGACCCCATCTCAAAGAAAAAAAAAGCAGGAAAAAAGCAATCAAACTTTAATCTCTCCATTATACTCTGGAGACAGACAGATACCCGTGCCTTTAGCTTCCACCCAGGGGGAGAAATTCACTCGAGGACAGAGCAAAATGGGAAACCAGTTTAATTTTTTTTTTTTTTCTGAAATGGAGTCTCGCTCTGTCACCCAGGCTGGAGTGCAGTGGCTCGATCTTGGCTCACTGCAACCTCTGCCTCCTGGTTTCAAGCAATTCTTCCACCTCGGCCCCCCGAGTAGCTGGGACTACAGGTGCGTGCCACCACGCCTGGCTAATTTTTCTATTTTTTGTAGAGACGGGGTTTCACCATGTTGGCCAGGCTGGTCTCGAACTCCTGACCTCAGGTGATCCGCCCGCCTCAGCCTCCCAAAGTACTAAAAAGTGATTTTTTAAAAGAGGGTGAAGGATAGAAGAACCAGGTACCCTGTGATTAGAACCCAGACAGAGAGAACCTCCTGGGACCGGCCCAGACAACCTCCACTATCTTAAGGAAAGATTTTGAGATGGACAGACAGATGGGCTGTGTTGATCCACTACTTCAGGGAGAGAGGCAGGCTTTCCTGGCAGCCTTGTGAATCCTAGGCCCAGAGCAGGAGAGATTTATAGGCTCAGATGCTCACAGGGCCCCCAGGAGAGGGAGCGGGCTCCAGGAGAAGGCCTGGGAGCTGCCAGCGCGGCTCCGAGCTGGGGGCTGCTGGGAGACCTCTGGCCTGACGTTCCCATCAAAAACACACCACTTCCAGGCGTGGGAAGCTTGCAGGGTGCTGGTTACGAGCAGAAGGACTCCATGTGGGTGCTGTCTGCCAACCCGTGTGGAGCACAGGGAACTCTGAGATCCTGGAAATTTTTATCTGATTCCTTCCCCAAGCCTGAGCTTGTGTTGGACTCAAAAGCAGTGTTCTCCACCGTACAAAGCAGTTTCACTCCCTCCTTGCTTTGCACAAGTGATTTCTTCTGCCCAGTGCACCCACCACCACTTCTTCTCTGGCCTAATCCATTCTCTCTCTCTCTCTCTTTTTTCCTTCCATTGAGGTAAAATTTACACTACATAAAAAGAACCATTTTAAAGTGAATAATTCAAGCCAGGTGCGGTGGCTTATGCCTGTAATCCCAGCACTTTGGGAGGCCGACACAGCTGGATCTCCTAAAGTCGGGAGTTTGAGACCAACACGGCAAAACCCCGTCTCTACCAAAAATACAAAAATTAGCTGGGCGCGGTGGTGCACACCTGTAATCCCAGCTACTCAGGAGGCTGAGGCAGGAGAATCGCGTGAACCAGGGAGGTGGAGTTTGCAGTGAGCTGAGATCGCGCCACTGCACTCCAGCCTGGGTGACAGAGGGAGACTCCATCTCAAAAAATAGTAATAAAGATAAAAAAATAACTAAAGTGCATAATTCAGGAGCATTTAGTACATTCACAATGTTACGTAACTACCACCTTTATCTAGTTCTAAAATATTCTGTCACCCCCAAATGAAACCCTCTACCCGTTAAGCAGCCACTCCCCCATAAGCCCTTGCAACCGCCAATTTGCTTTCTGTCTCTATGGTCTTACCTATTCTAGATATTTTTGCATAAATGGAATTATAACATGTGCGGCCTTTCATGTCTGACTTCTTTCACTCAGCATGTGGCTGAAGTTCATCCATGTTGTAGCAGGTCCCAGACTTTATGCCTATTTGTGGCTGAGTCATATCACATTGTACGGATGGATCATATTTTGTTTATCCATTCAACAGTTGACGGACATTTGGGTTATTTCCACCTTTTGGCTATTCTGCATAGTGCTGCTATGAACATTCCTGTACAAGTTTTAGTTTGAGTACCTTTTCAATTCTTCGGGTACATACCCTAATCTGTATCTGAAACATCGTCTTGGGAGTCAACTCTTCTATGATACCTTCTCTAACTCTGCACTTTTCTAGAGCTGAGTTGGAGACCTTTCCACTTGACCTCCTACCTGCAGGATGGCCATGGACCGTGGTGCATGTTGTACACTGCATAACTCTATGGAGAAACTATTTGCATTGGTCATTTATTGTATTGCATTGTGTATTTATTGTAATAATCTTTCAGCAGATGGAGGAAAAGTGCTTTGAGAAAACGGTGCCTTTCTCTAATATAAACATGAGTGTCACATGGCCTAGTGGTTCCCATGGTCCACAGGTTCTCTCCATTTTAGTAATTATCATCATTGTGATCCTTACTTAATAAATGTCTCAAAACATTCTGGCGGAAAAAGGTACAGATGATATGGAATGATAATAGGCCATCTATCCATGATATGGCATTCAGAGTTTTTCTTGTTTTTCTTTTCCATATTGGTAAAAATTATGGACTTTATTCATAATATCCAAAAAATAGAAACAACCAAATGTTCATCAATGGGTAGATGGATAAACAAAATGTGGTCTACCCAGACAGTGGGATAGTATTCAGCCATGAAAAGAAAGGATGTTATGGCCGGCGGCCATGGCTCATGCCTGAAATTCCAGCACTTTGGGAAGCTGAGGCAGGTGGATTGCTTGAGCCCGGGAGTCCGAAACCAGCCTGGGCAACATGGTGAAACCCTATCTCTACAAAAAAAAATGCAAACATTAGCTGGGCATAGTGGCACAATCCCTGTGGTCTCAGCTACTCAAGAGGCTGAGGTGGGACAATGGCTTGAGCCCAGGAGGTGGAGGTTGTAGTAAGCCACGACTGCACCACGGTACTCCAGCTGGGGTGACAGAGACAGACCCTGTCTTAAAAAATATATAAATAGTATGAATCCATGATACAACGTGGATGAACCTTGACAACATTATACTAAGTGAAAGAAGCTAGCCGGCTGGGCACGGTGGCTCACACCTGTAATCCCAGCACTTTGGGAGGCTGAGGTGGGCAGATCACGAGGTCAGGAGTTCAAGACCAGCCTGGCCAATACAGTGAAACCCCGTCTCTACTAAAAATACAAAAATTAGCCAGGTGTGGTGGCACGTGCCTATAGTCCCAGCTACTCGGGAGGCTGAGGCAGGAGAATCACTTGAACCCAGGAGGCAGAGTTTGTGGTGAGCCGAGACCACATCACTGCACTCCAGCCCGGGCGAGTGCAGTGAGACACTCTGTCTCAAAAAAAAAAAAAAAAAAAAAAAAAAAAAAAAAAAAGAAGCCAGCCACAAAAGGTCACATATGATTCCATTTATATGAAATGTCCAGAATAGGCAAATCCATAGAGACAGAAAGTAGATTTGTGAATTCGTGGCTGCCAGGAGCTGCGGGTAGGAATATGGAGTGACAAAAAAATGTGCACAAGATTTCTTTGGGGGATGATAGAAATATAAAATTATATTGCAGCAATGGCTGCATAACCATGTAAATTATGAGTGAATTTAGACAGTTATGCAGACATAGCTGCAATTTTAGGTGTGAACTGTATCCTTAAAATGAATTTATTTAAATTATACCGCATAAACCTTTTTTAAAAATGATGTTCATTTTATACCACCTCTGAATGATTATAAATCTGACTTCTTCCACTTCATGCAGCTCTATTAGGTTTCCAACAATTACAAAATTGTTCATTTTCAATGCTTTTCCCCTGAACCAATGAGCTCCTGAAGGTACAAGGAACAATGCCTGACACACAGTAGGTGCTCAGGAAATGCTTGTTATTTTGAATTGCTCTCTGGCTCAGAGAGGCAACCAAGGTAGAAGCAATGGAAAATGCATATTCACGTGTTCACATATTCATTCAACAAACGAGTCCTGAGCCAGGTACCGAAAGCACAAAAGTCAATAAGATCTGCTTTTTTTTTTCTTTTCTTTTTTAAGAGATGAGGTGTCACTCTGATGCCCAGGCTGAAGTGCAGTAGCACGATCATAGCTAACTGCAGTCTGGAACTCCTGGGCTAACAGATCCTTCCATCTCAGCCTCCTGAGCAGCTGGGACTACAGGTGCATGCCACTACGCCTGGCTAATGGTTTTTTTGTTTTTTGTTTTCATTTTTTTTGTAGAGACAGGGCCTAGTAAGGTAACTTAGTAATATTACCCAGGCTGGTCCCAAACTCCTGGCCTCAAGTGATCCTCCCGCCTTGGCCTCCCAAGTAACTGAAATCACAGGCTCAAGCCAATGCACCGAGCTTCATGACTTGCTTATCCTTGCTTTTGAGAAGTTCATGACCCAGGGTGGGAGTCAGATGGGCAAAGAAATGACCGTAAGAGATGAGCAGTGCTACGATGGATGTGAACCCAAGTGCTATAGACGTCAGGTTTTTTGTTTGTTTGTTTTTTCACACTGACCTGAGCAAGACAGGAAGCCTTCACGGCAGAGGTGACCACTGAACAGCATTAAGAAAAATGTGAAAGAATCTCCTGGGGAGAGGTCGAGGCAGAGCATCCCAAGCAGAGGGCCTGGGACAGAAGCTCCAAAGTGGGCGGGGACACAGTACCGAGCCTCCGTGGAGTCTGGGAAGGCTGGAGCTGGGGGCGGCCGGCCATCATCAGGACCCGCCTGGGGCTGAGCTTCCCAGCCCAGATCCCTGGGGCTCATGTCACCTCACACCCCATCCTTAAACATGCCTCTCTCCCTTCCTCCTCCCCAGACTCCCCACCCAGCCTCGGATGTGTAAGGCCCCAGGCACGTTTCCTGAGAAGATAAAGGGCTTCAGCGGTTCCTCCCCCGCTGTGGGCCTGAGGACTCCCAGGAGGTACCCAGCTCCCCACAGACCAGCTATTTCGGCCCAAGCCCAAACACAAGCTGGTGGATTCTGTCTGGGAAGCCAGAGCACTGTAGGCTGACCATAAAAGGAGAAAACCCAGCGGGGACTGAGCACAGACCCAGGCTCCCTGCGTCTGCCCTTCTTTCTGGTAACAGGCTGCTGGGGGATCCAGTGAGAGGTAATCAAAACCCGTCTCTGCAGGGCCATCAATACCCCTGGGCTAGTAAAGAAGAAAGGTCTCAGCCTCCATTGCCTGCAGAAAAGTGGCTCTCTACCTAATGCCCCGCACGGAGGCAGATGCCAGAGGTTCTGGATCTTCTGTGGTGTGACTGTGAAGGTGGCCACTGCATGGCCCTTGACGGTGGGTCCTCGGCAGCTGACTGCTAATGCCTGTTGAACTTGTCCTGTCCATGCACCGTGTCCCTACACACTGACCGAATCACCCTTGTAACAACTGGAGTAAGCACAGTCATCATCCTCACGGGACAAGTGAGGAAACTGAGGCACAAAGTAATAGCCGGGGCAGAGCTGGGAGGTGAACCCAGCTCCAGAGCCCATGACCTAAGCCATTCTGTAAGTGAGGGCCCTTCTCTTTCTCCAGCCTTCATCTCCCCACTCTACTCTCCCGGCAGAGTTGGTTAGGATGACATGCTGAGTAAGAAGAGATACTTTGAGAGCCTTTGCTGCAACCCAACAGGTGTTTTCCAAACCTACAGGAAGCCCTGGTATTGTAAAAGCAGAACTGGGCTGGGCATAGGAGCTCATGCCTGTAATCCCAGTGCTTTGGGAGGCTGAGGCAGAAGGATTGCTTGAGGCGAGGAGTTTGAGACTCAAAGCGAGACCCCTATCTCTATGAAAAAAAAATTTTTTTTAATTAGCTGTGGACAGAGGTGTGTGCCTGTAGCCCCAGCTATTTGGAAGGCTGAGGCAGGAAAATTGCTTGAGCCTAGGAGTTCGAGGTTACAGGGAGCTATTATTGTGCCACTGCGCTCTAGCTTGGGTGAAAGAGTGAAACTCTGTCTCAAAAAATATATAATAAATAAAAACATGAAAGCAGAACTGGCCAGTGAAGGGGTGTAGGAGACAGGAAAACCAACGCTCTCCCTCTTGGGCCTCCACTCCTACCTCCTACATTCTCCCCCTTCTCTCTGCTCCAGCCCCAGCAGCCTCATAGAACCTATATCAAGTTCCCTAGCCAAGCCTACACTTCACCTTCCAAGGAAGCCTCCCCTGTCCTCCCAAGGTCCCCAGGGCTACACTTCCCCACTCTCTGGACCTCCTCTACTTAGCAGCTACTTGTGGGATGATTCAATTCGTATTTACACATACGCACAGTAGGCTGTGTCTAGGGCAACATCTAATAATCAATATTGTTAGAATGACCGGGCGTGGTGGATCACATCTGTAATTCCAGCACTTTGGGAGACCGAGGCGGGAGGATTGCTTGAGGCCAGGAGTTCGAGACCAGCCTGGGCAACATAATGAGACCTCATCTCTACAAAAAATCAAAAAATTAGCCAGGCGTGATGATCTGTGCCTGTGGTCCCAGCTACTTGGGAGGCTGAGAGGGGAGGATCACTTGAGCCCAGGAGTTGGAGGCTGGAGTGAGCTATGAGTGTGCCACTCCACTCCAGCCTGGGCAACAGGGCAAGGCCTTGTCTCACAAAAAAATGCTGTTGGATAAAGAAAGGAATGGGGAGCCAGACTGCCCAGAGGCTGGGAGGACACCGAGGGAGGTGGCTGACACATGCAATTTAACAAGGAAGGTGCTGGCCAGGCACTGTGGGTCACGCCTATAATCCCAGCACTTTGGGAGGCCGAGGTAGGTGGATTGCTTGGGCTCAGGAGTTCAAGGCCAGCCTGAACAACATAGCAAAACCTCATCTCTACAAAAAATACAAAAATTAGCCAGTTGTACTGGTGCATGCCTGTATGCAGCTACTCTGGAGGCTGAGGTGGGAGGATCACCTGAGCCTGGAGAGGCTGAGGCTCAGGTGAGCCGAGATCACACCACTACACTCCAGCCTGGGCAACAGAGTGAGACTCTGTCTCAAAAAAGCCCAAAACAAACAAGGAAGGTGTTGCCAAGTGTCAGCTGGGGCTTTTCAGGTTCACTCCCTTAAGTATGTCCCTTTTTCAATTTAATATTTACGGTTTTTGTTTTTGTTTTTGTTTTTTTTTGAGACGGAGTTTTGCTCTTGTTGCCCAGGCTGGAGTGCAGTGGGGCAATCTCGGCTCACTGCAACCTCTACCTCCCAGGTTCAAGCGATTCTCCTGCCTCAGCCTCCCGAGTAGCTGGGATTATAGTCGCCCACCACCATGCCTGGCTAATTTTTTGTATTTTTAGTAGAGATGGGGTTTCACTACATTGGCCAGGCTGGTCTCGAACTCCTGACCTCAGATGATCTGCCTGCCTCTGCCTCCCAAAGTGCTGAGATTACAGGTGTGAACCACTGTGCCTGGCCAATATTTACTATTTTAAAACAAATAATTCTCCTTTGCTGTCTCCCTTCCCTGTAATGCACCATGGGTACCAAAAATAAAAATAAAATAAAGATAAAAACGTGAACTTTTCATGATTAGTCAGAGCACCAAACAGACACTCCTAGCACCTCTGTAAAGACTGAGCCAGCCAGACAGAGCCATTCATTCCCACACACAGTCCCCCATCATTCCCAACCGGGCCAGACACATAGCTGACAGCCACTGCAAAACCCACAAGAGACAGAGAAGCATTTGGCTGTACCCCTTCCTGGAGATGTGTTTGTAGCAGCACTGCCTCTGCAGAGAAACAGCTGGGAATTACTTCTTGGCTCCACCCTATCACCTCTGCCCCCAGGGCCCGTTTCCTCACCAGGGAAATCGACAAAAATCCAGACCTTTCAAGGGCATGAAGATGATTGAAAGAGACTGGATTCAGAAAGAGCTTAAAATTGTTTTACCCACAGCACATTTAAGAGCTTGGTAATTGCCGTTAATATCATCTTTATCATCATCATCTAAAATAGTGATCTAGGGAAGAGGTTATAGACAGCAGTGATTCTGAATCGGCAGGACAGGATATTCAACCAAAGATATTTAACCCCTTTCTGATTACAAGGTGTCATGGTCTGAATGCTCATGTCTCCCTCAAATTCATATGCTGGAATCCTTACCCCTAAAGTGATGATATTAGGAGGTGGGGCCTTTGGGAGGTGATGAGATCATGGGGGTTCAATCCTCATTGGGGGAGAGACCCAGAGAGCTAGCAGGTCCCTTCCACCATGTGAGACACAGCGAGAAGGCAGCACTAGGCCCTCACCAGATACCAAGCTTGATCTTGGACTTCCCAGCCTCCAGAACCACGAGAAACAAATATCTGTTTAAAAGCCACCCAGTCTATGGTATTTCGATATAGCAGCCTTAACAGGCTAAGACACAAGGCCTATGCTAGTCCCTTAGCCTTCTGGGGGCCTCAGTTTCCTCTTCCGTTATATGGGGACAAGAATACTACACTATCTATACCACGCTACCCAGGAGGGAAGAGTAACATTCTGAGGGCAGCGAAGCTGGGTCCCCAGGTTTGACTCTCAGTTCTGGGGCCAAGTAGGTGTGCTGAGTTTTCCCCATCGATCAAATGGGGAGGCTGCCACCCACCCTGTGTGGTGCTAGTGAGGGCCGAGCAATGTGGGATTGATGGAGCAGTGAACCCAGGTCCTGACCTATTGCAGGGGCCCTGAGGACATCAGTGCCCTTCCTCTCTCTGCCTCTACTGGGGAGCAGCCTCAGGGGAGTTGGGTGAGCAGGAACCATCCCCAGGGGGCTGCCAATCTCAAGCAGAAGGATACAGCCGAGTGTGGGAACTTGCAAAGTGGAGAAAGTCGTTTGGATCACTCCACCTGCAGAGTTGTCTTAAGCTTAAAGAGGAATTAGCCAAGAGCCCCAAGCTGATAAAGGCTGGCTGTTATTTCTTTTTTTAATCCCCTGAGTGTGGCCATTTGTTGCTAATGAGGTGAGGACAAAACATTACTTGTGGCTATCTTGCATAGGGCAAGTGCAGAGGCTCAGAATGGAATCTTATCTGCTTTCCTGCCCCTCCTACACCCCAGGGACCCATGGAGGGGCTCCAAAGTGGTTCTTGTCTGGAGGGCTTTAATGGCGCTTTTCTCCTATTCATCACGTTCATTTATTGAACTTAGCTCCAGCCTCCTAAGCTTTGAGCTGTCAACACTCTGAGATGAAGACAGTAGACAGCCTTCCGTGGGATTGAGGGGGATCCCTGTGGTTGCCCGGTGTCACCGACTGACCAGCAGGGCTCCGGCTTTGGAGTCAGGATAATCCAAGTGTATATTTGGCTCTGACACTTAACAAATCTGCAGCAAGTTCTCCACTCCTCTGAGTCTGTTTTCCCAGCTGTAAAAGGGAGCTAATAATAGCTCTTGCGGCTAGCGTTGGATCACCCAATAAACCTTGTAAGCATATGCTGAGGGCACACCCACACAGGCATGCACGAGAAGGAAGAATGCCATAGTTGCCATTTCATAAGCACCACGAAGATAAACATCATGGGAAAAATAGCAACTTTAGGCTGGGCACGGTGGCTCATACCCATAATCCCAGCACTTTGGGAGGTCAAGGCAGGAGGATCACTTGAGGCCAGGAATGAGAGACCAGCCTGGGCAACACAGTAAGATCTTATCTCTAAAAAAAAAAAAAAAAAAAAAAAAAAAAAAAGTTTTTTCACTAGGCACAGTGGGCTCACACCTGTAATCCCAGCACTTTGAGAAGCCTAGGCAGGTGGATCACTTGAGCTCAGGAGTTCAAGACCAGCCTGGGCAACATGGTGAAATCCCGTCTCCACAAAAAATACAAAAATTAGCCGGGTGTGGTGGTGCATGGCTGCAGTCCCAGCTACTTGGGGAGCTGAGGTGAGAAGATCACTGGAGCCTAGGAGGTCAAGCCTGCAGTGAGCCGTGTTTGTGCCACTGCACTCTAGCCTGGGTGACAAAGTGAGAACCTGTCTCAAAAATAAAAAAGACTGGGCACGGTGGCTCATGCCTGTAATCCCAGCACTTTGGAAGGCCAAGGTGGGTGGATCACCTGAGGTCAGGAGTTCAAGACCAGTCTGGTCAACACGGTGAAACACCATCTCTACTAAAAGTACAAAAATTAGCTGGGCATGGTGGCATGTGCCTGTAATCCCAGCTACTCAGGAGGCTGAGGCAGGAGAATCACTTGAACCCAGGAGGTGGAGGTTGCAGTGAGCTGAGATCGTGCCATTGCACTCCAGCCTGGGTGACAGGGGTGAAACTCTGTCTCAAAACAAACAAACAAAAAACAGTTGTTTTTTTTTAATTAGCTGAGCATGGTGGTACATCTCTGTAGTCTCAGCTACTTGGGAAGCTGAGGCAGGATTGCTGAACCCAGGAGTTTGAGGCTGCAGTGAGTTACAATCGCACCATTACACTCCAGCCTGGGCAACAGAGCAAGACCCTGTCTCTAAAAAAAGCAAAAACAAAAACAATTTTGTCAGCCTTCTTTACTTTATAATTTAATTTTTTTTTATGACATATGCCTGCACCTTAATAGTTTCAGGGCTTAATTTTAAAATTCCTAATCTGGTCCTGTCCACCTTGTAGGTTTGTGGTAAAGATTAACTGAGAATATTTCTGTAAAGCCCTGAGCTTTATAGGAAGCATATAATAAAAATCCATGATTATTATTATCACTTCTTTGTAAAAGAAGGCATGAGAGAATTCCCATGAGAAGATGGTAGGCTGAGTGCATGCATTTAGCTCTCTTCCTTCCTAAACCTTACTAAAATAACTGTAAAAGACTTTCCAAAAATACATGAACCAGTTTAGCCGGGCATGGTGGCTCATGCCTGGAATCCCAGCTCTTAGGAAGGCACAGGCATGAGGAAAGCTGGAGCCCAGGAGTTCAAGACCTGCCTGGAAAATATAACAAGACCCCATTCTCCACACAAAAGAGGGGGGAAAAGGCAAAAAAAAAAAAGTGTAAAAAGGCCGGGCGTGGTGGTTCACGCCTGTAATCCCAGCACTTTGGGAGGCTGAGGTGAGTGGATCACCTGAGGTCAGGAGCTCGAGACGAGCCTGGCCAACCCGTCTCTACTAAAAATACAGAAATTAGCTGGGCATGGTGGCATGCACCTGTAATCCCAGCTACTCAGGAGGCTGAGGCTGCAGAATCGCTTGATCCTGGGAGGTGGAGGCTGCAGTGAGCAGAGATCGTGCACTCCAGCTTGCGCGACAAGAGGGAAACTCCATCCCCCAAAAAAAAACAAACAAACCAAAAAGTGTAAAAATACATGAGGCAGTTTAAAAAGAACTAGAGAGGGGAGAACAGCAAAGCCATCTTGGAAGACAGAAAATGGGATAAGCGTTGAAAAGTACCAAGAAAAAGGCCAGACACCGTGGCTCACGCCTGTAATCCCAGCACTTTGGGAGGCCGAGTTGGGTGGATCACCTAAGGTCGGGAGTTCAAGACCAGCCTGACCAACATGGTTGAACCCCATCTCTATTTAAAATACAAAAATTAGCCGGGTGTGGTGGCGGATGCCTGTAATCCCAGCTACTTGGGAGGCTGAGGCAGGAGAATCACTTGAACCCGGGAGGTGGAGGTTGCAGTGAGCCAAGATCATGCCATTGCACTCCAGCCTGGACAACGAGAGTGAAACTCCATCTCAAAAAAAAAAAAAAAAAAAAAAAAAAAAAAAAAAAGGTACCAAGAAAAAAGTCTAGGTGAGCAGTGAGGAAAGGTGAGAAACGACCTAATTTCAACACCGAATTCCCCATTTCTGCCCCAAACCTCAGAAACTGGCAATGCCAGGGGCCTCTGGAAGAAAAGATCAAGGAGGAGACAAAAACATAAGGACTGGGTCAAATATAAGGCACTGTTAGACCCCTCCCATATCTTCTACACTCCCTGAAGCCAAGTGACTGCCCTTCTCACACCCCACAGAAGGTGGTGGGTTTAGTCTCTGGTGAGGGTTAAACAGAGGGTCTCCGTCCTGGGGGGACACCAGGAACCATACTGAAAGAAGGAAGGTATAATGTACAAATTTCACTGCACATTTTGAAACCCTCAGCTTCTTTTCAACTAGACCCTCAAAATGATGCTAGACAAATCTTTAACCTCCAGGCAGAAGATTTTTCTACAAACCTTCTCTGAAGAATCAGATTAGCCCATGAACAAAAGACTGAAAGACGAAACAGAAGTGTCCTAATGGGGTAGCCCAGTGCTTTCATATTATAGCCAAGCACATCAGCAAGCCCATCCTATAAGCACTGAGCTTCCATCAACAATTTGGTATCCTGTGTACTAAAGCATCCAAGATGAATGGATAGCCAAGAATCCCAAGACATCTGAAGAAATCCACTAATATGACAGACAGAAGTTAAAACAATTAGGAAAATATGTATCTTGGAGGAAATAGACTCTGCATTAAATATCCTCTGAGAAACAGGATATTGCAACCACAGAAAAAGAATGTCATATGAAAGAAACATTTAAAAATAAAATAGAATTTTTGGAATTTAATAAAATATATACCAGAAATTTAAAACGCAATGGAAGGGTTAGGGAAAAAAGTTGAGGTAAGTGCCCAGAAAATACCATTAAAAACATTAAAGTGATGAAAATGACAAAAGAAAGAGATTTAAATTATAGGATTGGTCTAGGAATTCCATTATGGAAATAAAAAGACTTCTAAGAAAAAGAAACAGAGAACACAGGGAGAAAGACAGCATCAATGAAATAATTTGCAACATTTCCCAGAATTTGTGGACACAAGTTTATAGATTAATTGGGCCACTAAGTGTCCAGGATAACAAATAAAAATGGACTCATAGCAAGTCCCATCATCCTGAATAGGGGTACAAAGACAGTCTAAAAGCTTCTAGAGAAGGAGGAAAAACAAAAACTGGTCATGTACAAAGGATCAAGAATATTCCCAGCCAGGAAGGTGAATATAATCACACACACACACACTCACAAACATACACACATACGAATCAGATTGGGTTTCATCTTCTCAAAACTGAAACTAGAAGGCAACAACACAAATGCCTTAAAAAGCTCAGGCAAAAAAAGTTATTTATAACTTTCTGAAAACAACTTTCTTGCCTGAAATTTTAAACCCAACTAAACTATCCTTTAAGTGTTAGAGAAGCATCAAGCCTCTCAGATATGGAAGTTCTCAATGCCTCAAGATCACGTACATTCTTTCTTGGGAAGCTACTGGACAAAGTGCTTGATTTAAGCAGGAGAGTAAAGCAAGAAAGAGGAAGACATGAAAACTGGGAAACAAGGAATCCACTATGAAAGCACTAAGGGGAATTTCAAGGATGGTGAAAAAGATCCTATATGACAGTTACTAGCTATAGAGAAAGCCAGGGCAGATCAGAAGGCTATAGTAGAGATCACATTCAAGGAGATGATATCAATATGATATCCAATACATGTCTGGACATATTAAAAGGAGATTAACACATTTAGAAAGAGATTTTGGGGCAGAATTGGTGGTTAAATACATGGAAAACAAGATTGGGGAAAAAAAAGGCAATTGCTAACTCCAGGAAAAAGAAAAGTCATACAGAAAGAAGAAAAATAGTCACAAAGCAGTGCAAAGCTCAGCTTTGAATAACATCTACATAATCATAATAATGTAAACTCTAGATAGCATTACATAGTCATAATAATGGAAACTCTGAACACTGAGTTTGTCAAAACTAAGATAAAATTATACTGGGACTCTGATATGAGGCATGTGTGTTGGAACGAGGAAATAGGGGCAAATCCAGAGGGTGAATGAGCTAAATTTCATCTTTCATGGAGGAAAGTCAATAGATGATACCTAAAATTGAAAACAAAATTAAGATAGCAGCACAATGATCAAGTGTTGTTTTCAGAGATATGGTGGTAAATACCAAAAAAAAAAAAAATCAATTAAAGGAGTTGAGAAGTAGCAGAGGATGGCTATTTTTCTTAATAAGCCTTCAAAAATTACTTGACTCTAAGCCGTCTGCATGAATACTTTTAACAAAAATAAAAACCAATTTTTTAAAAAAGGGAACAAGGAATTCCTACATGCACTGATATGTAACATCCTCTGGCAAAATATAGGACTGTATATATATGGAATGCTAGTATTTGTAGGGAAATCTTAGGGAAGAAAATAGATACCTATTTGCTTATACTTGCAAAAATATCTCTAGGAGAAAACCTCATACACTAGAAACCATAATTGTCTCTTGGGAGGGAAGCTAAGGGTCTAATGCACAAGGGTTGAAGGGAGAAGTTCACCTTTTGAATTTGTATGTAACATCTTTCCAAAAACAAACCACGGCCGGGCGCAGTGGCTCATGCCTGTAATCTCAGCACTTTGGGAGGTTGAGGCGGGCAGATCACCTGAGGTCAGGAGTTTGAAACCAGCCTGGCCAACATGGCAAAACCCCATCTCTACTAAAAATACAAAAATTAGCCAGGCATGGTGGTGTGTGCCTGTAGTCCCAGCTACTCAGGAGGCTGAGGCACAAGAATTGCTTGAACCCAGGAGACAGAGGTTGCAGTGAGCAGAAATCATACCACTGAGCTGAGATCGTGCTGCTGCACTCCAGCCTGGGTGGCAGGGCGAGACTCTGCCTCAAAAAAAAAGGGGGGGAGAATTTAAAAAATAAACATGACATAATTTATGCATATGCAGATATAAGATACATATTTTAAATATCAGCTTCTCTTCCCATACCCTCAAGGGGCTTGGCTTCCACTTGGGAGGGTGCCATGTTGTGAAGTATCTCTTAGAAAGTCCCTCCCATTTTCCCAACTCCTGTGAGGCAGCAAAGGGCTGAGCTCTGGCTCTGAGCTCCCTGCCACAGTATACTAGTCAACCCCTCTAAACCAGCTCCTGCCACACTCATCATACCCATTCTCACCCCTACATTTATGCTTTTATTATTCTTGGCTAGAAAGCCATCCCTGCCCCCTTCTCTCACCTTAGCAAACCATTCTTCGAGGCTTATAAAGCCCCACCTCTCTCAAATAACCCACCCCATCCATCCTGACCCTGGTAGGTTCTTTTCTATAAATAACTCTAATAATTCATTGATTCAACAAATACTGAGCAGCTACTATGTGCCAGGCACCAGAAAATGTGCTGGAGATACAATGATGCACATGCAAGAAGGATGGAGTTTATAGGTCCTCAGGAACTTACTGTCTATGTGACACAACTGCAATGCTTCATCTTATATTCAGTGCATGTGTGTTACCCATCCCTCCTCAATCCCGCCTTTTCACACCCCATCTTTTCCATGAAGAACTCAAGGAAGAAGCCACATGTGCTAGCTTTCTCTCTCCACCTTCATGGTAAGCTTAGTGTGGATCGCAGCCCAGTGACTTAACAGAATGAGATCGTGCCATTTATCAATGGAGTCAACACACTGGGCCTACGTGTTTCTTCACAAAAACCAATTTCCTACTTGGGAATGGAGAAAAAATTAAGCAGGTGAACGGAATTCTTCCCAAGCTTAAATTTTTCTCCATTATTTTTGACATTCTTTTTATTTTTTATTTATTTATTTATTTTGAGATGGAGTCTCGCTTTGTTGCCCAGGCTAGAGTGCAGTGGCGTGATCTCGGCTCACTGCAAGCTCCGCCTCTTGGGTTCACACCATTCTCCTGCCTCAGCACCCCCTGAGTAGCTGGGACTACAGGCGCCTGCCACTGTGCCTGGCTAGTTTTTTTTGTATTTTTAGTAGAGACGGAGATTCACCACGTTAGCCAGGATGGTCTCGATCTCCTGATCTCATGATCCCCCCACCTTGGCCTCCCAAAGTGCTGGGATTACAGGCGTTAGCCACCGCGCCCGATTCTTTTTATTTTTGGAGTCCGCCATCAATGATTTGCCAGAAAGCACCAGGTCATGCCAAAATAGACGAGGGCATAGCAGGTGTTGGTTAACATTTAAATTAAGTAAAGAGTTTATCTTTTATGGATGTGCATATTCACGGTTTTCATTTTCTTTCTTTCTTTCGTGACAGGGTCTTACTCTGTTGCCAAGGCTGGAGTACCATAGCACGATCATAGCACACTGCATTCTTGAAGTCCTGGGCTCAAGCCATCCTCCTGCCTCAGCCTCCAGAGTAGCTAGGACTACAGACTCACGCACTGTGGCCAGCTAATTATTTTTTTGTAGAGACAAGAGCTCACTATGTTGGCCAGGCTGGTCTCTAACTCCTGGCCTCAAGTGATCCTCCTGCCTTGGCCTCCCAAAGTGCTAGGACTGAAGACATGCTGCTGTGCTCAATCATGATAGTCATTTCCTATTGGAGCTTACTATGTGTCAAGTGAGCATTTCTAAGTAGTTTCAAGAGAGCTGACTATGCAATTTTGTGTTAAAACCTAGAGACCATGAGGAATCAAATATATGAACACAGGGTGTCCTTGTCAATTACAACATTGCCTCACAGTTAAGAGGTGGTCTAGCGCAGGCATCTCAAACCACCGACTGGTACTGCACAGCAGGAGGTGAGTAGTGGGCTTCATCTGTATTTACAGCCACTCCCTATCACTCCAATTACTGCCTGAGCTCTGCTTCCTCTCAGATCAGAGGCGGCATTAGACTCTTATAGAACCACCAACCCTACTGTGAACTGCACATAAGAGGGATCCAGGCTGTGTGCTCCTTATGAGAATCTAATGCCTGATGATCTGTCACTGTCTCCCATCACCCCCAGATGGGACCGTCTAGTTGCAGGAAAACAAGCTCAGGGCTCCCACTGATTCTACATGATGGTGAGTTGTATAATGATTTCATTATATATGACAATGTAATCATAGAAATAAAGTGCACAATAAATGTAATGCGCTCGAATCATCCCGAACCATCTCTCCCCTGCGGTCCATGGAAAAACTGACTTCTATGAAACTGGTCCCTGGTGTCAAAAAGGTTGGGGACTGCTGGTCTAGGAAAGCAAAAGTCCCCACAACACAAAAGTATTCTTCAATGACTACAAGAGCGATCAAACTCCACCGAAACCTCCTTCTCCGACGATTCAGTGGCTTCACCTTGCCAATTATTGGGTATCAATAGCCACCATCATGATATGAACACAAAACAAAGTGGCAGTTCTGGAAAACAAGGTGCAGTGACTGGCAAAGTCAGTGGCCTTGGAAAGGCCAAAAAAAAGATTCAGGGGCCAAGTGTGGTGGTGCACACCTGTAATCCCACCACTTTGGGAGGCCGAGGTGGGAGGATCACCTGAGGCCAGGAGTTCAAGACCAGTCTGACCAACATGGTAAAGCCCCATCTCTACTAAAAATACAAAATTAGCCTGGTGTGATGGTGCATGCCTGTAATCCCAGCACTATGGGAGGCTGAGGCGGGCAGATCACAATGTCAGGAGATCGAGACCATCCTGGGTAACATGGTGAAACCCCATCTCTACTAAAAATACAAAATTAGCCGGGTGTGGTGGCACATGCCTATAATCCCAGTTACTTGGGAGGCTGAGGCAGTAGAATCGCTTGAACCCAGGAGGTGGAGGTTGCAGTGAGCTGAGATCACACCATTGCACTCCAACCTGGGCACCAAGAGGGAAACTCCATCCGGAAAAAAAAAAAAAAAAAGAAAGAAAGAAAGACAAAAGAAAGAAAAAGATTCAGGGCAATTCACAGCTGAATGAACGCTAAGACCACAGGGGCTTTGAGAGACTTAAACACTAAAGAAGTAAAAGAAGCCCTTAGGAAAACTGGTGACCCATCAAATAAATCTGTAAGAATGATCCTTTTTAGCTCGGGCTGCAGAAGTCAAGCATGACATGAAGATGTCGTTTTATGCTCACATGATTTCATCCCTCAGCCCAGAAAAAGTTACAGAAAAAAACCCCACACCCACTCTTAATTCATTTTATACTGAATCTACAAATTAGCACCTACTTGTAATTAAAATAAAATTCTTATTACATGTAAGCTGAAATTAACCTATTTTTATAATTTGCAATGTTGGTTTTCTTTTCTTTTCTTTTGAGACAAGGTCTGGCTCTCTCACCCAGGCTGGAATGCAGTGGCGTGATCTCGGCTCACTGCAACCTCCACTTCCTGGTCTCAAGCGATCCTCCCACCTCAGCCTCCCAAGAAGTGGGACTACAGGTATGTGCTACCACACCAAAGTAATTTTTGTATTTTTTGTAGAGACAGGGTTTCGCCATATTGCCCAGGCTGGTCTCGAACTCATGACCTCGAGCAATCCACCCATCTGGGCTTCCCAAAGTGCCAGGATTACAGGCGTGAGCCACTGTGCCTGGCCTGCAATGTCATTTTTCAAGCTCAGTCAAATATTTTGCCCACTCTCTTTCCCTCCTCCACACACATACTATCTACAGTGAAACTTTGGTCTCTGTTTTAAGTGATCTTTTTCTGGAACGAATTATCTTCAGATAGTAAAAATTTCCTTCATTTCATGCCATTTAGTTCAGTTAGTGTAATGAAAGGTCACGTAACAAAATGTTAATGGTGATGAGTTTTGGATGATAGAATCATAGGTGCCAGCAAGTTCTCTTTTACTTAAATATATGTTTAAGTTTTTCTAGAATGAATATACAATATTAAAGACTTTTTCAAGTTACAAATAAATTTTTTCAGAGCACTGTAGAAATGCTTACCCATCTGTCGCTCCCCCTCCTTCTCCTTTGCTAACAGAATTTTCTTTCTTTTTGGTATTTAGATTAAAATGTGCTTAGTGGGACCTCAGCTCCAGAAAAGAACCAGGAATTGCTGGGTATGGTGGCTTATGCCTGTAATCCCAGCACTTTGGGAGGCCGAGGCGGGTGGATCATGAGGTCAGGAGATCGAGACCATCCTGGCTAACAAGGTGAAACCCCGTCTCTACTAAAAATACAAAAAATTAGCCGGGCGCGGTGGCGGGCGCCTGTAGTCCCAGCTACTCGGGAGGCTGAGGCAGGAGAATGGCGTGAACCCGGGAAGCGGAGCTTGCAGTGAGCCGAGATTGCGCCACTGCAGTCCGCAGTCCGGCCTGGGCGACAGAGCGAGACTCCGTCTCAAAAAAAAAAAAAAGACAGATACCTGACTCCAGGAGCCATCACTTTACAACCTGAGATTACAGCTCCAAGATTGCCTTTGCAAGGCTCCACCTGCTGGTCTTTGGAGGTAATGGCAGGCCCTGCCTAGAAGGGCCAAGATTCTGGTCCTACCTGTGGAGTCTGGCTAACTGTCAGAAAGTTGGGGCACTTATACCTGAGTCCCTCTACCTTGGGGGCGGGGTCGTGGCATCTCTCAGGCACACCTGGATTCCGGCCTCAAGAACTTCCAGAATTGGGCTCCTCTCAACTCCCAACTCAGATCCCTGGGTTCCCACCTGTTGGTGCCCTTTCAGAGGGGGTGTGAGTTTTCGAGTTTCTTGTACTCTTCGCCTGACCTGGTACACTTGTTTGCATTAACTGCCTAGTCCCTCTGTTTGACTTGGGGGTGGCTATTTCAGGGGCTCCAAAGTGTTCTAAATAGAAGGTGAGAAGGCCTGGGTGCAGTGGCTCATGCCTATAATCCCAGAACTTTGGGAGGCCAAAGTGGGAGGATCGCCTGAGGCCAAGAGTTTGAGACCAACCAGTATAGCAAGATCCTGTCACTTCCAAAAACAAAACAAAACAAAACAAAAACAAAACAAAAAAACCCACCTTTTTAAAATTAGCTTGACATGACAGTCCACACCTATAGTCCCAGCTACTTGGGAGGCTGAGGCAGGAGAATTGCTTGAGCCCAGGAGGCGGAGGTTGCAGGGAGCCGAGATGGCACCACTGCACTTCAGCCTGGGCGAGAAAGTGAGACCCTGTCTCAAAAATAATAAAACAATAGTAAAAATAATAACGTATAAACATGAAAGTAATAGGCACAAGTCTTAAGTTTGGAAAAACCAGCATTAACAATCTTCACAAGAAGCTACAAGATAGAGACTATCACCCCTTTTGACAAATGAGGAAACTGAGGCTGAAGAGGAAAAGATATTTACCCACAGTCCCACAGGGGTTGAGGGACAGGTAGGTGTCAACACAGACCACAATGGCTCAGCCCCAGGGCTGTTCCCCACCCTCTTTCCATCCTTTGCAGACAGCTGGCCCGACGGGGCCCTTGGGCAGCGAGCCCCGGAGCTGGAGCTGGAGCGGGCCCATGCCCGTATTTGCCCAAGCTCTTGGCTCTCCCTCACCCTCCCAGGCTGCAAACACAGATGTTCCTTTTGCTTTTTCCCTTTTTCAGCCACAGTAACTCCTGGTCCCTCGCAGTGCCTGCCAAACTCCACATTCCTGGCAAGAACTGCAGACAAGCAGGACAGGAGGGGCTCCCTGGAGCTGGCCCCGTGCAGCCCTGAGTTCACTCACCTTGAAGCATGCTCCGGTAGGCCGTGTCTGCGATGGCGTAGATGTGAGGCGGCATCTCGTGCCTCTTCTTGCCCTTGTACATGTCGACGATCTTCTCCGAGTAGATGGGCAGGTGTTTATAGGGGTTGACCACCACGCAGAAGAGGCCAGAGTACGTCTGCAGACAGAGAACCCAGCTTACTTCCAGACCTCCTCCAGGGTAGACAGATTGCACAGAAGCACTCAATATTCTCATGTTAGAGATGGGGAAACTGGAGCTTGGAGTCTTAGTGGAAACCCTGGGCCTCACTGATATTCCAGGTACGTGGGAAGAGGAGAAAGGGCGAGAGTGGGTTTCCAAGCTGCCTATGTTTTATTTTGCAACTGTGGGGGGTTTTGTGTTTGTTTTGAGATGGGGTCTCACTCTGTCACCTAGGCTGGAGTGCGGTGGTGTGAACGTGACTCACTGAAACCTTGACCTTTCTGGACTCAGGTGATCCTCCTACCTCAGCCTCCTGAGTAGCCAGGACTACAGGCGGGCGCCACCAGGCCTGGCTGATGTTTATATTTTCTGTAGAGACATGGGTTTCACTGTGTTGCTCAGGCTGGTCTCAAATTCCTGGGCTCAAGCAATTCTCTCATTTCAGCCTCCCAAAGCACTGGGATTATAGTTGTGAGCCATTGCACCTGGCCAAACTGTGGAGTTTTGAAGAGCTCTGGGTTCAAATCTCAGCTCCACTCCTCCGACCTGCCACTTTACCTCCCCGGACCTCACTGGCTTAAATAACAGCCACCGTTCATTGAGCACTTACTATGTGTTGGGCACCGAACTAAGCACTACGCAGGATCTTTTTTGGATGCTGACAATCATATTAAATGCTCATCATTTAACAGGTGGCACAGAAAATGAACAGTGTGCTTAAGATATTAACTCAGGAACATTTAATAAAGAAAGTGTTTACAGATATGTGTGCAGAATTAAAGAAACCCAACCAGTGACGGGAGCAGTTAAGTCTGAAGAGCAAGAACAGAAGAGAATGTTGTTTACTTTTTTTTTTTTTTGAGACAGGGTCTTGCTCTGTCGCCCAGGCTGCAGTGTAGTGGGGTGATCTTGGCTCACTACAACCTTGAGTTTCTGGGCTTAAGTGATCCTCTCGCCTCAGCCTCCCAAGTAGGTGGTACCACAGGTGTGCACAACCATGCCCAGGTAATTTTTATTTTGTTTTTTGTAGAGACAGGGTTTCACCATATTGCCCAGGCTGGTCTCGAACTCCTGAGCTGAGGTGATGCGCCAGTCTCAGCCTCCCAAAGTGCTGGGATTACAGGTGGGAACCACCGCACTCAGCCAGAGAGGGAATGTCGTTAACTGAACATTGGAGGCATAGAAAGCCACACACCCCTAAAAAGGGGCTGTCCAGAGGGATCCGCAGTCATACAGAAACACAGCTGCCAAAACTGTGGTCCAGGAGGGAGGGAGGAAAAGGTAATAATCCTCCAAGCTCTCTCTCCTCCCACCACCCTCTGATCTCTTTCTGGGACCTCCCAATGTCCATATCTAAGAAGAAACCCCAGTGACTCAGTCTCTAGAAGATGGCAGAGGCATCTCCTCGTGGCATCTTCACAACTACTCAGTAACAGTGATTTCCCCACCGCCTGTTTGACAGGAGGGCAAAGTGAGGCATGGTGAGGTTGTCACCAGGTTACACAGCTGGAGGGAAGTTGGGAACTAGAACTCCTGTTTACCCCACAGCGCCTGCTCCTGATCATTAATACCTTCCCCATCTGCAAAACAGAGACCAACACTGACATGAGCTCTCCAATGTGGATGAAGCTTGAAAATATGCCTAGTGAAAGAAGCCAGGCACGAAAAGTCACGTACTCTATCATCTCATTTATGTGAAGTGTCTAGAGTAGGCAAAGCCATGGAGACAGAAAACAGACTTGTGGTTCCCAGAGGCTGGAAAGAGGTGGGAAATGAGGAGGAACTGCTCATGGGTATAAGGTTTCCTTTTGAGGCTATAAAAATGCTCTGGGGCCAAGTGTAGTGGCTCATGCCTGTAATCCCAGCACTTTGGGAGGCCAAGGTGGGAGGATTGCTTCAGGCTAAGTGTTTGAGACCAGCTCAGGCAACAACAGCCGGACCCCCTCTCTACAAAAAAAAAAAAAAAAAAAAAATAGCTGGCCATGGTGGTGATCACCTGTAGTCCCAGCTACTTGGGAGGCTGAGTCAGGAGGATTGCTTGATCCCAGGAGCTCAAGGTAATAGTGAGCTATGATTGTACCATTGCACTCTAGCCCCTGGGTGACAGAGCAAGACCCTGTCTTGAAATTGATAGCTGTACAACATTGTGAATGCACTTAATGGCACTGTTTTCTTTAAAATGTTTAAAATGGTAAATTTTATGTCATATGCACTTTACCATTTAAAAAATAGCAGTCCTCTCCTACTGGGTGAATAGGAGCATCTGAAAATAATCAGATCAGGGACGGAGGAGTCAAGGCACAAGGCGAGTCCCGCCATGCTGTACGTGGTAAGGCACTATTGTCATGATTTTTCCTTACTGGATACTAGATTTTCCCATGGTTGAGGTCACAGTTCAGGAGACAGGCTCCAACCCGTCTCACAGGAACTGCTTTCCCCAAACGATAAACATCAGTACTGCCCAAGACTCTGATGGCCATAAAGCGTATCCTCTTCCCTGCAAGTGACTTAGGGAGAACCACAGATCCATCTCTCAGTTACAGCTAGGGTGAACCAAGCAACAGAGGGTTAAGTGACTTGACCGAGGTCACCAAAGAAGATCCTGGCAGCACCAAGCCCAGCCTGGCCCGCCCCCAGGTATGAGCATGGTCCATTATGCTATCCAGCCTAGGCCCATCCAACAGAAACAGAAACTACTGATCGTTCGTTCATTCATTCATTCATTCATTCATTCATTCATTCATTCTGTACGTCCCAGATGCCATGCAAAAGGTGCTGGGACTACATTAGAACATTAAAAAAACACAGGATCCCAGCCCTCAAGGGCCTTTTAGTCAAGGGCTGGAGCCAATTAGAGAGTGGGAAAGTCTGGCTGGGTGTGGTGGCTCACAACTGTAATCCCAGCACTTTGGGAGGTCAAGGCAGGAAGATTGCTTGAGCCCAGAAGTCTGAGACCAGCTTGGGCAGCACAGTGAGACCCCCATCTCTATAAGAAATTTAAAAATTAGCTGGGCATGGTGGCATTCACCTGTAGTCCCAGCCACTTGGGAGGCTGAGGTGGGAGGTTTGCTTAAGCCTGGGAGGTTGAGGTTGCAGTAAGCCGTGATTGTGCCATGCACTCCAGCCTGTGTGACACGGTGAGACCTTGTCTCAAAAAAGAAAAAGAAAGAAAAAGAGAGAGTGGGAAGGTCCTTCCAGGGCTCAGTCCACTCAGGGACAATGGTATGTAATGTCTGGGGGTGCTGCAGAGGAATATTCTTTGAAGGTACAGGATTGTTGGGCGCAGTGGTTCACACCTATGATCCCAGTACTTTGGGAGACCAAGGAGGGCAGATTGCTCACACTCAGGAGTTCAAGACCAACCTAGGCAACACAGTGAGACCCTGTTTCTACCAAAAATACAAAAAATTAGCAGGGCATGGTGGCACATGCCTGTAGTCCCAGCTACTCGGCAGGCTGAGGCAGGAGAATCACTTGAACCTGGGAGGTGGAGGGAGGTTGTAGTGAGCCAAGGTGGTGCCATTGCACTCCAGCCTGGGTGACAGAGGGAGAACCCATCTCAAAAAAAAAAAAAAAAAAAAAAAAAAGGAAACAGGATTGATGGAGACGGAGGTTCTCACCATCCCCTAAAAGGAGAATGAATGAGTCAACATATGCCTGTCTAAATAGCCATCAACCATTTACTGAGCACCTACTATATACCACATCTGTGTCAGAGGCTGGAGATAAAGAAATCAATGATAGCTCCTGCCCTTAAAGAACTTAAATCAGAGGGGGAGACAAGTACATTAAAACACGTCGTAAGAACAGAGAATGATAGGAACAAGGAAGGGAAGGCCCTAACCCACATTGGGGGTGGTCAGGGAAACCTCCAGGTGGGGAGGTATTCCCTGCACTGAGTCTTAAAGGACAACAAGGTGTTAACCAGCTCAAGACAAAGCAGGGACATGGGCAGAAAAACAGGACACGGGGTCCGTGGGGGTGAACTATAAGCAGCTTGGTATAAGCGGCTCCATCGGACCGAAATGGAGAAGCAAAGCAAGGGTTAGAGGTAAGCGGGGCCCAGGAGCAACATCCAGCCTGGTGGGGCTGGGAGTGGGGGGCTGCCTGCCTGGACACCCCTCTTCCCCATTCCATCACCCAGGACCCTCCCACCCATCCTGCAAACACCAGCTGCAAGTGCCTTGAGTCCGGGGAACCCCCTTTCTCCTCTTCAGTCCCAGCACAGGCCTTGGTATAGAATAGGTGCTAACTAAATGCTTGCTAAATGCATGCCAGGGGAATAAATTAATGATACAGCTTCCTGGGAGCAGGGACAGCCTGACTTCACCTCCGTGACCTGGGGGCCTTGCACGGCGGCAGTAGGTACTCAGTGGACTACACTGAGCCAGGCCAGGGGCTATTTCCTGTTCAATCAGTGTCCCCTGTCCCCAGGACAAGCCTCCCAAAGAGAAGAGCCCAGTCTGTGGTCACCTGAACAAAGGTCAATCAAGCCCCACCCTCCTTCAGGCCTCGACTCCATCTCCAGCTCCTCTGGGGCCATGTCCACTGCCACGCCCCTTTTGAATGTAGGTATCATTTACAGCCCAACCTGTCCTCACTCAAGCCCTTGACCTGGAGGCAGTAAAGGGCAGTGGCTAAGGGCTCAGAACTGGGTATGGGGTACTTGAATTTGAACCTTCACTTTGCTACTTCTTCGCTGTGTGACCCTGGGCAAGTCCCTTAACCTCTCTGAGTCTCACTTATCCTCATCTACAAAACAGGGAGGCATACGAACAAGCCCTTCATAGATGTGCTGCGAGATAATGCTCGAAAAGCATTTAGCATGGCGGCTGGTATGTAGTAGGTGCTCAATCAATGTTATTTAGTGACTCTTACTATGCTCCCTTCATTTCACGAGAGGGAAGTCTTGCCACCTTAGAGCCTTCAATATGCTGTTCTCTCCACTTGGAACACTTTTCCCCTCATCTTCCCACAGCTGGTTCCCTCTCCTCTTTTAGAGCTCTGCCTAAATGTTACCTCCTGGACTGTGACCCACACACTACTGTATCTCCTGCACCCCGCACAGTGCCAGGGACAGGGTAGACACTCAGTCAGCTGTAATCCCAGCACTTCGGGTGGCCAAGGAGGTCAGATCACTTGAGGTCAGGAGTTCGAGACCAGCCTGGCCAACATGGCAAAACCCCGTCTCTACTAAAAATACAAAAATTAGCCAGGCATGATGGCAGGCGCCTGTAATCCCAGCTAGTCGGGAGGCCGAGGTAGGAGAATCACTTGAACCCAGGAGGTGGAGGTTATAGTGAGCTGAGATCATGGTGCTGCACTCCAGCCTGGGCAACAGAGTGAGACTCTAAAAAAAAAAAAAAAAGAAGGAAGGAAGGAAGGAAAGTAAGAAAGAAAGGAAGAAAGAGAGATGAGAGATAGAGAAAAGAAAAGAATAAAAGGAATTTTTAAAAAGAAGGAAGAGGCCGGGCATGGTGGCTCACACCTTTAATGCCAGCACTTTGGGAAATCGAGGAGGTCAGATCACTTGAGGTCAGGAGTTTGAGAACAGCCTGGCTAACATGGCAAAACCCCGTCTTTACTAAAAATACAAAAATTAGCTGGGTGTGGTGGCGCATGCCTGTAATCCCAGCTACTCAGGAGTCTGAGGCAGGAGAGTCACCTGAACCAAGGAGGCAGAGGTTATGTGAGCCGAGATCATGCCACCACACTCCAGCCTGGGTGACAAAGTGAGACTGTCTCAAAGAAAAAAAAAAAAAGAATAAAATGAATTTTTAAAAAGAAGGAAGGACCACACTGCCTTTTCAACTCCATCACTAGCTTCTGAAAGAGGAATATGACTTCCATCCTCTTTGTTTGGGACATCTCTCCCAGTGCCGTGCACACAACAAGCACTTAATCCATACTTCCAGGTAGATCTGAATCTCTGCTGAGTTCTGTAAAAGCTTTCTAAGCAAGCCAGGGTATGACGATGGAGTGAAGGTAAGACTGGTGCAGGCAGCCGCACATCTCACGGCAGGGTCGTGGGGCTTCAGCATCGGGCTCTTCCTCCCACATTATTCAGCCACTTCTCCTTCACCTCGACCCAGCCCAACCATAGTTGGCTGTGTTTCTGCCTCTCTGGCCCCACGAGCCCCTCTCCAGCTGGTTAAATTCAGAGGTTTCAACATCCCAGCCTCCTGTGTCCCAGCCGGCATCTCATGGGCCCTGTGCCACCAGCAAGTCCCAGCTGCAGGCCCAGGATTTCCCTCTTGTGACCGTATTAGGAAGCAGCTCCAGTTTTTCTCTGACGCTTTATATGGTCAGCCACAGAGCCCTGAGCAGGGGGTGCTCCCGGGGCCTGCAGCAGAAATGAGGAACAGGGAGGGAAGGGAGGGAAGTGGAAGGAACACTGGCTTTCAGACACACAGGGATGGCCGGGCGCAGTGGCTCACACCTGTAATCCCGGCACTTTGGGAGGCCAAGGTGGGTGGATCACCTGAGGTCAAGAGTTCGAGACCAGCCCGGCCAACACAGTGAAACCTCATCTCTACTAAAAATACAAAAATTAGCAAGGTGTGGTGGCGCGTGCCTGTAATCCCAGCTACTCGGGAAGCTGAGGCAGGAGAACTGCTTGAACTCAGGTGGCAGAGGTTGCAGTGAGCTGAGATTGTGCCACTCCACTCCAGCCTGGGTGATACAGCGAGACTTGGTCTCAAAAAAAAAAAAGACACACAGGCCTGGGCAGAGTGTTGGCTTTGCCTTATCACCTGCCTGACTTGTGCATACAGACCTACCCCTGAGCTTCCTCAGTAAAGTGATGGATAATCACGGCTTCTTTATGAAGCTGCAGTGCAATATCACGGCTTTCTAAATACCCAACCTAGAGACAGACGTGGTCCACCAAGCACGTGCTTTTGCTGCAGCCTTGCTTTTAAGAGCAAAAAGACTAGAAACAACCTAAATACCTGTCAATAGCAGACAGGCTTAATCATTATGGTTCATCCCTATAGCAGAAGACTGTGCAGTGGCCCTCTCTCTACTACCATGGATGAATGGCCAAAATACACAGTTAGATGCAAAGATTGAGACGCACAACAGCCGGGGCCTGTGCTGCCATTTTGGAGGGGTGCAGGAGGGGCTCTCTATGTGGCTGCATGTGTATAAAACATCACTGGAGGCTGGATGGAGCAGCTCACACCTGTAATTGTAGCACTTTGGGAGGCTGAGGTGGGTGGATCACTTGAGGTCAGGAGTTCAAGACCAGCCTGGCTAACATGGCAAAAACCCATCTTTACAAAAAATACAAAAATTATCTGGGTGTGGTGATGCACACCTGTAATCCCAGCTACTCAGGAGGCTGGGGCGGGATGATCGCTTGAATCCAGAAGGCATAGGTTGCAGGAGCCGAGATCGCACCATTGCACTCCAGCCTGGGTGACAGAGTGAGACTTTATCACAAAAAAAGCAATAGGCTGGGCACAGTGGCTTAAGCCTGTAATCCCAGCACCTTGGCAGGCCGAGGCAGGTGGATCACCTGAGGTCAGGAGATCGAGACCAGCCTGGCCAACATGGCAAAACCCCCTCTCTACTAAAAATACAAAAATCAGCTGGGTGTGGTAGTACACGCCTGTAGTCTCAGCTACTTGGGAGGCTGAGGGAGGAGAATTGCTTGAACCTGGGAGGGGGCTGTTGCAGTGAGCCAAGATCATGCCACTTCACTCCAGTCTGGGTGAGAGAGTGAGACTCCATCTCGAAAAATAATATAAATAAATAAATAACATGACTGGAGGGCTACATATGTAACCAGCAACCACAGTGTCTCTAAGAAGGGGAACTGGAAGGGCGAGAAATAGGAACGAAGGGGGAAGTTCTATATTCCCTTATACACTATTTTATTTCATATTTGCATGTCTTACCTATTCAAAAACATATTTGAAGTCTGACTAGATAGTTATGAACAGACAGAAAAAACTATAAGGTAGGGTTAAGTGGAAAAAAAATCATACTGCAAAACATACAAGGAGTGACTTTTTCTTATGTTTGGGGTGTGTGTGTGTGTGTGTGTGTGTGTGTGTGTGTGTACATACATGAACCTGTGAATCATGTTTGCCTCCAGGGAAGAGGGCTGCTTTTTGTGATACATACTTATTTTTAAATATTCTCCTGAGGTCTTTGCATAGATTATCCTTGTATTACTGGAGGAGGTTCTTTGAAGCAATAATGACTTGAAAGATCAGAAGGCTGGGTGCAGTGGCTCATGCCTGTAATCCCAGCACGTTGGGAGGCGGAGGTGGGAGGATCATCTGAGTTCAGGAGTTCAAGACCAACCTGGCCAACATGGTGAAACCACTTCTCTACTAAAAATACAAAAATTAGCTGGGCGTGGTGGCATGTGCCTGTAATCCCAGCTACTGGGAGGCTGAGGCACAAGAATCGCTTGAACTCAGGAAATGGAGGTTGCAGTGAGCCAGGATCACACCACTGCTCTCCAGCCTGCGTGACAGAGCGAGACTCCATGTTAAAAAAAAAAAAAGATCAGAAGGGCTAATGCTTGGGGCTTGACAAAGGGCAGCTTCCAGTTACAGTGTCTTTCTACCCTCTAGGGACCAGTGCAGTGGCTGGCACCCAGGAGGCCTCTGTTCACAATCTGCTTGTTCCTTGTGTCCCCGGGTGGACACTGCTTCCAGAGTAGGCTAAGATTGCTGGGCCAGGTCTCTAAGGCGGAAAAATTGTCACCTGCTAAAGTTTGGAAGGAGGGCTTCTCCTGACCCCCTGGGCATTCCAGAAGCAGAACCAGAACTGGAAAAATGTCCTTTGGGGTTCATGGTTCAGGGACTTGGGCTTGGAGTTCCAATGAGCAGGGGGGCCCATCCACCTTGGCTCTGGATCATGATTTTCCCAACCCCAGAGGTTTGGTATAGGGTGGAGGGTCCCACTGTCTACAGAGACAAAGCAGGTAAGGCATGAGTGAAGCAGGGCGTGTGTGAGTGAACAAAAGAGGTGCCACGGTCAATGGTTACCATGGCCTGGGAGACGACAGGGAGTGGTGAGGTCTGCGGAAAAGCAGAGCAAAAAGCCCATCTCACAGGGACTGCTACTCGCACTCTGCATTCTGCAGTGTCAGGTCCTCTGCTTTTTCGAGCAATGCCAGAAACAGATTTCTTTTTTTGATATATTAAGTTAACTCAATTTAAAAACAAAAATCACTCCTCTGTGTTAGCAGGTTGTAATCATTAGTCTAGCACCTAGTTAGGTGCTCAAGGAATCATAATAAAAGGTTCAATTCCTTCTTGCTCTGCACTTAAAGCTTGTCTACCTCAAAGCTAACAAGGCCTCTGGCACTGTCCCCTCCTGCTCCAGCCCACGACCATCACCTCCTGCTCTAAGCCTATTACCCCAAGAGCCCTTTGCTACTAATCATAGGTAGTCACCCTGGCCCTGGACTCACACAGACCTTGTCTGAATCCCAGCTCTGCCCACCTTCCAGTGGTGGGACTAAGCACATCTGAGCTTCAGCAACCTCATCTTTTTTTTTTTTTTTTTTTTTTTTTTTTTTTTTTTTTTTGAGATGTAGTCTCACTCTGTCACCCAGGCTGGAGTGCAGTGGCACAATATCATGCCTGTAATCCTAACACTTTGGGAGGCCGAAGTGGTGAAGATTGCTTGAGCTCAGGAGTTCGAGATCTGTTTGGGCAATACGGTGTGACCCCACCTCTACCAAAAACACAAAAAAATTAGCTGGGCATCGTGCTACATGCCTGTAGTCCCAGCTACTAAGGAGACTGAGATAGGATCCCTTGAGTTCCAGGAGGCAGAGGTTGCAGTGAGCTGAGATCATGCCACTGTACTCCAGCCTGGGCAACAGAGTAAGACCCCATCTCAAAAGAAAGAAAAAGAAAAAAGAAGAAAGAAAAAAGAAGACAGAAAGACAGAGAAAGAAAGGAAGAAAGAGAGAGGGAGGGAGGGAGGGAGGAAGGAAGGAAGGAAGGAAGGAAGGGAGGAACGAACTAACTAACTCGAGGCAGACGAACTCAGCCAAAAGACAGCATTCAGAAGACCAAGGGACCCTTAGGACCAGGCGTCAAAGCCATGCTCCCCGCCAGGTATGCCACAAACGGTCTTCAGCAGTTTAGGTAGACTGCTGGACATTGCTGAGCCCAGAACCTGCATCTCTAAGATTAGGAGGAAAGCTCCTCTGGCTTCTATAGACTCTTCTAGATCCAAGAGCACAAGAGGTCTGCCAGAACCTTCTCAAGGGCACATCGTTTGAGGCGAGCCTTGCAGAACGGAGGAGAAAGTTTATCTTCATCACAGAGGGCAAAGTCATGCATGCCAGACCACGGACCTGGTATCACCTCACTACCCGCCTATTAACAAGACTCATGCATGCTGCTATTATGGGCTGGGAGAGTAAGTTACTGTGCTCCCCCACCCCAACCCCTTTCCTTCTTTATCTTCTCCGTCATGGACGACGGTTTCTATTAAGCAATTAAACTGACCAGAAAGGAACAAGAGAAGAGCGGGACCATCATCACAAGGCTGAAAGGATTTTAATCTAATCTGTCCAGAGAAGCATAGCAGGAATTTGAAGCTTTGATTCATTTATTTTTAATCTGCTGTCAGAAGATATTTTGGGTCTCAGGACCTTCATATGCCCTTTTTTTTTCTGATTTCTATTTGAGGACAGCAGGTGAGATGAATACACAGGCCTGTCCTGAAACTCCCTAGATGGTGATGATACGTCTTAGATGAAAGACCTGGGCCCCAAAGAGTCCAATTTTCCCTCTAGCTCCCTACAGACGGGCCTCTTTAGAAATATCCAACATACTGGCTGGGCGTGGTGGTTCAGGCCTGTGATCCTAGCACTTTGGGAGGCCGAGGCAAGTGGATCACCTGAGGTCAGGAGTTGGAGACCAGCCTAGCCAACATGGTGAAACCCGTCTCTACTAAAAATACAAAAATCAGCCAGGCATGGTGGCACATCCCTGCAATCCCAGCTACTCGGGAGGCTGAAGCAGGAGAATCACTTCAACCCGGGAGGTGGAGGTTGCAATGAGCCAAGATCGCTCCACTTCACTCCAGCCTGAGCAACAAAAGTGAAATTCCATCTCAAAAAAAAAAAAAAGAAGAAAGAAAGAAAAAGAAAATGTCCACCATACAAACAGCCCCAGATCAATAATTTTTCCATACAAACAGTGCCACAGACAAGAGACTTCCCCTACTTAAGAAAGTAAAGATACATTTTGCAACACTGCACCTCAGCTTCCTTCCCTAAAAGGGGCAAACATTTTTAACTCAGGGGATGCTGTGTTAAATAAAATACAATGTGTCAATGTACAGCACTTGGATTGGAGGACATATTTAATAGTTACGGCCAGGCACAGTGGCTCACACCCGTAATCCCAGCGCCGTGAAAAGTCAAGGCAGGAGATGGCTTGAGGCCAGGAGTTTGAGACCAGCCTGGGCAATATAGTGAGATCCCAGTCTCTACAGAAGTTTTTTTTTTTTTTTTTAATTAGCCAGGTGTGGTGGTGCACACCTGTGGTCCACAGCTACTCAGGAGGCTGAGGTGAGAGGATCGTTTGAATCCAGGACTTGGAAGCTGTACTGAGCTACGATAGAACCACTGCACTCCAGCCTCAAAGACAGAGTAAGCCCCCATCTCAAAAAAAAAAAAAAAAGTTATGAGTTGCTAAGTTGCTCACTCTTACCATTTGGCTCTTTAAAAAGCCACTCTAACTCCTTCTGAAATATCTATAAGAACAGTGGAAAAATGGCCTATCCCCATGACAGATTCTATACTACCCCTTACAAGGGGTATCTTTGGGGCTTCCTGAGATATATTACACAAGTCAACACTGAGCATTTCCAAATGGAAAAAAGAGCAAGTCACTAAACTGTGTGCCCAATAGGCTTTTAAATATGTAAACAGATACCATGCTCACAAAGAGACAAAGAATGCACCGCATCTCTGGTTAAGGACTAATTTTTCTGTTTTGTGTTCACTATGCTTTCTGAACTCTCCAAGTGTTCCATAGTGAACGTGTCTTAGTTTCCTAATTAGGAAAAAAATGTGCAGGACATTTTTAGAGATGACAAGGGGCTTTTTGTAATTTTCATTTGGCAAAATGTACAGACCAGAACCAAAGAGACACAAGGATGCCAAGTGATGGAAGAAGAACATCTTACTAGTAAAATCAAAAGTGATCATGACCACAGCAAAAACCAATCTAGTAACACTTAACATTTTCAGTGCCTGCACTTAACATGTAGCAGGAAGTGTATTAAGTGCTTTCTATTTAGAGTAACCCACTCCATGAAGCTGGTACTATTTTTTTTTTTTTTTTTTTTGAAACAGACAAGGTCTTGCTCTGTCACCCAGGCTAGAGTGCAGTGGCACAATCATAGCTCACTGCAGCCTTGAACTCCTGGGCTCAAGTGATCCTCCTGCCTCAGCCTCCCTGAGTAGCTGGGATTATGAGTACGCACCACTGCACCTGGCTAATTTATTTTTGCAGAGATGGGGTCTCGTTGTGTTGCCCAGGCTGGTCTCAAACTCCTGGGCTCAAGTGAGCCACCTGCCTCAGTTTCTCAAAGTGCTGGGATTACAGGCATGAGCCACTATGCCCGGCTCCCAAGAGGCTGGCACTATTCTTGCATCCATTTTACAGAAAAGGAAACAAAGCTTCAGAGGCATGAGGTAACCTGCTCGAGGGTGAGCAAGGCCTTTCAGAGAGAAGACATAGACATAGGCCGGGTTGGGTGACCTCTGCACATCAGTCTGGCGACCCGTGCCCCACAACATCACACTCCAAGCCCCAATCATCTAGTCCAAGCAGTCCAACAGAACTTTCTATGATAATGGGAACATTCTGCACTTATGCTACCCAGTACACCAGCCACTAGCCACAGGTGGCTATTGACTACTTGACCTAGGGCCAACACAACAAAAGAAATAAATTTGTTATTTTTTATTGTCTTTTACTTATGTATTTATTTAGAGATGAAGTTTTGCTCTTATTGCCCAAGCTGGAGTACAATAACGCGATTTTGGCTCACTGCAACCTCCATCTCCCAGGTTCAAGCGATTCTCCTGCCTCGGCCTCCCAAGTAGCTGGGATTACAGGCGCACACCATCATGCCCAGCTAATTTTTGTATTTTTAGTAGAGACGGGGTTTTACCATGTTGGCCAGGCTTGTCTAGAACTCCTGACCTCAGGTGATCCACCCACCTTGGCCTCCCAAAGTGCTGGGATTACAGGTGTGAGCCCACGCACCCAGCTAATAAATTTTTTAATGTTTCTTTTTTTTTTTTTTTTTTTTTTGAGATGGAGTTTCGCTCTTATTGCCCAGGCTGGAGTGCAACGGCACCATCTCGGCTCACTGCAACCTCTGCCTCCCGGGTTCAAGCAATTCTCCTGCCTCAGCCTCTCAAGTAGCTGGGATTACAGATGTGCACTACCATGCCTGGCTAATTTTGGCATTTTTAGTAGAGACAGGGTTTCATCACGTTGGCCAGGCTGGTCTCAAACTCCTGACCTCAAGTGATCTACCCGCCTTGGCCTCCCAGCGTGCTGGGATTACAGGCATGAGTCGCCAAACCTGGTCTAATGTTTCTTTTAATTAATTTAAATCTAAATTTAGTTAGCCACGAGTGGCCAGTGGCTACCATATTGTGCCATCTCTAGTCCACTCTGTTCTGCAAGTCTACCTAAAATAGTCCTACGACCAACCTGAACATTCCCCTCTGTGACAAGGAAGGCCTCCCTAAAACCTAGCCACATCCTCATGTCTCCTACCCACCTGGCTGCCAAGACAAACCAGCCTTTCCAAAGTGGTTATGAGCTCTTCTTTACTTTCAAGAGGAAGGAAGGACAGAGAACGATGCCAATGAAATCTGTTGAGAGTTTATCATACGTCTTGGCACTTGGCACATGTGATGACATGGGATTGTCACACCTCCTGTCTGTAATGAGGGTGATTATTCCCATTTTACGGATAGGAAAACCAAGGCTTCGAGAGAGGAAATAACCTCTTCAAGGGCTGAGATGTGAACCCACCTTGGAATGATTCCACCTCATCTTGCAATCTCCCTCGATCAAACCTTCAGCCTCCCATTTCCTTTTTTTTTTTTTTTGAGACAGAGTCTTATTCTGTCACCCAGGCTGGAGTGCAGTGGTACAGTCTTGGCTCACTGCACCTCCACCTCCTGGATTCAAGCAATTCCTCTGCCCCAGCCTCCCCAGTAGCTGGGATTACAGATGCGCACCACCACCCTTGGCTACTTTTTGTATTTTTAGTAGAGACGGCATTTCATCATGTTGGCCAGCGTGGTCTCGAACTTCTGACCTCAGGTGATCTGCCCACCTCGGCCTCCCAAAGTGCTGGGAGTACAGGCATGAGCCACTGTGCCCAGCCCTCCCAACACATTTCTAATGCCTACTTTCCTTATGAGGCCAGGAGTAGGTACCTGGCTGCCTGCAATACTCACATATATTAGCCCTGAGAAGTACCGCTCCCTCAGGTTGTGTAGCACGGAGGCTTCGTTGAGGCACGTCAGCTCCGCCATGTCCTCCACCTTGGAGAACTTGGGTGGGTTCATCTTCTGGATGTCATCTTTCCCAACCGTGACCTTCTTGCCATTCTCCACCAGCTCCACAACCACCTCATCCCCCTTCTCCTCCTTAATGCTGGCTGCCTCGAAGCCCTGCTTCTCCGAGGGGACCCAGACGAGTCTCTTGGCGGCCCAGTCAGCCTGGGCCACTGGGCTGTTGATGAAGTTTTTGTCCACAAAGAGGAACTTCTCATCGTCACTGAGTTGGCCCTTCTGCGCCATGGTGCCTTGTTGGTCCCCTGTGGAATAAGGTAACAGGGTCAGAATCAGACCACAACCAAGCCCGGAAGACAGACCAACCACTCACCTTGCCCTGTCTAGGAACTCGGTCTGCAGAGACATCCCACCAAGTACAAAGACCTGCAGTATTGTGTATGTGGTCAAAGAACAGAGACCACCCAAAGGCCCTTCAGAAAGGGATGTGTGTCATCGCCTAAAATACCAAAAGTCAGACAACCCAAATGTCCACCAACATACAGCTGGATACATAAGCCATGCTATTTCCACACTGTGAAATACTACCCAGTGCTCAGGAGGCAGGAAGTAGGGCTGGACAAGGTGGCTCACACCTGTAAACCCAACACTGTGGGAGGCCGAGGTGGGCAAATCACTTGAGGCCAGGAGTTCAAGACCAGCCTGGCCAACATGGTGAAACCCCGTCTCTACTGAAAATACAAAAATTAGCCAGGTGTGATGGTGTGCACCTGTAATCCCAGCCACTTGGGAGGCTCAGGCAGAATTGCTCAAACCCAGGAGGCAGAGGTTGCAGTGAGCCAAGATAGTGCCACTGCACTCCAGCCTGGGTGACAGAGCCAGACTCCATCTCAAAAAAAAAAAAAAAAAAAGAAGAAGAAGCCGGAAGTAAGTGTACACGTGCTAATATGGGAAGATGGTCAAGTCTAACTGTGCGCTGCAAAATAAGAGTCCTCATACGATTAAACATAGAATTACCCAGATTCCTTGAGCCCAGGAGTTGGAGACCAGCCTAAGCAACATGGCAAAACCTTGTCTCTACAAAAAATACAAAAAATTAGCCAGGCATGGTAGCGCACACCTGTAGTCTCAGCTACTTGGGAGGCTGAGGTGGGAGAATCACCTGAGCCTGGGAGGTCAAGATTGCAGTGAGCCAAGATCAAGCCACTGCACTCCAGCCTGGGTGACAGAGTGAGACTCTGCCTTAAAAACAAACAAACAACCCAAGGTATATAACTGGAAACTCAGTAAAAGGAAAGAAATTATGCAATAAAATAAATGAGTCTCAAAAGCATCATGCTCAGTGAAACAAATCAGAAAGGCCACACGCTCTATTACTCCTTCAATACGAAAAACTATTAGGCTGGTGCAAACGTAAGTGTGGTTATTGAGATAGAAGGTAATGGCGGCCGGGCGCGGTGGCTCACGCCTGTAATCTCAGCACCTTGGGAGGCTGAGGTGAGTGGATCACCTGAGGTCAGGAGTTCAAGACCAGCCTGGGCAACATGGTGAGACCCCTGTCTCTACTAAAAATACAAATATTAATGGAGTGTGGTGGCACACACCTGTAGTCCCAGCTACTCAGGAGGCTGAGGCAAGAGGATTGCTTGAACCCAGGAGGCGGAGGTTGCAGTGAGCTGAGATCGCGCCACTGCACTCCAGCCTCGGCGACAGAGCGAGACTCTGTCTCGAAAAAAAAAAAAAGTAATGGCAAAATAGAAAAGGCATATCTATGGTGACAGGCAATCAAGAGTTGCCAGAGGAGGCCATGCACGGTGGCTCACACCTGTAATCCCAGCACTTTGGGAGGCCAAGGCAGGGGGGATCACTTGAGGTCAGGAGTTTGAAACCAGCCTGCCCAATGTGGTAAAACCCCATCTCTACTAAAAATACAAAAATTAGCCGGGCATGGTGGTGCACACCTGTAATCCCAGTTACTCAAAAAGCTGAGGCAGGAGAATCACTTGAACCTGGGAGGCAGAGGCTGCAGTGAGCCGAGACTGCACCATTGCACTCCAGCCTGAGTGACAGAGTGAGACGCTGTCTCAAAAAAATTAAAAAAAAGAGTTGCCAGTGGCAAGGAAAGGAATGGATTAGTAAGAGGCACAGAAGAGGTACATAAGAGGTAAGAGGCACCACCTTTCGGGGTGATAAAAGTATTCCCTGTGGTCATGGTGGTGCTTACAAGACTGTATACATTTGTCAAAACTCATTAAGAATGTTCTATCCACTATAGGATGAGTAAAGTGAACAATAAAATATTACATCGTTTCCAAGAGCTAGAAGAAGGACATTGAATGTTCCCAACACAAAGAGATGATAAATGTCATTATATAGGAAGTAGCAAAATAAAAGTAATGGCAAATGCTTGAGATGATGGATATGCTAATTATCCTGATCTTATCTCCCCACACATTATATGTATTAATATCAAAACATTACTAAGAGCTGGACTCAGTGGCTCACACCTGTAATCCCAGCACTGTGGGAAGCTGAGACAGGAGGATCCCTTGAGGCCAGGAGTTCAAGACCAACCTGGGCAACATAAGAAGCCCCTGTCTCTGTAAAAAAATTAAAAATTAGCCTGGCACGGTGGTGCATGCCTACGGTTCCAGCTACTCAGGAGGCTAAGACGGGAAGATGGCTAGAGCCCAGGAGGTCAAGGCTGCAGTGAGTTGTAATCATGCCACTGCACTCCAGCCTGGGCCACAGAGCGAGACCCTGTCTCAAAACCATCCAACCAAACAACTAAAAAAATCATTATGGACCCCATGAACATGTATGATTATTTGTCAATTAAGAAATAAATTTTTTAAGTTGAAAAAACTCACTCAAGCTGTACACTTAAAAAAACTTGAATTTGTTTTAAATCGGTGAGTTTTACTTTATATAGATTATACCTCAATAAAGCTGATTAAAATATTTGTCATAAAGTATTTGTCTTCATTTTATATGTTTGTGTGTACATTTCTAAAAGTCTAGAAAACTGCATACCAAAATATTATACCAGGGTTCTATCTGGTCAAATACGAGACAGTGTGAATATCAATAAGAAAAATAATTATATGTCCATCACCCTAACACCCCAAAAAGGGTGGAAAGACAAATATATTTAAATGCATTTGTTCAAAATGATTTTTGTTGTTGTTGTTTGAGATGGAGTCTTGCTCTGTTGTCTATGCTGGAGTGCAGTGGTGCAATCTTGGCTCACTGCAACCTCTGCCTCTGGGTTCAAGCGATTCTCCTGCCTTAGCTTCCCGAGTAACTAGGATTACAGGCGTGCACCATCACACCCAGCTAATTTTTGTATTTTTAGTAGAGACGGGGCTTCGCCAAGTTGGCCAGGCTGGTCTCAAACTCCTGACCTCAAGTGATCCACCAGCCTCGGGCTCTCAAAGTGAAGGGATTACAGGCATGAGCCACTGTGCCCAGCCCCAAATGCATTATTTTTTAAATGGGTACAGAAAGTGGGGTGGAAATGTGAAAATCTTGATTCTGCGTTTTCTATACAAATTGTTCCTTAGGGTAACTAAATTAAGAAGGGGAAGTCTCTCTTGATGGAAGATTAGGTCATTAAATGTCCTGTCTACATGGGAAGCCCATGGATGGTAGATTCACGTTATCTGTCGTTATCCAGATGTGTTTATGAGGAGAGGGACAGAGACAACACACTCTATAGGCCTGTCCGGCCCCCCGTTCCTGACTCTCTGACCATAGCTGCAGGGGCTGTCCTGGAAACACTGGCTTACAGCCCCTTCTACCTCTTGCTGCTGGGCTCCAAAGAACTGAGTTGCTGGCTAAGTGAGGACATATGGCCACCAGGATCTATGCGTGGTTGACATCCCTCCTTCAGCAGGGAATTCACAACTCCTTTGAATTCACTGATAATCCCCACGCTTGGGCCCCAAATCCCACAGCGACAGAATAAAGACCCATGTCCCACTCCTGGATCCCTAGAGCTGAGCAGCCAACTCCTGAAACCCAACCTTTTGGGTGATGCAGATTTTGCAAGACAGAATGGGAGTGGCAGATATTCCAATACCTATTTTTTTCCTTTCAGGGCTGAAAATAATAATTAAAAAACTAATTTTAAGAACCTGCTGCTGGGTGCAGTGGCTCATGCCTGTAATCCCAGCACTTTGGGAGGCCAAGGCCGGTGGAACACCTGAGGTCAGGAGTTCGAGACCAGCCTGGCCAACATGTGAAACCCCATCTCTACTAAAAATACGAAAAGTTGCTGGGCGTGGTAGCATGCGCCTACAATCCCAGCTACTCGGGAGGCTGAGGCAGGAGAATCACTTGAACCCGGGAGGTGGAGGTTGCAGTGAGCCAAGATTGTGCCTCTCACCGCACTCCAGCCTGGGCAGTAAGAGCGAAACTCAGTCTCAAAAAAACGAAAAACAAACCTGGAAGTTGATTTGCTCAGAGATTTTCTGCTGGGAGACCTGATATCGTAGCTGATGAAAAAAAAGTGGCGGCTAGGTGCGGTGGCTCACACCTGTAATCCTAGCACTTTGTTGGGGCTGAGGTAGGAGGATTGCTTGAGGTCCGGAGTTCAAGACCAGCTGGCCAACGTGGCGAAACCTGATCTCTACTAAAAACACAAAAATATTAGCTGGGCTTGGTGGCAGGCACCTGTAATCCTAGCTACTCGGGAGGCTGAGGCACGAGAATTGCTTGAACCCAGGAAGCAGAGGTTGCAGTGAGCTGAGATGGTGCCACTGCACTCTGGCCCAGGCAACAGAGCAAGACTTCATCCAAAAAAAAAAAAAAAAAAAAAAAAAAAAGGGCAGAGAAATGAGGAAATCCCATCTAAATCTGAATAATCACTTCAGATATCCAGAAAGAGAAATAAAGATCTGGTAGACAACATGTATTGTCCTAAGTTTAACAATCCTCCTTTCTGCATTTTAAAATTGTTATTGAATTTGGCTTAGCTCATAGTAAGACCAACAGTGTCCTGCCCCTGACTCCAGTTACCCTATCTTAAAAAAGACTCCCTTCTACATGGAAGAATTCCAGCGAATACATGCAGAACAATAAAACTAGGATGTAACTGTTTATAAAGCTAATAGTGGGTCTCAAGCTGGGCACGGTGGTTCACACCTGTAATCCCAGCACTTTGAGAGGCCCAGGTGGGCGGACCACCTGAGGTCAAGAGTTTGAGGCCAGCCTGGTCAACATGGGAAAACCCTGTCTCTACTAAAAAATACAAAAATTAGCTGGGCATAGTGGCATGTGCCTGTAATTCCAGCTACTCAGGAGGCTGAGGCAGGAGAATTACTTGAACTCCAAAGGTGGAGGTTGCAATGAGCCGAGATCATGCCACTGTACTCCAGCCTGGACAACAGAGCAAGACTTTGCCAAGGAAGGAAGGAAGGAAAGAAAGAAGAAAGGAAGGAAGAGGCCGGGCACAGTGGCTCACACCTGTAATCCCAGCACTTTGGGAGGCTGAGGCGGGCAGATCACGAAGTCAAGAGATCGAGACCATCCTGGCTAACACGGCAAAACCCTGTCTCTACTAAAAAAAAAAAAAAAAATTAGCCGGGCGTGGTGGCGGCCGCGTGTAGTCCCAGCTACTCTGGAGGCTGAGGCAGGAGAATGGTGTGAACCTGGGAGGCGGAGCTTGCAGTGAGTGGGTGAGTGGAGATGCGCCGCTGCACTCCAGCCTGGACGACAGAGTGAGACTCCGTCTCAAAAAAAAAAAAAGAAAGAAAGGAAGAAAGAAAGGGTCTTGGCAAGTTGGCAAGTTCTACCAGTAATTGCTAAAACCATTAGGCCAATGGGGCTCACATTTCCTGGTGCATTAGCTTCTGAGTCAGTAGGACTGGGATGGGGCCCAAGAATATGCATTCCTAACCAGCTTCCGGGTGATGATGATGATGCTGGTCTAGGGTCCCCACCACAAGACTGACTATATCAGATGAAGAGCTCTTGTGGAATTTTTAAGGGATGGGTCCGCCTGCCATCACCTAAATCTACTAATTAACCCTAACATCACAAAAAGAGAGAGCTGACTAGACATTATAAACATTACATGCCTGCAGATGGGCCACTACAGGAAGTGCCGTTACCACTAATGACATATTCTTGCTCAAAAGAAAAGGGGATGGAGATGGGGGATGAAGGTGATGAAGCCTCCAGATCTGACGCCTGTCTATGGAAAATGCAAGGCACAGGAGAGCATGCTAAACAATGCAGTAAACTCCCAAAGGTGAGAGACTATGCTCTGTCGCCCAGCTAGAGTGCAATGGCGGGATCTTGGCTCACTGCAACCTCCACCTCCTAGGTTCAAGTGATTCTCCTGCCTCAGCCTCCCGAGGAGCTAGGATTACAGGTGCATGCCACCACGCCTGGCTGATTTTTGTATTTTTAGTAGAGACGGGGTTTCACCATATTGTCCAGGCTGGTCTCAAACTCCTGACCTCAGGTGATCTACCGGCCTTGGCCTCTCAAAGTGCTGACATTACAGGTGTGAGCCACCACGCTCGGCCAGTACTCTCTTTCTTTAACAAATAAAATACAAACAAAAAGGAGGGGAACCCATAGATTAAAAAATAATTGAAAGAAAAGAGGCTGGCAGTAGCCCACATGTATAATCCCATATTTTGGGAGGCCAAGGCAGGAGGATTGCTTGAGCCCAGGAGTTCGAGACCAGACTGGGCATTATAGCAAGACCCCATCCCTTAAAAAAAATATCAGCCAGGCATGATGATGCGTGCTTGTAGTCCCAGCTACTAGGAGGCTGAGGCAGGAGGGTTGCTTGAGCCCAGGAGTTTGAGGCTGCAGTGAGCTATGATTACATCACTGCACTCCAGCCTGGGTGTCAGGGTGAGACCCTGTCTCAAAAAAGAGAAAGCCACAGAGAACGAGAACATTTCATAAATATAGGGCATTTTCATTAGCCTAAAAGATCTTTCTGAGCCTAAATAAAGTACAAGTTCATTGGTGCTGGCAACATTTGATTGGTTGCCTCCTCTTGAGAGGTAAGATAACCTGTAGTCATGTAAAGACACCCAGACTTTGCAATCAGATGCTAATTCAAACGTGACTCTGCCACTGCAGAATGCGTGCTTCTGGGTGACTTACGTAGATCTGAGACTCAGATTTACTGTATATTAATACTGGGGACCTAACGGGTGCCCTGCAGAGCTGCCATGAAGTTTAGATGAAACTCTCTACACCAAGCTTGTCTAACCTGCAGCCCACAGGCTGCATGGGGCCCAGGACGGCTTTGAATGTGGCCCGATACAAATTCATAAACTTTCTTAAAACAGTATGATATTTTTTCGCGATTTTTTTTTTTTTTTTTTAGCTCATCAGCTATCATTAGTGCTAGTGTATTTTACGTGTGGCCCAAGACAATTCTTCTTTTTCTGGGGTGGCCCAGGGAAGCCAAAAGATAGGACACCCCTGATCTACACCAAGTACCTTCTGTTTCTATACCCTTTCTCACTTCCGGTGACTCTAAGCCACTTCGCTCATTCCTAACCAATAGCATTTACTACTGTTGGATGTTTTAATTATGTTTATTTCTGGACAGCCATAGTCACAGAAGTGGCTTGATACGACGCGTCTTCTTTTAATAGTATAACCAAGGTTAGTTTAAACAGGCAGCAAAATAGGAAATGCGGCAAAATATTCAATCATTCCCTGATAATCTCTTGTTTCTTAAGGTGTCGCAGCAGATCGTGTGTGTGTGTGTGAGAGAGAGAGAGAGAGAGAAAGAAGGAGAGAGAGAGAGAGAAACTGGAGGATGCGTAAGAGAAATGGGAGGGTGTGAAGATGAAGTAAGATTGATCACAAGTAGGCCGAGTGTGATGGCTCATGCCTATAATCCCAGAACTTTGGGAGGCTGAGGTGGGAGGATAACTTGAGGTCAGGAGTTTGAGACCAGCTTGGCCAACATTGTGAAACCCTGTCTCTACTAAAAATACAAAAATTAAAAATTAGCCAGGATTGGTGGTACGTGCCTGTAGCCCCAGCTACTTGGGAGGCTGAGTCAGGAGAATCACTTGAACCCGGGAGGTGGAGGTTGCCGTAAGCCGACATCATACCACTACACTCCAGCCTTGGCGACAGAGTCAGCCTCCATCTCAAAAAAAAAGAAGTGTCAGAGCTGGGACCCAAACCTGGGTCTCATTCTGGAGTCTATTTGGTTCTGCCTTTCACATAAGGTGGGTGGGCTTGTCAGATGCCCATAAAGGAATCAATCCTGTAAGGCACCTGGCACAGTACCTGACACATTACAAACACCCAAAATAGGACTCGAATCAGGTGAAGTAAACTACAGCTCCACACCACAAAAAAGGACATCTCACAACACATCCTTGAGCAAAAGAAGGTGGTCACAAAAAGCACAGGTTCTGTGACTATTGAACTGAGGTCCAAAACCAGGCAGAATTAATCTACGGTGATAGAACTCAGATAAGGAATGAATGAGTCTCGGGTGTGCAATGATTGCAAGGACAGAACGTGAGGGGGGCTTGTGAGGGTTGACCTCTAGATCTTCATCTGAATGCCAGCCCTATGAGTGTTCACTTTCTGAAAATTCATCAAACTGTTGGGCCAGGTGACATGGCTCACGCCTGTAATCCCAGCACTTTGAGAAGCCAAGATGGGAGGACCACTTGAGCCCAGGAGTTTGAGACCAGCCTGGCCAACACAGCAAGACCCATCTCTAAGAAAAAATGTTTTTTAATTACCTGTGTGGAAGACTGAGGTAGGAGGATAACCTGAGCCCAGGAGGCTGAGACCGGCCTGGTCAACATGGTGAAACCTTGTCTCTAGCAAACATACAAAAATTAACCGGTTGTGATAGTGTGCACCTGCAGTCCCAGCTACTCAGGAGGCTGAGGTGGGAGGATCACTTAAGCTCAGGAGGTCGGGGATGCAGTGAGCCATGATCATGCCACTGCACTGCAGCCTGGGTGACAGAGTGAGACCCCCATCTATAAAAAATATATCCTCTTGAAAATTCATCAAGCTGCACACTTTTTTGCACATCAAGCGTACTTTTTTGGTTGTAAAGTACACTTCATTTTCCTTCCCTCTTATCTTTAATTGTGGTAAAATACAGCTAACATTCACCACCTCGGCCACTTAAACACAGTTCAGTAGCATTAAGTATATTGATATTCTTGTGCAATAATGAAGAGTTTGTGCAGGTGGTAGCCAATTACATCCCAAGAGGGCTAGGAGAGTGTTTCATTTGTTCTAAGCACTATGACAAGTAAAGTGGACTTCTTTTTTTTTTTTTTTTTTTTTCTCTGAGACAGGGTCTTGCTCTGTCGCCCAGGCTGGAGTGCAGTGGCATGACCTCAGCTCACGGCAACCTCCGCCTCCCAGGCTCAAGTGATCCTCCCACCCCAGCCTCCCAAATAGTTGGGACCACAGGCACCTGCCACCATGCCCAGCTATTTTCCTGTATTCTTGGTAGAGATGGGGTTTCACCATGTTGCCCAGGCTGAGGTCTTGAACTCCTGACCTCAAGTGATCTGCCTGCCTCGGTCTCCCAAAGTGCTGGGATTACAGGCATGAGCCGCTGCGCCCAGCCCTAAGTGGGCTCTTCCTAATTGCCATGTGGATGAGTTGCCTTAAAAGTCAGAAAAAATAGCAAAAGCTACAACAGAAAAATAAAAGGACACGCACGCCTCCATTGCCTGGGACCCTGTCTAACCTCAGACTTAAAAACACAAACAAGATCAAGTGCAAAGATTCAGTCTCTGTACAAAAAAGGAGAGCTTGGAGCAGGCTGGATTCCCTCTGGCTTTGATGTCTCTGACAGTTACGACGTGCAAAATCTGCTTTGGTCAAAAGACAGCAAGATGGGGGATGAGAAGCTTCGACTCATGCTAGAATGGTGTTTTCCATAGCATGCCCCTTGGAACCCTAATTCCCTGAAATATCTGGGCTGGGGTGGAGCTGCGGAGGTTGAGAAGCTCTTCAAACAGTGGCGCAGTCAAGGTCAAATCCATCTGGAAGGTGCTACATATTCCCCTTTCCCTCATTGAGACACAAAACACACAACAGGACACTTGAGTCTCTGGCAGATCCGGAAACCTGAAAGCTGTTTTGCTCCTACGAGCCTTGGGTCCCCAAAACAACATTTAGCCACAGATTTGCCAAATGTTTTGAGAATGTTTTCCTAAAAATTTGCCAAATTTTTGAGAAAATTCAGTGAGCCTGACAAATTAATAATACTAATACTAGTAATAATAGTTGCTAAGTCTTTTTTTTTTTTTTTTTTTTGACACAGAGTCTCGCTCTGTTACCCAGGCTGGAGTGCAGTGACGCAATCTCAGCTCACTGCAACCTCCACGTTTCTGGGTTCAAGTGATTCTCGTGCCTCAGCCTCCCAAGTAGCTGGGACTACAGGCATGCGCTACCATGCCTGGCTAATTTTTGTATTTTTAGTAGAGATGAGGTTTCACCATATTGGCCAGGCTGGTCTTGAACTCCAGGCCTCAAGCAATCCTCCCACCTTGGCCCCCCAAAGTGCTGGGATTACAGGCGTGAGCCACCGCAGCTGGCCACAAACTCTGCACTGTGACTCTTGGGCTGCGTCATTCTGTGTCATGAGGGGAGCTCTTCCGTGCATTGTGGGATGTTCCGCAGCATCCCTGGTCTCTGCCCACCTGATGCCAGTAGCACCCCTTCCTCCACTCATGACAATCAAAAATGTCTCCAGACACTGCTAGATGTCCCCTGGGGTGGCAAAACTGCTTCCAGTTGAGAACCACAGCTTTAGAATAAAAACAAGGGCTGTCTTGGGAAAGGCAGTTAAAGCTGAGAGCAGCTCTCACTTAGTCAAACTCAACTCGGAATACCAACTGCAGAAGATCAGACGGGGGCAAGGTGAACACACTGGACCAGAGACGGACCGCCAGTTGGCCCAACCCCAGGGACACTCTTCATCTACCTTGATGCACCTTCCCAACCCTCCCTCCTCCACCATCGCTCATGTTTAAGGTCCTGCATCAGCTCCAAGGGCTGAAAGGACATCTCTGAAATTACTACCCAGAACTGCTGACCACGAAGTACAGTTCACTCATCAAGAGCTGCTCTCAATGTTTTTGGTTGGGGGAAGGGTCTCACTATATGCCCAGGGTGGAGTGCAGTGGTGCAATCATAGCTTACTGCAGGCTCAAACTCATGGGCTCAAGGGATCCTCGCACCTCAGGTGTGGGCCACTATGCCCGGCTTATTTTTTGTAGAGATGGGGGTCTTGCTATTTTGCCTAGGCTGGTCTCAAACTCCTGATCTCAAATGATCCTCCTGCCTTGGCTTCCCAAAGCTCTAGGATGACAGGCGTGAGTCACCTCGTCCAACTTTCTCGAATGTTTGGATGAAAACAAATGACTCTGTCACCTTTGGCATTAGCGATGTTTGACACATCTGAGTGTGTCAGCCTTGTTTACAGTCCTGTCCTGACCAACAACTGCTTCATTCTTTTTTTTTGAGACAGGGTCTGGCTCTGTTGCCCAGGCTAGAGTGAAGTGGCGCGATCTCTGCTTTCTGCAAACTCTGCCTCCCAGGCTCAAGCCATTCTCCCACCTCAGCCTCCCAAGTAGCTGGGATCACAGGCACGCACCAGAACACCCAGCTAATTTTTTAATTCTTGCATTTTTTTGTAGAGACAGGGGTCTCACTTTGTGGCCCAGGCTGGTCTCAAACTCCTGAGCTCAAGCGATCTGCCTGCCTCAGCCTCCCAAAGTGCTAGGATTACAAGCATGAGCCACCGCGCCCAGGCTGCTTCATTTTTTGAGCACAAACAAGCTAATCATTAGCCTCTGGAAGACCTTAGGATGTCAAGTAACAAGTCTCAGCTTTGCCCCAAACCTGCTGGGTGACTCTGGACAAGTCACTTGCCCTCTCTGGGCCTTGTATTTTTCATTTAGGGAAAATAAATCAATGGTAGGCTGGCCCAGCTCTACCATTTTATGGGACCCGTCTGTGACTCCCAGTCAAAGGGCTGAAACTGGACCAACTGAGAATGTCAGGTTGCTTTAGTTTGTTTTACCATCAGTTTCATTTTTCCCAGAAGAACTCAGGGGCAAAAGATCTTGCCCTCTCTGCTTCAGCATTAATAAAAAGTAAATTAGGCCGGGCATGGTGGCTGATGCCTGTAATCCCAGTACTTCGGGAGGCCGAGGCAGGCGGATAACCTGAGGTCAGTAGTTCAAGACCAGCCTGGCCAACATGGTGAAACCCCGTCTCTACTAAAAATACAAAAAATAGCCAGGTGTGGTGGTGGGCGCCTGTAATACCAGCTACTCAGGAGGCTGAGGAAGGAGAATCGCTTGAACCCAGGAGGTGGAGGGTGCAGTGAGCTGAGATCCCATCACTGCACTCCAGCCTGGGCGACAAGAGCAAAACTCTGTCTTGAAAATAAATAAATAAATAGTAAATTAAATATCCCAGAGCCCAGAGAGTATAGGATTTGCACATCACCTCACCTGGTCAACAGCTTCCCTCAGGATTTTACTGCCAAGCCATTGGCTAAAGATTTTGGACCAGAGACAAAAACCCAAATGTTTTTGGAGATCAGGTAAGTAATACAGAGTGACCCAGACCAGATGTTAGAGTATTGCTTATATTCTAAATACCATGCAGGGTTCAGCACTGTGGCTCACGTCTGTAATCCCAACACTGGGAGGCCAAGGCAGGCAGTTCGCTTGAGCTTAGGAGTTTGACACCAGCCTGCGCAACATGGTGAAACCCCATCTCTACAGAAAATACAAAAATTAGCCAGGCATGGCAGCACATGCCGGTAGTCCCAGCTACTCGGGAGGCTGAGGTGGGAAGATCGCTTGAGCCTGGGAGGTAGAGGTTGCAGTGAGCCAAGATCATGCCACTGCACTCTAGCCTGGGTGACAGAGTGAGACTCCATCTCAAAAAGAAAAAAAAGAAAAAAGAAAAATTGCTCATATTCTAAATGTCATAAAGGGCTGGATACAGTGGTTCACACCTGTAATCCAAGAACTATGGGAGGCCAAGCCAAGAGGATTGCTTGAATTAGGAGCTCTAGACTAGCCTGGGCAGCACAGTGAGATCCCATCTCTATTTCAAATAAACGAATGAATGAATGCCACACAGGCAAAACAGAAGTTCTCTGAACCTGATCTGCAACACAATTCGCCAGCTGGAAGGACCTCTGCAGTGGAAATCCTCGCTCAAGGCCTGGTCCAGGTGTAGGGAGGCATCAAATGTGTCGCAGGGAGAGGCACTGGGCACTCTAAATGCACCTGCTTGGCAGGTCCCCAGTAGTACCAAAAAGGCAGTTTAGATCTATTATTCATAACAGCCACTGTATTTATTGGGCCCCTTGTATTCATCAGGTATCAGGCCAGACAGCTTCCTATATAGACCATCTCACTGTCTCCTAAGCGCTCTGTAAGGTGGCATCACCTGCTATTGCTATTTTCCTGCTAAGATGACCGAGGTCCTGGAAGGTAAATGCAAGACCCCCACTTGTAAAATTTGGAGTCAGGAGTACAATCCAGAATCTAATCCTAGTTTTCTGCTAAGAGTAAATGGACACCCGATTAATTCTTAGCAGAAAGTCCCTTTCTTGCCCCTGACCCTACTCCACCATTTCTACCCTCCCCTCACCATTCACATCCCCCCACCTCCCAAGGGCTTGTTCCCAAGAAAGCCCTACTTCACTTTTACAGGAAAAAAAGTGAATGGTGAACCTGTCACATTCTTATTGCCTTGTGACATCTGCCTAATCATCTGAATACCAATGGTTTCAAGTAACTCCAGAAAGAAGTTCTCTTAATGCATAACACTATTTTTTCCTCCCAACCAAGAGAACTTGGTTGGCAAGAGTTACGGTAGCCCCTGTGAAGGATGCTTCTGGAAGCGAGCAAGAACTGATTATTTCTGGCCCTAAAAGCCCCACTGTGTTTTATATTTTACAATTCTGGCATACCACAGCTTAAAATAAATGTATAGTCTCCTATGTCAGGGGTCCCCAACCCTTGTGCTGCAGTATCAGTCAATGGCCTGTTAGGAACCAGGCCACATAGCAGGAGGGGACGGTGGGTGAGTGACCATCACTGCCTAAGCTCCGCCTCCTGTCAGATAAGCAGCATTAGATTTTCACAGAAGCACAAACCCTATTGCCAACTCCACCTGCAAGGGATCTAGGTTGTACGTTCCTTATGAGAATCTAACCAATGCCTGATGATGAGGTGGGACAGTTTCATCCCAAAACCATCCTCCCCACTCCACCCTGGAAAATATTGTCTTCCACGAAACCAGTCTCTGGTGCCAAGAGGATGGGGACTGCTGTCATATGTGACTGCAACAAGTTGCAATTTGCAATGCCTTTTTTTTTTTTTTTTTTGAGACCAAGTCTCACTCTTTGCCCAGGCTGGAGTGCAGTGGTGTGATCTCGGCTCAATGCAACCTCTGCCTCTGAGGCTCAAGCGATTCTCGTGCCTCAGCCTCCCGAGTAGCTGGGATTACAGGTGCCCACGACCATGCCCAGATAATTTTTGTATTTTTAGTAGAGATAGGGTTTAGCAGAGACCATGTTGGCCAGGCTGGTCTTGAACTCCTGACCTCAGGTGACCCACCTGCTGCGGCCTCCCAAAGTGCTGGGATTACAGGCGTGAGCCACTGCGCCTGGTCTGCAATGTCTTTAGCCAGTCATTTGCAATATCTATTAATTTTAGATACGCATGCCCTTTAACTCAGCAAGCGCATTTCTGGGAATTTATCCTACAGATAAATTCATATAATTAGACAAAAAGTCCAAGGATGAAAGAGTGGCATTATCTATTATTCCCATTTTCCTGCTAAGCCTATCGGGGTCTTGAAAGGTAAATGCAAGGCCCTCCCTTGCAAAAGTTGGGGAGCCAGGATTAGAATCCCGATCTGTTTGAAGCCTAATTTACTCAGAGATGGCATTAGTGATGTTTGACACATCTGAATATGTCAGCCCTATTCACAGTCCTGTCCTAACAACTCACTGCTTCATCCCTTGAGCACAAACAAGCTATTCATTAGCCTGTGGAAGATCCTTAGGTCTTCGAGTTACAAGTCTCAGCTCTGCCCAAAACTCGCTGGGTGATGCTAGGCAAGTCACTTGCCCTCTCTGGGCCTTGTATTTTTCAGCCTGGTACAGTAAAGTTCTATGCCCCTCACCTTTTTTTTGAGACAGAGTCTCACTCTGTTGCCCAGGCTAGAGAACAGTGATGCAATCAGGGCCCACGGCAGCCTTGAACTCCTGGGCTCAAGCAATCCTCCTGCCTCACTCAACCTCCTGAATAACTAGGACTACAGATGCATGCCACCATGCCCAGCTCATTTTAAAAATTTTTTTGTAGAGATGGTGCCTCGCTATGTTGCCCACTCTGGTCTCAAACTCCTGACTTCAAGCCATCCCCCCACCTCAGCCTCCCAAATTGCTGGGATTACAGGTATGACCTGCCATACCTGGCCTCTATGGCCCTTTCCTAGCAACTTTGATGAGGTTGTTCCTCCTTAGCCCCTGAAACCCTGATACAAGTCACAGATGTCCGACCTCCCCTTTCAGCCACTGTGAGCAGCTTCTTCCTCTGTCCTTGGATCACATACAAGGTTTCTTTCAAATTCTTGCCTGCCTTTCTCTAAATTCAGTCTTTCCTCCATTGTGTGGCCAGGGTTAAAAGTTGAAAGGTCAGGAGTGGAAGGAGAAGACCTAGAGAGCAAAAAGGCCATCCCTTAAAGTATGCCATCAAGACCCTAAATAAGCCAGGCGCGGTGGCTCACGCCTGTAATCTGAGCACTTTGGGAGACCAAGCCAGGCGAATCACTTGAGGTCAGCAGTTCGAGACCAGCCTGGCCAATATGGTGAAACCCCATCTCTACTAAAAATACAAAAAATTAGCCAGGCATGGTGGTGGGCGCCTATAAACCCAGCTACTCTCTACTCAGGAGGCTGAGGCTGGAGAAGTGCCTGAACCTAGGAGGCGGAGGTTGCAGTGAGCCAAGATTGCACCACTGCACTCCAGCCTGGGCGACAGAGCAAGACTCTGTCTCAAAAACAAACAAACAAAACCCTAAACAAATGTAATTGGAATTTGTAACATTCCCAATCCAGGTAAGGAATGGTAGCTTAATATATTAAAGATTCTAATCACCACTTTCAGCCCAAATAGAAACGAGGTTTATGAGATCAAAGGGAAGAAAATTAAGAGAAGCTTCTCCTTTAACGGCCACATAGTTTAGGCTTCCCGGTTCTGCCAAAGATGAGCCATGCCATACTGAGCAAACATCTTGAACTCTCTGGTTGTGTTTGCTATAAATAACCATCACTAAAGCTTACCAGGGGCCAGGCACTGTGCTAAACCCTTCATACACATTAGCTCATCAAATCCTCCCATGAGGGTAATCTGTGAAACTCTGGAGTTAGAAAGACCTAGATTTGTAGAATCTTGTTTTCCTTACTGGTTAGCTGAGCTATCTTAAGCAAGTTATTCAGACTCCATATGTGTAAAATAAAGCCAGTTATAATAACAGTATCTACTCTAAAGGGTTGTTATGAAGACGTAAGATAATGTCCACAAAGGGTTTAGCATCTCGCCAGGCAAAAGTGCCCAAAAAACATGAGTTATTCTCATTAGCCCCATTTCCCGGATGAGAAAGTGAGGTTTGGGGAGGTGCGGGAGATGATTTTTAAATTTGCTTATGACCTTCTATGATTCTACTGGATTGAAAATTGAACTTGGTTTTCAAGAAAAATCTACTATATATCTGCTCTTGGAATTACACGCTTGTGCCTAATGTGGAAGACCCACCTGTTTGGATTCAAGACCTGTGGAAAGGAGACAATTCCCTCCCACCCCCCACCCAAAAAAAATCAAACCTCTGAATAAGAGGGGGTAGGAAAAAAGAATCCCACTTTCCTCCCAAATCTCTTCGCCTTAGGGTTTCTCCACTAGTTCTTCAATGGGTGAGGGACATGGTAGACAAATCCCCAGGGCCAGGACCAACCGGGCTGCGGTGCAAGGCTGGGTAACTGACGAGGGGGCCGGGGATGGCCTCATGGAAAACACTTCCATAAATGGGCATGTTTGCCTCAATCTCTGCCCTCCCACGGAAAAGTAATGATAACAAATCCATAACAGATACCTTGTACGGAATAACACATCTATTTCGGACATGATAATAAAAAAACATGGTGTTTACAAGGCAAGCCTGGCGGCTTCTCGGAAAAGACCCAGCTAGTTCACGTTCTGGACTCTCGGCATGGCAGCCCACCTAGGGTCACTGGTTTCAGCTAGGTCAGCCCCTCAATCAGGGGACAAACAGTGCCTTTTATTTTAAATGTGCAAAAAGTCAGTTTATGTTTTCTTCAAAGGACACGGTGATAAACATTTACTTTGTTGGAAGCATTTAGTCCCACCAGAAACCTGACCCCAACAAGTTTGTGTCCATGGTAAAGAAGAAAGATAGTGGGGTCAAGGGTATGAACTTGGACTCAAACTGACCCGGGAATGGGTTCTACCACTTGCTGGCTGTGTGACAGTTTACCTCTCTGAGCCTCAGCTGCCTTGTATACTAAACAGGCATCATAAAGCCTTTCTTATGAAGTTGTTGCAAAGATTAAATGAGATAAATTAAGTTAAATGTTGCAACAGCATGTGGCACTGAAGTGTTCCATCAACGGTAGCTATCTCAAAGGGAAAACATCAATTTCCTTCAAACAAAATTCCCTATCTTATTTCACACCCTGCCACCTAATGACTTTCAGTTCAGCGTCAAGTTCCGTCTCTGAACAATTCTAAAATAGTATCGTTAAGTAAATCAAAGAAACAAAAAACTATGCAAAGCAGTTTATTAATAGCCTGCATTCTTTTTGCCAAACCCCGGACGGACAGTTCACCATTTAATCTCTCAGTTCTTCATACTGCAACTAAACACTCCCGCCTTGGGTTTCTAAATATTTTCTTTTACTTCTTGACAAGCATGGCTTTGGATGGTACCTTTTCTCAAGTGGCAAAATCCCTACCAGACCCTGTGCTGGAAGAAAACTTACAACAGGCAGTAGCCACACTTTCTCTCGTTTTACCCATTTGGTTGGGCACGAGAGTGGCATTGACACAGGTGGCTCTGCGGGAAATTCTAGTGTAATCTTACCTAATGCACCTGCAGATCGCGGAAGCAAATGGAGACTTTGGAGCCCACCTGGGTATCTGGGGGCCCTTTGGGGTCAACCTGGGTGAGTTTGTTTTTTTTTTTTAATTTGGAGAAGAGGAAAAAGTGGGCTGTAACAAACTAGATCACAACCAGCCTTATCTCCCAGGGGTTCTCAACATAGAAGAACCTCCCCTAAACTGATTAAAAAAAAAAAAAAAAAAACACTCCTTTCTGCTAAGCCTATGCCCATGTGTTTTTAACTGATTTAATGCATTATCAACACAACTGTGCAATACGGTCAAATCCACAAGGAGCCTCACTTTGCCCGTCTGTGTGATAGCAAGTGACTTTTCAGTGAAGTTCAGCTGTAAATTTTTTGGTGCCTAGAATAAAAGTGAGATGCCTTGATTGTCTGCACCGGACCTCTGAGATTTCCAAGGGAGCATATCTCCTGGATTAGCCTCTTAACAAGAATCACTCGGGACTAATTTTTTTTTTTAAGGCAGTTTTTCTGGGGATTCTAGAGTTGGGAAATGGAGTTGGGTCCAGGCATTGATATCGTTAATAAGCACCCCCAAAATGGTACTTCTCACTGGCAATCTTGAGAAATGCTGTTTGGGGAAAGTCTAGGATAATCTAAGACGATAAGGCAGAGAGAAATCCAAATCACAACTCTGCCCCCACCATGGCCCTTACGAGGTTGACAACAGGGACCCCTAAGTGCACCCCAGCCCCTATAGAATACCCTATAGGACTTTTAACACCCCCCTCCCCTGCAATCTGCCCCCAGAATGACAACTACTACTTACAGATCTCCAACTGGGGGGACTAGTGGAGAGGAAACTGGATGGCGAGCTCGGATCTGACGCACCTCCCAGGCCGGAGCGTCCAAATCTCCCTGCGCGTCTCGGACGCCTCTCTTTATAGACCCGGAGCTGCCCGCGGCTGGGAAAGGGGAGGAGGCCGAAGGGGTGGAGTTGGGGAGGGTCCCTCGCGGCCCCCTCGCCGCGCCCCCTGCAGGGCGCACCCCCGGCGGGAGCGCAAGGAGCTGGGGCGCTCGGGACAAGGGTGCACGGAACAGGTGCGCACCGCACAAGGGCGCACGGAACAGGTGCGCACAGGGACGGGAGTCTCAGCCCCGGCCCCAGGCGGTCGCAGACGCTCCGGATCCCTAGAGAAAGGGGGTCGAGCAGGCAGTGTCTGTGCGGGATGCTTGAGAACGTCTTCCCTGAGTCGGTTCCGGCCGCAAAGGCTTTAACCTCTTCCTCCCCGTGTCGGGGCTGTGGTGGATCTGACTTGACATCTCCCACCCCACTTCCCATTTTATTGGCATCGCACTGTCTGGAAAGAGGGCCGGCTGTGCAGCGTGAAGGGTAGGGAAAGGGGATTTCTTGAACTTTGCAAAGTGCAAGACAGGAGGCCCCCACCCTTGCTGGGAACCGTGCAGGAAGGGGAAGTTTTTACTTTTCCCAACTTGCCATCTCCACCTCCACCCACATCACCACGACCAAAATACAAATAAAAATTAAAAATAAGCCCACTGTGATTATTTCAGCTGTCCCCCTCCCCTGTGCGCCACTCGCCAGCTGCGTGACCTTGGGCAAGTCACTTCACTTCTCTGAGACTTGGTGTCCATAGCTACAAAATGGGGGAAGGCGGTGGCGGTGATAATTACGTTATTTACAAGATGCAAGTGTCAAGATCCAAGGAGAAAGTGGGTGTGCCCCCAGAGTCTGCGAGTTCCCTTCAACAACTTCCCTTCCCCAAGGATTCCTCGCCTAAAATTGCATTCCCTGTCTCTCTCCATCACAGGCTCTCTCGCTCTGTCTCTGCCACTGTCTCTGCATGTCTGTCACTCTGATCATTGCTGTCTCTCGCTCTATCTTTTGTCTCTGTCCCTCTCGCTTCTCTAGATCTGTCGATGTATCTGTCTCTCCCTCCTGTCTCACTTTGTCTCTGGTCTCTGTGTCTCTTGCTCTCCATCTCTCCCGCGTGTCTCACTCCTATCTCTGCGCTTTCTCTCTCTCTCTTCCCCAGGCTCTCCGTCTTCTCCCCGTCCCTCCCTCCCCGCTCCTGTCCACGCACGCACACACAGGCCATAAAAGGAAGTCGAGGCGGTGGGCTGGCCCCGCGCCAGGCCGGGGACCCGCGGGCAGCCCGGGCGCTCCGCTCCCCGCGCGGCACCAGCTCCTCCGAGGTTCCCGGGCCGGGCCGGGCCGGGCCGGTCCCCCTCCCCGGGAGCGGCGGGAGCGGCGGGCGGGAGACAACCCAAAAAGGGCAGGCGCGGACTCCTTCCTGCAGGAATTCCCAGCGCCGCATACCAGCTCTGGGCTGCCGGCTCCCCCTGACTAAATATGGTGCCGAGTGGCCTTCCTGCTCCCCGGCGTCGGGGGAGGGGGCCCTTCACGCAGCCACCGGCCGCCGTTGCCCCGCGGGGCTAGATGGGGACCCCTCTGCTTGGGGAAGGCCCGGAAGGGGGCAGCCCCCAGTCCCACGTGGGTTTCTGCTGCTTCAGGCTAGAGGATTTGGAGAGAGGGTTAAAGTTGGGCAGACCCCTCCTGGGTTCTGTACTTGACGCAGGCCCTTAGTCTACAACCACTCCTCTTGCAACCAGGTGGAGGGGCTGGGGGCCGGGGGTGCGGGGGGTGGCTTTATTAATACCCCCATTTTGCAGGTGAGAAAATTGAGTCCCTGCAGGGGTAAAGGGATTTGACCAAGCTCTCACTGGGACAGTCATTGATTGGTGCTGGCACTGGAACCTTTCTGATGACACCATTCACTTCCAGAGAGGAGACATTAAAGGGAAATGCCCAGGCAAACTGGCCTTGAGGCCCAGGGCGTGTATCTGAGAGTAGATGTCTGGCTTTGAATCTGCCAGTGCTGCTTTCTACCTATATGACCATGGGCAAGTAACTTTGCCTCTCCATGCCTCAATTTCCCTACCTGTAAGATGGGAAGAACATCAGCTACTTCCTGGCCTTTTTGTAAGCAGTCCTTGAGATGATCCATGTAAAATGAACATGGTGCACCGCTTCATGTGAGCTGCTGTTACTCGCAACAAACATGAAACCAACTAGAGTTGCACCAGGCCTCCGGGATATAAAGAGAGGCCTCTTCCCCTGCAGGCTCCCAGGCCCATCTGGAGAGCTCTGCATCTCAGACCCTTTTGGGTCCTTCTTCATCCTTCCAACATCAAGCTTACCTGGTTTTCACCCTGGAAACTCCTGAGCCTGGCCCTCACCCTGCAATGGGCCTAGATCAGAGAGTCAAGAACAGCCTGCATTTAGCTGGCTGGGGAAGTGAGGGGTAAAGCTCTGCGGAAAATGATGAATGAGCTGCTCCGCACAGGCTTTTAACATCTACGCTGTAAAAGGAGTGGAAATCGTCCCTGCATCAGCACAGAAATGATGTGGAGCAGAGAAGTAACGGAAGGGGGAAAATTGAAGTCAATCATCCGCTTCCCATCCTGGAAAGGGAAGGCCATCGGAATCTAGCTTGCTGGCCTCGAAGTAAAAACTGGCATTAATACTAGAGGCATGAACACTGTATTTCCAAAGGGTTCCATTCGATTCTTTAAATAACTTGTTGGTAACTTTTAAAAGAGAATAATTATAATGTGATTAACAACTGGAGACTGTAACACTCAATTTTACTTCATTCTCTCACCTACCCCTTATATAACAACCCTTTATTAAAAATTAAAGTAGGCAGCCGGGCACGGTGGCTCTTGCCTGTAATCCCAGCACTTTGGGAGGCCAAAGTAGGCGGATCACTTGAAGTCAGAAGTTCAAGACCAGCCTAGCCAACATGGTGAAACCCCCATTTCTACTAAAAATATAAAAATTAGCTGGGCATGGTGGTGCACACCTGTGGTCCCAGCTACTTGGGAGGCTGAGGCAGGATAATTGCTTGAACCCAGGAGGCAGAGGTTGCAGTGAGCTGAGATTGTGTCACTGCACTCCAGCCTGGGAGCCTGGATGACAGAGCAAGACTCCAACTCAAAAAAAAAAAAAAAAAAAAAAAGCAAAACTAAAGTGGCCAAGGCCAGGCATGGTGGCTCACAACTGTAATCCTAGCACTTTGGGAGGCCAAAGCAGGAGGATTGCTTGAGCTCAGGAGTTTGAGACCAGCCTGGGCAACATAGCAAGACCCTGTCTCTACAAAAAATAAAAAGTTAGCCATGTGTGGTGGTGGGTACCTGTAATCCCAGCTCCTTGGGAGGCTGAGGTGGGAAGATCACTTGAGCCTGGGAGGCAGAGGTTGCAGTGAGCTGAGACTCTGTCACTGTACTCCAGCCTGGGTGGCAGAGTGAGACCCTGTCTTGAAAAAAAAAATTTTTTTTAAGTAGCCAGCCTGGGCAACATGGTGAGATGCAATCTCAATAAATAAATAAATAATAAATAGCAGCTGGGCGTAGTGTAGCCTGAAGTTCCAGCTACTAGGGAGGCTGAGGTAGGAGGATCTCTTGAGCTTGGAAGGTTGAGACTACAGTGAACTATGATTGCACCACTGCACTCTAGCCTGGGCGACAGAGCAAGATGTTGTCTCTAAAAAATAAGGTACATACTTTAATTCCCTCCCTACCCCCATTTTATTGTTGAGAATCTAGGTTTGGAGGGGTTAAATAACACAGCAGTGGTGGAACAGGAATTCCAACCCCAGTCTTTCTGACACAGGCCATAGTAGACAGCAGTCTGAGGTTTTAAACCCAGATCTCTTAAGCACCAACCAAGCACCTTTGGGATTGTCAGTAAACCTCTCTGAGCGCATTTTCTCAAGGAAAAACAAAGATGATCAGATTCTTTGCCTCAAGTACCTTTCTGATTGTTAAATATGACAGCACATGTGAAGGCCTTTATGAACCATCTCCGACCTCTCTAGTACCCTCTGGAAGCAGGCAGGGACAGTATGTTCACTTAAGAGTCATTCAATAGATATGTGTCCAATGCATGAAGTTCCGATGTTTGAATCTTCAGAAGTGCATTGTTATCATTCGATCAGATGCCTCTGTTTCATTTCTCATGGCTCAAAAGGTCAGTTCTTTTAAGATGGAGGAGGCAATAGTCTCTTTTTAAAATGTCACTTTGACTGAGTGCTGTCAAGTAATTTTCCTTGGCATATCTTTTTCTGTGACCGGCTGTTTAATAGGAGTTTCCACGAATCCATGAAACAAGACAGCCAAGGGGAAATTTCTCTCTTATAGTCTTTTTTTGCTGTTGGCTTAAAAAAGCCCCAAAGTGGCTGGGCATGCCTGTAATCCTAGCACTTTGAGAGGCTGCAGCGGAAGGATCGCTTGAGCCCAGGAGTTCAAGAACAGCCTAGGTAACATAGCAAGATCCCTGTCTCTACAAAATAATAATAATAATAATAATAATAATAATAATAATAATAATAATAATTAGTCGAGCACAGCAGTGTGTGCCTGTAGTCCCAACTAGAGAGTGAAGTAGGAGGATTGTTTGAGCCCCAGAGTTTGAGGCTGCAGTGAACTGTGATCGTACCAGTGCACTCCAGCCTGGGCAACAGAGCAAGACCCTGTCTCAAAAAAACAAAACAAAACAAAACCATGAAGTGTGATCCCCTCCAATTTTTAGTAACATCGAAGATTGGGTCTGAGCATGGCTTACTCCTGCATGTGCCTCAAGATTTAATATTTTTTGGCCGGGCACAGTGGCTCACACCTGTAATCCCAGCACTTTGGGAGGCCAAGGTGGAGGGAACACTTGAGGTCAGGAGTTCGAGACCAGCCTGGCCAACATGGTAAAACCCTATCACTACTAAAAATACAAAAACTAGTCGGGTGTGGTTGTGCACGCCTGTAGTCCCAGCTACTTGGGAGGCTGAGACAGGAGAATCCCTTGAACCTGGGAGGTGGAGGTTGCAGTGAGCCAAGATCACACCATTGCACTCTAGCCTAGGCTAGAGAGAGAGGCTCCATCTCAAAAAAAAAAAAAAGAAGATTTAATAATTTTAAAGTGTTATCAGCCTTGATCTACTTGACTCATATAGAGTCAGGTAGATCTGGCCCAAGATCTGTGAATAAAGGAACATCGTTCCTGACCACAAGCAGGGCCATGCTCCAACTCTTGCACAAAAGCACTTTTGTTTCACTCATGGTGGCCCCCATGATGGACCTCACACTTCTCCCGATACTAGACTGCATTGCATAGTAACCTGCAATGCTCTTTCCTTCATCATCAGTTTCCAATTCTGATGTCACGATTTGGTTCATGACATTCCTGATAGATTCTCTATGTCTATCAGGAAGGGTCCTAAAACTCTCAATAAAAGTAGTTCTACAGTTTTTTAAAAATGAAACACACAGGGCACGGTTGCTCACGCCTGTAATCCCAGCACTTTGGGAGGCTGAGGCAGGTGGATCTCCTGAGGTCAGGAGTTCGAGACCAGCCTGGCCAACATGGTGAAACCCCATCTGTACTAAAAGCACAAAAATTAGCCAGGCATGGTGGCGGGCGCCTGTAATCCCAGCTACTCAGGAGGCTGAGGTGGGAGAATCGCTTGAACCTGAGAGGCAGAGGTTGCAGTGAGCCAAGATCATGCCATTGCACTCTAGCCTGGGCGACAAAAGTGAAACTCCGTCTCAATAAAAAAACAAAAACAAACAAACAAACAGAAACAAAAACAAACACGCTCTTACCATATAATCCAGAAAATTCTTCTTAGGATTTGCCCAAAAGAGTTGAAAACTTCTGTCCATACAAAACCCTGCACGCACATGAAGTTTATAACAGCTTTACTCACTATCGCCAAAACTTGGAAGCAGCCAAGATGTCCCTCAGTAGGTGAATGGATACATAACAATGGAATATTATTCAGTGCTAAAAACAAATGAGCTATCAAGGCATGAAAAGACGAAGGAAAATTACAGCTGGGCATTGTGGCTCATGCCTGTAATCCCAGCACTTTGGGAGGTCAAGGCAGATGGATCAGCTGAGGTCAGGAGTTCGAGTTCAGCCTGGCCAACATGGTGAAACCCTGTCTCTGCTAAAAATACAAAAATTAACCAGGTGTGATGGTGGACACCTGTAATCTGAGCTACTCAGGAGGCTGAAGCAGGAGAATCGCTTGAATCAGGGAGATGGAGTTTGCTGTGAGCCGAGATCGTACCACTGCACTCCAGCCTGGGTGACAGAGCGAGACTCTGTCTAAAAAAAAAAAAAGGCAGGAAGAAAACTTAAATGCTTGTTACTAAATGAAAGATGCTAATCTGAAAAGGCCACGTACTGTACGATTCCAACTATACAACATTCTGGAAGAGACAGGAATAGGTGGAGTAGAGAAGATTTTCTAGGGCAGTGACACTCCTCTGCATGATACTAAAATGGTGAATACATGTCACTAGACATCTGTCCAAAACCATGGAATGTGCAGGCAGTCCCCAACTTATAATGGTTAAACTTAACGATTTTTCAACTTTATGAAGGTGGGAAAATGGTGCATTCAGTGAAACCGTACTTTGAATACCGACAAAACCATGTTTTTTCACTTTCAATACAGTATTCAATAAATTACATGAGATGGTCAACACTTTATTATAAAATAGGATTTGTGTTTGATAATTTTGCCCAATGGTAGGCTAATCTAAGTGACCTGAACATGTTAAGTAGGCTAGGCTAAGCTAAGATGCTCGGTAGGTGAGGTGTATTAAATACATTTTGGGCTGGGCATGGTGGCTCACATCTGTAATCCCAGTACTTTGTGAGGCTAAGATGGGCAGATCACTTGGATTCAGGAGTTCGAGACCAGCCTGGGCAACATAGTGAGATCCTGTCTCTACAAAAAATACAAAAATTCACCAGGTGTGGTGGCATGTGCCTATAGTCCCAGCTATTCAGGAGACTGAGGCAAAGGACCACTTGAGCCTTGGAGGCGGAGGTTGCAGTGAGCCCAGATCGCACAACTGCACTGCAGCCTGGGTGCTAGAGTGAGACCCTATCCAATAAATAAATAAATGCATTTTGACTTATTTTCAACTTGTGATAGTTTTGAGATGTAATCCCATGAGTCAAAGAGCATCTGTACAATACCAAGAGTGAACCCTAATGTAACTATGGACTTTTTGTGATAATAATGTGTCAAAATAGATCCACCCATTGGAATACATGTGCCACTCGATGCCGGATCTTGACAGTGGGAGAAGCTAGACATGCATGGGTGCAGGGGGCAGTCAGGAGCTCTGTGCTTCCAGTCCATTTAGCCATGAACCTAAAACTGCTCTAAAAAACGAGTCTACTTTTATAAAAGTAGTTTTGTTTTGTTTTTTTTTTTCCAGAGAATAGTCTCACTCTGTCGCCCAGGCTGGAGTGCAATGGCGTGATCTCAGCGCACTGCAACCTCCGCCTCCTGGGTTCAAGCGATTCTCCTGCCTCAGCCTCCCCAGTAGCTGGGATTACAGGCACATGCCACCACGCCTGGCTAATTTTGTATTTTTTGTAGAAATAGGGTTTTGCGATGTTTGCCAGGCTGCTCTCGAACTCCTGACCTCAGGTGATACGCCCGCCTTGGCCTCCCAAAGTGCCGGGATTACAGGCGTGAGCCACCATGCCCAGCCTAAAGGTAGCTTTTTTTTTTTTATTTTTTATTTTTTGAGACGGAATTTCACTCGTTGCCCAGGCTGGAGTGCGATGGCTCGATCTTAGCTCACTGCAACCCCCACCTCCACAGTTCAAGTGATTCTCCTGTCTCAGCCTCCTGAGTAACTGGGATTACAGGCGCATGCCACCGCGCCTAATTTTTTAATTTTTAGTAGAGATGGGGTTTCATCATATTGGTCAGGCTGGTCTCAAACTCCTGACCTCAGGTGATCCACCCGCTTCGGCCTCCCAAAGTGCTGGGATTACAGGCCTGAGTCACCAAGCCTGGCCAGCAGTTTTATTTCACTTTTATTTTAATAAGATTCCTGAACACCACACAATCCTCGAATCGTGGTTGTTACCAAAAAATCAAGTACCAAGTGGCCGGGAAGCATTGTCCCAAATGCCTTTAAAGGCATATTCTCACAAATGTTCATCTTTCATGTACACTTGGCTTTAAAAGAACACATCAAATTTTACATCAACATAAAGGTATGTGAGTGATACACAAATGTGTTCTTGCACATCATTATAAGGCTATTAGTTTGTTCTGTGCAAGCATATACACTAAGCTTAAATTTATCTTCTTCAAAAGCCACCTCTGCTCCTGCTATGAGGTTTTAGATCACCCAAGTTGTACATTTCCTAAATCCCTCTTCAGTTCCCATTCCCATCCTGTTTTTGTGTAAATCCAAGTTTTCTCCTAAAACTTCTGTAGCATCTCTAGAAGATAAGTTCTCCCGACAATTCCAAGAAACCCACGAGTAAGGTACTTAAATATAACACATTTATGAGAAGGGTTGGCTTGTCCTCTGTGCTTTTCCTTCCTTCCTATAAACATGTGCAGACGGCAGGAAAGTACCCCCGCCTCCACCCCTCAACAGCGAAGCTTCTGAAGATCCCAACGGAAGGCATGGCAGCCATCTCCAATCATTCTTCTGTTTTTGATGTGTGGCTTTTGATGAGAGAACAGTGATATGAACACCCTTTGCACCAAAGTGACTTGCTTATTTTTTTTATTAAATGATACATTGAAAGTATAAAAAGTTGCCGCAGTACAAACAAATTACAGAATAATGCATATAAAAGCGCTATGGACTACACGTGACAATTCTGCTTAACTTCCATCTTGATGATTTTATATCAGTATCCAAAATTATATACTCCAGCATTTTTTCCGAATATAGTCTTACATGATTGCAATTCCTGAGGTAAACTAAGTGTCCACTGCCAACATCCTTGGACGAAAACCAAGTCCCCCGGGAGAATTCAGATATTTATATTCACACATACAATACAACGGAATTCATCAATGTAATCAGATATTGCAGATTTAAAAATGGAAAATGGACTCTTGCAATACTTCTGCATCCATATATAATTTTACCAGCAGGGCCTCCCAAAATGTTGTGTAAGTATAGTTTAAATGGATTTCATTAATAAGTTTCTGCATTTAGATAAAAATTCTTGGCTAATCTGTAAGAAGTGAACACTGACTAGCATTGCCAAACAGAAAATCAAAAGTTTCAACAATTTGCAAAGCAGCACAGAATTGACACCCTAAAGAGGATGCCAATTTTGCTAACTACAGCTCTTACCACTCTTCTCCATGGAAAACCTTTAAGCTAAATGTTGTCAGTGTTTAGGTGCGCAGGCAAAATTTAATTCTGAATATACCATCGAACTTTTGCCAATCAGGAGCTGTCTATCATCATAGTCAGTTGTTTTCAATGAAATGAGCCTGTGGACACTACATTAAAAATACTTCTTTAATAAATATCGAAGTAGCGTATTAGAGATAGCACATACTATTTTTCTATCCCAAGAATAAAAATTGATGTTTGGTAAGAGTTTCGGAGCCCAAACAAGTAGGGGGCTGGCCCTCTTCTGGCTCATCTGTGATTGCACAACCGAGGGCCACACGGAGATTAAACAATGCCATCTTTGAAAAATCCCTTTCTGGTATTTCTCCCAAAGCCTGTCTCTTCATGCTTACTTCACATTCTTTATCTAATAAAATAAACTCTTTGTTTTATTTACAGCAAAATTATTACAGCAAATTTACTTCTCCTCTACCTTTTAATTAAATCTTCCAGTAAGCCAAAGTCTAAGGAAAGAAAAAGTACATTGTTGCCTATTGAAAAGGTAATACAAAGCCCTTTCATTTCCTTACAAACTTTAAGGGCCTTTATAATACTTCCTAAATGGCTGGGCTCAGTGGCTCACACCTGTAATCCCAGCGCTTTGGGAGGCTGGGGCACACAGATCACCTGAGGTCAGGAGTTCAAGACCAGCCTGGCCAGCATGGTGAAACCCCATCTCTACTAAAAATACAAAAACTACTCCGGTGTGGTGGCACAGGCCTGTTTTCCCAGCTACTTGGGAGGCTGAGGCAGGAGAATCACTTGAATCCGGGAGGCAGAGATTGCAGTGAGCCGAGATCGTGCCACTGCACTCCAGTCTGGGTGACAGAGCGAGACTCCATCTCAAAAAAACAAAAAATACTTCGTAAAAACAATACTTTTTTTTTCAAGTCAAATCCAATAAGCTAGATGACAAGAGTTAGCTTTTATTCACAAATGTAGTTAAACATGAGGGGTGTTTTGTAGAAACTCCAATTTCTACAAACATTAGTGGTGCATTTTGGTAACATTGGGACAATAAATAAGTTATTTAATTAATAATACAATTTTAAGACAAAAGATACCCCAAACAAAGCATTATCTGTTGACTGCCTGAGAAACATGAAGATCTTCAATGTTAGTACTTTTCTGTTCCTCCTTTCTTAGGTGGTCATCTGAAATGCACAGAAACCAATGTTAATACTTATCCCAAGTCAAAACACACAGATAGGTAGACATAGCTACAAATATCTTAGGATGTTACATATTTAATATTCTATGAGTACTTTAGATGGTTTAGGACAATGAAAAAAACCCATTATTTTTTAAACACTATTGAAGAAATCAGAGGCCAAGCGTGGTGGCTCACGCCTGTAATCCCAGTACTTTGGGAGGCCGAGGTGGGTGGATCACCTGAGGTCAAGAGTTATAGACTAGTCTGGCCAACATGGTGAAACCCCGTGTCTCCTCAAAATACAAAAATTACCCGGGCGTGGTGGCAGGCGCCTGTAATCCCAGCTACTCGGGAGGCTGAGGCAGGAGAATTGCTTGAACCTGGGAGGCAGAAGTTGCAGTGAGCCAAGATCGTGCCATTTCACTCCAGCCTGGGCAACAAGAGTGAAACTCGGTCTCAAAAAAAAAAAAAAAAAAAAGAAAGAAATCAGAAATGTCTGGCATTAGGGACTCTAATTATTCAAAAGAGTTTCTTGACTTTTTTTTTGAGTAGAGTACAACCTGCAGTAAACCCATGCATAAGTAGTTACAAACCTCTCTCTTACATGTAAGGAATGAAATTTGCAAGAAAGGACAAGGTGTTCAATCAGCATTTTGAGGGTTGCCAAAGCTCTTCAATTACAACACAATGAAAACCACTTCAAATAGATCACCTGAGGTCAGGAGATAGAGACCCTGTCTCTACTAAAAATATAAAAATTAGCCAGGCGTGGTGGCGGGCACCTACAATCCCAGCTACTTGGGAGGCTGAGGGCAGGAGAATCGCTTGAACTCAGAAGTGGAGGTTGCAGTGAGCCGAGATCGTGCCACTGCACTCCAGCCTGGGCGACAGAGCAAGACTCTTGTCTCGAGAAGAAAAAAAAAGAACCTAGAGACTTAATATCCTAATGCAACAAAAATGTAATGCAAAAACTAGATTCTTGAGAATATATGAACCCCAAACACTTTCTACAACTGATAAAACATCTTTCTTGCAACAACTTTGATAATAGGAAAAAATATATACATAAATTTAGATAAGCTGCTAGAAAATGCAATTTTATCACTGGGTTTTCTAATTCTACAATGTGATTATACACACGCTTTATTAGTTCTCAGCTGCTTATTCTCAGTGCCAATACTACTTTAAGGGTCTGGAAAACAGATGGAAATCTCTCTCCCTTTATTTTAGGTAACTTTGCTGGACAGAAAAAAAATTAACAATTTCCTCAGAAGGTAACAATTTTAGGTCTTCTAGAAAAGTGTTATAAAAAATGAAGTCTACTATGCTTGATAGATGTGCAATAAAGTTAAGCTGATGACTGTCCCTATTATAAAAATCTGGTCTTTCATTTACAATAAAAATCTTCGCCAGGAATGTAGTCCCAGCTGTAGTCCCAGCTACTTGGGAGGCTGAGGTGGGAGGATCACCTGGGCCTGTGAGGTCAAGGCTGCAGAGAGCCATGATTGTGTCACTGCACTCCAGCCTGGGAGACAGAGTGAGACCCTATCTCTTAAAAACAAAAAAAAAAAGAAAAAAAATGTGTGTGTGTGTGTATATATATATAAAGTTGAATAGCAAAAACTACTTTGCCTTCAAGATTACAAGCACTAACAGCAGCAGTACAAATGCACTGGCTGTCATTTCAAAGGTGGGTGTGCCTACATAAACCCTCTTCATTTTTTTTCAGCACTGAAAACTTGGATGAGAGAAGCACTTTTTCATCTTGGCATGCTTTGGACTTCTTTCTTTCCTTTTTTTTTTTTTTTTTGAGACAGAGTCTCGCTCTGTCGCCCAGGCTGGAGTGTAGTGGCGCAATCTCGGCTCACTGCAACCTCCACCTCCTGGGTTCAAGCGATTTTCCTGCCTCGGCCTCCCGAGTAGCTGGGACTACAGGCGTACACCACCACGTCCAGCTAATTTTTGTATTTTCAGTAGAGACAGGGTTTCACCATGTTGGCTAGGCTGGTCTCGAACTCCTGACCTCAAGTGATCTGCCCACCTAGGCCTCCCAAGGTGCTGGGATTACAGGGGTGAGCTGCCGTGGCCTGGCCTGAACTTATTTTCAAGTAAAAGCCAATTTAGTCTCAGGGTTTGATATTTCTGTTGAATGAGCTTCTGTGGAGACAAGGTGCTGTGATGTAGAATAAGGATTTTAGTATCTTCATAACCTTTTCAATGCTGTCAAATAAGAGTTACGGAGACAGTAAGCTAGAGTTGAGGAAGTAAATGGAAAGCTTAAGTGTGTTACTGAAACATGATGCAGTTCTGGCTGACAACTTTCAAGGCACTACACAAAGAGGTTGTGTCAATAAAATTTTTGATGACCAAGAAAATAATTTGCAAAATCACTGTTCTTCCCCGATTCATTCAGCAGTCATCCTCATTTCTGAGCTGTCTGCAGAGCTTTCCACAGAACAGGCACCCAAGGTGGCTTTACTGACTTGAACTCGATTCTGATGTTCCTGGCACTTTAGTGGTGTACAGGTCGTGTGTCTAGGTGTCTCTTTCCCTCCCTCCCTCCATAAATACCTTTCTCTCTATGGTGTATGCGTAATCTACCGCTTTCATCTCAGAAGAACAGAAATTGGTTAGGAAATAGTGTTCCTTATAACTTTCTTACTAGTCATGAGCCGTGAGTATTAACAAGGCTGATTATGAAACTTACAAACCAGAAAGTTATTTCTCAAGCGGTTATTTTTCTTTATGGGACTGATAGTATCAATGACTTGGGGTTGCTGTGTTAAGAAGTGTTAAGGTGTACAATATCCACTGGTGACAACTGAACTCAGAAACTCATATTGTCATATATTCTTGGTAAGTGTATAGACTGATAAAGCCTTTTTGGAGGGGAATTAGACAATATCTACTACATTTTTAAATATGCATATCCTTTGAACCAACAACTCTACTTTAGGCATCCACACAAGAGAAACGTGTAGACAAAGATACAATGTTACATCACAATACTGTAATGTGTGGACAAAGATACAATGTTACATCACAATACCGTAAAAGCAAAATATTTAAAACTAAATAAGAGTGATTATAAGGTGGGAGAGTAGCCTGGGCAACAGGACAAGACCCTGACTGCAAAAAATTAAAAAATAAGCGAGGTGCAGTGGTGCACCCCTATAGTCCCGGCTACTTGGGATGCTGATGTGGAAAGACTGATCCCAGGAGTTTGAGGCTACAGTGAGCTATGATTGTGCCACTGCACTCCAACCTGGATGACAGAGTAAGACCTCATCTCTAAAATTAAAAAAAGGATGATTGTAATAATACTCTGGAATATGAAACAAAGTTAAAAACGAGATCTACACGTATCAACAAGTAAAAAAAAGCAAATTGCAGGATAACGTGCACCATAACAATGTATATATATTTAAATACACAGAAATGAGTCCCGAAGGGGCTGGGCATGGCCAGATGCAGTGGCTCACACCTGTAATCCCAGCACTTTGGGAGGCCAAGGGGGGTGGATTGCCTGAGGTCATGAGTTGGAGACCAGCCTGGCCAACACAGTGAACCTCATCTCTACTAAAAATACAAAAATTAGGCGGGTGTGGTAGCACATGCCTGCAGCCCCAGCTACTTGGGAGGCAGGAGAATCACTTGAACCTGGGAGGCGGAGGTTGCAGTGAGGTGAGATTGTGCCATTGCACTCCAGCCTGGGTGACAGAGTGACAGTCCATCTAAAATTTAAATAATAATAATAAAATAAAATAAAATAAATAAAATAAAATAGAAATGAGTCCCAAAGAATACCCTGCAAACTGCTAACAGGGACACCTTCTATAAAAAGGGAGAAGAACTGAGGAGTTAGGGAGAGGCAAGAAGGAAGAAAGGAAAGTTAAAGGGAACTTTTTACTATTTAAAAAATTTAGAGATTTACTCATGTACTTGCACTATTAATGTTTTATTTTGCTCGTTAAGTACTTGCCAATTAGTAGGCAGTAATGTCAGTTCCTTACCAATCCCTAAAAAGAGAATTTGGAAAACTTCTCCATAATCTATATGTGGAAAGGTATACGGGAACAGCAATCAAATGTGCTGATTCTGCTACTAATTATCTGCTACAGGTCTTAGTTGAGTTACTTAACCTCTTAGTATTGGAACCTTCTTAAAGTTTTCTCAACTATGAAATAAGTAGATGGGAATGACTTATTTTCCAACGTTCCATCCAGTTCAGCATTCTAATATATATAGAAAGATATCTCCTAGTGCAGTCAGAAACCACCTCCAAAATAGGTTATCCTGATTCACTGTTTACTTTCAGACCTCAAGAGACACCAAGCATCTAACACGGTCACTACTGGTCATAGCAGTTTAGGAAACTACAAAGGCAATCCACATTTTAGGCGTTTCCTAAAAGTTTCCTAAAAGTTCGTGTCAACATTCAAGATTTACATTTGTTCTGATAATTGGCAGCCTAAACCCCACCTTTAACTGTCCTTAAAAATTGACCAGCTCTTGGTTGGGCGCGGTGGCTCAAGCCTGTAATCCCAGCACTTTGGGAGGCCAAGGTGGGCGGATCATGAGGTCAGGAGATCAAGACCATCCTGGCTAACACAGGGAAACCCTGTCTCCACTAAAGATACAAAAAATTAGCCGAGTGTGGTGATGGGCGCCTGTAGTCCCAGCTACTTGGGAGGCTGAGGCAGGGGAATAGCATGAACCCAGGAGGCAGAGCTTACAGTGAGACGAGATCACACCACTACACTCTAGCCTGGGCGACAGAGCGAGACTCTGTCTCAAAAAAAAAAAAAAATTGATCAGCTCTCTACCACAACTGCAAACACTGAGCTATAACCCACTCAATTCAAATGGTGAAAATGGGATCCCATTGCTGGGATAATCAAAATAAGTCAGGGCCAGGTACAGGCTCGTGCCTGTAACCCCCACACTCTGAGAGGCTGAGGTGGGAAATCACTTAAGACCGAGTTCAAGACCAGCCTAGTGAACACGGTTGAGACTTCCATGTCCACAAAAATTAAAAAATTAGCTGGGTGTGGTGCCTGAAGTCCTAGCTACTTGGGAAGCTGAGGCAAGAAGGTGAGAGGATTGCTTGAGCCCGGCAGTTCAAGGTTACGGTGAGCTATAATAGCACCACTGCACTCTAGTCAGGCGACAGAGTGACTAGAAAAAATACATAAAAATTTATGTATTTTTATGTCTCAAAAAAATACATAAAAATTTATGTATTTTTATGTCTCAAAAAAATACATAAAAATTTAAAAGCTACCAAAAGCTCATTTAAAAAACAGGCAATCTGAAAGAAATGTGGGCGATTCTCCTAACAATCTGTAACTTGTAGGTAACTTCCACTGTAACATAAACAGTATCCTAAAAATGCAAATGACTTCTCTATCTGTATTTAGCAATCTTACCTTTTATTTTGCAGTCATGGAGAGGAAAAAAAATAATCACTTGATAAAAAGCTATTTATTCAGTATACCAAGGATCTAAGCTGCTCCAAATACTTACAATTTACATGAAAATTGGAGTTTTCAGTATTTTTTTGTTTTTTTTTAAATTTAATTAATATAATTTTTTAATTAAAAAAATAGAGATGGGGTTTCACCATGTCACTTAGGCTAGTCTCAAACTCCTGGCCTCAAGCGATCCACCTGCCTCGGCCTCCCAAACTGCTGGGATTACAGGCATGAGCCATTGTGCCTAGCCCAGAGTTTTAAATACTTCTATAAAGAAATTACATCTAAGAATTCTGCCCAGTTATGCCTCCCACCCTTCCCTGTCCAAGATTCTTTACAAAAAGCATTCTGTTTCTTGGAGTAACATAGGCTAGACATATTAGATACAAGCAGAATTAAACTATGACTCAAAAGCTCAGTAAAGACTCCAAAAGAAAAATATATAGGAAGAAAACATATTTGCTGACAGCTAAATGATGAATCTTGGAAAACTCATACCCATTGGCTTTCTTCTACTAGGTTGTCTGCCAAGACTTGGGTCTGAAGGCTGAAGTGAAGGCCCTTTCAGAAATGCATTCTGGATGCCATCCTTAGTTCCACGCAAGAAATGGGCTAAAATCCCATATAAAAGAGGTCTATAGCAGGAAGAAAACAAAACAAAACCAAAAGCTAATAAATCTGCATAAACGGGAAAAGCTTAAAACATTTATTCTTTAAAAGGTAACCTCTGACATCAAAAAGACCAAGTGATTCACTAGACTTTAAAAAGCGGCATGATTATCCAAAATGCAAATTGTTCATACTTTTAAATTTAAGAGTACCACTTAATTTCATGACAATTTTAAAACCCAGAGAAAACATGTTAACAACTTAAACCTCATCTACACTGAAATATCATTTCTATCAATCCACAGGAATCTCTTTTAAACTCCAAAGTCCAGTAGAGTATTTCCCAATACCTAACCCCATCTAATACACAACAGGTATTCAATAAACACCTCTTGATTAATAAGTCCTTGCCCTGAAAAAGTCTTAGGTCCTGAGAGCCAGGTGACCTGAGTTCAAATTCTGGCTTTGCCATTTGCTAGCTGTGGGACTCTGTGTAAGATTCTTAACCTCTCCAGCCTCATAAATGTTTCTTCCTTTATAAATTAGGATAAGCACCGTCCCTCCCTTATAGGGCTGTTATGCACTAAATGAGTTAATAAATGTCAAGTGTTTTTTACTGTGCCTGGCACATATGAAATGGTATATAAATGTTAGCTCCTGTGTAGCTAACATTTATTTAGATTAATATTTATATTACCTATTATTTTAAAATCTTCTTTATAGTTTACAGAACGTATACCTCTTCTCATCTAATCCTCATCGTGTAATGTCAAGATCATCAACTGCAATTTATAAAGGAGAAAACCACAGCCAGGAGATTTGCTAGAGATTCCCCCAGATAGTAAACAAAGTTTACACTTGAACCCCAAATCCCATATTGTTTTCCTTACAGTGTGCTGCCTGGGAATTTATATTAGTACTCTTGCATCAAGGAAAGCTGCTCTGCTGACAATCAAGAGTGGTACAATGGAAATGTTTTCCTTTGTTTCCAATCTCAAATTTGAAAACACAATTAAAAGGATTTAATCTTTATTTTTAATTTTTGTGGGTACATAGTAGGTGTATATATTTGTGGGGAGGATTTATTTTTTGAGATATGTATCTATTTACTAGCTGGTATAATGGTTTACAGTACGACGCTCCCTTCCAAAGATGGAATCTCATTGCCCTCTGAGTGTGAGCTGAACTCACTTCTAACTGGCACAAAGCTGACTTCAGAGGCCACGTGGTAATGGCCCTGCAGCTTCCTCCTTGCTTTCTCTCTTGGATTGCTGCCTTTGGGAGAAGTCAGATGCCTCAGGACACTTCAGCAGCCCTGGAAAGTTACATGCAGTAAGGAATTGAGGCCGCCTGTCAATATCATTATGAGTTTGGAAGCAGATAGTTCAGCCACATTCAAGGCTTCCGACTACAACCCTGGCTGGCATCTTGACTCCAACCTCAAGGGGGAGCCTGAGCTAGACTTACGTGACTAAGCCAATCCCAAATCCCCGAATATTCCACAAATAATCTATGTTGTTGTTCTAAGCTACCAAATTCTGGAATAATATCACACTAATTTTTCCATGCCACAGGGAAACCAGGAAAGTAAGTTTCTTTATTTAATAAGATGCCGCAACTCTTATGAAAGCGTCACCTAGTAATATAAAACAGGTCTCTTTGTTTACTTTAATCTTCCCCAAAGTGTTAACTGGTTCAAGATGATTTTTAAATGTTAAAAGTTTTATTTTTTAAATAAATATTCAAAAAAATGTACTTGTGATTAAAATTTTGGGTTGGACATGGGGGCTCAGGCCTGTAATCCCAGGACTTTGGGGGGCCAGCCTGGCCTCAAACAGGAGTTTGAGACAGCCTGAACAACATAGCGAGTCCCCTAGCTCTACAGCAATTTTATTTTAAATTAGCCACAGAAGGTAATATGCACCTGTGGTCCCAGCTACTTGGGAGGCTGAGGTGAGAGGATCGCTTGAGTGCAGAAGGGAGAGGCAACTTGCAAATTCATGGATTAAGGTTTATCTTTTAAAATAAGTTTCAAAAAGATAAAGAAAAGTGCGGCCTCACAATAACTTGCCTGTAATTCTGAAATGCAAAATTCTGAAAACTGGATTCTCTTCATATATCTGGCAAAAAATCATCAGATGGCAAGGGTTGACCTAACAAGGCTATTAACAAGGCTATTACAGACTTTATCTTACTTTGTGTGAAAACATTAATGTGCTGGGTGTGGTGGCTCAAGCCTGTAATCCCAGCACTTTGGGAGGCCAAGGCAGGAGGATCACCTGAGGTCGGGAGTTCAAGACCAGCCTGACCAACATGGAGAAACCCCGTATCTACTAAAAATACAAAATTAGCCGGGTGTGGTGGCATGCTCCTGTAATCCCAGCTACTCAGGAGGCTGAGGCAGAAGAGTCACTTGAACCCAAGAGGCAGAGGTTGCAGTGAGCTGAGATCATGTCATTGCACTCAAAAAAAAAAAAAAAGAGAAAGAAAATATTAATGTGATTGTGGAATACTACTTTAGGACTCCCTGGCACATACATGTAGTATTTGGTAGATGTACCATATTACTTTTTTTTTTTTTTTAAAGAATTGAAGTCTTGGGCCGATGGCTCACACCTGTAATCCTAGCACTTTGGGAGGCCGAGGCAGGAGGATCATGAGGTCAGGAGATCGAGACCATCCTGGCTAACACGGTGAAACCGTCTCTACTAAAAATACAAAAAATTAGCCAGGCGTGGTGGCATGCGTCTATAGTCCCAGCTACTTGGGAGGCTGAGGCAGGAGAATCGCTTGAACCTGGGAGGCGGCAGTTGCCGTGAGCCGAGATCACGCCACTGCACTCCAGCCTGGACGACAGAGTGAGACTCTGTCTCGAAAAAAAAAAAAAGAACTCTCGCTGTGTGGCCCACACTGGAGTGCAGCAGCAAGATCATGGCTCACTGCAGCCTCAATCTCCTGGATTTAAGTAATCTTCTTGCCTCACCCTCCTAAGTAGCTAGGACTACAGGCATGTCATTTTAAAACCCGACAGCATTTGGATTTTCAAACATGTATCTGGCCTCAGTGGTTTCAGATGCAGCACTGCAGATCTGTAAGTAAATAATATGAGTAATATGTGACTATGGCAAACTCTGTGAATGCCAATCACTGAAGTGTGAGAAACAAGGGCTTAAAGAAGTTACCTAACTTTTAAAAAATAAAGCCGTTTTAGCAACTTTTTTTTTTGCTTCCTCATCCTCTCTCAAACTTACTTTTTTTTTTTTTTTTGGAAACGGAGTCTCGCTTCTGTCGCCCAGGCTGAGTGCAGTGGCACGATCTCGGCTCACTGCAAGCTCCACCTCCCCGTTTGACGCCCATTTTCCTGCCTCGGCCTCCCAAGTAGCTGGGACTACAGGCATCCGCCACCTTGCCCGGCTAATTTTTTGTATGTTTAGCAGAGACGGGGTTTCACCGTGTTAGCCAGGATGGTCTCCATTTCCTAACCTCGTGATCTGCCCGCCTCGGCCTCCCAAAGTGCTGAGATTACAGGCGTGAGCCAATGCGCCCGGCCTTCTTTTTTAAAAAAATATGAAACATTTCACGAATTTGCGTGTCATCCCTTTGCCGGGGCCATGCTAATCTCTGTACCGCTCCAATTTTAGTTTATGTGCTGTTAAAGTGAGCACAAACTTCTTAATACTTTCATCTGAAGTAGGTATCTCAAAAGCTACCAAGAAGCCAGTAATAGTCATTGCTTATTTCCATCAACTGCTAAATGTAAAATGATGTCTTGTATTAAATGATGTAATAACTCACTGCTCATCCTAAGTCACGCTTAGATTCCCCCAATTATTTTTCCCACTGTTCTCAATTATACAATTTTTATACTTTTCAAAACACTTGTTACCAGGTGCAGTGGCTCATGCCTGTAATCCCAACACTTTGGAAGGCCAAGGTAGGTGGATAACTTGAGCTGAGGAATTGGAGACCAGCCTGGCTAACATGGTAAAACACCATTTCTAAAAAAAATACAAAAATTGGCCAGGCATGATGGTGCATGCCAGCGTATGCCTGTAATTCCAGCTACATGGGAGGCTGAGGTGGGAGAATCGCTTGAGCCCAGGAGTTCGAGGCTGCAGTGAGCCATGATCAAGCCGCTGCACTCTAGAGACCTGGGCAACAGAGTGAAACCCTGCCTTGAAAAAACAAACAAAAAAACCTCACAGCACTTTGGGAGGTGGAGGTGGGCAGATCACTTGAGGCCAGGAGTTCGAGACCGGCCTGGCCAACATGGTGAAACCCCATCTCTACAAAAAAATATGAAAAAAAATTAGCTGGGCATGGTGGTGCACACCTGTAATCCCAGCTACTCAGGAGGCTGAGGCAGAATCAGTTGAACCCAGGAGGAGATTGCGGTGAGCTGAGATGGGGCCACTGCACTCCAGCATGGGCGACAGAGCGAGACCCTATCTCACAAAAAGGAAAAAAGAAAAAAAAAAGAAACAAGGGAAGATGAGAGGAAGAGAAAGAGGAAAATGCCATAAAGGAGTTACTATCTGAACAGGGCCAACAGAAAGGAAAGATGCTCCAATAGAAGTTAAGATGCTCCAATAGAAGAGGGAGAAAGGTGATGTAGGGCTTCTAGGATAAGGGAATGGTTTACAAGGCAAAGCAGCATAAAGTTGCAAAGTGTCTTCCAGGCATAATCAGAAATCAGGTGTGAGCAGATAGAACAACAGACGGGTAGAAAGAGGTGTAAAGTGCTACGCTAAGCAACAGGGACTTCACTATACACACAATGACAAAGGTAGTATATGATCCTGGAACATTAATTTTACACAAGGATTTGTGGGAGAGTTAGATTTAACTGGAATGTCATTTAAAACATTTATATAGTAAAGCAAACAACTTTCAGAACTTTTTTTTTTTTTTTGAGACAGGGTCTGATTCTGTCACCTAGGCTAGAGTGCAGTGGTGTGATCTTGGCTCACTGCAACCTCCGCTGCCCAGGTTAAAGCGATTCTCATGCCTGAGCCTCCCTAGCAGCTGGGACTACAGGCACACGCCACCATGCCTTGCTAATCTTTTTGTTATTTTTAGTAGAGATGGGGTTTCGCCAGGTTGACCAGGCTGGTCTCAAACTCCTGACCTCAGGTGATCCACTTGCCTCAGCCTCTGAAGTGCTGGGACTACAGGCATGAGCCACCACGTCTGGCTAGAGATGGGGTTTCCCCATGTTGTCCAGGCTAGTCTTGAACTCCTGAGCTCAAGTGATCCTTCCACTTCAGCCTTCCAAAGTGCTGGCATTACAGGCACGAGATACCTCACTTGGCCTTAAGAACTTTTAGGATGAGAAAACGTAAGGCTTCAAAGAAAGTTCTAGATTTAAAAAAAGGCTGCTTTAAGCTATGTTCTCAGGTCTCCTATGTACTTTTTTTTTTTTTTTTGGCTATACAGGGACTCTCCAGAAAAAGTTTAAGAAACACTGAAATAGAAAAAAACTAAGAAAACTAGAAAGTGGTCATCCTCCTTTTCAAGAGCATAGTTGGTGAGAGGAGGTACACAGAGGGCAAAGGACAGAGTAATAGTAACGAAAGCAGTGGGCTGATTCAGTAATCTTGGTAGAAAAAGGTATTCGAGCAGAAGCTTGGGGTTGGAAGTTCATAGTTTTTGTTTTTGTTTTTGTTTTTGTTTTAGGAGAGGAGAGATCTGAGTACATTCCTAAGTTGGAGTGAAGGAAGAGTTAAATATGAAGAAAACAACTGACAAGGCAAAGTCTCAGAGGCCAGGCATGGAGGGCTCACACCTGCAACCCTAGCACTTTGGGAGGCCAAGGCAGGAAGATCACTTGAGGTCAGGAGTTCGAGACCAGCCTGGGCAAAAAAGCGAGGCCTTGCCTCTACAAAAATAATTTGAAAATACAAATAAAAGTTGAAATTATAAATTAAAAAACAAACAAAGCCTTAGAAGGACAAAGGATCAAGAAGTCAAAAGGAGCTAACTCCAGAAAGAAGATGCTGAGTCACTCTGAAGCCATGTAATTGTAGCTTCAGCAAACACAGATCTCATCTGACTTATTCACTGCTGCACACCCTGGATTTAGGACAATGCTTGACACACACTAGATCTGAATAAATACTTGAATTAAAATGAAGTAAAACCACCATGGTGCAATTATGACTCAATACAATATGTGGAAACTTCTTTAAAAAAATTTCTTACATTGTATTATCCTTTGATTCTTCAAATGCATTTAGTTCATGGATGAGAAACTGTCTGTCCAACGGAACTACAGGTTGACCAGATTCTGGGAGAAATAAATTCATGAGAACACTCAGTCTATTAAACTAAAAAGCAAATAAGATTTTGAAAAGAATCACATTTACCAGACATACACTTTTTAGATTTTGGAAGAATGATGACAACACACACCAAGACAGATCAAATTGCCTGTGATTTTATGACTTTCAAAATATCTCTTTTGTTAAATGCATGTCTTAATACAGTTTAACATAAATTCACTTTTTAAATTCCCCAGTGTTTGGTTGGAAAAATACCATTTCTATATCCAAATTATAATACTAAATTTTGGAAGTCTGTTTATCAATAACTTATTTTTGAAAAGAATATCCACTTGGTGACAATACTTATAAATAAAAATTAAAGTTAACCTGAAGTGTGGGGCAGCTGGAACTTTCACACTTTGCTGGTGGGAAAGCACAATGGTACAGGCACTTTGGAAAACAGTTGAGCAGTTTTCTTATAAAGGTGAGCGTGCACTTAACCACACAACCCAGCAATCTCACTCTTAGCTTTCTACCCAAGATTAATGAAAACTTATGTTCTCACAAAAACCTGTATGTAAATGTTTATGGCAGCTTGATTCCTAACTGCTAAAACTAGAAACAACTCAATGCCCATCAACTGGTCATAGATGAGCAAACTAGCACAGCCACACAATAGAACAGTGTTCAAAGGAAAAACAAACATGGCTGAATCTTGAATGTATTACACTAAGTGAAAAAAGGCAGACTCAAAAGGCTACATCATGTACGGTTCCATCTACAGCAAGGGTCCCCAACCCCCGAGCCACAGATTAGAAACTGGGCCACACAGCAGGAGGTGAGGAGTGGGCAAGCAAGTGAGGGAAGCTTGATCTGTGTTTACAGCTGCTGCCCATCACTAGCATCACTGCCTGAGCTCAGCCTCCTGTTGGCAGAATTAGATTCTCATAGAAGCGTGAACCCTATTGTGAACTGCACATGCGAGGGATCTGGGCTGTGCACTCCTTATGAGAATCTAAGGCCTGATGATCTCTCACTGCCTCCCATCACCCCCAGATGGGACCATCTAGTTGCAGGAAAACAGGCTTAGGGCTCCCACTGATTCTACATTATGGTGAGTTATAATTATTTCATTATATATTACAACACAATCATAGAAATAAAATGCACAATAAATGGAGTATGCTTGAATCATCCTGAACCATCCTCCCAGGTCCATGGAAAAATTGTCTTCCATGAAACCAGTCCCTGGTGCCAAAAAGGCTGGTGATATCTTGATTGTGATCTGGTAGTAATTACACAACTGCAGGCATTTGACTAAAGTACAGAACTGTACAGTTTAAAAGGTAAATTTTATTGTATGTAAATTATATCCCAGTTTTTTAAAAAAAGCCAAACCATTTAATATGAAAACTTGACTACTGTCACTATATTTCATTCTAGTGAATCCCAAGTCCCCACTATTTTCATAATTTCTTCTTTTCTGGGTGTAACTGGTATCATACAGCCATCTATAACAAACAAAGGAAAGCAGAGATGCTGATATCAAAGATCCTTAAACCATAAAAATCATGAGTCTTTATGTAGTTCAGACGTATGTTTAATATTAAATAAAGGATCTGTAACGAAAAATTCTAACTTCACAAAGAATTCATTCTCTCTTGCAAAATCTACTTCCTGGCCTCGCTTCTTTGCTGAGGCATGAAGTAGTCAAAGCAGAGATGGAACCTGAAACGAGGGAATCCGATGACACACATTCAGGGTGCCTCAGACCAACCCCCAGCTGCATCCCCCACCCCACCAAGTCCAGGGGTAACCAGGATTCTGACTTATTTATATCCATCCAGTCTCTCCTCACTTTTTTGAAAGAAGACATTTAAAAGTCAGCAGAAGATATTAAAAATATTCTCACCACTCAATAACTGTTACACTTGAAGAGCAAATTTATTTCTCAAGAAATAAAATTCAACAGATAAAGGGAATTTATCTTTATCTCCCCACCCCCAACCCCCAATATCATTCTCTGCCTCCTATCACTAGGATGAGTTTGGAGTTTCCCGCTGCTAGAGTCTGGATATTTGTCTCCGCCCAAATCTCATGTTGCAATGCACTCCCCAGTGTTGGAAGTGGGACCTGGCGGGAGTTGTTTGGGTCATGGGGGTGGATCCCTCATGGCCTGGTGCTGTCCTTACCACAGTGAGTGGGTTCTCATGAGAACAGGTCATTTATAAGTGTGTGGCACTAACCTTCCCCACCCTTGGCCCCTGCCTTCACCATGTAACGTGCTTGCTGCAGTGAGCAAAAGCTCCCTGAGGCCTCCCAGAAGCTAAGCAGATGCCAGTGCCATGCTTGTACAGTCTGCAGAACCGTGAGCCAAGTAAACCTCTTTTCTTCAACCGGGTGCGGTGGCTCACGCCTGTAATCCCAACATTTTGGGAGGCCGAGGAGGGCGGATCACGAGGTCAGGAGACTGAGACCATCCTGGCTAACGGTGAAACCCTGTCTCTACTAAAAATACAAAAAATTAGCTGGGCATGGCCTGTAGTCCCAGCTACTTGGGAGGCTGAGGCAGGAGAATCACTTGAACCCAGGAGGTAGACGTTGCAGTGAGCCGAGATCAATCCACACTCCAGCCTGGGTGACAGAGCAAGACTCTGTCTCAAAACAAACAAACAAACAAACAAACAAACATACAAAAAAACCTCTTCTCTTCATAAATTACCCAGTCTCAGGTGTTTATTTATAGCAATCCAAAAACAACCTAATATACCAGCCTAGTCCTTTATAAATACCATGCTTTTAGATACATACATTTGTAAATGTACCTAAGCACTACATAGTAGTAATATTTCAAAGTTTTATCTCCATTATATCTATCTATCTATCTATCTATCTATCTATCTATCTATCTATCTATCTAGATACACACACACACACACACACAAATAGACATATATCTACATATCTATATATAGACAGGGACAGTTTTTTTTCTTTTAAGAGACAGGAGTTGGACCAGCCTGTCCAATATAGTGAAACCCCGTCTCTACTAAAAAATACAAAAATTCGCCGGGCCTGGCAGCACACACCTGTAGTTCCAGGTACTCGGGAGGCTGAGGCAGGAGAACTGCTTGAACCCAGGAGGCGGAGGATGCAGTGAGCTGAGATCACAATAGAGTGAGACTCCGTCTCAAAAAAAAAGAAAGAAAAAAAACACAGGGGTTGGGTGCAGTGGCTCATGCCTGTAATCCCAGCATTTGGGGAGTGTGAGATAGGTGGATCACCTGAGCCCAGGAGTTCAATACCAGGCTGGGCAACATAGTGAGAGCTCATCTCTATAAATAATAAAAAAATTTAGCTGGGCATGGAGGCATGCACCTGTGGTCCCAGCTACTCAGGAGACTGACGCAGGAAGACTGCTTGAGCCCAGGAGGTGAAAGTTGCAATAAGCCATGATCGCACCACTGCAGTCCAGCCTTTGCAACAGAGTGAGATTCTGTCTCTGGAAAAAGAAAAAAGAGACAGGGTCTCTCTCTGTTGCCCAGACTGGAGTGCAGTGATGCGATCATGGCTCACTAAAGCCCAGAGCACATGGGCTCACATGATCACCCCCTCCCCGACCCCTGCTCAGCCTCAGCTAGGACAACAGACACGTGCCACCATGCATGGCTAATTTTAAAAACTCTTTTCCAGAGATGGGGTCTCCCTGTGTTGCCCAGGCTGGTCGCGAACTCCTGGGCTCAAGTAATCTTGCCTCGGCCTCCCAAAGCACTGAGATTACAGGTGTGAGCCACCTACCCAGCCTATTTTTTAACAAATAATATACTTAATCAGCGTATATTTTTAAAGCTTAATACACAGGAAAAAACTGGTGGCAAACAGGACAAAACGTCAACAATTGTTTATTCTCGGTTACAGGAATTATAGATGATTTTTCCAAGTATATGCCTAGTTTAAGTGATTATTTAGTTATGTATTTTCTCTTGTAAGAATCTGTTTAAGCTACAGAAAGAACCCATGTGATTTTTGTGTCCCAGTCACCCAGATGGCACTATCTGGTAAGGGAATTAGATTTCTAGGATAAACAGTTTCTGAGAATTGGGGAAAGGGGAGAAACAGATTTTATGTGATAAATAATAACCACTTACCTGCTATGAGGACAGATGCTGTATACTTATATTTGTTGAATTCTAAATACTCTCGAATTAATTCATTAATTAGAAGGTTTTCATGAGACAATGATGGTCGGGGTTCACGGTCATCATCTAGGGCATTGAAAACTTCAGCTCGGATCCTTGCTTTTAAATGCCCTAATACCCCCTTTTTTTCCAAGGTGTCCTTTAAAACTGTTCGATATAAAATATTAAGGCTTCAGTTACAGAGTAAATTTGTCATTCTTAGGCATACTTTGAAAAGAAATGTTGAAAAGGTAAATGGTACAAAAACAGCTCTCAAGCAGCTCTTAATCTAAACATTGTGACAAATTATTAAACAATTACACTACCACCAGCCATGTTTATACTAAAACATATAGTTCTCATGTTGCAGTGATTTAGTCTTAATATATTTGAGCAAATTCAAGTTTATTCCTACATCATCAGCACTGTCAGGGGCTGTAGTCTAATACATATTCTTTTTTATTTTATTTATTATTTTTTTTGAGACACAGTCTCGCTCTTTCACCCAGGCTGGAGTGCAGTGGCACGATCTCAGCTCACTGCAACCTCTGCCTCCCAGGTTCAAGCAATTCTCCTGCCTCAGCCTCCAGGGTAGTTGGGACTACAGGCACGTGCCACCACGCCCAACTATTTCTTTTTTGTATTTTTAGTAGAGACGGGGTTTCACTGTGTTGGCCAGGATGGTCTCAATCTCCTGACCTCGTGATCCACCCACCTCAGCCTCCCAAAGTGTTGGGATTACAGGTGTCAGCCACCGTGCCTGGCCAATACATAATTCTTTAGTGAGGGGAAAAGGCGGGGGATAGGATTATAGTTGCTTACTGAGACCTGAACTTAAGCCCCAGTCTCTCATATATTTTCAAGAGTGTCTGCCACTGCACACAGGTTCTGCTTGTCACTAACAACCTCTGGTCTAGAAAGATGATTAAAGAAAACAACTACATTCCATAAAAGAAGTCTGTTGGGTTACTGTGTAAAAACCTTGATGGCAGGGCATGGTGGCTGATGCCTGTAACCCAGCACTTTGGGAGGCTCAGGCGGGCGGATCACGAGATCAGCAAATTGAGACCATCTTGGCTAACAAGGTGAAATCCCCCTCTCTACTAAAAAAATACAAAAAATTAGCCGGGTGTGGTGGCACGCACCTGTAGTCCCAGCAACTTGGGAGGCTGAGGCACAAGAATTACTTGAACCTGGGAGGTGGAGGGTGCAGTGAGCTGAGGTGGTGCCACTGCACTCTAGCCTGGGCGAAAGAGTGAGACTCTGTTTAAAACAACCAACCAACCAACCAACCAAAAAAAAAAACACAAACCTTTGATAATCCACAACGCTTTAGGGAGTGAAAAGGTGTTGGGTTTTTCATTGTTGTTATTTTGAAACAATCTCGCTCTGTCGCCAGGTTGGAGTGCAGTGGCACGATCTCGGCTCACTGCAATCTCCAGGCTCCCTGGTTCAAGCAATTCTCCTGCCTCAGCCTCCCAAATAGCTGGGATTACAGGTGTGCGATACCACGACTGGCTAATTTTTGTATTTTTAGTAGAGACAGGGTTTCACTATGTTGGCCAGGATGGTCTCCATCTCCTGACCTCGTGATCCACCCGCCTCAGCCTCCCAAAGTACTGGGATTACAGGCATGAGCCACTGCGCCCACTGGCCTCGTTGTTTTAAAGACAACTATGAGTTAATTCCTTAGAACAGTAGGATTCTGAAATTTTAAGCCTAGTTAGAAATCTACCACGTGACTGTATCAATGCCATCTTAAGGAGTCAGGGATGTGTATGCAGAATGGAAATCTAACTTACTGATTAGCCAGAGTCACCATGACAAAGCAGTTATGATCATGGGATTTGGCTGTACATACTTAGTATAGATAATGGGGATCTTAGGACTGAATTGGCACCATCCCTTGTAGTGATCTGCAACTTTTATTTTCAAACAGTTCCTACTGGCTAAATGACAACTTCAGAGAATGAACACATCTCATCCACAGAGTCAAGAACAGAGCAAGAGCTCAGTAGGTGTCACCTAGAAGGATTATAATACATTGCTGTACACTACTGGGAAATCAATGTAGTTTAACACTGTTCTGCACCCTGCCAAAGGCACCAAGTAAGTACATCACAATAACAAAAATCCATAAAGAGAGCCCAGGAGCTTATCCAAGTCAGTATGGACATAAGATCTTTCTAAGCTTCAATAAATAACGTCAACAATAACCCTGGATCATATGACTAAAGAGATAGAATCTTCACTGACTTTTGACCTTTCTTTCCCCTCATTTTTAAAGCATCCCTTCAACCTTCTTGCAGATAGGTTAAGTACAGTTATCACCAGATCAGAGTTTGTAACAGGTCCATAAAAGGAAGGTACAGCCTTATTGTACTCTTAGAATCATAACTGAACCCCTATTCTCTAATTCCATCTTTGGAAATTGGATGGAGAGATTTTGTCACTGGCAAGGATCCTGTCCCAATTACTCTGTATTGCACACAGGACAGCCTCAAACTGGACAGAGAAACGAGAATTAGTGACAGTGGAATGAGGAAAGCTAGCATGTCTCATCAGCACCTCAGTGGTGGATTACCAACCCATGCCTCAGTTGCCTTCTCTAAAATAATGAGCTCTACCTCTCAGAGATAGAACCAAGTAAGAAGGAAAAACGTGATCGTGCTTAAAAAAGGTAAATGCCCATAAAATGTAAGGTAACTGGCTGGCAAACAAGTTTTCACCGGGTTTCTTTTGGAGGTCCATAGCATTTTACCTTTCCCTCTATTATGCTTAGAACACTGCGCCATCAAAACTTCTTCGGAAAGGTCTTAACCTCGCTTATATTTCAAGAGTACCTTTTTTATTTTATTTTTTAATTTGTTTTTTTTTTTGAGACAAGGTCTCATTTTGTTGCCCAGGCTGGAGTGCAGTGGCACCACTGTAGCTCATTGTCACCTCTATCTCCTGGGCTCAAGCTATCTTCCTGTTTCAGCCTGTGGGGTAGCTGGAACTACCACAGGCCACTATGCCCGGCTCTTTTTTTTAATTTTTATTTTTTAAATAAAGATGGGGTCTCACCATGTTGGCCAGGCTGGTCTTAAACTTCTGGGCTCAAGCGATCCTCCCAAAGTGTTAGGATTACAGGCATGAGCCACTGTGCTTGGCCCATTCCAAGTGTACCTTTAAATCCTCTGAAAATGTATGCAATATTACATGTGATGTGTATTTCCCTGGGAACAGCATCTGTAGACTCGTGAAGTCTGTTCTTGTGGACAGATGCATGCCTGTTCTGTTTTATGATTGTTCACCAGCCCTGTCCCCAAATACACACTTTTATACACGTCTCCTCCCTAAAATATCTAAGAATTACTAGTTTAAACCCTGGGTTCCCTGCAAAGTGGAACTGGTTTTATTTTTTGGACAGCAATCTTGCTCAGTGATTAAGACCTGGCGCTCCAGTGCGTCACAACTAGGTTCCCATGCTGTGTCTCTTTCCAGTGAAATCACTTTGAGCTATTTCACTTCTCAGTACCTCGTTTCCCAGTCTATGAAATGGGCATAGGGTTGTTACAATCAGGTAACACACAGGCTGAGTTGAGTAGTGCCTGACACATGAGGCTCAATGATAACTATTATTACTATTACTTGTCTGGACATTTGCTTCAAAGTAAACAGCGTACAAATGTCATTAATGACTCAAACATAACTAGCTTAGAGTATCTTTTCCTGAAAAGACAGGAGAATGGCCAGGCCAGCAAACTTTTTGCCTCTAGTTTCTTCTGATGAAAAAGGGGCCAGGCGCTCACACCTGTAATCCCAGCACTTTGAGGGGGCCAAGGCAGGAGGATAGCTTGAGACCAGGAGTTCGACAGTAAGACCCCGTGTCTACAAAAAATACAAAAATTAGCCGGGCGTAGTGAAGAGCCCCTGTATTCCCACCTGCTCTGGAAGCTGAGGTGGGAGGATAGCTGGAGTCCCGGAGTTCGAAGCTGCAGTGAGCTGTGATCGCGCTACTGCACTCCAGCCTGGGCGACAGAGAGACCCTCTCTTTAAAAAAAAAAAAAAAAAGCAAGGAGGGGAGGGCTACTTAACAGGTTGTTGTAAGGACCCAACGAGACAACCAAGCAAATTGTTTAGGGCAGTGCCTAACCCAATAGGGGTTGTGGGAATTGTAGTCATCAGCCCTGAGTGCCAAGCCTGGTCCAAGTCCTCCAGCCCCCGGCAGGGTCCAAGAAGATGAGCCAGGGGCCCAAGATGCAGGCCTGTAGGCCTCTTAGATGCCTGAAGATTACGCAACTCCTCCTTTAGCTCCAAACTGGCTTAAAACTCGCCAGTGGGCAACCTCTTCCCCATAAGAGCTCCCCGCGCACGGGCCAAGACAGCAGCCAGACGCTCCCCGCAGGCCCTCACACCGAAGAATGACGCCTGTAAAAGCCAACCCATGTGTTCCGCGCGCTCTCCTCCCATCCCATCCTTTCCACAAGATGAAGGCCCGACGCTTCCCATGTGGAGGCCTCCCTGCTCGCACTCACCAGCCTTCAACTCTGCCACAGTCGCCATTTTTCAACGGCCGCCAGGGCCGCACCGCGGCCCTGCGCACGCGCAGCTCCGCCCCACTCACCCTGCGGCGTGGTCTGTAGCCAATAGGCGCACAGCTCTCGCCCCGCCCACTTCCGCCCCTCTCAGTTTATGAGCTCTGCGGTTGAGTGGGTAGTGAATGTCGACCAGAGACTCCACCAATCAGCGAGCGCTCTCGGAAGGCCCAGTTGAGTGAGACGGCAGGGAGGGCGGGGACTGAGGCAGTGGAGAGCCCTGTGGGGTGCTGCTGGCACCTTAGTGCTTAACTTTAGCCAGCTGAGTTTTTCATTGTCTCTGCAGCCTCAAGTACCAACTGCTAGTAGTTACCACCTATTAACCCTGCGGTTCTCAAACTTGAGCATGAATCCTCATCACCTCCAAGACTTGTTTAAACGGATTGTTTGCTAGTCCTCCCCATAGAGTTTCTGATTCTGTAAATCTGGGGTGAGGCCCTAGGATTTGCATTTCTATCGAGTTCCCAGGTGGTACTGGTACTGCTGGTCGGTCTGGAGATCACACCTCGAGAACCACTGTATTAAGCACTTACTGTGACGCCTTAGCGCATTATTTCCTTATGATCACGCCGTTTTTACAATGAAGGAAACAGAGTCCTCCATCGCTGAAGAGACTTAACCAAGGTCACCAGCCTGTCCTCTTCCACTCGCACTTACACAGTGCATGTAAGGAGTCCAGGAGCTTTTTATGGAACTAACTAATGAAGGAATAAGCTCCAACATCCCATGGAAGTAAAGGAAAAGGAACAGGGGAATAATGTACCCTAAACTGAGTGTGAGGTTGCATGATTCCAGTTGTAATGCCGGTGAGATCCAAACACTTGGCTAAATAATAAACATCGATTAGACGTACACCTAAGAGTGGCCGGGCGCGGTGGCTCACGCCTGTAATCCCAGCACTTTGGGAGGCCGAGGCGGGCGGATCCCGAGGTCAGGAGATCGAGACCATCCTGGCTAACACGGTGAAACCCTGTCTCTACTAAAAATACAAAAAATTAGCCGGGCGTGCTGGCGGGCGCCTGTACTCCCAGCTACTCGGGAGGCTGAGGCAGGAGAATGGCGTGAACCCGGGAGGTGGAGCTTGCAGTGAGCCGAGATGGCACCACTGCACTCCAGCCTGGGCGACAGAGTGAGACTCCGTCTCAAAAAAAAAAAAAAAAAAGTACACCTAAGAGCTGCCAGGGCACGGTGGTTTACGCCTGGAATCCCAGCACTTTGGGAGACTGAGGTAAGGAGTTCGAGAACAGCCTGGCCAGCCTGGTGAAACCCCCTCTGTACTAAAAAAAAAGTACAAAAATTAGCCGGGCGTGGTAGCAGGAGCCTGTAATCCCAGCTACTTGGGAGGCTGAGGCACAAGAATCGCTTGAACCTGGGAGGCAGAGGTTGCAGTGAGATGAGATCGCGCTACTGCACTCCAACCTGGACGACAGAGCGAGACACCGCCTCAAAAAAAAAAAAAAAAAAAAACCACCTAAGAGCAAGGAAACCTCTTTCCGAGGAACTTCCAGCATACTTTTGGTTCCATGCCTATTGTTTTTAAAACTGATACATTGGCCAGGTGCGGTGGCTCATCCCTGTAATCCCAGCACTTTGGGAGGACGAGGAGGGAGGATTGCTTAAGCTCGGGAGTTTGAGATCAGCCTGGGCAATGCAAGACCCCATCTCTCCAAAATAAATACAAAAAATTAGCCGGGCATGGTGGTGCATGCCTGTAGTCCCAGTTACTCCAGAGGCCGAGGATAGAGGATTGCTTGAGCTCAGGAGTTCTAGACCAAGCTGGGCAACATGAGACGCATTTCTACAAAAAAAAAAAAAAATTAGCCAGATATGATGGTGCATGCCAGCTACTCGAGAGGCTGAGGAGAGAGGATCACTTGAGCCTGGACGGCTGATTGTACCACTGCACTCCACTCTGGGCGACAGAGTGAGTCCCTTTCTCAAAAAAAAAAAAAAAAAAAAAAAAAAAAGAAAAGAAAAAGAGAGAAAGAAAAATTGATATATCACAATTATGGGGAGGGACGTGATATTTTGATACACATATACAATGTGTAATTATCAAGTCAAGGCAATTGGGATAAACATCACCTCAAACATTCTTTGTGTTGGAAGCATTACAAGTATTCTAGCTATTTTGAAATATACAATCAATAATTGTTAACTATTTTTTTTAAAGGGAGGGGGAACAGCCTGGGCAGCATAGGGAGAACCTGTCTTTAAAAACGAGCAAACAAGGCCGGGTGCGGTGGTTCACGCTTGTAATCCCAGCACTTTGGGAGGCCTGAGGCAGGCAGATCACAAGGTCAGGAATTCGAGACCAGCCTGGCCAACACAGTGAAACCCCATCTCTACTAAAAATACAAAAATTAGCCGGGCGTGGTGGCAGAGGCCTGTAATCCCAGCTATTCGGGAGGCTGAGGCAGGAAAATTGCTTGAACCCAGGAGGCAGAGGTTGCAGTGAGCCAGGGGTGCAGAGGTTGCACTCCAGCCTGGGGAACAGAGTAAGACTCCGACTCAAAACAAAACAAAACAAAACAAAAGAGCAAACAGCCAGGCACGGTGGCTCACGCTTGTAATCCCAGCACTTTGGGAGGCCGAGGAGGGCAGATCACCTGAGGTCAGGAGTTTGAGACCAGCCTGGCCGACATGGTGAAACCCCATTTCTACCAAAAATACAAAAATTAGCTGGGCATGGTGGCAGGCATCTGTAATCCCAGCTACTCGGGAGGCTGAGGCAGGAGAATCGTTTGAACCTGGGAGGTGGAGGTTGCAGTGAGCCGAGATCACGCCGCTGTGCTCCAGCCTGGGCGACAAGAGTGAAACTCCGTGTCAAAAAAAACCAAAACGAACAAACAAACAAAAAAACCGAGCAAACAAAACAAAAAATTAGCCTGGCATGTGTCCCTGTAGTCCGAGCTACTCGGGAGGCTGAGGCAGGAGGATTGCTTGAGCCTAGGAGGTGGAGGCTACAGTGAGCCATGACCATACCACTGCATTTCTAGCCTGGTGACAAGGGGAGATGCCTTTTCTTTCCCTTCCTTCCTTCCTTCCTTCCTTCCTTCCTTCCTTCCTTTCCTCCCTCCTCTCTCTCTCCTTCCTTCCTTCCTCCCCGCCCTTTCCCTTTCCTTCCTTCCTTCCCTCCCTCCCTCCCTCTTTCTCTCTTTCTCTTTCTTTCTTTCTTTCTTTTCTTTCTTTCTTTCTCTCTCTCTTTCCTCTTTCTCTCTTACTTTTTCTTGAGACTTAAAAAAAAAGGGGGGCCAGGCAGAGTATCTTGACCTAGAGTCTAGGATAATGCTCTTTAAACTGCTGGTTAACCAAATAGTAGGTTTTGAAATCTATTTATTAGTAGATCCCCATGAGTACATTTTCAGTGAAATGGAATGTAACAAATAGAAAACATAGAAGTATGGTTTTCTAGAACTTTCCTTTCAGGTACACATGTGTGTTCTGGTACCTGTTGTATTTCTTAAAGTGATCAGCCATCAGAAAAGTTTGAAAGTGATTGTAACCTAGAGGAATCTCTTCCTATTCCAAACTGGATTAATTTTTGACTGGATTAATTTTTGATTATGGGACACATATCTGTTCTGTAACCTTGAAAAGGTCCTATCTTGTTTCTCTACTCTGTAAAACCACAGTGACTGAATACCTGGCCAGCATTTCAAGAGATTTTTGGGGATTAACTAAATTCCATAGGTGGTATTTTTAAGTCCCTCAGAAAAAGCACTCCTGTGGTGTTATGATATAGGTATTGATTTTCATCTCCACGATTCCTGGCATCTAACTCCCATTCACCTCATTATAATGTTGAGGCACTTTAGGCCTCAGGAAACAGAATCTCCCTCTCTGATCTTCTCCTGTCCACCTCTGACCTGCCCCAAGCAGGACTCTAATCTGACTGTGGGTCAAAAGACCCTCATTCCAGAAAGGGTTCTGCCTGCTACCCTCAAGGAAGAAATGCTGCACAGAGAGCCCAAGAAAAGTCTGAGCAGACAGGCTTTGCTGGGTTTAGATCAGGCACTTTCTGTCCAATCAGATTTCTTTCTTTTTTTTTTTTTTTTTTGAGACGGAGTCTTGCTCTGTCGCCCAGGCTGGAGTGCAGTGGTACAGTCTCCGTTCACTGCAACCTCTCCCTCCTGGGTTCAAGCGATTCTCCTGTCTCAACCACCCAAGTAGCTGGGATTACAGGTGTGCACCACCATGCCTGGCTAATTTTTTTTTTTTCCAGACAGAGTTCCGCTCTTGTTGCCCAGGTTGGAGTGCAATGGCACGATCTCGGTTCACCTCAACCTCTGCTTCCCGGGCTCAAGCAATCCTCCTGCCTCAGCCTCCCAAGTAGCTGGGATTACAGGCATGTACAACCACACCTGGCTAATTTTGTATTTTTAGTAGAGATGGGGTTTCTCCATGTTAGTCAGGCTGGTGTCGAACTCCCGACCTCAGGTGATCCGCCCACCTCAGCCTCCCAAAGTGCTGGGATTACAGGCGTGAGCCACCACGTCTGGCCTGTCCAATCACATTTCTACACGGTGTTCAATCACACCTATGTAATAAAGTGTCCCATAAAAACCCAAGAGAACTGGGTTGGGAGAACTTCTGGATAGCAGAACACGTGGAGGTTGTTGAAGGGTGTTGCATTCAGGGAAAGCATGGAAGCTCCACACCCCTTCCCCTATACTTTGCCCTATGTGTCACTTCATCTGTATAAACAAAATTAAGTGTTTCCCTGAATTCTTTGAGCCACTCCAGCAAATTAATGGAACCCAAAATGGGGGTTGTGGAAGCTCCAACTTGAAGGCGGTCCATCAGAAGTTTCAGAGGCCCAAACTTGCGACTGGTGTCTGAAGGAAGGCAGTCTTGGGGACTGAGCTATCACCCTGTGGGAAATGACACTATTTTCAGGTCGAAGATGTCAGATTTAAACTGAAGGACACCCAGCTGGCGTCAGCTGCAGAACTGATTGTTTGCTGGCCAGGCGCAATGGCTGAAGTCTGTAATCCCAGCATTTTGGGAGGCAGAGGTGGGTGGATCACTTGAGGTCAAGAGTTCCACACTAGCCTGGTGACATGGTGAAACCTTGTCTCCACTAAAAATACAAAAAATAGCTGGGTGTGGTGGCATGCACCTGTAATCCCAGCTACTCAAGAGGCTGAGCCAGGAGAATCGCTTGAACCTGGGAAGCAGAGGTTGCAGTGAGCAGAGATCATGCTATGGGTGACAGAGTGAGGCTAAACCTAAAAAAAAAGATTGTATGCTTGCTGGTGGGGGGATTTCCCCACACATTTCTGGGGTCCACAGAAGTATTCTGTGTTGATTATTGGTGTGTTGATGTGTGAGCAGAGAAAAAACACGGTTTGAGAAAGTTTATATCCAAAAAACTCCTGAATATGTTGATGAGGAACTCGGAGAGAGAGGCAAATAATAATGTGATTGACCGATTGGCAGTGGTAATCATACAGTAGCTAACATTCATTATACTCTCTGTATGGCAAGGACTGCTCTAAAAGCTTTACATTAAGTATTCACCAACAACCCTATGAGATGGATACTTACATGCAATTGTCTCAAGTAAAATTGTATTTAAAAACATACTGGCCAGGTGTGGTGGCTCATGGCTGTCATCCCAGCACTTTGGGAGGCTGAGACAGGCGGATTGCTTGAGGCCAGGAGGAGTTCAAGACGAGCTTGGTCAACATAGTGAAACCCTGTCTCTACTAAAAATACAAAAAATTATTTGGGTGTGGTGGCACACACCTGTAATCCCAGCTACTTGGGAGGCTGTGGCATGAGAATCACTTGAACCCGGGAGGCAGAGGTTTCAGTGAGCTGAGAATGCGCCACTGCACTCCAACCTGGGCGACAGAGAAAGACTCTGTCTCACAAACAAACAAAAAACATGTACTAATGACCAGGCACAGCAGTTCATGCCTGTAATCCCAGCACTTTGAGAGGCTGAAGCGAGAGGATCAGTTGAAGCCAGGAGTTTGAGACCAGCCAAGCCAACAAATCAAGAACCCATGTCTTTAAAAAAAAAAAAAAGTAGCTGGGCATGGTGGCACATGCCTGTATTCCTAGCTGCTCAGGAGGCTGAGGCAGGTGGATTGCTTGAGTCCAGGAGTTCAAGGCTGTAGTGAGCTATGACTGTACCAGTGGACTCCAGCCTGGGCAGCAGAGCAAGACCCCATCTCTGAAAAAATAAATACCTTTATACATACATTAAAAACATGCACTGACATTGAGTAACACTGAATTGCTGGGGATATGTCGAAACAGGCACTGCCATACATAGTTGGTAGGTAGGCAATCAACACCACCATCCAGAAGGCAGTTTGTCAATATCTCATCAGATTTTCACACCCTTTGACTCATCAAATCTACTTCTAAGAATGTATCTTACAGATATAATCACACCTACTTACAAAGGATATAAGTATAAGAATATTCATTCACTGTTGATAGTAGAAAAAACTATGCACACCTTTCAGAAAGGCTAAAATAAAGACTACTGACAATACTGTTGGCAAACACACATGTACTACTGGTGGGAAGACAAAGTGGTATAGTCACTTTGGAAAGCAGTTTGGCAATTGCTTATTAAGTCATAGGTACACTTGGCCCAGTAATCCCAAAACTAAGTGTTTGCCCAAGTGAAGTAAAAACTTGTAGGCCGGGCGCGGTGGCTCACGTCTGTAATCCCAGCACTTTGGGGGGCCAAGGCGCATGGATCATTTGAGGTCAGGAGTTTGAGATCAGCCTGAGCAACATGGTGAAACCCCGTCTCTACTAAAAATATAAAAATTAGCCAGGCATGATGGAGCATGCCTATAATCCCAGCTACCCAGGAAAATTAGCCAGGTGTGGTGGCGGGTGCCTGTAATCCCAGCTACCCAGGAGGCTGAGGCAGGAGAATCACTTGAACCCGGGCAGCAGAGGTTGCAGTGAGCCGAGATCGTTTCACTGCACTCCAGCCTGGGCAACAAGAGCTAAAGTCCACCTCACACACACAAAAAAAAGAACTTGTAGCCAGGCACAGTGGCTTATGCCTATAATCCCCACAGTTTATGAGGCCAAAGCGGGATGAACGCTTGAATCTAGAAGTTTGAGACCGGCCTGGGCAACATGGTGAAACCCCATCTCTACAAAAAAAAAAAAAATTACAAAAATTAGACAGGCGTGTAGGAGTGAACATGTAGTCCCAGCTACTCCAGAGGCTAAGGTGAGAAGACCTGCAGAGCCTGGGAGGTCCAGGTTGCAGTGAGTCGTGATCACACCACTGCACTCCAGTCTGGGCAACATAGTGAAACTGTGTTTCAAAAAAATAAAAAATGTTCTCTGGTGAGGACTCGGTGATTGAGGGTCAGTGTTCGATGGAGACTTACTTTTTTTTTTCTTTTTGAGACAGTCTCTGTTGCCCAGGCTGGAATGCAATAGCACCATCATAGCTCACTACAGCCTCGACCTCCAGGCTCAACTGATCCTTCAGCCTCCCGAGTAGCTGGGACCACAGGCACGTGCCGCCACGCCCAGCTATTTTTATTTTTTGTAGAGATGGGGTCTCACCATGTTGCTCAAGCTGATCTCAAATTCTTGGGCTCAAGCAATCCTCCTGCCTCGAACTCCCAAAGGCCTGGGGTTGCAGGCATAAAACACCACACCCAGCCTTACTTTTGTCCATAGACTTATTTTAATTTATTAATTAATTTATTTATTTGAGACTGAGTCTTGCTCTATTGCCCAGGCTGGAGTGCAGTGGCACGATCTGGGCTCACTGCAACCTCCGCCTCCCAGGTTCAAGCAATTCTAGTGCCTCAGCCTCCCGAGCAGCTGGGATTACAGGTGCACACCATCATGCCTGGCTAATTTTTGTATTTTTAGTAGAGACAGGGTTTCACCATGTTGGCCAGGCTGGTTTCGAACTCCTGACATCAAGTGATCCTCCTGTCTCGGCCTCCCAAAGTGCTGGGATTACAGGTGTGAGCCACCGTGCCCAGCCTAATTTTAACTTTTAACTATGTACATGCATTACTGTGCACAACCAGCTGTGGGCAAGTACAGCCCAATAGCCCCTCCTCTTCACTGTCTTGAGTATCTCTTGCTCGTTGTTGAGGGCCCGTCTAGCGCCATGCCCCATAGGCTGCCTATAGGAGTCCTTTTGACCCTTCAGGCACCCACACAATTGTGGAAATGTGGCTGGACCAACAAATAGTGGGAGTGAGTGGTAATCCATGTGTGACATGCGAGAGGTGCACATTTTTTTCTCTCTCTCTTTTTTTTTTCCATAGAAATATAAAATGTTTGTAGAAATGTAAAATCTTTTGTTTTTCTTTTTTTTTATTTTTCCAGACAGGGGTTAACTCTGTCACCCAAGTTGGGCTGCAGTGGTGCAGTCACAGCTCACTGCAGCCTCAACATCCCAGTCTAAGGGATCCTCCCACCTCAGCCTCCTGAGTAGCTGGGACTACAGGTGTGTGTCATCACACCTGGCTACTTCTTTTATTTTCTGTAGAAGCAGAGTCTCGCTATGTTGCCCAGGCTAGTCTTAAACTCCTGGTCTCAAACAAATTCTCCCACCTCAGCCTCCCAAAGTGCTGGGATTACAGGCATGAGGCACTATGCCCAGCCTGTAATCTTATTAGCACACAGCCATGCCCCCCACTTTTTTTTTTTTTATTTTTGAGAGAGGTTCTCACTCTCACCCAGGCTGGAGTGCAGTGGCATGATAAGGGGTCACTGCAGCTTCAACCTCCCCTGGCTCAGGCAATCCTCCCATCTCATCCTCCCAAGTAGCTGGGACTACTTGTGCATGCCACCATGCCCAGCTAATTTTTTGTATTTTTTGTAGAGATAGGGTTTCGCCATGTTGCTCAGACTGGTCTTGAACTCCTAGATTCAAGCATTCTGCCCACCTCAGCCTCCCAAAGTGCTGGGATTAATTACAGGCGTGAGCCACCGCATCTGGCCGCCTGCCTGTTTCTTAAGGCATTGTCTATGGGCGCTTTTACACGGCAACAGAGGAATTGAGAAGCTGCAACAGAACTCACTTAAAATATTTTACCCGGCACTTGAAGAAAACATTTGTCCACTCTTGAATTCTTTTTCATACTTTTTCTAGGCCACAGGTATATTATTAACAGATTAACCATTATTTTTTTTTTCAGCTATAGCCAATAATAATAAAAAAGAGCAACTCACATTGATGGTGCCCTTATTGTGTGTGTGTCGTTTCATGGCATCCTGAAGACAGCTGAGAGACAGATGTGATCATGCCTGTTTTACAGATGGAAACTGAGGTTTGGAGGGTTGAAGTTGCTTCTGAGTAAATGGCTGAGTCAGTGCAACTTGACCCCAGTTCTGCTCCACTCACCCAACGTTGCTCAGCCGTTTTCGGTTGTTTCAGTTTCACTGCAGACACTTCTCTGTTCTCCCCCTGCCCTCCTTCTCTCCCCCAAACTCTCTCTCTTCCTTCTCCTCCTTTCTCTTCTTCTGCTCCCCAATCCCCCTCCTCCTCTTTCATCTTCTTCCTCCTCCTCCTTCCTCCTCCCAGCCCTCCTCCTCCTCCTCAACCTCCTCCCCTTCTATCTCCTCCCCCTCCTCCTCTTTCTTCTCCCTCGCCCTCCTCTCTTCTTTTCTCTCCCCCAACCCCCTCTCTACTGGGCCTTTGCATGTGCCCATCCCCCAGCCTGGAAACTTCCTCCTGTTCTGGTTAATTTCTGCTCATTCTCCAGGTCTCAGTCTACCTTTTTGTTGTCGTTGTTGTTGTTGTTGAGACGGAGTCTCGTTCTGTTGCCCAGGCTGGAGTGCAGTGGTGCGATCTCGGCTCACCGCAAGCCCCGCCTCCCAGGTTCACGCCATTCTCCTGCCTCAGCCTCCCGAGTAGCTGGGACTACAGGTGTGCGCCACTGCACCTGGCTAATTTTTCGTATTTTTAGTAGAGATGCGGTTTCACCATGTTGGCCAGGCTGGTCTCAAACTCCTGGGCTCAAGCGATCCACTTGCCTCAGCCTCCCAAAGTGCTGGGATTACAGGCATGAGCCACCGTGCCTGGTCTCCAGGTCTGTTTAAATGTCATTTCTTCCTAAAGCTTTCCTGGCTAATTCGATTCTTCTTCTCAAATGTATCTTGGGGGGTGAAAGGTCTGAGAAGAGGGAGGGGCATAGAGATAAAGGAAGCTTCCAACAGAGGTGCATCACCAATGCCCTTCTCCCAGGTCCGAGGTCATACCCCTGGCTCGAGGGGAGGCGGCTTCCGATGCCTGGTCCATGCTGGGGTATCAAGTTCCAGCCCTCTCACCCCAGTTTGGGACAATTCTGTAGGACCGCCTCACTGGCAGAGCTTGCTGAGGGAGTAAGCTGAGGCCTTTGTAGGCCACAAGGTTGAGACCAGCCTGAGCATCATAGTAGGGCCTTGTTTCTATGAAAACATTTTTTTAAAAAATGAAACTTCCCACATGACAATTTTTTTTTTGAGACGGAGTCTCACTCTGTCACCCAGGCTGGAGTGCAATGGTGCGATCTCAGCTCACTGCCACTTCCGCCTCCCAGGTTCAAGTGATTCTCATCTCAGCCTCTCAAGTAGCTGAGATTACAGGTGCCCACCACACCTGGCTAATTTTTATATATTTTAGTAGAGATGGGGTCTCGCCATGTTGGCCAGGCTGGTCTTGAACTCCTGACTTCAAGTGATCCGCTCATCTCTGCCTCCCAAAGTGCTGGGATTACAGCCATGAGCCACAGCGCCCGGCTTCCCCATGACAATTTTAAACATGAGAACTATGTATATGCCACAGTCTGGAACTTGGGATCTCAAATAATCTTGGATTCCTTGTTCTCAGTCCCCATACAGAAGGGAGGAGGGCTGGCCTTTGGACTCCCCCAAATCTGGGTTCGAATCCCAGCTCCACCACTGCAAGTCTGGTTGCTCTGGATCAGTTACTTAACGTTCTCTAAATGTCAGTTACATCCGTGAGATAAGCTACCTCGCGGGACTTCATTCAGTCCTTCTTCAAATATCTGTAGAATATTTGTAGGCTGAGGCCTTTGCTGGGACCGTGGAGAAGCCCAACTTCCTCCTCCCTTTCCCCCACTTCCTAGGCTTTGATCCAGCCCTGGAGCCTTGATCGAATTGATCTCTCTTTCAAGTCTTCCAGGGAGGCTGTGACTCAATCCTAGAAACCAGGGGCAGGTCCAGGCTGCCTGTGGTCTACTTGCTCCACTTCCTCAGGTGCTCAAGGGTGACTCATCACTCAGTAAGTTCAGAGCAGAGGGCGTTCTCCTCAATGTGTGCCAGGAGCACAGCAGGAATGTAGGCACCCTCAGAGCTCCCCAGAATTCCCTAACCCTGGACCACACTGTGGCATTGCAGCCTATGTGGGGCTGAGGCTCTGTTTCACATTGGGTGCCCAATGGACTGCTTTACAGGACAGATGCCTTGTTATCCTGCTCTGCTCCGGTAGAACAAATATTTGTAGAAGGACCGAATGAAGTCCTGCAAGGTAGCTCATCTCACAGACGAAACTGATGTTTAGAGAACATTAAATAACTGGCCCAGAGCAACCAGACTTAAAGTGGTGGAGCTGGGATTCAAACCCAGATTTGGGGGAGTCCAAAGGCCAGCCCTCCTCCCTTCTGTATGGGGACTGAGAACACGGAATCCATGACCATTTGAGATCCCAAGTTCCAGACTGTGGCATGTACATAGTTCTCATGATTAAAATTGTCACGTGAGAAGTTTCATTAAAATTTTTTTTTTTTTTTTTTTTTTTTGTAGAGACAAGGTCTCACTATGTTGTCCAGGCTGGTCTCAAGCTCCTGACCTCAAGCGATCCTCCTGCCTCAGCCTACCAAATTGTTGGGATTGTAGGTGTGAACCACTGCACTCTGCCCAGAGGTTTCAAAGTGAACTTTTTTTCTTTAATCAAGATGGGGTCTCACTATGTTGCCCAGACTGGTCTCAAACTCCTGAGCTCAAGCGATCCTCCCGCCTTGGCATCCCAAATTGCTGGGCTTACAGGCATGAGCCACTGCACCTGGCCTCAAAGTGGAATGTTTTTAGTGGGGGGAAGGTGCTGGATATTACTGTCAGTCCTTTAGAGGAAGTAAAATAAATCCTACAGGTACATTGACATTCTCAGGTCACTTTCAGAGGGATGAGCAATAAATTCATTCAATGCCTTCTTTACTAAAAGCATTAGAGATAAAGAAATTCTGGAAGTAAATCTTGCTGAAATGCATTTTGTCAGGGGAACTCAGTTGAACAAAAACTAAAGGTTGAGTTCAGAAAAGGTAAATGTCTTTTACCAAGATTTAGTTCTTTTCTTCCAGGTAGATATGCCTTTTCTTAGGATCTGGAGTGAGAGGCTGTTGGAAAATAAGGGTTGGGGAAAGCCACAGATGGAATTTTACAAATTGGAGACAGCTACTTAATAGAAACGGCATCTCATCAGACAAGTCAAGGCAACTGTTGAAAATATGACATGTCTCTCTATCAGCCATTCATGGCCCAGGACACTATGGCAACCAAATCCAAACTGCTGGTTCAAAGAGATTAGTCTGAATCCCAAAAGAATCCTAATTCTCTCCTGATTTATTAAGGAAGAAAACAACAACCGCCTTTATTTGCAATATTATTGCATTGCATGCAATCCTAGGAAAAGGTGTGGCTGTTATTTTTGAAGAAGTACTCACCCTATACTAGATACAGTATGAAACATTATTCATGCGTCATTGCATTTATTTCTCACGTGATCTCAAGAGGTAGATGCTACTGTCATCCTGATTTTAAGATGAAGAAAGCAAGCCTTAGGGAGTTAAAGGGAACTGCCCAAGGTCAAACAGCTGGAAAGAGACTTGGCCAGACGCAAAAACAGTCTGATGCCCGGTTCAAGGTCCTTTAGTTTCATCTGTCCAGTAAGTAGACAGAGTATTTGATACTTGGGCTGGACTAGACAAATCTATGATGTGTAATTGTTCTGTGAACTCACAGATCCTAGCGTGAAGAGTTTTTTGTTTTGTTTTGTTTTGGTTTTTTTAGATGCAGTTTCGCTCTTCTTGCCTACGCTGGAGTGCAATGGCGTGATCTTGGCTCACTGCAACCTCCACCTTCCGGGTACAAGTGATTCTCCTGCCTCAGCCTCCTGAGTAGCTGGGACTACAGGCACCCACCACCACGCCCGGCTAATTTTTTGTATTTTTAGTAGAGATGGGGTTTCACTATGTTGGCCAGGCTGGTCTCAAACTCCTGACCTCAAGTGATCCACCCGCCTCAGCCTCTCAAATTGCTGGGATTACAGGCGTGAGCCACTGTGCCCGGCCTTTTTTTTTTTTTTTTTTAGATAGGGTCTTGCTCTGTCGCCCTGGCTAGAGTGCAGTGGTACAATCATAGCTCACTGTAGCCTTGAATTCCTGGGCTCAAGCGATTCTCCCACCTCAACCTCCCTGAGTGGCTGGGACTACAGGTGCGTACCATTACAACACCTGGCTAATTTTTTTTTATTTTTTAATATTTTGTAGAGACAAATTCTTGTTATGTTACCCAAGGTGGTATTGAACTCCTGGCCTCAAGTGATCCTCCCACCTTGTCCTCCCAAAGTTCTGAGATTACAGGTGTGAGCCACTGTGCTTAACCAAGTGAAGACTTTTTTGGCTAGCTCAACCCTGTAATTCCAGCACTTTGGGAGGCCGAGGTGGGTGGATCACCTGAGGTCAGGAGTTCAACACCAGCACGGCCAACATGGCAAAACCCTGTCTCTACTAAAAATACAAAAATTAGCTGGGCATGGTGGTGGGCGCCTGTAGTCCGAGCTACTCAGGAGGCTGAGGCAGGAGAATTGCTGGAACCTGGGAGGCGGAGGCTGCAGTGAGCCGAGATCACACCACTGCACTCCAGCCTGGACGACAGAGCAAGACTCTGTCTCAAAAAAAACCCCAAAAACAAAAAACAAAAATCAAAACAAACAAAAAGCCCAAAGGAGGACTTTTTCATGCTGATAAAGAATGTAGGATAAACCTGATACCCTCTCCAAAATCTCTTCCAATTTTCCTAACCTCTGTATCAATGAGGACTTCCTTTCCTTTCTGACTTTTGATCAATGTAACAAAAATAAAATTGAAGCAGAGAAGGGTTAAGTATGTTGCTCAAGGTCTTGCAGGTGATTTGGGTTAGAGCCAATCTTGAACTCAGCCAGGTGAGGTGGCACCTGGTTCCATGACTGGACCCTCCCTGCTGCCCTGGTTTGCGAGAAGATTCTTACACACATGTCCCTGATCTCCTTGAAGCTTTGATTTTCCACCTAGAGCCCCACTGCAGCATCCTGGTTATCTGCGCAAGCTCTGTTGTTACACTGAACTGGATGGTGAATCCTGGGTACCTGTGTGGCCTTGGGCAAAAAAAAAAAAAAAAAAAAAAAGCACCTCTCTGAGCTTCCATTTCTTTCATTCTTTCTTTCCCTTTCCCCTCTCCTCCCCTCCCCTCCCCTCCCCTTCTCTCTCTCTCTCTCTCTCTCTCTCTCTTTCTTTGTTGGAGTCTCCGTCTGTTGTGCAGGCTGGAGTGCAGTGGCGCAATCTTGGCTTGCTACAACCTCTGCCTCCTGGCTTCAAGCAATTCTCCTGCCTTGGCCCCCCTGACGAGCTGGGATTACAGGCATGCACCACCATGCCAGCTAATGTTTGTATTTTTGTAGAGATGGGGTTTTGCCATGTTGGCCAGGCTGGTCTCAAACTTCTGACCTCAAGTATTACGCCCATTTTGGCCTCCCAAAGTGCTGGGATTACAGGTGTGAGCCACCACACACGTTCTTGGGCCTCCATTTCTACAGCTATTAAAAGGAGGCCATAATAGTACCTAACTCCTGGGATATTATCGTGGCTAAAATGAGCTAATGGGCCAGGTGCGGTGGCTCACATCTGTAATCCCAGTACTTTCGGAGGCCGAGGCGGGTGGATTACCTGAGGTCAGGAGTTCGAGATCAGCCTGGCCAACATGGCGAAAGCCCGTCTCTACTAAAAATACAAAAATTAGCCAGGTGTGGTGGCTTGCACCTGTAGTCCCAGCTACTCGGGAGTCTGGGGCAAGAGAATCGCTTGAACCCAGGAGGTGGAGGTTGCAGTGAGCTGAGATTGTGCCACTGCACTCCAGCCTGAGTGACAGAGCTAGACTCCATCTCAAAAACTAATAATAATAATAATAATAATAATAATAATAATAATAATATCATAATAAGATGGGCCTGGCGCGGTGGCTCACGCCTGTAATCCCAGCACTTTACTCTACTAAATCTCTACTAAAAATACAAAAATTAGCCAGGTGTGGTGGCGGGTGCCTGTAATCCCAGCTACTTGGGAGGCTGAGGCAGGAGAATCACTTGAACCTGGGAGGCGGAGGTTGAAGTGAGCCAAGATGGCGCCATTGCACTCCAGCCTGGGAAACAGGAGTGAAACTCTGTCTCAAAAAAATTAAATAAATAAATAAGTAAATAAATAAATAAAATGAACTAATGCATGAAGAGCACTTAGTTAAATTAAATAAATAAATAAAATTTTTAAAAAATAAAATTAATTAAATAATAAATAAATAAATAAAATGAACTAATGCATGCAACAACTTAGCACAGTGCCTAGGACATAATAGGCACTCGATAAGTGGGCTGGGCGTAGTGGCTCATGCCTGTAATCTGAGCACTCTGGGAGGCTGAGGCGGGCAGATCACCTGAGCTCAGGAGTTCAAGACCACCCTGGGCAACATGGCGAAACCCCATCTGTACAAAAATTACAAAAATTAGCTGACCATGGTGATACCCACCTGCAGTTCCAGCTACTTGGGAGGCTGAGGTGGGAGGATCACTTGAGCCCGGGAGACTAAGGTTGCTGTGAGCCCAGATCATGCCACTACACTCCAGCCTGGTGGACAAAGCTAGACCCTGTCACACACACACACACACACAAAAGTGGCTATTTCCTCACCATTCCCCCCTTGGCAGGTCACAGCCCAGTCCACTCCACTCCTCCATGGTCTCCATTCTTGTCGCCTCGACACCAGATGGCCTGGATTAGGTGTGTAAGAACATATTTATGCTCCAGTTTTCTCTTGTCAAATTCCTCATCCTTCCTCTCCCCTTCCCAGATGTTCTCCATTCTCCGCAAATCCTCTACCTCACCTCCATCTTCCACCTGCTCTTTGGTCACTCTGTCTCCTACTCAACTAGGAAGACCCTAGGAACCCTCCACTTGGACCCTAAATCTCTTTGCATTTTAACCTTTCATTCATGAATTCATTCATTCGAAAGATATTATTGAGCATCTACTATGTACCAGGCACTAAGGATACTAGAGTAAATATAATAAACAGGATCCTGGCTGGGTGAGGTGGCTCATGCCTGTAATCTCAGCACTTTCGGCGGTAAAGGTGGGTGGATCGCTTGAGGTCAGGAGTTCGAGACCAGCCTGGCCAACATGACAAAACCCGTCTCTAGTAACAATACAAAAATTATCTGGGCATGGTGGTGGCACATGCCTGTAATCCTAGCAACTTGGGAGGCTGAGGCAGGAGAATCGCTTGAACCCAGGAAGTGGAGGTTGCAGTGAGCTGAGATCACACCACTGCACTCTAGCCTGTGCAACAGAGCAAGACTTTGTCTCAAAAAAGTAAACACGGTCTCTACTCACATAGAGCTCACTGGCCAAGAGAAAGGGCAGCAATTCATCAAATATTTAATTACAAACTCAGATAAATACTATAATGAAAAATGCAGAGATTCTGAGACAGTCAGGGGCCATAACCTAGCCTAGGTTGGTGGTTATGGAAGGCTTCCATATCAGCATGTGTTTCTTTCTTTCTTTTTCTTTTTTCTTTTCTTTTCTTTTTTTCTTTTTCTTTTTTTTTTTTGAGATGGCGTCTTGCTCTGTTGCCCAGGTTGGAGTGCAGTGGCACCGTCTCATCTCACTGCAACTTCCACCTCCCAGGTTCAAGCAATTCTCATGCCTCAGCCTCCCAAGTAGCTGGGGTTACAGGCTTGTGCCAACACACCTGGCTAATTTTTGTATTTTTAGTGGAGTGCAGTGGAACCATCTCGGCTCACTGCAACTTCTGCCTCCCAGGTTCAAGCGATTCTCATGCCTCGGCCTCCCAAGCAGCTGGGATTACAGGCGTGTGCCACCACACCTGGCTAATTTTTGTGTTTTTAGTAGAGATGAGGTTTCACAAAGTTAGCCAGGTTGGACAGCACGAGTTTCTATGCAACACACTGTCCTAAAACTTAGTGGCTTAAAACAACAACAATCATTGATTTCACCCCCAAATCTGCAATTTGGGCAGGATGTGGCCTGGACAGCAAGTCTGTGTTCCACATGCCATGCTCAACATGGGGCAGCTTGACAGGGGCTGGAGGACCCACTTTTTTTTGGTTGTCTCTGAGATATAATTTACATGCCATAAATTTCACCATGTGAAACCATACAATTCAATGCTTTTTAGTATATTCACAGGATTGTACAACTATTGCTATCTAATTCCACGATATTTCCTTTTCCCTAAAAAGAAATCCTATACTTATCTGGATGTGGTGGCGCACACCTGTGGTCCCAGCTACTCGGGAGGCTGAGACAGGGGGATCAATTGAGCCCAAGAGTTCCAGGCTGCAGTGAGCTATGATCGCACCATTGCACTCCAGCCTGGGTGACAGAATGAGACCCTGTTTCTAAACAACAATGACAAGAACAACAACAGAATATATACCATTAGCAGTCTCTTCTATTCCCTCTTCCCCTAGTCCCTGGAAACACTCATCTATCTTCTGTCTTTATAGATCTGTCTGTTCTAGACACTTCAAATGGAATATACACTACGTGGCCTATTGTGTCTGGCTTCTGTCACTGAGTACAATGTTATCAAGATTCTGGAAGACCCACTTTGTGGATGGCTCAGTCACATGGCTGGCAATTTGGTATTTGCTGTCAGGTGGGAACTCAGCCAGGGCTGTGGGCAGGGATCCCATTTCTTCTCTATGGGGGCCCCCTCCACGGGCTGCTTGAGCTTCCTTATGGCATGGTGGTTGGGTTCCAAGATGGAGCATCCTAACAGAGCCAAGTGGGAGCTTTTCATATTTTTTTTTTTTCAATTGAGACAAAGTCTCACTGTCACCCAGGCTGGTGTGCAGTGGCATGATCTTGGCTCACTGCCACCTCCACTTCCTGGGTTCAAGTGATTCTTGTGCCTCAGCCTCCTAAGTAGCTGGGACTACAAGTGAGCGCCACCACGCCCAGCTAATTATTGTATTTTTAGTAGAGGCTAGGTTTGCCATGTTGGCCAGGCTGGCATATTTATTAAAAAAAAAAAAGAGAGAGAGAGAGAGACAGGGTCTTGCTTGTTGCCCTTGGCAGGTCACAGCCCAGTCCACTCCACTCCTCCATGGTCTTGAACTCCTAGTCTCAAATGATCCTCCTGCCTCATCCTTCCAAAGTGCTGAGATTACAGATGTGAGCCACGATGTCCGGCCAGCTTTTCACCTTTTATGACCAGTTTCAGAAGTCACACCATGTCACTTCCACAGTAGCCTCAAGCTCGTCTGGATTCAAGGGAAGGGAACACAGACCACCCTTCACAATAGGAGTGTCAAAGTCACCTTGTTTGCGTTTTAACTTTTCATTAATGCATTCATTCATTCAAAAGATATTATTGGCCAGGTGCAGTGGCTCAAACCTATAATCACAGCACCTTGGGAGGCTGAGGCGGATGGATCACCTGAGGTCTGGAGTTAGAGACCAGCCTGGCCAACATGGTGAAACCCCGTCTCTACTAAAAATACAAAAATTAGCTGGGTGTAGTGGCATGCGCCTGTAATCCCAGCTACTTGGGAGGCTGAGGCAGGAAAATCGCTTGAACCCGGGAAGTGGAGGTTGCAGTGAGCCGAGATTGCGTCATTGCATTCCAGCCTGGGTGACAAGAGTGAAAATCCATCTCAAAAAAAAAAAAAAAAAAAAAAAAAGTCACACCATGTCAGTTCCACAGTAGCCTCAAGCTCATCTGGATTCAACGGAAGGGAACACAGGCCACCCTTCTCAATAAGAGTGTAAGATCACTTTGTTTACATTTTAACCTTTTATTCATGCATGCGTTCATTCAAAAGATATTATTGAGCATCTACTCATGAATGAATAATTGTGGCCACTTTTGGAAAATACAAGTGCTACAGCTTCCCTGAGAAGATGATGTTGGGGCTGACAGCTGAAGGATAAGCAGGTGTTACTTAGGCACAGGTATGGAAGAGCATTCAAAAAACACAGAACAACGTGTTCAAAAGACCCGGGGGAACAATTAGCACACTGGAGGAACTTAAGGCGGCCTTGAGTGGCAGAGGCAGAGAGAAAGGCACTTGTCTGTTGTGTGCTTTCCATGACTGCTGTTTCCACTCAGCCTTCATTGTCCATTTTTTCAGAAACAGTACCCTAAATTCCCTTTGGGGAACCATTGACTCACCCGCCCTCAGCCCTCTCAGTGGGGCTGGCTGCAGGGGTGGGTGTTAAGACCCAGGTCTAGCCATTCAAGACAGTTCACCCAGCCTCGCCAGTCTCACTGATTGGTTCGGGTGTGGTCATGTGACACTCAGAAGGGCCAATGAGGCTCAAACCCAAGACATCTGCTGCAGCTATTGGACAAGACAGAGTGTATTGCCTTGGGGTTGCTAGGTAGGATAGAGGCAGGAGTGGTTGGGTGTCACCTTTGCCTCTGCCAGAGAATAACCTGTTGAAATGACACCAACAAAGAGAAAGTAGAACGAAGTGACACAGACCATTGAGCTCCTGGACTATGACCAAAGCCAGCTCTGCCACTGGACATTTTAGATTCATGGGCCAATACATGATGGTTTAGGCTAATTTGAATTTCTGTCACCTGGAATCAAGAGTACTGTTTAAAGGCACCATCGGTGGGCGCAGTGGCTCATGCCTGTAATCCCAGCACTTTGGGAGGCCGAGGCGGGTGGATCACCCGAGGTCAGGAGTTTGAGACCACCTTGGCCAAAATGGCAAAACTCCATCTCTACTAAAAATACAGAAAATAGCCGGGCATGGTGGCACGTGCCTGTAATCCCAGCAACTAGAGGGTCTGAGGCAGGAGGATGGCTTGAACCTGGGAGGCAGAGGTTGCAGTGAGCCATGATTGTGCCACTGCACTCCAGCCTGGGCAACAGAGTGAGACTCCATCTCAAAAAACAAACAAACAAACAAATAAATAAATAAAGACACTATGGTTAGGATTTTTCTCTTCCTGTCCCTAACTACACATTCTCCATTCCTGGTTCTTACGTACCACTTCAGAAGCCTCCAGCACTTCATCTGGCCTCTCTTCCTTCTCTCTCTCTTTCATTTCTTATTTTTTTTGAGACAGAGTCTCGATCTGTCACCCAGGCTGGAGCGCAGTGGCGCAATCTTGGCTCACTGCAACCTCCACCTCCAAGGCTCAAGTGATCCTCCAGCCTCAGCCTCCTGAGTAGCTGGGATTACAGGCACACACCACCACTCCAAGCTAACTTTTTGTATTTTTAGTAGAGACTGGTTTTTGCCATGTTGCCCAGGCTGGTCCCAAACTTCTGGCCCCAAACTTCTGGCAGATCAAGTGATCCACCTACCTCGGCCTCCCAAAGTGCTGGGATTACAGGTGTGAGCCACTGCACCTAGCCTTCTCTCTTTTTTTTGTGATCAATAAATGTTTGTTTATTGCATCTTGGTCTGAATGTCATATTAAATTTGGGGTTCCAAAAAACTCTAGAAAACATTTATGAGAACTTGGGAGGTGGAGGTTGCAGTGAGCCGAGATCGCGCCACTGCACTCCAGCCTGGGTGACAGATTGACACTTCGTCTCGCCAAAAAAAACAAACAAACAAAAAAAAAAAACAAAAAAAAGAAAAAAAGAACTAAATGTCCCTGAATATAAAATGGTAGGTAAGAACAGTAATTGGCTTGTCGATCAATGATGAATCAAACAGAAAATGCATGACAGATTATGGGGAAGTTTAAAATGTCCAAATATTATGTCCCAGAAGAATTTGTCTAGATAATAGATCTTCCTCAGTCCCTTTCAGGGGATGGATGGATAGTGGACATACTTGGGCAGGTTTATTCAGGGTAAGCTGGAGGAATGTGTCAAATAGGTAGCTACCTATCTGATTTACTTTCATCCTATTTTTTCTGCTCTTAAAACAAAATAACCTCCTATTGGTTAAACTTTTTTTTTTTTTTTGGTTGCAAATCAAACTCTCTTACTGGTTTTAAAATATCAATTTCTTTTCTTTTTCTGTTTCTTTTTTTTTTTTGAGGCGGAGTCTCACTCTGTGACCCAGGCTGGAGTGCAATGGCATGGTCTTGGCTCACTGCCACCTCCGCCTCCCGGGTTCAAGCGATTCTCCTGCTTCAGGCTCCTGAGTAGCTGGGACTAGAGGCATGTGCCACCACACCTAGCTAATTTTTGTATTTTTAGTAGAGACAGGGTTTCATCATGTTGGCCAGGCTGGTCTCGAACTTCTGATCTTGTGATCTGCCCGCCTTGGCCTCCCAAAGTGCTGGGATTACAGGCGTGAGCCACCGTGCCTAGCCTATTTTTTTTCTTTTTCTTTTTCTTTTTTTAAGATGAAGTCACTCTCTGTTGCACAGGCTGGAGTGCAGTAGCACGATCTTGGCTCACTGCATCTTTTGCCTCCTGGGTTCAAGCGATTCTCAGCCTCCTGAGTAGCTAGGACTATAGGCGCGCGCCACCACGCCTGGCTAATTTTTGTATTTTTTTACAGAGGGGGTTTCACTATGTTGGCCAGGCTGGTCTCGAACTCCTGACCTGAAGTGATCCACCCAACTTGGCCTCCCGAAGCGCTGGGACTACAGGCATGAGTCACCACGCCTGGCCAAAAAAAAGATTAATCTTAAACATAACCAGAAGTCTAGATGTTTGACAGGTTTATTTATTTATTGAGACAAGGTCTAGCTCTGTTGCCCAGGCTGGAGTGCAGTGGCGTGATCTCTTGGGTCACTGCAACCTCCACCTGTGGGTTCAAGACACCCTCCCATCTCAGCCTCCTGAGTAGCTGGGACTACCTGCCTGGCTAAGTTTTGTATTTTTAGTAGAGACCAGGTTTCACCATGTTGCCCAGGCTGGTCTTGAACTCCTGGCCTCAAGTGATCCAGCACCTGGCCTCCTAAAGTTCTGGGATTACAGGCGTTGGCCACCATGCCTGGTCAGTTTGGCAGGTTTAAGGGTTGACTTATGCCTGTGACTGTGGCTATCTTTCTTTATATTCTCATGGCTTACCCCAGGCTGGCCACTTGTAATATATGGTCATCTTAACCAAATTAGAAAAAGGTATTCCAGTTGATGTGGTGGCTCACGCCTGTAGTCCCAGCACTTTGGGAGACCAAGGTGGGTAGGTCTCTTGAGCCCAGGAGTTTGAGATCAGCCTGGGCAACATAACAAGACCTCGTCTCTACAAAAAATACAAAAATTAGCTGGGCATGATTGTGCATGCCTGTAGTCACAGCTACTCGAGAGGCTGAGGTGGAGCCCAGAAGGCAGAGGTTGTAGTGAGCCAAGATGGGACCACTGCACCCCAGCCTGGGCAACAGAGCCAACCTGTCTTAAAAAACAAAAAACAAAAAACCTGACATGGGACTTTGAATATTCTAGTATTGAATGAATGAGGAATAAAGAGATGGATGGGTGGATGGATGGACGGACAGATGAATGAATTGATAGATGGATGAGTTGAATGGGTGATGGAAGGATGGATGGATGGACAGGTGGATGAATGGATGGATGGGTGGTGGATGAATGGATGGACAACTGAATGAATGAATGAATGAATAGATTGACAAGTGGATGGGTGATGGGTGGAAGGATAGATGGTCAGATGGATGGGCCATGGACGGATGAACGGACAGATGGATGAGAGAGAGAGAGAGATTCCTCTGGGCAGCAGACAATTTCCTTAAAAACAAACAAACAAAATCTCCTTTTTCGGGAAGATACAACCACACATACGGGCTGAATGTCAGCCCCCAATCATCTACTCGGCACTTCCATAGCACAGGGCACAATTTTGGGCAAGTGCTCATTTCGTGAGGACCACAGACAGGCACCATTTTTTTAAGGGTTGGTGGGATGATCACCACTGTTTGAGGCCTTATATTCAAGGATTACAATGTTCAGAGGAGAAAATAGAACGACTTCCAGGATCTCTGCCAGAGCGCCAGGAAGAACTTCCTCGGAAACATTTAACAAAACTCTCCTCGTATCTCATTGGCCTGATTTGAGTTACATTTCCTTTCTTTTCTTTCTTTTTTCTTTTTCTTTCTTTCTTTCTTTCTTTCTTTCTTTCTTTCTTTCTTTCTTTCTTTCCTTCCTTCCTTCCTTCTTTCTTTCTCTCTCTCTCTCTTTCTTTTTTCTTTCCTTCCTTCTTTTTTTTTTTCTTTTTTTTGAGACATGGTCCAGCTTTGTCGTTCAGGCTGGAGTGCAGTGGCACGATCTTGGCTCACTGCAACCTCCGCCTCTGGGTTCAAGCAATTCTCCCCGCCTCAGCCTCCTAAGTAGCTGGGATTACAGGCACCCATCACCACGCCTGGCTGATTTTTGTATTTTTTAGTAGAGATGGGGTTTTACCATTTTGGCCAGGCTGGTCTTGAACCCCTGACCTTAGGCGATCCGCCTACCTCGGCCTCCGAAAGTGTTGGGATTACAGGTGTGAGCCACCGCGCCCGGCCTTCTTTCTTTTTTTGAGGTAAGATTCACAAAACATTTTTAAAATCACCCTTTGGGGCCAGGCATGGTGGTGTGTGCCTGTAGTTCCAGCCACTAGGGAGGCTGAGGCAGGAGGATCACTTGGGCCCAGGAGCCTGAAGTGCGCTATGATCACTCCACTGTACTTCAGCGTGGGTGACAGAGTGATACCCTGTCTCAAAAAAAAAAAAAAAATCACCATTTAAAGTGAATAGTTCACTGTTTTTTGTCACATTCACAATGTTCCACAGCTATCATCACTATCTAGAACATTTTTACCACAGCAAAACAAAAGAAAAAAACAAAAAGCAAAACAAAAAACAAAAAACCATAACCATTAAGCAAACATTCTCCATTCCGCCCCTCCTCCTAGGCCCTGAGAACCACAATCTACTTCCTGTCTCTCCGGCTTTGCTTATTCCGTGTGTTTCATCCCATATAAATATATTCATAAAATATGTGGTCTTTTGTGTCTGTGTCTGTTTCCTTCCTCTCCCTTTCTTTCTTTCTTTCTTTCTTTCTTTCTTTCTTTCTTTCTTTCTTTCTTTCTTTTTCTTTCTTTCTTTCCACTTTCTTTTCTTTCTTCCTTTCTTTTTCTTTTTCTTTCCTCTTTTCTTTCATATCATGGCTCACTACAGCCTTGACCTCCCAGGTTGAAGAGATCCTGCCACCTCAGCCTCCCAAGTAGCTGGGACTACAGGTGTGCACCAGCACCCCTGGCTAATTTTTGTATTTTTTTGTAGAAACGTGCTGTTGCCATGGTGCCTGGGCTGGTCTGGAACTCCTGAGCTCAAGCAATCTGCCCAACTCGGCCTCCCAAAGTGCTAGGATTACCAGTATGAGCCACTGCGCCTGACTGGGGTTCTTTTTTGTAGCATGATGTTTTCAAGGTTCATGCCAGTTGTAGCATGCATCAGTATTTTCTTCCTTTTCATGTCTGAATGATATTCCACTGCATAGATAAACTAAATATTATTTATCCAGTCGTTAATTGATGGGCATTTGATTTGTTTCCACTTTATGGACCGTTACGAATAGTGCTGCTATGAGCATTTGTGTGCCAGTTAATGTTTGAACACCTGTATACTAGTATACACCCAGGCATTAAATTGCTGGGTCATATTGTAATTCTATGTTCAACTTTTTGAGGAACTGCCAAACTGTTTTCCATAGAGGCTGTACCATTTTACATTCCTAGCAGCAATGTACAAGGCTTCCAGTTTCTCCATATCCCCATCAGGCTTGTAATTTTCCTTTTTTTTTTTTTTTTTTTTTTTTTGACACAGAGTCTCACTCTGTCGCCCAGGCTGGAGTGCAGTGGCGTGATCTCGGCTCATTGCAACCTCTGCCCCCTGGGTTCAAGCGATTCTCCTGCCTCAGCCTCCTGAGTAGCTGGGATTACAGGGGCCTGCCACTGTGCCTGGATGATTTTTTTGTATTTGTAGTAGAGATGGGGTTTCACCATCTTGGCCAGGCTTGTCTTGAACTCCTGACCTCGTGAGCCATGGCGCCTGGCTGTAATTTTCCATTTTTAAAAATTATAACCATTCTATTGTGTGTGAAGTGGCATCTCTTTGTGGTTTTTATTTGCATTTCCCTAATAACGAATGATGTTGAGCATCTGTTCACGTGCTTGTTGGCCATTTGTAGATCTTCTTTGGAGAAATGTCTTCAAATCCGGGGCCCATTTTTAAAAACTGGGTGCTTTGCTTTTTTTGTTGTTGAGTTGTAAAGTTCTTGACATATTCCAGACAGTAGAGCCTTATCAAATATGTGATTTGCAAATATTTTCTCTCATTCTGTGAACTGCCTTTTCTGTCCTTCGATACTGTTCTTTGATGCATAAAAGGTTTTAATTTTGATGAAGTCTAGTTTCTCAACCTTTGCTGTTGTCACTTGTGTTTTTGGTGTCATATTTAAGAAACCATTGCCAAGCCAAAGATAATGAAGATTTCCCTCTGGGCTCTCTTTTAAGTATTTTATAGTTTTAACTTTTATAATTTAGATGTTAATATTATGGCGTGAGTTCAAAGTCCAATTTCATTCTTTTGCATGTGGATATCTCATGGTCCCAGGGTCATTTGTTGAAGAGACTGTTCTATTAAATTATGTCTTTTAGGCTGGGCACGGTGGCTCATGCCTGTAATCCTAGCACTTTGGGAGGCCAAGGTGGGTGGATCACCAGAAGTCAGGAGTTCAAGACCAGCCTGGCCAACATGGCGAGACCCTGTCTCTACTAAAAGTGTAAAAATTAGCCAGGCATGGTGGTGTGCACCTGTAGTTCCAGCTACTTGGGAGGCCGAGACAGGAGAATTGCTTGAACCCGGGAGGTGGAGGTTGCGTGTGCCGAGATTATGCCACTGCACTCCAGCCTGGATGACAGAACAAGACTCCATCTCAAAAAAAAGAAAAAAAATATATGCCTTTTTCAGCAATTTGGATGGAGCTGGAGGCCATTAATCTAAGTGAAGTAACTCAGGAATGGAAAACCAAATATTGTATGTCCTCACTTATAAGTAGGAGCTAAGCTATGAGTACCCAAAGGCATACAGAGTGATATAAAGGACTTTGGAGTCTCAGAAGGGGGAGGATGAGAGGAGGGTATGGATGAAGACTACATGTTGGGTACATGTGTAACTACTTGGGTGATGATGGGTGCATTAAAATCTCAAAATTTACCACTATATAATTCATCTATGTAACCAAAACCCACTTGTACCCCAAAATCTATTGAAATTTTTAAAAAAAGAGAGAGAGGGAAACTGTTCTTTCGCCTATTGAATGGCCGTGGCACGCTTGTCAAAAGCCGATTCACTGGCTGGGCATGGTGGCTCACACCTGTAATCCCAGCACTTTGAGAGGCCAAGGTGGGTGGATCACCTGAGGTCAGGAGTTCAAGATCAGACTGGCCAACAGGGTGAAAGCCCGTCTGTACTAAAAATACAAAACTTAGCCAGGCGTGGTGGTGGGTGCCTGTAGTCCCAGCTACTCGAGAGGCTGAAGCAGGAGAATTGCTTGAATCCAGGAAGTGGAGGTTACAGTGAGTCAAGAATTCGACACTGCACTCCAGCCTGGGTGACAGAGCAAGACTCCATCTCGAAAACAAACAAACGAACAAACAACAACAAAAAGCCAACTGACCACACTGGGTGCAGTGGGTCACGACTGTAATCCCAGCACTTTGGGAGGTCAAGGTGAGAGGATTGCTTGAGCCCAGGAGTTTGAGACCAGCCTCAGCAATATGGCGAGACTTCATTTGTACTAAAAACAAAAAACATTAGCCAGGTGTGGTGGCACGTGCCTATACTCCCAGCTACTAGCTATGTGGGAGGCTGAGGTGGGAGGATTGCTTGAGCCCAGGAGGTAGTGGTTACAATGAACTGTGATTGCGCCACTGCACTCCAGCCAGGGCAACAGAGAAAATGCTGTCTCAAAAGAAAAAATCAATTGACTATAGATGTATGGGTCATTTCCAGACTTTCAATTCTATTCCACTAATCTATATGCCTATCCTCATACCAGTATCACACCTTTTGATTATTGTGGCTTTGTAGTAAATTCTGAAATCACCAAGTGTGAGTCTTCCAACTCTGCTCATTTTTCAAGATTGGCTCTTGGGTGCAATACCATGTGAATATTAGGTTTGAATTTTCCAGGTCTGCAAACAAGGACGTTGGGATTTTCATAGGGATTATATCAAGTCCATAGATCACTTTGGGATAGTATTATCATCTTAACAATATTAAGTCTTCTAATTCATAAACACGTGTATTAGTCTGTTTTCATGCTGCTGATAAAGACATACCCAAGGCTGGGGAGTTTACAAAAGAAATCGGTTTAATGGTCTTACAGTTCCATGTGGCTAGGGAGGCCTCACAATCATGGTGGAAGGCGAAAGGCATTTTCTACATGGCGGTGGCAAGCGAGAGAATGAGAGCCAAGTGAAACGGGTTTCTCCTTATAAAACCATCAGATCTTGTCAGACTTATTCACTACCACAAGAACAGTACGGGAAAAACTGCCCCCATGATTCAATTATCTCCCACTGGGTCCCTTCCACAACACGTGGGAATCATGGGAGTACAATTCAAGATGAGATTTGGGTGGGGACAAAGAGCCAAACCATATCAACATGTGACGTCGTCTTTCTATTTATTTAGGTCTTCGTATTTGCTTTCAGCCACGTTTTGTAGTTTTCAGGGCACTAGTGTTACTCCTACTTGGTTAAATTTATTTATTTTTATTCTATTGGAAGTGAAATTGTTTTCTTAATTTTACTTTCTGATTGTTTATTGCTAGTTTATGGAAATGTGGCTGATGTTTGTGCGTTGATCTTCTTTTTTTTTTTTTTTTTTTTGAGATGGAGTCTTGCTCTGTCACCCAGGCTGGAGTGCAGTGGCATGCTCTTGGCTCACAGCAACCTCTACCTCCTGGGTTCAAGTGATTCTCCTGCCTCAGCCTCCCAAGTACCTGGAACTACAGGTGCCCTCACCACGCCCAGCTAATTTTTGTATTTTTTACTAGAGACAGGCTTTCACCATGTTGGCCAGGCTGGTCTAGAACTCATGACCTCAAGTGATCCACCCACCTCGGCCTCCCAAGGTGCTGGGATTACAGGCATGAGCAACCACGCCCAGCTGCAAACTACCTTTTCAATGACAGTTGTCTCCTAATTTGTTGGCCTCAGCATAGGTAGATAATAATAAAACCTACATTTTAAAACATTAAAGGGCAATGTTCAGCCAGGCACAGTGGCTCACGCCTGTAATTTCAGCACTTTGGGAAGCTGAGGTGGACAGATCACCTGAGGTGAGGAGTTCGAGACCAGCCTGGCCAAAATGGTGAAACCCTGTGTCTACTAAAAATACAAAAATTACCTGGGCATGGTGGCCGACACCTGTAGTCCCAGCTACTTGGGAGGCTGAGGCAGGAGAATTGCTTGAACCCAGGAGGCAGAGGCCACAGTGAGCCGAGATCGTGCCACTGCATTCTAGCTTGGGTGACAGAGAGAGAAGCGGTCTCCAAAAATAAATAAATAAAAATAGATGAGTCACTTCCAAGATGGCCAAATAGGAGCAGCTCCGGTCTGTAGCTCCCAGCGAGATCAACACAGAAGACAGGTGATTTCTGCATTTCCAACTGAGGTACCTGGTTCATCTCACTGGGACTGGTTGGACAGTGGGTGCAGCCCACAGAGGTGAGCTGAAGCAGGGCAGGGTGTCGCCTTTCCCAGGAAGTGCAAGGGTTCAGGGGATTTCCCTTTCCTAGGCAAGGGAAGCCGTGACAGACTGCACCTGGAGGAACGGTACACTTCCATCCAAATACTGTGCTTTTCCCACGGTCTTAGCAACTGGCAGACCAGGAGATTCTCTCCCGTTCCTGGCTCGGCAGGTCGCACGCCCACAGAGCCTTGGTCACTGCTAGCGAAGCAGTCCAAGATCAACCTGTGATGCTGCAGCCTGGTCAGCAACTATCATCAGACTGAACAGGCAATCTACAGATTGGGAGAAAACTTTTGCAATCTGCCCATTTGACAAAGGGCTAGTATTCAGAATCTACAAAGAACTTAAACAAATTTACAAGAAAAAAACAAACAACCCCATCAAAAAGTGGGCAAAGGATATGAACAGACACTTCTCAAAAGAAGACATTTATGCAGCCAACAGACACATGAAAAAATGCTCATCATCACTGGTCATCAGAGAAATGCAAATCAAAACCACAATGAGATACCATCTCACGCCAGTTCGAACGGTGATCATTAAAAAGTGAGGAAACGACAGATGCTGGAGAGGGTGTGGAGAAATAGGAATGCTTTTACACTGTTGGTGGGAGTGTAAATTAGTTCAACCATTCTGCTTAATAGCCACACACTGTGTGGCTATTCCTCAAGGATCTAGAACCAGAAATACCATTTGACCCAGCAATCCCTTCACTGGGTATATACCCAAAGGATTATAAATCATGCTACTATAAAGACACATACACACATATGTTTATTGTGCCACTATTCACAATAGCAAAGACTTGGAGCCACCCAAATGTCCATTAATGATAGACTGGATTAAGAGAATGTGGCACATCTACACCACGGAATACTATGCAGCCATAAAAAAGGATGAGTTCATGTCCTTTGCAAGGACATGGATGCAGCTGGAAACCGTCATTCTTAGCAAACTATCACAAGGTCAGAAAACCAACCACCACATGTTTCACTCATAGGTGGGAATTGAACAATGAAAACACATGGACACAGGGCAGGGAACTTCACATATTGGGGCCTGTTGGGGGTAGTGGGGGCGGGGAGGGAGAGCATTAGGACAAATACCTAATGTAAATGTCGAGTTGATGGGTGCAGCAAACCAACATAGCACATGTATACCTATGTTACAAACCTGCACGTCGTGCAACGTCGTGCAAATGTATTGTAGAAGTTAAAGTATAATAAAAAAAGAAAAAAAATCCATTCATATATCAATAAAAAATAGATCAATCAATCAATAAAACATTAAAGTGCAATGTCGACAAGAGGTGGTAAAAGCAGGCATCCTTGTGTTGTTCCTGGTCTTTGTGGGGAAATCTTTAAATTTGTAAGCCTTTCACTGTTGCATATGGTGTAAGTCTCTTCCTTTCTTTCTTTCTCCTTCCTTCCTTCTTTCCTTCCTTCCTTCCTTCCTTCTTTCTCTCTTCCTTCTTTTTCTTTCTTTCTATAAATAGAAACAGCAGGCCGGGCACGCTGGCTCAGCCTGTAATCCCAGCACTTTGGGAGGCCGAGGCAGGCGGATCACGAGGTCAGGAGATAGAGACCATCCTGGTTAACACAGTGAAACTCCATCTCTACTAAAATACAAAAAAAAAATTAGCCGGGCGTGGTGGTGGGCGCCTGTAGTCCCAGATACTCGGGAGGCTGAGGCAGGAGAATGGCCTGAACCCAGGAGGTGGAGCTTGCAGTGAGACGAGATCATGCCACCGCACTCCAGCCTGAGCGACAGAGCGAGACTCCGTCTCAAAAAATAAATAAATAAAAATAAATAAATAAATAGAGCCAGCGTCTCACTATGTTGCCCAGGCTGGTCTCAAACTTCTAGGCTCAAGCAATCTTCCCAAAGTACTGGGGTTACAGGAGTGAGTCACCTTGCCTGGCCTGGTGTAAGTTTTTTATATATGCCCTTTATCCTGTTGAAGAAGTTCTCTTCTGGTCTTTATTATTTCAGTATTCTTTGTTGTTGTTGTTGTTGTTTTGTTTTGTTTTGTTTTAAATCCTGAAAAGGTGTTGGGTTTTGTCAAAGGCTGTTTTCTACATTATCCCTTAATTCTATTAATGTTGTGAATAACATTTATTTATTTATTTATTTATTTATTTACTTATTTTGAGATGGAGACTCACTCAGTCTCCCAGGCTGGAGTGCAGTGGCATGATCTCGGCTCACTGCAACCTCCATCTCCTGGGTTCAAGCAATTTTCCTACCTCAGCCTCCCTAACACCTGGCATTACAGGCGTGTGTCACCACGCCCAGCTAATTTATTTTTATTTTTTGTATTTTTAGTAGAGACGGGGTTTCACCGTGTTGGCCAGGCTGATCTTGAACTCTTTACCTCAAATGGTCCACCTGCCTCGGTCTGCCAAAAGTGCTGGGAATACAGGCGTGCACTACCGTGCCTGGCTGAGTTTTTTCTTTTTTGAGACAGGGTCTCACTTTGTCACCCAGGGTGGGGTGCAGTGGCACAAACATGGTTCACCGCAGCCTCAACCTCCCCAGCTCAAGTGATTCTCTCACCTCAGCATGCCAAGTAGCTGGGACTACAGTTGTGAGCCACTGCGCCCTGCCCTGATTTTCTTATAATGAATCACCCTTACATTCTTGGGATAAGTCTCATCTGTTAACACATATGTATAATATGTTTCTATGCTGCTGGATTTGATTTGCTAGTATTTTCTTTAGGATTTCTGCATCTATATTTATAAGGGACATTGGTCTATAGTTTCCTTTTCCTGTAATGTCATTGTGTGGCTTTGGTATCAGGGTAATGCTGGCCTCATAGAGTGGGTCAGAAATGTTGCCTCCTCTTCTAGTTTTGGGAAGATTTTAATAAGAATTGGCCTTAATTATTCAAATACCTGGTAGAATTCACCAATGGAGCCATCGGGTCCTGAGCTTTTCCTTACGGAACTTTAAAAAATTGTTACCAATTCCATCTCTTTCCTTGTTATAGATCTATTCCGACTTCCTAGTTTTTCTTGGGTTAGTCTTGGTAATTTGTGTGTTTCTAGAAATTTGTACATTTCTTCCAGGTGTATTCAATTAATTGACATGTCATTGTTTATAGTATTCTCTTATAATCTTTTATTTTTGTAAGGGTTGTAGTAATCTTTGGTTCCTGATTTTAGTGGTTTGGGCCATCTCCATTCTTCTTCTGGGGGCATCAGTATTTCCAAAAGTTTAGCAATTTTGCTGATTTGTTAAAGAACCAGTTTTTGGTTTTGTTGACTCTATTGCTTTTATAGAATACTATATTTTATTTATCTTCACTGTAATTTTTATTGTTTTTTTGCTGCTGCTTGCTTTCGGCATAGTTTGATCTTTTTCTAATCCCATAAGGTGGAAGAATGTATTATTTATTTGAGATCTGTCTTTCTTTTTTTGCTTGAGACAAGGTCTTGCTCTGTTGTCCAAGCTGGAGTGTAGTGGTGCAATCATGGCTCACTGCAGCCTCAAACTCCTGGGCTCAAGTGATCCTCCTGCCTCAGCCTCCCAAGTAGCTGAGATCACAGGCATGTGCCACGATGCCTGGCTAGATTTTTTATTTGTATTTTTCATACAGATAGGGTCTCGCTATATTACTGAGGCTGGTCTCAAACTCCTGGCCTCAAGTGTTCATTTTTTTTTTTTTTTTTTTGAGATGGAGTTTCACTCTTGTTGCCTAGGCTGGAGTGCAATGGCACGATCTCAGCTCACCACAACCTTCGCCTCATGGGTTCGAGTGATCCACCTGCCTCAGCCTCCTAGGTAGCAAGGACTACAGGCATGTGCCACCATGCCCAGCTAATTTTGTCTTTTTAGTGGAGATGGGGTTTCTCCATGTTGGTCAGGCTGGTCTTGAACTCCTGACCTCAGGTGATCCACCCGCCTCAGCCTCCCAAAGTGCTGGGATTACAGGCGTGAGCCACTGCGCCCACCCTCTTTCATTTTTGATGTAGGTGACTACAGCTATAAATTTCCCTCTGAGCATTGTCTTTGCTGCATCTCATAAGTTTTGGTAAGTTGTACTGCTTTTTCATTCATCTCAAAATATTTAAAAATTTTTTTATGATGTCTTATTTTACTCATTGTTTATGTTAATTTCTACATAATCGTATATTTGTGAATCTAAAAATTTTCTTTCTCTTGTTGATTTCTAGTTTTATTCTGTTGTGGTTGAAGAAATTACTTTTTTTTTTTTTTTTTGGCAGGGTCTCACTCTGTCGCCCAGGCTGGAGTGCAATGGCCTGATCTCAGCTCACTGCAACCTCCGCCTCCCGGGTTCAAGCAATTCTCCTGCCTCAGTCTCCCAAGTAGCTGGGATTATAGGCACCCGCCACCACACCCAGCTACTTTTTGTATTTTTAATAGATATGCGGTTTCACCATGTTGGCCAGGCTGGTCTCAAACTCCTGACCTCAGGTGATCCGCCTGCCTCGGCCTCCCAAAGTGCTGGGATTACAGGTGTGAGCCACCGCACCCGGCCAAAAGTACTTTGTATGATTTCAACTTTTTTTTTTTTTTTTTTTTTTTTTGAGACAGGGTCTCTCTCTGTCGCTCAGTCTGGAGTACAGTGGCGTGATCTCAGCTCACTGCAACCTCCACCTCCTGGGTTCAAGCAATCCTCCTGCCTCAGCCTCCTGAGTAGCTGGAATTACAGGTGCCCACAACCATGCCCAGCAAATTATTGTACTTTTAGTAGAGATGGGGTTTCACTGTGTTGGCCAGGGTGGTCTCGAACTCCCGACCTCAAGGGACCCACCTGCCTTGGCCTCCCAAAGTGTTGGGATTACAGGCGTGAGCCACCGCGCCCAGCCGATAACTCAAAAATTTTCAAGAGGCAAAGACTTATTTTTTAACAGATGTGAGACTCAGTGTTTTAAACAAGACCCAATAAAGACAGTATGAGGCTAACTGAATCTGTCCCTCCTGCAAAGAAACATTTTTTTACTGTTTTTTAATATTACATGAAAATTTTGTTTAAAAAACTAAATTTTACCTTTGTATGTAAAATTGTTCCTTTAGTAGTTTTAATTACATATATTATAATGTTAACTCTTAGGCAGTCTCCGCCTCTCGGGTTCAAGCAATTCTCTTGCCTCAGCCTCCCGAGTACCTCAGACTACAGGTGTGCACCACCATGCATGCCCAGCTAATTTCTGTATTTTTAGTAGAGACAGGGTTTCGCCATGTTGGCCAGGCTGGTCTCAAACTGCTGACATCAGGTGATCTGTCCGCCTTGGCCTCCCAAAGTGCTGGGATTACAGGCGTGAGCCACTGCATCCAGCCATTACTGACTTTTATTTTTAATGAAAAACTAAGGAGGTAGGCAATTTTAATTATGTACCAGGTACAGAGTCTAGGACAGTAATAATATATGTCAATAATATATGATGCTTTTTAGGATAGGCAGGGGACATGGTTAATTCTACACATCCCCAGGCCTTATCTACAATCTAAGGGCTTTAAAATAGACAAGTCCAACAATTATTTAAAATATTATAGAAGGGCCAGGCATGGTGCCTCATGCTTATAATTCTAGCACTTTGGGAGCAGAGGCTGGTGGACGCCTTGAACCTAGGAGTTAGAGACCAGCCTGGCCAACATGGTAAAACTCGATCTCCACTAAAAATACACAAGTGAGCTAGACATGGTGGTACGTGCTTATAGTCCCAACTACTTGGAAGGCTGAGGTGGAAGGATCACCTGAGCCCAGGGAGGTTGAGGCTGCAGTGAGCATGCCACTGTACTCCAGCCTGGGCAACAGAGTGAGTCCCAGTCTAAGAAAAAAATTTATAAAAGTAGTTTAGGACCTGAAAGGTCTTAGTAAAGACAATACCAGACTTGTCTAATTTACACCAAATGTTCACATTCTGAAGATGTTTTTATTTTACTAATAATTGAAAAACTGTCTTTATTTACTAAAGATTATTAAAGTCATGTGAACTAAAAGATACTTAAAGTTTTTATTTTTTGATGAAATATTCAATTTAAGTGGTTAAGTCAACTGATTAGAGCTTTTAAAAATATATTTCAGTAGTGAAATATTATATATTCATGGCACATATAAACATAGACATAACAGACAGAAGTAGATCTTATAGACTTGTAAGACTTTCTGTCAATTTTAAAATTTTTATTAATTAATTAATTTATTAGAGACAAGGTCTCACTCTGTCACCCAGACTGGAATGCAATGGTATAATCATAGCTCACTGTAGCCTCAAATTCCTGGGCTTAACTGATCCTCTCGCTTCAGCCTCCTGAGTTGCTGGGACTACAGGCATGCACCACCATGCCCAGATAATTTTAAAAATTTTTTATAGAGATGGTGTCTCACTTTGTTGCCCAGGCAGGACTTGAACTCCTGGCCTCAAGTGATCCTCATACCTCAGCCTCCCAAAGTGTTGGAATTACAGGCTTAAGCCACCACATCTGGCTGGTTTTAATTATTAAACAATAACAAAAAAATTCATTTTCTAAAAAAAAGAGTACTGTGGCCTCTATACAAAAATAAAGAAAAACAATTTAGCATAGTGAAAACAAGATAGAGTCAATAATATTAAATTTGTATTTTTGAGACAGAGTCTCACTCTGTTGCCCAGGCTTGAGTGCAGTGGCTTGATCTCAGCTCACTGCAGCCTCTGCCCCCCTGGTTCAAGCAATTCTAGTGCCTCAGCCTCCGGAGTAGCTGGGACTACAGGCTTGCACCAACATGCTTGGCTTATTTTTCTATTTTTAGTAGAGACAGGGTTTCACCATGTTGGCCAGGTTGGTCTTGAACCCCTGACCTCAAGTGATCTGCCCGCCTCAGCCTCCCAAAGTGTTGAGATTACAGGCGTGAGCCACCGCGCCCAGTCAATTATGTTAAATTACCCTTATTACTATGATTTTTATAAAAGTGGTTTCAAGCATATAAAGAATGTTTGTTATTACTATTATGTATTATTTTCTTTATCATGATACTTCAGTCAAAAGGAACTGCTTAGGACAGCTTGAATATGTCCCATAGTTACAGCCTGCAAGCCTTTTTCTTTGCTGTGCCATGTGCCTAAGACACCATCCTTCGTTTGTGTGTGTCAAAACCCCACCAGTCTGTCCTCTTAATCCCAACACCAATGTCCTGGGTGCCAATAAAGGCTTTCCTCACCTCCAAATTGAGATTTTATTGACCTCTCTTGGGGTGCTTATACTGGCTTTGGGTTGAAATCTATTTTTTCTCCTCTCCCTTGAAGAAGCACGTCTCTTTGCTTAAGGGAACGTAGAAGCCACAGCAGATCCTAGCAGATATCTGTTACCCTGAAGAAGAGGTCAGGGCCCAGGCACGGTGGCTCATGCCTGTAATCCCAGCATTTGGGGAGGTCGAGGTGGGCGGATCGCTTGAGCCCAGGAGTTCGAGCCCAGCTTGGGCAATATGGCAAGACACCGCCCCCCGACTCTACAAAAAATACAAAAATTAGCCAGGCGTGGTGGTGAGTGCCTGTAGTACCAGCTACTTGAAAGGCTGAGTTGGGAGAATCAGCTGAGCCCAGGAAGTTGAAGCTGCAGTGAGCCGTGATCGCACCACTGCACTCCAGCCTGTGCAACGTGGCAAAACCAGAGTGGGGCCTTGTCTCATTTTAAAAAGTAATAAGAGACCGAGCACGGGAACTCAGGCCTGTAATCCCAGCACTTTGGGAGGCTGAGGCGGCCAGATCACTTGAGGCCAGAGAGTTGGAGACCAGCCTGGCCAACATGGGAAAACCCTGTCTCTACTAAAGATACAGAAATTAGCCGGGTGTGGTGGCAGGCACCTGTAATTGCAGCTACTGGGAGGCTGAGGCAGGAGAATCGCTTGAATCTGGGAGGCGGAGGTTGCAATGAGCAGAGATCGAGTCACTGCACTCCAGCCTGGGCCGCAGAGCAAGACCCTGTCTCAAAAATAAATAAATAAATAAATAATTTAATAAATAAGAAGAAAGGGTCAGGGCCATTTTTAAAAGGCACTAGATAAGGCCTGGTTGCAATCAGGGAGTGCGGGCAACTGATTTCTTTGAAGCCTCCTCTTGTTCTGTTTCCGTGACATTGACAGGGACCAGCTCCCATGGTTCAGGAGCTGCTGAGGGTTAACATCCTGTCCCAGGAGGGATCTGACCACACCAATGGCTTTATCGTTGCCTAATTGGGGAGGCCCTGTGGGGGATGTTTCAAGGACTGAGAGTGCAGAGGAGCCTCCCGCATGCAGTTACGCTGATGGAAACACAATGGGTGGATTGCCACAGGGGCCCGCAGGCTCGCTGGCAAACAGAGCGCACAGGTGGAAACCTTCCCCGCTGACCAGATACTTTGTTTCCTTTCTGGGGAGGCAGATAAAACAGTTACCATAACCCAAACCCTGCCCACTCTTCATTTGCAAACTGCAATGCTCTTAGACATCTTCCTTAGGTAAGCGCTTTGAGAGCTCCTGTTCATTTCAGGACTAAAATGAACAATAATAGCGACCGTCCTTCAGAGCCTGCTGGATGCCAGGCACCTCACAAGTGTCTCCCAGTGCTGGGTGCAGTGATTCACACCTGTAATCCCAGCACTTTGGGAGGCTGAGGTGGGTGGATCGCTTGAGCTCAGGAGATCAAGACCAGCCTGGGCAATATAGTGAGAACTCTGCCTCTAAAACAAAGAAAAAGGAAAAAGTAACTCCTGGTGAATTTCCACCTTAGAACAAGAGTGGGAGGTGTCCTATTCATGATCTTTAATGCTTTGCTCAAATATCACCTTCTCTGTGAGGCCTACCCTGACCACTCTGCTTAAAATTGCAACCCTCCACCACCTCCACCCCGCATCGCAAGTTCTCGTCACAGCCTTTCTCACCTGCTACCCACTCCATGATTTACTTATTAAGTATGTTTGTTAGGCCGTGTGCAGTGGCTCATGCCTATAATCCCAGCACTTTGGGAGGCTGAAGCAGGTGGATTACCTGAGGTCAGGAGTTCAATACCAGCCTGGCCAACGTGGCGAAACCCCATCTTTACAAAAATACAAAAAAGTTAGCCAGGTGTGGTGGTGCGTGCCTGTAGCCCAGCTACTCGGGAGGCTGAGGCAGGGGATTTGCTTGAACCTGGGAGGGAAGGTTGTAGTGAGCTGAGATTGCACCATCGTACTCCAGCCTGGGCGGTAGAGCAAGACTCTGTTTCAAAAAAAAAAAAGTATTGCTAAGTCAAAAAGTATAAACAGTCTAATTTTTTTTTTTTGAGACAAAGTCTCGCTCTGTTGCCCAGGCTAGAATGCAATGGCACGGTTTCGGCTCATTGCAACCTCTGCCTCCTGGGTTCAAGCGATTCTCCTGCCTCAGCCTCCCGAGTAGCTGGGATTACAGGCATATACCACCATGCCCAGCTAACTTTTTGTATTTTTAGTATAGATAGGGTTTCACCATATTGGCCAGGCTGGTCTCGAACTTCTGACCTCGTGATCCGCCCGCCTTGGCCTCCCAAATTGCTGGGACTACAGGCAAGAACCACCGTGCCCTGCCTGAAGAGTCGAAATTTTTTTTTTTTTAAACAGTTTCACTCTGTCGCCCAGGCTGGAATGCAATGGCACATTCTCAGCCCACTACAACCTCCGCCTCCCAGGTTGTAGCCATTCTCCTGCCTCAAGCCTCCCAAGTAGCTGGGATTATAGGCACCCACCACTATGCCTGGCTACATTTTGTAGTTTTTTTTTTTTTCTTTTTGAGACGGAGTTTTGCTCTTGCTTCCCAGGCTGTAGTGCAATGGCGCCATCTCTGCTCACCACAACCTCCGCTTCCCAGATTCAGGTAATCCTCCTGCCTCAGCCTCCCGAATAGCTGGGATTACAGGTATGCGCCACCACGCCCAGCTAATTTTGTGTTTTTAGTAGAGATGGGGTTTCTCCATGTTGGTCAGGCTGAACAACCGACCTCAGGTGATCTGCCCGCCTCAGCCTCCCAAAGTGCTGGAATTACAGGTGTGAGCCACCACGCCTGGGTCTACTTTTTGTAGTTTTTAGTAGAGACAGAGTTTCACCATGTTGGTCAGGCTGGTCTCGAACTCCTGACCTTAGTCGATCTGCCCGCCTCAGCCTCCCAAAGTACTGGGATCACAGGCGTGAGCCACTGCGCCCGGCCCAAATAGTCTAAATTTTAATAAATACTGCCAAATAACACTTTCAAAAGAGTATCCATTCATACTCCCACCAATGGTACATAAAAAGTCTCAATAACAATTGGTAAAATTGGTTTGGTGGGGAATTCAACTCTACACTGCTGAGCTGCTGCTATTTGCAACCATAGAATCTTTTTTTTTTTTTTCTTCTGAGACAGAGTCTCGCTTTGTCACCGAGACTGGAGTGCAATGGCGCTATCAAGGCTCACTGCAACCCTTGCTTCCCGGCTTTAAGTGATCCTCCTGCCTCAGCTTCCCGACTAGCTGGGATTACAGGAGTACGCCACCATGCCCAGCTAATTTTGTATTTTTAGTAGAGACGGGGTTTCACCATGTTGGCCAGGATGGTCTCGAATTCCCGACCTCAGGTGATCTGCCCGCCTTGGCTTCCCAAAGTGCTGGGATTACAGGCGTGAGCCACCGTGCTGGGCCCTGCAAACATAGAATCTTAGAGTTGAAAGGGACATAAAAATCCATCGAATTCTTGTCCAACTCCCCTCCCAAGGCAGCAATCCCCTGCAATACAGCCTTGTTTACAACGCTGTTGTCTGTGACTGGGGTCAAACTCCACATCTTTGATCTTAAGAATAAACCACCACTGACAGTGGGCTTATCACATCCAGTAAGTTTGTTATATCACTGGGCCAAAATCTACTTTCCTGGTGGGGCCCGGTGGCTCACGCCTGTGATCCCAGGACTTTGGGAGGCTGAGTAGGGTGGATCACCTAAGGTCAGGAGCCAGAGACCAGCCTGGCCAACATTGCGAAACCCCATCTCTACTATAAATACAAAAACTAGCTGGGTGTGGTAGTGCATGCCTGTAGTCCCAGCTACTCGGAAGGCTGAGGCAGGAGAATCACTTGAACCCAGGAGGCGGAGGTTGCAGTGAGTGGCGATCACTGCACTGCACTCCAGTCTGGGTAACAGAGCGAGACACACACACACGCACACGCACACGCACACGCGCGCGCGCACACAGACACACACACCCTACCTTTCCTGCAACACACCCCACCTATCCTAGCTCAGCTCTGGGAAGTAACACAAAAGAGCTAATCCTTTTCCACATGACAGCCCTTAAAATATTTGAAGACTGTATCACATTTCCCCAGAGCCTTCTTTTTGTGGGGTACAACTTCCCAGTTGTGACCAAACACGTCCCTTCCATAGGAAAGTGCTGACTGGAGTCTCTTCAGCTGAGTGGCCCAGCATAAGAGCTTTAGAGTCACTAGGCTTGGGTTCAAGGCCATGTTCCCACCCCTTCCAGCCACCTGACCTGGGCTAAATCACTTCTCAGACTAGTTTCCTCCCTTGGATAAACTGCATAGCAATAATACCCATGTCATAGGGTTGCTGGTTTGGCCACATTATGATTTTTTTTCTTTTTGAGACAGAGTTTTGCTCTTATTGCCCAGGCTGGAGTACAGTGGCACAGTCTTGGTTCACTACAACCTCCGCCTCCTGGGTTCAACTGATTTTTCCTGCTTCAGCCTCCCGAGTAGCTGGGATTACAGGCACCTGCCACCATGCCCAGCTAATTTTTTGTATTTTTAGTAGAGTCGGGGTTTCACCATGTTGGCCAGGCTGGTCTCGAACTCCTGACCTCAGGTGGTCCACCCGCCTTGGTCTCCCAAAGTGCTGGGATTACAAGTGTGCGCCACTGCTGGCCTTTTTTTTTTTTTTTTTTTTTTTTTTTTTTGAGACAGAGTCTTACTCTGTCACCCAGGCTGAAGTGCAGTGGCATGATCTCGGCTCACTGCAACCTCTGCTTCCCAGGTTCAGGTGATTCTCTTGCCTCAGCCTCCTGGTAGCTAGGACTACAGACACCCGGCACCACACTCAGTCACATGGATTTTTTTGGTGGGTTCCTTCCTCCATAAGAAAAAAAGTGTTTTAAATCATATTTTATGACTGTGTTAGTATAAGGATGAATATAACAAGGCCTGGTGCAGTGGCTCATGCCTGAAATCCCAGCACTTTGGGAGGCCAAAGTGGGAGAATTACTTCATCCCAAGAGTTCAAGAACAGCCTGGGCAACATGGCAAGACCCTTTCTCTACAAAAAATAAAAAATATAAAAATTAGCCGGAAGTGGTGGCATGTACCTGTGGTCCCAGCTCCTCGGGAGGCTGAGGTGGGAAGACTGCCTGAGCCCAGGGGGTCAAGGCTGCAGTGAGCCATGATTGTGCCACTGCACTCCAGCCTGGGCGCCAGAGCTCCTGCTCAAAAATACCAAAAACTAAAAACTAAAAATAATATATATATGTAATAAAGGCAGGGTTATGTTTATTTTTTCTTCTGATTTTAAAAGAAGTAAAACATTTTCATGGGGCCCTAAAAGTATTGTGGGCCTTAGGCATCATGCCTTCTGTAAGTTCATAGGCCCTGGCTGCTGGAAGGAGTAAAAAAGAAAAAACATGCCAAATATGTAAAGTGCTTAGCGCAGCACTGGGCCTGGCTCTTTGTAACTTAATAAATGGTGATCAAAAATTAAAAAGTGCAATGCAGGCCGGGTGCAGTGGCTCACGCTTGTAATCCCAGCACTTTGGGAGGCCAGGTGTGCGGATCACGAGGTCAGGGGTTTGAGACCAGCCTGGCCAACATGGTGAAACCCTGTCTGTACTAAAAAACACAAAATTAACCAGGCATGGTGGCACACACCTGTAATCCCAGCTACTTGGAAGGCTGAGGCAGGAGAATTGCTTGAACCTGGGAGGTGGAGGTTGCGGTGAGTCGAGATCACACCATTGCATTCCAGCCTGGGCAACAAGAGTGAAACTCCGTCTCAAAAAAAAAAAAAAAAAAAGTTGGGGGTGTAGTGCAGAGAACAGAGTGTAACCCTGGAGAACTCTGCAGAGCTTTCCTTTTTTTTTTTTTTTTTGAGACGGAGTCTCGCTCTGTCGCCTAGGCTAGCACAATCTCGACTCACTGAAACCTCTGCCTCCCGGGTTCAAGTGATTCTCCTGCCTCACCCTCCTGAGTAGCGGGGATTACAGGTGCATGCCACCATGCCCGGCTAATTTTTTGTATTTTTAGTAGAGACATGGTTTCACCATATTGGCCAGGCTGCTCTTGAACTCCTGACCTCAGTTGATCTGCCCACCTTGACCTCCCAAAATGGTGGGATTACAGGCATGGGCCACCACACCTGGCCTGCAGAACTTTCTTTATTGGCATGCATTGGGACTTGCAGACTCAGCTTCAGCTGAATGTAAGGAACAGTTCCTGGGTCCATGTTTTCTCACTGTGTTCACAGAGTCTTGCAAGAGATTCTGCAAAAAGACACACAGTCTATGGCATTTATCTTGAGACGAGAGAAAGTATACATTTAAGGACATGTGCGTGAAGAATTCTGGAAGGATAAAGAAGATATTAATTTATAGCCATTACCTATTGAGAAGGAAGGATTGGGAATATTGTGAATAGGTCCAGGAGTGGGAGAGAGACTTTCCACTGTATGCCTACTGATAGTTTTGATGTGTAAACAATGATAATAGAGTGCTGATTCAAAAATGTTAATAATTTTTTTTTTTTTTTTTTTTGTGATGGAGTCTCACTCTATCACCCATGCTGGAGTGCAGTGGCGCAATCTCAGCTCACTTCAACATCTGCCTCCCGGGTTCAAGCGGTTCTCCTGCCTCCACCTCCTGAGTAGCTGGAATAACACTTGTGCACCACCACACCCAGCTAATTTTTGTATTTTTAGTAGAGACAGGGTTTCGCCACGTTGGCCAGGCTGGTCTCGAACTCCTGACCTCCGGTGATCTGCCAGCCTCGGCCTCCCAAAGTGCTGGGATTACAGGCTTGAGCCACTGCACCTGGCTCAAAAATCTTAGTAATTTTTTTGACTGTCCTAAATTGTTTATTAGGTATGAGTTTTACAAACTTTACTTATATTAGTGGTAACAGTGGAGATTGAGAGTATTGCGCCTTCTCCAAGCTGCCCGGCAAGAACCACCAATAGTGTGGTGGAACTTACGGCCCTTTCCAAGGCCATGGCTCTTTTGGCCTGCACATGCCAGCCCACGCATCTCCTTGTGCTTGTGGACTGGTTTGGTGATCCACTGGGTGTCAGGATTTCTTCCAATAGCTTTATGGAATGGATCAATGAGGATAACCTCAAAAAATTTGTGTGTGGAATCTTCACCCATCCAGTAAGAATTCAGGACTCTTAGAGCCCCACAGTGGCGTCCAACTCACTCCTCTGCAATCAACTGTAGGCTTCAGTTAATACCATGATGGACAGGCTTGCCGTAAGTTGCACCCTTAGGAACTGAGCATTTTCGGCCATCACGGAGAATACGAATCCCGTAGATAACATAACCTTGCTTGATCTTGTAGCCCAGTTGGTGCACTTTATCGGGCCGGGTGGGGCGGGGAGCCCTGTGGAGAGCAGAGAGCTGGCGGTACTGCCAGCAGCGGACCCTCAGAAGAAAGCTCATGACATCAGACTGCTTCTTCCTCCACAGCTCGTGGATGTACTTGTATGCACCCATCTTGGCTTACCTGATTGCTGCCGCCAGACAGAAGGGCCAAAAATCTTAATAATTTTTATTTTGAAAAATATATGCATGTGGTTAGAAAAAACTTCAAACAGTTCAAAAGGGTGAAAAGCAACTCTCCCTCTTGTACCCAGGGAGTACCTGGTAAGATATAACATCTCATACAGGACTTACAGAACCTCTATAAAAACTATTAAAAAATTTTGTTGAGAGACAGTAAAGAAGACCTAAATAAATGGAGAGATATACATGTTCATTGATTGGAAGAGCCTAGATTTGAAGGCGCCAACTCTTGTATTGATTCATAGATCAAATTTAATCCCAATGAAAAGCTCAGCCTTTTTTTTTTTTTTTTTTTTTTGCAGAACTTGACAATCTGATTCCAAAACTGATAGGGGAATAAAAGGGAGTCAAACAACCCAAGACACTCTTGGGAGGAAAAAACAAAACCAAAAATGAACTGTGGGCTGGGCGCAGTGGCTCACGCCTGTAATCCCAACACTTTGGGAGGCCGAGGCAGGTGGATCATCTGAGATCAGGAGTTTGAGACCAGCCTGGCCAACATGGTGAAACCCCGTCTCTAATAAAAATACAAAAATTAGCTGGGCATGGTGGTGGGTGCCTGTAGTCCCAGCTACTTGGGAGGCTGAGGGAAGAGAATCGCTTGAACCCAGGAGGCAATGGTTGCAGTGAGTCGAGATTGTGCCACTGCACTCCAGCCTGGCAACAGAGCGAGACTCCATCTCAAAGAAAAAAAAAAGCTAGACATCAAGTTAGGGAGAGGAAGACAAACCAGAACCCACATTCCTTTTTGACGCTGTTGTTTACTTTTCCATTATAGCCATTCTAGCACAATTAGAGTAATATCTTATTGTGGTCTGTTGAAATACTTTAGAGGAAGTTACACAGATCATGATAGATTACTTTAAATGCCATGCCATATATCTCTAAAAATACACGTTTATGTATTGGAAGACTCAATATTGTTAAGATGGCGATACTACTCCAAAGTGATCTATAGACTTGATGTAATCTCTATGAAAATCCCAATGTCCTTGTTTGCAGACCTGGAAAATTCAAACCTAAAATTCACATGGTATCGCACCCAACAGCCAATCTTGAAAAATGAGCAGAGTTGGAAGACTCACACTTGGTGACTTCAGAATTTACTACAAAGCAACAATAATCGAAAAGTTTGGTATTGGTAGGAAGATAGGCATATAGATTAGTGGAATAGAATCGAGAGTCTGGAAATAACCCATACATCTATGGTCAATTGTTTTGTTTTGTTTTGTTTTTTTGACAGAGTCTCACCCTGTCACCCAGGCTGGAGTGCAAAATTATCACACCTGTAAGTTCCGAAATTTTTTCTCTTATTATTTCATCTACAGCTTTTTTTCCTGTGTTTTGTCAGTTTTATTTTTCTGAAATGCTTATTATTTAGATGTGGGATCTTTTTGTGTGACCTTCTAATGTTCTCCATTTTCTCTGATCTCTGCAAGATTTCAGCAATTTCTTTCTTCTTCCCTTTTCTTTTTTTACTTCTTGCTTTCTTAATTTCTGAGAGCTCCTTTTTGTTCCCTGAATGTTTCTTTTAAAAGATATACTGGTCGGGTGCAGTGGCTTACACCCGTAATACCAGCACTTTGGGAAGCCAATAGGAGGATCGTTTGAAGCCAGGAATTTCAGAGAAGAATTCTGCAATCTCCTCATTGAAGGTTGTGGTAGTCATACCTGACCCTGTGAATAATTCTAACCAAGGCTGGGCATGGTAGCTTATGCCTGTAACCCCAGCACTTTGGGATGCTGAGGCAGGTGGATCACCTGAAGTCAGGAGTTTGAGACCAGCCTGGCCAACATGGCGAAACCCCATTTCTACTAAAAATACAAAAATTAGCTGGGCATGGCAGTGCATGCCTGTAATCCCAGCTACTTGGGAGGCTGAGGGAGGAGAATCGCTTGAACCCGGAGCTGAGATCATGCCATTGCACCCCAGACTGGGCAACAAAAGTGAAATTCCATCTCAAAAAGAAAATAAAATAAAAATAAAAAAATTCTAACCAATGAGGTATGATTGAAAATGACACACGTCTTTGCCAATCATACTTCATTGGTTAGAATTATTATTATTATTTGAGACAGAGTCTCACTCTGTTGCCCAGGCTGGAGTGCAGTGTTATGATCTCGGCTCACTGCAGCCTCTGCCTCCCTGGATCAAGAGATTCTTCTGTCTCAGCCTCCCAAGTAGCTGGGATTACAGGCATGCACCATCATGCCCAGTTAATTTTTTATACTTTTAGTAGAAATGGGGCTTCACTATGTTGGCCAGGCTTGTCTTGGACTCCTCACCTCAGGTTATCCACCTGCCTTGGCCTCCCAAAGTGCTGGGATTACAGGCGTGAGCCAACATGCCTGGCCTGGTTAGAATTATTCAGAGAATAATTGAACAATTATTCTGTGAACAACCTGTAAACGAACAACCTGAAAATTAAACTAAGGAAAGAAAATTAAGACAATCCACTTGCAATAGCACCAAAAACAATAAAAATACTTGGTAATAAATTTAACAAAAGATGTTCAAAATTTGTACACTGAAAGCCATGAAACATTGCTGAAAGACATTAAGGAAGACCTAAACAAATAGAAAAACATCCCATGTGCATGGATTAGAAGACTCAATATTGTTAAGATGTCAATACTACCCAAAGCAATCAACAGATTTAATGCAATTTCATTGGTCTTTTCTGCAGAAGTGGAAAGGCTGATTCTCAAATTCACATGGAATTGTAAAAGACTCCAAACAGCCACAACATTCTTGAAAAAAAGAAGAACAAAGTTGGAGGGCTCATATTTCTTGATTTTAAAGCTTACTACAAAGCTACAGTAATCAAAACAGTGTGGTATTAGCTTAAGAACAGACATATAAACCAATGAAATAGAATTGAGAGTCCACAAATAAACCTATACAATTATGGTCAATTGATTTTTGACAGGTGTGCTAAGACAATTCAATGGGAGAAAGAATAGCCTTTTAAAAAAATTGTCCTAGGACCACTGGATAAACATGTACAAAAGGATGAAGTTGGACCCTAACCTTGCAATTACCTTAAAAATTATTATAAATATAAGAACTAAAACTATAAAACTCTCAGAAGAAAACACAAGGATGAATTTTCATGATCTTGGACTTGGCAATTAATTCTTAGATATGACACCAAAAGTACAAGCCAAAAAAGAAAAATAGACAAATTAGACTTCATCAAATTAAAAACTTTTGTGCATTGAAGGATATTATTAAGAAAGTAAAAAGACAATGTACAGAATGGGAGAAAATATGTGCACACCATGTATCTGATAAAAGTCTATGTTTTAATGTAATTAAAACATGAACAAAGTTAATTTGTGCGGCAGCAATAAAAAAGGGAAACAAATATGAACAAAGGACTTGAATAGACATTCCTAGAAGATACGTAAATCACCAACAGGCACATAAAAAGATGTTCAACATCATTAGTCTTTAGAGAAACACAGACAAAAACCACAGTGAGGTCTCAATTCACACACACTAGGACAGCTACAATTTTTTTTTAAAGTGTGTGTATTGGGGGGTGCAGCTGGGAACAGTGACTCATGCCAGCACTCTGGGATGCCAAGGCAGGAGGATCACTTAAGTCCGGGAGTTTGAGACCAGCCTGGGCGACATAGCAAGACTGCCATCTCTCCAAAAAATTAAAAAATTAGCTGGGAGTGGTGGCACACCCCTGTGGTTCTAGCTACTTGGGAAACTGAGTCGGGAGGATTGAACCCAGGAGTTTGAGGTTGTAGTGAGCTATGATCATGCCACTGCATTCTAGCCAGAGCAATAGGGTGAGATCCTATCTCTAAATTACATAAATAAATAAATAAGTAAATATGCAGAAAATAACAAATGCTGACAGGAATGTGGAGATATTGGAACACTCATGCATTGCTGGTGGAAATGCAAAATGGTTCAGCTGCTGAGAAAAACTGTTTAATGATTCGTCAAAAAGTTAAACACAGAATTACCATATATCTCAGCAATTCTACTCCTAGAATATTCACAAAATAAATGAAAACATGCACTCACATAGATGCACATACACACATGTCGACAGAGGCACTATTCACCGCGCCGGACCCAAAACATGTATTTTCTTAGGAACACCAGATAGCACTTCAGTGCTATGCTTGGGGGCCATTTCAAACAGCAAAATCAATAATAAATACCACAGAAATGTGAAACCTATGGCACACAAATGCTGCAAAAAGGACATTTGTGGCCTGGCGCAGTGGCTCACGCCTGTAATCTCAGCACATTGGGAGGCCGAGGTGGGTGGATCACCTGAGGTCAAGAGTTCAAGACCAGCCTGACCAATATGGTGAAACCCCGTCGCTACAAAAAATACAAAAAATAGCTGGGCGTGGTGGTGGGCACGTGTAATCCCAGCCACTCGGGAGGCTGAGACAGGAGGATTGCTCAAACCCAGGAGGCAGAGGTTGCAGTGAGCTGAGATCGAGCCACTGCACTCCAACCTGGAAGACAGAGTGAGACTCCATCTCAAAAAAAGAAAAAAAAAAAAAGGACATTTACAATAGGACAGCTGAAACAAGAAGTCAGGGTGTGGCCTCATTCAACCTCAGATAGGAACATGTGTGTTGAGCAACTCAAATTTTCTTCTTTTTTATTTGAGACGCAGCCTTGCTTTGTCACCCAGGCCCAGGCTGTCCCAGGCCCAGGCAGTGACGTGATCTCGGCTCACTGCAACCTCTGCCTCCTGGGTTCAAGTGATTCTCCTGCTTCGGCCTCTTGAGTAGCTGGGATTACAGGCACCCACCACTATGCCCAACTAATTTTTGTATTTTTAGTAGAGACTGGGTTTCGCCATGTTGGCCAGGCTGGTCTCGAACTCCTGATCTCAAGTGATCCGCCAGCCTCAGCCTCCCAAAGTGCTGGGGTTACAGGCGTGAGCCACCGCACCCAACCCTTTTTTATTTTTATTTTCATTTTTTTGAGACAGGGTTTTGCTCTGTCACCCAGACTGGAGTGCAGTGATGCCATTGTGGCTCACTGCAGCGTCAACTTCCCAGGCTCAAGTGATCCTCCCAGCTTCCAAAGTAGCTGGGACCAAAGGTGTGCACCACCACAGCTGGCTAATTTTTTTTGTCTATTTTTGGTAGAGACGGGGTTTTGCCATGTTGCTCAGGCTGGTCTCCAACTGCTGAGCTCAAGTAATCCACCCACCTCAGCCTCTCAAAGTGCTGGCATTCCAGGTGTGAGCCATCACGACCAGCCAGGGATCTCACCATTCTTAAGTGCCTCTCATTGAATTCTCCTGTTGATAGTTGCATTGATTTCTCACTCCTTCTTCTACTCTGTCTCTTGCTACATCTGGACCCTCTCTCATTCATTTTCTCAAAGACATTCATCTAGAATGTCTAATTTTTGTGGTTGGGATCAATACAGTTCACTTGCTTTATGGGGTGGGAGGAGTGTAACTTTTCTTTAAACTGAATTCTAAGCAGTTTTCAGTTTTAACTCACTACAGTCTCCATGCTATATTCTGAATGTTTATATCCCCCAAAATTCATATGTTGAAATCCTAACCCCTAAGGTGATGGTATTAGGAGGTGAGCCTTTGAGAGATGATTAGGTCTTGACAGTGGAGTTCTCATGACTGGGATTAGTGCCCTTATAAAAGGGACCCCAGGCTGGATGTGGTGGCTCACGCTTGTAATGGTTCAGCTACCAAGGCCCCCAAAGTGTTGAGATCGCTTGAGCCCAGTGGTTTGAGACCAGCCTGGGCAACATAGTGAGACGACATCTCCACTTAAAATTGAAATAATAATAAATAAATAAAAAGGACCCCAGAGAGATCCCCTGCCACTTATCATAGGAAGGCACAGTGAAAAGACAGCTATCTAGAAAAGCAGGTCCTCTCCAGACACTTGAATCTACCAGCATTTTGATCTTGGACTTCGGTACCATGTTACAACAGCCATACATTGTGCTACTGATATTCCATATATAATTGACATTTTCAGGGTTTTTTGTTTTGTTTTTTGTTTTTTTGTTTTTTTTTTTTTGAGACAAAGGCTCGCTCTGTCGCCCAGGCTGGAGTGCAGTGGCACGATCTTGGCTCACTGCAACCTCCGCCTCCCGGGTTCAAGTGATTATCCTGCCTCAGCCTGTTGAGTAGCTGGGACTACAGGCATGCACCACCACGCGCAGCTAATTTTTGTATTTTTAGTAGAGATGGGGTTTTGCCATTTTGGCCAGGCTGGTCTCGAATGCCTGACCTCAAGTGATCTGCCCACCTTGGCCTCCCAAAGTGTTGGGATTACAAGAGTGAGCCACCACTGCACCTGGTCTCTTTTCTATTCGTTTTGTTTTTTGTTTAAATAAAGACAGGGGTCTCCTTATGTTGCCCAGGCTGGTCTGGAACTCCTGACCTCAAGTGATCTGCCTCCCTCACCCTCCCAACGTGCTGGGATTACAGGCATGAGGCACTGAAACTGGCAGAATTTGAAGGTGAGGATTTGGGCTTGGCAGGGAAAGTCCACGCAGAGCAGAGCTATGAGGAAGACTGAAGCCCAAGCCCAAGGTCTCTCATGACAGTTAGGCCATTTTTGGTAAAAGATCTGAAAGTCTGAATTTGGGGATCCTGTAAATAAAACGTTCATGGGTAGGGCTGAATCCAGGATGCAAATGAAGCCATCATGAGTCTGTTTTTCTCCCTTTCTTGACTTCTGCTTGCCGTTTGTTGGCCCCAGCCTCAGGCTTCATGTAGCAGGGACACGATGGATGTCATTCAGGTACCTGGGTCCCCTCAGACTTCCAGTGAGAGGAGTCAGAAGCAAGACTCTCTTTCCCCATATTCTTTTTTTTTTTTTAAAGACGAAGTCTCACTCTGTTGCCCCAGGCTGGAGTGCATTGACACCATCTGGGCTCGCTGCAACCTCTGCCTCCTGGGTTCAAGCGATTCTCATGCCTCAGCCTCCCGAGTAGCTGGGATTACAGGCATGCGCTAGCACGTCCGGCTAATTTTTGTATTTTTAATAGAGACGGGGTTTCATCATGTTGGCCAGGCTGGTCTGGAGCTCCTGACCTCAGGTGATCTGCTCGCCTTGGCCTCCCAAAGTGCTGGGATTACAGGCGTGAGCCACCGCACCTGGCTTCTTTCCCCAGATTCTTAGCCCAAATTACATTGTGACTCTTGGGCTGTGACTAGGTCACATGATCTCTTTGAACCAATCACTGTGTCCAGATGAATGCAATGCACTCGTCTAAGGCTGGGAACACATTTTGGGCACAGGGAATGGCCTTTCAAAACTGTACATCAAATCATGTCCCTTTCCAGTCTGAGGTCCTATCCAGCAATGATTCTCAACCAGGTCGAGTTTGCCCTCCCAGGGGACATTTGGCAACGTAGGGAGGCATTTTTGGTTGTCACAACGTCAGGGTGTGTGTGCAGGTACATTCCTGGCATTTGGTGGGTAGGGGCCAGGAATGAGGCTAAAACATCCTGCAATGGGTCAGGTATGTTGGCTCAAACCTGTAATTCCGGAGCTTTGGGAAGCCGCGGCAGGAGGATTGCTTGAGCCCAGGAGTTTGACACCAGCCTGGGCAAAATGACAAAACACCATATCTACAAAGAAAAATACAAAAATTAGCTAGGCATGGTGGCACGTGCCTGTGGTCCCAGCTACTAGGAAGGTTGAGGCAAGAAGATCCCTTGATCCCAGGAGTATGAGGCTGTCGTGAGCTCTGATCATGCCATGCCACTCCAGCCTGGGTGACAGAGGGAAACCCTGTCTCAAAGAAACAAACAAACAAACAGGCCAAGCATGGTGGCTCACACCTGTAATCGCAGCACTTTGGGAGCCTGAGGCAGGCAGATCGCTTGAGCCAGGAGGATTGCTTGAGCCCAGGAGTTCGAGGCTGCAGTGAGCTATGATCACACCACTGCACTCTGCACTCCAGCATGAACAACAGAGCAAGACCTTCTCCAGAAAAAAATAAAACCCCTCAAAACCAGACAAAGATATCTGCAAAGATAACAGGAAATAATATTTCTCCCAAGGACACTGCAGCTGTCAAGTGCCATGGTGACTTCCTACTGTGAACCACTGCTTTCTGACTTGCTGAGAAACTTTGTTCCAGGAAATCATAGATAATTTGCAGTTTGAAAATATATCAGTGCAGGCCGGGTGCAGTGGCTCACGCCTGTAATCCCAGCACTTTGGGAGGCCAAGGCAGGTGGATCACCTGAGGTCAGGAGTTCGAGACCAGCCTGACCAACATGGTGAAACCCCCGTCTCTACTAAAAACACTTAAGTTAGCCAGGCATGGTGGCGGGTGCCTGTAATTGCAGCTACTTGGGAGGCTGAGGCAGAACTGCTTGACCCTGGGAGGTAGAGGTTGCAGTGAACTGAGATCGTGCCATTGTACTTCAGTCTGGGCGACAAGACCAAAACTCTGTCTCAAAAAAAAAAAAAAAAAAAAAAAAGAAAAGAAAAAAGAAAAGAAAAGAAAATATGTCAGTACAAATGAAATTTTTTCTTCTTGCTTGGAGGATCTGGGCAGTTGGATACCCAGGCACAGCAATTCAGATAAGGGTTCCCTGAACAAAGTGGTCCACATTTACTAAACTTTAGAAGTTAATTTTTGCCTTTGTTTGGTGAAGCAACCCACAGCTGCTCAGTTGCTCTGGTGTCCCTCTCCCTCCTTTTTTTTTTTTTTTTTTTTTTGAGACAGGGTCTCACTCTGTTGCCCAGGCTGCAGTGCAGTGGTGCAATCACAGCTCAGTAGAACCTCTACCTCCTGGGCTCAAGCAATCCTCCCACCTCAGCCTCCCGAGTAGCTGGGAATACAGGCATGTACCACCATGCTTGGCTAATTTTTGTATTGTTTGTGGAGATGGGGTTTTGCCATGTTGCCCCAGCTGGTCTTGAACTCCTAGCTTCAAGTGATCCCCCAGCCTCGGCCTCCCAAAGTGCTGGGATTATAGGCGTGAGCCACCATCCAGCCTTTCCTTGTTTTCAATAAATGAATAAACCTGACTTTCTCACTAAAGGTTAGTCCCTGGTGGCCAGGCTGGTCTCGAACTCCTGGGCTCAAGCAATCCTCCCACCTCGGCCTCTCAAAGTGCTGGGATTATATGTGTGAGCCATCACGCTCAGCCTCATTTATGTATTTGTTATGGCTGCCTTTGCACTCCCATGATAGATGTGAGAAATGGTGGCAGAGACTGCAGGGCCTGCAAAGCCTAAAAAATTTACAATCTGGCTCTTTACAGAAAAACTTTGCTGACCCCTGGTCTAAATGTTCTGAGTACATAAGTGAGCAAAACATAGCTAAATCCCTCCATCATGGAGCTGAAATTCTAGTGGGAAAAAGAAAAGGATTTACATACTTACAAGACACCATAAATACATCTAGTATATGACTTGTATATAACTTAGGGTAATTAAATGGTAAGAAAAGAAGTGGCCGGGCATGGTGGCTCACACCTGTAATCCCAGCACTTTGGGGGGCCGAGGTGGGCGGGTCACCTGAGGCCAGGAGTTCAAGACCAGCCTGGCCAACATGGCAAAACCCTATCTCTACTAAAAATACAAAAATTAGCTGGGCGTGGTGGTGCCAACCCGTAATCCCAGCTGCTCGGGAAGCTAAGGTGGGAGGAAGCACCATGCCCGGCCTGCTTCCACTTTTTGGCTACTGTGAATAATGCTGTTGTGAACATGGGTGTACAAATATCTGTTCAAACCCCTGCTTTCACTACTTCTTTTTTTTTTTTTTGAGACGGAGTTTCACTCTTGATGCCCAGGCTGGAGTGCAATGGTGCAATCTTGGCTCACCACAACCTCTGCCTCCTGGGTTCAAGCGATTCTCCTGCCTCAGCCTCCTGAGTATCTGGGATTACAGGCACGCGCCACTGTGCCCGGCTAATTTTATATTTTTAGTAGAGAGAGGATTTCTCCTTGTTGGTCAGGTTGGTCTCGAACTCATGACTTCAGGTAATGCACCTGCTTCGGGATCCCAAAGTGCTGGGATTACAGACGTGAGCCACTGCGCCCGGCCTCTCTTATTTTGGTTATATACCTAGAAGTAGAATTGTTGTATTTTTTTCCAGCAGGATTTTATACCAAGGACAAAGGGAGGCCATGGGAAGCTGCATGCAGGGTGCTTTACTAGGTCCCCTGGGGCTGCTGTGAGGCATTCTGATTGTAGTGGGGAAAGAAAGGAAGTGGGGAGACCAAGGAGGAGGTAGGTACAGAAGTTCAGGTCACAGGTAGCAGCAGCTTCAAGGTCCCAATCTGGGCCAGGCGCTCACGCCTGTAATCCTAGCACTTTGGGAGGCCAAGGCGGGCGGATCACTTGAGGTCAGGAGTTCAAGACCAGCCTGGCCAACATGGTGAAACCCCGTCTCTACCAAAAATACAAAAATTGGCTGGGCGTGGTGGTGTGTGCCTGTAGTCCCAGCTACTTAAGAGACTGAGGCAGGAGAATCGCTTGAACCTGGGAGATGCAGGTTGCGGCGAGCCAAGATCCTGCCACTGCACTCCAGCCTGGGCGACAGAGCGAGACTCTATCTTAAAAAAAAATAAAAATAAAATTAAAAAAATGCTCTCAGTCTGGCAGGGGAGGCCATATGGAGCAAATAAATAAATGAATGATTACAAATAGTGAAAAGTACTCCTAAATAAATGAACAAGAACAGAGTGCTGTGATTACAGGAAATAAAAAGAGGAACTCTGGCATTCTCTGTGCTACCTATCAGTTTAGTGATGCTTGAAATCCAAAATTCAAATCTTGCATTTTAATCATGAATCACTTTGCTGCCAGTTGAGTGGGTTTGATGCAGGGCCGAGTCTGTTGGTCTAAGGGTTTGTTACATTGTGAGAGCCCCTAATGGGGAGGAAGGGGCTTAGAAATAAGGCAAAGGGGGTGGTTTGAGCCTGTGGCTGAAAGAGTTGCACAGAGAGGCTTGGTGGTTAGGAGCAGAGCTGAGCCTTATCTCTGCCACATCCCAGCTGCTGGATCTGCAACAAATTACTTCTTCCCTCTAAACCCAGTTTCCGCTTTTGGAAAATGGTAGACTAATTGGTTTGGTCTATAATTACTTCCTTCTTTGTTTTGGTCACTCCTGTGTCTACAGCACCTAATACAGTATCCGGCACACAGGAGACTCGCAATAAATTTCTTTCTTGCTTTTCTTTCTTTCCTTGTCTTTCCCTCCTTCCCTCCCTCCCTTCTTTCTTTCTCGCTGTCTGTCTTTCTCGCTCTTTCTCTTTCTTTCTTTCTCTCTCTCTCTTTTCTTTCTTTCTCTCTCTCTCTTTCTTTCCTTTCTTGATGGAGTCTCACTCTGTCTCTGAGACTGGAGTGCAGTGGCGCCATCTCGGCTCACCTCAACCTCTGCCTCCTGGGTTCAAGTGATTCTCCTGCCTCCACCTCCTGAGTAGCTTGGATTACAGGCATGCGCCACCATGCCTGGCTAATTTTTGTATTTTTAGTAGAGACGGTGTTTCACCATATTGGTCAGGCTGGTCTTGAACTCCTGACCTCAGGTGATCCACCCGCTTCGGCCTCCCAGAGTGTTGGGATTACAGGCGTGAGCCACCGTGCCCGACTCTCGTTTATTTATTTTCTATTTTAAAAATTTTAATTGAGGCTGCGCACAGTGGCTCATGCCTGTAATCCCAGCGCTTTGGGAGGCTAAGGCAGGAGGGTCGCCTGCGGCCAGGAGTTCAAGACCAACTTGGGTAACGTAGTGAGATCCCATTTTACATAAATATTGCAAAAAATGTTAGTCAGGCGTGGTGGTGTCCCCCATAGTCACAGCTACTTGGGGGGCTAAGGCAGGAAGATTGCTTGAGTCCAAGAGTTTGAGGCTACAGTGAGCACCCACTGCTCTCTAGCCTGAAGAACAGAGCAAGAGCAAGATCATAGCTCAAAAAAATTTTTTTAATTGAGTTTAACTTTCATAGAGCAAAGTACAGCAACTTTAAATGTCCTCTTGATGAAGTTTTTTTTTTTTTTTTGAGACGGAGTCTCACTCTGTTGCCCAGGCTGGAGTGCCGTGGCACGATCTCGGCTCACTGCAATCTCTGCCTCCTGGGTTCAAGTGATTCTCCTGCTGCAGCCTCCAGAGTAGCTGGCATTACAGGCATGCACCAGGACACCTAATTTATGTATTTTTAGTAGAGATGCGGGTCTGCCATGTTGGCCAGGCTGGTCTTGAACTCCTGACCTCAAGTGATCCACCCACCTTGGCTTCCCAAAGTGATGGGTGGGATTACAGGCATGAGCCACTGCACCTAGCCAAGCTCAATGAATTTTAAAATATAAATGTGTGTGTACGTGTGTGTGTGTGTGTGTGTGTGTGTGTGTATATATATATATATATATATATATATATATATATATGTTTAAAACCACATAACTACCACCAAATCAAGTTATAGAACATTTACATCTCCCTAGGACATTTCTTCCTATCTTGACTTTGATCAACATATGTTGTTGTTATTATTATTATTATTATTATTATTATTATTATTATTATTATTCAGAGACAGGGTCTACCTCTGTTGCCCAGGCTGGAGTGCAGTGTTGCAATCGTACACAATTCACCGCAGTCTGGAACTCTGGGGCTCAAGCAATTCTCCTATCTCAGTTTCCTGAGTAGCTAGGACCACAGGTGTGTGCCAATATGCCCAGCTAATCTTTAAAATTGTTTTGTTGAGGCAGGCATGGTGGCTCACGCCTGTAACCCCAGCACTTTGGGAGGCCGAGGCAGGTGGATCACAAGGTCAGGAGTTTGAGACCAGCCTGGCCAACATGGTGAAACGCCGTCTCTACTAAAGATACAAAAAAATTAGCCAGGCACCGTGGCACGCACCTGTAATCCCAGCTACTTGGGAAACTGGGGCAGGAGAATCACTTGAACCCGGAAGGCAGAGGTTGCAGTGAGCTGAGATCATGCCTCCGCACTCCAACCTGGGCCAAAGGGAGAGAGTCTGTCTCAAAAAATAAAAAAAAAAAAGAAATTTGTTTTGTAGAAATGAGGTCTCACTATGTTGCCCAGGCTGGTCTCAAACTTCTGGCCTGATGAGCAATCCGCCTGCCTGGGCCTCCCAGATTGCTGGTATTACAGACATGAGCCACAGTGCCTGGCTCTTGAATAATGTATATTAGTTTTGCCTATTGTTGAACATCGTGTAAATGAGATCATGGCAAATATGCTCTTTTGTGTCTGCCTTGTTTTGCTCCTTGTTGTGTTTTGTGGGATTCATACATATTGTTGCTATTATGAACATTTTTTGTAGATGTGTTTTGGTGGATGTAAGCTCACCTTTCTTTTGGAGGCGAGTGGAATTTCTGTGTCACTATGTAATTGTATGTTTCACTTTAGCACGAATTATTAGTTTTCTTTCTTTTTTGGAGATGGAGTCTCACTCTGTCACCTAGGCTGGAGTGAAGTGGTGCGATCTTGGCTCAGAGCAACCTGTGCCTCCTGGGTTCAAGTGAGTGTTGTGCCTCAGCTCCCCAAGTAGCTGAGACTATAGGCATGTGCCACAACGCCCAGCTAATTTTATTTTATTTTATTTTACTTTTGAGACAGAGTCTCACTCTGTCGCCCAGGCTGGAGCGCGGTGGCGCGATCTTAGCTCACTGCAACCTGCGCCTCCCAGGTTCAAGCAGTTCTCCTGCCTTAGCCTCCCGAGTAGCTCGGATTACAGGCATGTGCCACCATGCCTGGCTAATTTTTTTGTATTGTTAATAGAGATGGGGTTTCCTCATGTCAGCCAGGCTGGTCTTGAACTCCTGAGCTCAGGCAATCCACCCACCTTGGCCCACCTTTTTGTATTTTTTGTAGAGATGGGGTTTCACCATGTTGCTCAGGCTGGTCTCAATCTCCTGAGCTCAAGAGATCCACCTGCCTCGGCCACCCAAAGTGCTGGGATTACAGGCATGAGCCACTGCACCCAGCCAAATTGTTAGTTTTCCAAAGTAGTTAAGCCAATTTATATACCTCCCAACAGAGCGTGCCTTTTCCAGTTAATCCACGTCTTTGTCTGCACTCGTAATTTTCAGTCTTTGTTTCCAGTCACTCTGGTGGGTGTATGATGGTATTTCACTGGGGTTTTATTTGCATTTCCCTGATGACTAATGAAGTTGAGCATGTTTTCATGTGCTTGCTCAATAAATATTTGTTGAAAGGATGAATAAAGAGTGAATGAATAAAACATGGAAAGAAATCCAACTCTGTCTTGTGCCCTGCCTAAAACCCACCAGTGGTTCCCACTGCCCCTCCTTTGGCCGACGGGTACCTGCCTGCCCTGGCTCCTTCTGACCCCACCTGCTCCGGATGGATTTCTTTTGCTTCTTCTCTGGGTTCCTGCCATCCAGGCTGTCTTCAGTTTCCTCCAAGGACCCTCCCTGCTTCATAACTTTGCTATAAACTGTTTTCTTCTGCCCAGAACACAACCCAGGCCCAAGGAACCCAGACGCGTTCCTTGTATCTCAGTTTGAAAGCCTCTTCCTCCAGGAAGCCTTCTCTGACTTCCACCCCCCAGCAAGGGTGGTATAAATTGCTAACTTAGGCCCACTTTTGCCCACTTTTTTTGTTTGTGTTTTTGAGATGGAGTCACACTTTGTCGTCCAGGCTGGAGTGCAGTGGGGCCATCTCAGCTCACTGCAACCTCCATCTCCTGGGTTCAAGTGATTCTCCTGCCTTAGCTTCCTGAATAGCTGGGATTACAGGCACCCACCACCATGTCCAGCTAATTTTTGTATTTTTACATTTATTTATTTATTTATTTGAGATAGAGTATTGCTTTGTCGCCCAGGCTGGAGTGCAGTGGCATGATCTTGGCTTACTGCAACCTCCGCCTCCCAGGTTCAAGTGATTCTCCTGCCTCAGCCTCCCGAGTAGCTGAGCCTGCAGGTGCCTGCCACCACACCCAGCTAATTTTTGTATTTTTAGTAGAGATGGGGTTTTACCATCGGTCAGACTGGTCTCGAACTCCTGACCTTAAGTGATCTGCCTGCCTTGGCCTCCCAAAGTGCTGGGATTACAGGCGTGAGCCACCATGCCCGGCCACCACTTTTTTTTTCTAGCTGTGACCATAGTTGTACATATCTCCCCTTCCCTGGCTTTTTTTTTTGTTTTTTTTTTCCTGAGACAGGATCTCGCTGTGTTACCCAGGCTGCAGTGCAGCGGTGCAATCATAGCTCACTGTAGCCTTGAACTCCTGGGCCAAATGAGCCTCCCACCTCGGCCTCCCAAAGCACTGAGATTACATGCGTGAGTCACTACTTCTGGCCTGTAAATACCCTTTCAAAAATATAATATTTGATTAACATCTGCCATCTTACCATAAGAAACACTTAAAAAAATCCCAATCCAAAAAAATTCCAATCCTTTAAGCTATATAAGAGTAGCAATTTTATCTTGTTCCTAGCAAGACATCTGGCATATAGTAAATGCTCAATAAATATTTGTTGACAGTATAAAGGTCAAGCAACAGCATAACTGGCATTATTACATGAAAGTAATTATCCCTTAGAAACTCATTCACCCTTGGGGGACCCGGGCCAATAAAAAAATCACAGAAAACAATCCTATCTACCTTCCTCCTTCCTCCTTCCCTCGCTAGGTCCTTTGATTGGGGGGAGGTCTCAAATGCACACACTGTTTCTGTTTTATTTGGTGCAGCTGTTGTGTGCATGTGTTATGGAAACCCACATCAGGCAGGAGATTAAGGAGGAGAGGAGAAAAGAAAGGCATCGCTGGTATCACAGTGAAATTTACACTCTGCGGCCTCGCCCTAGCTCCTCTGTCTCTACCTGTCTGCCTATGAAACAGTTCAAAACTAATATGGCGCAATGGATGGTATTATAGACTTCCCACCTCCCTGGCCAGACTTCTTGGGTTCAAAGTTTGGCTTAATCACTTACCATCTAAATAATCCCTGACAATGTACTCTGTCTTTCTGGGCCTTAGTGGCCTCATCTGCAAAATGGGGATAATACTACTTCTTACCTCATGGGGTTGTGAGGATTGCACAAGTTAATTTGTGTAAATTGCTAAGAACACAGCCTTAGGAAGCCTTGTCACTGTGAATGCATATTAATTTTTTTTATTATTATTTTTTGAGACAGAGTCTTGCTCTGTTGCCCAGGCTGGAGTGCAGTGGTGTGATCTAAGCTCATTTCAACCTCCGCCTCCCAGGTTCAAGTGATTCTCCTGTTTCAGCTTCTCAAGTAGCTGGGACTACAGGTGCCCGCCACCATGCCCGGCTAATTTTTGTGTTTTTAGTAGAGACAGGGTTTTGCTATGTTGGCTAGGCTGGTCTTGAACTCCTGACCTTATGTGATCGGCCCGCCTCGGCTTCCCAAAGTGCTTGATTACAAGCACGAGCCACCATGCCTGGCCTACGATTATCATGTCTCCAGGCTTCAGTTTCCTTACCTCTGAGGTGAGGATCAATAACCTGGTTATTTCTAAGTGATGCTTAAAGAGGTTGAGAAGAAGCAAAGGCGCTCTGCACACAGGTGAGGTCAACAGCTGTTAGTGATGGAGACTGGCGCCGTCTGGGTCATCAGTGCTCCGGAATCAGGCTGCTCACGGGTTTGAATCTCACTTCCACTTTCACTCCTTATTAACTGTGTGACCTCGGGCAAGTCACTTCGCCTTTCTGAACCTCAGTTTCCCCATCTGTAAAAGGTAGGTGAATAACAGTATTCACCTCCTTCTGTGTGACTCAGCTTTGGAGTCAGCGGACCGGGTTCAAATCCCAGCCCTGCAAGTGATTAGCCAGGTGACCCTGGGCAGAGGGAATCACTCAACCTCTCTGCACCTGGGTTTCTTCCTTCATGAACGTGGAGACTTTACAGGATGAAATGAGGGCACAGTTAAGGCGCCCGGTACACTCCAGGCAGGGGGCTCCGTTCACGTTATTTTCCCCTGGTGACGGATACTGTCCTTAAACAGGATTTGAAAAGTGGTCGCAGGGTGTGTGGCCCCAAAGATCCCAGGCGCTTCCGGAAGGCGAGCCAACGCTCCCCAGGCCCGTCCGCGAGCGGGTGGGCCTAAGCCTTGGAGGATCTGGGGTGGGGGTGGCGCGGGGTCCAGGCCCGGGGCGCCGAGAGGTGGCTGGTCCGGCTGCCCACGCCGAGACGCGCGAGGTGAGCGGGCGCCGGGGCGGGGCGGGGTGGGGCGGGGCCGCCGCATCCCCGTGACGCGCGGGCCAACCAGGCGGCGTTGCGGCCCCGGCCCCGGCTCCCTGCGCCGCCGCCGCCGCCGCCGCCGCCGCCGCCGCCAGCGCTAGCGCCAGCAGCCGGGCCCGATCACCCGCCGCCCGGTGCCCGCCGCCGCCCGCGCCAGCAACCGGGCCCGATCACCCGCCGCCCGGTGCCCGCCGCCGCCCGCGCCACCGGCATGGCGCTCCGGGGCTTCTGCAGCGCCGATGGCTCCGACCCGCTCTGGGTACGTGCCGGGGGCCGCGTGAGGCCGGCGGGACGGAGGGAGGCCGGCGGGGAGGGAAAGCACCGGGCCCGCAGCCGCCCGGGGCACCCCGCTCCCCGCTCTGCTGCCGGCCTCGGGGGCCCGGGACCCTCACGTCGCCCGCGGCCCAGCCCCTTTCGGGGGTGCAAGGCATGGGGGAAACTTGGGTGACTCAGTTCCTGCGGAGCAGAGCGTGGGGGGCCGCGTGCCCAGCCCTGGGGTTTTGGAGGGTCGGGTCGGGTCAGAGCCGCCGTGAGGAGGCCTTCCTGTTTTGGGGTTCCCGTCTGTAAAAACAACCTTCCAGGGAAGGGGACGCTAGAGATGGGGGGCGGGAAGAGGGGTGTCTCTCTGCTTCTGTTTTCCCATCTTTTTTGTGGTTAGGGTCCCCCCTTTTCACGAAAAATACTCCGTGACCAACGGGGTGAGCTGGGGAGGGGCTTAGATTGTAGAAAGGGACTTTCATTGTCTCCCCAAAGTTGTCGTACAAGCCACATTACTCTTCTGTGGTTACCTAGCTTTGTTTTTTTTGTTCTTTCTACTTAGATACTGCGGGGGAAGTTTGGGGGAACCAGGGAAGAAGGGGGATGTCCACCCTTGATGTGCCCTACCTGACCCTCGGCTCGGGGCAGACTTGGGGTGCAGCTGAGGACGCCCAGGACCCTGGTAGCTGTGGTCCTGCCCTCCCTTCCCTGCAACACGTGGAGCTCCTCTCTGGGGATGCCCCTTAGATTTAACCCCGGCAAGTTTTCTTCTGTAACGTGGCCTGCGGAGCCTGACTGGGTGTCTGGAGTCCACTTGCTGTGGTTTAAGCCCCAGTCTTTTGGGCTTCAGCTTCTCCGTAATGCGATTTGCCTCTTTGTTCCAGGAAGGCAGGCACTTCTGTCTCGTGCTGTCTTGATTGTTGGTGAACGCAGTAGGCAAATCTGGACACGACTGTTTCTCTCTCCTCTTTTGTTTAGGAATCAGGAGAAACAGCCTTGGTTCTTAGGAGCTGGTGATCAGCTTCCAAAAATACTTTCTTGTCCTGTTTTGCCGGCCTTTCCTCGAGGGTTGCATTTGGAGTGTTGAAAAGTCATCCTCCAGGGCCCCATTGGAGGGTTTGGTTTTGTTTGTTTGTTTTTTTTAGTAGGGTATCATTGTGTTTAATAACCTACCACACTTTGATATATCTCCCATTTTAAGCCAGTGGGGTTGGAGAGTAACCCCAGGGGTGGAAATAGAACACAGACTTTGCCTTGAGGGTCTGGGGGTGATTGGAGCCTCTTTGCAGATGGACTTTCTTTAGCAGGGGAAAACCTGTGGCTTCCTTGTTGCCAGGTGTAGTAACAGCAAGATTATTTTTTGCAAAGATTCACATGGTGATCTGGGTTTGTGTTGCTGTGAATTCCAGAATATTCTCTTGTTTATTTTCTTCTGAATTGAGGAGGGGGCAAAACAGGGTGAACATCCATGAGGTTTTGTATCAGGACGTATTTTATTGATGGCAATTGGTAGTTGATGGCTAATGAGTATGTTTGGGGTGCGCTTTGTTTATCTTAAGAAACTCATTCACGAAGTCCAGTTGTAATATTTTTTAAAATTTTTATTTTCTTTTTTCTTTTTATTTTTTCCTTCGTTAAGGACTTTCTGCCACAGAAATTGCCAGGTGGTTGGGTTTTGCTTGGGGGTAATTGTAGCTGATCTCTGCCTCTGGTAGGTACCCCATCCCCGTGTTTGACCTTGCGTATTTCTGCTGTCTGGATTCCAAGACTTGTTGGAGGTGCCTTGGAACCAGAATTTGAGAGGAGGCAACTGGGGCCTGAGTGGGAAAATTGAAATATAATTAACTGAAAGCTAGAAAGTAGGTAGTTGTTGCTTTTTTCTTTTCTTTTTTTTTTCTTTTTCTTTTTTGAGACAGAGTCTTGCTCTGTCACCCAGGCTGGAGTGCAGTGGCACGATCTCAGCTTACTGCAATCTCTGCCTCCCCGGCTCAAGTGGTCCTCCTAACTCAGCCTCCCAAGTACCTGGGACTATAGGCGTGTGCCACCACGCCCAGCTAATTTTTGTATTTTTTATAGAGACAGATTCGCACTATATTGCCCAGGCTGGTCTCCTACTCCTGGGCTCAAGCGATCCTCCTGCCTTGGCCTCCAAAAGTGTTGAGATTACAGGCATGGGCCTCTGTGCCCGGCTGTTTTTGTGTTTTTCAAGGTAGCGTGTCCGAGGCCAGGAGCGACTGGCCTCCCAGGCAGTCAGATAACTGTGTGACCTTGAGCAAGCCACTTTCCCTCTGTGTGCCTCACTTTCCTCATCTCTAAAATTGGACAGGAGCCAAAAATGTGGCAGCCTTCTTGGGTTGTTGCGAAGGGTCAATGAGTTAATCTTGTAAGTGGCTCAGCTTGTGCCCTGCACGGAGATAAACAATGGTTAGTATTAAATATTATTTTTTCCAAAGATGAAGTTGTGTGTTTTAAGCTCCTTGTTCTTCCTTTGGATTCCCCTTTTCTTCAGCTGGTGGAGATGGGATTGGGCTGTGAAAAGGCAGTGAGGCACCCGTGCCTGGCTCCTGTTGTGACCAAGGTCATGTGCTTAGAAGTCAAGGTTAGTGGGCCTCGGGTGACTCTGTCAGAGCTTTGTTTCTGGGCTACTGTCTGCCTCTGAGCCGCAGGAAATGTCCAGAAAACCCAGAAGATGGAAATGGCCCATGATAAGTGTTCTGTTGACCTTTACTCAGACAGATGCTCTGGGAAGAGAAAAGGAGAACTTTGCTATCAAAACGGAAAATAGGGCCTGAGGACAGGTCACAGCAGCCCTTGGCTTTCTTTTCTCATGGGGGTGGGACTGGTAGGAGGCGCTGCTTTGTGGTTGATATTGGCATGATGGTTGGAAAAATGGGCCTGGGACTTTTTGTGAGTTCATTAAAAAAAAAAAAAAAAAAAAAAAAAGCAGGCCGGGTGCAGTGGCTCACGCCTGTAATCCCAGCACTTTGGGAGGCTGAGGCAGGCGGATTGCTTGAGGTCAGGAGTTCGAGACCAGCCTAGGCAACATGGATTGACCCCCGTCTCTACTAATAATACCAAAAAAAAAAAAAAAGCCTGGCATGGTGGTGTGGCACCTGTGGTCCCGGCTACTAGGGAGGCTGAGGCACTAGAATCACTTGAAGGCTGTGGGGGTGGAGGTTGCAATGAGCTGAGATCACGGTCACTGCACTCCAGTCTGGGCCACAGACTGAGACCCTGTCTCAAAAAAAAGAGGGCCGGGTGTAGTAGATCATGCCTGTAATCCCAGCACTTTGGGAGGCCAAGGCAGGTGGATCACCTGAGGTCAGGGGTTCAAGACCAGCCTGACCAACATGGCAAAACCCCATCCCTACTAAAAATACAAAAATTAGCTGGGCCTGGTGATTCACGCCTGTAATTCCAGCTACTTGGGAGGCTGAGGCAGGAGAATTGCTTGAACCTGGGAAGAGGTTGCAGTGAGCTGAGATCACATCACTGCACTCCAACCTGGGCGACAGAGAGACTGTCTCAAAAGAAAAAAAAAATTGTGCTTCAGGCCCTGTGTAGAAAAATTGGAAATTATGGAAAAGCAGAGGAAACAACTTGGTATTAAGCAGTATAGTGTGGTGGCTCAGAGCAAATTCGCCTCTGCTGCTGAGGCAGGTTACGTCATCTCTCCGTGCCTCAGTTTCCCTATGTGGGATAACGTAGTACCTAGTGAATAGCGGTGACTTGAGGAATAAGTGAGTTAATCCTTAGCAAGGACTTAAAATGTTGCTGCTTGGCACACAGCGCTCAGTAAAGATCAGTGGTCGTTGCCACCTGGAATTCTCCAGTTAATTTTTGCTGTTGCACCAACTGCCACTGGAGAAGACCAGAAGGAAGCCGCAGGTGTGTGTCACCGTCGATGGAGTGAGCTGGTCCCAGGGTTGATGTGCACCTCTGAGATGCTCTGTGGCATCCACCAACTCAGTAACCCCCTGAATATCTGACTTAGCCGCCAAGGAAGAATATCTTAGAAGCTATTAGGAATTCCTCTTGGGGCTAGGTCTGGGCCTTGGAGTCAGTCTGATCCCTGGTTTAATTCTTCCCCTTGGCTCAACAGCAGTGTACGACGAGCCAATTTTTCCCCTCCTCCAAGTGTGGCTTTGGTTTTCAAATCCATCCCTTAGCCTTCTCCTACTTCCTCTGTTTTCCCCTCCCCACCCTTTTTTTTTTTTTTTTTTGAGATGGTGTCTTGCTGTGTCGCCCAGGCTAGGGTGCAGTGGTGTGATCTCGGTTCACTACAACCTCTGCCTGCTGCGTTCACATGATTCCCCTGCCTCAGGCTCCCGAGTAGCTGGGATTACAGGCGCACAGCCACCATGCCTGGCTAAGTTTTGTATTTTTACAAAACTTTACAAAACCCCCATAGAGACGGGGTTTCATCATGTTGGCCAGGCTGGTCTTGAACTCCTGACCTCAAGTGGTCAACCTGCCTCAGCCTCCCAAAGTGTTGGGGATTGCAAGCGTGAGCCACCGCGCTCAGCCTGTTTTCCCCCTTTTTGGCTGCCCCTCCTTCCAGACCCTTCCTCTCTCCCTTCCTTATGGAGTGTTAGAGTGGAAAGGGATGTCAGATCTTGGGGGGCCCTCCTCTCCACCCACCCCATTTCGTGGATGTGGACACTGAGGTCCAGGATGGTGACATGACAGGGTGCAAGGTGGCAAGGTGAATGGCTTTGGGAGGAGATGAGGGTGACCCGGGAGAGGCCTGGGCAGGAGTGGACTCAGGGGTTCCTGGTCCAAATGGGTTCGTGATTCAGGCCAATCAGGAGCGGATTCAGGGTTCCTTGGCCAAATGGAGCCACTGCAGCCACAGGGGCCCTGCAGAAGGCAGCTGCAGCCGGTCCCTTTGGCCAAGACTCTCCTGAAGGGTCGTGTTCTCTTTCTCTGAGGACAAGTTCCATTTGTGATAGCCTGGAGGGGGTGCCTCGCCTTTGGGACCTGGTGGTAGATGGGGGGGAAGAAAACCTTTTCTGTTTGTGGACACAACTTTTAGGAACTGATCTCTCTATGTGGGTGTCTCCCACTGACCATGTTCCTAAAGAACGTGAGCTTCCTCTTCCCATGTCAGTCTCCAGCTTTGACTTCTCTTTTTCTCCTCCCATTCCTATCACATCTGTCAGCAAATCGTGTTGCCCGTTGCCTCAAACGGGCTGCTTTTCATGGCTTCCCCGACTTCCACTCTGGCTCGAGTCATCGTTGGCCAGTTTCTGGATTTGAACAGTCACCTCAGTCCAGGCGCCGTGGCTCATGCCTGTAATCCTGGCACTTCGGGAGGCCAAGGCAGACGGATCATTTGAGGCCAGGAGTTTGAGACCAGTCTGGGCAGAATGGTGAAAACCTGTCTCAACTAAAAATACAAAAATTAGCCGAGCCTGGTGGTGGGCGTCTGTAATCCCAGCTACTTGGGAGGCTGAGGCAGGAGAATCGCTTGAGCCCAGTGGGGTTGGAGGTTGCAGTGAGCCGAGAGTTCGCCACTGCGCTCCAGCCTGGGTGACAGTGAGACTCCGTCTCAAAAAAAAAGAAAACAGCCACCTGTTCGCTGCTGTGCCTACTCTGCCCTTGACCCCTACAGTCTAGTCTTGGCCCAGCTGTCCCTCTTCTACTAAAACCCTGCAGTAGTTCCTTGAGGGTACAAGCCAAAGGGCTTACAGTGGCCTCGAAGGCTGGGCAGCATCTGTCCCCTTGGCCTCCCTGACCTCTTCTCTGGCTGCTTTCTGTCTCACTCTCCTCCAGCCACACTTGTGGCCAGGCCTGTCCCTGCCTCAGGGCCTTTGCACTTGCTGTTTCTCCTACCTACTATGTCCCTCACCTTCAAACTTTGTTCAGGTGTCACCTCAGGCATCCCGTTCTTTCCCTCCACTAGCAAATCTCTGTCCCCCATCTACACCCCCAGTAGCACTTACTGCCTTCTAATACACGTAATATTTTGCTTAAGTATTGTGCCTACTCTGTAAACTCCTACCAAAAGATCGGCTCCATAGGGGCAGGGATTTTGGCCTGTGTTTGTTTACGGCTGTAATCCCAGCACCTAGAACTGTGCCTGGGGCTTAGTAAATAACAGTTGACCTTGGAACAATTCAGGGGTTAGGAGTGCTGATGCCCCATGTAGTTGAAAATTTAGGATGCAGCGCGGTGGCTTACACCTGTAATCTCAGCACTTTGGGAGGCCGAGGCAGGTGGATTACCTGAGGTCAGGAGTTCCAGACTAGTCTGGCCAACATGGTGAAAGCCCATCTCTACAAAAATTAGCCAGGTGTGGTGGCTCATGCCTGTAATCTCAGCACTTTGGGAGGCCAAGGCAGGCAGATCACTTGAGGTCAGGAGTTTGAGACCAGCCTGGCCAACATGGTAAAACCCTGTCTCTACAAAAATTAGCTGGGTGTGGTGGCGGGTGCCTGTAATCCCAGCTACTTGAGAAGCTGAGGCATGAGCATTGCTTGAACCTGGTAGGCGGACACTGCAGTGAGCCGAGATCGCGCCATTGCACTCCAGCTTGGGTGACAGAGTAAGACTCTGTCTAAAAAAAAAAAAACACAATAAAGGAAAGAAAATTCAGGTCTAACTTTCAACTCCCTAAAAGTTTAACTACTAACAGCTTACTGTTGACTGGAAGCCTTACCGAGAACATAAGCAGTTGATAACACTAATTCTGTTGTTGTTGGTTGTTTTTTGATAGAGATGGGGAGCTTGCTGTGTTGCCGAGGCTGGTCTCAAACTCCTGGCCTCAAGCTATTCACCTGCCTCGGCCTCCTAAAGTGCTGGGATTATAGGCGTGAGCCACTGCACTTGGCCTAACTCATACCTTGTATATATATTATATACTGTATTTTTACAGTGAAGCAAGGTAGAGAAAAGAAAATGTTAAGATTAATTCATAAGAGAGATTTTTACTATTTATTAAGTGGAAGTGGATCATCATAAAGGTCTTCATCTTCATTGTCTTCACGTTGAGGAGGCTAAGGAGGAGGAGGAAGGGGAGGGGTTGGTCTTGCTATCTCAGGGATGGCAGAGGCAGAAGCATAATCTGAGTATAAGTGGACCCGTGCAGTTTAAATGTGTGTTGTTCAAGGGTCAGCTGTTTGTTGAATAAATGAATGACATGAAGTATTACAGTGGCTTTTGGGCGGTGTCGAAACTTCTTTGTAAGGATTTTAAGGATGAAATAATCACTTAACTGTCTGGAATGAACACTCAGATAAACTGAGTCCTCCAGCTTTCTCATCAGATGGCTTGTTTTTTTATTTTATTTTTTTGAGACAGGGTCTTGCTCTGTCACCCAGGCTGGAGTGCAGTGGCGCGACCTCAGCTCACTGCAGCCTCAACCTCCTGAGCTCAAGCAATTCTCCCACTTCAGCTCCCCAGGTAGCTGGGACTACAGGCACACACCACCATGCCCAGCTAATTTTTTTTTTTTTTTTTTTTGTAGAGATAGGGTTTTGCCATGTTGCTCAGGTTGGTGGTGAACTCCTGAACTCAGGCGATCTGCCTGCCTTGGCCTCCCAAAGTGCTGGGATTATAGGTGTGAGCCACCGTGCTTGGCAGAACAGCTTCTATTTCATCTTGGAAAGGTCAGAACAGGGTTTTGTCCACCCCTCTTTTCCCAGGACTCAGTGTCTCACACACAGTGGGGGCTCAATCAACATTAGAATTTGAGTGTTTGAGGTATGAGTTCCAAGCTAGGGGTTAGATATAGCTCACCACTGTGCTGGTTTGGCTTGATTTTAATTATAGGAATGACTGTGATTTCCAATTTTATTTATTTATTTATTTGAGACGGAGTCTTGCTCTGTTGCCAGGCTGGAGTGCAGTGGCACGATCTTGGCTCACTGCAACCTCTGCCTCCTGGGTTCAAGCAATTCTGCCTCAGCCTCCCCAGTAGCTGGGACTACAGGGGCACGCCACCACATCCAGCTAATTTTTGTGTTTTTGATAGAAACGGGGTTTCCAGTATGTTGGCCAGCATGGCCTCGATCTCTTGACCTCGTGATCCGCCCGCCTCGGCCTCCTAAAGTGCTGGGATTACAGGCATGAGCCACTGTGGCCCGCCCTACAATGTTTATTCATTGGCAGATTTCACAGAAACATCTGGATTTCTGGCTTCCCTTGAAAAATCAGAAGTTCTGCTAGCCCCAGGCCCACATTTATACATGGTAGCGGTCCGCTGAGGCTGTCCGTTTCTGAGTTGCTCCAGTTTGCCGCAGTCCCCACCCCTCCCTGTTGTTGCTTTAATTTTAAGGCCAAATGTTTGTTGCCTTTGTTTTATTTTATATTATTTTTTTGAGACGAAGTCTCGCTCTGTCACCCAGGCTGGAGTGCAGTAGTGGAATCTCGGCTCACTGCAACCTCTGCCTCCCGGGTTCCAGTGATTCTGCTGCCTCAGCTTCCCGAGTAGCTGGGATTACAGGCCCGCACCACCACACTCGGCTTATTTTTGTATTTTTAGTAGAGATGGGGTTTCTCCATATTGGCCAGGCTGGTCTTGAATTCCTGAACTCAAGTGGATCACTTGAGTTCCTCAGCCTCCCAAAGTGCTGGGATTACAGGCATGAGCCACCGTGCCTGGCCTGTTGCCTTTTTAAAATTGTGCTTCCTCACACCTGGTCTGCTTCTTGCATGGATGGAACCCACTTTGGCACCTGTTGGTATCTGAGTTGGCATCTCCTGCTTTGCAGGCCAACCTTGAAGTTAGCATCTGATTGGTATGTTGGCTTCAGATTTTCATGGCGAAGTAAGGCCTAGCTTTGATGATCAGCTCTTAGTGTGGTCAGTACAACTCTAGCTCGTGAAAACTTGCCCAAACATTTTGCCAAAATTAATTAATGGCCAGACATCCTGAGGCAAGCTTCCCCCCGCTTAGCAAGAAAACTGGGATAGGGCAGCATCCCTGTGGGTGGAGTGGTGCTGGGGACCTGCACTTACCTCTTAGAGGCTGAATGGTTGAACGGGGCCTTTGAGGAAGCTGTATTTTGCGGGTGGGGACATGGAGCACAGTTGCTCAGTGTCGGCCCCGTTGACATGTAGGCCACATCATTCTTTGTGGCCTGGTTGCTGTTCTGTGCAGCGTAGTCTTAGCCCCAAACCTGGCCTCTACCCCCTAGTAGATGCTGGTAGCACCTCCTCTTGTTGTGACAACCGAAAATGCCTCTAGATGTTTCCATATGTTCCCTGGGGTGTGAAATCACACAGCCACTGGTGTGGAGGAATATGGGGGAGAAACATGGAGCAAGACCTTCCTCCTCATCCTGCATTTCCCTAGGAGGTTGTGGGCTGTGGAAATTCTAGTGTAATTGGCTTACTGGGGTTGCCTTGGAGAAGCTTAATGAGACGTTAAGGAGGTTAAACTCCAATTAGCTAGAGAAGAAACTTGCGGCAGTTTCTTTTTTACTGAGGGCTGTGTCTTTTTACCTTTTTCCATTTTCCCAGTTGGAGTTGTGACAGTTCATTCTCCCCTGGGAAAACAAAAATGGCTTTCTTTTTCTTTTTCTTTCTTTTTTCTTTTGAGACAGGGTCTCCCTCTGTCACCCAGGCTGGAGTGCAGTGGCACAATCATAGCTCACTGCAGCCTCGACCTCCTGGGCTGAAGCTATCTTCCCACCTTAGCCTCCCAGGTAGCTGGGACCAGAGGTGCACACCACCATACCCGGCTAATTTTTGTATTTTTTGTAGAGTCAGGGTCTCACCATGTTGCCCAGGCTTGTCTCAAACTCCTGGGCTCAAGCGATCCTCCTGCCTCGGCCTCCCAAAGTGCTGGGATTACAGGCGTGAGCCACCATGCCCAGCCGAAAATGGCTTTCTTGAGAGATCAGCTTTGAAGCTCTACTCCTTCATTTTAAAGTGCCCCAGGAGAAGTGGACGATTACAAAGTTGAGATTCCACTTAAGTGTCCCCTTAGTTTAACTGTGGGATTCATCTCCTGGGGAGGTTGCCAGGTTCTGGAAAGTGGGTGTTAATGACCAGGGAGGGTGCCCCTAGGCTAGCATCCTGTAACCCTCAGGAATTGAGATTTTTATGGAGGTTTTCTCTTCCTCTCTGTGAGTTTTCTCTCTGAGAAACCTGTCTAGGGAGGGAGGCTCTAGGCTAGCATCCTGTAACCCTCAAGTAGTAATTGAGATTTTTATGGAGCTTTTATCTTCCTCTCTGTGAGTTTTCTCTCTGAGGAACCTCAGTGTACCTTTTACTGGCCTCCTAGGTAATACTTGTTTGGAGAATATGTGTGATGTCTAAGTCTTCCCAGTACAAGAAATTTGTGTGGTGTTTGACTGATTGATGGATGGAGTCTTGTTCTGTCGCCCTAGCTGATTGTACCACTGCACTGCAGTCTCGACCTCCCAGGCCAAGTGACCCTCCCAACTCACCCTCCCAAGTAGCTGGGACTACAGGCATGCACCAGCACACCCGGCTAATTTTTGTATTTTTTTTTGTAGAGATGGGGTTTCACTATGTTGCCCAGTTTGGTCTTGAACTCTTGAGCTCAAGCAGTCTCCCAGAGTGCTGGGATTACAGGTGTGAGCCACCACGCCCAGCCTCGTGTGGTCTTTGATACCCCTGGGTTCATTGTATTGTTCTTCCCACACTGCTTTTCATTCATTCATTTATTCAGTCATTATTAATTGAGCAGCTACTATGTGCTGCTGCTGCTCTAGGCACTGAGGATACAACAGTGAACAGGACAGACCAGGCCCATGTTCTCATGGGGTTTACACTGAGGGTGACGGAAATGATTTCAGATGCTGGCAAGTGCTGCAAAGACTTGAACCGGGAAAAACTGGGTGAGGTGCAAACTACTACGGAGGGATGTCCACAGAAGGCCTTTCGGAGGCGGTGAGGTTTGACCCCAGAGCTCAGTGGCAAAGCTGGCCATGCAAGGATGTGGGGGAAGGGAGTCCCAGAGTGGGAAGAGAATGTGCATAGGCCTTGAGGAAGATCATGGTGTGGTTAAAGTATTGAGGAGTTTAACTCAAAGGAACTGCAGAGCCCATCTCATAAAAATCTAGCCTGGAGCATTCGGCAAAATGCATAAAGCACTAACACAATGGCTTGTGGTCCTGGAATTTCCAGGGAAGGCGCTTACCAGCTCAGCAAGGAAGTAGAACAATGCATGGTCCCTGGCAGAAGCAAGAACCTTCTGATCTGTTTATGTTTGAATGAAACGCAGGTTTTTTTTTTTTTTTTTTTTTTTTAAAATAGATGGGGGTCTTGCTATGCTGCTCAGGCTGGTCTCGAACTCCTGGGCTCAAGCAATCCACCCACCTTGGCCCTTCCATGTGCTGGGATTACAGGCATGAGGCACTACGCCCTGCTGAATCTCAGGTCTTAAAAATTCAGTTTATTTTGTTTTATGAGTCTCTTCTCTTTCTCAGAACCTTAACTGAAACGTTTGTGATCAAGACCAACTTGGGTTTCCCCACTCCCCAGTTGCCTTTGATTCTCCGCCAAAGGCTTGTTCGTAAGATGATGAGGTACTTTTTTCCTGTGGTTAAGAGGACTTTCTATAGGTTGCTAGAAAACTCTTGTTTTAAAACAAGATGTTGTTGAATTGATCTGGCTGATTGCAGGAGGAAGATCTTGTACTGCAACTTTGTTGATGATGCTAATACTTTAAGGTGAATATTCTAGAAGAATATAAAGGGAAAAATAAAAGTTTTAGTATGTTCCCACCCTGCCCTTTGTTCCCAGAAGTAGCCGTTATTGATGATGGTTGTTGATGATAGTTTCTTGGGTGTTTTTCGAGAAAAGTTTCAAGTATATGCAAATGTATGTGCAAGAACGTGTTCGTTTGTGTGTATATGTTTACATATTCATTTTTTCCCTCCCTAGTTGGGTATTTTAAATACTGTTTTGTCTCTTGTTCTCTTCACTTAACCAGTGTTGATTTTCTTGCCATTTTAAGCCCATGCAAATTGAAAGTAAAAGCCAATCAAATCAACTTTTTTTTTTTTTTTTTTTTAAACAAGCCACGCATTTGCCTGTTAAATGGCTGAGCCATGTATTCACCCATTCCCCTCTTGGTGTCTATCAAGGTCATTCCCAGTTCCTGGTTTCTTGCTGTGATAAGCAGTGCTGCACTGAAGGCACATGTATGCAAATATATGTAAATGATTCAGCAGAATAAATTTTCCCACAGGAAATTGCTAGGTTGACAGTATGTGCATTTTGAAATTTGATAGTTAATTGTCAGGTTACTGCAGCAGTTTATACTCCCACTAATGGGCCCACCAGCACTTATTAAGCACCTGTTGTTTTCCTGCCATATCAGAAAAATTGAGCAAGCTGGGAAGTGATCAGGCCCATGTTGCTTGGCTGTGTGTGAGAGGGCTTTGCCCAGTTAAGTTAAACCTTACTTTCCAGAGGTCAGGAGATCAAAGCAGAAGTGTGCTTTGGTTTTGTTCAGTTTTTTAAAAGATGTGTTTAAATTTTAAACATCTTTGGACTTATTTTAAAAATTGCTTTTAAATCAATAATTTAACAATGTGTAAAAACATTACTGATAGTCTCACCATGCTAATGTCACTCTGATTTTTACACCTAAACTAATTTAATTGCAGAGTTTTCTGATCACAAGTGACATGTGTTCCATATGACAGAACAAACAATACAAAGATATTTAAATAAAGCCTGAACATGGTACTGATATTAGTTTGTTCATGCTGCTATGAAAAAATACCTGAGACTGCGTAGTTTATAAAGGAAAGAGGTTTAATTGACTCACAGTTCTGCATGGCTGGGGAGGCCTCAGGAAACTTAAAATGATGGTGGAAAGGAAAGCAAACATGTCCTTCTTCACATGGTGGCAGGAGACAGAAGTGCAGAGTAAAGAGGAGAAAAGCCGGTATAAAACCATCAGATCTTCTGAGGACTCACTATCAGGAGAACAGCATGGGGGAACCGCTCCCATGATCTAATCACCTCCAGTGAGGTCCCTCCACCAACACGTGGGGATTACAATTAAGATTACAATTCAAGATGAGATTTGTGCGGGGACACAGAGCCGTGCCATATCATTCTGCCCCTGGCCCCTCCCAAATCTCATCTTTCTCATATTTCAAAACACAATTATGCCTTCCCAACAGTTCCCCAAAGTCTTAACTCATTTCAGCATTAACTCAAAAGTCTATGTCCAAAATCTCATCTGAGACAAAATCTAGTCTCTTTCACCTATCAGCCTGTAAAATCAAAAGAAGTTAGTTAGTTCCTAGATACAATGGGGGTACAGGCATTGGATAAATACACCCGTTTGAAATGGGAGAAATTGGCCAAAACAAAGGGGCTGCAGGCCCCATGCAAGTCTGAAATCCAATAGGCCAGTCATAAAACTTTCAAGTTCCATAGTTATCTCCTTTGACTCCGTGTCTCACATCCAGGTCACACTGTTGCAAGAGGTGGGCTTCCACGGCCTTGGGCAGCTCTGCCCCTGTGGCTTTGCAGGGTATAGCCCCGCTCCTGGCTGCTTTCACAGGTTGGCGTTGAGTGTCTCCGTCTTTTCCAGGCACACGATGTAGCTGCAGGTGGATCTACCATTCTGGGTTCTGGATGGTGGCCCTTTTCTCACAGCTCCATTAGGCAGTACCCCAGTGGGGACTCTGTGTGGGGGCTCTGACCCCATATTTCCCTTCTTTACTGCATTGGTAGAGGTTCTCCATAAAGGCTCCACCCCTGCAGCAAACTTCTGGCTGGACATCCAGGCATTTGCATACATCCTCTGAAATCTAGGTGGAGGTTTCCAAACCTCAGTTCTTTAGTTCTATGTACCCACAGGCTCAATACCACATGGAAGCTGCCGAGGCTTGGGGCTTGCACCCTCTGAAGGCACAGCCTGAGCTGTGTACCTTGGCTCCTCTTAGCCATGACTGGAGTGGCTGGGCACCAAGTCCTAAGGCTGCACACATCAGGGGGGCCCTGGACCCAGCCCAGGAAACCGTTTTTCCCTCCTAGGCCTGTGATGGGAGGGGCTGCTGTGAAGGTTTGTGATATGCCCTGGAGACATTTTCCCCATTGTCTTGGAATTGGGCTCCTTGTTACTTTTGCAAGTTTCTGCAGCCGGCTTGAATTTCTCTTCAGAAAATGGGTTTTTCTTTTTACATTGTCAGACTGCAAATTTCCACACTTTTTTTTTTTTTGAGATGGAGTCTCTCTCTGTTGCCCAGGCTAGAGTGCAATGGCATGATCTCGGCTCATTGCAACCTCTGCCTCCTGGGTTCAAGCAATTCTCCTGCCTCAGCATCCCGAGTAGCTGGGATTACAGGCACCCGCCATCATGCCTGGCTAATGTTTGTATTTTTGTAGAGACAGGATTTCACCATGCTGGCTAGACTGGTCTCGAATTCCTGACCTCAAGTGATCTGCCCACCTTGGCCTCCCAAAGTGCTGGGATTACAGGCGTGAGCCACTGCGCCCGGCCAATTTCCACCCTTTTATGCTCTGCTTCCTCTTGAATGCTTTGCTGCTTAGTAATTTCTTCCCCTAGATGCCCTAAATCTTCTCTCTCAAGTTCAAAGTTCCACAGATCTCTAGGGCAGGGTCAAAATGCTGCCAGTCTCTTTGCTAAAGCATAGCAAGGATCAGGAGAACAGCATGGGGGAACCGTCCCCATGATCTAATCACCTCCCATGATGTCCCTTCCCTAATATGTGGGGATTCCAATTCAGATTACAATTCAAGATGGGATTTAGGTGGGGACACAGAGCCAGACCATATCAGTAATCTCTTGGGCTAACCAATAACCAATGTATTCTTGTATTTTTTCTTTGAAATTTTATAAATATTTATAAATTTAAATAACATTTAAATCAAAATGGATTATGTTGTAATCATTACTCTGCCAGTTTTTTTTTTTTAATTTTTAAATTTATTTTTTGTAGAGACAGGATCTCCCTATGTTACCCAGGCTGGTTTTGAACCCCTGGACTGAATCGATCCTCCGGCTTTGGCCTCCCAAAGTGCTGGGATCAAAGTTTGTTAATTTGATAGCTAAAATATATTTTCATCTGCATTTCAATTACAATTAGAAGCTATGTATCCTGCAACATATTTTCCAGCAATTTGTGTATTTTCAGTGTGTCTTTCTGAGTCCTTTTTGGGTATGCCTGGACTAGTTTGTCTTTTTCCTGTTAGTTTGTAAGGGCTCTTGTTATTGTGGGACCTTTCCTCTTTGTCCATCACCTGTATTGTATAAATATTTTGTTACAGGCTATTGTTTTCCTATTGGCATATTAACATTTGAGTCTTGTTCTTACTAGTATGTAGTTTTGCAAGGTTGCATTTGTAGCTTGCATACTGTCTCCTATGTTTTTATTTACTGTAATAAGTATTTTCCCATGTACCCACGTAACCTTTTTAATTAAACCTATAAATGTCCAATCGATAGTTCCCTGTGTTGGTGGGCTATAATCACATAATTATTATCTGTGGTTTGACATTTGGGTTGCTGTGTTTTCTTTCTCCTTTTTTTTTTTTATTATTATTTTTGAGACGGAGTCTTGTTCTGTCGCCCAGGCTGAAGTGCAGTGGTGCGACCTTGGCTCACTGCAAGCTCCGCCTCCCAGGTTCACGCCATTCTCCTGCCTCAGCCTCCCAAGTAGCTGGGACTACAGGCACCTGCCACCACGCCTGGCTAATTTTTTTGTGTTTTTAGTAGAGACGGAGTTTCACCGTGTTAGCCAGGATGGTCTTGATCTCCTGACCTTGTGATCTGCCCACTTCGGCCTCCCAAAGTGCTGGGATTACAGGCATGAGCCACTGTGCCCAGCCCCTTTCTCCCTTTTTAACTTTTTTGAGACAGCATCTTATACCATCACCCAGGCTGGAGTGCATTGCGCAATCTTGGCTCCCTGTGACCTCTGCCTCCTGGGTTCAGGTGATTCTCCTGCCTCAGCCGCTGGAGTAGCTGGGATTACACATGTGTACCATGATGCCTGATTAATTTTTGTATTTTCAGTAGAGATGGGGTTTCACCATGTTGGCCAGGCTGGTCTCGAACTCCTGACCTCAGGTGATCTGCCTCCCAACGTGCTGGGATTACAGGCGAGAGCCACCATACCCAGTCATTTTTATTTTTCTTTTAAAGAAAACACTGTCCTGAATACCACATGGGTAGAGTGCGTATTGGCTTATTTCCTTAGATGATGTTCTCAGGAGTGGAATGAATAACATCTGAAAAGGCTTCACTCTAGCCATTGTCTTATTTTCTAAAAGTGAGCTGGCCCAGCTCACCGTTCTAGCAGGGTCTAAGGTTACTTACTGCTGTGGTTATTATTCAGAGTGGACGATGGTGCATGTTAATGTCAGGCACAGCAGGGCGCGGTGGCTCACGACTGTAATCCTAGCACTTTGGGAGGCCGAGGTGGGCGGATCACGAGGTCAGGAGTTGGAGACCAGCATGACCAACATGGTGAAACCCCATCTCTACTAAAAATACAAAAATTAGCTGGCGTGGTGGCAGGCACCTGTAATCTCAGTTACTCGGGAGGCTGAGGCGGGAGAATTGCTTGAACCCAGGAGGCGGAGGTTGCAGTGAACTGAGATTGTGCCACTGCACTCCAGCCTGGGTGACAGAGAGACTTTATCTTAAAAAAAAAAAAAAAAGTCAGGCTTTTCTAGGGTTCCTCCATCAGCCTTGTAAGGCTGGAGACCCGTGGCCAGGAAGAAAATTGGAGCTGTCTGGCACTGGGAAGGGTAACCCAGTAGTTATAATTAGGTTGGCTTATCTGCGAGCCCTTTGATAAGGCTTCACTAATTTACTAACCCAGGATCGCATGTTAGATCAGGATCTCTCTGAGTGCTGCAATTGTAGTTTGCTTTTCTCTCTCTCTTTTTTTTTTTTTTTTAGAGACAGAGACTCACTCTGTTGCCCAGGCTGGAGTGCAGTGGTATGATCATGGCTCACTGCAGCCTTGAACTCCTGGCCTCAAGCGATCTTCCTGCCTTACCCTCCCGAGTGTCTTGGATTATAGATGCTTGTCAACATGCCCAGCTAATTTTTAATTTTTTTTAGAGATGAGGTCTTGCCCTGTCACCCAGGCTGGAGTGCAGTGGCATGAACATAGCTCACTGCAGCCTTAAACTTCTGGCCTCAAGCAGTTCTCCTGCCTCAGCCTTCCAAAGTGCTGGGATTACAGGTGGGCACCACTGTGCCTGGCCTGCAGTGGTTTAATAGGGCTCTTTCATCTTTAACTTTGGTCCCCTGCCCCCTGAGATCCGTGGAGTGAGCCGTTTGACGCTTGGTACTTGGGACAAAGCTGGCCTATGTCCAGTTCTCTGCATACTTGGTAGGGGAGTGTTTGGAGAAAAGGCTCACCTCTGAGTCACACCCTCTATATTCTCCAAAGGGCCATGGGGATGGGGTGGAGGAGGCTGGGGTGAAGAGATGTTGTAGCTCCAGAGAAAGCCAGGGAGGTGTATGCTGGGTGAAGAGGCCAAGTTCAGGAGCCTAGGTTTGAAAATCAGTATAGACGATTCAGGTTAATTCACCCTGTTGTTATAGAGCATCTGTCTGTAGGGTGGCCAGGTCTGGGTGAGTCTCTTGGACAAGATGGGTATCAGGTTTCAGCTCTGAAATTGGACTGATATGTGGGGAGATTCATTCTGCAGTTTTATTTGTAGTTTAGGTTTAAGAAAACTTGGACTGGGCACTGTTGCTGTCGTCTGATCCCAGCACTTAGTGATGCTGAAGTGGGAGGATCACTTGAGCCCAGGAGTTTGAGACCAGCCTGGGCAACAGAAAGACCCCATCTCTACAAAATAATAATAATAATAATTATTATTATTATTATTAGCTGGGCATGATGGGACATGCCTGTAGTCCCAGCTACTCAGGAGGCTGAGGCGGGAGGTTTGCTTGGTCCTGGGAGGTTGAGCTGCAGTGAGCTATGATTGCACCACTGCACTCCAGCCTGGACAACAGCATGGCACTGTCTCCAAAAAAAAAAAAAACAACAAAAAAAAAACTTGTTTAACTACCTAAATCATAGCATTTGTGTGAAGCCAGACTATCACAACTCTGAGAACTGCTGACATATACATATTTTGGAAGTTCCAGGTTTTCTGTTACTATAAACATGGTAGAGATTGAATTACTTAAAGGGACGTCTTTTCTCCTACTCTTTGTCTTGTCTGATGTTATAAGGGGTACAGTATAGAATGAAAACAGTGCAGAAATGAGTGAAACATGAAAATCCCTTCTAGAGATAATTTTCTTTTATTATTTTTTTGAGACGGAGTCTTGCTCCATTGCCCAGTCTGGAGTACAGTGATCTCGGCTCACGGCAACCTCCACCTCCCAAGTTCAAGTGATTCTCCTGCCTCAGCCTCCCGAGTAGCTGGGGTTATAGGTGTGTACCATGCACCACCATGCCCGGCTAATTTTTGTATTTTTAGTAGAGACAGGGTTTGCTGTGTTAGCCAGGCTGGTCTCGAATTCCTGACCTCAGGTGATCCGCCTACCTCGGCCTCCCAAAGTCCTGGGATTACCGGGGTGAGCCACCATGGCCAGCCTCTTCTAGAGACAATCTTATTGGCAGGTTGATGTTTTTAATTTTCAGCCTCTCTTCTCCACAGATCCTAAAGATATAGTAATTTTTTTTTTTGAGACAGAGTCTTGCTCTATTACCCAGGCTGGAGTGCAGGTGGCGTGATCTCTGCTCACTGCAGCCTTCACCTGCCGAGTAGCTAGGACTGCAGGCATGCACCACTATGTCTAGCTAATTTTTGTATTTTTAGTAGAGATGGGGTTTTACCATTTTGGCCAGGCTGGTCTCAAACTCATGACCTCAAGTGATCCACCTGCCGCAGCCTCCCAAAGTGCTGGGATTACAGGTCTAAGCCACCGTGCCCAGCCATAAATACATGGTATTTTTTAAGAACAAGAACGGGATTCTACAAAAACATATATATGTGTATTTTGAGACAGGATCTCCTCTGTTGCTCAGGGTGGAGTGCAGGGGCACGATCATGGCCCACTGCAGCCATGACCTCTCAGGCTCAAGCAATCCTCCCACCTTAGCCTCTGGAGTAGCTGGGACCACAGGTGCCCACCACCATGCCCAGCTAATATTTTTTCTTTTTTTTTTTTGTATTGAAAACAGTCAGCCAGGTGTGGTGGCTCACACCTGTAATCTCAGTACGTTGAGAGGCCGAGGTGGGCAGATCACTTGAGGTCAGTAGTTCAAGGCCAGGCTGTCCAACATGGTGAAACTCCATCTCTACTAAAAATACAAAAATTAACTGTGGTGGCGCTTGCCTATAATCCCAGCTACTGGGAAGGGGGAGGCATAAGGATCACTTGAACCTGGGAGGAGGAGGTTGTAGAGAGCCAAGATGATGGCACTGCACTCCAGCCTGGGCAACAGAGCAAGACTCTGTCTCAGAAAAACAAAACAAAACATATAGTCTTTATTTTTTTGTTTGCGTGGGCTGGTGCATCTTGATTATGATGCATTTTTGTTAATTGATATTTAATTGCAGATGAAATGTAACATGGATCTGAGTAATTGCTGATAATTGTTTCCTCTTTAGGCAGCTGGTCAGTCTTTTTTTTTTTTTTTTTTCTTTTTAAGAGAGTTTCTGTCTTGTTGCCCAGACTGGAGTGCAGTAGCGTGATCTCGGCTCACTGCAACCTCCTTTGCCAGGGTTCGAGTGATTCTCCTGCCTCAGCCCCCCGAGTAGCTGGGATTACAGGCATGTGCCACCACGCCCGGCTACTTTTTGTATTTTTAGTAGAGACGGGTTTTGCCATGTTGGCCAGGCTGGTCTCAAACTCCTGACCTCAGGTGATCCCCCCTGCCTCTGCCTCCCAAAGTGCTGAGATTACAGGCTTGAGCCACTGCTCCCAGCCCATAGTCTTTTTTTTTTTTAAACCTCTGTGTACAGGTAGGTCCTGGGGAAATTCGAGGCAAGACTTGGGTGAGTGGGTATCTTAGACCCTCTCAGGAGCTCTTTGCAGGAGGTAGAATCTCCGAGGGTCAGTGCCCATGAATGGGTCCCATGGCCTGACTGGTCCCATTCAGGTGACAGTCTCTGAGGGTCCTGCATAGCCCTTACCTGGGCTCCATGCTGGGAATCGAGCGGTATACAGAGCATGGTTCCCTGCCTTCCTTGAGCCCCAGTCTTGTTGGGGAAATGGCCAAATAAATGAATAATCATCAGGAAGTGCTATGAAGGGGAGCTGCGTGGTGCCCGGTGAGTGCAATAGCGGGGTTTCATCTGGTTGGAGAGAAAAAAGGAGACTCCTTAAGTGGGGAACCCGTTTGATGATACAGGTTTGGCTATGTGTGTCAAAGACCCCAAATATAGTGGGTTAAGATACAAGCTCATTTCTCTCTCATGTAAAAATCCCAGCTGGTGTGGCAGCTCTGTCCCCAAAATAATCAGGGTCCCAGGCCCCTCCCATCTTGTTGCTCTGCTGTCCTCATCTGCATGGATCAAGATGATGCATCTCCATGTCCACATGGCAGCCAGTAGGAAAGCAGAGTAAGGGCACAACCTGGAGGTTGCCTACGTCTCTCCTCGTCACATCCCATTGGCTTGTACCTAGTCATGTGGTGCCTCTAGCTGCAAAGGAGGCTGGGAAATGTAGTTTCCTTTCTAAGCAGGATGTACCCAGCTGAAGATGTTACTCAGGGATGAGGGAGAGTTGATACTGGAGCGCAGCTAGCAGTTTCTGCTGTATAGGCAAAAGCAGAAGGTAAGAATGTTCTGGGCAGTGGGAAATGCATGTGCAGAAGCACTGGCTTAATGAGGAAGGCCACTGTGGCTGGAGTCAAAGAGTAGGGAAGAGAAAAAGAACCAGAAGGAGGCTGAGAATTGGGCCTGTAGGACTTGGATCCTGTGGGAAGCCTTGGCAGCTTTCTTTCCCCCCTCCTTGCTTAGGCATTAGCTCTAAGACAGGGATATTTACAACACAATTATTTCTTTAAAATTATATATATATTTTAATTTGTACAGATGAGGTCTCCCTGTGTTGTCCAGGTTGGTTTCAAACCCCTGAGCTCAAGCCATCTTCTTGCCTCGGCCTCCGAAAGTGTTGGGATTACAGGTGTGAGCCATTATACCTGGCCTTCAACTCAGTCCCTAAAGACAACTCCTTCTCAAGTGTTGGAAAGAACCAATGACTAATCACTTCTAGTCTGCCTTATCCCCATCTTGCTTGTGTGACTTTGGTAAGAGTTTGTTTGTTTATTTAAAGGAGCAGAGAGTTTAATAGGCAAGAAGGGGCAAGAAAGAAGGGAGAATAAGATCCCCTGTATAGAGACGGAGGAGGGCTCCAAAGCTGAGAGAGGGAACCCCAGCTGCCACAGATAGCAGCTAGGTATATGTACAGAGGCTGGAAGAGGCAGTGTCTGATTTGCATAGGCCTCAGGGGATTGGTTTGACTAGGCATGTCTTTCACGTAGCGCATGAAAAAGCTGGCCCTCCCACCTAGCCTTTTAATATGCAAATGCAGGGTACCATGATCTGCACACTTGGGGAGGTGTGGTGGCGGCCATGTTGCTAGGAACATGTGGGGAAAGGGCAAGAAGGCTGTGGGAATCGCCATGTTTGGGTGGACCCAGTTTCTAATGGCTTGCATTTGCATATCAAAGGTTGCTGGCCTGGCTCTAAGAGCCGGGGCTTTACAAGAAACTTTTCCGGAGTTGCTTTAAAAACCAAACATTTCCCAAGGACCCCTTTTCCTCTCTATTTGCCTAAAATAATTGCTTAACTCCTACATTACCCCCTGTGGAGATGCCACATTAACTGCTGTTAGGGGGTTTTGGGCGACGACTTCTTCTGGCTACTTCCTGGTGAAAAGGGGCGTTGAATGGGGAACAGCAGCTAGGGCTCCTCCTGGGGTGGATCTAAGGGTCCTCGGAAGAATGGCGTGTCCATGTGTGCTTCAGGTTACAGCACCATTTTGAGTTTGATTGCTTCAGTCTGATGAAATAATTTCCTTTCCTGGCCAACACACCAAAATGATACGGCTCCGATGAGTGGGGGAACACCAGGGTTCTTGGTCCTCATGCCGGTTTAGATAAAATGACACAGACACACGTGGAGTGGTTTTAAGGAGTGGAGAGTTTAATAGGCAAGAAGGAAGGGAGAAGGAAGAAGGTCCCCTGTACAGAGACAGAGGGTGGGGGGCTCCAAAGCTGAGAGACGGAACCTCCAGGAGTTGATTTTATAAATAAAATAACATGCGTTGAGGTCACTCTGTGTTGTGTGGTATGCCCAGCCCTCTCTGCACATAACTTGTTTCAGGCCCACAGTCATGCTGGGTGGTTGCTGTAATGACTTTTTATTTTAAATGGGGAATCTGTGACACAGTTAAACATGCGCAGGATCATGTCACTAGCAAGGAGTGGACACGGTATTCAAACCCAGCAGGTTGACTCAAAGCCTGCCCTTTCCCCAGCTGTTTTGCCCCTCAGTCATTTGAGTCTAGTCTTCAGGATTTTGACATCTATCTCTTACCTTGTATCTGTTAGGATTGCATCTGGCTTCAAGAAACAGCCCTACTTCAGCAGCCTAAGCAGAAAGGTATTCATTTGTTTATTTTTTACATGTCAGGAATTCCAGTACCTCTTGGAGTTGCTGGCATTGGATTAGTGATGCAGGGTTGTTAGGACTGACATCTCTGCTGTTTTCTTGTCTTTTCCTCAAGGCCCCTAAATGGCTGCTACAGCCCTAGGCAATATATCTGGGTTCAAGGTAGGAAGAGGGAGGGATTGCACCAGCCTCATGGGTTCCTTTCTATTCAGGAAAGTCCAAGCCTTCTTCAAAGGCTCTTCTGTCCACATTGCAGACTTCTGGTCATGTCTCCTTGGCTGAAACTGGATTACATGACCACCTCTAGCTGCAAGGGAGGCAGGAAAAATGAGCATTTGGTTTTATGCTTCTCTAGGAGGAAACAGCAAGGGAGAAACTTTTGAGTAAGCCAGCCAATATTGTCCAACATGTACTTATTTTTTAACTTTTTTTTTTTTTTTTTTTTTTTTTGAGGCAAGGTCTGGCTGGCTCTGTTGCCGAGGCTAGAGTGTGGTGGCACAATCTCAGCTCGCTGCAACCTCTACCTCCTAGGCTGAAGCTATCCTCCCACCTTAGCCTCCAGAGTAGCTGGGACTACCACATGCACCACCATACCTGGCTAATTTTTATATTTGTAGAGATGGGGTCTCACCATGTTGCCCAGGCTGCTCTTGAACTTGTGAGTTCAAGTCGTCTGCCCACCTCAGCCTCCCAAAGTGCTGGGATGACAGGCATGAGCCATCACACTCAGCTAATGTTTTTCTTTCAATCAATTCACTTTTTAAGCCTTAACAAAGTTATCGCAAAAGGAAGTTTCATATCACTTTAGAATGTCTTTGAAGTCACAGGTTGGTTATATTTATGTGCTTACTTTAATAGCTATTAAAGTAAATATAGCACTACTAAGAAAAAAAGATATTCTTTAAATCGCCTATTATCAGTGGTTCTTAACTCTGGATGATTTTGTCTCCAGGGGACATTTGGCAATGTCTGGAAACATTTTTGGCTGTCACGATGGGGCAGGGAGCGCACGCCTAGAGTCTAGTGGGTAGAGGCCAGGGGGTGTGCTAAATATCCTACAATACAGGATGGGCTCCATAATGAAAAATCCTCTGGTCCCAAATGTCAGTAGTACTGCAGTTGAGAAACCCTGGCATGGACGCAATCCACCTGCTGCCAGGAGTTATATACAAGCCATGTTAGGGTAATGCTGCAATATGTCCATCGTGATTGTGTTTTCTCCTGGGTGACTATCAGCAATGGTGTAGCCTGCTTGTTGGTTTTCAAGGTCCATTCTCAAGATACTATCAGATCTCCAGCAATCGTGTGATGCAGTTTAAAATGTTCATGTGAGCTGGGCGTGGTGACTCATGCCTATAATCCCAGCACTTTGGGAGGCCAAGGCTGGAGAATGGCTTGAGCCCAGGAGTTTGAAACCAGCCTGGGCAACATAGCGAGACCCAGTCTCTACACAAAATTAAAAAAAAAAAAAAATTAGCCCGGTATGATGGTGCATGGCCATGGTCACAGCTACTCAGGAGGCAGAGGTGGGATGATCACCTGGGCCTGGGAGGTTGAGGCTGCGGTGAGCCACGATTGCACCACCGTATTCCAGCTTGGGTGACAGAGTGAGACCCTGTCTCAAAAAAAAGAATGTGCATATGAATTCAAGATATGTCCCTTATAGAGACTGGTGAGGACACAGCTTATTGACCCTGAAGCTGAAGTGGTTGAAATGATAGCCCTCTTGCCAGGCAAATCCTATGTGAGTGCTTCTAAAAGAACACTGTACCTTGCAGAGAGTATTCCTGGGACCTGGCAGGAATCAGGGCCTCTTGGTGACCACATGCTTTGGAAAGGGCTGTGCTTTGGCAAGTGGGAGATTTTATTATTTATTTTCTCCTGTCTGCCTCGGTTTGGCAAAAACAAACCTGGCCTGGGCATGGGCCTTGTGGAGACAAGAAGGCAGCTTGAGATTATCAGAGATCAGGCTGCTGGTGGGTTTGCCTGAGCTGGCCTGGTCAGGTAGCTTGACAATGATGCTCAGACCCCCATTAAAGTTAATTGAGCGGTTACAGAGTGGGAGTGGGGAGTGGGGGGTGTGGTGACTGCCTGTCTCCTTGAGTTGGCGTGGCTAAGAAGTAAGGGAATTTTTTAACTTTTCCTTCTTAATTCTGGAAACTTAGAAAAAAGCCTCTCACCATCCCTTAATCATTCAGTTAGAGAGACCAGGCTGTTGATATGGACATGCTGCGTTTCATGGAATCCTAGAGGCCAGTATTTATGACATACTTCCCAGTTTCAGAGATGTTAGGATATAAAAATGTAGCCAGCAGTGTTTACAGGATGGGCTAATCGAGAGACACAGACAAATATCAAAGATAGCAAAATAGGAAGAAACAGAGTCTTAGAATCAATGCAGTATAATAATAGCTTCTAGTTTCTTTCTGTTTTTCTTTTTATGATACAGAGTCTCACTCTGTCGCCCAGGCTGGACTGCGGTGGCATGATCTCGGCTCACTGTAGCCTCCGTCTCCTGGGTTCAAGTGATCCTCCCATCTCAGCCTCCAAGTCACTGGGATTACAAGTTGTTTGCCACCATGCCCAGCTAATTTTTGTATTTTTAATAGAGACAGGGTTTCACCATGTTGGCCAGGTTGGTCTTGAATGCCTGACCTCAAGTGATCCCCCCCAGCCTTGGCTTCCCAAAGTACTGGGATGACAGGTGTGAGCCACCATGCCCAGCCTCCCCCTCACTCTTAAGCACAGCTCTTCGGCAGTCAGAGATGTTGCCTGCTGTATTTCTCGTTCTGCTTTTACACATGGTTTAAAAATCCTCGCCCAAGAATGTAAGCCCCATGGCTAGTGCTACCTGCTACCTTTAGGGGTGGCCTCTCCTGGGGTGCAGGAGGTTGCACAGTTCGTTTTGTGACAGCAGGGTCATTTTTTAATCGGATCATCTGCCCCAGTTTGCTTGGCTCTTAGGTGCTTGGGAGTTCTCCTGGTTTTTTGCTGTTGTGAAATGGCCCAGCTTGTACACGTTGTTCCTTTTCTTGCTGGAGTTATTTCCTTTAGACTCCTGTCCCTAAAGTAGGATTGTTGGGTGAAAATGGGGTATGCGTGGTTAGGCTTTTCTCTGCCTGCTTTCTGGATTGCTCTTCAGATAGATTTAATCACCTTTTATTTATGTTTTGTGGTGGTTTTTTTTGTTTTTTTTGTTTTTTTTTGTTTTGAGACTGAGTTTTGGTCTTGTTGCGCAGGCTGGAGTGCAATGGTGGGGTCTCGGCTCACAGCAACCTCTGCCTCCTGGGTTCAAACGATTCTCCTTCCTCAGCTTCCTGAGTAGCTGGGATTACAGGCATGCGCCACCATCTCTGGCTAATTTTGAATTTTTATTACAGACGGGGTTTCTCCATGTTGGTAAAGCTGGTCTGGAACTCCCAACCTCAGGTGATCTGCCCGCCTCAGCCTCCCAAGGTGCTGGGATTACAGGCGTGAGCCGCCACACCTGGCCACCTTTTATTTGTTGAATGAGTGTTTAATAAGCATGTCCTATATGCATCAGGAGAATTAAATGGACATGGTCTTGCTTTGGGGGGAAATGACAGGTAGGAGAGAAAGAGACACTTAGAACTCAACAGAGGCCAGACGCGGTGGCTTACGCCTGTTATCCCAGCACTTTGGGAGGCTGAGGTGGGCGGATCACCTGAGATCAGGAGTTCGAGACCAGCCTGGCCAAAATGGTGAAATCCCGTCTCTACTAAAATATAAAATCAATCAGGCGTGGTGATGGCACATGCCTGTGATCCCAGCTACTCGGGAGGCTGAGGCAGGAGAATTGCTTGAACCTGGGAGGCAGACATTGCAGTGAGCCGAGATTGCACTACTGCACTCCAGCCTGGGCAGCAAGAGCAAAACTCTGTCTCAAAAAAGAAAAAACTCAACAGAGAAAAGGCGGATCGTTAAGGCTTCTTTGGCACTTCCTAAGTGCCAGGGACTGTTGTTAATGCCTTTGAAGTGCTAATAATGACTTAATGGTGACAAGTTCCCTGTGAAGCAGGGACTGTGATTGTTTCTACCTTATGGGTGGGGAAAGGAGGCAGAGAGAGGTGAAGTCACCCAGCTAGTAAATGACAGGACTAGACTGAAACCCAGGCAGTCTGTCTCCAGGGCCTGGCCGGTACCCCATGCTCCATCTTGCCCCATAAACACCCTGGGGTGGGCCAGAGAGGAGTCTTTTCCAACAGGCTGTGCCAGATGACTTTGGCTAATCTTGGAGGCTGGAGGATTAGTCAGTCTACTAAGGGGGCTTCAGCATTTTGGCACGTGGCTTTATGAGCTGTTTACTCCAACAGTGATGATGACAATAGCCATAGTAGTGATAATACTATGGTAGAAGTAACTGCAGCAAACTCAACCCCTAACGAGTATTCTATCTTCCCAACATTGTGTGCAATAGCCATGAGAGATGGGTGTTATTCTTTTAATTTGACACACGGGAACTGAAAGCCAGAGAGATTGGGTGGCTTCCCCCAGGCCACACAGCCTGGAAGTAGTAGGACAGGGACTCGAGCCCAGATCTGCTGCCCCAGAGCCTGTGCCCTTGACCACCAAGTCATGGTCACTCCTTTCAACCCTGCCTGCCCCTGGGCCATCTGTGTTGTGATGCCGGCTGGCCAGGATGGGGAGTGAGGATTTCAGTTTGTCATAGGGCAGGGAGATGGGTGAGGCAGGACACTCCTTGAGATGGAAGGCTCTGGGGTCGGGGGAGAGGGAGTGGTGGAGACTGGGGTGTCTCCGAAGGAGTGTTTGAAGATGACGGTGGTTTTTCCAGTTTCCTGTTCTTAGCTATATTCAAGAAAAGGGTAAGCCAGAAAATTTCCCTCTGAGTTTCACAACTTCTGGGAGCTTTTGCAAAGTCTGGGTGATGCAGCATTTTCCTGGTTTGAATCCTAAGTGAAGTTTCATTTTCCTTCACTTAACTCATTCTGGCTCTGGCCTGTCTTCCCAGCTGTATTGGCCATCTGGTCCTCTTCTGGCTCTTTGTCCCATTTATTATTATTTATTTTTATTTTTAACAGAGATGGGGTCTCACTGTGTTGCCGTCTGTTCTGGAACTCCTGGACCCAAGTGATCCTCCTGCCTCGGTCTCCCAAAATACTGGGATTATAGGCATGAGCCTCTGTGGCCAGCTTATACCCCCTAAGCTTGTGACTATCTTCTATGTGTGTCCCTCTTGGAGTGAGGTTCCCTCCTGTCTCCATGTTGGCAAATCTTAGCACCTTGGCCCTTCGAGATGGAGGTCTGTGTTGCCTAGGCTGGTCCTGAACTCCTGGTCTCAAGTGATCCTCCCATCTTGGCCTTCCAGAGTGCTGGGATTACAGGTGTGAGCCACTGTGTCCAGCCAACCCTTCTTAGATTTTACTTACTTCAAGAAGCCTGCTTTGACCTCTCAAGTGGAAATAACAACTTCCAGGAATAGAGTGATCACTGGGCATCCATCTGTTGTCACATGAATGATTTTATCCATATTAAGGAGGCATTACATGCAGCAGTGAGCTAACCTGCCTGTGTTGAAGTTTTCTTCTTTTTACAGGCTGTACAACCTTGGGCAAGTTGCTTTACTTCTCTGTGCCTTAGTCTCTTCCTCAGCAAAATGGAAAAAATACTACCCATTTCAAATGGGGTGAAAATGAAATAATATATAAGTCTCGTCTTCACAATGTCTCTGATGAAAAGCAGGTATTGGTTGCACATGGTGCTCATGCCTGTAATCCCAGCACTTTGGGAGGCCGAGCAGGGAGGATTGCTTGAGGCCAGGAGCTTGAGACCAGCCTGGGGAACATGGCCAGACCACATCTCTTAAAAAAAATTTAGCTAGGTTTGGTGGCATGCACTTGTGGTTCTAACTAGTTTGGAGCAGGTGAGGAGGGAGGATCTCCTGAGCTCAGGAGGTTGAGGCTGCAGTGAGCTGTGATTGCACACGACTGCTTTCCAGCCTGGGCAACAGAGTGAAACCCCATCTCAAACAAACAAACAAACAAACAAACAAATAAACAAAAAACAGGTATTGTCCTTGCTGTATGAATGAGGAAAGTGAGTTTTCCTTTTTGCTTTGTGAAACTCTTTTCTGGATATTTCTTGCCTTTTATGTGTATCTCTTTGGTGGTACTCTGTGCTTTTAAAATCTTTTGTAATGGCCATTTATGGACAAATCGTATCTTATATTCAAGATTCTAAGCTTTCTGAGGGCAGGATATAAATGTGGTTGTTTCTGGTTCAAGTCCTGATACAAGCAAAGCTCAGTAATTTTTTTAAATGAATGGGTGGGCCGGTGGTTGGGTCTTCAGAGTCACTAAATACTGGTGGCAGGAGTGGGACCACATAGAAAAAAATATTAAGGCAGTGGATCTCAATGGGGAGTGATCTGCCTCTCAGAGGACGTTCATTGATGTCTAGAGACATTTTTGTTGTCACAGTTTGGGATGGGGGTGCAGTTGGTGTCTGTTGGGTTAGGATCAGGAATGCTATAAACATCCTGTGATACACGGGACAGACGTATCCAGCCTAAAACGTCAGTAGTGTTGAGGGTGAGAAACCCTGGGCTTATTAAGGCAACAAGCAACATATTAATAGCAACAGGAGAAAACATGCATTTAAATTTTTTTTGGCCAGGCGTGGTGGCTCACACCCGTAGTCCCAGCACTTCGGGGGGCCCAGGTGGGCGGATCATGAGGTCAAGACATCGAGACCATCCTGGTGAACATGGTGAAACCCCATCTCTACTAAAAATACAAAAATTAGTTGGGTGTGGTGGTGTGTGCCTGTAGTCCCAGCTACTTGGGAGGCTGAGGCAGGAAAATCACTTTAACCTGGGAGGCGGAGGTTGCAGTGAGCTGAGATTGCACTACTGCACTCCAGCCTGGAGACAGAGCAAGACTCTGTCTCAAACAAACAAACAAACAAACAAAAAAAAAACAAAATTTTTTTTCCACAAATGTGAAGTAGTCTAGATGAGATACGCTCTTCCTGAGATGATAAAGTGAGGTCTAAGTGTATTTATTAATTCTTTTGAGGAGGGTGTTAGGTGCTAAAGGCAGCACGTGTAAGGTGAAAATTGCGTATAGCCAAAATGACCCTGGGGCTTATTCTCTCTCTCTCTCTCTTTTTTAATAAACAGCTTTTTTGTTGAGATATAATTCACATACCATATGATGCACCTATAAAGTGTGCAACTCAGTTTAGTACATTCAGAATTGTGCATGTCTCCTGTCTCCAGGTAGGCAAATCTTAGCACCTCGGCCCTTCTTAGATTTTATTTTTTAGAGATGGGGGTCTCACTATGTTGCCCAGGCTGGTCTTGAACTTCTTGGCCTTCCTCCCATCTTGGCCTTCCAGAGTGACTATATTCAATATTCAAAGTGACTGTAGTCAACATTAGATATTTTTATCACCCTGCTTACTTGTTTTTATTTAAGACCTGGTGTGGTGTGTGCCTGGCCTTGTGATCACAAATGCTAGTTACACTGAATTGACATTTTGCTGAGACTCGTTCTGAGGTCCATTCATAGATGCCCTAGGTACTTCCTGATTACTTGCCACACCCCAGGAATTCTGCACAGTGAGTGGGGAGTGACATTTTGAGGGACAGCATCAGTACATTCACTGCGCTAAAGAAACAGTCTGGGGAGAGTGAGACATCGAAAAAATAACATATAAAATAAACATCTGATGGAGACATAGGAAGATGCCAACCTTCAACAATGTTTGACTTGGAGCAGGGGTTGGCATGCTTTTTCTGTGAAGGGTTAGGTAGTACATATTTTAGGTCTCTCAGGCCCAGGGGCAAATAGTCTTTCTTATAATATGTATTTAAAAATTGGCCAGGCATGGTGGCTTCTGCCTGTAATCTCAGCACTTTGAGAGGCCAAGGTGGGAAGATTGCTTGAGCCCAGGAGTTCGAGACCAGCCTCAGCAACAAAGTGAGACTCTGTTTGTATTAGTCTGTTCTCACGCTGCTATAAAGAACTGCCCAACACTAGGTAGTTTATAAGGGAAAGAGGTTTAATTGACTCACAATTCCACAGGGCTGGGGAGACCTCAGGAAACTTATACTCACAGCAGAAAGGGAAGCAAACATGTCCTCCTTCACATGGTGGCAGGAAGGAGAAGTGCTGAGCAAAAGGGGAAAAGCCGTTTATCAAACCATCAGATCTTGTGAGAACTCACTATAATGAGAACAGCATGGAGGTAACTGCCCCCATGATTGAATTGTCTCTCACTGGGTTCCTCCCACAACACATGGGGATTATGAGAACTACAATTCAAGATAAGATTTGGGTGGGGATACAGCTGAACCATATAATTCCATGGCCAAATGATATCGTTCTGCCCCTCCCAAATCTCATGTCCTCACATTTCAAAACACAATCATGCCTTTCCAAGTGTCACCCAGAGTCTTAGCTCATTCCAGCATTAACCCAAAAGTCCAATTCCAAAGTCTCATCTGAGACAAGGCAAGTCCCTTCTGCCTATTAGCCTGTAAAACTGAAAGCAAGTTAGTTACTTCCTAGATACAATAGGAGTACAAGCATTGGGTAAATACACCCATTCCAAATGGGAAAATTTGGCCAAAATGAAGGGGCTGCAGGCCCCATGCAAGTCTGAAATCCAGTGGGGCAGTCATTTCTTAAAGCTCTGAAATGATCTCCTTTGACTCCATGTCTCACATCCAGGTCATGCTTATGCGAGAGGTGGGCTCTAGCTATGGCCTTGGGCAGCTCTGCCCCTGTGGCTTTGCAGGGTACAGCCCCCATCAAGGGGCTTTCACGGGTTTGTGTTGTGAGTCTGCGGCTTTTCCAGGTGCACGGTGCAAGCTGTCCATGGATCTACCATTCTGCAGTCTGGAGGATGGTGGCCCTCTTCTCACAGCTCCACTAGGCAGTGTCCCAATGGGGACTGTATGGGGCCTCTGGCCCCACATTTGCCTTCTGCACTGCCCTAGCAGAGGTTCTCCATGAGGGCTCCACTGCTGCAGCAAACTTCTGCCTGGACACCCAGGCATTTCCATGCATCCTCTGAAATCTAGGTGGAGGTTCCCAAACCTTGATTCTTGACTTTTGTCCACAGGCTCAATACCACATGGAATCTCCTAAGGCTTTTGAGGCTTGCACCCTCTGATGGCACAGCCCGAGCAGCATTTTGGCCCCTTTTAGCCACAGTTGAAGCAACTGGAACAAAGTGTACCAACTCCCTAGGCAGCACACAGCAGGGGGGCCCTGGGCCCGGCCTATGGAATCATTTTTTCCTCCTAGACCTCTAGGCCTGTGATGGGAGGGGCTACTGCAAAGGTCTCTGACATGCCCTGGAGACATTTTCCCCATTGTCTTGGTGATTAACATTTGGTTCCGTTTTACTTATGCAAATTTCTGCAGCAGGCTTGAATTTTTCCCCAGAAAATGGGTTTTTCTTTTCCGTCACATCATCACCCTTCCAATGTTTCAAACTTTTATGCTCTGCTTCCTCTTAAACACTTTGTTGCTTAGAAATTTCTTCTGACAATCATCTAAATCATCTCTCTCAAGTTCTAAGTTCCACAGCTCTTTAGGGCAAAGGCAAAATGCTGCCACTCTTTTTGCTTAAGCATAGCAAGAGTCACCTTGGCTCCATTTCCCAAGAAGTTCCTCATCTCCATCTGAGACCACCTCAGCCTGGACTTCATTGTCCATATCACTATCAGCGTTTTGGTCCAAGTCATTCAATAAGTCCCTAGGAAGTTCCAAACTTTCTTACATCTTGCTATACTCTTCTGAGCCCTCCAAACTGTTCCAGCCTCTGCCTGATACTCAGTTCCAAAGTTGCTTCCACATTTTTGGGTATCTTTACAGTAGCACCCCACTCCCAGTACCAATTTACTGTATTAGTTTGTTCTCACGCTGCTATAAAGAACTGCCCAAGACTGGGTAGTTTATAAAGGGAAGAGATTTAGTTGGCCCACAGTTCTGCAGGGCTGGGGAGGCCTCAGGAAGCTTGTAATCATGGTAGAAGGGGAAGCAAACACGTCCTTCTTCACATGGCGGCAGGAAGGAGAAGTGCTGAGCAAAAGTGCTTCTTTTGCTGAGAAGTGTTGAGCAAAATCAGATCTTGTGAGAATTCACTGTCACAAGAACAGCATGGAGGTAACCACCCCCATGATTCAGTTACCTCCCACTGGGTTTCTTCCATGACATGTGAGGATTATGGGAACTGCAGTTCAAAATGAGATTTGGGTGGGGACACAGCCAAGCCATATCACTGTCTCTACCAAAAAAAAAAAAAAAGCCAGGTGTGGTGGCTCATGCCTGTATCCCAGCTACTCATGAGGCTGAGATGGGAGGATTGCTTAAGTCCAGGAGGTTGAGACTGCAGTCAGCTATGACCACACCACTGCACTCCAGTCTGGGCAACAGAGTGAGACGCTGTCAAAAAAAAAAAAAAAAAAAAAGGAAATCCATTCTTAGCCTGTGTGCTGTACAAAAGCAGGCAGCAGGCTGAATTTGGCCCACAGGCTGTGGTTCGCCAACTTATGACCTATACAAATGGCAATTCATATGGTTCATCCTAGCGATAACTGTACATGGTGTATTAGATACTATATAGCATGTTCATATCAAATGTCATATAATGTATAAGGTAACATATACAGTATAAAATAGTGCCTGAGAAATATTTGATGAAAAAATCTGATAAGTACTTAGCAGGCACAGTACAAAGTACCATGAAGTTGTTAAATGGGGGATCAGGGTGTTTGAGAAAGGGGTGGGGAGATAGGTGGGCCTCCCTCAAGAAGGAATGTTTCAACTGTGAGCTGAAGGATGCCCCTGCATTGCATGTCAGGGCAGTGATGGGGAGAAAGACTCCAGGTAGAGGGAACCCACTCTGCAAAGGCCCTGAGTCATGAAGGGGTCCCTGGAACAGTGAGTTGGGGCTGAACCCACAAGCTGCAGTTGTGGGGATTGTGATCCATCCTGAGAGCTCTGAGAACCTGGAATAGTTTTCAGCGCAGTGTGAAGGGACTGGGGCTGTGTTTTGAAGATATCCCCTGTCTGCGGTTGGGAGGGGAGTCAGGAAACCTATTTGGAGGCTGGGGTTTTCACCCAGGTCATGCAGATAAGATTTATTAGGTGTGGAATGAACTGAGCAAATCACATGTCTTCTAATGGTACACCACACTTTTTTTTTTTTTTTTTGGTTTTGAGACAGTCTTGCTCTGTCTCCCAGGCTGGAGAGCAATGGCATGATCACGGCTCACTGTAGCCTTGACTTCCCAGGTTCAAGCAATCCTCCTACCTCAGCTTCCGGAGTAGCTGGGACTACAGGTGCCCACTACCATGCCTGGCTAATTTTGGTATTTTTATTGGAGACGGGGTTTCATCATGTTGGCCAGGCTCCTCTCTAACTTCTGACCTCAAGTGATTCGCCTGCCTCAGCCTCCCAAAGTACTGGGATTACAGGTACAAGCCACCGCGCCTGGCCTTTAGTGATATTTTAAAGACTAAATTCCCTTAGAGATGCCTGGGTCTGCATTTATTGCTACTGTTCTGTTTCTCACTGTGTGTCTTGAGGTCATCAAAAGTAACCTGGGCCTTTTCCCTTGTTTTCTGCCTCCTCTAGGCTTATGAGCCATTAAGCAAAGCCGGATTGGTGTGTGGGTCAGGCTCTTCATGTTTTCTTTAGCTTAATAAGCAGTTTCTAAGGGAACTCATTGTGTCATTGTTTAGAATAGCAAAAGATGAGCAGCCTCCCAAGTGGCAATCAGTAGGGGCTGGGTGAATACAGTGGGTTCCACCCCTTCCGTGGTAGGGTGGGATGCTTGCAGAAGGACATAAGACGAGGAAGCCCTTTGTGCACAGATGTGCGGCAGCCTCCAAGGTCCAGTTTTTAAGTGAAAACGTGGAGATCCACTTGGTATATTTGGTATGTTACCTCTGTGTAAAAAAGCAGACAAGTAAGAATTACGTAGTTGTATTTGCTGTATTTGTAAGAAATTCCAGAGGGATAAATGAGAAACTAAAAGAGGCAATTGCATTTGGGCAGAGTAACTTTTTATTGTTTACCTTGATATATACTTTTTTTTTTTTTGAGATAGAGTCTCGCCCTGTCAACAGGCTGGAGTGCAGTGGCGTGATCGTGGCTCACTGCATCCTCCGCTTCCCAGTTTCAAGCGATTCTCCTGCCTCAGCCTTCTGAGTAGCTGAGATTACAGGTGTGTGCGCCACCAAGCTCAGCTAATTTTTGGTATCTTTAGTAGAGATTGGGTTTCACCACGTTGGCTGGGCTGGTCTCGAACCCCTGACCTCGTGATCTGCCCACCTTGGCCTCCCAAAGTGCTGAGATTACAGGCTTGAGCCACCGCGCCCGGCCTATATATGTATTATATAAACATATGCACACGCATGCATACGTACACACATATATATTTTTTAAAAATTGAGTCATGGCCAGGTGCAGTGTGGGTCACACCTGTAATCCCAGCACTTTGGCAGGTGAAGGTGGGAGGATTGCCTGAGCTCAGGAGTTTGAGACCAGCCTGGGCAACATGGAGAAACCCCTTCTCTACAAAAATCACAAAAATTGGCTGGGCGTGGTGGCATACACCTGTGGTCCCAGCTGCCTGGAAGGCTGAGGTGGGAGGATTGCTTGAGCCTGGTAGGTAGAGGCCGCAGTGAGCCATGATCACGCCACTGCACTCCAGCCTGGGTGAGAGAGTGAGACTCTGTCTTAAAGCAAAAACAGAGTCATATATTTCCTATTAAGGTGAAATTTAAAAAATAAATTCCTATATTCCATCATCCCCAGCTTCTGCCATTCTAAAGCATTTTCCTAAGCAGCTCCACTGTGGATGTAGCGGGTATTTCAGAAAGGCATTAGAAATGCCCTGGGAGGGCAGAACCCGGGGCTTCACTGGAGGTGCTGTTGGGCTCAGTCTGATGTCAAGGCAGGGACATGGCAAGGGTATTGAGATGTGAACAAGCATTACTCAGCAAGGTGACATGTGTTCATGCCTTGATACACTTGTTTCCCCACCAGCTCTATTTTTGTTGCCTGCTCTATTGGTTTCTTTTTCTTTTTTTTTTCTTTTGAGACTGAGTTTTGCTTTTGTTGCCCAGGCTGGAGTGCAATGGCACCATCTCGGCTCACTGCATCTTCCGCCTCCTGGGTTCAAGTGATTCTCCTGCCCCAGCCTCCTGAGTAGCTGGGACTACAGGTGTGCACCACCATGCCCAGCTAATTTTTATATTTTTAGTAGAGACGGGGTTTCTTCATGTTGGTCGGGCTGGTCTCGAACTCCTGACCTCAGGTGATCCTCCTGCTTTGGGCTCCCAAAGTGCTGGGATTACAGGTGTGAGCCACTGTGCCCAGTCTCTATTGGTTTCTTATTGCTGGTATTGCCATCAACTTGGTGACTGAGAACAACACACATCACTCTAGTTCTCGGGAGTCAGAGGTCCAAAATGTACGGCTGGTGTTCTTTCCGGAAGCTTGCAGGGAGAATCCATGGCCTGGCCCTGTCCAGCATCAAGAGGCCACCTGTCTTCCTCAATTCGTGGTTTCATGTCCCTCCACCCCTGCTTGTGTTGTCAAATCTCCTTTACTTTTTTTTTATTTTTGAGACGGAATCTCAGCTCACTGTAGTCTCTGCCTCCCAGGTTCAAGTGATTCTCCTGCCTCAGCTTCCTGAGTAGCTGGGATTACAGGTGCATGTCACCATGCCTGGCTAATTTTTGTATTTTTAGTAGAGACGGGGTTTCACCATGTTGGACAGGCTGGTCTTGAACTCCTGACCCCGGGTGATCTACCTGCCTCAGCCTCCCAAAGTGGTGGGATTATAGGCATGAGCCACCACGCCCTGCCTCAAATCTCCTTTTCTGACTCAGATATTCCCACCGTCCTCTTGTCCCTTATAATTCCCTGTGATTACATTGGGCCCACCTGGATCATCTAGGACAGGGGTCCCCAACTCCTGGGCCATGAACCAGTAGCGAGCAGTCTGTGGCCTGTTAGGAACTGAGTCATGCAACAGGAGCTGAGTGGCGGGCAAGCCAGCATTACCACCTGAATTCCACCTCCTGTCAGATCAGTGGCTGCATTGGATTCTCACAGGAGCGTGAACCCTAACGTGAACCGTGCATGCGAGGGACCTAGGCTGTGTGCTCCTTATGAGAATCTAATGCCTGATGATCTGAGGGGGAACAGTTTCATCCTGAAAGCCACCCCCCGCCATCCCTGGCAAAACTGTCTTCCATGAAATCCATCCCTGGTGCCAAAAAGCGTGGGGACCTCTGATCTGGGACATTCTCCCCATTCCAAAGTCCTTAATGATACCTGCAGAGTCCCTTTTGCCATGAAAGGTAAGAGACTCAGGTTCTGGGGACGGGGATGTAGGCATCTTTACGGGCTATTCTGTGTACTGCACCTGTTCAGCTTAGTTCCAGGCACATAGTAGGGGCTCAGTACATCTTTGTTGAATGACACAATCAATCATTTGGTTAGGCTAGAGAATGTGGAAGGAGGCCGGGTGCAGTGGCTCACGCCTGTAATCCTAAGGCTGAGGCAGGTGGATCACTTGAGCTCAGGAGTTTGAGACCAGCCTGGACAATGTGGCGAAACCCCATCTCTCCTAAAAATAGAAAAATTACCTGGGTGTGATAGTGTGTGTCTGTAGTCCCAGCTACTCAGGAGGCTGAGGCGGGAGGATCACTTGAGCCCAGAAGGTGGAGGTTTCAGTGAGCTGAGATCATGGCACTGCAGTCCAGTCTGGGCAACAAAACGAGACCCTGTGTCAGAAAAAGAGAGAATGTGGAGGGATATTATAGCAAGAAGTGGATCTGGAAGTTTTACTAGTAGTGGTATTTATTGAGCACCTACTGTGTGCTCTGGCTCATGTTTAACAAAGTGCTTATTTGCATAATGTTAGTATTCCCATTTTACAGATGCGGAAACTGAGGTTTAGTTGCTGGCCTAGTATTACAGGGTGAGGAGCTGAAGCCCCATCTGCCTGACGAGGGGTGTGTTGGGGATGTGGACTAGAAGCTTGGTCAGGGAGGGATTCTGTTCAAACAGGGCTGCTTAGCTTTGGCACTGTTGACATTTGGGGCCAGATATTTCCCGTCGTGGGGGCTGTCCTATGTATTGTGGCCATTAAGCAGTATCCCTGGCCTCTGTCCACAGAGTGCCAATAGCACTACCCTCTTCCTAAGTTGTGAAAACCCAGGATGTTTCCAAATGTTGTCACATGTCCCCTGAGTGACAAACTTGCCCCCACTTGAGAACCATGGTGTTGAAACATAGATCACGGCACATCAACTCCATGCTCCTCAGGTCACCCTGCGTGAAAGTCAGAATCCCTGCGGTGGCCTGTGCGTCCCGCACTGACTGTCTCCTCCCTGCCTTCTTCCTTCCTCGCTGTCTTCACTGCTTGTTATTCTTCAGACCTGTTGGCCTCTCTGCGGTTTCTCAGAAATGCCAGGCCTGGTCTGACTTCAGGACCTTTGCACTGGCTGTTTTCTCTGCTTGGTGTGCCCTTCCTCCAGATGGCCATTTGGTTTACTCCTCTGTTTCCTTCCATCCTGTATTTGTTTATTTATTTTTAATTGAGATGGAGTCTCGCTCTGTCACCCAGGCTGGAGTGCAGTGGTGTGATCGCAGATCACTGCAACCTCCACCACCCAGGTTCAAGGGATTCTCGTGCCTCAGCCTCCTGAGTAGCTGGGATTACAGGCATGCACTACCACGCTATGTTGGCCAGGCTGGTCTTGAACTCCTGGCCTCAAGTGACCCACTTGTCTTGGCCTCCCAAAGTGCTGGGATTATAGGTGTGAGCCACTGTGCCTGGCTCAATCCTGTATTTAAATACCCGTCCTCAGCAAGGCTTGCCCTCTTCTCTGAGTGCTTTTCATCACACATGTCTTCATATCCTCTCCTTTCTAAACCATCTGTCTCTTCTCTTTAGGCTGTCAGCTCCAGGAGGGCCGGCCCTTGGTCCCTATTGTTCACTGCTGGGCCCTCAGCCCTAGGAACCGTGCTCTGTAAATGGATGAATGCTGTCTGTCCTGTTACTGCAGTGTCCCCAGACATATCCCTATGCCCAGCACATGCCTGACCCCTCACAAGACCCTGGAACATGACTAAGGGATTTATTTGGTGAAACATGAGAGTCTGATAAGAGGAGAGGAAGTGGCTGGGGAGCAACCTTGCAAAGATAGCCAGGGTTGGATGGAGAAAACGAGGGTGAGTGTCAGCTTCATAGGACGGGCCTTCCACGAGAGGCCTCATGGTGCTTGGGAGAGTTGGGGTGAAAGCAGGTTGGAACAAGATGCTTGCTGCTGACATTTGGGCACTGATGGGCAGCCTGACCTCTGCTTTCTTTTTAGTGCTTAACAACACTGAAGCCCTGTTAAGACAGGATTCTTAGGACTGGGCACAGTGGCTCATCCAGCACTTTGGGAGCCCTGGGTGGGAGGATCATTTGAGCCCCAGGAGTTTGAGGCCAGACAGGGCAACATAGCAAGGCCCCATCTCTGGAAAGAAATACAAAAATTAACCAGGCTTGGTGGTGTGCACCTCTAGTCCCAGCTACTTGAGAGGCTGAGGTGGGAGGATCACTTGAGCCTGGGAGTTCAAAGCTGTAATGAGCTATAATCATGACATTACACTCCAGCCGAGGAGACAGAGCAAGACTCTGTCTCAAAAAAAAAAAAAAAAAAAAAAATTAGTTTTGCATGTAACTGTGTTCAGTTCTGTGTCTTGGACGTGAGGATTTGTGGTACCCGCCTGGATAGAGCAAGGATGGCCGTGCCCCTGCCTTCCTGGGTGATGGGGATAAGTCTGGAAATTGCCCCTGTGATGTTACTGGGCTTTATTCTTAGCTCTGCTGAGTTAGGGGGCAGGGTGGGGTGCAGCCCAGCCAACAGCATGCCAGGGCGCGTCACTGCCCACGCGATGCTGGCTTCAGCCGCCTTCCTCTCACCTCATGGCCCTGCCAGCCGTGCTTGCCTCCTGCTGTGTCGGGGCTGGGAGACTTTAGCCTTTCTCCAGATGTTTTCAGGAGTGCGGTGGGGAAATGAAGGCCACATGCTGTCTCTCTAAACAGGATTAATGTTCAGAAGCCCAGCGGGTGCCCTGACCTAACCACGGGCCTCTTGCACTCCTTTTCTCAGCTTCCCTTGGCTTCTGAGCTACCCCTCTGCAGCGTTGTTTCTGAGTGTGGCATTTAGGAGCACCCTGTCGTCTTGCCTTTCGTCCCTCCAAGCCCCGTCTGTTCCTTGGTTGGTTGTGCAGAAGAGTTGCTAGGGTTTGAATCCAGGACGGTCCTGCCCCTGTGACTCGCGGGCCATCTTCTCACCTGTTTGTCTCTGTGTTCCTCTCTGTAAAAGTGGGAATCATTACAGTACCTTCCTCATAGACTGCTAGGGTGATAAAATGGAGCGATGTACATGAAACCTGAACGCAGTGCCTGGTATGCAGTCCGTGCTTAGACAGGGCTCTGGTTTTATTTTTATTTCTTTTTCTTTGAGACTTGGTCTCACTCTGTCACCCAGGCTGGAGTTCATTAGCATAATCACGTCTCACTGCAGCTTCCCACTCCTGGGCTCAAGCGATCTTACCACCTCAGCCTCCCAAGTAGGTGGGATTACAGGTGTGAGCCACTGTGCCTGGCACCATTCAGCAATTTTTTTTTGTTTTGTTTTTGAGACAGAGCCTGGCTCTGTCACCCAGGCTGGAGTACAGTGGTGCGATCTCAGCTCACTGCAGTCTCTGTCTTTCAGGTTCAAGTGATTCTCCTGCCTCAGCCTCCCAAGCAGCTGGGATTACAGGCGTCTGCCACCACACCCAGCTAATTTTTAGTAGAGACAGGGTTTCACCATAGTGGCCAGGCTGGTCTTGAACTCCTGACTTCAAGTGATCCACCCTCCTCGGCCTCCCAAAGTGCTGGGATTACAGGCATGAGCCATCACACCCGGCCATCAGCAAATTTTTAAGTATACAATATAGTATTGTGAGCTATAGACACTATTCTGTACAGTAGACCGTAGGACTGACTGACTCATCTTGTATGACCAAAACTTTATACGCTTTGACCAACACCTCCCTGTTTCCCCCACCACCAGCTCCTTGCAACTACCATTCTGTTCTCTGCTTCTATGAGTTTGTCTTTTTTAGATGTCACATGTGAGTGAGATCTTGCAGTGTTCGTCTTCCTGTGCCTGGCTTATTTCATTTAGCATAATGTTCTCCAGGCGCATCCATGTTGTTGCAAATGGCAGGATTTCTTTCCTTTTTTTTTTAGACAGAGTCTTGCTCTGTCTCCCAGGCTGGAGTGCAGTGGCACGATCTCGGCTCACTGCAAGCTCCGCCTCCTGGGTTCACGCCATCCTCCTGCCTCAGCCTCCCGAGTAGCTGGAACCACAGGTGCCTGCCGCCACGCCCGGCTAATTTTTTTTTTTTTTTTTTTTGCATTTTTAGTAGAGATGGGGTTTCACCGTGTTAGCCAGGTTGGTCTCGACCTCCTGACCTTGTGATCCGCCTGCCTTGACCTCCCAAAGCGGTGGGATTACAGGTGTGAGCGACTGCGCCCGGCCAGGATTTCTTTCCTTTTTAAGGCTGAGCGATAGTCCATGGCATGTATAGATCATGTTTTCTTTGTCCACTTGACCACGGATAGACATTTAGTTGTCTCCATCTTGGTTGCTGTGAGTGACGCTCCAGTGAACACGGGAGTGCAGATATCTCTTCAGGGCCCATGTGTGGCTGAGATTAGGAGATCACTGCTGTCGTCTCTAGTTCAGCAGTGCTAGTGCCTCCTGGCGTTTAGCGTCCAGCTCAAGGGAGTGGAATTTGGGTGTCTCAGGGTCTAGGGCCACCTGTGCCTCTAAATCGCAGGGAAGCTTTGTGTGTGTGTGTGGTGGGGTGCGGGGGGCTATGGGTATGTGGTGGGGTGAATCTTATTTCTCTTCTTTCCCTTTTCTTAATTTTCCGTTGGCAAAACAGAGCGCCACTCCAGACCCCTTTCATTCTTGCAATATACATGAAAAGTACAGGGCTTGTTCTGCAAAAGAAGAGTAGCCCCAGCGAGCTCAGGGTTGAGTGAAGTTCCGCAAGGATGGCACCTCTCGGCTCTTCTGGGGGCTTCAGGACAGAGCTCAGTGTCGCCAAGCAGGACCCCCACTGCGGGCGGAGCTGCAGGGCCATCAACATTCATTAGGTGGATCAGTGAATGTAGACTCTGCGGTGTCACAAAGCAGCACCTGTACTCACTGTGCCTGTCTCGGGATGGAATCTAAGTCAGACATCCTTGCATCCCCACTTATGGGCTGTTCCTTCACCTTGCTGGTCCTCACCTTTCTCCTAGAGTTACGGGGAGGAGTAAATGTGCTAAGGCCATACACGCCGACTCTGCAGTGGCCTTGAACCATGCTTCTCTGTCACCCCTTTCGTTGCCTTGACAATGGCTGCAGCCTCCTTTCCCATCTCCCCTAGGATCTTCTCCTAGGGTCTCTTAATACAGGGGTCCCCAATCCCCAGAGCACGGACTGGCACCAGTTCATGCATGCCCTGTTAGGAACCAGGCCACAGGCCACACAGCAGGAGGTGAGTGGCAGGCGAGCGTGTGAGACTTCATCTGTATTTACAGCCGCTCCCCATCTTTTGCATCACCGCCTGAGCTCTGCCTCCTGTCAGATCACCTGTGGCATTAGATTCTCATAGGAGCGCGAACCCTGCTGTGAACCGTGTGCGCGAGGGATCCAGGCTGTGTGCTTCTTTTGAGAATGCAATGCCTGATGATCTATCACTGTCTCCCATCACAGCTGAGATGGGACCATCTAGTTGCAGGAAAACAAACTCAGGGCTCCCACCGATTCTACATAATGGTGAGTTGTATAATTATTTCATTATATATGACAATGTAATCATAGAAATAAAGTGCACAATAAATGTAATGCACTCGAATCATCCCCTACCCTGTCTGTGAAAAATCGTCTTCCACAAAACCTATCCTTGCTGCCAAAAAGGGGATGGCTGTCTTTTTTTCTTTTGAGATGGATTCTTGCTCTGTTGCCCAGGCTGGAGTGCAGTGGCACAATCTCGGCTCACTGCAGCCTCTGCCTCCCAGGTTCCAGCGATTCTCCTGCCTCAGCCTCCTGGGTAGCTGGGATTATAGGCACAATGGCACCGTGCCTGGCTAATTTTTGTATTTTTAGTAGAGACGGGGTTTTACCATGTTGGCCAGGCTGCTCTCAAACTCCTAACCTTGGGTGATCCTCCCGCCTCGGCCTCCCAAAGTGCTGGGATTACAGGCGTGAGCCACTGTGCCTGGCCAGGGACCACTGTCTTAATATGTGAATTAGGCGATGCCATGACCCTGCTTAATGCACTCCCAGGGCCTCCTGTGAGAATTAGAACAAAAAATCCATGCTCTGTACCATGCCTCCAAGATTGGCTATGTGGTGGCCTTTGGTGACTTCTCCCGCCCAATCTTGGGTCCTAGCTCATTGGTGCAGCCATATCCTCCCCCCACCCCACCCCACTGTGGCCTTTGCCTGTGCCATCTTTCTGCCTGGTATGTGCTTCCCGAGATCTTTGCACAGCCAGCTCTTCCTGACCCTTCCAGTCTGCTAGGATGTCATCTGCCCAGACCGCCACTCTGGTGCTTCCTGTCCTGACACCCCTGCTCTTTCCTTCACAGCAGGTACTGCTCTTTGTCATTATGTTCTTATCTGTGAGCTTTCATCTTTGATGGACTATGAGTCTTAAGAGGACAGAGATATCGTTTCTGATTTTCCCCCATGCCTGTGACTAGCCCAGGTCTAGGCATATAGTAGGTGCTCAATAAACAGTCATCGAATGATAGATTGAATGAATGAATGCATGACAGGAACCCTGCACTTATCTGTGTTAATCCGTCTCTTGGCTGCCGGGAACACCAGCTCCTGCAACCTGGCACTTGGGTCACCTGATTGAACCCTCCTGATAACTCTCTAAACTCTGTAATAGGTGGGTTCTAGAATTAGTCCCATTTCACAGATGAAGAAATCAAGGCCTGGTGAGGTGAACTGACTTGCTTTAGGGCAGCAGGGATGATTTTTGCCTCTCTGGAGATATTTGGCAATGTCTAGAGACAGTTTTGATTGTCATAACTTGAGGAGGTGGGGAGTGCTACTATCATCTAGTGGCAGAGGCCAGCGACGCCACTCAGTATCTTACAATGCACAGGATGGCCCCCGACAACCAAGAATTATTTGGGCTCAAATACCAGCGGTTCTGAGGTTGAAGAAGCCCTGCTTGAGGGCACACATCTGTAAGTGGTGGAGACGGGAACCTAGACCTGGAACCTTGTTTTGTTAACCACTACCCTGCACTGCTCACATGCGGGGGTGGGTGGGTGGGAAGAGTTGTAGAATGTTTCCATGTCTGAGTCAAAATCTTGCTTCTCTGCTCTAGGGAGATGAATTTGGAATCTGTGAGGCCTGAGGCCATTCACTTGATCTCCGGCCCTGGAGATCTTGCCTCCAAGCGACCTCAGGCTCCATCTGTCTGCCATGTACCTTGCAAACACCTTAGAATTCTGGCTGGGCATGGTGGCTCACACCTCTAATCCCGGCACTCTGGGAGGCCGAGGCGGGCAGACTGAGTTCAAGACCAGCCTGGGCAACATGGTAAAACCCTGAATCTACAAAAGATACAAAAATTAGCCAGGCATGGTGATGCGTGCCAGGTAGTCCCAGCTACTTGGGAGGCTGAGGCAGGAGGATTGCTGGAGCCCAGGAGATCGAGGCTGCAGTGAGCTGTGATGGTGCCAGTGTACTCAAGCCTGGGCAACAGAGTGAGACCCTGTCTCAAAAAACAAAACCAGCTGACCAAACAAACCAAAAGGCCTTAGAGTTCAAGCACGTGGTTTAGAGGTGGTGGATCTCAGTGTCAGACTCTCAGTGGGTTCAAATCCTGGCCCTGTTTCTTCTAGGTTGACGAGCCCAAGCAATTTACATAAACTCTCTGGACCTCAGAGCCCTTGCCAGGAAAGGGGAGAGTTTTAATAGTCCTGACTTTGTAGGGCTGTTGGAAAGCTTAAATGGACTGTGCTTGGGAAGCACTTAATCACTGTGCCTGGCGTGATCACTCTGGCTGTTATTATTGGCACCCAATAAATACATGCTTTCTCTTTGTTTCCAACTCAGCATTTAGAAATGTCCTACCCTTCAATTCCTGCTGCTATTTATTTATTTGAAGTGCGAACTAGCTTTCTTATTATTATTTTAGAAATCATGCAGAGGAGAAAATTCAAACAGTACGAAAGATAATACAACAAAAAATAGTAGTTGCCTTCCTCTCCCTGGTTTCAGGCCTACCCCCTGCAGATTAATTAGCTTTTTTTCTTTCTTTTTTTCTTTTCTTTTTTTTGCAATATGAAGTCTTGCTCTGTTGCCCAGGCTGGAGTGCAGTGGTGTGATTTTGACTCACTGCAACCTCCGCCTCCTGGGTTCAAGCAATTCTCCTGCCTCAGCCTCCCTAGTAGCTGGGATTAGGGCAGATCATGAGGTCAGAAATGTGACAACAGCCTGGCCAACATGGTGAAACTCCATCTGTACTAAAAATGCAAAAATTAGCCAGGCGTGGTAGCAGGCGTCTGTAATCCCAGGTACTTGCGAGGCTGAGGCAGGAGAATTGCTTGAACTCGGGAGGTGGAGGTTGCAGTGAGCCGAGACCACACCATTGCACTCCAGCCTGGGCAACAAGAGCGAAACTCCGTCTCAAAAAACAAACGAAACATCAAATTCCTGACTGTGTATGCTGCTTGCAGGTTATATATGACCAGGCCTGGTTCTGTATCTGTAAAATGGGTTACGTTATAGTACCTGAGTCCTAGAGTTGTGTGTGAGGATGAAATGTAATGTGAAACACTTAGAGTGGTGCTTGGCTGATGCAACTAATGAATCTTCCCTCTTACTCTTTCTATAGACAGAAGAAGGCGGCACAGGTTTCTTCATTGCTTTTCGCCCTTTGCTGAAATGTCATCTTGGCCCAGAGGCCCTTTCTGTCTACCTGATAAAGAACTAGCACCTGCCCACCCACCATTATGCTTCACCCACTTTCTTCTTCTTCAAGCCATTTGCTCCCATTGGGCATACATAGAGTTGTTTTTTTTAGCTGTTGGTAGTTTTGGCCGCTTTGCATAAAGTGAAATTGTGTGAGAGTGGAGACTTTATTTTACTTCCACATGACCTTGGCCCATGGTAGTAGTCGCTGATAAATGTCCACTGAGCAATAAGAACCCGACTGTTGCAAGTTACTTATTTATTTATTTTTGAGACAGGGTCTCAGTCTTTCACCTAGGCTGGAGTTCGGTGGTGCAGTCATAGCTCACTGCAGCCTCGAACTCCTGGGCTCAAGGGATCCTCCTTCGTCAGCCTCTGGAGTAGCTGGGACTAAAGGCAAACGTCATCACATCTGGCTACTTTTAAATTTTTTTATTTGTAGAAGGTGGGGAGTCTCACTCCATTGCCACCTCTGGTCTCGAACTCCTGGGCTCAAGTGATCCTCCTGCCTCGGTCCCCCAAAGTGTTGGGATTACAGGTGTGTACCACCACGCCCAGCTAAGTTTTTTTTTTTTTTTTTTTTTTTTTGAGATGCAGTCTCACTCTTTTGTCCAGGCTGGAGTGCAGTGGCCTGATCTCGGCTCACCACAACCTCCACCTCCTGGGTTCAAGCGATTCTCCTGTCTCAGTCTCCTGAGTAGCTGGGACTACAGGCGCACGCCACCATGCCCGGCTAATTTTTGTACATTTAGTAGAGAGAGGGTTTCACTATGTTGGCCAGGCTGGTCTCGAACTCCTGACCTCATGATCCGCCCGCCTCAGCCTCCCAAAGTGCTGGGATTACAGGCGTGAACCCCTCCACCCGGCCAGCTAAGTTTTTAAATTTTTTTGTAGAGATACAGTCTCACTGTGTTGCCCAAGCTGATCTGAAATTCCTGGCCTCAAACTATCCTCCTGCCTCTGCCTCTTCAAGTGCTGGGAAATATAGGCATGAGCCACTGCACCCAGCTGGTTGTGAGTTATTGAGATGGTTGAATTGGGAGTGGATGCTCAGGCCTCAGTGGAACTTGTGGTACACAGTATGTCCTCATTACCTCCCATCAGTGGCAGTTGAGATTCATAATCACTTTTTCTGCCTGTTGTCTGCCCCATCCTCTCTGTGGCCTTCCCTCCTGTCCTGGAGTTGGCTGGCTGGGTCCCTGGCAGGGCTGCATGCGTTATCCCTGCAGGCCTGCTTGCCTTATCCCTGCAGGCCCTGGTGGAGCATCTGTGCAGAACCTGTGCCATCCAGATGGGAGCAGTAAGGGTGTAGGGCAAAGTTAGTGAGCTGCCCGGTGCACGAGGACTTCCATGATAATCAGGGCTGAACCAGGAAGGCAGGTCAAGGCCAGGGTCATGTACAGAAAGGAGGTCAGCACCAGGATCTTGTATGGGAAGACTTAGATCAATGCCTAGTGCCTTAGTCATCATCATTCAGCCCAGAAAACATGACGCTATGCAACAGGAATTTTATGAACACACAAAGGTCAGGGGCCACTCGGACTTGGACGGGGTCCCCAACTCTTTGAGTGTCAGGGCTGAGGGCATGGAGACACAACTTGATCAAGCTGGTGAAGTGTCCAGCAAGGAGAAGCCTCTGTTGGAGGGAGCCGGGAGCTGGGGAGGACATGCGCTTTCTCTTTTTTTTTTTTTTTTGAGACGGAGTCTCGCTCTATCGCCCAGGCTGGAGTGCAGTGGTGCAATCTCGGCTCACTGCAACCTCTGCCTCCTGGGTTCAAGCGATTCTCCTGTCTCAGCCTCTCACGTAGCCGGGACTCAGGCCTGTGCCACCACGCCTGGTGAATTTTTTTGTATTTTTAGTAGAGACGGGGTTTCACCATGTTAGCCAGGATGGTCTTGATCTCCTGACCTCGTGATCCACCTGCCTTGGCCTCTGAAAGTGCTAGGATTATAGGCGTGAGCCACCGCGCCCAGCCGACTTGCGCTTTCTCTGTAAAGATTTCTGTGGGCCAGGTTCCCCAAAGGGCAGGCCCTGGGCCAGTGCAGTGACCGGTGACCGTGTTCAGGACTCATCTCTTGTGGCTGAATTGTGTGTCTGGAGAGTTGGGTCCTTCTGATTCTGCTCAGAGCGTGGTGGGCCTGGCTGGATTTCCCTAGATTAGGAAGCAGCCTCGGGTAGCTGTGATTCTTTGAGTTGGGAACAGCAAGTGGCCTGCAGACTGCCAGGGAATCGTCCCTTCCTTGAGCCTTTAGGTATTGCCCATTATTCACCGTTTTTCCCAGAAGCCTCCAGTAGTGAGAGTCGCACTTCTTACCTCCTGGAGTTGTTAAAGTAAAGAAGGACACATTAGGGTCCCTGCCGGTAAGGAACATCCAGGAGGCCTCGATACCTTTTTTTTTTTTTTTTTTTTTTCCCTGAGACAGAGTCTCGCTCTGTCACCCAGGCTGGAGGACAATGACCTGATCTCTGCTCACTGCAACCTCCACCTCCTGGGTTTAAGCGATTCTTGTGCCTCAGCTGCCCGACTAGCTGGGATTACAGGCATTTGCCACCATGGCTGGCTAATGTATTTTTTTTTTCTTTTTCAGTAGAGATGGGGTTTCACTATGTTGGCCAGGCTGGTCTTGAACTCCTGGCCTCAAGTGATCTGCCCTCCTCAGCCTCCCAAAGTGCTGGGATTTCAGGTGTGACCCACTGCGCCCAGTCCCGATACTTTGTTTCTTTGAGACAGTCTCTTACTCTGTCACCCAGGCTGGAGTGCCTGGGTGGGACGATCAAAGCTCACTGCAGCCTCAAGCCCCTAGGCTCAAAAGATCCTCCCACTTCAGCCTTCTGAGTAGGTGGGACTACAGGCCTGCACTACCACGCCTGGATAATTTTTAAATTTTTTTGGTGAAGACAGGGTCTTACTTTGTTGCCCAGGCTTTTCTTGAACTCCTGAGCTCAAGCAATCCTCCCGCCTCAGCCTCCCAAAGTGCTGGGTTTACAGGCGTGAGCCACTGTGCCCGGTCCTCAGATGATCTTAGCTTTGTGACCTATGCTGTTGGCCGCTGTAGGGGCTGTGATGGAGGTGATGTGGGGGTGGATGGCAGGGGTGACCCGTGTTGGCTGCTTTCTGTAACAGTCATAGTTCATGGTCAGAGTCAGATTTCCTCTCGTCATGCCTTCCTTCCCTTCCTTCTGCTCCCTCCCACAGCCGCCCTTTGGGTCTGGGCTGGCCATCTGGCTCTGAGCAGGAAGCTAGCCTGTGCTCTTCAATTTGCTTTCTGCAGGGGAAACACCTTCCTTTGCTCAGCGTTTCCTGACCTCTCCTTCCCTGGAGTTCCGGTGTCCTTAAATGCTCTCTGGTTTCTTCTGTAGCTTACTTTCTTGCTTGAAAGGACAACTTTTCTTTGTCCTTTAGACTTCTTATCTCTGGGCAATACAGTGGTGGTGGCAGTGGTGATTATTATCAACTATTAGTATCTGCTACTACGGTTTATTGTCTCTAGACTGTATCAGCACCTGTCACACATTGTCCCATTGAATCCTCTCCAGAACTCTTCCAAATGATGTGTTTTCCTGACTTTTAAAAAAATTAAAAAAAAATTTTTATATTTTTTTGAGACGGAGTCTCGCTCTGTCTCCCAGGCTGGAGTGCAGTGCTGCGATCTCGGCTCACTGCAAGCTCTGCCTTCTGGGTTCATGCCATTCTCCTGCCTCAACCTCCTGAGTAGCTGGGACTACAGGTGCCCGCCACCACACCTGGCTAATTTGTTTTTTAATATTTTTAGTAGAGACAGGGTTTCACCGTGTTAGCCAGGATGGTCTCCATCTCCTAACCTCATGATTCTCCCACCTTGGCCTCCCGAAGTGCTGGGTTTACAGGCGTGAGCCACTGTGCCCAGCCAAAAAAATTTTTTTAAAGAAATGGGGTCTCGCTGGGTGCGATGGCTCACGCCTGTAGTCCCAGCACTTTGGGAGGCTGAGGTGGGCGGATCACCTGAGGTTGGGAGTTCCAGGACAGCCTGACCAACATGGAGAAACCCCATCTCTACTAAAAATACGAGATTAGCCAGGCGTGGTGGCAGGCGCCTATAGTCCCAGCTACTCGGGAAGCTGAGGCAGGAGACTCGTTTGAACCCGGGAGGCAGAGATTGCGGTGAGCTGAAATCTCTCCATTGCACTCCAGCCTGGGCAACAAGAGTGAAACTCCGTCTCAAAAGAAAAAAAAAATAGAAAAAGAAAAATAAAAGAAATGGGGTCTCACTGTGTTGCCCAGGCTGGTCTAGAATTCCTGGGCTCCAGCTGTCCTCCCATTTCGGTCTCCCAAATTGCTGGGATTAAATGTGTGAGCCTCTGTGCCCGGCCTCTTTCTCTCTCTCTCTCTCTCTCTCTCTCTCTCTCTCTCTCTCTCTCTCTCTCTCTCTCCTCTCTCTCTCTCTCTCTCTCTCTCTGTCTCTTTCTTTCTTTCTTTCTTTCTTTCTTTCTTTCTTTCTTTCTTTCTTTCAGCCTGAGTCTCGCTTTGTCGCCAGGCTGGAGTGCAGTGGCACGATCTGGGCTCACTGCAACCTCTGCTTCCCAGGTTCAAGTGATTCTTCTGCCTCAGCCTCCCGAGTAGCTGGGACTACAGGTGCATGCCACCATGCCTGGCTAATTTTTGTATTTTTAGTACAGACGGAGTTTCACCATATTAGCCAGGATGGTCTTGAACTCCTGATCTCATGATCTGCCCGCCTCGGTCTCCCAAAGTGTTGGGATTACAGGCGTGAGCCACCGCTCCTGGCCTTCCTTTTTTTTGAAGCAGGTTCTCACTCTGTTGCCCAGGTTGGAGTGCAATGGTGTGATTATGTCTCACTGCAGTGTCTACCTTCCAAGGCTCAGGTGATCTCCTGCTTCAGCCCACTGAGTAGCTGGGATTATAGGCGAGTTCACCATGCCTGGCTAATTTTTGTGTTTCTAGTAGAGACGGGTTTCACCATGTTGTCCAGGCTGGTTTTGAACTCCTGGGCTCAAGTGATCCACCCGTGTCGGCCTCCCAAAGTGCCGGGATTACAGGCATGAGCCACCGTGTCCAGCTTTTCTGACTCTTTTTACTTATCAGGAGACTGAAGCTTGGAGAAATTAAGTGACTTGCCCAAGTTCACATGGGGTTAAGGCCTGAATTTGAATCTACATCTGCTCAATTAGGAAGTGAGTGGTCATAGCTAGTCTCTACCTGGATGGATTGTTGTTTAATTGTTAAATTTTTTCAAAATAATTTTAAATTATTTTATTAAAAAAGAGGGTATCATTATGTTTCCCAGGCTGGTCTTGAACTCCTGGGCTCAAGTGATCCTCCTGCCTTGGCCTCCCAAAATGCTGAGGTTACAAGTGCAAACTACTGTGCCTAGCCAGATTATTACTTAACAACCAAAACAAAGGAGGAAATTGACGGTGGACAAGTAAGAAGATCATTGCAAAGGTTGGGGGCAGGTTGTTTGGGGAGTGTGGAGGAAGCTTTTTAAATGAGGTACCTGAGTTGGATTTTGAAGGATGAATAGGAGTTTGTTAGGACAGAAAGACATTGCAGAGAGAGGATCTAGCAAGAGGTGACTGAAGAAACCATTTATTTGACCAGCAGTTGGGGAATGCCTTGAAGGCAGGAACCACAGCCTTTCAGAATCTCCAGTGCCTGCAACAGTGTCTAGAACATTATCTGACAACAAGCTTGGTAAATACTTCTTTAAGTAAATGCCTGAGTAAGGCACATTTGGGGAACAGGGTGGGAGAAATTGTAGGAGAAGTAGATGGGACTTGAATGTAGAAGGAAGGCCTCATGGATCACTGCAAGGGTTGGTTATTTTTTTTTATTTTTTATGTTTTGAGATGGAGTCTCGCTTTGTCGCCCAGGCTGGAGTGCAGTGGCGCGATCTCGGCTCACTGCAAGCTCTGCCTCCCGGGTGCACGCCATTCTCCTGCCTCAGCCTCTCCAAGTAGCTGGGACTACAGGCGCCCGCCACCACGCCCGGCTAATTTTTTGTATTTTTAGTAGAGACGGGGTTTCACTGTGGTCTCGATCTGCTGACCTCGTGATCCACCCACCTCGGCCTCCCAAAGTGCTGGGATTACAAGCGTGAGCCACCGCGCCCAGCCAGGGTTGGTTCTTAAAAGCCAATAGGGAGCCATGGGAAGTTGTTTCCCAGCAGAAGAGAGAAGGCCATTAGATCTGCCCTATTTATTAATGCAAATATCTAAGTCTATGAATCTTCCTCTGAGCAGGAAAACGTGATTGCTTTTAAATCCATATGGAAAGACCCTCAGTTTTACTCATGATAAAGAGAAAAGGAACTTAAACTACACAGAGATATTTTTCACTTCAGATTGGCAGAGGTCGGAAACTTGTTATCTGCTGTGCTTTGTGAAGTAATTGCCTTTGTACCTTATCAGCTGGAGTATGAATTGATGTTCCCTATTTGGAGGGCAGTGTCTGTCTAAATGTTACTGTAGGCACCCTTTGACCTGGCAGGTTCCTTTTTTGAAAGTTTATATATATGTGAGACAGAGTCTCATTATGTTGCCCAGGGTGGTTTCAAACTCCTGGGCTCATGGGATCCTCCCACCTGGGCCTCCCAAAATGCTGGAGTTACAGATGGGAGCCACCACACCTGGCAGAGAAAGTGATCTTATCAACACTCTTGCTTGAGTGTGAAATTCAATTGTTTATTCAATGCTGCATTGTTTGTAAGAGCAACACCAATGCCAAGTCCCCAGGAGACCGATGGAAGTCAAGTTCATCCCTACAATAGAATACAAAGCAGCCGTAACAAAGAGTGAGGAAACTGTTCATGTATACTGCGGGATGATCTTTAAAATCTGTGGTTAAGAGAAAAAAGCAAAGTACGGAACATTATGTAACGTATGCTTCCTTCGATTTGATAACAGAAGATGTATATTTACTTTATTTTTGTATAAAATATTTTCTGAAAGAAGACATAAGCAACCCATGATCATTGCCTCTAGAGAGAGGAACTGAGGGGAGGGCCATAGGGAATGGAATGAGAAGACTTGTCCCTTGTACCTCTTTGTTCAAAAGAAATATCAAGAATAAAACACATCTATGTTACTGATAAAGATAGTTTCCAAAGGCTGTGTGCGGTGGTTCACACCTGTGATCCCAGCACTTTGGGTGGCCAAGGCGAGTGGATCGCTTGAGCTCAGGACTTTGAGACCAGCCTGAGCAACATGGCAAAACCCCATTTCTACTAAAAATACAAAATTAGCTGGGCATGGTGGTGTGTGCCTGTGGTCCTAGCTGCTCAGGAGGCTGAGGTGGGAGGATTGCTGGAGCCTGAGAGGTTGAGGCTGCAGTGAGCTATGATTGCACCACTGCATTCCAGCCTGGGCAACAGAGTGAGACCTTGTCTCAAAAAAAAAAAAAAAAGTTCAGTTTTTAATATTAGCTAAGTAAAAAAAAGCAAGGTATAGAATGGAGTATCGTAGTGCCTTTTGTGGCAACAAAATAGGTCGTATTTGGAATATATCTGGAAGAATGTAAGATGTTAGCAATGGTAGCTTGCCTGTAGGGTAGCAATGGGGGGCTGTTAATTTGGGGAGAAAGACATATTTTTCACTGTATACCTTTTTGAGTAATTTGAAAGAGTTTTAGCACACAAATATATTACCTATTAAAAATAATTACAAAGAGAGGGAGACATGGGTGGATGCATGGATGGATAGTTGGTTGGGTAGATGGATACATAGACAGGTGGATGGATTGGTTGGTGGATGGATGGATGAACTGTTGGGTGGGTAGATGGATTGATGGGTGAATGAATTGGTAGGTGGGTAGGGTGGATGGATGAATTGGTGGATGGGTAGGTGGATGGATGAATGAACTGGTGGGTTGCTGGATGGGTGGATGAATTGGTAGGTGGGTGGATGGATGGATTGATGGGTGAATGAATTGGTAGGTGGGTAGGGTGGATGGGTGAATTGGTGGATGGGTAGGTGCATGGATGAATGAATTGGTGGGTTGGTGGATGGGTGGATGAATTGGTAGGTGGGTGGATGGATGGATGGATGGGTGAATGAATTGGTAGGTGGGTAGGGTGGATGGGTGAATTGGTGGATGGGTAGGTGGATGTATAAATGAATTGGTGGGTGGGTGGATGGATGGATGAACTGGTGGGTGGGTGGATGGATGGATGGATGGGTGAATGAATTGGTAGGTGGGTAGGGTGGATGGGTGAATTGGTGGATGGGTAGGTGGATGTATAAATGAATTGGTGGGTGGGTGGATGGATGGATGAACTGGTGGGTGGGTGGATGGATGGATGGGTGAATGAATTGGTAGGTGGGTAGGGTGGATGGGTGAATTGGTGAATGGGTAGGTGGATGGATGAATGAATTGGTGGGTGGGTGGATGGGTGGATGAATTGGTAGGTGGGTAGCTGAATGGATGAATTGGTTGGGGGGGGTGGATGGATGAATTGGTGAGTGGGTAGTTGGGTGGATGGATGCATTGGTGGGTGGGTGGATGGATGAATTGGTGGATGGATGGATGGATGGGTTCATGGTTGGGTGATAAATATATCCATGGGTATACATATGGATGTGTACATAGATAATTCTCTGGCTATGATAGGGAGGACTGGCTGTGGTGGGGAACACTGACTGTGGTGGGGAGCACTGGCTGTAGCGGGGAGGACTCAGTAGGACAAGGAGAGGCTGGAGGCAGTGAAGACTTAGGAAGCAGTTGCATAGTCCTGGCAAGGAATAATTTGGGGCTAGGATCAGGTCAATTAAATGTTTAACATTGGAACTATGTCTCTTGTATACATAACTGCATATGTCAAGTCTTGGTATCGTTTTCTTTCTAGCAGGGCACATTCCTTTGGAATGAGCTTTTACTGGCAACTGCTCAGAAGCTGTTCTGTATATAATGACCACCAACAGTTTAATCCTTTTTTCAGCCATCACCTCAGGAATTAACAGTAGTATGAAATCAATTAAAATAATCAGTCTTTGAGATGTCATGCCTTCTCCACGATCAACTTCTTCTTTACAAGGCTGTGTTCCAAATACGCCAGGCCAAAAAGACGTGAACTTTGTCCTTTTTAGGGTTTGTGTCTTGATGTTTCCTGGCTAAATCTCTTTGTATGTGTTGGCCTTGTAAGGTTTACTTTTTTTTTTTTTTTTTTTTGAGATGGAGACTGTGTTGCCCAGGCTGGAGTGCAGTGGTGCAGTCTCAGCTCACTGCAACCTTTGCCTCCCGGGTTCAGGTGATTCTCCTGCCTGAGCCTCCCTACTAGCTGGGATTACAGACGTGCACTACCCTGCCCGGCTAATTTTTATGTTTTTAGTAAAATATAAAAATTATGTTTTTATGGGGGGTTCTTGCCATGTTGGCCGGGCTTGTCTCAGACTCCTGACTGCCTGCCTAGGCCTCCCAAAGTGCTGGGATTACAGGCATGAGCCACCGCGCCCAACCTAATAACTAGATCTCTTTAATTATTGGAACATGTATATTTTGATCAGATTGACACTTTTTTTTTTAAGTGAAGTGATCTTATTTCCCTCATTTCTCATTTTTAACTTTTTTTTTTTTTTGATATGGCTTTAAAGCTCTGTGGAGCTGTAAGGGTCTGGGTTCCTTGACACTCCATGGGGGTCTCAGGTGATCGTGGGAGGGCTGTTGGAATCAGAGCTATTTGGAGGGTGCATAGGCCAGTAGGATGGGAAGGCTGTGGGAGAAGTGGGCTTTTTGGGGACCGCAGCCAAATGGACAACTGGGCCTAATCTAAAGATTGGCCCCTCCCAGCTCCTACTGATGGTCATGTAACAGGAATGGGGCCCAGCACCACCAGATTTTCTGATTTTTTTTTTTTTTTTTGAGACACAGTCTTGCTCTGTTGCCAGGCTGGAGTGCAGTGGCATGATATTGGCTCACTGCAACCTCCGCCTCCTGGGTTCAAGTGATTCCCCTGCCTCAGCCTCCCAAGTAGCTGAGACTACAGGCATGCGCCACCATGCCTGGCTAGTTTTTTGTACTTTAGTAGAGATGAGGTTTTACCATGTTGGCCAGGATGGTCTTGATCTCCTGACCTCGTGATCCTCCTGCCTCGGCCTCCCAAAGTGCTGGGATGACAGGCGTGAGCCACTGCGCCCAGAAGATTTTCTGATTTTTAAAGTTATGCCAGAGACCGGGCGTGGTGGCTCACGCCTGTCATTCCAACACTTTGGGAGACTGAGGTTGGCAGATCACCTGAGGTTTAGGACTTCGAGACTAGACTGGCCAATATGGTAAAACCTTGTCTTTACTAAAAATTCAAAAAAAATTAGCCAAGCGGGGTGACCGCAGTCCCAGCTATTTAGGAGGTTGAGGCAGGAGAATCACTTGAACCCGGGAAGCAGAGATTGCAGTGAGCCGAGATCGCTTGAACCCGAGAAGCAGAGATTGCAGTGAGCTGAGATCATGCCACTGCATTCCAGTCTGGGTGACAAAGCAAGACTCTGTCAAGAAAAAAAAAAATAAAAATAAAAAGCCGGAAATCAAATTTTAAATGTTGGGATCTAATCTAATTTTTTTAAAAACAAAAAGTATGCCTAAAACAACAGCAATAACAACAAGCCATCTATGGGCCAAACTGTGGGTGGGGAAACCTATTTTGTACTTCTTATTTTATCCGATTGAATTGTGGTGGAGATAGGAAATTGAGACCCCAAAAAGGGTAGTAAGTTTTCCCAAAGTTATTTAGTCAGTTGCCAGATTATGGCTTGAATTAAATTTAAATTCTTCAGCTGGGCATGGTGGTGCACACCTGTAGTATAGCTGCTTGGGAGGCAGAGGTGGGAGGACTGCTTGAGCCCAAAAGTTCAAGGCACAGGAAGCTGTGATCTTACCACCACACTTCAGCCTGGGCAACAGAGCAAGACCTCATTTCAAAAAAAGAAAAAAAAAAGAAAAATTTAAATTCTTCATTACAGAACAGCTGATGGTGGAGGTTTATTCTTGGGCAGGTACATCTGATCTATTTATGTATGTATCTATGAATTTGTCTATTTGGCATGGCTCTTTAGCAAAATACAGGCTTTTTTTTTTTAAGTAAAAGTAATTGAAACAAAATTTGTTTCCAAGGCTGGACAGCTCAGTGGCAAAATGCAGACTTGAACAACATTGCCCGAGTTTGAATTCAGCTCCAGAGCTTACCAGCTGTGTGATACTGGACACAGTATTTAACCCTTCTGTGCCTGAGTTTCACATCTGAAAAAGGAGATGATAAAAATAATTACAGAATGAAAGGAGATAATACACATGAGGTACTTAGAATAAAGCCTGGCATACAGAACTGCAGTTTGGTTGTTATCCGTGGTGGTGGCGGTGGCGGTGGCGGTGGCGGTGGCGGTGATGGTGGTGGTGATGGTGGCGATGGTGATGATGATGGTGGTGATGGTGTTGGCAGTGATATTGGTGGTGGTGATGGTCATAGTGGGGAAGGTGATGATGATGAATGAAGATGATTAGAAAGTCCTCAGTTCACAAGGTCAGAGTGATCTAGATGACACAGGGCTCTTCGGTTATAAGAGAATATCCTTCAGGGTTCCTTTAAATGGCTCTCTCCATCTTTCGTACTACAGTGGGACTTGCCACAGGTTCTGGGGACTGTTAATGTGAGATGAGATGCTACATACCTTTTTGTTGTTGGTGGGTTTTTTTGTGTGTATGCACTGTTGTGTGTGTGTGTGTGTGTGTGTGTGTGTGTGTGAGAGACAGGGTCTCGCTCTGTTGCCCAGGGTGTAGTACAGTGGCATGATCTCAGCTCGTTGCAACTTCCGCCTTCCAGGCTCAGGCACTCCTCCCACTTCAGCCGCCTGAGTGGCTGGGAATACAGGCACGCTCCATGCTCAGCCACTTTTTGTGTTTTTCATAGAGGCAGCATCTCACTATCTTGCCTAGGCTGGTCTCGAACTCCCAGCCTAAAGTGGTCTGCCCACTTGGCCTCCCAAAGTGCTGGGATTACAGGCATGAGCCACTGCACCTGACCTGTATGCTCCTGTTAAGAGAGCTTTATTTTTATTTATTTATTTTGAGACAGGGTCTCTGTTGCTCAGGTGGGAGTGCAGAAGACACCACATACCTTTATCCCTTGTTCCTCATTTCTTAGTCTTTCTGGCTACTGATCTTTTTAGTTTGCGTGTTCATCCTGAAAGGTCCTTGGATATATAGGAGCCTTGTCTGTTTCTTCAAACCCCGTGGCAGCTGGTTTCATGCTCCAGGCGAGCTCCTGTCCTCTGGGGTGTGTCCTGCTGACCCCTCGCCTGTGTTTGTGTTCGCAGGACTGGAATGTCACGTGGAATACCAGCAACCCCGACTTCACCAAGTGCTTTCAGAACACGGTCCTCGTGTGGGTGCCTTGTTTTTACCTCTGGGCCTGTTTCCCCTTCTACTTCCTCTATCTCTCCCGACATGACCGAGGCTACATTCAGATGACACCTCTCAACAAAACCAAAACTGTAAGTCACTGGGGGGTTTCGTTGTGGGGGGTGGGAAGGTGCACCTGGACGGGGAGTGGTGGTTGGTGATAACTGACATTTCTCTTCTACTTAGTTGACCCTAAGTTCCTTCTTCTAGAAGGCAGAAGAATAATGTGGGAGGTGAAAACTGGAGCTCTGGAGACAAACATGGGTACAAATCTTTGCTCTGCCGCTTAGTATTTGGCCTCGAGCAAATTTTTTAACCTCCCCAAGCCTCAGTTTCCCTGTTTATGCAATAGGAATGATAGGCTTGTTCTCAAGGCATTCCTGGGAGATTATCAGCTCTTCCCCTCTTACTGAGCCGATCTCCTTTTTATTTAATTAAATATATTTATATAGATTTTTTCTGGCCAATTTTTAATTTATTTTTTGTAGAGAGGGGGGACTTGCTGTGTTGCCCGGGCTGGTCTTGAACACCTGGCCTCAAGCAGTCCTCCTGCCTTGGTCTCCCAAAGTACTGGGATGCTCAGTGTGAACCACCACGCCTGGCCCCTAATTTTTTTTTTAAGTTGGCTTTTATTTTGAAATAATTTAAAGCTACAGGAAAATTGCAATAATGGGCCAGGCGTGGTGGCTCACGCCTGTAATCCCAGCACTTTGGGAGGCCAAGGCGGGCAGGTCAGGAGTTTGAGACCAGCCTGACCAACATGGTGAACCTGTCTCTACTAAAAATACAAAAATGATCTGGGTGTGGTGGCATGTGCCTGTAATCTTAGCAACTTGGGAGGCTGAGGTGGGAGGATCCCTTGAACCCAGGAGGCAGAGGTTGCAGTGAACTGAGATAGTGCCACTGCACTCTAGCCTGTGCAACAGAGCGAGACTCCTTCTCAAAAAAAAAAAAAAAAAAAAAAAGTTGCGATGATACCAGGAACTGCTGCCTGATTTTCTCTATCCATCACTCATAGTCACTGTTTCCTGTTTTTTTTTTTTTGTTGTTGTTGTTTTTTGTTTTTTTTTGACACAAGGTGTTGCTCTTTTGCCCAGGCTGGAGTGCAATGGTATGATCACAGCATACTGCAACCTTGAACTCCTGGCTCAAGCCATCCTCCTGCCTCAGCTTTTTGAGTAGCTGGTAGCTGGGACTGCAGGCATACACCACCATGCCTGGCTAATTTAAAACAATTTTTTGTAGAGACAGGGTCTCGCCTTGTTGCCCAGGCTGTTGTCAAACTCCTGGCTTCCAGTGATCCTCCTGCCTCGGCCTCCCAAAGTGCTGGTATTACAGGCATGAATCTGGCCTGTATTCACTGATTTTTTAATCTTTTGCTACATTTGTTTTATCATGAGCTTTTGTTCTCTCTCTCTGTATGCATGCTATAATTTATTTTTTCTGAATCATTTGAGAATGGATGCACCTTGAAACGTATCCCACCCGTAGAGGGCTCTCAGTAAATACTGGTTGAATGAATGGTTGTCGTGGAGGGCTTTCTTGTGCAGTGCGCCGGAGTTGCAGCTAGAGATGAGCTGTGAGCTGAGCTCTTGAGTGTTCAGGCACCGGGGAGCATGGTGACCAGACAAACAGTCCTGTTGGAGGTAGTGGGGCGTAGCAGGCTGATTACAGACCATCACGTGCCGGCCTGGATGCCAGCTCACCATACCGAGGACTTGTCCTTATTCCAGTGGATATGTGCCATGTCCTAGGACTGTGGCTGATCATTTGAAGGCTGGCTGGTTCTCCTATCCCTGGGGCTGAGCTGTTCGTGCAGGCCCTGGGGGAGGTTCCAGGGCGGTCTGTTGTAGGATATGTATGTGCTTCTCTTCCAGGCCTTGGGATTTTTGCTGTGGATCGTCTGCTGGGCAGACCTCTTCTACTCTTTCTGGGAAAGAAGTCGGGGCATATTCCTGGCCCCAGTGTTTCTGGTCAGCCCAACTCTCTTGGGCATCACCATGGTAAGTAGGAGCTGGCTGTGACCCCTGGGCCATCTGCTGGGCTCAGTGGAGACCAAAAGTAATAACTCGTAAGACTAGAATCATAGTTTTTTAAGGCAATGATCAGCTGGAGCTGGGATATAAATTAAATGTAGCCTTTTTTTTTTTTTTTTTTTTTTTTTTTTTAAAGACATGAGATCTCGCTTTCATCCAGGCTGGAGTGCTATGGTACCATCATAGTTCACTGCAGCCTCAAACTTCTGGCCTCAAGCAATCCTCCTACCTCAGACTTCTGAGTAGTTGGGACTACAGGTGTGTGTCACCACGCCCAGCTTATTTTTGGCTAATTTTAAAATTTTCTGTAGAAATGGGATCTCACTGTGTTGTCTAGGCTGGTCTTAGACTCCTGGCCTCAAGTGATCCTTCCAGAGCACTGGCATTATAAGCATGAGCCACTGTTCCCAGCCCCAGCTGCAGTCTTTGGATGGGGCATGTGTTGTCCAGTTTGCCACAGTCCCCACCATGCCCTATTGTCTTCCCTGCCACTGATTGAGTGGCAGATGCCCCCTTTTGTTGCGTTTGCCACACTTTGCTCTTGCATTGGCTACTTTGGTCACTTATATACTAACTGCCTGGGGTCTAATGGCCTTGAGTTTTCACTATCTGGCATAGGGGGTGGGTTGCTAAGCTAAATAGGAAACTGCTCTGTCCCGGGGGATACACAACTTAGTGAGTGACAGAGACAAGGAAACAACTTTATTAATTACAGCTGATGTCTGTTGAGCACTTACTATGTATGTACCTGGCAGTATTCTTGGTGTTTCACGTGTCTTGAAATTCATTGAATTTTCACAACAACCCTGTGAGATGGGTCCTGCTTTGTTCCCATCTTACAGGTGAGGAAACCAGGCAAGAGAGGTTAAGTGTCCTGCTCAAGATCACACCACTAATGTGCAGCCGAGTCAGGGGTGGGACCCCAGATGCCATGCTTTTAGCCCCTGCAACCTGCAGCTTCTGAGCCCTGAACAGAGAGTTCTCGGAGAGTGTAGCCCTTGAGTATTGTAAAAAGAGGAGGGAGGCTGGGCATCGTGGCTCATGCCTGTAATCCCAGCACTTTGGGAGGCTGAGGCGGGAGAATCACTTGAGGTCGGGAATTTGAGACCAGTATAGCCAACATGGCAAAACCCCGTCTCTACTAAAAATAAAAAAATTAGCCGGCGTGGTGGCACACGCCTGTAGTCCTAGCTACTCAAGAGGCTGAGGCAGGAGAATTGCTTGAACCCGGGAAGTGGAGGCTGCAGTAAGCCGAGATCGCACCACTGTGCTCCAGTCTGGGGGACAGAGCGAGACCTCATCTCAGAAAAAGAAAAAAAAAAGGAGAGAACAAGTTTAAGGCAGGACATTCTGAGCAGGGTGAACAGTGTGTCCAGGGAGGGGTGGAAGGTTAAGGGGAGGATGCAGGCAGGGAGGACAAGGTGTTCGGTGAAGGAACACGGTGTGAAGGTTGGGGGGATAGAGTGGATATGACAGAGGGGTCAGGAAAGACAACGTGGAGCCAGGTTGCCAAGGACCATGAATCTTTATTTTTCTAAATTAATTTTTCATTTTTTAAATTTTAGAGTCAGAGTCATACTCTGTTGCCCAGGCTGGACTTCACTGGCGTGAGATCACAGCTCACTGCAGGCTTGAACTCCTGGGCTCAAATGATCCTTCTGCCTCAGCCTCCCAAGTAGCTGGGAGTGTAGGCATGCACCAACATGCCCATCTACATTTATTTTTTATTTATTTATTTTTTTATTTTTCCCCCCGAGATGGAGTTTTGCTTTGTTGCCCAGGCTGAAATGTAATGGTGTGATCTTGAGTTGCCGCAACCTCTGCCTCCTGGATTCAAGCGATTCTCCTGCCTCAGCCTCCCGAGAAGCTGGGATTACAGGCACGCGCCACCACGCCCGGCTGATTTTGTATTTTTAGTAGAGATGGGATTTCACCATGTTGGCCAGGCTGGTCTCGAACTCCGGACCTCAGGTGATCCACCCACCTAGGCCCCCCAAAGTGCTGGGATTACAGGCATGAGCCACCACCCCCGGCCAGTTTGTTATTTTTGTAGAGACAGGGTCTCCCTATGTTGCCCAGGCTGGCCTCAAACTCCTTGTCTCAAGTGATCCTCCTGTCTGGGCCTCCTAAAGTGCTAGGATTATAGGTGTGAGCCACCATGCCCTGCCCAGACCGTGATTCTATATAGCACACATATGTGCTGTCCACTCTCTGCCAAGAACTGTCCTAATCCCTTTATTAACCCTTTTACGTTGTAAATAAGGTAAGCAAAGTGTGGTACAGAGAGGAGAAGGACTGGCCCAAGGTCACCTGGTCAGTAAGTGGTAGGGCCAGCTTCCAGTCTAGGCCCCAGCGTGTAGCCTGGCACCTGCTTTACGCCTGGCTCTCCTGCTGGGTTTGATTCCCCTTTGTGTCCTCAGAGCCTGGCCCTGTGCCTGGCATGCAGTAAGCGTTCCATAAATGCATGGAGGGAATGAGAGAGTAAAGGGCTTTGCTTTGTCCTGAATTCGGGTCTTGGGCTCTGTGTTCTGGCAGTGGGGTATTAGAGTGGATTTTTTTTTTTTTTTTCAATTTCACTATAATAGAGACAGGGTCTTTCCATGTTGCCCAGGCTAGTCTTAAACTCCCGAGCCCAAGTGATCCCTCTGCCTTGGCCTCCTAAAGTGGTGGGATTACAGGCATGAGCCACCATACGTGGTCAGCTGTTTTTGACTTGAGTAGGTCATCCTCCCTTAACATTCCTTGTTCCTGGTCTTTTTTTTTTTTCCTTTGAGGCAGAGTTTCGCTCTTTTTTCCCAGGCGCAATGGCATGATCTTGGCTCACTGCAACCTCTGCCTCCCGGGTTCAAGTGATTCTCCTGCCTCAGCTTCCCCAATAACTGGGATTACAGGCACGCGCCACCACACCTGGCTAATTTTTGTATTTTTAGTAGAGATGGGGTTTCACCATGTTGGCCAGGCTGGTCTCAAACTCCTGGCCTCAGGTGATCCACGTGCCTTGGCCTCCCAAAGTGCTGGTATTACAGGCGTGAGCCACTGTGCCTGGCCGTTCCTGGTCTTTTGATCGTTCATTTATGCCTCTGTCACCCTGGGGGAAACAGGGGTGATAGTCTGAGGGTTGGGGCTTTTGACTCCTCAGGGGACTCTGAGCTGGGCTGGCCAAGAGGTGAACTGGCCTGTGAGATCCTCAGCCTCTCTTTATCTACCTGAGATCTCTGGGATGGAATGGAGGACCACCAGCTCAGCTGTGAATGTGTCAGAAACATTCTGACTATATCCCAGGGAACCAGGATATGCAGGCACTGGTAATATGGGACAGGATGCAGCCAGCACATGTTTTTTTTTTTTTTTCTTTGAGATAGCGTCTCACTCTGTCGCCCAGGCTGGAATGCAGTGGCATGATCTCAGCTCAGTGTAGCCTCCGCCTCCCAGGTTCAAGTGATTCTCCTGCCTCAGCTTCCCAGCTAGCTGTGACTAAAGGCGTACACCACCACGCCTGGCTAATTTTTGTATTTTTAGTAGAGATAGGGTTTCACCATGTTGGCCAGGCTGGTCTCAAACTCCTGACCTGCCCGCCTTGGCCTCCCAAAGTGCTGGGATTACAGGCATGAGCCACTGCACCTGGCTGATTTTTTTTTTTTATCCCTACTCTGTATCAAGCGTTGGAGACACAACCATATAGTCTAGCTGTGCAAACAGACATTAAACAAATGATTCCTCAAAAGGCACAAAGTGTTTGAACGTCTGCAGAGTGCTGTGTGAGGGTGAAGGCAGGGGAGCTTGGTTTGGTCTGGGGCATAGCCAGGCTTCTCTGAGGGAGGGATGGTGGAGGTGAAGCCTGAGAATGAGCAAGTTGTTAAAAAGCTTAAGGGGCTGAGGGCAGAGGACCAGCTGCGGAGAAAAGCACATGTAAAGTCCTGAGGGTCACAGGGAAAACTTGAGAGTTGTGTGTGGCTGGAGCAGAGATGGCCGAGGCGGAGAGTAGGGGCGATGGGGCAGAGGCTGACCCCGGGAACGTTGAGCATCAGGGCAAGTGGGTTTTGTTTTCTGTACTGGGTTCTCTGCCTGTTCTTTTAAATAAAGTTTTATTGGCATGAAGGCATGTCCATTCATTAACATCTTGTCTATGGCCACTTTCACACTGCAGTGGCAAAGCTGAGTAGTTTTGATGTAGTCTATGGCCCATGAAGTCCAAAATATTTATTACGTGGTCCATTAAGAAATAGTGTGGCTGGGAGCAGTGGCTCACACCTGTAATCCCAGCACCTTGGGAGGCCAAGGCAAGTGGATCACCTGAGGTCAGGAGTTTGAGACCAGCCTGGCCAACGTGGTGAAACCCCGTCTTTACTAAAAATACAAAAATTAGCTAGGCATGGTGGCGGGCACCTGTAGTCCCAGCTACTTGGGAAGCTGAGGCAGGAGAATCACTTGAACCTGGGAGGCGGAGGTTGCAAGTGAGCTGAGATTGCACCACTGCGCTCCAGCCTGGGCGACAAGAGTGAAACTCTGTCTCAAAAAAAAACCCAACAACTCCTGTCTTGTGCTTCTCTCCTCAGCTGCTTGCTACCTTTTTAATTCAGCTGGAGAGGAGGAAGGGAGTTCAGTCTTCAGGGATCATGCTCACTTTCTGGCTGGTAGCCCTAGTGTGTGCCCTAGCCATCCTGAGATCCAAAATTATGACAGCCTTAAAAGAGGTAAGTGGCAGTCTCCTTCCTCATCTTCCTTCAGTGGACCCGGAGGGAGAGATGCTGGGTCCCTCTGGCTTGTGTAGAAGTCATGCGTTGCCATGGGAACCAGGGGCTGGGTACCACATGCACCTAGCTTCTCCCTTGGTGACTTTCCTACCCCACCAAATCCTCACTAAATCAGCCCCAGCCTTTTTTCTAGCACCTCCTTTCCCCAGGGCCTGATTTGTCTGTGTTGCTCCAAGGGGCTCCCATGGGACCTCCAAGGGCAGGAGCTGTGGGCCGATGCCAGGCTGGCCCCATCAGCAGGAAACAGCAAGACAGGCGGCTCCAAATTTTGCCAGGCTGGGATGGAGCCGAGCCGGGAACGGTGTTTGCAGAGTGACTGTTCCCCTGGGGGACCCTAGGCTTGTCCTCACGTTACCTTTGTCCCATCAGTTGCTGCTCTGGCTGGGGAAGTTGTTTACATTGGCTGCTGTGTGCTGCTGCTAGGAATTTTGAGGAGTGTGCACTTTTTTTTTTTTTTTTTTTGCTGTTGTTGAGGCGGAGTCTCGCTCTGTCACCAGGCTGGAGTGCAGTGGCACGATCTAGGCTCACTGTAACTTCTACCTCCTATGTTCAAGCGATTCTCCTGCCTCAGCCTCCCGAGTAGCTGGGACCACAGGCACGCGCCACCATGCCCAGCTAATTTTTGTATTTTTAGTAGAGACGGGGTTTCACTACGTTGGCCAGGATGGTGTCGATCACTTGACTTCGTGATCCACCCACCTCGGCCTCCCAAAGTGTTGGGATTACAGGCGTGAGCCACCACGCCTGACCTGGAGTGTGTGCTTTTGGAATAACCTGCTGTTCCTGCCATCTTGGAGCTAATTAGAGACTGGCATGAGGCAAAGGAAGGAAAAGAAGCTGAACATTTGACTATTGATTGCCTACATATTATTATGAGTGATAGCAGCTGATGCTGATTGAGTTCATGTTTTCAAAGTGCCTCGCAGGGGACTGTGTATGTGTCACGAATAATCTTCCTGACCTCTTGCAGTGACTTGGACAGAATTTCTCAGCCTCAGCACTAATCGACATTTTGGATTGGAGACTCGTTGGTTGTAGGGGCTGTCCTGTGCTTTGTAGACATTTAGGGGTGTCCCTGGCTTCCCCTGACTGGGTGCCATAACACTCCCAAGTTACCACAAAGAAGATATCCCCAGACACTGCCAGATGTTTCCTGGGAGGCAGAATCACCCCTGGTTAAGAACCACCGGTGGTTTATAGGTGGGGAATCTGAGGCACAGAAAGGTTAAATAAGTTGACAAGATCCCACAGCCAGTGTGAGAGAGCCAGGCCTTGATACAGCTCTGTTTCACTCCCAAGCCCTGTCTTCCTCCCATCAGGCAGCGGTGAGCAGTGAGACTACCCGTGATGGAGCCGGCTTTCTGCCATTACATCCCGGGGGGAGCTGGGAGCCCCTGGGGAGCCTGCAGTGTCCCTGTGGCTGAGTGGGTTTCTGCCACCTGCTCTCAGAATGTGATCTTGGTTTTTTTTTTTTTTTTTTTTTTGAGATGGAGTTTTGCTCTGTCACACAGGCTGGAATGCAGTGGCGTGATCTCGGCTCACTGCAGCCTCCGCCTCCTGGGTTCAAGTGATTCTCCTGTCTCAGCCTCCCGAGTAGCTGGGATTACAGTTGCCCACCACCACGTCTGGCCAATTTTTGTATTTTTAGTAGAGACGGGGTTTCACCATGTTGACCAGGATGGTCTCCAACTCTTGACCTGAGGTGTTCCGCCTGTCTCGGCCTCCAAAAGTGCTAGGATTACAGGCGTGAGCCACCACACCCAGCCCCAGAATGTGATCTTTTTCTTCCTTCCTTCCCCACCATGTAGGATGCCCAGGTGGACCTGTTTCGTGACATCACTTTCTACGTCTACTTTTCCCTCTTACTCATTCAGCTCGTCTTGTCCTGTTTCTCAGATCGCTCACCCCTGTTCTCGGAAACCATCCACGACCCTGTAAGTGTGACCACAGATGAGTGTGTGTGCGTGTGTGTGTGAGAGAGATGCGTGACACAGTACCAGCTAACATTTCTTAGATCCATCCAGGATCTCGTTCCAGCCTCCCTCAACCCCTGATACAGGGAATATCATCCCACCTACTTTACAGATGGAAAAACTGAGGCTTAGATGTGGCTGGGGGAGCTGAAGGAGAGAATCTGCTTTGTCATTGATGAACTGCTGTCTTGCAGGCCTGTAGGTTTCTCACTTGGCATGGTGATTTTGGAAAATGTGAGCAGATAATTACAAATCAGGTATTTTTTATGAATTCTAGCTGTCCAGATGTTCTGGAAAAGTAAAGTTCTGACAGATTAGGCCTATTCCTGCAGGGCAGAGCTGAGGAGTTGCTGGAGTCCCCGGCACTCCCTATTGTATTATACTGGCATGCTTTCCTCACTTGTGGCAAATGCCTGGCCCGAGGGATTTGAGTTTGAGATCCTTGGTCTATTTTGTCAGTTTCAGAGAAATTCTGTAAATATGGAAACTTATCAGTGAGGAGTGTAGAGATGGCCACCGTTTCTGCTAGTAGAACAAAAGGGAACACTTTATTAATTTCCCTTAATTCTTTTCTTCTTTTTTTTGAGACAGGGTTTTGCTCTGTTGCCTAGGCTGGAGTGCAGTGGTGTGATCTCGGCTCACTGTAGTCTTGACCTCCTGGGCTCAAGCAATCTTCCTACCTCAGCTTTCTGAGTAGCTGGAATTACAGGCACACACCACCATGCCTGGCTAATTTTTTTTCTTTCTTCAACTTTTATTTTAAGTTCCAGGGTATAGGTACAGGATGTGCAAGTTCGTTACATAGGTAGATGTGTGCCATGGTGATTTGCTGCACAGATCAACCCATCATCTAGGAATCAAGCCCAGGATCCATTAGCTATTCCTCCTGATGTTCTCCCTACACCTGCTCCCCAACTTGGCTTACTTTTAATTAATTAATAATTAAAGATGGGGAGATGGTCTCAAACCCCTGGGCTCAAGCGATCCTCTTGCCTTGGCCTCTCAAAGTGCTGGGATTACAGGTGTGAGTCACCACGCCTCGCCTATTCTTTATTTTTTTAAATAGAGATGGGATCTTGCTGTGTTGCCCAGGCTCATGTGCAGCTTTTGATAAGAGAGATCTGGGAAGGCCTGCCCAGAAAACTGCATGTGAGCGGAGACCTAGAGGGGTGAGGTAGTGGGTGGAGCAAACACCTAGAGGAAGAGTGTTCCAGGCAGAGGGGAATAAGTACAAGGGCCCTGGGGTGGGGAGGTGTGGAGAGAACAGCAAGAAAAGCCAGCACAGCAGGAGAAGGCTAAGAGACAGTGGGTGCCTGAGAGGTGGGACAGCCCCCTTGTGAGCCAGATGAGCTGTTTGGGTTTTATTGTGAGTATGGGGCAGGGAGGCCTTGGAGCACCTATTTGATGCTGATTCATGGCTAGTCAGCTGGTAATGGGCGGATTGCAGTGGGAGAACTTTTCACCTCTGTGGTTCTGTTGGGTTTGGCCTAAACCTCTGTGAGGGGCAGAGGCTCACCTTGTGGGTGACGAAAGGGCTTGGTGGGCATCAGTATGGAGGAGGAGGTTGATGATAACTAAGAGATTTTAGAAACCTATGTCTCAGGCCAGGTGTGGTGGCTCACACCTGTAATCGCAGCACTTTGGGAAGCTGAGGCAGGCAGATCAGTTGAGTTCAGGAGTTCGAGACCAGCCCAGCCAACATGGTGAAATGCCATCTCTGCTAAAAATACAAAAATTAGCCAGGCATGGTGGTGCATGCTTGTAATCCCAGCTAGTCGGGAGGCTGAGGCAGGAGAATCTCTTGACCCTGGGAGGCGGAGGTTGCAGTGAGCAGAGATCACACCACTGCGCTCCAACCTGGGTGACAGAATGAGACTCTGTCTCAAAAAAAGAAAAAAGAAATGCATGTCCCAGTGTATGTTCTGAGGAGTCCCGTGTTGGTATTTCCTTGCCCAAAGAGGAGCTGGGTTGGAGAAATGAGCAAGTGCACACATCTGTGTATGTATTCCTGTGCATCTGTGTGTACGTGTGCATGTGCCTGCTTGTGTGTCTCGGTAGTCATAGGCATGTATATGCGTGTATGTGCTTATATGTGAATGTGTGCTTGTGAGTGTGTTTATGTTCATGTATGTGTGTGTTTGAATATGTGTGTGTGTGTGTCTTTGTGTTGTGTGTGCTTGCATATGTATAAAGTTCACAAAGGCAATGGTGACTCATGCCTGTAATCCCAGCACTTTGAAAGGCCAAGGCTAGAGGATCGCTTGAGCCCAGGGGTCACCCCATTTTGGATCCCTGGCTGGTGCCTGACACAGAAGAGAGGGGCTCATGAGTCAGTGGCTGTTATATGTATTGTGTATCAGTGTGTGTAAGTGTGTGGCAGCCGAGTGTCCCTGTTTGTCAAATGTTGGGCTATTCTTTTTTGTCTTTTGTTTGTTGTTTTTTTCTGTTGTTTTGTTTTGTTTTTAGACGGATTCTTGCTCTTGTTGCCCAGGCTAGAGTGCAGTGGCATGATCTCGGCCCACTGCAACCCCGCCTCCTGGGTTCAAGCGATTCTTCTGCTTCAGCCTCCTGAGTAGCTGGGATTACAGGCGCCCATCACCATGCTCGACTAATTTTTGCATTTTTAGTAGAGATGGGGCTTCACCATCTTGGCCCGGCTGGTCTCGAACTCCTGACCTCAAGTGATCCACCCGCCTCGGCCTCCCAAAATGTTGGGATTACAGGTGTGAGCCACCGTGTCTGGCCGAGCCATTCTTTAGAACTGGGATTTATACAAAACAAGTCACACCTCAACTGGGTGGCTGCAGACCTTGGATTGCTCAGGGTAAACAGAGTCTGGTTGGGGCTGCCTGGCTGGCGTGGGGATCACCCAACCCATCAAGCTTCCTCTGGGAGCCTGGGAAGAGCTCTCTTGCCATGGATGGTTCTGGAAGCTTTTTGAAGGAGGGACTTTCTTAATTTCTGATCTCCCTTGGGAATCTGGATAAATTCCCTTTCACTTCTCCCCTGGGCGTGTGTGTACCAGGGTGACTCACAGATCTGACTTGGACCTTTTTTTGTGCTTTCTGCATTCCTGGCAGCCTGGGCCTGGGATTTGCTCTGCCACCCTGGGTGACATGAAGCTCTCAGCTCTGGCGGCTAAAAGGCTACACTGTTGTGGGGCTGGGACACCCTGACTCTTCTCCCCAGTCATTGTTTTCTGTTTCTGTGTCATCTCCCCCAGCTCGGCTCCTCCTGTGTCACTGCTGGTCTTCCAAGATGGTGGAAGACACTGTGGTTTGTCTCTTTGCAGTCTCGCTCTGTCGCCAAGGCTGTAGTGCAGTGGCATGATCTTGGCTCTGCAGCCTCTGCCTCCCAGGTTCAAGCAATTCTCCTGCCTCAGCCTCCTGAGTAACTGGGACTACAGGCGCACACCACCATGCCTGGCTAGTTTTTGTATTTTTAGTAGAGATGGGGTTTCACCGTGTTGGCCAGGATGGTCTCGATCTCCTGACTTCAAGTGATCCGCCCACTTTGGCCTCCCAAAGTGCTGGGATTACAGGCTTGAGCCACCGTGCCCGGCTGTGGTCTGCCTCTTGTGCAGTGAGATCCAGCAGGGTGTCAAATGTGGGTGTGCAGGCTGCTGCATTTCTGACATTTGTGCACCTGTCCAGGAGAGAACACTTTGATTGGCTGACACTCTCTGTCCAGGAAGCCTGAACTTCCCTCTGGGTTCCTGTTCAGGAACCCCATGGGGTTGCCATTTACCTTTTTGCAGATTAGAGTTTAGACCAGGAGTTAGCCAGTAGCCCATGGGCCGAATCTGGCCTGCTGCCTGTTTTTGTAAATAAAGTTTTATTGGAACACAGCCACTCGCGTTCATCACATAGTGTCTACAGGTGTCTGGAGCTGCAGCAGTGGAGTTGTGTAGTTGCTACAGAGACTGTAGCACCCACAAAGTCTAAGATACCTACCATCTGACCCTTTACAGAAGAAGTTTGTCCACCCCTGGTCTAAGCATTTCTTTAGCTCTGATGACTTTTTAGCTTCCTTTTTTGTCCCCTTTCCATTTGCAGGCATTCTTTCTTCCTATGCAAGGCAAGGACGGGAATCGACATTTATTAGATGCTTGCGGTGTACTGGCTAGCACTATGCTAAGTTCTTTATATGCATGTCTCACTTGACTCTCACAGCAGTCCTGGTGAACTTGGTACTATTTTTCTCATTTTACAGACAAACAATCGCAGACATAAGTGCCTTGCTCGACCTGAGTAGTAGAGCAGAGATTCGAACTCACGACTGGCTGTTGTGCACAATCATGTCACTTCGCTTGGTTGTAACTGCTGAATGGGAGGGTCTTGGCTAAATAATGGCTTTGTGTTAGGCTAGAGGCTTCACGTGGCAGTATCCACCTTGTAACCTCAGTGCCTAAGACACAGCCAGGCACACGGTGGGCCTGTAGTGGTAATTTATTGTTGTGTTATATGGGGAGGTGCTCAGTACATGTGGCACGTATATTATGTCTTGCATAAGGGTGAAGTGTGCATGAGGCCTCACAGGACATCAGATTAAGCTGCTTCTCTGCCTTCATCCTGTTCAAGTATTACCAGCAAGAAAGAGGAAGGGGACTGATGTATGCACAGATGTTCTGAAGGCTTGGCATGGTGTCAAGAGCCTTATTTTTTTTTTTAATGTTGCATTTTGGGGGGTTAAATATATGTAACCTAAGATTTGCCATTTTAACCATTTTAAGTATGCAATTCAGTGATGCTAAGTGCTTTTAAAAATCTTGTTCAAGGCCAGGTGTGGTGGCTTACACCTATAAACCCAGCACTTTGGGAGGCCGAGGCAGGTAGATCACCTGAGATCAGGAGTTTGAGACCAGCCTGACCAACATGGTGAAATCCCATCTCTACTAAAAATACAAAAATTAGCTGGGCATGGTGTTGAGCACCTGTGATCCCTGCTATTTAGGAGGCAGAGGCAGGAGAATTGCTTGTGCCCGGGAGGCGGAGGTTGCAGTGAGCTGAGATCGCTCCAGTCTGGGCAACAGACTGAGACCCTGTCTCAAACAAACAACGAACAAATGAACAAACAAACAAACAAAATAACCACATAACTACCTAGCAACGTAGCCTAGCAATTGAGATGGGGGCAAGGAAGGGTAGGAACCAGGTCCTGTGAGAATCAGCTAGACTTGTGGCTTTGGGCTCGGTGCTCTTCCTTTGGGGACGTCAGCAGCCCCTTCTTGAAAACGGGTTGCAACTCGATTTGTTGTTGGCTTCACCTCCTCTCTCTGTCCCAGACCTGAGCCCTGTGATCTGGGGAGGAGGACAACGGGACAACCTGTTTGCTTGTTTTCCCATCACTCTCAGGGATTGAATCACAGTGGAGCCAGGAAGATGGGGAGAGTCCAGGCTTGCTGCTCTCCCATCCTCAGAGCAGCAGCAGGCCATCCATCACCTGTCGCCTGTCCTCAGAGTGATCAGCCAAGGCCTGGGGCGGCTGGGGTCAGGTCAGGCAGGGCCTGGGTGGGAGCTGGCAGGGCTGGCTCCTCCAGGCCACTTCGTGCTGAGTCACTGAGTCGGCCAATCCTCCCCAGCTGGCCCTGCTCCCACTCCATGACTCAGATGTCTATTCCAGCCCTGGCTGCTTGGTGGGGCTCCTCCCATCTGTCCTTCTGGCTCTGGGGCTGCCGAGGCTTTTGGGAGCCTGGGCAGGGCTGACCAAGACTGCCAGAGCTCCGGCCGGTCCCCAGTCTCCTGCCTTTTTTCTCATTGGCACTGAGTCTGTGGTTTAGGTTTGGGGGAGGAGGGTCTTGTAGATAAGGGGATCAAGGCCAAAGGAGATCATTTATTAGGTCCCAGCTGAAAGCAGAGGTCCTTGGACCAGTTGGAATGCTCGACATCCCCCGGAAGCTTGCTAGAAATGCTGGGTCTCAGGCCTCATCCCAGACCTACCAAGTCAAACTCATTTTAACAAGATCTCCAGGTGGTTCAGGGTTGCAAATCACTGGTTTGGAACATTCAGTGAAAGCTACTCAGCTCGTTTGCAGTAAGAGTTATTTTTAGTCCTGTCTGTATAATATGTAATATTTTCCCCCCAGCATTTTACTATGAACATTCTTAAACCTACAGAAAAGTCGAAAGAATTCTACTGTGAGCAGTCATATAGTTGGTACCTAGAGCCACAGTTAACATTTTGCTAAACTTGCTTTGTCACATATCTGTCTGTCTAACCAGATAGCTAATCAGCCAGCCAACCGGCTACTTTTGTTTTGTTTTGTTTTTGAGATAGGGTCTCACTCTGTCTCGCAGACTAGAGTGCAGTGGTGTGATCATAGCTCACTGCAGCCTCCAACTCCTGGGCTCCAATGATCTTCCCGCTTCTGCCTCCCAGGTAGCTTGGGCCCTACAGGTGCACACTACTGTGTTTGGCTAATTTTTAAATTTTTTGTAGGCGTGAGGGCTCCTTATGTTGCCCAGTCTGGTCTTGAACTCCTGGCCTCAAGCCATCCTCCCACCTCAGCCTCCCAAAATACTGGGATTACAGGCCTGAGCCACTGAACCTAGTTTTTTTGATATCTGAAACTTCCTTCGAAATATATTAGTATTCTTTCATGCACCCACTTCCAAGTAAATCATTAGCTAGAGTTTAAGATCTGTTTACACTTCTGAGTTTTTTGCTTAAAATTTACATACAGTGAAATTGCTGATCTCAAGTTAGCATTTGATGAATCTTGGTAAAGGAATACTTTAAACCCCTGTCAAGATACAGAACACTGCAAGGACGCCAGGAAGTTCCCTCGTGCCCCTTCATGATCAGTCTCTGTCCCCACCCACCAAGGCCTGATCTTGGACCGTTGATTAAAGCGTTGAAACTCCATTTTCTTTCCATTTCTCCGTCATGCTTTCAGTCATTTAATAATCAGGTGTTGTGCCAGGGGCTGAGCTAGAAAGAAACAGACCTTGACCACTGCCCTGGAGGAGAGATGGAAGGTGGGTGGCAGGCAGTTGAACCAACAACTGCAGGATGGACAGTGGGGGCTCTGAGGGAGGGAAGTGCTGGGAGTTGTGGGGGCTGGGAGAGTGGTCCCTGACTCAGCCTGGGGCTCCAGGGCTAGCATCCAGGGAGGAGAGGGGATGCTCAAGTCTAAGGAATGCGAGGCTCTGGCCAGGTGAATATGGTTGGAGGTGGTGGGGTGGGAGGGTGCTCCTGGTAGAGCAACTGGCATGTGCAAAGGTCCAGTTGAGGGAGCTTGTGGGTGTTGGGAATCACTTGGAATTCGGCTTGGCTAGGCTGGGTGCAGTGGCTCATGCCTGTAATCCCAGCACTTTGGGAGGCCGAGGCAGGCAGATCACCTGAGACTAGGAGCTCAAGACCAGCCTGGCCAACGTGGTAAAACCCCGTCTCTACTGATCATAAAAAAATTAGCTGGGTGTGGTGGTGCATGCCTGTAATCCCAGCTACTCGGGAGGCTCAGGCAGGAGAATTGCTTGAACCCGGGAGGCGGAGGTTGCAGTGCGCCGAGATCGCGCCACTGTACTCCAGTCTGGGCGACAGAGCAAGACTCTGTCTCAAAAGAAAGAAAGAAAAAAAGAATTCTGCTTGGCTAGATTGGAAGGGCTAGGATGTAAGCGAAAAGAGAGGCAAGAGTCAGGGAGCATCAGAGATCAAGGGTGCAATTATGTGTCACAATAAGGACTTGGAATTTTTTGTTTGTTTGTTTGTTTTGAGATGGAGTTTCACTCTGTCACCAAGGTTGGAGTGCGGTGGTGCCATCTCAGCTCACCGTGCCCTCCACCTCCGGGGCTCAAGCGATCCTCCCACCTCAGCCTCGCAAGTAGCTGGGACCATAGTTGCGTGCCACCACGCCCAAGTAACTTTTTCTGTTTTTGGTAGAGATGGGGTTTCTGTATGTTACTCAGGCTGGTCTTGAACTCCTGAGCTCAAGTGATGCCCTGCCTTGGCCTCCCAAAATGCTAGGATTACAGGGATGGGTGAACCACCACATCCAGCCAGGACTTGGAATTTTAACCCTACTGTGGTGGGAGCTGAGGAAAGGTTTTTCACCAGTGGAATGACACACTCAGGTTGGACAGGTTGTGGAAGATCCTCAGGCTCAAATGAAGAGGATACATTGGACATGGGGGTGAGGTCGGTGGCACTTAAAAAGCCTTTGCAGGCACCCAGGCAGGTAGAGAGGGAGGCTGAGCCAGGATATTCCCCTGTGCCCACTACAGCATCAAAAACCAGAAAAAGGGCCAGGTGCGTGGCTCACACCTGTAGTCTTGGCATTTTGGGAGGCTTAGCGGGGAAGATTTCTTGAGACCAATCTGGTCAACATAGTGAGACCCCATCTCTTGAAACAAAAAAACAAAGAAAACAGACAAGTTGATGGGCAAAGGGCATGGGCAAAGATTCTGGGGTGTGCTCCAGTAGAGGAAACGGAGGTCCTGGGCAGGGAGGCATTTTGCACAGTTGGTAAGCAACAGGGCAAACAAATCACCAGTGTTTACGTTATACTGGCAAATCTCTTACTGCTGGACATTTAGGCTCCGTCTAATAATAAGGATAACAGCTGGGTGCACTGTATTATTTATTTAGTCCTCACAGTAGGGCAGGATGATCAGTCTCCCCACTTGACAGATGAAGACACTGAGGGTCAGAGTGGTGATGTGTCAGGAACCCTCCCACTGGGTTCTCACGCTTGAAACACAGATTGCTGGTCCCCACCCACACAGTTTCTGATGCAGTAGGTCTGGGTGGGGCCCGAGCATCTGCGGTTCCCAACAAGTTCCCAGGTGCCACCGATGCTGGTGACAGAGCTGCGTTTGAGGATCACTGCTCTAAACATTATTGCTGCTGCACGCATTGCCTCCTGCTGGGTGCAGGGGTTGTGGGGGGCACTTTGGCAGTGCAGAGCGGAGGTAACCAGCAGAAAACCCGTTAGAACTAAAAGCTGAGAGTGTTTCTGACAAACAGGTCAACATGCTGAAAGACCCAGACAAGGTCCTTAAACTACCCTGCGCTCCAAGAATCAGTGCCTGGGGCTGCCGTACCTAATTGGTTCAAACCACAGGGTTTCTGGCCAGCTCATCTGGTACCAAACGTAGATGTCAATATGGTGGATGCCAAAGAACACATCACTCTGTTTGGATGAATCAGGCTTTTCCTCCCTCTGCCTTCAGCCAGGACTTCTCTGAATTGTTTTCATTTCAAATGAAAGAGGGACCAGTTCACAAGCTGCTTTCATGCTATCTGGGACAGGAGTTACTGTATTTCAGTGTCTGAGGCTGGGAAACCCCCTGGAGGTGGCTCTGTCTTTTGTACCTAGTGTGTGATGTCAAAAGATTCTCCTTGGTTTGGGTTAAATGACATGCTCCCTGGATTACAATCCAGTGCCCCATGATTTTTTTTCCTCCTTTTTTATTGTCAATCCTTGACCTACTTCAGAAGTTAGTTGTCTTTGTTGTCAAGTAAGGCCTTCCACGTCAGATAGAGGCTGTTTCCAGGCCGGGTGCAGTGGCTCATGCCTGTAATCCCAGCACTTTGGGAGGCCGAGGTGGGTGGATCGCTTGAGGTCAGGAGTTTGAGACCAGCCTGGCCAACATGATAAAACCCCCGTCTGTACTACAAATGCAAAAATTAGCCAGGCATGGTGGTGTGCACCATGTAATCCCCGCTATGTGGCAGGATGAGGCAGGAGAACTGTTTCAATTTGGGAAGCGGAGGCTGCAGTGAGCTGAGAACGCACCATTGCGCTGCAGCCTGGGCGATGAGAGTGAAACCGTCTCAAAAAAAAAAAAAAAAGGCTATTTCTTTTTTTTTTTTTTTTTTTTTTTTTTTTGCCAGTGAAGGGGGGACCCTGTGTTGGCCTCCCTATCGGTCACTTGAGATAATCTGAAAATCTGTGTTTAGATCCATAGAAGAGAGGCGGCCTGAGGAGAAGAATTTGACAAAGCTCTTTGAGTGTGCAAATTAGAAATGGCAATTGCTGGGCGCGGTGGGTCATGCCTGTAATCCCAGCGCTTTGTGAGGCCGAGATAGGCGGATCAGTTGAGGTCAGGAGTTCGAGACCAGCCTAGCCAACATGGTGAAACCCCATCTCTATCAAAAAATCCAAAAATTAGCCAGGTGTGGTGGCAGATGCCTATAATCCCAGCTACTCAGGAGGCTGAGGCAGGAGAATTGCTTGAACCTGGGAGGTGGAGGTTGCAGTGAGCCGAGATCGGGCCACTGCACTCCAGCCTGGGCGACAGAGTGAGACTCAGTCTCAAAACACAAAAAACAAAAAACTGTGCAGTGTTCTGTCTGTCAATGTCCTTGTTGCATTTGCAGGGCAGGTTTTCTACCAGTGGCTGGGGACTTAGTTTTACTGGGCCGAGGGAAGGTTAGGATTTGAGGGTCTTGTTAAGCTGGATATGGGCTGCATTTCAAGCCTCCCCTGGCTGTCTCTATCCTGCGTGTTGATGCCAAGGCTGAAGAAGACTGGATTTGCAGGCAAAAGACTGTCATTTGAGGCCTGTTTTCACCCCTTAATCACTGTGTCTTGGTATGTTGTGGGGGTTGAGGTAGGCAGAGGTTAGCCAACCTTTTCTGGAAAGGGCTGGCTGATAAATACTTGAGGCTTTGCATCCCATACACTGTCTGTGGCAACCCCTAACTCCGCTGTGTAGCTCAAAAGCTGCCATACTCATTTATAATACATAAATGAATGGGTGTGACTGTTCCAATGAAACTTTATTTATAAATAGCTGGTCTGTGGGCCATAGATGCTTCTGATATATAAAGCATCTGGTATAGTGGTGTATTGTGAACCCACTGGGGTTTTTTCCCCCCCAAACACTTGAGCTTTATTGATGTATATTGACAAATAAAAATGGTATATAGGTTGGGCACGGTGGTTCATGCCTATAATCCCAGGACTTTGGGAGGCCGAGGCAGGTGGATCACTTGAGCTCAGGAGTTCGAGACTAGCTCAAGGAATAGAGTGAAATTCTGTCTCTACAAAAAATACAAAAATTAGCTGGGTGTTGTGGTGTGCGTCTGTAGTCCCAGCTACCTGGGGGGCTGAGGTGGGAGGATCACTTGAACCTGGGAGGTCGAGGCTGCAAAGAGCTATGATTACACTACCGTGCTCCAGCCTGGGTGACAGAGCGAGACCCTGTCTCGAAAATATATTTAAGGTGTACAGTTTTATGTTTCCATATACCAGAGGCTACTGTCACTGCTTCTATTATTATTACTACTACTACTACTCATGTTACCCTTTCTTTGGCTGTTACTTTGTGCCAGGTACTATTCTAAGTACTTACCATGTTTGATCTCATTTAATCTTCACCACCAAGGAACTGACCCAAGGTCCCACAGCTAGGAAATGGCAAGCTGGGATTGAGCCGTGCCAGCTAGCCCCGTGCTATGCACTGCTTCACACAGAAGCTGCCCCTCCACCCCTGCCGCCTTCCTTTTCCTTTGTTCCTTTGTTATCAGCTGGCCGTTTCCAGAAACGGTTGGTTAACCTCTGCCTACCTCAACCCTCAGTGATTAAGGGGTGATATCGGGCCTCAAATGACTGACCTTTTTCCTTTGTTGCAGCTCTCACTGATTGTAATTCTGATTGTAATTATATATTTGTTTGCACCGTGGTTTACTTACTGTCCATCTTCCCCAGGGCAGGAGGCTGAATGGGGCAGGGGTCTCGCTGTCTCGTTTGCAGCTCCGTCCGCGGCACTTCACCCACATCCTGGCCTATAAGCAAGTCCTGCCCATATATTTGACCAATAAATAAATGAATCATTGACAGCCATGTCCCACCCCTTCCTCCTCTCTCTGCCAGCCAGCACCTTGGTCTTTCACAGTGGGTAGAGGGCTTGGGCTGCAGGTGAAATGGATTTGCAATTCCCTGATAACCCACCCGCCGACTGTGGGAGTGGGCAGGAAGGTGTCAGCTCTTCCGGATGAAAAACCAGCCTGCAATGCAGTGTTTCTACCCAGCCTACAAAGCAAACACCACTACCTCCACGCCTTAGGTTGGAGAAATTCCGCTTTACGACACAGTCCCATGGGCCTCATGTCATTTGTCCCTCCTGGCAGTCCCGGGGGATAGGTCGAGCAAGCAGTAGGACAAACGACTCCCATTTTCCAGGTGTAAAAACTGAGGCTTGGAGGTGAAGGGACTTGCCCAAGGTCATCAGCTAGAATATAGCAGGGCTGGGATTAGAACCCAGGTCTGTCCGGGTCCACGGTCTGATCTGAACTCGGCTTCAGTTGGTCTGGAATGCACCGGCTGCATCTGATGATCTTATTAAAGATCTGTGGCTGTCAGGGTCCTCCCCCTAGAGGTGCTGATTTAGTTGGTCTGGGTTGGGGCCCTAGGCACTTGGCACTTAACAAACTCCTTAGGTGATTCCAGTGGACAGGCAGGGCTGGGAACTTCATCACCCCTCCGAGCCCCAGAGCGGAGCCTGATCCTTAGCCCTGGCTGTGTATTTGAATCACTGGAGGAGCTTTTTATTTAGCCTTTTATGATGGAAACATAAAGTAGACAGCATAGGATAATGAACTACCATGAGCTCTTTTTCTTTTCTTTTTATTTATTTTTGAGACAGGGTCTCACTATTACCCAGGCTGGAGTGCGATGGCACAATCTCAGCTTGCTGCAACCTCTGCCTCCCGGGTTCAAGCCATTCTCGTGCCTCAGCCTCTTGAGTAGCTGGGACTACAGGCACGTGCCACCATGTCCGGCCAATTTTTATATTTTTTGTAGAGACAGGGTCTTGCCATGTTGCCCAGACTGGTCTCGAACTCCTGAACTCAAAGCAGTTCTCCCGCCTCAGCCTCCCAAAGTGTTGGGGTTACAAGTGTGAGCCACTGCGCCCAGCTGCCATGAGCTCTTTACCATGCATTGCATAGGTGAACGTTTTAATATGTATCTCTGAAGGACATGGATTTGTTTATTTTTAATGACTTTTTATTTCGCAATAGTTTGGCTCACAAAAAGTTGCAAAAATAACAGAGTTCCTGATGTTCATTGCTCAACTTTCTCTAATGATAACATCTGAAAGATAAGAATTTTAAAAACTGTAACTGTTGGGCTGCATGTGATGGCTCATGCCTGTAATTCCAGCACTTTGGGAAGCTGAGGCAGGAGGATCACTTAAGCCCAGGAGTTTGAGACCAGCCTGATCAATATAGGTAGACCTTGTCTTGACAAAAAACATGTATATGTGACTGTAATACTAACTTTAATAATAATTCATTATTATCAAATATTCCAGTAATCCATTGTGTTTGTACAATGGCTCATTCTTCTATGATATCATTCTTTATGTTTTAGCTGGGATTTTTTTATGGAAAAGAGTTTCCCCTTCATTTCTTTGATCACTGATCACTCTGTGGTGATCGAATAAATGACTGTTTTCCTCAGGGAAGCCTTCTCCAACCCTGGTGAACCAAATGAGTACATTTGGGAAAGGTGGAGAAAATACTTGTTTCTTTCCGCTTTTTCTGTGTTCAAACAATGACCTGGTTCACTGACAACATCAGATGTTTCTCTTTATTTCCAGCGTCAATATGAAATTTGTGTACATAAACATGTAAGGCTGGGCGCAGTGGCTCAAGCCTGTAATCCCACCACTTTGGGAAGCCACGGTGGGCAGATCACTTGAGTCAGGAGTTCGAGACCAGCCTGTTCACCAACATGGTGAAACCCCATCTCTACTAAAGATACAAACATTAGCCCAGTGTGGTGGCTGATGCTTGTAATCCCAGCTACTTAGGAGGCCGAGGCGGGAGGATCACTTGAACCCAGGAGGCGGAGTTTGCAGTGAGCCAAGATCACGCCACTGGACTCCAGCCTGGGCGACAGAGCGAGACTCCATCTCAAAAAACAAAACAAAACAAAAACCTTGCTTGGTATGTTTCAGCCTGTTGTACTTATTCTCCTTGTCAAAGCTCAAATTGTCCCTCTTTTAGCCTGCAGCGGCCACTTCTGCTTGGCTCTTGAGCCTTTTAACAATCCTGTTCATGCTTAGTTTCCTTGTTGTCCGGTGTGACAAGATGTTCTTGGCTTACCTTGCATATTTCCTGCCCAGCCACTTTTCCAAGAAAAATCTGGAAGTTTAAAACAAAAACAAAGCTTCAGTGCCCCAGTCGCACCCAGAACCAGCTTAATCAGATTGCCTGGTGCGGGTAGGGCCCGGATACAGTATTTTTTCAAATTTTATTTTTATTTTGTTTGAGACAGGGTCCCTAGGCTGGAGTGTAGTGGCACGATCTCAGCTTACTGCAACCTCCGCCTCATGGATTCAAGCAATTCTGCCTCAGCCTCCCGAGTAGCTGAGCTTGCAGGCACCCACCACCACATCCAGCTAATTTTTTGTATTTTTGGTAGAGACGAGGTTTCATCATGTTGCCTAGGCTGGTCTCGAACTCCTGACCACAAGTGATCTGCCCGCCTTGGCCTCCCAAAGTACTGGGATTACAGGCATGAGCCACCACACCCAGCCAGGATACAGTATTTTTTAAAAAGCACGCCCAGCCTTGAATGGAAAACCACTGGACGAGAGTATGCCACCTTATCGGGCTCTGTAAATGCCTTATATCTGCACAAGGCTGGAACTTTGAGTGGAGTCCTTGGCTAAAGCTTTCATTACTGCCTGGTGACCTCTCTTCCCTCTGCTGCTAAAGCTTGTGTTTCAGAATTTAGACCCGGATGCATCCATGTTGAAAGCCAGGCTTTGTCTGTCATCCCAGGAGCTCTGTATCGGTCCCTTTCCTTGCCTGCATGTTGTTGACTTGGGGCTCATCTTCATTTCTCTGGGAAATAAGTTCTTTGATAGCTTGCTTAGAATCTCTCAGTACTTCCCATTGCCCTTAGAATGAAGACCAAAATATGTGGCCTGCAGTGTAGACTGTGCACAGCCTCCAGTGTAGACTACTCAGGCCCCTTCTTGGTTCCTGGAGTCTACCATGCTTTCTTCTACCACCGGGCCTTTGCACACACTGCTGTCTGTTGGGAATGCGTTGCCTTTCCTTGTTACTTAGTTCTCATCTACTCACCCTTCAGGTGCCAGCTTGACTGTCTGCCTCGGGGGCGCCTTCTCTGACCTTCGTACACCAGATCAGCCCCCATGCACTTACTTTGTCTCATTGGTAATATTTCTCTCCCTTCAGGACACACATCAAGGCCCAGAAGTTGTAGTTTTGCATTTGTTCATGTGATCATTTGATGCATGTCTCTCTCTGGAGCCTGACTCTTTGGGGCTCACATCCTCGGGGCTCACATCCTCACTCCACCGCTTTTAGCTGTGGGACCTTGAACAAATCTTTTCATCTCTGGTCCCCAGTTTTTAAGTTAAATTAAATTTTATTTTATTTTTATTTTGAGACACTCTTGCTCTGTTGCCAGGCTGTAGTGCAGTCGTTCGATCATGGCTCACTGCAACCTCCGCCTCCTGGGTTCAAGCGATTCTCTTGCCTCAGCCTCCCAAGTAGCTGGAACTACAGGCGCCTGCCACCACATCCAGCTAATTTTTGTATTTTTAGGAGAGACAGGGTTTCACCATGTTGGCTAGGATGGTCTCGATCTCTTGACCTCATGATCTGCCTGCCTCGGTCTCCGAAAGTGCTGGGATTACAGGCCCAGTTTCTTTTAACTGCAAAACAGGGATGATATAATACTTTTATTTATCTTGTGAGGTGAGGATGAAGATTAAATAAGGTAGTTTGTGTAAAGCACTTAGAAAAGAGCTAGCTACTAATAGTAGAGAATCTTGGCAGGTATTACTGATGATTACTGCAGTAGACCACAAGCTCCATACAGGCAGGGGTCATTTCTGTTTGTTTAGATTTGTATGCAGGGTGCTTGGCACAAGGGTTGTGCTCAGGAAATACTTGTTGGATGAACGAATGAATGAAGTGGAGATAATAGTAATACCATGTTTATAGAATTCCATGAGGATATAAAATAATGCAAGTATATAAGCTCTTGATAGAGTGTCTAGCACATAGTAGATGGTCAATAAATATTCAGTGACTGAATGAGTAAAGTGGGGACAATAGTAATACCCGCTCATGAGGTTGTCGTGGGGATATAAGGCAACCCTGTAGTACCTTGTAGAATGCCTAGCACATAGTAGGTGCTCAGAAAATATTTGTTGAATGAATGAGTGAAGTAGGGATGACGTTAACACCAACTCCTAGGGTTGTTGTGGGGATAGAAGACAAGGCAGGTCTATAGCATGTTGTATTGTGGTTGCACATGGTAGACACTCTGTTGACTGAAACTGGAAGAGCTGCCATGAATTTCTTTCTCCTGGCTATTAGGAGAGGGTCCTTTTGGGGTGCAGAATGGTGTGGAGCTGACGCTAGTCCTCTGGAAGGAAGAGTGAGCAGCTGACTACTTGCTAAGCTCTGACCTGGATGAAAAGTCAAATCATTCCTTTCCCTCTTCCTCCCAAACCTGTGCTTTCTTTCCACTAGAATCCCTGCCCAGAGTCCAGCGCTTCCTTCCTGTCGAGGATCACCTTCTGGTGGATCACAGGGTAAGGCCAGGCCCCCCAGACCTCAGGGAGGTGGTGGGGAGTGAATGAATGAATGAATGAACGAATGAACATGCTCAGCTCCCCCTCCCCAACTTCTCCCTCCTTTGCTCTTCTGCAGAGTTGTCTTGAATCTGCCTGTGCTGGCCATGTGGTCTCAGAGACACCAACTCTGTCCGGCAGTTCCGTGAACTTGAATGTGATAAACACATGAGCCGTGAGCAGCTGACACCTCTGCAGAAGGCTTTGCCTGGGACAGCCATATGCTGGACTGCTTTTGCTTTAGCTTCAGATTTGGGTTTTTAAAATATTAGGTATAGTTATTATTGACATTGTCCCCCTCCTGTCCCCCACGCCTTAGAAAAATAATACTGTCTCACCACAGGAAGTGTGGGTTAAAAAACCACATGTGCAGATCAGCAGTGCAGGAGACATCTAGAGGTAACCAGTGTCACCATTTTAGTATGCCTTCTTCTGGTTGTCTTTCTTTTTTTTTTGAGACGGAGTCTTACTCTGTCAGTCTCAGCTCACTACAAGTCTCCGCCTCCCAGGTTCAAGCGATTCTCCTGCCTCAGCCTCCCAGGTAGCTGGGATTACAGGCTTGCGCCACCATGCCCGGCTACTTTTTGTATTTTTAGTAGAGACAGAGTTTTGCCATGTTGGCCAGGCTTGTCTTGAAACTCCTGACCTCAGGTGATCCACCCGCATCGACTTCCCAAAGTGCTGGGATTACAGGTGTGAGCCACCATGCCCAGCTACCTTCTGGTCCTCTTTTTGTATATCTTTTTCTGCCCGTTGTTAACATCTTAGTGGGGATTGTTTGAAGAATCTTTTTTTGCCCCTAATAAGCATCATCTTTTTTTTTTTTTTTTTTTTTTTTTTTTTGAGACAGGCTTTCTCTCTGTCGCTGAGGCTGGAGTGCAGCGGCACACTTGTAGCTCACTGCAGTCCCAATCTACTGGGCTTAGGTGATGCTCCTGCCTCAGCCTCCTGAGTAGCTGGGGCTACAGGCACACTCCCCCACGCCCAGCAGATTTTTGTACTTTCTGTAGAGATGGGGTTTCATCATGTTGCCCAGGCTGGTCTCCAGCTTCTGAGCTCAAGTGATTCTCCCGCCTCAGCCTCCAGAGTGCTGGGATTACAGGCGTGAACCACCATGCCCGGTCTCATCCTTGTCTTAATGACAAACATCGTTTTAAAAAATTAGATGTTTTAAATAATTTCTTCAAGTTACTATTAAAAAGCATCACTGGGACAGTTGATGTAATTTGTTCATGACTACAGGACCCCGGATGCATGCTAATAACATTCATTCTTGTTTTGGAAAATTGTGCTCTAGTTACATAAGAGCATGTCCTGGATTGGAAGAGAATACCTCCAGTTTTTCTTGGGTAAAGGCATGTAGAGGCTGTATGTTAACTTTTTTTTTTTTTTTTTTTTTTTTTGAGATGGAGTCTTGCTCTGTCGTCCAGGGTGCAGTGCAGTGGCAGGACCTCAGCTCTCTGCAACCTCTGCTTCCTGGGTTCAAGAGATTCTCCTGTCTCAGCCTCCTGAGTAGCTGGGATTACAGGGACCTGCCACCACATCCAGCTAATTTTTGTATTTTTAGTAGAGATGGAGTTTCACTGTGTTGTCCAGGCTGGTCTCAAACTCCTGACTTCAGGTGATCCACCCACGTCAGCCTCCCAAGGTGCTGAGATTACAGGTGTGAGCCACCATGCCAGGCCTTTAACTGTTTAAGTGGTTCAGAAAAAGATGATGTGTTTGCATGTGTGTGTGTGTTTGTGTGTGCATGTCAATGGATACAGACAGAGAATGATACTGCAAACGTGGCAACGTGTTAACAATGGTGAGTTGAGTGAATTCTTAGTATGATTTGAGTAATTTTTCTATAAGTTTGAAATTATTTTAGAACAAAACATGAAAGTATTTTACCTTTTATTATAAAAGTGTTTAGTCTGCTGGGCACGGTGGCTCATGCCTGTAATGTTAGCACTTTCAGAGGCCAAGGTGGGTGGATCACCTGAGGTCAGGAGTTCGAGACCAGCCTGGCCTACATGGTGAAACCCTGTCTCCACTAACAATACAAAAATTAGCCGGGCAGCACACGCCTGTAATCCCAGCTACTTGGGAGGGTGAGGCAGGAGAATTGCTAGAATACAGGAGGCAGAGGTTGCAGTGCACTGAGATGGCGCCATTACACTCCAGCCTGGATGGAGTGACATAGAAAGATTAATATAATAAAACTCAATAATCTCATCACCCAGATTTCATGCTTACTAATGCTTTGTCATGTCAGCCTTTTTATTTTTTAATTTTTTCCTTCAGCCTATTTTTTTTTTTTCTTTTTATAGGGTCTGACTCTGTTGCCCAGGCTGGAGTGCAGTGACACAATGACGGCTCTTTGCAGCCTCCACCTCCTGGCCTTGAGCAATCCTGCCACCTCAGCCTCCCGAGTAGCTGGGACTACAGGTGCGAGCCATCATGACTGGCTAATTTTTTTATTTTTACTTTTCGTAGAGATAGTCTCCCTATGTTGTCCAGGCTGGTCTTGAACTCCAGGGCTCACAAAATCCTCCCACCTCGGCCTCCCAGAGCGCTAGGATTATAGACATGAGCTACCGTGCCTGGCCCATATCAGCCTTTTTTAATTTAAAATTTTAAAAAGTTGGCGGGGCACGGTGGCTTATGCCTATAATTCCAAGACTTCGGGAGGCCAAGGTGGGAGGGTTGCTTGAGCCCGGGGGTTCAAGACCAGCTTGGGCAACATAGGGAGACTCTTGTCTCTACAAAAATAAAAAATAAAAAAAAAATTAGCCAGTCATAATGGCTTACACCCAAAGTCCCAGCTACTCGGGAGGTTGAGATGGGAGAACCACTCTAGACCGGGAGCTGGAGGCTGCAGGGAGCTGCGATCGCACCACTGTACTCCATCCTGGGTGACACAGCGAGACCCTCTCTCCAAGTAAATAAATGAGTGAACGAATAATAAAAAATAAAAAAGAGCTATCCTGATACTTCGCTCCTAAATCATCTTTTTTTCCCTAAGTCTTTTGTATGCACCACTAAAAAAAAAAAAAGCCATTTTTCCTGCATGACCCAACAGAATGAGCTGTAATTAGCTTGTAATATATGCAAATGTCCATCTGCATTCTGACTTCCCAAGCTGCATGGCTGCCTTCATTTGCAGCGGGCAGCTGTGCTGCAGAGGGGAGCAGCATCAGCAGGCGTGTGGAGTGAGTGAGCCCCGTCCTCCCCCTCCTCCTGTCATTGACTCTCATTGCCTAACCCCCTTGTGTCTTGGCCCCAGGTTGATTGTCCGGGGCTACCGCCAGCCCCTGGAGGGCAGTGACCTCTGGTCCTTAAACAAGGAGGACACGTCGGAACAAGTCGTGCCTGTTTTGGTAAAGAACTGGAAGAAGGAATGCGCCAAGACTAGGAAGTAAGTGTGAGTTTCCTTGTCCTCCAGGATGCCCTGGTCACCTCCTTTCCACTCCTGTGGCCTCAATCCAGGATGGGGCCCTGGCAGTGCTGCCTGTTACTAGCTTTGTGGTTCTGGGCAAGATGCCTCACTTCTCCTCCTGGCCTCAGTTTGCTTTTCTGCCAAATGGGGTAGGATCTCACATGTCATTAAAGCAACTGGGCAGAGAAAAGAAGAAAGAAGCTGGGTGCGGTGGCTCTCGTGTCTAATCCCAGCACTTTGGGAGGCCAAGGCAGGCGGATCACTTGGTCGGGAGTTTGAGACCAGCCTGGCCAACATGGTGAAACCCTGTCTCTACTAAAAATACAAAAATTAGCTAGGCATGGTGGCAGGCGCCTGTAATCATAGCTACTCAGGAGGCTGACAGGAGAATCACTTGAACCCAGGAGGCGGAGGTTGCAGTGAGCTGAGATTGTGCCACTGCATACTAGCCTGGGAGACAGAGTGAGACTCCGTCTCAAAAAAAAAAAAAGAAGAAAAATGTTGTCCAAACAGGCAGTTGATGCTGTCTGCCATGGCGCGTGACTATCCCTCCTTGAGTCAGTCTCACTTTTTTCTGTCTCTTTCTGAGCATCTGGCATCCTGCATGTTCTTGCTGTTTGAATGTTCTGTCCAACATGCCCAGCTGACCACGTAAGTCTGTTTAGCCAAAGAAGCCCCATTTGAGGGTGATTTTGGCTGTACTGGATTTTAGGCTCTACCCCCTATGTAAGGCGTGCCCCACTGCACCACCTCTGTCACTCTTCGGGAATCAGGCCAGTGCCTCCCCTGCACATACCTTAACTCATCAAATCTGAGACACCATTAGTTGCGTGATGCGTTATTATTCTATGTAACAGTAAGAAAGAAAAGCAGCTGCCAATTAAACAAGGACATAAGACTTGTCTCGAGCCCGGACGAACTGGAACATGAAATTGTGGGTGACATGGGGGCAGTGGATTGCGGCCATGGGGGTAGTAGAATGGCTGTTTTTGTTCCTGTTGCCTGTTCTGGGGTAAGTTTACTACGATAAACTGTGGTGGGGCCAGTGTGGTGCATTGGATTCCCCACAGACCCATTGGCCTTACAGGGAAAAACCCCAGACCGGGGTTCTGTTCCTCATTCTATTCCGGGGATGCCCAGGATACAGGCCTTCAGTCAGACCCAGATGGTGGGTGGGAATCTGGACATCCATGTGCCAGCCACTAGGACATCAGCAGAGGACCTCGTGACTCCGGTCGGAGGCTGTTTGGGTGGTCCAGGTGATGGGAGAAATTGTCTCGTGGGAGGCAGATAGAGCTTGGGCCTCTGTGACTGAGCATTGTAAGGAAATGGCCCATGTCCATGACCCAGTTGAAGGTTTTTGGCAGGCAAAGGTGGGGTCCCTGTTTATTACAGTTCTTCATGGAGACAGAACTAGTAGGATGGATGGATGGATGGATAGATGATAGATAGATGGATGATAGATTGATAGATGATAGGTAGATGATAGACGGATAGTTGGTGGATGTATACATGGTAGGTAGATGGATAGATGATAGATAGATGGATGATTGATAGATGATGGATGGATGGATGGATGGAGGATGAGAGGGGATCTACTAGGGAAACTGGATCATGTGATTATGGAGGCTGAGAAGTCCCACCCTAGGTCATCTGCAACCTGGAGAACCCAGGAAGCTGGTAGCATGGCTCAGGCCTAGTCCAAAAGTCTCAGACCCAGGGAAGCTGATGGTGGAATTCTCAGTCCATAGTCAAAGGCCTGAGAACCTGGAGTCATTGGGTAAGTCCCAGAGGCCAGAAATCCTGGAGTTCTGATGTTCAAGGGTGGGAGAGGATGACATCCTGGCTGCAGAAGAGAGAGTGCCTGCATTTGCCATTACTCTGACTTTTTGTTGTGTCCGGACCCTCTGCTGATTGGGCGGTGCCACCCACATGGGGCGAGGATGGATCTTCCTTAGTCAGTCCACTCATTCAAATGCCAGTCTCGTCTGGAAACATCCTCACAGACACACCCAGAAATAACACTTTAACAGCAATCTGGGTATCCCTTAACCCAGTCAACTTGACCCCTAACATCACCCATCTCATCTGGATTCCTTCAGCCTCACCTGCAGCATCCCCCCCGCTAAGCAGGCCACATTTGTAGTGTGGGCTTCAGCATTCCTCATCATCCACGCCTCTGCTGATCACCTGGCTCGGCTTCCTCTCATGGAAGACGGATGCCCACCTTTGTGTCCCCTGGAGCTTGTCAGGAGAGCAGGTTGCTGGAGACACCATGGGAGAGGCCAATATCACAGCCTTGGGAGGAGGACAGAGTTTGAATCCAGAAGCTCCTCCACTGGCCTGGCTCTTAATCCACTGAGCAGATGAAACTGACTGCTGCTTTTGTGCTTAGCGACGTTTAGTCCCTGAGGGTTCAGAGAGTGGAACAAAAGAGACACACTCTAGTTGGGTGCCATCGACATTCTATATGGGAGACAGGACGTTGGTTGTGAAACATGCATTGACAAGAAGCTTTGGAGAATGATGGTGTTGGGGTGAGATAAAAATGAGGAAATGAGGGTGAGAGTAACCGAGGAAGCTTTTGTGTGTGTGTGTGTGTGTGTGTGTGTATGTATGTGTGTGTGTGTGTGTGTGTGTTTTCTTTTTTTTTTTTTTTTTTTGAGATGGAGTCTCATTCTGTTACCCAGGGTGGAATACAGTAGTGTGATCTCGGCTCACTGCAACCTCTGCCTCTCGGGTTCAAGCAATTCTTCTGCCCCGGTCTCCCAAAGTGCTGGGATTACAGGTGCATGCCACCACGCCTGACTAATTTTTTGTATTTTTAGTAGAGACGGGGTTTCACCATGTTGGCCAGGCTGGTCTTAAACTTCTAATCTCAAGTGATCCTCCTGCCTTGGCCTCCCAAAGTGCTGGGATTACAGGCATGAGCTACTGTGTCCGGCTGAGAGAGGTGTTTTAGATACAGTGGTCAAAGGTTCTACCCAGTGTGGCCATGACCCTTGGTGAGCATGTGCCTGTCCCTCCCTAAGTCTATCTCTGGCTGTTTTCGAGCCTCTGGCATCCTGAGTGTTACTGCTTTTTGAAGTGTTTTTGTTCAACATGCCCAGCTGACCATGTATGATTGTTTTGAGAAGGTCACATTTGAGCAGAGACTTGCATTGGAGGGAGTGAGCCTTGTGTGTATCTGGGGAAGGAAGGGCTTTCCAGGTAGAGGGAGCAGCCAGTGCAAAGGCTCTGAGGACACTCGTGGTGCATCAGGGGGCTTGTGTGGCTTGAGGAAAGTGAGTGAGGGGGAGAAAGGGAGGAGATGAAGCAGGAGAAGGATTTGCAGGGGTCTCCTCTGAGAGTTAAGGTGGGATTCCAGGTGCAGTGAGAACACAGGCGCAGGTTTTCTGCAGGGCAGTGGTGTGACGTGAGTTCTGTTGTTTGTTTGTTTGTTTGTATGTATGTATGTATGTATGTATGTATGTATGTATGTATTTTAGAGACAGGGTCTTGCTCTGTTGCTCAGGCTGGATGGCAGTGGCATGATAACAGCTCATTGCAGCCTGGAAATTCCGGGCTCAAGCAGTCCTCCCACCTCATCCTCCCAGAGTAGCTGGGATTACAGGTGCACACCACCATGCCTGGCTGATGAATTAATTAATTAATTTTATATTTTATATTTGTTTTTTTGAGATGGAATTTTGCTCTTGTTGCTTAGGCTGGAGTGCAGTGGTGCTGTCTTGGCTCACTGCAACCTCCACCCCCCGGGTTCAAGCGATTTTCCTGCCTCAGCCTCCGGAGTAGCTGGGATTACAGGAATGTACCACCATGCCCGGCTAATTGTGTATTTTTAGTAGAGATGGGGTTTCTCCATGTTGGTCAGTCTAGTGTCAAACTCCTGACATCAGGTGATCTGCCTGCCTCGGCCTCCCAAAGTGCTGGGATTACAGGTGTGAGCCACTGCGCCTGGCCTTTTTAAATTTATTTTATTTTATTATTATTATACTTTAAGTTTTAGGGTACATGTGCACAATGTGCAGGTTAGTTACATATGTATAGAGACAGGTCTCACTGTGTTGCCCAGGCTGGTCTCCAAGTCTTGGCTTCAAGCAGTCCTCCTGCCTCAGCCTCCCAAATAGCTGGGATTACAGGTGTGAGCCACCACACCCAGCTGAGTTCTGGTTCATAACAACCCAGGCTGTCCTGGGGAAGGTGGATATTTAGGGACAAGAGTGAAGGCAGGGAGACCAGGGTGGGAACCTCAAGGGCTGTCCATGAAGTCCCTTCATGCCTCACCGGGAGCCGCCATTGTATTTATTTATTTATTTTTTGAGACAGGGTGTCACTCTTTTGTCCAGGCTGGAGTGCAGTGGCACGATCTCGGCTCACTGCAACCTCCATCTCCTAGGCTGGAGTGATCCTCCCACCTCAGCTTCCCTAGTAGCTGGGACTACAGGCACGTGCCACCACACCTGGCTAATTTTTTTTTTTTTTTTTTGTAGAGATGATATCTCGCCATGTTGCCCAGGCTGTTCTCAAGCTCCTGAGCTCAAGCAGTCCACCTACCTTGGTCTCCCAAAGTGCTGGTATTACAGGCGTGAGCCACTGTGCCTGACTGGAGCCTCCATTTTTCACCCAGAGCATTTTCTGAGAATTCAGTGAGATATATGATATGATAAGCTGTGCCCTAGCCCTGAGTACATGCTGGGCAGGTTTTAATTGTACAAGTTTTATTTATTCATCTGTACACTTTGATCTTGCCAGGGAGGATGTGGTGAGAACTGGGTCTTGGGGCTTGAAAGCGGGCCACCTGAGAAGGGTCTGGCTCTGTGAGTACCTTGGTGTTTAGAGATCCTCAGCGTGGAGCCAGGGGATCATTTACTTGGGACATTGGTAGACGGATCGCTTGCTTTATTCCCAGAGGCATAAGCCAGATCTGGCACCTGTAACCCCTGTGAACCTGGAGAGAGTGAGAAGGAAAACCCTGTCCTAGGCTGGAATTTCCTGGTGTGGCCCCTTACACTCAGATCCCTTTTGTTAACCAGAGAAAGGAATGCAGCTCGTGCAGCTCTGGGCTGCTGGGTATCCTAGGCTCGGGGATCAGGTGATGGACGCCAGGGCTGGGGGCTCTGCATGGCTTCCTGGATCCTTTTACCACCTCTCTTCACCCATGAGTGACTCCTTCTCAAAAGTCAGGTGTGGCTGGGCATGGTGGCTCATGCCTGTAATTGCAGTACGTTGGGAGGCTGAGGCGGGAGGCTCACCTGAGTTCATGAGTTCGAGACCAGCCTGGCCAACATGGTGAATCCCTGTCTCTGCTAAAAATACAAAAATTAGCCGGGTGTGGTGGCGCTCACCTGTAATCCAGCTACAGGGGGGCTGAAGCATGAGAATTGCTTGAATTGTTTGGATTTAAAAACCCAGTGCTTCATTGGTTTGTGTGTAGTGGTTTTATGTTCTCTTTTGTGTATGGCCACTCAGAGCTTAGGGCCATTTTGGACTGTGGTTTCTGCTGGCATGAATGTGAAATGCTTCTGTGACTCTGGAAGAGTTTGGCAGTTTTTTTTTTTTTTTTTTTTAAGTTAGACACAGTGAACATACCACCAGTCACCCCCTTCCCAGGCATCCAGCCAACAGAGCTGAGAACATATGTTCATAAAAGGCTGGTACAGGAATGTTCTTAGCTACTTTGTGATAACCCAAACTGGAGGTAAGCCAGACATCTATTAGCAAGTGAACAGACAGATGCACCAGTTATGTACATCTGCACAACTGAATACTAAGTGATGTACAAGAACGAACTATTGGCCGGGCACAGTGGCTCATGCCCATAATCTCAGCACTTTGGGGGCCCAAGGCAGGCAGATCACTTGAGGTCAGGAGTTCAAGACCAGCTTGGCTAACATGGTGAAACCCTGTCTCTACTAAAAACATAAAAATTAGCTGGGTGTGGTAGCGCACACCTGTAATCCCAGCTACTCGGGAGGCTGAGGCAGGAGAATCGCTTGAACGCAGGAGGCGGAGGTTGCAGGGAGTCAGGATCGCACCATTGCACTCCAGCCTGTGTGATAGAGCAAGACTCCATCTCAAAAAAAAAAAAAAAAATCCCTATAAGATAAAGACTACTTTTTTGGTGACAGCTTTATTGAGATATTCATACACCGCACAATTCATGTATGCAGAACATACAATTCACTGATTTTTAGTGTGTTCACAGAGTTGTGCAGTCATCATCACAGTCAATTTTATTTATTTGCTTTTTAAGACAGAGTCTTGCTGTGGCGCTGAGGCTGGAGTGCAGTGGCACAACCTCGGCTCATTGCAACCCCCTCCTCCTCCTGAGTTCAAGCGATTCTCCTTTCTCACCCTCCCAAGTAGCTGGGATTACAGGCAACCGCCACCATGCCTGGCTAATTTTTTATATTTTTAGTAGAGACAAGGTTTTGCCATGTTGGTCAGGGTGTTCTCAAACTCCTGACCTCAAGTGATCCACCCGCCTCGACCTCCCGAAGTGCTGGCATTACAGGCATGAACCACTGCACCCAGTCAAAAAAAAAATTTTTTTTTAGAAATAGGGTCTTGCTGTGTTGCTCTGGCTGGCTGGACTGTTTTTTTTTTTTTTTTTTTTTCCACTGATGTATATATGCCTATCCCTTTACCTGTCTTGATGATTGTTGTTCTTTTTTTTGTTTTGTTTTTTTCTTTTTGAGACTGAGTCTTTTTGCCCAGGCTGGAGTGCAATGGTGTGGTCTCAGCTCACCACAACCTCCGCCTCCTGGGTTTAAGCGATTCTCCTGCCTCAGCCTCCCAAGTAGCTGGGATTATAGGTATGTGCCACCATGCCGGGCTGATTTTGTATTTTTAGTAGAGATGAGGTTTCTCCATGTTTGGTCAGGCTGGTCTTGAACCTGCCGACCTCAGGTGATCTGCCCACCTCGGCCTCCCATAGTGCTGGGATTACAGGCGTGAGCCACTGCGCCCAGCCTATTGTTGTTCTTTCTTTTTGAGATGGAGTTTTGCTCTGTCACCCAGGCTGGAGTGCAATGGCCTGATCTCCACTCACAGCAACCTCCACCTCCCAGGTTCAAGTAATTCTCCTGCCTCAGCCTCCCAAGTAGCTGGGATTACAGGCACCTGCCATCATGCCCGGCTAATTTTTGTATTTTTAGTAGAGATGGGGTTTCACTATGTTGGTCAGGCTGGTCTCAAACTCCTGACCCCAAGTGATCCAGCCACCTTGGCCTCCCAAAGTGCTGGGATTACAGGTGTGAACCACCACTCCTGGCCATGATTGTTATTTTGTATTGTTTTGAAATCAGGAAGTGTGAATCCTCCAACTTGATTCTTATTTTTCATGATTGTTTTGACTGTTCTGGATCCTTGAGTTTCCATGTGAATTTTAAAGTTAGCTCATAATTTCTACCTGGCAGCCAGCTGGGCTTTTGATGGGGATTGCCTTGACTCTAGATCAGTTTGGAGCCATCAGTTTTCTAAGTCTTTAACTTATTCAACTCGTTTAATCTTACCTACCTTGGAGGTAGGTCCTACTTTTATCCTCATTTCACAGAGGAGGAAACTGAGGCCCAGAGAGCTTAAGGACCTTGTCTGAAGTCACGCAGCTGGCCAGTGGCCAAGCCAGACCTTGAGCCGGTGGCTCTGGAGCCCGTGGCTCTGGAGCCCGTGTTTGTAACCACTGTGCTGAGCTGCCTCTTTCCCTGGGCTTGTTGTCTTTGACTCTGCCTTCCCTGAAGGGTGACATTCCCTGGCCATGTCCCTGTGGTAGGGGGCTGCATCTCTGGCAGACCCCACAACGGCTTCACCTCCTTGTGTTCCAGGCAGCCGGTGAAGGTCGTGTACTCCTCCAAGGATCCTGCCCAGCCGAAAGAGAGTTCCAAGGTGGATGCGAATGAGGAGGTGGAGGCTTTGATCGTCAAGTCCCCACAGAAGGAGTGGAACCCCTCTCTGTTTAAGGTGTTATACAAGACCTTTGGGCCCTACTTCCTCATGAGCTTCTTCTTCAAGGCCATCCACGACCTGATGATGTTTTCCGGGCCGCAGATCTTAAAGTAAGACCCCTTCCCTCCCAGGTGGGCTCCATTTTCCCTCCTTGGCTTTGATCTTTCAGTTGCATCAGTCATAACCCTGGGGTCATGCTGTGTCCTGAAGTGGGCTCATAGCCAGATGTCTCCATTTTTACTTTAGCTTTTTTGAAAAAAATAGAGACAGGGTCTTGCTTTGTTGGTCAGGCTGGTCTCGAGCTCCTGACTTCAAGCGATCCTCCTGCCTCGGCCTCCCAAAGTGCTGGGATTGCAGATGTGAGCCATGGTCACTGCCTAGCTTTACTTTATGCTTTACTTAATTACCATATTAGTGAAGACCACATCGTTTGCAAGTAACAGAAACCCACTAGGCTCCCCTAAAACCCAAATGGGGAGGATATGGCATTGTCTTGGGAAACCAAGAGCAAGGAAATGCCAGCAGATCTCATGAAAAAACTGCAACCAGGGTTGGGCGCAGTGGCTCATGCCTATAATCCCAGCACTTTGAGAGGCTGAGGTGGGAAGATCACCTGAGGTCAGGAGGTCAAGACCAGCCTGGCCAGCATGGTAAAACCATCTGCTAAAAATACAAAAATTAGCCGGGCGTGGTGGTGCACGCCTGTAATCCCAGCTACTCAGGAGGCTGAGGCATAAAAATTGCTTGAACCCAGGAGGCAGAGGTTACAGCAAGCTGATTGCATCACTGAACTCAAACCTTGGCGACAGAGCAAGACTTTGTCTCAAAAAAAAAAAAAAAAAAAAAAAGAATAAAAACAACAACAAAAAACTGCAACCAGGAACTGGGGAGTCAGAAAGGAAGTTGCCTCTCTCCTACCTGGCTCTCTGCTGCTCTGTGACTCAGGGGCTACACATCCCTTCTCTTTTCCTCCCTACCTCTTTACCTCGTGTTCCCTATGCAATTCCTTTGGGTGACTTGCTGGTGATGAGATATAGCTAGAGCAATTAGTGCACAACCCCAAGGCAGAGGCCTCTTTTATGAGCAGTTTGGGTCACCTGCACAGCCAGATCACCACTGTGGACTTGTTTTTCCATCTATGAAATTGAAGTGATAGTGTCTAGCTCATCTGGCTCAGGAGAAAGTTGCAGTGCCAACACTGAAGCTCTCTTCCCTGCCCCCACGTGTCACAAGTCATTCCAGGCCCTCTCTTTGCTCCTTTGCAGGTTGCTCATCAAGTTCGTGAATGACACGAAGGCCCCAGACTGGCAGGGCTACTTCTACACCGTGCTGCTGTTTGTCACTGCCTGCCTGCAGACCCTCGTGCTGCACCAGTACTTCCACATCTGCTTCGTCAGTGGCATGAGGATCAAGACCGCTGTCATTGGGGCTGTCTATCGGAAGGTAGGGGACGCTGTGCCATTGGCATGTGGCCCGACTTCCACATCCCCTCCTGCAGCCCTGGGTTACTCTGGGGCCAGCGTGGGGATTTCCAGCCCAGCTTCTGGAGCAGTAGGATGAGGGTAGCTTCCGTGACCTTAGGTGGCAGGGACAGCACGCATCAGGCATTGTACGTTAGGAAAGCTGATTTCAAGGGTGGGCGTGTAGATGTCTTTGTGTATCAGCTGTGAGTAATTGAGTTTCTTAGATGGATCAGTGGCCCTTGTTGTGGGGAAATCCAAGTTTGGATCCTCATTCTGCTGTTAACATTCTGTGTTTCAGCTTGTTGTCACTCTTTTTTTTTCGTTTTTTTGAGACCAGGTCTCACTCTCTCCCCCAGACTGGAGTGCAGTGGCATGATATTGGCTCACTGCAACTTCTGCCTCCTGAGTTCAAGCGATTCTTCTGCCTCAGCCTCCTGAGTAGCGGGGACTACAGGCGCCTGCCACCACGACCGGCTAATTTTTGTATTTTTAGTAGAGACAGGGTTTCGCCATGTTGGCCAGGCTGATCTTGAACTGCTGACCTCAGGTGATCCGCCTGCCTCAGCCTCCCAAAGTGCTGGGATTACAGGCATGAGCCACCGCGCCCAGCCTGTTGTCACTCTTAATTTGAACTGAGCAGGTGGCACATTCCTTGCATGGTAAGAGTATGTAGCAGGCATTTGTGTACATCCAATTTCAAAGGACCTAAATTACCTTCTTGATCCCTATAAATTTTTTTTTTTTTTTGTCTCGAGGTCAAGGAAACTGCTTGGCTCCTAGGTTAGGAAGAGACAGTCTTGCAGGTACTTGATGAACTAGAGGAGTGATTCTCAGGCCTGTCTGTGAATTAGACTCACCTGGGGAGCTTAAACTGATGCAGGCCAGGCACTGTAGCTCATGCCTGTAATCCCAGCAGCTTGGGAGACCAAGGTGGGGGAATCACTGGAGGCTTGGAAGTTCAATACCAGCCTGGTCAATATAGCAAGACCCTGGCTCTGCAGAAAATTTAAAAAAATTAGCCAGGTATGGTGGTGCGTACCTGTAGTCCCGTCTACTCAGGAGATTGAGTTAAAAGAATCACTTCAGCCCCGGAGTTGGAGGCTGCAGTGAGTCCTGATAGCATCCCTGCATTCCGGCCTGTGTGACAGAATGAGACCCTGTCTGAAAAAACAAAAAAACTTCCTGACACCTAGGTTGCACCAGACCAGTGAAATTGCGATTGCTGTGGTGGCACCCAGGTGTCATTGTTTTTGTTTTTTATTTATTTTTATGTTTTGAGACAGGGTCTCGCTCTGTCACCCAGGCTAGAGTGCAGTGGCATGATCTTGGCTCACTGCAGCCTCCACCTCCTGGGCTCAAACGATCCTGCCACCTCAGCCCACCACGTAGCTGGGCCCAGAGGCATGCATCACCACGCCTGCTAATGTCTTAGTGTTTTTAAAACTCACGAGGTGATAGTGTGCAATCATGTTTGAGGGCTAGGGACATTTTCCCCCACCAGGGCACGTTTGGCAATATCTGGGGGCATTTTCGGTTGTCCCAACTGGGGGCGAGGGCATGTAGTGGGTCGAGGCCAGGTATTGCTGCTAAAACTCCTACAGTGCGCAGGACAGCCCCCCAAAGAATTATCTGGCTCCAGATGTCAAGAATGCCAAGGATTAGAGACCCTGGCCCACACCCTCAGTCCTTCAGTGGGATCTGGGACCAGTAGCACTGACACAGCCTGGAAGCGTAGAAATGCAGAATCCCAGGCCACACCCCAGACTTGCAGAATCCAAAACAACTCCCCCCACCCCCCACCACTCCCCCCAGAAAAACCCGGCCGCATGTGTGCACATTAAAGCATGCGAAGCCCTGGTTTCGAGGACACCTAGGGTCCCTTGCCAACTGATGAGTTCAAGGTTGGGAGGCACTGAGCACCGCGGATAAGAATGTGGGCTTTGAGATGACACAGGCGTCCTGGGCAGACAGATAGGTCGGGAGGGGAGGAGGAGAGATCTGCGGCATTTCTGCCCCTGAGAGTCTCCTTCCTCTCCGTGGGTCTGGAGGGAGAGTCAGGCCTCTTCAGCTGCCACACTCACCCACCTTCCCTCTCCTTTGTCCCACAGGCCCTGGTGATCACCAATTCAGCCAGAAAATCCTCCACGGTCGGGGAGATTGTCAACCTCATGTCTGTGGACGCTCAGAGGTTCATGGACTTGGCCACGTACATTAACATGATCTGGTCAGCCCCCCTGCAAGTCATCCTTGCTCTCTACCTCCTGTGGCTGGTGTGTGTTTAACGCCGTTTCCCTTTGCATGCAGGGAGGGACTTCTACGTGTGGGCAGTGGGCCGAGGGAGTGGGTGTTGATGGTAATGGCATGTAGAGCTCCCTGGCAGTTCCGGCTGTGGTTCATATTTTATTTTCCAGCCTGTTAACCAATTCCTCAGTATTTTGTTCCTTTCCTGAATTGTCAGGTTGATGTTCTCCTTGGTGGCATGGCGTTTTCATTTTCTCTTTTCCTTGACAGTGTCAGTAATTAACTACCCTACAATGGACGACACATCATATTTCTCCCCTTGAATCCTCCCAAACGCTAACCAGACTCACTTATTCATTAGTCCCTAATTATGGTGGTCAAAATTCTCTCAATTGCAAGGGATATAAATCTGTCTTAAAGTAGCCTAAGTGGCCGGTTGCAGAGGCTCACGCCTGTAATCCCAGCACTTTGGGAGGCCGAGGCGGGCAGATCACCTGAGATCAGGAGTTCGAGACCAGCCTCAACGTGGAGAAACCCCGTCTCTACTAAAAATACAAAATGAGCTGGGCGTGGTGGTGTATGCCTGTAATGCCAGCTACCTGGGAGGCTGAGACAGGAGAATTGCTTGAACCTGGAAGGCGGAGGTTGCGGTGAGCCGAGATTGGGCCATTGCACTCCAGCCTGGGCAACAAGAGTGAAACTCCAATTCCAAAAAAAAAAAAAAGTAGCCTAAGTAAATAGAGGGAACTTTGGGGCTGCATGTATCTCAGAAATCTGGGGACTAGCTTCAGGTGTGGATTGATCCAGGAGATCAAGCAATGTTGTCAGTACTCAGTTTCACCCACTGCCCTGTTGTCCTCTGAGTTAACATCATTCTCAGTGGTACTTCCCTACATGGCTCCGTAGCTTTGGGCTGATAACATCCTGATAGATAAAGGTGCCAGAGAAAAGACAAGGCAGCATTTCTCTGCACAGCCAGAGTCAGTCTCAGAGAGCACTCTGATTAGCCTGGCTTGGTCCTATTCACACCCGTGAACCAATCACTGTGGCCCAGGAGGCAGAGTTCTCTCATTGGCCAGCCTGGGTCACATGTCCTCTCCCATGGCAGAAGAGATGTGATTGACAGCCCTTCCATGTGGAGAGGGAGAGTTCCCAAAATAAAATGATAAGCAAAGAGGCTCATAGCACAACACATGCCTTGTGCTTTGCTACCTCTGGATCTTTGCCACGTACCTTTCCTTCCTTCTTCCTAATTGATGAAAGCCTGCTCATCCCCCAAGGCTGTAACAAACACTACTTCCATTGATTTACCCTCCCTTCTCAATTAGATGGACTTCTTCTTTTGAATTTTGAGTCCCAATAACTTTAGTATAGGAACTCATCTAATAATACTTTCTGAAATAGTTTTTTTTGTTTTGTTTTTGTTTTGACATGGAGTCGCGCTCTGTTGCCCAGGCTGGAGTGTGGTGTGCCATCTTGGCTCGCTGCAACCTCTGCCTCCCAGCTTCAAGCAATTCTCCTACCTCAGTCTCCCGAGTAGCTGGGACTACAGGCTTACACCACCACGCCCATTAAATTTTCTTTTTTTTTTGTATTTTTAGTAGAGACAGTGTTTGATCATGTTGGCTAGGCTGATCTTGAACTCCTGGCCTCAGGTGATCTACCCTCTGTGGTCTCCCAAAGTGTTGGAATTACAGGCGTGAGCCACCGTGCCCAGCCCACTCCCTGAAATAGTTTTGTTTTGTTTTTTTTGCATGCTCAGTGTACTGCCTCCTCTTTGAAGGGTAACATGTTAGCTACTTGCAGACATATAGCAGCTGACTTTTGTGTCTTCTGTGGGTACAACCCCAGCAGGGCCTGATGCATAATGGGCACAGCTCAAATTATTATCTGTTATTGAAAGAGAAGGGCTGGACGAAATGGCTCATGCTTGTGATCTGAACACTTTGGGAGGCCAAGGCGGGTGGATCATCTGAGGCCAGGAGAGCAGCCTGGCCAACATGGCAAAACCCCGTCTCTACTAAAAATATAAACATTAGTCAGGCATGGTGGTGTATGCCTATAATCTCAACTACTTGGGTGGCTGAGGCAGGAGAATGGCCTGAATCCGGGAGGCGGAGGTTGTATTGAGCTGAGTTTGTACCACTGCATACCAGCTTGGGCAACAGAGCGAGACTCTGTCTCAAAAAAAAGAAAAAGGAAGAAGAAAAAATTACTGGTTTATTTGGCTGTAGTTTGGTTTTTTTTTGTACATTTGTAGAGCAGAAGGTGAGTAAAGTGTTTCTAATAATAAAACTCAGAAAAAACACCAGAATTTAATTGTCTAATAGGCTGGGTACAGATATAGGTGGCATGCGCCTGTAATCCCTGCACTTTGGGAGGCTGAGGTGGAAGGATTGCTTGAAGCCAGGAGTTTGAGACCAGCCTGGGCAACATAGTGAGACCCTGTCTCTACAAAAAAAAAAAAAAAAAAAAAAAATTAGCTGGGCATGGTGGTGCCTACCTGTGGTCCCAGCTACCGTGGAGGCTGAGGCAGGAGGATTGCTTGAGCCTAGGAGTGCAGAGGCTGCAGTAAGCTAGGATCACACCACTGCACTCCTACCTGGGTGACAAGGCAAGACCCTGTCTCTAGAAGAAAAAAAAAATCTAAATAAAGTGTCTTTTCAAGCAGGTGTCTTGGGGAGTCCACTTTTGTAAAAGTGCTACTATGGGAAAAATATTTTTGGAACATTTGTTCTAGAACTGCCTTCAGGATTGGTTTATGAACCGTTAAGAAAATTGTCTAACATCACGTTTTGTTTTAGATGGTAGTTGCTTGAGCTCAGCACTGTTGACACTTGGGGCCAGACAGTTCTTTGTTGTGGGGGCTGTCTTTTTTTTTTGTTCTTGTTATTGTTTTTTTTGTTTTTTTAAGGGACAGAGTCTTGCTCTGTTGCCCAGGCTGGAGTGCAGTGGTGCGATCATAGCTCACTGCAGCCTTGAATTCTTGGCCTCAAGCAGTCTTCCCACTTTGTCATCTCATCTAGCTGGGGACTACAGGTGCACGCCACCATGCCTGGCTAAGTTATTTATTTTTTTGTAGAAATGGGGGTCTTGCTGTGTTGCCCAGGCTGGTCTCGAACTTCTACCCTCAAGCTATCTTACCACTTTGGCCTCCCAAAGTGATGGGATTACAGGTGTCAGTCACTGCACCTGGCCACAAGGCTATAAGTTAATACAGCAAAATTAGCAAGGAATTAAGGCACACATGGGGCGGTGTTCAAGAGAAGCCAGGTGCAGGCTTCCAGGAGTCCCCAGCAGAGTCACAGGTTCACTAATTCTCTGGCAACCATGATGATTATGTGTGTGAAATGTTGCCAACCAGGGAAGCTTGGTAGGAGCTCAGTTCCTGGGTTTGTATTAGGGGCAGGTCACATAAGCAGCCTTTGCTTGGCACATACCAAAAGTCTAGACTCCCAGAGGGAAAGCGGTGTTCAGCATAAACCATATTGTTTGTACAAACAGTTGAGGCACACTGAGCTACTCTACCCAATTCTGTTAATGGTGGAAACCCTGTAAGTATGCAGACACTAGCCAAGGGCTAAACTTGTAAGCAGCCTTCAAGCAGGAAAAGCAGTCAGGTGGTCGTGTTCACACTTTTCTGCTTACTACCTTATTACCTTTCTAAAAATCTAAGCTGGGTGTGATGGCTCGCGCCTGTAATCCCAGCTACTTGGGAGGCAGAGGTGGGAAAGTCGCTTGAGCCCATGAGTTTGAGACCAGCTTAGGCAACATAGTGAGACCTTGTCTCTACAAAAAATCAAAAAAATAGCTGGGCATGGTGGTGTGAGTGTAGTCACAGCTACTTGGGAGGCTGAGTTGGGAGGATCACTTGAGCCCAGGAGATCGAGAGCAGTTTGAGTAACATAGTGAGACCTTGTCCTTACAAAAAACCAAAAAAATTAGCTGGGCATGGTGATGTGACTAGTCACAGCTACTTGGGAGGCTGAATTGGGAGGATCGCTGGAGCCCAGGAGTTGGAGACCAGCCTGGGCAATGTAGCAAGACCTAATGCTTACCTGTAGTCCCAGCTACTTTGGAGGCTGAAGTAGGAGGATCACTGATGCAAATAGCCACTGTACTGCAGCCTGGGCAACATAGCGAGACCTCATCTCCTAAAAAAAAAAAAAATTAGAATCCTGCAGTTGTAATTTGCAAAACTCATGTGGCCCCAAGGGCTTGGGAGAAAGGAGCGTGGACCTGCTTATTCTTCAAGGGATTGGGAGGACCTGGAGAGATGCTCAGGAATGAAACCACAGGCTCTTAACACCCTATTGTGGGGTAAAAGTAACACACCTTGCCCTGAACTTGGTCAGCAGCATCCACGTGGGATGGATCAACCGGGGAAGCTGTTACGGGCCCTGTTTTCTTCTGTCTGGTGAGTGATGAAGAGTCTCCTTTCCTTCCTTAGAATCTGGGCCCTTCCGTCCTGGCTGGAGTGGCGGTGATGGTCCTCATGGTGCCCGTCAATGCTGTGATGGCGATGAAGACCAAGACGTATCAGGTAAGGCATGTGTCTCTGCGGGCCCCCAAGCCGGGCCCTAGGCAGAGGCCTCTCCATGAGGATTTTAGTCCAGTTCCTTCTGCTCTGTCCCTGGGGTTCTCAGCCTTGCCTGCCAGTTGGAGTCACTTGGGGAGCCTTAACAAATGCTGATGCCCCGGCTGCATATCTGGGATTCTGATTCACTTATTGTGGGTGGGGTCTGGACATCAAGATGTTTTAAAGCTTCCCAGGTCATTATATTGGGCAGCCAAGATTGAGAGCTCCTGACACATGGTTAGACCTTGTAGGCCGGTGACTGGAATCAGAAGGTCTGTGAGCCTCTGAGAAAGTCCTTGTTTCCCACGGTCTTGTTTATTATGTGTATGTGTGACTCAGCTTTCAAGAGTTGAGTACAAATTACCCCCTACTTTTTCCCCCCTATTAGCTCTTACCTTATAGGATACATGCTGTTAATCTCTTTATTTAAATTAAAATAATTAATTTCTAAAATGGGGCCTTGCTGTGTTGCCCAGGCTGGTCTCAAACTCCTGGGCTTAAGTGATCCTGTTGCCTCAGCCTCTCAAAGTGTTGGGATTACAGGTGTGAGCCACCATGCCCGGCTTTCAGCTTTTTATTTTTGGAGATATTTTGTATTTTAAAAAGTTTGAATACCCAAGTAATAGAGTGATGTTTCTTATTATAAAAAAGTCCAAATCAAGCCGGGCTCACCCCTGTAATTTCAGCATTTTGGGAGGCCAAGGTGGGTGGATCGCCTGAGCTTAGGAGTTCAAGACCAGCCTGGGAAACATGGTGAAACCTGTCTCTACCAAAAATGGAAAAGTTAGCTGCGTGTGGTGATGCGTGCCTGTAGTCCCAGCTACTTGGGAGGCTGAAGCATGAGGATCACCTGAACCCAGGAGGTCGAAGCTGTAGTGAGCCATGATTGTGCCACTGCACAACAGAGTGAGACCCTGTCTCAAAAAAAAAAAAAAAAAAAAAAAAAAAAAAGTTTAAATCGTACAAAAGTACATAAATTAAAAGGGGATACCCCCTTCCCTACTCTCTCAACCACTGCAAATATATAGAAGCAAATCCTTCTACAACTTTCTACGTATGTATATACAGACCTGATTAATGGTATAGTTTGGTTTGTTTTTATATATGTGGGTTTTTTTTTTTGTTTGTGGAGATGGAGTCTCACTTTGTTGCCCAGGCTAGAGTGCAGTCGTACGATCTTGGCTCACTGCAACCTCTGCCTCCCGGGTTCAAGTAGTTCTCCTGCTTCAGCCTCCCGAGCAGCTGGGATTACAGGTGCCCACCACCACACCCAGCTAATCTTTGTATTTTTAGTAGAGATGAGGCTTTACCACATTGGCCAGGCTGGTCTTGAACTCCTGACCTCAGATGATCCACCCGCCTCGGCCTCCCAAATTGCTGGGATTACAGGCATGAGCCACCATGCCTGGCCATTATATATGTTTTGTGTGTGTGATATTATTACCATATCTGTTTTTACCTAAATGGGCCCACGTGGCAGCATGATTTTTGTCCTTTAGCGCCCTGCTTTGGGGACCTCTCTGTGCTGTGCCGTATAGCTTCAATTCATTCTTCCAACCCGGTGCCTTTTGGTCTATAATGGAGATGGTGCAGTTTATTTCTTTGCTCTTCTGTTGATGGATATTTATGGTGTGCTGTGGAATTTCAAATGGGAGCACTAGGCTGCACTGACGATACCACAGGGAGATGAGTTTCAGGACATGGGCCTGTTGGAAGGAGAGGCCTCACGTGGTAGGGTTGGGTGGGATGGGTGAGGCAGGGGCTTTAGGATTGAGTCACCCTTCAGTCTCTTGATGTGTAGGATGCCCTGAGTGGCCCGACTCAACCCATTTCAGTCCCTGGCCTCCAGATCATGTAGCTTATATTCTTCCCATCTGTGACCCGGGGATGACTGTAGCACTAAACGATAAGAGTTCTTGTGATTGTTAAGTGTCTGAATACATGTAAAATGCTTAGAAAAGTTGCTGGGATACACAAAATCCTGGGTGGTAGTAAAAGTATTTAACAACTGCACTGCACAAGTATCCACTATTTGGAACCAGTGCTAGCCAGTACAGAAACATTTCACTATTTTAACAACCATGGGCCAGGCACAGGGGCTCATGTCTGTAATCCCAGCTCTTTGGGAGCCTGAGGCAGGAGGTTGGCTTGTGGCCAGGAGTGCAAGACCAGCCTGAGCAACATAGCAAGGTGCCATCTCTACAAGAAATACAAAAATGAACTGGGTGTGGTGGCATATGCCTGTGGTCCCAGATACTAAGGAGGCTGAGGTGGGAGGATCGCTTGAGCCCAGGAATTCAAGGCTGCAGTGAGCTATGATCATGCCACTGCACTCCAGCCTGGATGCCAGAGTGAGATGATGTTTCCAAAAAAAAAGAAAACTGGGCTGACAAGAAATAAGAAAACAGGCTGGGTGCGGTGGCTCACACCTGTAATCCCAGCACTCTGGTAGGCCGAGGTTGGATCACTTGAAGTCAGGAGTTCGAAACCAGCCTGGCCAACATGGTGAAGCCCCGTCTCTACTAAAAATAGAAAAATTAGCCAGGCGTGGTGGCAGGCGTTTATAGTCCCAGCTACTCAGGAGGCTGAGGTAGGAGAATCTCTTTAACCCGGGAGGCAGAGGTTGCAGTGAGCCAAGATCGTGCTACTGCACTCCAGCCTGGGCAAGAGAGCGAGACTCCGTCACAAAAAAAAAAAAGAAAAAATACGAAAACAGAGAAGAAAAACACCACCACCATGTCTCCTGTGTTTGGGTCAGCAGAGTAGGGACTGAATCCCTTCTTTTCTGTACACCTGAAGGGTTTTTCTTGCCTCTGTTCCTGGATTCTAAATTGAGTATGTTTCTCCAATGTCTAACCTAACGTGATTTGAAGGGGTTTTTTTTTTCTTGATAGCGGGGTCCTTTGGTGTGGTCTTGGGGCTCAAGAGTAGGGCTAGTAGGGATTACAGGGTCAGCTCTCCCACCCTCAGGAGGCCCATTTTTAATAGACGGTGAAGTTGAGGCCCAGTGCGGTGGCTCACACCTGTAATCCCAGCACAGGAGTTTGAGACCAGCCTGGGCAGCATGGTGAAACCCCATCTCTATTGAAAAGAAAAAAAAAAAATCAATATAAAAAACATTTACATGTCAAAGTATATAATAAAGTTTATGAGAAAAATAGCTGGTGATGTTGAGTGATGGGCTGATCCCAGGGTCGCCCCAGATGTGTTGACTGCCCGTCTCTTCCAAGGTGGCCCACATGAAGAGCAAAGACAATCGGATCAAGCTGATGAACGAAATTCTCAATGGGATCAAAGTGCTAAAGCTTTATGCCTGGGAGCTGGCATTCAAGGACAAGGTGCTGGCCATCAGGCAGGAGGAGCTGAAGGTGCTGAAGAAGTCTGCCTACCTGTCAGCCGTGGGCACCTTCACCTGGGTCTGCACGCCCTTTCTGGTGAGTGAAGCCACATTTTTCCTGGCCCTCATTGTTTGATGTTTTATTTTCTCTGCGTACCTGAATATTTTTAAAAGGTCACTATGTTGCCCAGGTGCAGTGGCTCATGCTTGGTAATCCCAGCACTCTGGGAGGCCAAAGCAGGTGGATCACCTGAGGTCAGGAGTTCAAGACCAGCCTGGCCAACATGGTGAAACCCAGTCTCTACTAAAAATACAAAAAAATAAGCCGGGTGTGGTGGCGCATGCCTGTAGTCCCAGCTACTAGGGAGGCTGAGGCAAGAGAATTACTTCAACCTGGGAGGCGACGGTTGGAGTGGGCCAAGATCACGCCAGTGCACTCCAGCCTGGGCGACAGAGCAAGACCTTGTCTCAAAAACAAACAAAAAAGTCACTATGTCAGCAAGGCCTTCCCTGAACACTTGGTTTAAACATTTGCCATCTTCTCCATTCTCCTTTGTTTTATTCACACTTAGCAGCTTCTAGCCAACCTGTGTAGGAACCGTTCGTTATCTATTTACTGTGATATAAGGAGCTTGTGCCAGAATGTAAACCAGTGCCCCCTGCTTCCTGCATTAAGATAGCCTTGCAAGACAAAAAGTGCGAGCTGAGTCGAACGGCACGCTTGGTGCCATAGTTGATCTACATTGTGGTGCTGCGTCCTTATTTTGTCACCAACTGGTCACAAAGTGTGGATTGTCAGTGTCTCATAGGCCACATGTCAAGTGGCATGGTCTAAACACACTCTAAAATTTACTTATTTTGGGCTGGGTGCGGTGGCTTGTGCCTGTAATCCCAGCCCTTTGGGAGTCCAAGGTGGGTAGATCACTTGAGGCCAGGAGCTCGAGACCAGCCTGGCCAACCTGGTGAAACCCTGTTACTGCTTAAAAAAAAAAAAAAAAAAGAAAGAAAAAAAAAGCTGGGCATGGTGGTGCATGCCTATATTCCCAGCTACTCAGGAGGCCGAGACATGAGAATCCCTTGAACCTGGGAGGCTGAGGTTGCAGTGAGCCGAGATCGAGCCACGGCACTCCAGCCTGGGCAACACAGCAAGACCCTGTCTCAAAAAAGTAAAAAAAAAAAAAAAATAAGTAAAATAAAATGTACTTATTTTATTGTCTGCTTTTCCCCCACTAGGATGTCAGCTCCAGATGGGCATTTTTGTCGTTTCTCTTGACTGCTGTATCCTCAGTATATAAAACAGTGCATAGCAGGTGCTGAACAAATATTGTCATCCATTGTAAAAAAAAAAAAAATACAGAAAGATATAAAATGAAAAGTATATTGTCCTCTCTTCCATCAGTTCCTCCCTTCTAAAGTGACAGTTTCGTGTACGCTTTTAGAGAAAAATGGACAAGCATATAGGTATTTAAAAATACTTTGACAGATATAAATGGAATCATACTGTACATAGTGTTCTCTTTTCTTTGGTTAACAATATATAGTCTTGGTTCGTTCATTCTGGTCTACTTCATTTTAGTTTTTTGGGGGGTTTTGTTTTGAAATGGGGTCTCGCTCTGTCCCCCAGGCTGGAGTACTGTGGTGCGATCATAGCTCACTGCAGCCTTGAACTCCTGGGCCCAAGCAATCCTCCTGCTTTAGTTTCCTAAGTAGCTGGGACTCCAGGTGCACTGCTACCACTCCCAGCTTGTTTCATTTGTGTTCATGATGGATGCTTGTCTGACGTGCAGATGCGCCCTGCTGGAATTACCCTTTCTCCCATTCCTTGCAAAAACAGGTTGTTCCCTGTTTTTTTTGCTGTTATGATCCATGCTACACTGAAAGTTCTGGTACCTGTCCTGGGGTATGGTAATGGGTCTATCCCTGCCTAGCTGGCTTTGAAAAGTTTAAAGACAACAGTGCAACTTACAATTTGCAAAGTTGGCCGCAAATCAGGAGACCATACAGAGATGGACTTTGGAAATTCCCTTTTTAAGCACAGTTAAAAACAGTTAATGGTGAAGGATGACTTCAGATCATGCCCCATGTTTGTTTTTTCTTTCTGTCTTTTTATTAACTGTGTCATTCTTTTTGTAATGTTGTGCTCATTACAACTATTCCTTCTTGGTCAGGTTGGCAAATTATATGTTTTTCTGGCAAGTTTCTGTGAAGCAGAGTTAAACATGTTTATGAATATGAACTTTTCTGTTAAACTACCATCTGCTTCATCTTTGTTGAGTTTCAGGTGGAATGTCTAAGGAAGCTCCAGCTGTTTCAGCATTTGCGAAAGCGTGTTCATGCTCCCACTGAATTTTCTTAGTCTTGCCTTACTTCTCTCAGGGTCTGGAACTGCAGGAGAGATGGTGTTCAAATTCAAGCCTGCATCAGAATCACCTGGAGAGCTTGTTATTATATTTTATTATTTATTCATTTATTGAGATGAAGTCCCAGTCTGTCACCCAGGTTGGATTGCTATGGCACTATCTTGGCTCACTGCAATCTCTGCCTCCCGGGTTCAAGCGATTCTTCCACCTCAGCCTCTGAGTAGCTGGGATTACAGGCATGCAGCAACCATGCTCAGCTAATTTTTAAAATATCTTTAGTGTAGAGATGGTGTTTCACCATGTTGGCCAGGCTGGTCTCGAACTCCTGACCTCAGGAGATCTACCCGCCTTGGCCTCCGAAAGTGCTGGGATTACAGGCATGAGCCACAGTGCTGGCTGTTAGCTTGTTACTATAAAACTCAGCTTTCTGGGCCCCACCCAAATTTTCAGTTTTAGTAGGTCTGGTTGGGGCCTGAGTATTTGCTTTCCTAACATATCCCTAGGTGCTGCTGCTTCTGGTTCAGGTCGACATGTAGAGACACCGGAGTGGATCCTCACTGCCTAAAGTCTGGTCCGTGGACCAGCAGCCATGGCATCACCTGGTGCTTGTTAACGGTGCAGAATTTCAGGCCTCAGCCCAGATCCACTGAAACGGAATCTGAGTTGTAACTAGTTCTCTAGGTGGTGTGTATGCACATTAAATTTCGAGAGAGACTGGCAGAAAGTAGGAGTAAAGAAACTTTTTCTGTAAATACTTTCGGAATTCCGGGCCATACAGTCTCTGTCACAAATACCAGTCTCTTCCAGCGTAGTGCAAAAACAGCCTTAGATAATATGGAAATCGATGGGTGTGGCTGTGTTCCTGTAAAAAAGTATTTAGAGACACCAAAATTTGAATTTTATAGAATTTGCATGTGTCATGTAATATTGTTTTGATTTTTTTAACTTTTAAAAAATATGAAATCTGGCTGGGCGCAGGGGCTCATGCCTGTAATCTCAGCACTTTGGGAGGCCGAGGCGGGCGGGTTGCTTGAGGCTAGCAGATTGAGACCAGCCTAGCCAACGTGGTGAAACCCCGTCTATACTAAAAATACAAAAATTAGCTGGAAGTGGTGGTGCGCACCTGTGGTCATAGCTACTCGGGAGGCTGAGGCAGGAGGATCGCTTCAACCCAGGAGGCAGAAGTTGCAGTGAGCCAAGATCATGCCACACACTCCTGGCTGGGCAACAGAGTGAGACCCTTTCCTGCTGCTGCCCCCCCACCCCCTCCCAGCCCCCCACAAAAAAAAATTAGCCAGGTGTGGTGGAGCATGCTGGTCATCCAAGCTTTTTGGGAGGCTGAGGTACGGGAATCGTTTGAACCCGGGAGGCGGAGATCGCAGCGAGCTGAGGTCACGCCACTGCACTCTAAGCCTGGGCAACAGAACAAGACTCTGTCTCAAAAAAAATAAAAAAAATGAAATCAATGCTGAGCTCATGGGCCGTATGTAAACAGGTGTGGGCCAAATGTGGACCTGAGCCATCCTTGTTGGCCAGCCCCTGGCTTAGAGGACTGGAATGTTCTTCTGAGAATCAGGACACCTGCCACATTCTACTGCCAGCTCACAGTGTGACCCCAAAGCTGGTCATCTCACCTCGCTGGCTCTAGATTTTGTCACATGGAAAATGAAGGGGTTAGATTCCAAGCATGTCAAATACTGGGCCCTGTCCTCCTTCCTCATGCCCACAGCAGACACCCACAGTCACTCATGGGGTTCTTTCCCACTGAGTTATGTTCAAGCAGCCCTCCAGGTGACTGGTGCCAGTGGCCTAGAGTTGAGCAAGAAATGACATCTTGTTGCCCTTCTGTAACTCCATGTTCCCTAAGATCACTTCCAGCTCCAATGCCCCTGCATTCTGCCTTGTACATTGCATTCTTCTTACACTCCAATACCTTGACTTTACCGGGGTGCGTTGATGAACTCTCTCTTTTTTTGTTTTTTTTGGGACTGAGTCTCACTCTGTCACCCGGGCTGAAGTGCAGTGGTGCCATCTCAGCTCACTGCAACCTCCATCTCCCAGTTCAAGCAATTCTCCTGCCTCAGCCCCCCGACTAGCTGGGATTACAAACATGCACTACCATGCCTTGTTAATTTTAATATTTTTAGTAGAGATGGGTTTTTGTCATGTTCGCCAGGCTGGTCTCGAACTCCTGACCTCAAGTGATCTACCTGCCTTGATCTCCCAACGTGCTGGGATTACAAGCGTGAGCCACCGCGCCTGGACTCTCCTTTTTTTTTGAGAAGGAGTCTTGCTCTCTCGCCAGGCTGGAGTGCATTGGCACGATCTCAGCTCACTGCAATCTCTGCCTCTTGGGTTCAAGCGATTCTCCTGCCTCAGCCTCCTGAGTAGCTGGGATTACAGGCGCCTACTACCATGCCCAGCTAAGTTTTGTATTTTTAGTAGAGACGGGGTTTCACCAGGGTTCAAGCAATTCTCCTGCCTCAGCGTCCGAGTAGCTGGGAGTACAGGCGCACGCCACCATGCCAAGCCAATTTTTTGTATTTTTAGTAGAGATGGGGTTTAGCCGTGTTGGCCAGGCTGGTCTCAAACTCCTGGCCTCTAGTGGTCCACCCACCTCGGCCTCCTAAAGTGCTGGGATTACAGGTGTGAGCCGCCATGCCCGGTGGGTCTTACTTTATAAAGTAGGCAGTAATGTATTTGCATATGGTGAAACATAATTAAAGCTGCACCAGATGGTATTCATACAGCCGGACTTCGCACGTGGCCACCTCAGCCTGCTGACATTCGCCAACAGGTCATCCTTTGTCCCTGTGTTGTAGGGCCTGGACTGCACATTGCAGGATGTTTCCCAGCATCTGTGGCCTCTACCTGCCAGATGCTAAGTCGTACCTCTCCCTCTTCTTCCCAGTGGTGACAATAGAAAATGGCTCCAGGCATTGCGAAGTGTCCCCTTGGGGGACAGAATTCTCCCAGTTGAGAACCACAGTCAATAGTGAAAGGCCCAAGCCCTTCCTCCTAACACCAGTCACCTTGCTTCCCTCTCTCCATGTTTCTTGTGTGTTTTTCCAGAGTCCACATCTGTATCACTGTAATGGTGGATACATGTCATACATGTAGTTATGGTTACTTGATTCTGTTTACTTTACTTTTATACAAGTGATAGTAAGAGTCATACATAAATACATACAAAATGGCTTTTTTTTTCTTTTTTTCTTTTTTTTTTTTTTTTTTTGAGATGGGGTCTCACACTGCCGCCCAAGCTGGAGTGCAGTGACATGATCTTGGCTCACTGCAACCTCTGCCTCCCAGGCTCAAGTAATCCTCCAACCTCAGCCTCCCAGGCAGCTGGGACTACAAGCATGCACCACCATGCCCAGCTAATTTCTGTAATTTTGCAGAGACAGGGTCTCACTTTGTTGCCCAGGATGTTTTCAAACTCCTGAGCTCGAGCAGTCCGCCTGCCTCTGTCTCCCAAAGTGCTGGGATTGTAGGTATGAGCCACTGCACCTGGCCTTGATGGCATTTTGAAAGGTCTTGTCTCAGAGGAAAAGATACAAGCCAGAGGGCGCTGGTGATGAGGTTTGGTCTGTGCCTTGTGTCCCGCTTAGGAGGGGATGGGCAGCGTGTTCTCACAGCTTTTTGCTCTGCACATTGGATTCGTTGGCAAAACCCACAGTTTCCAGGCTGTCACCAAACTTTGCTTATCACTTCCTGCCCTGTTCCCCATTAGGAAACCACAGCAGAAGATGCTTAAGAGCAGGACTGGCTTTTCTTCTCTTTTTTCTTTCTTTCTTTCTTTTTTAAAGAGACAGGGTCTTGTTTTGCTGTCCAGGCTGGAGTACAGTGGCTTGATCACAGCTCACTGCAACCTCCAACTCCTGAGCTAAAGCGATCCTCCTGCTTCAGCCTCTGGAGTAGCTGGGATTACAGATGTGAAATACTGAGCCCGGCTACCGGCTTTACTTAACCTTTTCTTGAGCTTTCTTGCCATTTAGTTTCCCGGAGTTTCCAGAGACAGAGTTTGTTGAGCTGTTTGGCAAGAAACAGATGGGCCTGGGTGTCAGCTGGGGAGACCTTGTCCTGGCCGAGGCATCGAAGCCTCTGACTACATTAGGATAAAATATGTGGCCTTTAGTTCCCCTGGAAGGTGCCTGAGTGTTTTTTCCACTGGTGTGCATTCCTGTGCTTCAAAGACGATGAGGTGTTTACCCAGCGGTAGGTGTGATGGAACACAGAGGCCGGGGAAGGCCAGGGATGCCATCCAGGGACTGATGGGACTGTTTTTCTGGAATGGCAAACCTGGCATTTACCACGTCCACCTAATGCACTTTCCTAAAATAGCATCGCCAGGCAGCCGTCAATATTTAACATTTTCTGTCTTGGATGATTTGTGAGCTTCTTGCCTTCTGTTTACCCTGAATCTCCCTTTGTTAGAATAATTCATCATTCTCTATGGTAATGATCTGTCCTGTAGTTCTCTGCTGATCATATCCTAGGGCCCATGGAGACACTGCCACGACCATGTCATTTTATTTATTTATATATTTATACATTTCTGTATTTTTGAGACGGAGTCTCATTCTGCCGCCCAGGCTGGAGTGCAGTGGCACAATCACAGCTCACTGCAACCTCCACCTCCCAGGTTCAGCTGATTCTCCTGCCTCAGCCTCCCGAAGAGCTGGGATTACAGGTGTGCGCCACCACACCTGGCTAATTTTTTGTCTTTTTAGTAGAGATGGGGTTTCACCATGTTGGCCAGGCTGGTCTCAAACTCCTGACCTCAAGTGATCCGCCCACCTCGGCCTCCCAAAGTGCTGGGATTGCAGGTGTGAGCTACCATGCCCAGTCAGACCTTGTCATTTTGTGCTTGTACCAGCAAAGCATAGGGACCTTGGCAAATAGTTCATGCTCTGTAAATGTATGTAGGTAAATGAATAAATACATGAATGAATGAGAGGTTGAAATAAATCATATTAATTAGGAACTGTCTTGCAAATAACAGAAACCTAGCTTAAATCAACTAGAGTAAGAGAAGAGGGGGATTTTTGAGTCACAAAACTAAAAAGTCTAGAAAAAGACTTTTAAGCATGAATGGGGTTCCAGGCATGGCTGGATCTAGGAGTTCCCAAGATAATGTTGGGAATAACAACGTCTCTGACTCTCAGCTCTGCTTTCTTGATGGTGGTTTCTTTATTAGCTGGTAGTTTCCTGATCATCCTGTCACCTCAGCAACCCCTGTGAACAGAGAGTCTTACTCTTTTCCCCTAATATTTCCTGCAAAGCTATGGGATTGAGTCTCATTGGTTGTGGTCGATCACATGCTTCTTCCTGAGCCAGTCACTGAGGCCAGGGAGATAGGATGCTTGGGTCAGCCAGGGCTAGGTCATGTCTTTCAGGGCTTGGGGCCAAGGTAGGGGGTGAGGGAGGAGGTTCATCTGTGGCTGAAGCTCATAGGTTGACACTGGGAGAAGTTCAGTTCCCCCAGAGAAAATTGCATGTTGCCATAAACAGAGTAATAGATGCCAGGTAGGCAGGAAGAGCAGGTAACTGCACACAGGGCATCAGGATTTTTAGGGAGTGGGCTGGAGTGTAGGGGTTCCATTCATTGGTTTTCCACGTTTCTCAGAAAAGGCACCTAGGGGACAGGTGCTCCTCACTGTGTATGAAGGGCTTTTGCACCCTAGACCCTCGCCTATTACAAGGCGAACTCCAGTCTCCTGCTGCCTGGAGCCCCAGTCATTGTGCCCGTCCTACCAGCCTCTTCGGATTTCCAAACACTGCCTGCAGGGAACCTGTTAAAGCCTGTGCTTCCACTAGACTGTGCGTCTCAGGGTTGCCAAGCCCACCTCAGTCCCCAGCGCATGATGGGTGCTCAGTTACCACCTGAGGGGTGGATGGCTAGATGACCTCCTCCTTCTGGAGAAGCCAGGACCATGGACCTGAAAGGGGCCGCATGATGTTGTCCTGTCCCCTCTCTGTGTGTGCCCTGTGCTGCCAGCAGCCGGCATCGATTGGTACTTGGCTCACCAAGGGGGCTGGTACGTTTTGGTGGTGAGATGCCTGAGGCCTGGTTTGCTTCACTGCTGAAGAGACACCTGTGATGTGCTCTTCTGCCCTCAGGCAAATTCACCTACCCCGTCCCCACCCATTTATCCACTCCCACCCATCCATTATCTATCCAGCAGACATTCACTGAGCACCATGATCTGGGCTCTGTCCTAGGCTCTGACAATACAGCAGTGCATACTACAGGTAATAATCTCCAGTCATGGAACATTCATTTTTCACGGAGAGAAACAGACAAGGAAAAATAGGCACAATAAATAAATCCTAGTGCTAGAGAAAGCCATCCTAAGTGCTATAGAAAGAAAAGAGTCAGATCTTTGGAATAAGGGCGGCTTGCAGTTTTAAGTAGGGTGGTCCAAGCTCACTGAGAAGGTGACACTTGAGGAAAGACTTGATGGAGGTAAAGAGGCCAACCAGGGAGTAGCAAGAGCATGTGCAAAGGCCCTGGGGCATTACTGTGCCCATTCATAGGTGGGATAACCATGGAGGCTGAAACAGTGGGAGTGAGGGGAGAGTGACAGATGACGCCAAATGAGGTACAGGGAAGGGACTTTACAAATCAGCTGGGCCTTGGGATCTGAGTCAGCACTTTGACTTCTACACTGAAAAATAGGTTGACTTTGGAGAGGTACTTTTTTAAAAATTACTTGTTTAGAGATGGGGGCCTCACTCTGTTACCCAGGCTGGTGCGGGGGCACAGTAATAGCTCACTGCAGCCTCGACCTCCTGGGCTCAAATGATTCTCCTGCCTCAGCCTCCCTAGTAGCTAGGACTACAGGTGCATGCCACTATGCTTGACTTATTTATTAATATTATTGTTGTTTTGAGACGGAGTCTTGCTCTGTTGCACACGCTGGGGTGCAGTGGTGCAATCTTGGCTCACTGCAACCTCCACCTCCCGGGTTAAAGTGATTCTCCTACTTCAGCCTCCCTAGTAGCTGGGACTACAGGCACATGCCACCACACCCGGCTAATTTTTGTATTTTTAGTAGAGACAGGGTTTTGCCCTGTCAGACAGGCTGGTCTTGAACTCCTGACTTCAGGAGATCCACCTGCCTTGGCCTCCCAACATGCTGGGATTACAGGCATGAGCCATTGAGCCCAGCCACCTGGCTTATTTTTTAAAAAATTTTGTAGAGACACAGCCTTGCTTTTTTGCCCTGGCTCTGCTCGAACTTCTGGCCTCAAGTGATCCTCCCTCCTCGGCCTTGCAAAGCATTTGGATTACAGGCATGGGCTACCATGCCGATCGAAATGTATTTTTTTAATGGAGGTATAATTCACCATTTAAAAGTGTGCAATTCAGTGGTTTTTTTGTGTGATGTGTGGTGGTGTGAAGGTCACCCAGTGGGTTTTTTTGTATAAATGATAATGACAATCACCACTAATTCCAGGACGTTTTCATTACCCCAAAAGGAAGCCCTGTACCTGTTACCAGTTGCTCCCCAAATCTTCCATTCCATTCCAGGCAACCAGTAATCTGCTTTCTGTCTGTCTCTGTTTATCTACTGTGGACTTTTCATATAAATGGAATCAAACAACAGGTGGCCTTTTCTGACTGTTTTCTTTTTTTTTTGAGACGAAGTGTCTCCCTTGTTGCCCACCTGAAGCGCAATGGCATGACCTTGCCTCACTACAACGTTTGCCTCCTAGGTTCAAGCGATTCTCCTGCCTCAGCCTACTGAGTAGCTGGGATTATAGGCATGCACCACCACTCCTGGCTAATTGTGTATTTTTAGTAGAGACGGAGTTTCTCCATGTTGGTCAGGCTGGTCTGGAACTCCCGACCTCAAGTGATCCGCCCGCCTCAGCCTCCCGAAGTGCTGGGATTTCAGGTGTGAGCCACCCCGCCTGGCCATCTGACTGGTTTCTTAGCATGATGTTTTCAAGGTTTATCCATGTTTTAGCATGTATAAGAATTTCACTCCTTTTTATGGTTGAGAAGTCTATCATGTAGATACATGTAGACCCTTTCGAGTAAAGAATATCTCTGGGCTGGGCATGGTGGCTCATACCTGTAATCCCAGCATTTTGGGAGGCCGAGGCAGACGGATCACTTGAGGCCAGGAGCTCAAGACCAGCCTGACCAACATGGCGAAACCCCATCTCTACTAAGAAAAATACAAAAAGATTAGCTGGGCATGGTGGTGGGCGCCTGTAATCCCAGCTACTTGGAGACTGAGGCATGAGAATCGTTTGACCTTGGGAGGCAGAGGTTGCGGTGAACTGCGATCGCACCACTGCACTCCATCTTGTGCAAAAGAATGAGACTGTGTCTCAAAAAAAAAAAAGTATCTTTAGGTAAGATGCCAGTGTTGCGTTACCGCTTAGAAGATGGGAGCCAGGATGGGTGCAGTGGCTCATGTCTGTAATCCCAGCACTTTAGGTGGCCGAGGCAGGCAGATGGCCTGAGCCCAGGTGTTCGAGAACAGCCTAGGAAGCATAGGGAGACCCTGTCTCTACAAAAATAAAAAAATTAGCCGGGCATGGTGGTATGCGCCTGTAGTCCTAGCTACTCGGGAGGCTGAGGTGGGAGGAATGCTTGAGCCTGGGAGGTCGAGGCTGTGGTGAGCCATGATTGCACCACTGCACCCAGGGATCATGCGTCCCTGTCGTTTCGAGCACCTTGCCTCCCTCTTGACATCGGAGCCTGGAAAATTTCTGTGCCATGGCTCAGCGTCATCTGTCTTGTTAATGTCAGAGCCAGAACACGAACCAGCTCTGGCTTCCCGTGGGACCGGGCTCTCGCTTGTGTGACCACGTTAATAGATTCCTTGGAAGAATGATCTAAGGAATTTGGACCAAATCTTCCAACAAGAAATAAAAACAGCTGCCATCTGTTGAGTTTTACTGTGCTTGGGCCCTGTGCAAATAAACACCCTACATAAGTGCCAACAGCCCTTAAAAGCCTATCATGACTTCCATTTTATAGATGAGAAAATAGGGGCTTGCCTGGAGAGGTGAAATAACTCAACCAGGGTCCCACAGCGGAAATATGGCAAAGTGTATGGTTTTTATTTTTAAGCTGTATGACCTTCCAGGAAGTAACAATGAAATGGCAGTGCTGAGACCCTGAAAATACATGGGCCGATGGCCAGATGGCAGGGCTATTTGGGTAAAGTGGGAGAGACAGCTCCCTTGAATGGTGAGAGGGAGGAGTCAGGTGGCCCCCTGGATGGAAGATGGTTTCAGGCAGAGGAAACGTCAGGGGCAAAGGCCTGGCTTGGGGATTGTGCTTGGTGCTTTTGAGGAATACTAAGAATGCCCCTCTAGGACATCTCTGAGAAAGTTGATGGGAGAGGCCGGCTCTTTGGGCTCCCGGTCGTTGATTTATCCAGTTCATTCCCAGAGTGTTTAGTGAGCACCTGCCATGTGCCAGATACTGCCCCAGGTTTTTCCACGAGCTCCAGCAGCTGGTCAGTTGTGGCCACCTGGGGAGGGCCCAAACGCGTCTCCAGGGCCTGTCACTGCTCCTAGGATGATGACTCTCACTCAGGGCACAGCAGTCAGCACTGGGCGTTCTGCTTGCAGGTGGCCCTGTGCACATTTGCCGTCTACGTGACCATTGACGAGAACAACATCCTGGATGCCCAGACAGCCTTCGTGTCTTTGGCCTTGTTCAACATCCTCCGGTTTCCCCTGAACATTCTCCCCATGGTCATCAGCAGCATCGTGCAGGTACAGGGGGAAGCTGGGGCGACTTCCGAGAGGGGGCCTTGGGGTTCTAGGCCACGAAAGCATGGAAGTGCCCCCGAGCGCAGCCTCTAGATCACACTCCCGGTCGGGCTCCATGAGGCCCGGACAAAGGCTGCCATGCTTTCGTCTGGTCATGCCTGAAAGAAAGAAAACACATTTGTCTTCTTGACAGAGAACTCGCACTTGAGTATATGAATCAAGTTTAATGCAGCAGGGCTTTCCCATGCTCTGGAAGAATCTTTCCGAAATACTCTGTTCTCTTCAGCCTGTTCCTCCGCCATTCCTATCCTTTTTTTAAAAAATGTAGCTCTTGTCTGACTTGATTGATTTTACAACCCACTGATAGGTCTTGACCACCCACGCTTTGAGAAACCCCAACCTTACAGCCGGGCGCGGCGGCTCATGCCTGTATTCCCACCATTTTGGGAGGCTGAGGCGGGTAGATCACCTGAGGTCAAGAGTTCGAGACCAGCCTGGCCAACATAGTGCAACCTCATCTCTACTAAAAATACAAAAATTAGCCAGGTGTGGTGGCGGGTCCCTGTAATCCCAGCTACTCGGAAGGCTGAGGCAGGAGAATTGCTTGAGCCCAGGAGGAAGAGGTTGCAGTGAGCCAAGATCGTGCCATTGCATTCCAGTCTGGGTGACACAGCAAAAACTCCGTCTCAAAATTAAAAAAAAAAAAAAAGAAAAACCCCAACCTTACGGCCGGGCATGATGGTACATGCCTGTAATCCCAGCACTTTGGGAGGCCAAGGCAGGTGGATCTCTTAAGCCCAGGAGTTTGAGACTAGCCTGGGCAATATGGTAAAACCCTGTATGTAAAAAAAAATAAAATAAAATAAAATAAAAATAAATAAATAAATAAATAAATAAATAAATAAATAAATATGTTTGAAAATTAGCCAGGCATGGTGGTGTGCCCCTGTACTCCCAGCGACTCAGAAGGCTGGGGTGGGAGGATCAGCTGAGCTTGGGAAGTTGAGGCTGCAGTGAGTCATAGTCTCACCACTACACTCCAGCCTGGGTGAAGGGAGTAAGACCCTGTTTTTTTTTGTTTTTTGTTTTTATTTTTTAGAAACAATGTAGACCCTGTAGAATCTCTAAAATTCCTGCCATTGACTGTGTAAGGAGGGGTGGCTTTCTGTTTTGTCACACTTGGGCACTACTGGAAGCTCCTGTCACTTTTCTGCACTGTTTTCACATTCTTTTTCCGAGCATTGCGAACATCCCTTTTGAAAACTCCATTTTAACTACATAGGCAAATCAACCGTAAAATTTGGTAGTACAAGGCTGATAGCAGGCTTTGTCAAAAACAAAAAAATCCATTTTATTATGAAAAATGTCAAGTGTACACAGAAGTAGAATAGCTTAAAGTTTGTAAACTGGCATTAAAAGAAAAAGAAAAAGAAAAAAAAAACCAAGCATGATGGCTCACACCTGCAATCCCAGCATTTTGGGAGACCAAGGCAGACAGATCAGCTGAGGTCAGGAGTTCGAGACCAGCCTGGCCAACATGGGGAAACCTTGTCTCTACTAAAAATACAAAAATTAGCCAGATGTGTTGGTTGGTGCCTGTAATCCCAGCTAATCTGGAGGCTGAGACACGAGAATCGCTTGAACCTGGGAGGTGGAGGTTGCCGAGGTTGCAGTGAGCCGAGATTGTGCCACTGCACTCCAGCCTGGGCGACTGAGTGAGACTCAGTCTCCAAGAAAGGAAATAATACAACATGAACCCCGTGTACACATCACTCAGATTCAACATCGGCATTTTTTGGCTGGGCGCAGTGGCTCACGCCTGTAATCCCAGCACTGTGGGAGGCTGAGGTGGTAGGATTGCTTCAGCCCAGGAGTTCAAAATCAGCCTGGGCAATGAGACCCTTACTCTACAAAAAATAACAAAATGGGTGTGGGGTGCACGCCTGCAGTGACTACATGGGAGGCTGAGGCAGAAGGATCGCTTGAGCCTAGGAGTTTGAGGCTGCAGTGAGTTATGTTTGCACCACTGCACTCCAGCCTGGGCAACAGAGCAAGACTCTGTCTCAAATAAAGAAACCAAGGTTGGGCGCAGTGGCTCATGCCTGTAATCCCAGCACTCTGGGAGGCCGAGGTGGGCGGATCATGAGGTCAGGAGATGGAGACCATCCTGGCTAACACGGTGAAACCCTGTCTCTGCTAAAAATATAAAAAAATTAGCCAGGTGTGGTGGCAGGTGCCTGTAGTCCCAGCTACTCGGTTGGCTGAGGCAGGAGAATGTTGTGAACCCGGGAGGTGGAGCTTGCAGTGAGCCGAGATTGCGCCACTGCACTCCAGCCTGGGTGACAGAGCGAGACTCCATCTCAAAAACGAACAAAAAAACCCAAAACATTTTGCCACAGTTGATTTATCTCATTCTTTTTCAGTATCCCTCCCTTGTCCCTCTTTCCCTTCATTTGTTTTTAATGCTAAACTCTGCTATCTATCCCTTCATTCTTTCCTTTCTTTGCCGAATAATTTTAAAGCAAATCTCAGACCCCTTACATTCTACCCACAAATATTTCAGCATGCATTTCTTCCTACATAATGTAATACCATCATCATGTCTAAGCAAACTAACAATAAGTTTTTACAATAATACTCAGCCCATATCCAAGTTTTCTGGAATATCTCAGAAATGCCTGTCCCATTGGGCTGTTTGAATTGGCTCTGTTGCATTTGCTGTTACGTTTCCAGAGTCCCTTTTCCACCAGGCCTCTGCCCTTTTCTTCTTTTATTTTTATTTTTATTTATTTATTTTTTGAAATGGAGCCTCACTCTGTCGCCCAGGCTGGAGTGCAGTGGCATGATCTTGGCTCACTGCGACCTCTGCCTTCCCAGGTTCAAGTGATTCTTCTGCCTCAGCCTCCCGAGTAGCTGGGATTGCAGGTGCGTGCCACCACGCCAGGCTAATTTTATGTATTTTTTTTTTTTTTTTTTAGCTGAGGCGGGGTTTCACCATGTTGGCCAGGCTGGTCTCAAACTCCTGACCTCAAGTGATCTGCCTGCCTTGGCCTCCCAAAGTGCTGGGATTACAGGTTTGAGCTACCGTGCCCAGCCATTCGCCCATTTTTTCTGAAATACCTTTTGTGGGATTTTAAAACAAAGCAGAACCAAACCTGTTTCTTTTTTTGTTTTGTTTAATTCTAAAGTATACACTGGTTCTAAGAAATGTGGGACCTTCAGAAATAAGGGAGGGTGTGTGCCCCTCCACACCTGGGGAAACCCTTGAAAGTTAACCTTGGTTGGTTTTGCAAAAATGCTTTTTAAAAATAACTCTCCCCTGCCATTGCTCTCTGTACAGGCGAGTGTCTCCCTCAAACGCCTGAGGATCTTTCTCTCCCATGAGGAGCTGGAACCTGACAGCATCGAGCGACGGCCTGTCAAAGACGGTGTGTGTGTGTTCAGTCCTGGCTTCTGGAAGTGGCCGCCTTCCCATCTCCCACTGGGTCCTCCCTACTTGCATTTCTTTCCCTTGGCTGCCCTCAGGTTTGACTCTGCCCAGCCGCTTGTCTGCGAGACCCCGGGGGACAAGGGTTCTGCAGAGCCTGCAGAAGGGAAGGGAAGCCTGGCCTCCTGGGCTTCTGTCCTGTCTCACACTTCCCAGGAGGGTGAACTTGCACTTGCATTTTTGTTTTCTTGCTGAGGGTCAGCAGCTGCTTGAGGCTTCCCCGTGGGAGTCACTTTCCAAGGCTTTGACCTTGATTCTATTCTGGGCTAAATGAGGACTCTGGAGGCTGGCCAGCCTCCATCACCCACAAGCTGTGTAGACTTAGGTCTGAGCCTCACTTTTATCTAGATAAGGGAAACAAAAGTACCTTTCTTTGGCTGAGTGTTACTTGGATTTTTTTTTTTTTTTGAGACAGGGTCTCATTCCATTTCCCAGGCTGGAGTGCAGTGGTGCAGTCACAGCTGTCACTGCAGCCTTGATTTCGTGGGCTCAGGTGATCCTCTGACCTTAGCCTCCCAAGTAGCTAGAACTACAGGCACACACAGCACCATACTTGGATAATATTTTGGTATGTTTTGTAGAGACAGGGTTTCACCATGTTGTCCAGGCCGGTCTCGAACTCCTCAGCTCAAGCAATCCACCTGCCTCAGCCTCCCAAAGTGCTGGGCTTATAGGCATGAGCCAGTTCTCCTGGCCTTTTTTTTTTTTTCAATATTAAATTGTTTTATTTGGAGAGACAAGGTCTTGCTTTGTTCCTCAAGTTGGTCTTGAACTCCTGGGCTCAAGGATCCCTCTGCCTCAGCCTCCCAAAGTGCTGGGATGACAGATGTGAGCCACTGCACCTGGCCATGCATTTTTATTGGCAAGTTTGTTTGTTTTGTAGCTTGTTAATTTATCGTTTCCCAGCCCATCCCCCTGAGCCAGGGATGTTGTTTGTAACCATCTCTCTAGGCACTTAATAATAAATATTAGGCCGGGCACAGTGGCTCACGCCTGTAATCCCAGCACTTTGGGGAGCTGAGGCAGGTGGATCACTTGAGGTCAGGAGTTCGAGATCAGCCTGGCCAACAAGGTGAAACCCCGTCTCTACTGAAAATACAAAAATTAGCTGGACATGGTGTTGGGCACCTGTAATCCCAACTACTCGGGAGGCTGAGGCAGGAGAATCACTTGAACCCAGGAGGCGGAGGTTGCAGTGAGCCAAGATCGCGCCACTGCACTCCAGCCAGGGCAAAGAGTGAGACTTCATCTCAAAAAAAAAAAAAAATAATAATAATAATAAATATTAATGGCACTAAGTGCAGTGACACGTTCACTTATAAAGCCTCTGTCATGCACATGCCATTCCAAGGATGTCAATGTCCCAACTTGTCCATTACTCACCATGGTACCCCTGGAGGAGGGTGATGGAAACCCCCATTTTCCAGATGAAGAAACTGGTCTCTGAAACTTGCCTGAGATTGCACAGCTGATCAAAAGAAGAACCAGCATTCACACCCACAGCCCATCGGTAGAGTCCATGCTCTTCCTGGCCATAGGGTGTTGCCTCACTGAGATTTACTGAGCACCTACTATGTGCCAAGCATTGTGAGAAGTGCTCTGTGTGCACTGCCTCATAGACACCCCATCACAGCCCTCTGAAGTTGATTGCATGATTGTCAGCCTTATTTTACAGATGAAAAAGTGAGGCACAGGCTGGGTGCAGTGGCTCCTACCTATAATCCTAGTACTTTGGGAGGCCAAGGCTGGAGGATTGCTTGAGGCCAGGAGTTTGAGACCACCTTGGGTAATGTAGTGAGACCTCGTCTCTACAAAAATTAAATTCACCAGGCATGGTGGTGCACCTGTAGTCCTAGTTACTTGAGAGGCTGAGGCAGGAGGATTGGCTGAGCCCGGGAGTTCAAGGCTATAGTGAGCTATGATCATGCCACTGTACTCCAGCCTGGGTGTCAGAGTGAGACCCTGTCTCAAAAAACAAACAAACAAAGGCACAGAGAAGTTAACTAACTTGACTGTGGCTACCCAGGTACGAAGTGGTAGCCCCAGGATTCAAACCCATACAGTCTGGCTCCAGAGTCCAATGTCAGAAGATTGAATGTGTGTAAACGTCGGTTATACCGCGTGAGCTGTGTCTGGCACCTCGCAGGCGCTCAGGTATCTTTAGTGGTACCTAAAACGTTTGACACGTTTGACACAGCACCTGGTGCATAGAAGATGATAAACAGATCCTGGGAGTTGTCACTTCTCTGGTCTGAGCGAGATGGTCTCAGCATCTTCAGCTCAGCCCCCTGGTGTGGGGTTTTTTATCCTGGGCGCTACTGACATCTGGAGACACATTGTTCTTTGTGGTTGGGGACTGTCCTGTGCACTGTGGGATGTTGAGCAGCAACCCTGGACTCTACCCATTAGATACAGTAGTATCCATCCCAATTTTGGCAACCAAAAATGGCTCCAGACATTGCCAGATGTGCCTTGAGGGACACAGTTACCTCCAGTTGAGAACCGTGGCCCAAGTGGATGCTGGACTCTTCCTCCCAACACTCCTGGGCTGTGGTCATCTGGTTTCTGCTGTCCCAGTGTCCCACATCCCCTCACATCATAAGGCAATGATTCCATCTACTCTGGGGTCAAATTTCTCTGCTAACCACAGGCTGAAATTTGAGGTGGCCGGCGGTGGGTGGGGGGTGGTTTCTTGCTACTGAAGTTGTTCACAGCTCAATGCAAGCATCAGGAAACCCCTAGGCCCCTGGGTGCCGCCCGCACCCCAGCCCCTCCTTCCTGCCCTAATAGTGGCCTCCTAGGTGGTTGGACTTCCTGGAATGTTTAGCACGCTCTAGCCAGTGGGGGCCCCCTTGGCTGCTCCCAGCTCCCAAGCTAACCGTTCTCTGCAACCTCTCTGTCTCCAGTGGCTTTTCTTAAATTCCTTAAATAGCAACTCCCAGTTTCCTCATTCCACGTCCACTCGTAGAAGAGCTGAGGGAGAAAGTTAATCTAGGTTAACCAGCACCTTCCTCTCTCTCTAGGTTTTTTGTTTTTTTGATGCATGGAGGAAGTTATTTCTTCATTTGACAACTTAAACAAAAAATACTCCTGTATTATCTCCAGATGGTCTTAAGGTGGCTCATAATTCAGAGAGCTGCTTTTCTGTTTTTTCTTTTTCTTTTTTTTTTTTTTTGAGACAGAGTTTCACTCTGTTGCCCAGGCTGGAGTGCAATGGCACGATCTTGGCTCTCTGCGACCTCTGCCTTGGTTTCAAGCGATTCTCATGTCTCAGACTCCCGAGTAGCTGGGACTACAGGCATGCGCTACCACACCTGGCTAATGTTTGTATTTTTAGTAGAGATGGGGTTTCACCACGTTGGCCAGGCTGGTCTCGAACTCCTGACATCAGGTGATCTGCCCGCCTCGGTCTCCCGAAGTGTTGGGATTACAGGCATGAGCCCCTGCGACTGGCCTGCTTTTGTTTTAAGTGAGAGACATGAAGTAAAAGGAAAATAACAGGAAGAAGAGTAAAAGAAGACAGAGGTGCTAGGAGCTTTAGAAGTGTGGAGCTGGCCGGGCATGGTGTCTCATGCCTGTAATCCCGGCACTTTGGAAGGCCGAGGCAAGCAGATCACTTGAGGCCAAGAGTTCGAGACCAGGCTGAGCAACATGTCAAGACCCCACCTCTACAAAAAATACAAAAAAAAAATTAGCTGGGTGTGATGGTGCACATCCTGTAGTCCCAGTTGCTCAGGAGGCTGAAGTGGGAGAATCGCCTGCGCCTGGGAGATGGAGGTTGCAGTAGGCCGAGATCGCACCACTGCGCTCCAGCCTGGGTGCAGAAGCCAGATCCTGTCTCAGAAGAAGACAGAAACATGGAACCAGTTAACGTGGGCTTTGTCTCCGACACTCTCCCCTTCCCTGTGCCCTCGTACCACACTTCCTCTTCCGTATCCTCTTTTTTTGAGTTTATCGTGATGGATGTTTTAGAAAGATCCACCTGCTGTGATGTGCTGTGTGTAGAGTGGTGTGGCTGGGGGAGGAAGACAGAGGACCTGGGGAGAAGGGTGAACGACCTCCCTTTGCACCTCAAGGAGGGCCCAGCGGTCTGATGCTGGCCACCCCAGTGGAGAGAGGTTTGCATGTGGACGCCAGCTGTTTCCCACTGACCTTGGCCACTGCTCGGCCCTCCCAGCTGGAGCTGCCCCGAACCTGCCTCATGCGGCCCCCGCCTCTGCAGTCATCTCCCAAGATGATCGTCCAGATGGCGCAACCCCATCTTACAAGGACAAAGCTGCTTGCAGTTTCCTTCTGCTTTCTGGGTCTGGGGCTGCCTCCAGAACTGCAAGTTGAGTTTCTTCTTTCAGAACCCGTGGCTGATGTCACCAGATAATAATGCCTAGCGCCATTCGTGCCAAGCGTCTGGGGTTGAACCATTCAAGCAGAGAAAGAGAGTGTTCTGTGCATGTGGAGTCGCACAGCTCAGCCTGTCCCTGACATGTCTCTGTGCTTTGTAGGCGGGGGCACGAACAGCATCACCGTGAGGAATGCCACATTCACCTGGGCCAGGAGCGACCCTCCCACACTGAATGGGTAAGCCGGGACGTGGACACACGTGATGGTGTGGAGAGAGCCACAGGGCTTTTGTTAAACGTGGATTCGAATTCCCACCGTGCTCCCTCTCTGTGACCTTGAACAACTCACTTTGCCTTTCTAAGACTTAGCTTACCCATCTGGACAATGGGTGCAGATACACCTGCTTAGGCTGTCGTGAGAAGCAGACACACATGCCTAGCACAGAGGGTTCCCTGGGATTGTAAGTTACAGCAGCCTTGGACAGCTAGACTTAGACAATACAGGAGATTCTTGGCTTGCGTAACTGGGAAGTTCTACTTTCAGGTGTGGTGTGATCCAGGGACTCTGCCGTCAGAACTTTCTTCATATTTTCTTTGTTTCACTTTCTCCTGGTCTGCTTTATCCTCACGCATCCTCTCCCCTTGTGATGGTAAATGGTCCCAACAGCTCCCACTGTGTATCCCACTGTTAGGAGAACTGCCTGCTTCTTATTGACCCAGATTGGGTCCTGTGCCCTCTGTGAGGCAATCGCTATGCCTTCAGACACTGAGTGTGCTGATTGGCCAGTCTCAGTCAGGGGCTGTGATGCTGCTGAACTCCAGTGCCCCTCAGCTGCCCAGCTCACCCTTTCTTGCCAGCTTTCTATCTGGCACCCCACACCCTACAGTCCTTACCTTTCCAAAGCACATGATGTCTAGGAAATTGACCTTATCCCCAGGCAACTTGTCAAGCACCTCTCATTTTGTTCTGACCAGAGGCCTTGATCAACAGCTTTTTAGGCCCCCTTAAGGAATCCGCAAAACACAGGGGTGATGGGACCCTTTTAGAGGTTTAGCTCATGCCTGGGTAGCCAAATCACTGCTGTATTTTATGATGAAGGAGAGAAACTCTCCAGAGAAAACAATCTTTAGAAGGCCTGCATTGAAAATTCATGGGGGTACTGCATGCTTAGGAAGTTCTTCCTTATGTCTAACTTAAATCCTGCCTGCTTCAATTGTAGCTGTTCTGTCTTGTTGAGCTGCACAACTAATCTGTATCTGTGTCCCTTTCCTGACCCAGTGGTTTTCCTGTTCAGTTACCTTCCCCCCATGAGCCCCCAGAACCTTTCTCTAACCCTTTTCTCTCATCAGCCTGTAAGAATATTTCAGTCTCACGTGGACAGTGGCAGGTACTGTCTCACGTGGACAGTGGCAGGTATTGTCTCACTGGGCTTCCTGCCCACTCAGGCCCCATAATCCTTTCCCCTCCCAGCACAGGAACAAAAAGCCTGATGAGTGTCACCATGCAGCAGTGTCATAAGAATGAAACAATCAGTGACAGCAACGACTATCAGCATTTCCACTAATACTCTGAAATCAGAAAGGTGGCAGTTAAAAAGCACAGAATCCCAGCACTTTGGGAGGCCAAGGTGGGCACATCACCTGAAGTCCGAAGTCTGAGACCAGCCTGGCCAACATGGTGAAACCCTGTCACTACTAAAAATAAAAAAACTAGCTGGGCATGGTGGTGCATGCCTGTAATCCCAGCACTTTGGGAGGCTGAGGCGGGCAGATCACTGGAGGTCAGCAGTTCGAGACCAGCCTGGCCAATGTGGGGAAACCCCATCTGTACTAAAAATACAAAAATTAGCTGGATGTGGTGGCGCTCGCCTGTAATCCCAGCTACTTGGGAGGCTGAGGCACAAGAATCATTTGAACCTGGGAGGCACAGGTTTCAGTGAGCCAAGATTGAGCCACTGTACTCCAGCCTGGGCCACAGAGTGAGACTCTTGTCTCAAAAAAATAAATAAATACTTAAGTAACTAAATACAGATAAATAAAAAATAAAAGCACATTCCATATAAGTGAGTCCAGCAAAGGTTTGGATGTGCCCTCCCTTCCCTGGGAGGATGGAAACCCTGCTCTGGAGGTGCCGTCGGCAGTGGGAGTGGCCTGGGGTTGACCTGCCCCATTGACAGCCGGTCTTACTGGGTGAATGCTGAGCTTATTTTATTTTGCTTTCTGCTGTTCGTTAAAGGATGATTTCAATAGAGACATCTTCCTGAAATTCAACTCAGATTTATTCATATGCGTTTCCCTTTTCAACCCTTTGGTGGCTCCCGGCTGGCAGAGTTCAGGTGTCTTAGCACAGCGTCCTTCCAGGGCATATTTCAAGGTGCTCCCAGGTCTGGCCACTACCTACCTCAGTGCCATCGCATCCCTGGTTACACCCTGTGCCTTCACCCCTTTACACCTTTCTCCGGCTCTCCCCATGTTTCTGTGTGTGGGACACTCCTGCTTTTTGTCAGAGTTTTTTGGTTTATTTATTTTCTGAGACAGAGTCTCACGCTCTTGCCCAGATCGGAGTGCAGTGGCACGATCTCAGCTCACTGTAACCTCCGCCTCTTGGGTTCAAGTGATTCTTGTGCCTCAGCCTCCTCAGTAGCTGGGACCACAGGCCCTGCCACCACCACGCCTGGCTAATTTTTATATTTTTAGTAGAAACGGGGTTTCACCATGTTGGCCAGACTGGTCTCGAGCTCCTGACCTCGTGATCCGCCTGCGTTGGCCTCCCAAAGTGCTGGGATTACCAGCACTGGCATGAGCTACCGTGTCCGGCCCCAGTTTGTCTTGAGGTGTCCTCTCCTTTCAGACCTTGCGTCATGCCCCCAGTAAAGTTTCTGCCTCTCCAAGGGGCAAAAACTGTTCCAGAAGCCCACTGTGACAGGATCCCTCAGGTTACTCCCTGCCTCACTTCTCTAAGGGACACCTGTCACCTGCCTCCCACCTGGAGGCCCCCTGAGACAGGTCACTGAACTGAACTCAGCAGTAGAAATGGAAGGAATGTTGAGGCCTTCAGTGTTTAGTACAGTCTTGCCTTCTGTCTTTCTCTTTCTCTACTTGGGGTAAATTGAGGCTCGGTGGCCATGGGCATTAGCCCGGCAGGCCTCATTCAGCGTGGCTGAGCCAGGTGTGTTGTGTCGTTTCAGCATCACCTTCTCCATCCCCGAAGGTGCTTTGGTGGCCGTGGTGGGCCAGGTGGGCTGCGGAAAGTCGTCCCTGCTCTCAGCCCTCTTGGCTGAGATGGACAAAGTGGAGGGGCACGTGGCTATCAAGGTAGGATGAGGACCAGCGGGGAGGGGCAGTGGGGAAGCTGGTGGTCTGAGGAAAAGCTCAGAAATGATGGTGTTTCTTTTGACTGTCCCTGTGCCAGAAGCGAAAGCAGCAACGTCTCTTTTCCTCCTCCTCCTGTATCTTTCCACTGTCTCTTTCTCTCTCGTTCTTTCTGTTCTGTTCCGTGCTGTCCTAGAAGGCAGGATTTTGGTATCATTTATTTCCATCTGTCTCCCAGCACTTAAAATAGTGCCCAGTATATAGTAGGCACTTAATAAATATTTATTTTGTTACCTCTTTATTAAGCTGTTATTTTATTATTATTATTATCATTATTATTGTGTTTTTTTTTTTTTGAGACAGGGTCAGGCTCTGTCCCGCAGGCTGGAGTGAAGTGGCGTGATCTCGGCTCACTGCAGCCTCTGCCTCCTGGGTCCAAGCGATTCTCCCTCAGCCTCCCGAGTGGCTAGGATTACAGGCATGCGCCACCATGTCCAGCTAATTTTTATATTTTTTTAGTAGAGACGGTGTTTTACCATGTTGGCCAGGCTGGTCTCAAACTCCTGACCTCAAGTGATCTGCACACCTCTGTCTCCCAAAGTGCTGGGATTGCAGGTGTGAGCCACCGCATTTGGCCACTTAAGAAATACTTAGTAGACACACGAAGACTCCCTGGTACGCAGCCTGTGTCTCCTTCCCTTGCGTCTCTGCCTGTCACTGAGTGTCTCTTGGTCTGTTTGGGTCTTTTTGGATTGTTCTTTATCTTTATGGATCTCTGAGTATCTATTCTTATAAATGTAACAAAACAAAAATGTTTATGTGGTTGGAATATTTTCTTAGAACATTTTTTAAAGGGAACAGTTTAAATTTTTAGTGTTGAATTCTTAATATGGAGCTAAAAGAAGACTGCAGTTTTACTGCTTTTAAATACACAGTGTACTTTGAAGTAAGTTGAAATTCCCCAGGAGTGAGCTTAAGAGGCTCCTTTACAAATAATCCCCACTGGAAATCAACAGCCTTTGTTTGCATTTAGTTCACTCCCCATGAAGGCCTTTTCCTAGTGTAACGACACGTCCCTGGAAGTTTTGCTACCAGCATTTCCAGGAGTGTGGTCTGCAGCCAGCTCATCTTGCAGGACATTTGGGCGATAAAGAACCCCAGGCTCAAAGAAGCGTGGGAAATAATGCATACTCCAGCCCCCTCCCTCTTGGAGACTTACAGTAAACATTAGCAAATTAAAGGCTCTGACAAGTCCTGCAAGGAGAAAAAATCTATTAACTGTTTAACCTTATGTGTCCCAGGTGTACTTGTCCGCACCTCTTTAGTGTCTGTGCGACTGCACATTTGTCTCTTGGAATCTGCCTTTGGGAATGTCAAGTTTATGACGTTGTTTGTTGTTGTGGGTTTTTTTTGAGACAGAGTTTTTTTTGTTGCCCAGGCTGGAGTGCAGTCGTGTGATCTTGACTCACTGCAACCTCTGCCTCCTGGGTTCAACCGATTCTTCTGTCTCAGCCTCTTGAGTAGCTGGGATTATAGGCACCCACCATTACTGCACCCGGCTAATTTTTGTATTTTCAGTAAAGACGGGATTTTACCATGTTGACCTGGGTAGTCTAGAACTCCTAACCTCAGGTGATCTCCCCATCTCGGCTTCCCAAAGTGCTTGGATTACAGGCGTGAGCCACCGCTCCTGGCCTAGTTAATGACATTGTTTTTATTTCAGAGCAAAACCCTTTCTTTGATTATACAGTGCCTTTAGAAAGTATACATTGTGGTTGGGTCCAAATTAATGACCTTTAGCTGTTGTTTTAAGAAATGTTTTATCATTACTTTCAAGTTCCTGCCATAAAATAAGATGAATGAACCATGAGAGCTAGATTAATGGAAGAAAATTCCAAATCCCGATGGGATCCACATTGCTTTCTGTTTCCTTAACCCCAGCTTTCTGCTATCCTGGCACTATTAGCATTTCAGGCCAGATGATTATTTATTATTGGTTGTTTGGCCTAGGTAAGGGGAGTGCTAGAAATGTATATAAAATATTTATCTTTTCCCAAATGTTTTAGTTGGTGTGGTTTGTGTATATTATGTCTGAAATTTCTGTGGGTTCTATGGTAAGGCACCACTGTTGACATTTTGGCTTTTTAAAAGTTAGGATATTCAAGTCAGCAGGTTAATTATTTGAGAATTTAGAGTAAGAATGAGGGTACCTGGGACCTGCTGTCAGCTTTGCCCTCTCTAGAATTCCCTTATTCAAGAATCTTCTGGCTGGGCGCGGTGGCTCACATCTGTAATCCCAGCACTTTGGGAGGCTGAGGCAGGTTGATCACCTGAGGTCAGGAGTTTGAGACCAGCCTGACCAGCATGGCGAAACCCCGTCTCTACTGAAAATACAAAAATTAGTGGGCCTGGTGGTGTGTGCCTTTAGTCCCAGCTACTCAGGAGGCTGAGGAAGGAGAATCCCTTGAGCCCGGAGGCAGAGACTGCAGTGAGCTGAGATCTTGACACTGTATTCCAGCCTGAGCGACAGCAAGGCTTCGTTTCAAAAAAAAATCTTCAGGGGCTCCCCTTGCCCCTCTGATAAAGCCCATGCTCCCCACCAAGTATAGGCCCCCTTGCTGTCCCTGGTGTGTTTTCTGCCAGTCGTTCCCTCACAGGATTGATCGATGTTCCTGTCACGCTGGCCTTTCTGTTCCTTGAATGTGCCAAGTACTTTTCACTTCCAGGCCTTCGCATGTGCTGTTCCCTCGGACTTGAATGCTCTTCCCTCTTCTCCTCATGAAACTGACTCATTCTTCACTTTTTGGTTCTTGTCTAAACATATGTTTGAGCTGAGCATGATGGCTCATGCCTATAATCCCAGCACTTCAGGAGGCCAAGGCAGGAGGATTGCTTGAGGCCAGGAGTTTGAGACCAGGCTTAGCAACATGGCAAGATTTTGTTTCTACAAACGTAATAAATATATAGAGAATTAACTACCTCAGCATTTTCATTAGCAAAATACACAAAACAAATATCCTTACTCTAGCCTTTATTCTCATGCTGTTTGTGATACCTGACATATGGAAATAAAAATAAGCCTTTGAAATGGATGCTTTGATATAGGAGTCTTTGCTTCAATTTTTAGCAAGGATATTTCCTCAAAGATCCTTCCCGGATGTCCCAAACTAGGTCAGTCTTTTAATTTTTTTGAGACAGGATCTTGCTCTGTGGTCCAGGCTGGAGTGCAGTGGCACGGTGCAATCTCAGCTCGTGGTACCTCCATTTCCTGGGCTCAGGTGATCCTCCCACCTCAGCCTCCCAAGTAGCTGGGACTACAGATGCACAGCGCCATGCCTGGCTAATTTTTCTATTTTTTTTAGAGATGGGATTTCTCTATGTTGCCCAGGCTGGCTTTGAACTCCTGACCTCAAGCAGTCTGCCTGCCTCGGCCTCCCAAAGTGCTGGGATTACAGGCATGAGCCACTGCGCCTAGTCAAGTTAGACTCTTAAAAAGCGTCTTATATCTTTTTATCTTCGCGTCCACCGTAACTGTAATCAAGTAGTTTTCCGTCACCTGAGGGACTTCCACTCTTTGGAAGCAGGGGTTTTGATCACCGCTGTAGGCATTGAGTTAATAGCTAGCTACTAAGTAAATAACTGTAATCTTATCAACGAGGATATCAACTCTTTGACTCCTGATATTGGAGTCAGTGATTCACCTGCTGTGGGTTCTGATCCCAGCCCTGGCATCTGTTGTCCTTTGTGAGTCAGTTTCCCTCTTGCCAAAGCAATAGTTGTGATGAAAATGACTTGTGAAGTGAGGCCCTCCTAGCAGGCGGGTGGGCCAGCTGTTGTCTCGTTGATCAGATCTGTCTGTGTGTCTGTCTCACCTCGTTCTCCATTTGCAACTTAGGGCTCCGTGGCCTATGTGCCACAGCAGGCCTGGATTCAGAATGATTCTCTCCGAGAAAACATCCTTTTTGGATGTCAGCTGGAGGAACCATATTACAGGTCCGTGATACAGGCCTGTGCCCTCCTCCCAGACCTGGAAATCCTGCCCAGTGGGGATCGGACAGAGATTGGCGAGAAGGTCAGTATAGGTTGGATGTTGGCCCCTGAATCAGTCAGCTGTTGCCGCGTAACAAATGCTCTCACAATCTCAGTGGGCTGTGAGTCTGCTGCTATCAGCTGACCCGGCAGGGCTCAGCTGGGCGGCTCTGCTGCACGCTGCAGGCCAGCTGAACTTGGGTCCAGGCTGTGGGTGTGGCTCAGGTCTCACTTACAGAGCTTTTGCTGGGGACCGGGGTGAGGGGTCCACAGCTTTCCAAAGGGGGGCTCTTCTCATGGTGGCAGCAGAGGCCCAAGATAGGCCCCCCAAAAAGCATGCAATGTCCCTTAAAGTACACTGTCCCTTCTACTCACAAAGCAAGTCACTTGGCCAAGCTCAAAGGCAAGGGACCAAGAAGGAAGTACATTCTACCTTTGTGGTCACATGACTGCAGAGTCACATGACAGAGGGCATGCTGTTGGGAGGAGGGGAGTCGATGATTCATATGTTCACAGTCCCTGTCAAGATAGCCATAATACTGAAAATAGCACAATAGCTAACACTTACTGAGCATTTTCTCTTTCTTTTCTTTCTTTCTTTTTATTTATTTATTTATTTTTGAGATGGAGTCTTGCTCTCTTGCCCAGGCTGGAGTGCAGTGGCACGATCTCAGCTCACTGCAACCTCTGCCTCCCGCGTTCAGGTGATTCTCCTGCCTCAGCTTCCTGAGGGGCTGGAATTACAGGTGCATATCACCACACTCGGCTAATTTTTGTATTTTTAGTCGAGGCAGGGTTTCACCATGTTGGCCAGGTTGGTGTCTAACTCCTGACCTCAAGTGATCCGCTGGCCTCAGCCTCTCAAAGTTCTTTTTTTTTTTTGAAATGGAGTCTCTCTCTGTCGCCCAGGCTAGAGTGTAGTGGCTCACTCTTGGCTCATTGCAACCTCTGCCTCCTGAGTTCAAGTGATTCTCCTCCCTCAGCCTCTTGAATAGCTGGGACTACAGGCCCCTGCCACCACGCACAGCTAATTTTTGTATTTTTATTCGAGGCAGGGTTTCACCATGTTGGCCAGGTTGGTGTCTAACTCCTGACCTCAAGTGATCGGCTGGCCTCAGCCTCTCAAAGTTCTTTTTTTTTTTTGAAATGGAGTCTCTCTCTGTCGCCCAGGCTAGAGTGTAGTGGCTCACTCTTGGTTCAACCTCTGCCTCCTGAGTTCAAGTGATTCTCCTCCCTCAGCCTCTTGAATAGCTGGGACTACAGGCCCCTGCCACCACGCACAGCTAATTTCTGTATTTTTAGTAGAGATGGGATTTCGCTGTGTTGGCCATGCTGATCTTGAACTCCTGGCCTCAGGTGATCTGCCCGCCTCTGCCTCTCACAATGCTGGGATTACAGATGTTAACCACCTCGCCCGGCCTATAACTTGAGTATTTTCTGTATGTTGGGAACTATGCTAAACATTTTACACGTAATTCTTCCCCACAGCAAGCCCATGGGTGGAATTTGTTGTTATACCTAGGTAATCATTGAGGAAAAAGGAGGCACAGAGAGGCCAAGTGACTTACCTGAGGCCACACAGCCACAGAGCTGCAGAGAGCATGGTTCCTGTGTCCATGTTGTTACCTGCTCATTTTGTCATCTCTAAAAGGGCCATTCTCTGCCTCTCACCACTGCAGACCCTCCCTCCTGCTGTGCTCCATCTCCCAGGTTTTCCTGCTGCTTCACAGCAACCCCCAGCCCCTGCCCACCTCCACACCTTGGTCTGAGCCTTCAAGGCCTGGGGTGCCTCCCCTGCTGCTTGCCTGGCCACTTTGCTCTGGCACCCCATGGTGGTCGTCTGGTGTGTCCCCTCTTGGAAGACCAAGAGTGCAAAGCACTGGCCCATTTCTGTTTTTAGTTACAAGCCAGGGGCTCTGTCGGCTTTCTTACGTGGTGAATGATGTTTAAAAATTGAGATAAGCCTGCAGCTCCTTGGAAATAAAAAACGAATTATTGGCTGGGCGCGGTAGCTCACGCCTATAATCCCAGCACTTTGGGAGACCAAGGTGGGAGGATTGTCTGAGGTCAGGAGTTCGAGACCAGCCTGGGCAACATGGTGAAAACCCACCTCTACTAAAAATACAAAAAGTTGCCAGGCATGGTGCCGTGCACCTGTGGTCCCAGCCACTTAGGGGGCTGAGGTGAGAGGATTGCTTGAACCTGGGAAGCGGAGATTACAGTGAGCTGAGATTGTGCCACTGCACTCCAGCCTGGGCGACAGATTGAGATTCTGTCTCCAAAAACAAAAAGAAGGCACGTGGCTGCCAGGACCCCACCTCAGTGCATGGGAGTCAGGGCAGGCATCTCAGGAGGGACTGGGCAGTAACCTGTGATTTCCAGCCAAATAGGGAAACGACGTTGGCTTATCTGTCATGGTGGGAGCTGGCGCTGCTGCTGGTCCATGCATTGTCCTTCCTCCTGGTGACTGGGATGTGGGCTGGATTTCAGCATCCCCAGGCCGGAGCCTTGCTTCACCTATATGTGGCTTTGCCAGACAGTGACAGATCCAGAGTAAGCTGGCAAACATGGCAGCTGTCACCAACAGCAGCAGTAACAATAATATGACCACGTCCACCAGCGCCTTCCATGAGACTAAGGGATCACGGCCTTCCCACTGGTCAACATGATTTGGTGCCGTCAGCCATCCTTTGCTGAGCACTTGCTGTGCACCACGTGCCCTGCTCAGCACCTCACGGGAGATTCAGGTTTTCTCTTTTGCCCAGTTGACAGGTGGGGCTAAACCCTGTGCCTGTGATCCCATCCTTGGTGGTGGTGGAGCTGGGGCCTGGCTCCAGGTTTGTGCAGGCGTGACCTCATGCCTTCAGCATCAAACTTAAAGAAGAGGAGGTGGGTGCAGCTCTGCAGGGCCTTCACCCAGGACCTGCTGTGTCCTGAGCAGGCTCTATGCCTTTCTTTCTTTCTTGTTTAAAGAGACAGGGTCTCATTCTGTCGCCCAGGCTGGAGTGCAGTGGCCCAGCCATAGCTCGTTGCAGCCTGGAACTCCTGGGCTCAAGCCATCTTCCCACTCAGCCTCCTGAATAGCTGGAACTACAGGCGCACATCAGCAGGCTTGGCTAATTTTTTCTTTTCTTTTCTTTTCTTTTTTTGTAGAGACAGGGTCTCCCTATATTGCTCAGGCTGGTCTCAAACCCCTGGTCTCAAGCAGTCCTTCCACCTTGGCCTCCCAAAGTTCTGGGATCACACCACACTCGGCCTGCTTCTACGTATTGTGAGTCTCAAGATTTCCCAGGAAACCCACTCCTGTGTGTGTCTCTCCCCAGGGCGTGAACCTGTCTGGGGGCCAGAAGCAGCGCGTGAGCCTGGCCCGGGCCGTGTACTCCAACGCTGACATTTACCTCTTCGATGATCCCCTCTCAGCAGTGGATGCCCATGTGGGAAAACACATCTTTGAAAATGTGATTGGCCCCAAGGGGATGCTGAAGAACAAGGTGCCTGCTGGCGGGGTGGGGCTTGGTGTTGGGCCGTCTCGCCCTTTGGTTAAGTCAGAACGTGTCCCCTTTAGGAGTCCTTTACTTTCTCTGGCTTTCTTTGTTTTTAATTGGACTTTAAAGAACACATTTCTCATGCTTGTCTTGGAAGCCTTCCTAAGACAGCCGTCTTGTACTTGTCTTTATAGGGGTAAGTCCTCCGCGCAGAGTTAAATTCATTGCCTCTCCATGGCCAAGGGAGGCCTCTCTTCCTGATTAAGTCACAGGGCTGGCTTCTTAGCGGGGAATCCCACCCCAAGACATTGCCTGTGACCTAGCAGGCTGCATTTTCTTACTTGCAGAGGTGTCTGTGGGTAGAGGGGTCGGAAAATTGCCACAACACCTTAACATAATAGGAAATAGTTCCTGTGTTCTTTTTATAGGGCAGTTGTGGTAATGGGTACACACTGGCTCTTTTTTTTCTCCCCCTGATTTTATTTTTTTGAGGTGGAGTTTCGCTACTGTTGCCCAGGCTGGAGTGCAGTGGCATGATCTCAGCTCACTGCAACCTCCGCATCTCGGGTTCAAGCACTTCTCCTGCTTTGGCCTCCCAAGTAGCTGGGATTACAGGTGCCCACCACCACGCCTGGCTAATTTTTTTTATTTTTAGTAGAATCGAGGTTTCACCATGTTGGTCAGGCTGGTCTCGAACTCCTGACCTCAAGTGATCTGCCCGCCTGGGTCTCCTGCAATGCTGGGATTACAGGCGTGAGCCACCACACCCGGCTGTTTCTGCTGATTTTAAAACTAACACATCCCCATGGGGGGCATATAGATTAAGAAAAACATGAAAAAGAAAAATGGAAGCAGTTACACACATTCCACTGGTTAGAGGTTTTGTATTTTTTTCAAGTCTTTTTGCTCTGTGTATAAACTTTTTAAATAGGGTTATCTTGTTCCACGTATATATACAGGAAACATCGTGCTACATGACCTCTTGTAATCGTTCCCATACATACCACTAACATTCTGTGTAAACATATTTTAAAATAGTACAAAACATTTTTGAAAATTACTAAGTAATACATGCCCATTGTAACAAAATTGAAAAGTACAAGAATATGGATATCTTCTTATAATATATGTGTGTATGCGTGTGTGTGTGTGTGTGTGTGTGTGTGTGCATGTATATAAAGTAAATAAAGCTGGGCACGGTGAGTAATCCCAACACTTTTGGAGGCCTAGACCAGTGGATCACCTGAGGTCAGGAGTTCGAGACCAGCCTGGCCAACATGGTGAAACCCCATCTCTACTAAAAATACAAAAATCAGCCGAGTGTGGTGGTGCATGGCTGTAATCCCAGCTACTCGGGAAGCTGAGGCCGGAGAATGTCTTGAACCCGGGACGTGGAGGTTGCAGTGAGCTGAGATTGCGCCACTGCACTCTAGCCTGGGTAACAGAGCGAGACTCCGTCTCAGAAAATATATCTAAATAAAGTAAATAAAATAGTCCCTCTTCATCCTGCATCCCTAATCTTTAATTCTTCTCTTAGAGAGCAAGGGTTAGCAAATCTGGCCCACTGCCTGCTTTTTATATGGCTCTTGAGCTAAGAATGATGTGTGTATTTTTAAATAGAAGAAATCTAAACAGGAAGAATATTTTATGACATTTGAAAATCGTATTAAATTTAGATATCAGTGTCCATAAATAAAACTTTATTGGAACATGGCCAATGTATTTTTTTTCTTTTTTTTTTCTGCAGACAGGGTTTTCCTCTGTTGTCCAGGCTGGAGTGCAGTGCCACAGTCATGGCATGGTAGCCTCCAGCTCCTCGGCTGAATCAATCCTCCTGCCTTCTGAGTAGCTCCTGGGACCACAGGCATGCAGCACCATGCCTGGCTAATTTATTTTTATTTTTATTTTGTGGAGACAGGTCTCACTATGTTTCCCAGGCTGGTTTCAAACTCTTGGCCTCAAGGAATCCTCCCGTTTTGGCCTCCCAAAGTGCTGGGATTACAGGTGTGAGCCACCGCACGTGTCCTGTTCTTTAAAGCATCGTCTACAGCTGCTTCAACTCGGCAGGGCTGAGTTGGTGCCATGGCAACTGTAAGATCCATAAAGCTGAAAAGATTGACCGTTAGCTGTTTAAGGAAACATATGCTGACTTCTATTAATAGTTTGATGAATGTCTTCCCAAACTTTCAGATTTGCAGATAAAATGTATGCATGTGCATATTTTGTAGTGGTTTTGGGGGTGGCTGACAGCGGGAGTTGTTTTAGAAAAAAATTAAGCCAGAGCTGGGCATGGTAGCGCATGCCTGTAGTCCCAGCACTTTTGTAAGCCAAGGGCGAATGGATCGCTTCAGTTCAGGAGTTCAAGATGAGCCTGGACAACATGATGAGACCCCTGTCTTGACAAAAAATACAAAAATTATCTGGGCATGGTGGCACGTATCTGTAGTCCCAGCTACTTGGGAGGCTGAGGCAGGAGAATCGCTTGAACCCAGGAAGCATAGGTTGTGGTGAGCTGAGGTCGCACCACTGCACTCCAGCCTGGGCGACAGAGCGAGACCCTATCTCAAAAAGAAAAAAAAAAAAGAAGAAAAAAATTAAGCCATTGGGCTGGGCGCAGCGGCTCACACCTGTAATCCTAAAACTTTGGGAGGCCAAGATAGGCAGATTGCCTGAGGTCAGGAGTTTGAGACCAGCCTGGGCAACATGGTGAAACGCCATCTCTACTAAAATACAACAACAAAAAAATCAGCCAGGTGTGGTGGCGGGCGCATGTAATCCCAGCTACGCGGGAGGGCTGAGGCACGGGAATTGCTTGAACCCGGGAGGCGGAGGTTGCAGTGAGCCGAGACTGTGCCACTGCACTCCAGCCTGGACAACAAAGTGAAACTCTGTCTCAAAAAAAAAAAAAAAAAAGCCATTGCATACAAACTGTTTTGCTGTGGCACCATCCTTTTATTCCTTTACACACTTGTATGGTTCCCTCCCTACCTCTTGTCATTCAGGTTTTTGTTAAAAAATAACCTTCCCCATTACCTTTGTTAAAATTGCAAAACCCGCACACTTGGTACACCCGTTCCCCTTTTTGCTGTGTTTTTGCCATTCAGCAAGCACTATTCTACTAGTGTTCGTTTCTCCTGCGGCCCTGGAATCTGGGGCAGGGGTCTTTGTTTCCTTCCCCTTCCCCAGCTTTTAGCTCAGCACCTGAGGCGTGGCAGGCCCTTTGCACATGCATGTTACAGGACCGTGTGCACAGGTTCAGCTGCTCCTGGATGCTGTTATCGCGGGTGCATGTCCCACCTTCAGACCTGAGTTTTGCCCACCAGGTGTTCGTCGGCTCATTCCTCCTTTAGTCTTCACTCTGCCAAGCTAGGCAGTCTCACACATGTGCACTGACGTGGCCGGGTGTCCCCTTTGCCCACAGACGCGGATCTTGGTCACGCACAGCATGAGCTACTTGCCGCAGGTGGACGTCATCATCGTCATGAGTGGCGGCAAGATCTCTGAGATGGGCTCCTACCAGGAGCTGCTGGCTCGAGACGGCGCCTTCGCTGAGTTCCTGCGTACCTATGCCAGCACAGAGCAGGAGCAGGATGCAGAGGAGAACGGTAGGGGCAGCCCCAGGGTTCCACCCACTCAGGGTGTCTGGCACCTTGAAGGGCCACATTGGCCTCTTTGAGGTTGCCACCAGCCACTTGGGGAAGGCGGCTCCTCAGGGCATGAGGGTGGGAGCTGGATGGAGCCCCCTAAAGAAGCAATGTGGAAAACCACCTTAGTCCCTGCAGCGCTGAACTGGGAGAGAGTCTCGGTGCTTTATGGCCAGGGGATGGGAGCACCAGGCTTCAGCTCAGCTGACCTCAGGGCAGGGTCTAGCGCCTTCCTGGAACATGACCTTGGACCTGATGAGTTTCAGGGTCCTTATGGCAAAAATGGGAATGATGGTAATTAAAGTCCTGGCTCTCGGGGCTGAGAGAAACTGAGGACATACGTGACACAAGAGATGTGAGGGTTGTGAGGTGAAGCACGGAGTTAAGCAGGCAGGCTCGGGTTGGTGACGTCTGGGTTCAATCCCCGGCCGCTCATCTCCCCAGCTATGTGACCTGAGGCCTGCCCTTCAGACCCATCTGAGCTTCACTTTCCTCCCTCATAAAGCAGTTCAGCAGGGCCAGACGTGGTGGTTCCCAACACTTGTAATCCCAACACATAGAGAGGCTGAGGTGGGAGGATCGCTCCAGCTCAGGAGTTTGAGACCATCCTCAGTAGCATGGCGAAACCTCATCTCTACAAAAAATACAAAAAATTTGCCAGGCACAGTGGCTCACGCCTGTAATCCCAGCACTTTGGGAGGCCGTGGTGGGTGGATCCCTTGAAGCCAGGAGGAATTCAAGACCAGCCTGGCCAACATACTGAAACCCCAACTCTACAAAAAAAAAAAAAAAAAAATTCAGATGCTATTAAGTGCTTTGGAGGGGAAACAAAAAAGACAATGCCATGGGCTGAGGAGTGATGGGTGTCATTGTGGCAACTCAGGCAGGGGATAGGGAAACCCTCTCTGGGGAGGTTGCATTGGCATGGGAAGGAGCCAGCAGGGAGAAGATCTGGGAAGTGTTGTGGGCAGAGGGAACAGCCAGTACAAAGGCCTCAGGACCAGCATGAGCTCAATTTGTTTACAAAACAAAAAGGGTGGTGTGGCCAGACCATGGTGTGCCAGGACGTGGGGGGCAGGAGAAGAGGTCAGCACAGTGATTGTCCTGCAGGGCCTTCCAGGTGGGTTTTGGTCTAACTGCCCTGGGAAGCCACTGAGTGTCAGAGAGGCAAAGTGACCAGCCCCAGGATACACAGCAGCTGCTGGCAGGGTTGGTTCTCAAGTTGGTCTCTGAGTTTCTCATCCTTTGCCTGGGGTGGGAGCTCCTTCTCTGCAGAGGTCCTAGTGATCTCTAATAAGTGCTTTCTTGAGATGTAATTCACACACGTAGGCTGGGCGCAGTGGCTCACGCCTGTAATCCCAGCACTGTGGGAGGCTGACACAGGTGGATCACCTGAGGTCAGGAGTTGGAGACCAGCCTGGCCAACATGATGAAACCCTGTCTCTACTAAAAATACAAAAATTATCCTGGCGTGGTGGCGCACGCCTATAGGCCCAGCTACTGGGGAGGCTGAGGCAGGAGAATAGTTTGAACCTTGGAGGCGGAGGTTGCAGTGAACCGAGATCGTGCCACTACACTCCAGCTTGGGCAACAGAGCAAGACTTCGTCTCAGAAAAACAAAACAAAACAAAACAAAAATTCATACAACATACAATTAACCCACTTAAATCACAAAATCCAACCATCACCACAGTCAGGTTTAGAACTTTTTTTAATCACCCCCAAAAGAAACCCCAATCCATCAGCCATGACTCCCTATTTTCCCCAGCACCTCCGAAGCCCTAGGCAACCACTAATCTTTCTGTCTCTCTAGATTTGCTTATTCTGGACATTTCATATAAATGCCATCACAATAGGTGGAATGTTGTGACTGGCGGCTTTTACACTTAGCGTGGTGTTTTCAAGGTTCGTCTATGTTGTAGCTTCATTTCCTTTTATTGCGGAATAATATGCCATTGTGCAGATAGACCATACTGTGTTGATCTGTTCACTGGTTGATGGACATTCAGGTTTTTTCCACTTTCTGACTCTTGTGAATACTGCTGTCATGAGCCCTGGTGGTTTTAAAGGAAAAGTTGGTGGCCGGGTGTGGTGGTTTGTGCCTGTAATCCCACCACTTTGGGAGGCCAAGGCGGGTGGATCACTTGAGGTTAGGAGTTCAAGACCAGCCTGGGCAGCATGGTGAAACCTCGTCTCTACTGAAAGTACAAACATTAGCTGGGATGGTGGTGCACACCTGTAGTCCCGGCTATTCGGGAGGCTGAGGTGGGGGAATCGCTTGAGCCTGGGAGTCAGGCTGCTGTGAGCCAAAATCATGCCACTGCACTCCATCTGGCCTGGGTGACAGAGCAAGACCATGTCTCAAAATACAGTTGGATTTTTGTTTCTTGCCAGTGCATGATAGCTGACATTCCCTTCAGCTTTTAAATTATTTGATTAGACTGAATTTCTGCATGTTCATTCCCTTGTGGTTGGGAAGTTCTACCTTGAGTCTAGCCTGTTTCTTCTTGCTGCAGAATCCCCCTTTGTCTATCTCTCAGCCCGAGCAATGCATTGTGGCAACTTCTCGGTGACTTTTTCACTGACCTGCTTGGCAGGCTACTTTTAGGTGACAATACCCTTTGTGCTCTCTAAATCAAAATGTGTGGGTTTAGCTGAATCTTTTGCCCAGCGTGAGGTCTGTCTCTCTATCCTTCCGTCCAGGTGAGCAAAAAATGTCCTTAAACTCTCTTGGCCCCAGATAGGTTCCGCACCCCCGCCTTTCTTTCCCAGCTGCTAGAGTATCCAAGCAGTGTATACAGAACATGGAAGGCTGCCAGATGCTTTGTGATTTTTGTACACATCAGCACTTAATTTGGTGATGCAAATGCCGCCCACCACCCTGGCACCTCGTGCGTTCATTTTCCCAGTTTGACCTCCCTACCTCCTGCCTTTGAGGTTACATAGAAGTCCTTGGCAGTGGGTCTTACATCAAACTGGGGCACCCCCCTCTCTCACCACCCACCCTTTTCCATTGCTCTGGAGGGGCCCTGGCTATAAAGTCTTGACATCAGGGTCTGGTCTTGCCCAGCCTTAGCCAACTCGAAGCGCCAATGACCTTGGGTTTGTTTAAACCACATTTTTGGCTCTTCCTAAAGGGGAACTTTTTTCCTTGTTGGATTAATCAGCTCTTTTTTTTAGAACACCCAGGCTGAAGGGGTGCAGGTGTTGGTATTTGGTTTGGGAGAATCCTTGAGGGGGGATGGGCAGGAACCAGGCTTGTGAATGGGGCCATACCGACCTCTCTCCCGGGATATTCAGTTTACTGATTTCTAAGAAATATATCTTTTTTACTGTTTGTCTCCCTCTCTCCTTTTTTTTTTTTTTTTTTTTTTAACTTTTAATGGCATTCCTTTTATTCCTAATTTATTCCCATGCCATAAGCTTTTGTTTCTTCAATTTCTTCTGGGATATATTTTTCTTCTGTGCAGCCTCCCCTTCCGGTTTAGGAACAGTTTGTTCCCTTTCAGGCAGGATCATCTGGATGTGGCAGAGTGAGCTCACGTATGGGTTAATCCGACCGACCCTGAGCTCTGTAGGTCCGGCGACGCAACTTAGGTGCTTTCTTCAGTTGGATATGCTCAAGGACCAGAGAATCTGCATCTGAACCCTTAAGTTCAGTGTGACTCTCTGTATTTTTAAGCATGTGCAGCAGAAATTCAGTGCTCTTTTTGGGCCGCCGACCTTGTGGCCAGCCCCACTTCTTGGCCTGGGTACATCTACCAACTCCACCATTATAATGTCAGAATGGTACATGTTGTTTCTGTAAAGTGGCATCTTTCTGATACTTTGTGGCCTTTTGTACGTGCATACCTTTGATGGCCTGGGCGCTTTCAGGAGTGTTCTTTTTCTTTTTCTTTTTTTTTGAGACGGAGTCTTGCTCTGTCACCCAGGCTGGAGTGCAGTGGCGCGATCTTGGCTCCCTGCAAGCTCTGCCGCCCAGGTTCACGCCATTCTCCTGCCTCAGCCTCCCGAGTAGCTGGGACTACAGGCGCCCGCCACCATGCCCAGCTAATTTTTTTTGTATTTTTAGTAGAAACGGGGTTTCACCGTGTTAGTCAGGATGGTCTCGATCTCTTGACGTCATGATCCGCCCGCCTCGGCCTCCCAAAGTGCTGGGATTACAGGCGTGAGCCACTGCGCCTGGCCTTTTTTTTTTTTTTTTTTTTTTGATACAGAGTCTCACTTGTTGCCCAGGCTGGAGTGTAGTGGCACAATCTTGGCTCACTGCAGCCTCCACCTCCCGGGTTCAAGAAATTCTTGTGCCTCAGCCTCTCGAGTAGCTGGAGTTACAGGCATGTGCCACCACGCCCAGCTAATTTTTGTATTTTTAGTAGAGATGGGGTTTCACCATGCTGACCAGGCTGGTCTCAAACTCCTGGCCTCAAGGGATCCTCCTGCCTCAGCCTCCCAAAGTGTTGGGATAACAGGCATGAGCCACCATGCCCGGCCTCACAAATGTTCTTAAGGTGAACACGAAGATTTGAACCTCTTGATCTGCATGATTCTGTGGTGTTTTCTGGATAAAGTGAATAGTGAACCATTTTCACAGATTGCCTCAAGCCCCTTAGGGGAACAAATTTTTAAGGGATTTAAAAAAATGGCTCATTAACCTTCATACCTGGAAGGTAAAACACATCTTCATGACTCTGGTTTCTTTCTTAGGAACCTAATACCTAGAGCAGTGGTTTTCCATCAGGGGCAAATTGCGCCCACCCTGGGGACAGTTGGCAATGTTTGGAGACATGTTGGGATGTCAAAACTGGAGTGGGGTTTGCCCCTGGCAGGCAAGCAGGGTAGAGGCCAGCGATGTCGCTAAACATCCTACAGCACTCAAGACGAATTCCCCCTTACCCTGCCCCCCGTGACAGGGAATCCCCTCGCCAGGACATCCAAAGCACCATGAGCAAGAAACCCTGTGTGCTCCGACTTCACACTGCTGAATTCTTCCCTTGTCCTCTTGGGAGAAGGATCTTTATTCCAACAATGTGGCCATTTTTCTCTTTTAAAAAATTTTATTTATATATTTTTATGTTTTTTTATGGAGATGGGATATCAGTCTGTTGCCCAGGCTGGTCTCGAACTCCTGGGCTCAAGCGATCCTCCCACCTTGACCTCCCAAAATGCAAATGCTGGGATTATAAGCATGAGTCGCGGCACCTGGCCCGTGGCCATTTTTCAAAACCTTGCTTGAACCATCTGTTAACCTCATGGCAAATATTTTTCCCTCTTAAGTATTTACCGAGTTTTTCTTAATGATTATAAAAGCAACATGTGCTCATCGTAGACATTTGCAAACTACAAAAGAGTACAAAGAATCAGGAAAAAAGGTGGCTCATATGTGTAATGCCAGGACTTTGGGAGGCCAAGGTAGGCGGATCACCTGAGGGCAGGAGTTCGAGACCAGCCTCGCCAACATGGTGAAACCCCATCTCTACTAAAAATACAGAAATGTCAGGAGGCTGAGGCAGGAGAATAGCGTGAATCCGGGGGGCAGAGCTTGCAGTGAGCCAAGATTGTGCCACTGCACTCTAGCCTGGGTAACAGAGCGAGACTGTCTCAAAAAAAAACAAAAAAAACAAAAAAAAACTCCCGAGAAAGAACATCTTTCTGCCCTCACTGCCCAGAAGGGGAGCTGTTGTTAGCTTTGGCATCTTTTTCACCTGTCCTTCCTTCCTAGGCCTTCTCCCTTGACAAGATTGAGAGTATATCTTAGAGTTTTCTCATCTCCTGCCACCTTTTGATTTCTTTTCTTAACAGTGGGCCATAAGCACCTCCCCAAGTTACACAAATTAGTTGTCAGCACAGAGCAGCTGCCGAGAGAGTTCATCAGACAGACCCCCACATTCCTTCTGGCTGTCCTCAGAGGCCGGATTTCTTCCTCTTTTGAGGATGAAGAGCTTTCTCTGCCGAGGCTGGGGGAGGAGGTCAGTGAGGCAGCCAGTGAATGCCGTTTTTGGTCAAAAATGAGGCGTTGACTATAAAGCTGTGAGTTGAATTCTTCCCTCCGGGGAGGCTGGCCTGCTGGACCTTGCCCAAGCAGAGTTCCAGAACCTTCTTGAGTAAAGGCAGTGTTGGTGGAATAAACAGTGAGAGGACTGGCAACGGAATACACAGACCCGGGGCAGCACTTAACGTACGTGGGTCAAGGGTAGAAACAGCACCTGGCTTGACAGCATCCAAAACCCAACACCTGGTGGTTGCATGAACTCAGTGACAGTCACTGAATTACAAGTTTCGTGTGTTTGCTTTAAAAAAAAAAGAAAGAACTCTTGCTACTTTATAGCATTCTCCACCCTGGCCCCCAGCCTTCATGTCCCTCTTCTTCCCTGCTTTGATTACTTTGTGGCACTTATTGCTGCCTGGAGTAAATTATGGATCTACTTGTTCATTTATTGTTGATCTCTTCCTTTGGAATTTAAGATCTGAGGGTTTTGTTTGTTTGTTTTGTTTTGTTTTGTTTGTTTTGGGAGTCTCACGCTGTTGCCCAGGCTGGAGTGCAATGGTGCAATCTCGGCTCACTGCAACCTCCACCTCCTGGGTCCAAGTGATTCTCCTGCCGCAACCTCCCAAGTAGCTGGGATTACGGATGCCTGCCACCACGCCCGGCTAATTTTTGTATTTTTAGTAGAGACGGCGTTGTGCCACATTGGTCAGGCTGGTCTTGAACTCCGGACCTCAAGTGATCCACCCGCCTCAGCCTCCCAAAGTGCTGGGATTACAGGCATGAGCCATCGTGCCCGGCTGCTCTGAGGGCTTTTTGGTTGTCTCTCCATCCCCAGGACTAAGAAAAGAGCCTGACACATAGTAGACACTCAGTAAATGTGTTAAATGAGTGGATGAATCGCACCTTGGCTGTTCAAGGCATGTCCTGCATAAGCAGTGGGTAGGCCGGAGGGCTTTGGATGTTTACACTGCAGATAAATACCTCAGACTAGGAGAAAATAGGAGTGGATTTCACCCCCTCTCAGGTCTGCTTTAGAAAGCAGCTTTGTCAGTCCTGCCTATGAGAGGGGCCCCTCTGGCATTGGGAAGTCAGCTCTGCTTCTTGACTTGACTATACACTTGTCAGTCTGCCCATCTGTCTGTCGGGTGTGTACAGAGTGCCTGCTGTGTGCCACAAGGCCACCTGGTACGTGAGCCTCTGTGTGGAATGGTGCCCCCCACGTTGAGTTGTGCAGTGTGCATCTTGTGTAACTGCACTTGGCCACCTGCTGTGCCAGGTGCTGGTGATACAGTAATGGATATGACCCACTTCATGCCCTTGAGAGCTCACAGTCTGATGGGAGAGACAAACGCCAAACAATTAAGGGTATCATAGTGCTAAATGCAGTGATGGAGGGCTGCTTGAGGGCCTGGGAAATCACAGAGAAGGAGCCCCCATCCCAGCCTGGGAGGGTCCAGGGTGATATCTGGGCTAAGTCACCTTTTCTTCTCCTCTTGGGCACATGTGCATCTGGCTCTGTGTGGGGCCAGCCCCTCTCAGGAGCAGTGTCTGTCCTCAAAGGGGCTGGAGCTGATGCCCATGCCACCTCCCAGTATCATGCCTGGCCTGCCTACTGTAATACTTTATTTCTTTTCCTCTCCTGCGTAAAAACAAGCCTGAAGACTGAAGGTTGGTCTGCATTATTTGTTTAGCTCTATTTATGGTTAAACACAGTTATGACTTTGGCCAGGCATGGTGGCTCACGCCTGTAATCCTAGCACTTTGGGAGGCCAAGGCAGGTGTATCAGCTGAGGTCAGGAGTTTGAGACCAGCCTGGCCAACATGGCAAAACCCCGTCTCTACTAAAAATACGAAAATTAGCCAGGTGTGGTGGCGGGCACCTGTAATCCCAGCTATTTGGGAGGCTGAGGCTGGAGAATTGCTTGAACCTGGGTGGCGGAGGTTGCGGTGAGCTAAGATCACGCCACTTCCCTCCAGCCTGGGCTAAAGAGTGAAACTCTGTCACAAACAAACAAACAAAAACCCAACACAGTTATGACTTTGGAGAAAGGGGTTGGTCTTGTGCAGTGTGCTTGTCCCGGATCCACCCAGCACGTGTGGGATGGGGAAACTGACGCACAAATGGAGCAGACCCTTCAGCCATTCTTGCCTCTCCCCCTTTAGAAAAGACACTCCCTTCACTCCTTTATTTAGATAGGGGCTTAGGGCGGGAGTTTCGCTTTGCTTCTTAACAATATCTTGGGTCTTCTGAATTCCCAGGCAGCACAGTGATGGACGAGGAGGAAGCAGGTCAGTACTGCCCGGGTTGGAGTTGGCTTGGCTCATAGAATGAGGCCAGAGACGGGCCGAGACTGTCGCTGCATGTCTGGGGAGGTGCCGTCAGATGTCTGTGTTTTCACCCCTCCGGTTGTTCATTGGTTCATTTAGCACACATTTACTGGGTACCTACTGTGTGTCTGGCTTTGAGGCTGGCACTGGGGGATACAGCCTGAGTCCCCAGATCCCTTTATTGTCACTGATGACCTTGGGTAAGCTCTACTGTTTCATGCATCACGTTACCGTGACCAGCATGCCTTGAGGGGACCATGCTTATGAAGTGCCTGGCACACAGTGGATGGACAATAAATGGCAACAGTTTGATTGTGAGCTGCCACGCATAGATCCTGGGGCACAGTCAAGACACACATGGGCCCAGACAATGCAGGGTGATCAGCGCCTGTTGGGGAACTGCAGCAGGTGGTGGTGGGGACCCTGAAGAGGGATGTCGCCTAGTGGAATTCCAGTGGCCAGACTGGACCCATCCCTCCTGCCTTCTGCAGTGTGTGGCTTAGGGTCCCAGCCAAGGGCTTTTTTTGTAAGCAGCAGAAGCTGAATCTGGCCACCTTAAACAAACAGAGGGTGTTTCCTGGAAGGATACCAGGTAACTCATGAATCAAAGGCAGAACTGAGCAAGTAGGACTCAGGAAATGGGAACTCTGGGAGACTAGACTCTTTTAGGACAGGTGAACTTGAACTGTCTTTGGTCCTTGTAGACCACTGATGACGGTTCAAATCCTGGGAGAGGGGCTTTTATGGGGCGACCTCAGACAGTGCCCACCTTGGCTGGGGGAATCTGAGGCACCCTGATTGACAGGCCCACCAAGGCTGTAGGAAGAGGGAGAGCTGATCCCTTCAAAAAGCCAACAGGGGGCCAGGCACAGTGGCTCACACCTGTAATCCCAGCACTCTGGGAGGCCGAGGTGGGTGGATCACCTGAGGTCAGGGGTTTGAGACCAGCCTGGCCAACATGGTGAAACCCCGTCTCTACTAGAAATACAAAAGAATTAGCCAGGCACGGTGGTGCATGCCTGTAATCCCAGCTTCCTGGGAGGCTGAGGTGGGAGGATCGATTGAACCCAAGAGGCAGAGGTTGCAGTGAGCCAAGATGGCACCAGTGCAATCCAGCCTGGGCGACAGAGAAGACCTTGTCTCAAGACAAGGAAAAAAAAAAATGCTGAGAGGATGGTGGACTAACTGATGTTCAGATTCCTCCTCTTAGGCGCTTGGTCCTCCTCCGTGCAGAGTGGAATTTTCCAGCTGCCCAGTTCGACCTGTGGGCTAATTGGTGGGTTGAGAGGGTAAGACAGCCTTAGCGAGCACTGCATGCCTGCAGAAGCTCCCAGCTGACCATGGTGGCTGCGCTCAGTGACGACCAGGAGAAGTGAAGCCTGAGGCTTATAGGAGGGTGGCCTGAGGCTGCTGGTAGGAGAGGGGGGGGCTCTCTGCGGCATGCAGCCTCCAGATGGGGGTCCCTGGGAGTGTTCTGGAACATTCTCATCCCTGCACAGAGAAAGATGGTTAAGGGCATGGCTGGTTCCCAGTGTCACACATGTGTGTGAGGACAGGCTGCATGGGAAGTCCTGCTTGGTATCATTCTTCCTTCCTGAGTGATGTGGCTATTTGTGTTTTGTTTGTTTTTTAAGTTAGTGTTTAGTTAGTTTAGACAAAACAAAACAGATGCTGACATTAAAGGGAATGTTTAAAGCAGAGTTTCTCAGTTCCTGGCTGTGCCTAGAATTCTCTGTAGAACCTGTTTAAAAATGTATTTAGTAATAAGCAACACGGGGGTCGCCATCACTGAACACTTGCTGTGCCAGGCACTGCGTGCAGTCTCGTTTCACCCTCTCGCAAATGAAGGTTGGGTCTGCTGTTCCTGTTTTGCAGATGTGGAAGATGAGGCTCAGACAGATTTATCATTTCCCCAAGGGGCACAGCCAGGAAGTGAGAGAACACTTCCCACATATCACAGTTCCTGGAGCTCTAATCGAGACTCACAGCAGGGACTGGGCTGGACACGAGGGCACCTGCTCAGTTTTTAATTTTAATTTTTTGGTTTATTTTCTTTTATTCGTGTTTTTTAGATTTTTTTTTTATTTTTATTTTTTATTTTTATTTTTAGACAGAGTCTCGCTCTGTCACCCAGGCTGGAGTGTGGTAGCATGATTTCAGCTCACTGCAACCTCCGCCTCCCGGGTTCAAGCAATTCTAGAGCCTCAGCCTCCCGAGTAGGTGGGATTACAGGCATGCACCACCACGCCCAGCTAATTTTTGTATTTTTAGAATAGAGTTGGGGTTTTTCCATGTTGGCCAGGCTGGTCTTGAACTCCTGGCCTCAAGCGATCTGCCCGCCTCGGCCTTGAAAGTGCTGGGGATTACAGGTGTGAGCCACCGTGCCCGGCGGCCACCTGCTCATTTATAAAGCCCCCCGTGACTCATTTACAACCAAGACTGAGAATTCCTGGCATGGAGTGCCTCCCTCTGTCCAGGAATGATCTGCAGCCCCCTCTTCCCTTCCAGGTGTGTCTGTGTCTCCCTGTGGCTGTTTCTGCAAGATTTTGCATTTTTGAGCTCTGCTTTTATTCATGTCATCACCCGAGCATGTTCCCAGGGTCACCCTGACCATGCTGCTGGCTGCGTATTTATCCCTTTTGTATCTTCTGTCCTGGGTCCTCTCCCACCTTCTCTGGGGTCAGCCCTGTGGTGCCTTACATTGTGCTGCTTTCTCTCCTGGCACCAAAGAATGAGGCAGTCAGTGCGGAGTGGGGGCAGTAGTCATCATCATCACTGAGTTATTGTGAACCAGGAAAGAGATATGATCTGTGTTGACACGACACACGGTGCCCGAGTGCACTTGATAAATGTTGGCTGTCATTGTCATTGTTGATGTTCCGGTGATTATTGTTGATGCTGGGTGGATTCTTCCTGGGATCAGGGCAGATATCCAGCTGCTGTGTCCCTTGGTGTCCTTATCAGTGTCCTTCCTAATTCTGCAACCAAGGCATCTGCCAGGGCTGGGGTCTCATCTGAAGACTCAATCAGGGAAGGGTCCACTTTGAAGCTCACCTGGTTGTTGGCAGAACTTGGTTCCCCAGTTCAAATGTTGAAATACTTTATTACTGTGGAAACAGCCACTGCCCCAGGTACCTTTTACCCTGAACTCTTGGGACCTCTCTGTGGTCTAGGAACTGAAGGGTTAACTCCTGGCACTACAGGGGTCTCCGGGCCTCTGCCTGTTGGCTGATGGCCTTGTCAAATTGGTTATCTATTTTGAATATCACTTCTTCTTTCAATGCTTGGGAATCACGGGGCTATGCCCTTTCCCTCATGCGTTTCCTTGCATCCTGGTCCTAGGAAGTGAGCTTAACATAGCAGGGCTACTGTTTTCTGGGCTGGGTTTTACCCATTGCTGCTGGCACAGGATGCTGGCTCAGGCCCAGTGCCCTCAGTGGATGGAGCCTTCTGCACAGTTGCAAAGCACTGTCCCTACCCCAAGGGACTGAGCTCCAGATACCACCTGCTCCACAACCAGACAGCCTGTTCATGGCCTCTGCAGAGCAGGTCTCCTACTTTCTGATCATCCTGGCGGCCAGGTGCTCTGTGGTCTCCTCACTGAAGTGGCCGGTTTTTGTTGCCCTTGGTTTTAGCATCTGCCTCATATAACCCCACTTGCCCCCTTTGTCTCTCTTCTGCCAGGGGTCACGGGCGTCAGCGGTCCAGGGAAGGAAGCAAAGCAAATGGAGAATGGCATGCTGGTGACGGACAGTGCAGGGAAGCAACTGCAGAGGTAAGGGCGGGGAGGAAGGCCCCAACCTAAGGACCCTGCCCTGCCAGTGGGAGGACAAGAGGAGGAACAAAAAAAGGCCTCAGCCCCCTGAGGTCCTGGAAGGCCTGGGCTTTTACCTTCCCTCCCAAATCCTCCAAGGACCTTGCTTTTCAGAGTACAGAGGCCCAAAGAAGGAATGTGGCACTCTTTTTGCCAGGTGGCACAACTCACACAGGCCTCATGATTTAACCAGCTGTCCACGCTTCTGACACTCGGGCTCCCTACATGGTGTGGGTCTTTGCTCAGGTCTCTTGGCGGGGCCTGGAAGGTTCAGGCTTTGTGAAGCAGCATTTGATTTAAAACTGTCTCAAGGCCAGGTGTGGTGGCTCCTGCTTGTAATCTCAGCACTTTGGGAGGTTGAGGCAGGAGGATCGCTTGAGGCCAGGAGTTTGAGACCACAGTGGGTAACATAGCAAGACCTCATCTCTACAAAAAAGGAAGTATGCTCGTGTTTGATTATAGAGGGCTTCCTTAGATCCCTGGGGATTTATAGCGTATGCAGTATATTAACCATCCTAGCTTTTAAAAAACTGGCTAAGTCGGCCAGGCAGGGTGGCTCATGCCTATAATCCCAGCACTTCGGGAGGCTGAGGCGGGCGGATCACCTGAGGACAGGAGTTGAAGACCAGCCTGGCCAACATGATGAAACCCTGTCTCTACTAAAGATACAAAAATTAGCCAGGCATGGTGGCAGGCGCCTGTAGTCCCAGCTACTCGGGAGGCTGAGGCACGAGAATCGCTTGAACCCAGGAGGTGGAGGTTGCAGTGAGCCGAGATTGCGCCATGGCACTCCAGCCTGGGTGACAGAGCGAGACTCCATCTCAAAAAACAAAAAGAAAACAAAACAACAGCAGCAGCAGAAAACAGTAAAACAACAACAAAAATTGACAAAGTCGGAGCCTAAACGTATCAGACCGCGGAGATCTGAGAAAGGATCCCGGACCTGCAGTTGCTACAGGGGTCAGGAGAGAGCAAAGACCATGCGGCATAGCACGGTGCCTGGAACAGACAAACACTTCGTAGATGTCGCTTTTGCCATGGTTATCATCCGGACATGGTTATGGTCCGGAATTGGTGGGTCTTGGTCTCACTGACTTCAAGAATGAAGCCGCAGACCCTCACGGTGAGTGTTACAGTTCTTAAAGGTGGCACGTCTGGGGTTTGTTCCTTCTGCTGTTCGGATGTGTTCGGAGTTTCTTCCTTCTGGTGGGTTCGTGGTCTCGCTGGCCTCAGGAGTGAAGCTGCAGACCTTCGCGGTAAGTGTTACAGCTCTTAAGGTGGCGTGTCTGGAGTCGTTCGTTCCTCCCGCTGGGTTTGTGCTCTGGCTGGCTTCAGGAGTGAAGCTGTAGACCTTGATGGTGAGTGTTACAGCTCACAAAGGCAATGTGGACCCAAACACTGAGCAGCAGAAAGATTTATCGCAAAGAGTGAAACAATAAAGCTTCCACAGTTTGGAAGGGTACCCCAGTAGGTGGCCACTGCTGGCTCTGGCAGCCAGCTTTTATTCTCTTATCTGGCCCTACCCACATCCTGCTGATTGGTCCATTTTACAGAGAGCCGATTGGTCTGTTTTTACAGAGTGTTGATTGGTCCGTTTTGACAGGGTGCTGATTGGTGTGTTTACAACCCCTGAGCTAGATACATAAGTTCCCCACATCCCCACTAGATTAGCTAGATATAGAGTGTTGATTGGTGCATTCACAAACCCTGAGCTAGACACAGGGTGCTGATTGGTGTGTTTACAAACCTTGAGCTAGATACAGAGTGCTGATTGGTGTATTTACAATCCCTTAGCTAGACATAAAGGGCCTCCAAGTCAGCACCAGACTCAGGAGCCCAGCTGGCTTCACCAGGTGGATGCCACACTGGGGCTGCAGGTGGAGCTGCCTGCCAGTCCCGTGCCGTGCGCCCTCACTCCTCAGCCCTTGGGCGGTGGAAGGGACTGGGCGCCATGGAGCAGGGGCGGCACTCGTCCGGGAGGCTCGGGCCGCGCAGGAGCCCATAGCGGGGAGGTGGGGAGGCTCAGGCATGGCAGGCTGCAGGTCCCGAGCCCTGCCCCGCGGGGAGGCAGCTAAAGCCCGGTGAGAAATCAAGTGCAGCAGCTGCTGGCCCAGGTGCTAAGCCCCTCACTACCCGGGCTGGTGGGGCTGCCCGGCAGCTCTGAGTGCGGGGTCCACCGAGCCGACGCCCACCCAGAACTAGCGCTGGCCCGCAAGCGCCGTGTGCAGCTCCGGTTCCCTCCCGTTCCTCTCCCTCCACACCTCCCCGCAAGCTGAGGGAGCCGGCTCCAGCCTTGGCCAGCCCAGAAAGGGGCTCCCACAGTGCAGCGGCGGGCTGAAGGGCTCCTCAAGCGCTGCCAGAGTGGGTGCCAAGGCCGAGGAGGCACAGAGAGCGAGCGAGGGCTGCGAGGGCTGCCAGCACGCTGTCACTTCTCAATCTTACACAGCCTAAATTCTAGTGGGAGACTCCAGACAGTGCATGAGTGTAGAAGGATGTAAGATTTTCTGTCGAGGTGTGTGGATGTGTGAAGTCCTAGGTCATGAAGCAGGAAGCCCCAGCTCCCCATTTGAATTCTAGATTCCATCCAGAGTTGGTTCCAATTGCTCCCTCTGCCACTCCCTGAAAACTCACTCTTGCTTTCGGATTTGAGGGCCACTTCCACCTCACTAGGCCTTAACTAAAGACCTTTGCACAGATCTCATGGGTAAGGAAAGTTTACCCAATCCCAGGCGCTAATTCAAAGAGGGGAGGTGGTGGAGGTTTATTCGGCCTTCAGGAAGTGTTTTCAGGGGACACAGTTCTGGGGGTGCAGGGATGACTCATATGGGGCTCTTGACCTCAGTTAGCTTATAATCTTGTGCAGGAGATAAGTGGGTAGAGGAAAGTATAGAAATTTCCACGGCAGTGAGCCGCAGCTGTGTTTTGCATGGTCTCCATAATTTCTTTTCTTTTCTTTTCTTTTTTTTTTTTTTTTTTGACATGAGTCTCCCTCTGTCGCCCAGGCTGGAGTGCAGTGTGCAGTGGCGCGATGTCAGCCACTGAACAGAAAACTGTGGGCAACGCAATCTGTGATCATCTCTGGGGGTCTGCATAAAGCTCATGACCACTGATGTGCGAAAAGTGCTTTTTTTTTTTTTTTTTGAGACAGGGTCTTACTCAGTCGCTGAGGCTGGAGTGCAGTGGTGCAATCACGGCTCACTGCAATTTCTGCCTCTGGGATTCAAGCGATTCTCCTGCCTCAACCTCCCAAGTAGTTGGGACTGCAGGTGCACGGTACCACGCCTGGCTAATTTTTGTATTTTTAGTAGAGACGGGGTTTCACCGTGTTGGCCAGGCTAGTCTTGAACTCCTGGCCTCAAGTGATCCGCCCACCTCGGCCTCCCAAAGTGCTGGGATTACAGGTGTGAGCCACTGCACCTGGCCAAATAATGCTTTCTGAGTAACACGCTTGCATGAAGGAGCAGTCAGGCAAGATCCCACCCCAGTGCCCACCACATTTGTAAAACAAGAAAATCGAACTAGCTGGGTACTTTGCCCTATGTTTTTCATCATATGTTACATTTTGAATCTTTTTCATGTTTGAAAAATGATCTACGATGTGCCCTTTCTGTTATATCTTTTATTGGCTTTTTTTTTTTTGAGATGAATTCTAATTGATCTCAGAAAAAAAAAAAAAAGCACGCACTTTTTATATACCAGTTGTCATGGGCTTTTTGCAGGCCCCCAGAGATCATCACAGATTGCGTTTCCCATGGGTCTCATTCCTGCCTGAGACACTGCCTTTCTCTGGGTACCTATAAACCTGGAGAGTGACATGGTGGGGGTGTGGTGCATATATTCATATATATGTTTACATGTGTGCATGTGGAAACACTCCGTCTCTTATGCCATGGTTCAGACCCACAATAGCAGTCCCAGCAGGGAGCCCTCCGACCCTGCCCAAGGCATCTGTACGGTTGACACCCTTGTGCTTTGCTTCTCCAGACAGCTCAGCAGCTCCTCCTCCTATAGTGGGGACATCAGCAGGCACCACAACAGCACCGCAGAACTGCAGAAAGCTGAGGCCAAGAAGGAGGAGACCTGGAAGCTGATGGAGGCTGACAAGGCGCAGACAGGGCAGGTGAGATTCGCTCCTTAAGTGATGATAGTGGCTGGAGTTTATAGAGCGCCCACTGTGCACTGGGCACTGTGCAAAGTGCCTTGTCTATGTTAACTCACCTGTCCATCACAACACACCTGTGAAGATACTATTTGCAGCACCAGAAACTGAGGCCAGAGAGGCTAAGTGACTTACTCAGGGTCACCCCTGGTCAGCGGCAGAACTGGGATTTGAACCCTGGCCAACTCCAGGGTTAGTACTTGTAGTCTCTGCTCTATTGACTGCCTGAGCAGCTCAGGGGGGTCTCATTCGCTAGAGGTGAGCTGGATGCTTTAAATCAGGGCTTCCTGCAACGTGGGGTTCAGTTGTGCATGAGATGGTGTCCGGTTGTGCACAGACGCATTAAATGACAGAGGAATGTTTGTTTCATTTCTTTTTTTAATTTTTATTTTTTTGAGATGGAGTCTCACTCTGTCACCAAGGCTGGAGTGCAGTGGTGCGATCTCGGCTCACTACAACCTCTGCCTCCTGGGTTCAAGCAGTTTTCCTGCCTCAGCCTCCTGAGTAGCTGGGATTACAGAAACTTGCTACCTTGCCCAGCTAATTTTTGTATTTTTAGTAGAGACAGGGTTTCACCATGTTGGCCAGGCTGGTCTTGAACTCCTGACCTCAGGTGATCCACCCACCTTGGCCTCCCAAAATGCTGGGATTACAGGGGTGAGCACCGCGTCCTGCCTGTTTTTCATTTCTCATTTGGTCCTAATGATTACGTCCCTGAGAAAGTCCCAGTTGGGTCCTACCCTGCCTTCTCAACCTATCAACCACTATCCTCTCTTTGTAACAAGGAGACCGGGTTTTGAGCTCCTGTTTTATTGTTTTTAAAGATCGTCTATTTTGGGCAAGTGTTAATAATTCTCCATTTATGGTGGTGATCCAAAGTTTATTTTTAAAAATAAATGTGGTTTTTTTTGTTTTTGTTTTTAAAGGGAATGGAATTTTTAAAGTAGGTAAAAAATAAGCATGCAGATAAAGAAAAACAAAAAAAAAAAACATGAAAGGTGGTAGCCGGGGAGTGGGGCTGGGGCACTTTCTCTTAGATCTGCCCGGATGTGTCCAGAGCTTCCGAGGACTGTCTGTTCCTGGCTTCTTCCTTAACTTGTCATCAGAGTCAGGACCGTAACAAGGGGCAGAGGTGACTCTGGTGTCCTCTCTCGCCTTACCCTTAGTGACCCTCCAGGAAGCCAGAGAAGTTACCCCAAATCGCAGGACATGGGAAGGAAGGGCCAGAGATGCCAGGCCCATTTAATCCTCATTTAACTCCAATTTTATATTCAAGGAACATCAAAGCCAGGGGGCTTGTTACTTGTCAAAGTTGGACCCAGAGTGGAGCCAGGCACAACACGCTTATCGTTTCTTTGTGTCTTTTTTTTTTTTTTTTTTTTTTTTTTGAGACGAAGTCCTGCTGTGTTGCCCAGGCTGTAGTGCCGTGGCGCTCACCGCAACCTCCGCCTCCCGGGTTCAAGCAATTTACCTGCCTCAGCCTCCCGAGTAGCTGGGACTACAGGCCTGCGCCACCATGCCTAGCTAATTTTTGTATTTTCGGTAGAGATGGCGTTTCACTATGTTGGCCAGGCTGGTCTCAAACTCCTGACCTTGTGATCTGCCTGCCTCAGCCTCCCAAAGAGCTGGTGCTGGGATTATAGGCATGAGCCACTGCGCCCGGCCTTTTTTTTTTTTTTAATTTGTTTTCTTTTTTTTTTTTTCTGAGACAAGGTCTGACTCTGTCACCCAGGATGGAGTGCAGTGGCACAATCATGGCTAACTGCAGCCTCCACCTCCCGGATTCAAGTGATTCTCCCACCTCAGCCTTCCAAGTAGCTGTGACTACATGTGTGCACCCCCACGCTTGACTAATTTTTTTAATTTTTTTGTGGAGATGAGGTTTCGCCCTGTCGCCCAGACTGGTCTTGAGCTCCTGGGCTCAAGTGACTGGCCCGCCTCCCAAAGTACTGGGATTACAGATGTGAGCCACCACACCTGGCCACACACTTGTCATTTCTGACCCCCGAGCCCACCACATTCCACTACTCATGAGAAAGAGGTTCCTGAACGCTGCAGGCTAATTTCAGGGACAGCAGGCAACTTGGCCGCATGACAAAGCCAAGTGGTGAAATAAACACATTCTTAATTATGACCTGTCTCCTCACCCACATTTTTCATTTTCCAGAATGGGGACTTGAAAACTCAAAAGGAAGCAGCCAGTTACACATCAGACCTGTTATCTTTCACCTGTTACCTTTCAGCTAGACCGTAGGGTCAGATGATTTTTGTTTTTTTTTCTGGTGAGGGGCAGAGCCTCACTGTGTCGCTCAGGCTGGAGTGCAGTGGTGTGACCAACGCTCACTGCAGCCTTAAGCTTCTGGGTTCAAGAGCTCCTCCTAGCTCAGCTTCCTGAGTAGCTGGGACTATAGGTGTGGACCACCACACCTAGCTAATTTTAAAATTTTTTGTAGAGACAGGGTCTTACTGTGTTTCCCAGGCTGGTCTCAAACTCCTGGGCTCAAGTCATTGTCCTGCCTTGGCCTCCCAAAGTGCTGGCATTATAGGTGTGAGCCACCGCACCCAGTCCAGATGATTTTCATGACCCAAAATTCAGCATGAAAAGCTTGAAATGACAATGAGCACAGACACGGGTAAAGATCCCTGGAATTTCTTGAAACCAAGTCAGGTGGTTTAGGTGGGGGCTGGCCTAAAGCAGATTGCCCTGTCTCTCATGTCAGGCGGCTAGACACATTTGTTTAGCCCCATGCTGGGCTCCACAGGGAATATAGGAGGGAAAGAAACTCCAACCTTCACCTCCTGGAGCGAACTGGGCACTGGGAAGATGGGTGAGATGGTATTCTGTGCTCAGAGTGAAAAGAGTTGGAGGAGGCTGGCCCAGTTGTGGTGTTGAGGTGACATTTGGCCTTGGTTGCCAGGCAACATGTCACACGTTGCTTAAAACTCATTGGTGGCTTCTGCTTTCTGTCAGTCTTGGCTAAAAGTTGGAATCCTGACCCGAGTCTCCCATGCCATGTGTGGTCTGACTGCGACCGGTTTTTCCAGCCTCTTGTTCCTTGCTGCCCCATGATCTCCTGGCTCCAGCCACCAGTGCCTTCTCTCAGTTCCCCAGATGCACTGTGTTCCCTCCTACCTCAGGGCCTTTGCACATGCTGGTTCTGCCACCTTTTTTCCATTTTCAGCTGGTTTAACTCCTTTTTTTTTTTTTCCCCCTGGAGGCAGTGTCTCCCTCTGTCACCCAGGCTGGTGTGCAGTAAGTTTGGCTTGGTGCAACCTCCACCTCCTGGCTTCAAGCGACCCTTGTGCCTCAGCCTACAGGCATGTGCCCCCACGCCTGACTAATTTTTGTATTTTTTGTAGAGGTGAGATTTCATCATGTTGGCCAGGCTGGTCTCGGATTCCTGACCTCAGGTGATCCACTTGCCGCAGCCCCTCAAAGTGCTGGGATTACAGGTGTGTGAGCCACGATGCCCAGCACTCTTTATTTTTTTTTATTTTTTAGAGACAGTCTCACTCTGTCACCCACGCTGGAGTGCAGTGGCGCATTCTCGGCTCACTGTAACCTCCGCCTACTGGGTTCAAGCCATTCTCTTGCCTCAGCCTCCCGAGTAGCTGAGATGACATGTGCCTACCACCATGCCCAGCTAATTTTTGTATTTTAGTAGGCAAGGGGTTTCGCCATGTTAGTCAGGCTGGTCTCAAACTCCTGACCTCAGGTAATCCACCCGCCTCGGCCTACCGACGTGCTGGGATCACAGGCATGAGCCACTGCACCCAGCCTTGGTTTAACTCTTTAATGTCACTTCCTCGAAGAAAACCTCCCCCAATACCTCTCTAGACTGCATTAGGTCAGGTTGTCTGATTTTATACTCACGTGGAATTGTGCACCGTTTACAGCCCTTCTCTGTGATGACGCATTTATCTGGGATGATTTTATGGGAGCCTATCTCACCACGCGACTGGAAGCTCCATGCATGAGGGCAGAGACCCTGAGTTTGTCTCTTTTTTTTGAGACGGAGTCTCACTCTGTCGCCCAGGCTGGAGTGCAGTGGGGCAATCTTGGCTCACTGCTTCTACCTCTGCCTCCTGGGTTCGAGGAATTCTGCCTCGGCCTTCCAATTAGCTGGGATTACAGATGCCGACCACACACCCGGCTAACTTTATATTTTTAATAGAGGCAGGATTTTGCCATATTGGCCAGGCTGGTCTCGAAGTCTCTACCTCAGTTGATCTGCCCGCCTCAGCCTCCCAAAATGTTGGGATTACAGGTGTGAGCCACGGCGCCTGGCCCTCGACTTTGTTTACTGCTGACTTTGTTGAATAGCTAAAGGGGAGGGGTGTTCTACGTAGGAGCAAAGGCAGGCAGCTGGGTGGCACAGTGCTGGTGAAGCCCCCGACCTTGTGGGGCTGGGGCTGGGGCTGGGTGCGTGCATGTGCTAAGCTGCCTTATCTCCTGTGATCTCCAGGTCAAGCTTTCCGTGTACTGGGACTACATGAAGGCCATCGGACTCTTCATCTCCTTCCTCAGCATCTTCCTTTTCATGTGTAACCATGTGTCCGCGCTGGCTTCCAACTATTGGCTCAGCCTCTGGACTGATGACCCCATCGTCAACGGGACTCAGGAGCACACGAAAGTCCGGCTGAGCGTCTATGGAGCCCTGGGCATTTCACAAGGTTGGTGCCACTGTCTCCCACCCCGCCTGATTTGGGCCCCTGTTGTGGCTTTGTCTAATTATAGAAATGGATCCTTAGAGTCCTCAGCGTTTTGTGGGACCCCAAACCAAGCCAAACCCAGAAAAATGGTAGCTGTCAGCTAGTAGACACTCAGATATTTGTAGAGTGGGTGTTTGAGTGCTTTGTTCATATGGGCCTTGGTGGTAGACGGGAGGAGTGCTCCAGTGTGCCCATTTTACAGATGAGGACAGTTGAGAACAGAGGCCTCTGGAAGCACTGAGGGTTGGGAGGACCCCCTTGAGCATGTTTGCTTTGTCACAGTGACAGAGCTTCCATGAGGTCTCATTTGCGGACTTTTGCCTGCTGAGTGAGGGCGGAAATTGGCTTATACTAGTAATTCCCAATTATGGGCAGTGTTGTCCCTCGGGGATGTTTGACAATATCTGGAGATGCTTTTGGTTGTCAAAAGATTGAGAAACCCTGCTGTTGGCCAGGCATGGTGGCTCACACCTGTAATCCCACACTTTGGGAGGCTGAAGTCAAAGGATTGCTTGAGGCCAGATATTCGAGACCAGCCTGGGCAACATAGTGAGACCCTATTTCTAGAAAAAATAGATAAATAAAATAAACTACAGGTCACGTGGTGGTATGCGCTTGTGGTCTCAGCTACTTGGGCAGCTGAGGTCACAAGATTGCTTGAGCCCAGGAGTTTGAGCCTACAGTTAGACCTGTGATTGCACCACTGCCCTCCAGCCTGGGTGACAGAGCAAGACCCTGTCTCAAAAAATAAACAAAAAAAAAAAAACCCTGCTCTATACTGTTCTGTGTGGTCCTATGGGAGTCCTCAAATGCAGCAGCGTTGATATTAACAGCTGGCATTTACTGAGCATTTACTTGGTGCTTGGATTTGTTCTAAACACTTCCACGTGTTTTAACTTATTTTATCCTTGCAGCAGTCCTGTGAGGTAGGAGTTAATATTTCCCTCATTTTGGAGATACAGAAATTGAGGCCCAGAGAGGTTGAGTCAGTTGCCAAAAGTCACACAGCTAATACATGGCAGCATTGGCATTGAACAAGGCAGTCTGGCTCAGGAGCTCACGCTGTTATCCACTGTGCTACGCAGTATGTGAGCCATGTTTGCAAATACACATGTATGGTCCATATGATATATACACAGTAAATGGATAGTCTTGACACATTTGAGTACTTCTGTATGCCAGGCACATTGCCAGGTGGGGACTTCACATTCCACAGTGCTCCGAGGTCAGCGTCATTGTCCCATTTTACAGATGAGGAAACTGAGAGATTCAGTGACCAGTAGGAGGTCCCATAGCTGGTAAGTGGCAGAGATGGGATTTGGCAGCATTGGCTCCAGAGCCTGTTACTTGAGCCCCTGCCTATTGGGTGTCTTCCCGATTAAAGAGGCCGAGATGGAAGCCTCTCTGTTCCTAGGAAGTTGCTGCTCTGGAACACACAGTGCGCTCCTGTGGATTGTTTGAGAGAAGCACCAGTGTCTCAGGATCTCCAGGAGGTGGCTTTGGGAAAACCCAGCGGTAGCAGAGCACACATGGACTCCTTGAGTCTCTCAATCCCTCCCCTCCCCTCTCCTTGCCATTAGGGGAAAGGACTGTGGCCTACAAATTATAATTGAGGGAAGGTAGAGAACAGAGAGGGTGTGGTATTACCTGAACTCACACAGCAACAACGTCTGTTCCAGAGCTGTGCTGTCTGGTGCGGTAGTCACAAGACACAGGTGGCTATTTTAATTTCAGCTGTTAAAATTAAATAAACGTTGGGCGCAGTAGCTCACGCCTGTAACCCCAACACTTTGAGAGGCCAAGGCGGGTGGATCGCTTAATCCAGGGGTTCAAGACCAGCCTGGGCAGCATGGCAAAACCCTGTTTCTACAAAAAATACAAAAATTCGCTGGGCGTGGTGGCGCATGTCTGTAATCCCTGCTACTCAGGAGGCTGAGGTGGGAGGATTGCTTGAGCCCAGGAGGTCGAGGCTGCAGTGAGCCGTGATCACAGCCCTGTACTCCATCCTGGGTGACAGGATGAGAGAGACCCCATCTCAAAAGAAAAATAAAATTAAAGATTTATTCGATTAGACTAGACACGTTTCAAGTGCTCAGTAGCCATCATTTCAGAAAATTATCTCAGCACTGTTCTAAAACAGCGATCCCTAGCCTTTTTGGCACCAGGGACTGGTTTCATGGAAATGGTGGGTGGTGATTTCGGGATGAAACTGTTCCACCTTAGATCATCAGGCATTAGTTAGATTATCAGAAGAAGCGCACAGTCTAGGTCCCTTGCATGCACGGTTCACAATAGGGTTCGCACTGCTAGGAGGATCTAATGCCACCACTGAGCTCACAGGAGGCAGAGCTCAGGCGCTGATGCTCAGGAGGTGACCACCACTCACCTCCTGCTGTGGGGCCTGGTTCCTAACCGGTCATGAGCTGCTGCCAATCTGTGGCCCCGGGGTTGGGGACCCCTGGTCTAGAAGAATATGGCATGGGGATTAAGAGCAGGCTGTCTGGATTAAAATCCCAGTTCTGCTTCTGCTAGGCACAGTATACTAAGGGCAAAGGCGTTCACCTATCTGGACTTCAGTTTTCTTATCTGTAAGTTGGGTAGTAATAGAAGTTATTCAGAGTCATCATAAAAATCAGTTACATGTAAAACCCAGCACAGTGCTTAGCACATAGGAAGTACCCTCTGAATAATAGCTGCCATTATCATCATCATTATTATTACTATTTTTTTTTTTTTTGAGACGGAGTCTCATTCTGTCGCCCATGTTGGAGTGGAGTGGACGCAGTCTTGGCTCACTGCAACCTCCACCTCCCGGATTCAAGCAATTCCCTTGCCTCAGCCTCCCGAGTAGCTGGGATTACAGGCGCCAACCACCACGCCTGGCTAATTTTTGTATTTTTAGGAGAGACGGAGTTTCACTGTGTTGGCCAGGCTGGTCTCGATCTCCTGACCTCAAGTGATCCACCCACCTCGGCCTCCCAAAGTGCTGGGATTACAGGTGTGAGCCACCATGCCTGGTTCATCATTATTATTATTATTAGAAGTTGGGAGTCCAGGCCTGCCTCGTCCACATGGCCACTCCTCCCTGCAGTGCCTGGTCAGCTCCCTCTCTGCATTGTGGAGTTTTAACTCCGAGTGTCTGCAGGGATCGCCGTGTTTGGCTACTCCATGGCCGTGTCCATCGGGGGGATCTTGGCTTCCCGCTGTCTGCACGTGGACCTGCTGCACAGCATCCTGCGGTCACCCATGAGCTTCTTTGAGCGGACCCCCAGTGGGAACCTGGTGAACCGCTTCTCCAAGGAGCTGGACACAGTGGACTCCATGATCCCGGAGGTCATCAAGATGTTCATGGGCTCCCTGTTCAACGTCATTGGTGCCTGCATCGTTATCCTGCTGGCCACGCCCATCGCCGCCATCATCATCCCGCCCCTTGGCCTCATCTACTTCTTCGTCCAGGTAAGGGGTGAGGTCTTAGTGTTCGGGACAAGCCCTACTGTGCATTATATACCAGTGTTACCTAAAGCCTTGTTTTATCTTACCATGTCCCCAGTGTGGTGCTTTTGAAGCATGTAGATTTGTTTTTGTCAGTTTCGAATACCTAAATTGTTTTTTTGCTCACAATAACAAAATGCACTTTTTTTGTGGAATGCAGTTTTTTCCTAAGTTTTACTTTTCCACCTGTCAATTCAAAAAGGAAACAAAACCTATCACTATAAAGACAACTTCATTATTAAAATTTCTTTTTTTTTCTTGAGACAGAGTCTCGCTCTGTCACCCAGGCTGGAGTGCAGTGGCACAATCTTGGCTTACTGCAACCTCCACCTCCCAGTTCAAGTGATTCCCCTGCCTCAGCCTCCTGAGTTAACAGGTGCGCACCACCACGGCCGGCTAATTTTTGTATTTTTAGTAGAGACAGGGTTTCACCAGTGTTGGCCAGGCTGGTCTCAAACTCCTGAGCTCAGGTGATCCACCCACCTCGACCTCCCCAAGTGTTGGGATTACAGATGTGAGCCACTGCGTCCAGCCTAAAATTTCTTCAAGTATAAAATTCTTTAGTTCTTAAGCCTCCTGCAGGAGGCAGGAACTAAACAAAAAACATGACTAATAGCAGCCTAAATAAGATAGACGTTTTCTTTTTCTCTGTCATAATAGAAATTTAGAGGTAGGCTGTTCAGGGCTGGTATGGCAGCTTCATGAGTTTAATATCCCAGATACCTGCTTTTATTTAAAAATTTAAAAAATCTTACCATATTTATACAAGCCTTTCATTCTTTCTTTCTTTCTTTTTTTTTTTTAATTTGACATGGAGTCTCGCTCTGTCGCCCAGGCTGGAGTGCAGTGGCGCGATCTCGGCTCACTGCAAGCTCCACCTCTCGGGTTCACACCATTCTCCTGCCTCAGCCTCCCGAGTAGCTGGGACTACAGGCGCCCGCCACTACGCCCGGCTAATTTTTTTTGTATTTTCAGTAGAGACAAGGTTTCACCATGTTAGCCAGGATGGTCTCAATCTCCTGACCTCGTGATTCGCCTGCCTCAGCCTCCCAAAGTGCTGGGATTACAGGCGTGAGCCACTGCGCCCGGCCCCTTTCATTCTTAAGTTGGCCTCATGGTCCAAGGTGGCTGCTGGAGCTCCAGCCATTATATCTATATTTCAGTCAGTGAGATCAAGGAAGGGAAGTAGGGCAAGGGAGCATATGGGTGCTGAATCAGCACTACTCCCTTATCTGCAGGCACACATTCTAAGACTCCCCCAATGGATGCCTTAAACTGCAGATAGTATTGAATCCTACATATCCTGTTTTTTTCTGTACATACATACCTATGATAAAGTTTAATTTATAAATTTGGCATAATAGATTAATAGCAGTAATTTATAATAATAAAATAGAACAATTATAACAATATGCCAGTATCACTACTTCTCCACATTAGAGGCGTTATTTTTATTACTTTTTTTTTTGAGACAGAGTTTAGCTGTGTCCTTCAGGCTGGAGTGCAGTGATGGAATCTCGGCTCACTGCAACATCTGCCTCCCGGGTTCAAGTGATTCTCTTGCCTCAGCCTCCCAAGTAGCTGGGATTACAGGCATGCGCCACACCCAGCTAGTTTTTGTATTTTTAGTAGAGACGAGGTTTCACCATGTTGGCCAGGCTAGTCTCAAACTCCTGACGTCAAGTGATCCGCCCGCCTCAGCCTGCCAAAGTGCTGGGATTACAGGCATTGACCCACTGAGCCCAGCCAGGGGCATTATTGAGTAAATTCGGATTACTTACCCATAAGCACTGCAGTACAATGGCCGTCAGTCTGATAACCGATATGGCTATTAAGTGACTAAACTGACAGGGAGGGTCTGCAGCATGGACCTGCTGGACAAAGGGATGATTCACACCGCGGATGGGACTGGGGGGGATTTCATCACACTACTCAGAAGGGTGCACAATTTAAAACTTACACATTATTTTTGGACCACAGTTGACCATGGATAACCGAAACCATGTGTGTTAGTTTGTCCTCATACTGCTATGAAGAAATACCCAATACTGGGTAATTTATTAAGGAAAGAGGTTTAATTGACTCACAGTTCCGCATGGCTGAGGAGGCCATGGCAGAAGGAGAAGCAAACATGTCCTTCTTCACATGGCAGTAGGAAGAAGAATGAGAGCACCACGAAGTCGGGGAGCCCCCTTATAAAACCATCAGATCTTGTGAGAACTAACTCACTATCATGAGGGTTGGGGGAAACTGCCCCCACGATTCAGTTATCTCCACCTGGTCCCTCCCATGACACATGGGGATTAAGGGAACTACAATTCAAGATGAAATTTGGGTGGGGACACAGCCAAACCATATAACCACGGAAAGTGCAACCTTGGATTAGAGGGACACCTGTACATCTAATTGTCCAGAACTTAGTCATGGGACCACCTCTATTCACAAGGGACCCTGGAAAGTGCCGTGTTTTAGCTGGGCACATTGCACTTCCCAGCAAAAACTTTCAGTTGGGCCTAGGCACGGTGGCTCACGCCTGTAACCCTACCCCTTTGGGAGGCCGAGGCGCGTGTATCACCTGAAGTCAGGAGTTCGAGAGCAGCCTGACCAATATGGTGAAACCCCACCTCTACTAAAAATACAAAAATTAGCCAGGTGTGGTGGCATGTGCCTATAGTCCCAGCTGCTCTGAAGGCTGAGACAGGAGAATTGCTTGAACCTGGGAGGTGGAGGTTGCAGTGAGCCAAGATTGCATCACTGCAGTCCAGCCTGGGCAACAGAGTGATACTCTGTCTAAAAAAAAACAGAGAAGTTTCTGTTGGGAAAGGAGAAATTGTGTAGGCAGTCAGTCGTCTCTGCTGCATCCCTTCTGCAGAAACGGTTATATGTTCTTTGTTCTTTGAACACATGTGGTTTCTTAGGATATCGCAGGATAGATAATGTTTTCAATTGACAGGTGGAGCATCTTGCTAAGTGGGAGAGCTGAGAGTGCAACCTCAAGTCTGTCCAATTCCAAAACTGCTGTTACCGCTAAAGGATTAACCGCAGCACAATTGCCAGTAGGGATGGGTTGTTTAGATGGGAGCATTCCAGCTGCAAAGCAAAACAAGAGTAAGAAACCATGAGGCTCACCATATCTCAAACCACGCTGCACAGCTGTTCAGGTGGCATCCAGGGGGCCTTGGTTCAATCATGTGGCCCCTGCGCCCCACCACACTGTGGCCCAATGATTGATGAGAACGAACAGTGATGGAATCAGAGAGAGTAGGTCCAGTTCCTGGAGTCTCGTTATATCCTCTTGAAATTGGTGCCAGCTTTTTTTTTTTTTTTTTTTTTCCCTGCATTTACCAAATATGTTATCTGTGTTCATACGCAAGCTGGAAAATTTCCTGAAAGACCCAAAAAGAACAAAACAGGCCAAATGCAGTGTTGAAGGCAACTTAAATGTCTGCCAATAGCAGGACCTTGGGTACACCGTGGAGCAATGTGGCTTTGAGCAGGGATAATTAGAAGACGCAGCTGTTGGAGCACCAAGGATTTTTATTTTTCAACAACAAAGGAAATGATTTTAGCAAAGGACCAAGTTCTAGGTGCACTGTCGTTATCACCGAGATGAAATGCATAATGTGTGTGGGCAGGACTGGAAGGGAGGCAGATACATGAAAACATCGTCTTTTTAAGGGTTGAGATTATAGAATAGTTAATTTTTTAATGGCTTTTGGCTAAATTTACATTTATCCTCTCACTAGGCAGTCTCATTCCTAAGTGTATATTAAAAAAAAAAAAAAAAAAAAAAGAGCAAAGGCAGTGCTTAGAATGTTCTCAGCATCTTGATTCATAATCGCCCAAACTGGAAACAGCTCAAATGTCCATTAACAGGACCGTGGAGAAATAAATTGTGATATAATTATACAATTTATGGTTGAGTAGTAAAAAGGAATGAAATGCTAATACACAACAATTTGGGTTTATCTCAGAGATGTTATAGTGATCAAAAGAAGCCAGACGAAAAAGAGTAGGTACTGTGAGATTTCATTTATATGAAGTTCGGTCGGGTGCAGTGGCTCATGCCTTTAATCCCAGCCCTTTGGGAGGCCTAGACAGGAGGATTGCTTGGGCCCAGGAGTTCGAGACCAGCCTGAGCAACATGGGAAAACCTGGTCTCTACAGAAAATACAAAAATTAGCTGGGTGTGGTGGCGTGAACCTGTAGTCCCACCTGCTTGGGAGGCTGAGATGGAAGGGTCACTTGAGCCTCGGAGGCGGAGGTTGCAGTGAGCTGACATTGTGCCAGTGCACTTCAGCCTTGGTGACAGGGCGAGTTGTCTGAAAAAAACATCAGATCAGCAGGGCAGGTGGATCACCTGAGGTCAGGAGTTTGAGACCAGCCTGGCCAACATGGTGAAACCCCATCTCTACTAAAAATAGAAAAATTAGCCAGGCACGGTGGTGGGCGCCTGCAATTCCAGCTACTTAGGAGGCTAAGGCAGGAGAATTGCTTGAACCTGGGAGGCAGAGGTTGCAATGAGCCAAGATTGTGCCACTGCACTCCAGCCAGGGTGACAGAGCGAGACTGTCTTAAAAAATAAAATAAGATCATTCCTGAACAAATATTCATCTCAGGTTAGATTTTTCCAGTAAGTAAGGTTCAGAGGCAGTGGCAAGTGGAGGAAAGTGAACAGGTAACACACTTGAGAGCGATTTGCATCTGGATTGTTCAGAAAGCAAGCTGGTAAGAGAGGAAGGAGATGTGGTCCAGGGTAAGATGGGGCAGATCACCTGGGCCTTCAGCCATGCAGAGGGGTCTGGATTTCATGGGAGGCGGTGGGAACAGCTGGAGAAGAAATTATATCTGATCCACATTCCAGGAATTGGCAGAACAGCTATTCTGAGACTGCGTGGGGTTGTGCGGTACCTGGGTTCACTTACATAGCTTCTGGGGCCCCAGAAGACTCTCCATCTGTGGGTTGCAATTAACGCCCGTGCCGCCACCCAGAAAGAAGCTGCCAACCACAGAGGCCTTGTAAAAGCCACCTGCTGCTATTGATGCTTTTTGTTGGACTCTGCCCCAAAGCAGCCCAGTACACCTGGCCCAGGGCAGGATGCAGGGAGGCCGAGTTCCTAGCAACCCTTTGTTAGTTTTCCCAGCTCTCCTGTCGATAAGCAATTGTAGGCACCTTGTGGAATCAGGAACCCCGGGCTCACCAGTTCCTTTTGCGTAGATGAGAAAAACCTAGGCTAGGAGAGCGCAGTGTCCTCACATGGCTGGTGCAGCCTCTGATCCACAGCTCCACAAAGCTTGCAGAAGGTGGTTGGCTTTTGTTCTGAATCTAACAAGACTTATCGGGAGGCTCTTGGTGCCTGGCACTGGCTGAATGCCCAGGTTGGGGGAGGCAGAGCAGATGAAGCATCTGCCCGCGAGGGTGGGTGGAGCTGCTTGTGAAACGTATCATCGTAGCCCGGGAGCTGGGACACTGAAGCCCGGAGAAGGTGCTCATGGAGGATGGGAAGGGCTTCCCGAGGAAGTGACATCTGTGCTCCCATCTGCTGGGTGATGAGGAATGGCCTGGACGGGATGGGCATGGTGGGTGGAGGCAGGCGGCCTGTGTGCAGGGAAGGAAGGGGAGAGTTACAGGATGAGATGAGTTGAGGGAAGAAGCATGGTTGGCAACTCTAACAGCGCTGGGAGGCCATCGGAGGGGGGTGACGAGATTGACCCTATCCTCATGGGCATCTCAGCTGGGCTGAGTGTGCTGGAACCGGCCATTGCATGGACACAGTCACTCCTGAGGGGATGTGATCAACAGGCGGAATTCTGTCACTTAATGATAACAATAGTCACCAGCTAACTGAATGCTTACTGTTAGGTCAAACTATATGAAACTGCTAATACTTATTTCTTATCTACAGAAACAGCTATTTCCTGTGGTTCAACCTAGTATTACCAGGCACTGTGCTTAGTGACATCATGCATATCTATATGATTTATGAAATAATGTGTCCACGCAAATACACATCACATGTAAGACTGTAACTCTTACATGTCACCCTCACAATGACCCCGTGAAGCAAGCTTTGTTTTGTTTCGTTTGTTTTCTTAATAATATTTTATTTTTGTAGAGATGGCATTTTGCCATGTGCCTGGGCTGGTCTCAGACTCCTGGCCTCAAGTGATCTCCCGCCTCTGCCTCCTGAAGTGCGGGTATTACAAGCATGAGCCACCCCACCTGGCCGAGCAAGCCTTGTTGTTCCCATTTTACAGATAAGGAAACTGAGGCTTAGAGAAGTAAAGTGTTAGTCGTGTTTATATTGCCAGTCAGTAGTTGAGTCAGGATTTGAACTGAGGTCTCGTTGACCTCAAAGCCTATGCTGAAAACCACACTGCTGGTTCCAGAAAACCCTAGAGGTGAAAGGCTTCAGAGAGGCAGTACAGGGTAGAGGTTAGCACTTTGCAGCCCAGATGGCCTGGGTTTGAATCCCAGTTCTGCCCCTTGCTAGCCATGTGACCTTGGGGAGGAGATTAACTAGCTTCTTTGTGCCTTAGTCTACCCATCACATATAGGAATGAGCACCTCAGGTTTTTTGTGAGGATTGAATGAACTGATGTTTGTAAAACTGCTTAGAACGATGCCTGGGGCTGTGGGCTTTGTATAAGCGTGAGCTATTATTGTCACTGTCCTTGTCATTGGTGGTGCTATTCCTGTGGTTCACCAGGTGAGTGGGCACCCCTGTGAGGGCAGCCCGGCTCTAACATTTTGCCTCCTGGAGGTATCGGTTACGTCTAGATGTTCTCCAGCACAGCCCTGCCCTGGGAGGATGGCAGGAGGGAACCTTCATCAACTCCCCGCGTCTGTTCTCTACCCCAGAGGTTCTACGTGGCTTCCTCCCGGCAGCTGAAGCGCCTCGAGTCGGTCAGCCGCTCCCCGGTCTATTCCCATTTCAACGAGACCTTGCTGGGGGTCAGCGTCATTCGAGCCTTCGAGGAGCAGGAGCGCTTCATCCACCAGAGTGACCTGAAGGTGGACGAGAACCAGAAGGCCTATTACCCCAGCATCGTGGCCAACAGGTGGGCATGGTGGGCCTGCAGGAGCGGGTGGAGGAGGCCGCCTTAGCACCTTGTCTCTTTGCCTCGATCTTTTCCTCGCACCTTGAGCTGGGTATAAAGCCAAACCCCGGCCTTGCAGAAAGGATGGAGAGGCTTGATGAGCGCGGAGGACAGATGAATCATTAAGAGCAGACAGCGGCACTGTAGACATGCAGTGCCCGCGGCATTTAAGTGCAGGGACACAGCTCTTCTGGAGTCAGAAAGCCCTGCAAGTGCTTCCCGTTAACTGTCATCCTAGTGATGCAAGACTGCCAGCGACCGACTCTGCTATTGAGTATCTTCATACCGCTGTTCCCGTCTGGGGGTGATCATGCACCCCTGGGTGATGTGTGTCAGAAGCAATTTACTAATACTAAGCTAAACCATATGAGATTGTCATCTTGTGGGCCAGATGTCATGGCTCACGCCTGTAATCCCAGTACTTTGGGAGGCTGAGGCAGGAGGATCCATTAGATTCCAGGCCAGCCTGGGCAACATAGCAAGACCCCCATCTCTCTTAAAAAAAAAAAAAAAAAAAAAAAGTAGCCCATCATGGTGGTGTGTGCCTGTAGTCCTAGCTTCTCGAGAGGCTGAGGCTGGAGGATCGTTTCAGCCCAGGAGTTCAAAGTTGCATTGAGCTATGATTACACCACTGCACTCCAGCCTGGGTGACAGAGTGAGACCCTGTCTCTGGAAAAACAAAAAAAGGAGATGGGGGTGGGAGATTGACATCTTGTGGATCACAGATAATAGCATCAATCCAAAAGAGGCAGAAGTTTGCTAATTATTTGCTGAATTTAGAGAAGTGTCCCTCTCACCCATTTGCATCCTTATAGACTTTTCTGAAAAAGTGACAGCACCCCAGAGGTGTCCCATAACCATTAGCCCGTCTTACACACTCTAATCCCATAGCGTAAGTCTGGGTGGGCTAACCCTGAATGATTACAGACCTTGACTTCCCTTCAGAATTTTTAGGGAGTTTGTCACAATCTGGCTGTGTCTGTCGGAGTAGTGAGGATCAGTCACTTGGTTCATAAGGGCTGCAATGGAGAAAAGATCAACACCCCATCTTCCTAGAATGCTTTATATTTTAGAACATTAAAATAATAGTTCTAGTGCTATATGATATCATACGAAGCCTAGCTTTAAACAAATAAGATGGCCAGGCGCGGTGGCTCACATCTGTAATCCCAGCACTTTGGGATGCCAAAGTGGGTGGATCACCTGAGGTCAGGAGTTCAAGACCAGCCTGGTCAACATGGCAAAATCCCATCTATATTAAAAATACAAAAAAATTAGCCGGGCATGATGGTGGGTGCCTGTACTTGGGAGGCTGAGGCAGGAGAATCACTTGAACCCAAGAGGCAGAGGTTGCAGTGAGCCAAGACCGCACCATTGCACTCCAGCCTGGGCAACGAGAGCGAAACTCTATCTGAAGAAATAATAGAAGAGAAGAGAAGAATAAAATAAAAAGTAAAATAAAATAGTTCTGATGGTACATGATACCATACTAAACCTAGCTTTAAACAAATAAGATGACCAGGCACATTGGTTGACACCTGTAATCTCAGCACTTTGGGTGGCCAAGGCAGGCGGGTCACTTGAGCCCAGCAGTTCGAGACCAGCCTGGGCACTCTAGGGAGACCCTGTCTCTAAAAACAAAACAAAAAACCAAAAATTTGCCAGGTGTGGTGGCATGGGCCTGTAGTCGCAGCTACTCAGGCTGAGGCAGGAGGATCACTGGAACTTGGAAGGTTGAGGCGGCAGTGAGCTGTGATCATGTCATCCACACTCCAGCCTGGATGGCAGAGTAAGACCCCATCTCAAAAAAACAAAATGACAGAAAACATGATTTCTGTTTCTATTTTAAAGGGTAAAATAGTATATTTTAACACTTTGAAATGAAGAGTCTGGGCTTGGGAACGTTACAATGATGTTTACTCGTACTAGTTACGCACTCCCCTCCCAGATCTGTCTCGTAACAAGAGACTGTTATTTTCTACTTGTTTTTAGCCAAAAGGCCGAGAAACGATGGTTATTTTAAATCCCTAGTGTCTCTTACAGTTGATGTCTTCTTAGTATTTAGGAATTTCCAGGACATCTTTTTGTTGTTGTTAATGCACTGTGTGTGTGTGTGTGTGTGTGTGTGTGTATGTGTGTGTGTGATTATAGGAGTGACCCACTACGCCCGGCTGTGTGTGTGTGTGTGTGTGTGTGTGTGGGTGTGTGTGTATGTGTGTGTGTGTGATTATAGGAGTGACCCACTACGCCCGGCCTATGTGTATGTATTTTAAAGGCTTCAATGAGAAAAAAGTTGGTTCTTAAAAAGGCAAGCTTCAGATTCCAGGGAAGATTGCCTCTGGAGAGCTCTGTTTTAATCCATGGGTTTGCCAGATTAATGAGGATTTACTGGCCTCGTGCCTTCGGCCCTCCCTACCCTGCGCCCATTGTGCATGTTTTGAAAAAGCAGTGCCAGGAAGGACTCTCTCTGGAATTACTGCGGAGTTACTTGAGTTAGCAAAGAATCCCCTTCCTCCCCCAAGAGCTGTAAGCCAAGTCTCTGTAGAGCTGACTCCATGCCTGTTTGTCTGCCTGTGTGTCTTGGCGCAGGTGGCTGGCCGTGCGGCTGGAGTGTGTGGGCAACTGCATCGTTCTGTTTGCTGCCCTGTTTGCGGTGATCTCCAGGCACAGCCTCAGTGCTGGCTTGGTGGGCCTCTCAGTGTCTTACTCATTGCAGGTAAGAGGGGATGCTCTTGGCTGGATTATTAAAGTCTGTTAATGGGGGAGCCAGTTGTCCTTGGCTTTGGATTCCAGCTCCAACAGGAATGGGGGAGAGGAACTTGAGAGGTACGGAGTTTGAGGAGCAGGTACAGTGCCACAGTGCCTGGTGACCAACTAGAGCAGGAGACGGATTTGACATGTGGCCAGGATTTTCCCCATCAGTCACACAGATTCCTTAGTGGCCCAAGAGGATACTTCCAGGTACGAGGGGAATGCTTTTAAAGCTATGAATTTCCCTCTAAGAACTGCTTTAGCTGCATCTCACAAATGATGATACATTGTGTTTTCATATTGTCACCTGGCTAAAAATATTTTCCAGTTTCTTATTATGTGGCCCATGAGTTATTTTGGAAATGTGTGTGCTTAGGAGATGGCAATGTGGCAGGCCTGGGTGATGGCTATACCTGGGGTTGCTAATTTCGGTACCTTTCTTACCTGAATGTTTCATAACTCATAACCTTTTATTTTTATTTATTTATTTTTTTTGGAGACGGAATCTCACTCTGTCACCCAGGCTGGAATGCAGTGGTGGGATCTCGGCTCACTGCAACCTCTGCCTCCTGGGTTCAAGTGATTCTTCTGCCTCAGCCTCCCAAATAGCTGGGTTTACAGGTGTGCGTCACCATGCCTGGCTAATTTTTATATTTTTAGTAGTGACTGATGGGGTTTCGCCACATCGGCCAGGCTGGTCTCAAACCCCTGACCTCAGGTGATCTGACCGCCTCAGCCTCCCATAATTCATACTTGTTGAAAATAATTTGTTTCCTATTATCTCAGTGGAAAAAAAAAAAAAAAGAAAAAGGAAAGTCAAGTACGCCCGCTTACTCTAGAAATGCCACGTGACTCTTCCACTCACAGGTCACCACGTACTTGAACTGGCTGGTTCGGATGTCATCTGAAATGGAAACCAACATCGTGGCCGTGGAGAGGCTCAAGGAGTATTCAGAGACTGAGAAGGAGGTAGGCAAGGGCCCCTGGCTGGACCTCTTGGTCTTTGGTGTAGCTTTACCCCAAGGAGATCTCTGGACCCTATCCTGTGCACCTCTGCCTCTGAGCTGGATACCTCACCAGGTAGAAGTGCATCTTAACGCTTGTCCAGTCTTTTTGCAGCACTTATTTAGAGCCCGGTTTTAGGGTGAAAATAGTTTACCGGCTTTACCCAAGATCTGGGGTATCCATATACGAGACTGTGGGATGCTGTCAGGGCATTCAGAAGGTATTCACATTGTGAAGAAGTTTCCCCCTCTATTTCTCTTTCATAACTTCTGATGGTATCACAGAGAAAGTCTTAGTCTGGGGCTAGCAGGTCTTTAACACCTTAGCAATTGAGATGATCTCCCTTCAACAGACAGATAAACAGCAGCCCTCACACTTGGAGTCTTCAACAGGACGGCTTCTGTCTATCAGAAATAACCTTCTGTTATTTGTTATGAATTTGGTTTTTTTGTGTGTGTGATGGAGTCTCACTGTCACCCAGGCTGGAGTGCAGTGGCACAATCTCGGCTCACTGCAACCTCCTCCTCCCAGGTTCAAGTAATTCTCCTGCCTCAGCCTCCCAAATAGTTGGGATTACAGGTGCCTGTCATCATGCCTGGCTAATTTTTGTATTTTTAGTAGAGATGGGGGTTTCACTAAGTTGGCCAGTCTGGTCTCAAACTCTTGACCTCAGGTGATCCGCCTGCCTCAGCCTCCCAAAGTGCTGGGATTACAGGCGTGAGCCACTGCGCCTGGCCTGTTATGTATTTGTATAGGGGACTCCTGTTACGGAAAATAATACTACTTTTCCTTTTGTGATTGTAATAAATTTTCCTCTTAAGTAAGTTGAGAAATTAAGTCTAAGTGACTTGATTAAGCATATTAAAACAACAAGAGAATGAGTACATGCATACTACACGAATGATGTAGCTGGGAACTGACCAAAGTTTGGGAAACCCTGCAGTTATTGAACCCCAGTCCCCTTTTTATAGATGGAGAAAAAGGGAACCTGGGGAGGGACAACAGCTGATCCAAGGTCCCACGTGGCTTGGTAGAACAGCTGGGACTAGGACCTGTGCCTCCAGTCTTTGATGTTGCGTTGCCCTTAATAACTGCCTTCTTAGGCCCTGAACAGCAGCACAAGTAGGAACAGCAGTGATAATAGATAATCACAATAATGCCTGGCGACACCCCCACCCTACATTAATGATAACAGGGACACACATAGTGCCTTGTAGAATGTCAGGCCCAGACTTAAACGTTTAATATAGAGTAATGCACTCAGTCTTTACCCCGCTCTATGACTGATTTTTGAGACACGGTCTCACTCTTGCCCGGGTTGGAGTGTAGTGCGATCTCATTCGCTGCCTCCCAGGCTCAAGTGATTCTCCTACCTCTGCCTCCTGAGTGTCTGGGACCACGGGCATATGCCATCACACCGGACTGATTTTTGTATTTTTAGTAGAGACGGGATTTTGCCCAGACTCATCTTGATCTCCTGAGCTCTAGTGATCTGCCTGCCTTGGCCTCCCAAAGTGCTGGGATTACAAGCGGGAGCCACCATGCCCAGCCCAGCCCTATAATTTAGATGCTACTATTACCCCCATTTTACAGGTGAGGAAACTGAGACAAAAAGCTGAAGTTACTTGCCCAAGATCACATGGCTGGTAAATGGCAGACCTAGGCGTTGAGCCTGTGCCTCCTCAGAGACCCTATCCAGTGCCATGGGAGTCATGCTACCCGGCCTCCTGAGGAGAGATGCCCCTTGGGAGTGAGACCAAGGCCTCTGTAAGGTCTGTCCTCCTGAGGAATTCACAGAGGTGACCTCGGCCCACTCCTTTAACATTCTGACTGGGTGAACCAGGTCCCATGTCACGGGTGAGCATTGTAAGAATGGCGTGAGTGCCCCCGTGAGGAACCAAGGGTGTATTACACCGGCGGCTTCCAACTTGACACTGAATTTAATTCACTTACAAGGTATTTCATTAGGTTTTTTTTTTTTTTTTTTTTAGATGGAATTTGGCTTTTTTTTTGCCCAGGCTGGAATGCAGTGGCACGATCTCAGCTCACTGCAACCTCCACCTCCTGGGTTCAAGTGATTCTCCTGCCTCAGCCTCCCAATTAGCTGGGATTACAAGTACCCACCACCCCGCCCAGCTAACTTATTTCATTAGTTTTTATAATAGCCTCATTGACATGTGAATTTCACATGCCATGGAATTCACCCAGTTAAAGCGTTCAGTTAGATTGAATTCAGTTTTTTTTTGTTTGTTTGAGACTTAAGTCTCGCTCCAGCCTGGAGTGCAGTGGCATGATCTCAGCTCACTGCAACCTCCTTCTCCTGGGTTCAAGCGATTCCCAGCCTCCTGAGTAGCTGGGATTACAGGCGATTTTTGTATTTTTAGTAGAGAAGGGATTTCACCATGTTGGCCCGGCTGGTCTCGAACTCCTGACCTCGTGATCCACCCGCCTCAGCCTCCCAAAGTGCTGGGATCACAGGTGTGAGCCACCACACCCGGCCTGAGTTCAGTTTTTAAAAGCATTTTACTTTTGACTGACTTTTATATTTTTAGAAGGATCGTGTTTGACAAACCCAAGAGAAAGTAATTGTCCTCATTAGTCCTACCACTATTCTGTATTTGCATGTATTTTTATATATAGATAGAAAGTTCCACATACTTCTCTCCATTCCGCTCACTGTGTTGTTATAGCATCTCCCCTTCAATTATGTACATAAATTATAAAATAGAGATACACTTGTTGTTTTAAAAAAGAAAAAATCAATACAGGGCTGGACACAGTGGCCCACGCCTGCAATCCCAGCACTTTGAGAGGCCAAGGTGGGTGGATCACTTGAAGCCAGGAGTTCGAGACCAGCCTGGCCAACGGTGAATCCCGTCTCTACTAAAAATACAAAAATTAGTTGGCATGGTGGCAGGTGCCTATAATTCCAGCTACTTGGGAGGCTGAGGTGGGAGGATCGCTGGAACCCGGGAGGTGGAGGTTGCAGTGAGCTGAAGAAACATCACTGCACTCCAGCCTGGGTGACAGAGTGAGACTCTGTCTCGAAAAACAAAAAAACAAAGAAGTTTATGGTGGAGAAAGACAGTTTGTTCCTGTTCGCCCCGTTCCTCTCCTCTCCAGAGAGAGGCCCCATTAGCATTCGGGTGAATTTCCCCCAAAACTTTCCCGTGTGGATTCCCACATACCCCAACACTTTTGTTTGCTTGTTTCTTTTTCTTTTAACGTAAGTGGAATCTACCTGTTATCCTGTGAAACCTTTTCTTTAACCATGAGGCACCTTTGCATCTGTGTATAGTAACAGTCACTGCCTCTAAGGGCTGCTGTGAGGCTCAGATGAGATCATGGGTCTCAAGTGCTGAGCAGAGCAACTTGCCTTAGTTGCATTGTAAGCGCTCAATAATAACATTTATTTTTTGGCCAGGCGCGGTGGCTCACGCCTGTAATCCCAGCACTTTGGGAGGCCAAGGCAGATGGATCACTTGAGCCCAGGAGTTTGAGACGATCCTGGGCAACATGGTGAGACATCGTCTCTACAAAACAAAAAATAATACTTTTTGTTGTTGGCGGTGGTGGTGGGGTTTTTTTTTGTTTTTTTTTTTTTGAGACAGAGGAGTCTTGCTGTGTCACCCAGACTGGAGTGTAGTGGTTTTATCTTGGCTCACTGCAACCTCTGCCTCCCAGATTCTAGTGATCGTCGTGTCTCAACCTCCCAAGTAGCTGAGATTACAGGCTCCCACCATCAGGCCCAGCTAATTTTTGTATTTTTAGTAGAGCCAGGGTTTCACCATGTTGGTCAGGCTGGTCTCAAACTCCTGACCTCAAGTGTTCTGCCCACCTCGGCCTCCCTAAGTGCTGGGATTACAGGTGTGAGCCACTGCGCCGGCAACGCTGTGATTTTATAGCACGTCCACAAAAGGGCTGCATGTCTTGCCTAAAAGTTGCCCGGCGTTTTCTTGTTATGTGCCGTCTGCAGTGCCCCTGAGCTTGGCCATGTGCTCTGCAGCCTGGTTCAGCACCTGTGTGTGCCCTGGACGGGGAGGTGCATTCCCCGAGGCTAAAACCAGTGAACCTGGCCCAGGCCATATCCAGCTGTGGGCCTCAGGAAATGCTGAACTGAACTACTTTTCAAAAGGAGGGTTGTGTGTCCCTGGGCAAGTTACCGCCCCTCTCTGTGTCTCAGTCTCCTTGTGTGTAAACTGGGGATAATGAAAGGACCCTCCCACATGGGGTTGCTGTGAGGATTGGATGAGACACTGCGATACAGATGCTGCTTTTATCCTTGCCTTCCTGCCGGGGTGGGCAGCCAGGGTAACTCACTTTTATTGTCGTGTCTGTCCAGAGAAGACCACTCATTTCATTGACTCCATTTATAAATATTTATTTAAATTTTTTTTTATCAAAAAGTAAGTTTTATTGGCATCTAAAAACAAAATTCACCCAACACTGAAACATACTTCAATATTTATGTTATTGTTTTCTTGTTTCTTTTTTACTCACTGCAGTGTGAGGAACAAATCACATTTACTTTGGAGAAACAGAGACCATAGTGTAGATTTTACAAAATCACTTTTTAAACTCTCTGTATTGCGCTCCTCAAATACCTAGAGCCAGTCTGTGCATAACATGGCACACTGTTGTCTAAACCGTAAAATTTTGCATCAGCCTAAAGATATGGATAAGATATACCTCCACTTGCTCTTTTGAAATACATCTATTACCTTATCCAGCCTAATGATAGTTACCTAAAAAATTCTTTGTTCCGTAGGAAGTCTCTGACAAGCTGTTATTCATTTCCTTGACGTTAAAAGAATCTGGGGGCAACATTTATATTTTATCAGAAAAACTTTTTAAAAGTTTACCTATCATGTTCATATTGAGAACAATGTCTGTGGCGGGCATGGTGGCTCACGCCTGTAATCCCAGCACTTTGGGAGGTAGAGGTGGGCGGATCATGAGGTCAGGAGTTAGAGACCAGCCTGGCCAACATGGTGAAACCACATCTCTACTAAAAATACAAAAATTAGCTGGGTGTGGTGGCGGGTGTCTGTAATCCCAGCTACTCAGGAGGCTGAGGCAGGAGAGTCGCTTGAACCTGGGAGGCAGGGGTTGCAGTGAGCTGAGATCATGCCATTGCACTCCAGCCTGGGCGACAGAGTGAGACTCCGTCTCAAAAAAAAAAGAACAATGTCTATACAAATCAGTTGTACAATTATTTTAAAAGAATGGTGAGCATGAACGTCACGTTAATTCTGGCAGACAAAAATGAACAACTATGGTCCATTGAGCCATTATCTGTTACACAGAGATGACAGCTTTACAGAAGGTATCTCTGACCTACTGAGGGATGATCATGTCCTCTCAGTTTCTGTGCCTTCTACCACTAGTTCACTTTCTATATCAGCAGCTGTGTCACTCTTCTTGTTTATGTTCATAAATGTGTGTTGAACACCTACTATGTGCTCTGAGCCCTGGGATACAGCAGTGAACAATTAGAGCCTGTCCTCATTGAGTGGATGGTGCAGTGGGTGTGGGAGACAGAATACACTCAAGCATGCGAGCCCCAAGAGGGCTGGGGACAGGCAGTGCCCTGAAGGAGAAGGCAGTGCGGGAGGGGACAGAGGGACACAGGGCTGAGAGGGTGCTCTGTATCGACCAGAGATCCACAGGATGCAAGGGGGTCATTTGGGGAATAACATTCCAGGAAGGGCAACCCCCCAGTGCTGAGGCCTGGGAGGCCACCTTGGGCAGCAGAGTGAGTGAGAGGGGAGGTCAGGGGAGTCACAGCTTTACCAGATGGACTGGAAATTCCTTACTCTCTCCCTTCACTGCGATCGAAGGCGCCCTGGCAAATCCAGGAGACAGCTCCGCCCAGCAGCTGGCCCCAGGTGGGCCGAGTGGAATTCCGGAACTACTGCCTGCGCTACCGAGAGGACCTGGACTTCGTTCTCAGGCACATCAATGTCACGATCAATGGGGGAGAAAAGGTGGGTACACATCGCCCCATTCCCTCACCCATTCCCAGTCGGGCACAGGGTGCCATCGGGCAGGTGAACCTAGCTGCAGCGTCTCCCCAGTCACTCACGGCTCCACACCTTTGCTTGAATGGCTTTTTGGGGGGCTGGGAGTGGACTGTGGCAGTAAAAGCTGTTCAGAGCGCATACAACTTGCAGAAGTGAAGGCTTTTAGGTGAACTGACAGCCTGAAGACCAAATGAGCCCCACAGATTTGTTTTGGAAGATTTTTTGTTGTTGTTGTTGAGAGAGGGTCTTGCTCTGTTACCCAGGCTAGAGTGCAGTGGTGTGATCTCAGCCCACTGCAGCGGCAGCCTCCCAAGTGGGGGGACTACACATGGTTGGGAGTGCAGGTGTGTGCCACTGCACCTGGCCATTTTTTGTATTTTTTGTAGAGATGGGGGTCCTACTATGTTGTCCAGGCTGATCTGGAACTCTTGAGCTCAACCGGTCTGCCCGCCTCAGCTTCCCAAAGTGCTGGGATTACAGGAATCAGCCACCATTCCTGGCCCCTGGAAGAAGTTCTTTTTTTGTTTTTTGGTTGGTTGTTTTTTTTTTTTTTTTTTTTTTTTTTTTGAGATGGAGTCTTACTCTGTTGCCAAGGCCAGAGTGCAGGGGCCCGATCTCAGCTCACTGCAACTTCTGCCTCCTGGGTTCAAGTGATTCTCCTGCCTTAGCCTCCCGAGTAGCTGGGACTACAGGCATGCGCCACCATGCCTAGCTAATTTTTGTGTTATTAGTAGAGATGGGGTTTTGCCATGTTGGCCAGGGTGGTCTTGAACTCCTGACCTCAACTGATCCACCCGCCTCAGCCTCCCCAAGTGCTGGGATTACAGGTGTGAGCCACTGCACCTGGCCTGGAAGAAATTTGAATAAGTTGCAAATACTGAAAAATCTGGAAGACTTAATATAAAAATTTATTTTCTGCTTTTTTTGGAAGATCAGAACATCTGGCAACATCAGGTCAATCCTCCCCCGCCTGGCTCTTTCTAGTCAACCTGTGAGCCTCCTGGTTCACCCCAGTCCCTCCCTGTCCCATTCATTGCCTAGTTGGCCCCTCCAAAACATTAGAATTTGTGATCTCTAGAATAAGGTGTCACCATCCCTTCTAGGGGGATGGCTCAAGGGAAGTGAGAAATTGTCAGAATTTTGGAACCTTCTCTTGGTTCCGAGCTGTTCTTGGAAGAGGTTCCTTGACCTGAGTGATACCCTTAGACTTTCCTCTGGAATTGGTCTGACAGTCTTCCTGGCCATTTGCTGGGGGACAAGGCTGCTTTCACCTCTGAACATATGGACTTATTGAACTGTTCCTACGTACCTCCCACAAAGCTCAGAACATTCTGTTCCCAGCAGATAATTTCTCTCTGAGTTACAGAGAAGAGCAGAGTGGGTGATGTTCTTGCTGTCTTTTTTTGTTTTTGTTTTTGTTTTTGTTTTTGTTTTTGTTTTGTTTTGTTTTGTTTTGAGACAGCCTCTCACTCTGTCACCCAGGCTGGAGTCCAGTGGTGCTATTTCGGCTCACTGCAACCTCCGTCCCCTGGGTTCAAGTGATTCTCCTGCCTCCGTCTCCCGAGTATCTGGGACTACAGGTGCATGCCACCACGCCCAGCTAATTTTTGTAGTTTTAGTAGAGATGGGGTTTTACCATGTTGGCCAGGCTGGTCTCGAACTCCTGACCTTCTCTGATCCACCTTCCTCGGCCTCCCAAAGTGCTGGGACTACAGGCATGAGCCACCGTGCCCCAGCCCTTGTTGAGTCTTTATGGCTTATCTCACGTCATGAGAATTTTTGCACGCATGCTGCTCTGTGACACCCCTGTAGGAGGGAAGAAGGAGCCCACTTCTCAAGAGCCAGGCAGGAAGGGGAGAACTGGAGGTCAGGAACATCATCCTTTGGCCATTAGCTAGAGAACCTAGTTCCTTCAAGAGAGGATGCATGGAGACCAGGTCATAGCAAAGGGCCGGAAGATCTGCCTGAATCTTTCAGATATTTCAACAACTCATGATGGGAAACTCACCATCAAAGGTGTGAAAAACAGTGGGGAAATGAGGAAATGCCTGATTATTACTTAATAGTTTCTTGAGTCTAAACAAATAGGGCTTTGTTGGAAATTCCTTCTGCCTCTTCTGTATCTCTTTTGAGGTCTCTAGTAACTTATAAAAAGCCGAGTCATTCCTTTTGGGAGCCTGGCAAAGGGAAGAGAGTCCTTCTTGACCTTCGGCCGAAACACCCTTAAAGGAGTGTCTCTGGGCAGCGCGCAAGGGAGAGGGCTGTCGAGTTGGGTTGACCAGATGACTGATGCCTGAGGTGGGGCCGAGATGAGGGCACTTTGGGGCAGGGACAAGTCCGGATGCCAGCATTCCCACCACACCTGGGCCCTTCTGTCCTGCAGGTCGGCATCGTGGGGCGGACGGGAGCTGGGAAGTCATCCCTGACCCTGGGCTTATTTCGGATCAACGAGTCTGCCGAAGGAGAGATCATCATCGATGGCATCAACATCGCCAAGATCGGCCTGCACGACCTCCGCTTCAAGATCACCATCATCCCCCAGGTGGGGTCTGGGTGTGGCCCAGGGGGTGAGCCAGAGCTGGCAAGCCCTATGATTGCACTGACAGTGGTGTATGTATATTTTTGGGGCAAACATACATTTGGCCCTACTTCATCGTTCTTTTTTTTTTTTTTTTTTTTTTTCCTGAAACAGGGTCTCGCTCTGTTGCCCAGAGTGGAGTGCGCTGGCGCAATCTCAGCTCACTGCAACCTCCGTCTCCCAGGCTCAAGCGATTCTCCCACCCCAGCCTCCTGAGTAGCTGGGACTACAGGCACATGCCACCACACCCAGCTAAATTTGTTTTGTACTTTTTTGTGGAGATGGGGTTCCACTGTGTTGCCCAGGCTGCCCTTGAACTCCTGGGCTCAAGCAATCCACCCACCTTGGCCTCCAAAAGTGCTGGGATTACAGGCATGAGGCACCGTGGCTGGCCTTCATTGTTTTTATTGAAGTTAGGCTGTGCTGCTGCTTCCCTGAATTTCCTCTTAGTATATGATTAACAACGTGGGAATTAACTGACTATCAGTCCCGACTTCCTGTCCCCGGGAGGGGTAGTTTCAGAGCATCTAGAAAAATCCAAAAAGACACCGTCTTCTCTCTCTGCTGCCAGAGTCAGACTGAGCATCTCTAACCCTTCCAAGAGCTAGACAAGAAATAAGACTTTTTAATTTTCGATTCACGGGGTGCACCTGCAGGCTTGTTACGTGGGTATATTGTGTGATGCTGATGCTTCGGCTTCTATGGATCTCATCACCCAACTATTGAACAGAGTACCCGAGAGAGAGTAGTTTCTCAACCATTACCCTCCTCCATCTGTCCCCACTTATGGAGGCTCCAGTGTTTATCATTTCCATCTTTACAACCATGAGTACGCAGAGTTTAGCTCCCTCTTACAAGTGAGAACACACAGTATTTGGTGAGAAATAAGGATTTTCTTTTTCTTTCTCTTTTCTTTTTTTTCTTTTTTTAACTGAGACGGAGTCTCACTCTGTCACCCAGTGCAGTGGCACGATCTCAGCTTACTGCAACCTGCACCTCCTGGGTTCAAGCGATTCTTCTGCCTCAGCTTCCCAAGTAGCTGGGATTATAGGCACGCACCACCATGCGTGGCTAGTTTTTGTATTTTTAGTAGAAACGGGGTTTCACCATGTTACCCAGGCTGGTCTCAAACTCCTGACCTCGAGTGATCTGCCTGCCTCGGCCTCCCATAGTGCTGGGATTACAGGGGTGAGCCAACATGCTTGGCTGAAATAAGGATTTTCTAGACCAATCCCCGCAGGTGGATTCCTTAATATGTTGCCTTTTAGTGTAATCTTCCCTAAAGTGTCTTAGAAGATTCTCTTCTGTGGTTGGATGACGGGAGAATCCACGGGACTTTACTGTTAGGAATCACCTGTGCTGCGTCTCATTTCTGGAGGTTCTCAACCCACTTGCATATTGAAGGCTCCAGGAAGTTGTATGGAAAGGAAATCTGTTGTATTCTGCCAAACTCAGACTTTCCAGACTTTTTTTTTTTTTCCATTATTAAGGCAATTTTTTTTTTGGAGATAGAGTCTTGCTCTGGAGTGCAGTGGCACAATCTTGGCTCACTGCAACTTCCGTCTCCCGGGTTCAAGTGATTCTCCTGCCTCAGTCTCCTGAGTAGCTGGGACTACAGGTATGCACCACCATGCCCAGCTAATTTTTGTATTTTTACTAGAGACAGGGTGTTGCCATGTTGGCCAGGCTGGTCTCGAACTCCTGACCTTAAGTGATCCACTCGCCTCGGCCTGCCAAAGTGCTGGGATTACAGGCGTGAACCACCGTACCTGGCCTTTTTCTCCATTATTAACATCTCCAGAAATAGTGATTCCAAGGAGCTCTGATACCCCACCTTCAACAGTCCTGGCCAGAAGTCCTTAGGTCGCCTCCATCCATGTCAGCATGACACAGGTGTCACATGCCGTCCACTCTCTTCTCTCTGAACAGGACCCTGTTTTGTTTTCGGGTTCCCTCCGAATGAACCTGGACCCATTCAGCCAGTACTCGGATGAAGAAGTCTGGACGTCCCTGGAGCTGGCCCACCTGAAGGACTTCGTGTCAGCCCTTCCTGACAAGCTAGACCATGAATGTGCAGAAGGCGGGGAGAACCTCAGGTAGGCGGGGGTGAACAAGGAGACACCGGGTAAGGTGTCCTAGGCGCCATCTCGGTAGGGGTGTTTGAAGATTCTGTCCAGATCTGTGTCACCTGGATTTGAGTCCCAGATGACCATTTGTCCCTTCACCTCTTGGAGCCTCAGTTTCTGTATCTGTAAAACGGGTCTCAATCCAGGCTCTTTGTACCATGAGGTAGAATAACCAGGATGACCAGTACATTTCCTTTTATACACACCAGCTCCATTCAGTTGATAGTGGCTGTCAGTTGTTAAGCTATGGAAAGTCTTCTGTACCAGTTGGTCACTAGCACTGCTCTGAGCCCCCAGGTCCCCATGCACTACCCCAGCTGTCTTGGTCTCTACCAGGATCCTGGAGCTCTGTCCATGACCCAGCAACTAAAGCATTAATGCCTGGCACACCAGCGGAACCTCTGGGGTCCTGCTTTGGTGGTGTTTGTTAGTGCCTGGTTCTGGTTCTGTTATCCGTCTCCATGACAACCAACCATAAAGCCTCAGGCATGTTCAACCATAAAGCAACGATCATTGCTGCCATACGAGGGCAGTCAGCCAGGTGGCTCTGCTGATCTCGGCTGGGCTCACATGCATGTCTGGGAGTCAGCTGGCTGTTGGCTGATCTCGGGGTCAGCTGGCTTTTGGCCTCAGGTGGGGCAAGAAGGGTATGTTCCGTGCATCCCTCATTCTCCAGCAGACCAGCTTGGGCATGTTGTCATGGCGATGGCAGGGGCACAAGAGCGTGCAAGCCCCTATTGCATCTAACAGTATTCTTTTGGCTGTCCTTACTTTTGCTGGTGTCCCATTGGCCAAAGCAAGGAACATGTCTGATTCCAGAGCCACCTCTCATGGCCCCACAGTTGGATAAGGGATGCATGGGTATGAGGCCTTTTTTTTTTTTTTTTTTTTTTTTTTTGAGACGGAGGGTCTCACTCTATCACCCAGGCTGGAGTGCAGTGGCGCAATCTCATCTGCAACCTCCGCCCCCAGGCTCAAGCAATTGTTCTGCCTCTGCCTCCTAAGTAGCTGGGATGACAGGTGCCTGTCACCATGCCCAGTTAAATTTTGCATTTTTAGTAGAGATGGGGTATCACCACATTGTCCAGGCTAGTCTCAAACTCCTGGCCTCAAGCGATCCACCCGCCTTAGCCTCACAAGGTGCTGGGATACTAGGTGTGAGCCACTGTGCCCGGCTCTTATTTTTTTTTTATTTTATTTTTTTTAAGAGACAGTGTCTCACTCTGTTGCCTAGGCTGGAGTACAGTGGATTGATCTCGGACTCTAACTCCTGGACTCAAGCAATCCTGCCTCAGCCTCCCAGTAACTGGGACTACAAGAGCATGCCACCACACCCAGCTAATTTGTTTATTTTTGTTTTTGGAGAGATGGGGGTCTTGCTTTTTTGCCCAGGCTGGTCTCAAATTCCTGGCTTCAAGCTATCCTCCCACCTCAGCCTCCCAAAGTGCTCAGATTGTAGGTGTGAGCTGCTGTTTTGAGAATGATTCTGAACCTGCATCTTGCTGAATAGGAGATGTGCTCTGATTGATTAGTGATGTCTGCTGCAGACACAGATGTTGGGAGTGGACATGCTTTCCTGGTCAAGCAACATAGAGTGTCTCCTTTCGCTTCTCCCAGCCTGGGCCTAGGTTCAGGGTCAGGGGTGGTTTGACCCAACACTATCTCCTGGTTTTTTTCTTCCGGTCAAGTGTCGGGCAGCGCCAGCTTGTGTGCCTAGCCCGGGCCCTGCTGAGGAAGACGAAGATCCTTGTGTTGGATGAGGCCACGGCAGCCGTGGACCTGGAAACGGACGACCTCATCCAGTCCACCATCCGGACACAGTTCGAGGACTGCACCGTCCTCACCATCGCCCACCGGCTCAACACCATCATGGACTACACAAGGTGATGCCACTGGCACAGTGGCCTCTAGGCTTTGGGAGTTTGCCTTACTCACTGGCTCACTCATTAATTCATTAATTCATTCAACACTGTCCTTATCCCTAGTGACAGCCCCAGTGGGTGGATCCTCTCTTCATCCTGGATGGTACCAGCTATTTCTTTTTTTTTTTTTTTTTTTGAGACAGAGTCTCGCTTCATCTCTGGAGTGCAGTGGTGTGATCTCGGCTCACTGCAACCTCTGCCTCTGGGGTTCAAGCATTTCTCCTGCCTCAGACTCCCGAATAGCTGGAACTACAGGAATGTGCCACCACGCCCATCTAACTTTTATATTTTTAGTAGTGACAGGGTTTTGCCATGTTGGCCAGGCTGGTCTCGAACTCCTGACCTCAGGCGATCTGCCCGCCTCCGCCTCCCAAATTGCTGGGATTACAGGCATGAACCGCTGTGCCCAGTGGTACCAGGTATTTCTAATATCATCTAGTCATTCATTCACGTCAGCGCACCTGCGGTGTTCCCAGACACTGGGGACTCTGTAGGCTGCTGTCAGACAAAGTCCCTGCCTCCAGGACCAAGTAGCTTATTAGATGGAGGAGACAAAAAATATACAGAGCAATAAACCAACAGGATTCCAGAGGGCAGCAGGTGCTGGGAAGGACGCTTGCCAAGGAGACGGGATAGCGAGTGCTGGGCAGGGCCACTGTTTCCATTGAACACTGCAGGCCCAGTGCGTGGGGCCCACAAAAAGGTTTTATTTTTTTTAAAAAATCAGAAGCAGGCCAGGTGCGGTGGCTCACGGCTGTAATCCCAGCACTTTGGGAGGCCGAGGCAGGCAGATCACCTGAGGTCGATAGTTTGAGACCAGCTTGGCCAACACGGTGAGACCCTGTCACCATTAAAAATACAAAAAGTAGCCAAGTGTGGTGGTGCGTGCCCATAATCCCAGGTACTTGGGAGGCTGAGGAAGGAGAATTGCTTGAACCTGGGAGGTGGAGGTTGCAGTGAGCTGAGATTGTGCCACTGCAGTCCAGCCTGGGCAACAGAGTGAGACTCCATCTCAAAAAAAAAAAAAAAAAAAAAAAAAAAAGAATATAATCCAACCTGGATTTTATTTATACTAACACAGTCATAAAATAGAATTTCTAGCATTTTGTGTGGAGAAAGCCACCTCCGTAGGCATCAGTGCCGGGGACCACAAAAGTCAGAATGCTGCCATAGTGCCAGGGTCCTGGGGGGTTTTGAGTTTTGTGTGGGTCATCTCTGAAGAGGTGACATTTTAGCTGAGACCTGAACAATGAAAAGGAGTCAGCCTTGAGAAGATCTGGGACAGCGATCTGCAACCTTGTTCTTAAGGGCCGGGGTAGTTTCAGCTTTGTGGGCCACATGGCCTCTCAGCCACTTGACTCCAGTGTTGCCGTGTGAAAGCAGTCATAGATAGTGCACGAATGAATGAGCATGGCTATGTTCCAATAAAACTTTATTCATAAAAACAGGCAAGGGGTCAGATTTGGCCTGCAGGCCACAGTTTGCCAACCTTGGATCTAAAGGAAGAACATTCTAGGCAGCCGGTACAGCCGAATGTAAAAATGAATGCGCTTAATGAATTTGAAGGCTAGCATGAGGAGGCCATGTACCTAGAGGTTGGAATTGAGTGGACAGGGGCAGGAGATTAGGCCAGAAAGGTAGGCAGGGGCTGGATCTTAGAGCACCATGTAACCACGGTGAGAAGCTTGGAACTTACTCTAAGAGCCCTATAAAGCCATTGGAAGGTTTTAAGCAGGGAAGTGACATGAGTTTCTATTTTATTTTATATATTTTTGAGACAGGGTCTCACCCTGTCGCCCAGGCTGGAGTGCAGTGGTGGGATCACAGCTCACTGCGGCCTCAAGTGATCCTCCTGCCTCAGCCTTCCAAAGTGCTGGGATTATAGGCGTGAGTCTCTGCACCCAGCTGACATGATGTTTCTAGTTCACTGAGTACCACCTACTAAGTGGCAGATGCTGAGTTGGTGCTTTTGAAATATAGGACATAGAAATGAGGACAGAAGTGGGCAGTGTCAAATCTTACAGGACCTAAAATATTAGGGGTCAGCCAACTATGGCCCACAGGCCACAGATCTGGCCCCCTGCGTGTTTTTATGAATAAAGTTTTATTGGCACGCAGCCACATCTGTTCATTTTCCTGTTGTCTCTGGCAGCTTTCACACTATAAATACAGCAGAGATGCGTAGTTGTAACAGAAAGCATATGGCCTGCAGAGCCTCAAGTATTTACTATCTGGCCTTTTTCAGAAAAATGTTGCCAATCGTTATTGTAGACTGTGGTAAGATCTTTTTATTTTACTCTGAATGTAATGGAACAGTGAATGTGAACAGTCAACACTGTTAATACCATTCACACCATGATTGATGTGGGGTAGATATTAAGGAGCTGGCCTCATGGGAATCTGACATTGACTAGAAATAGGGATTGAGGGTGAGCAACCAGCTGGAAGGTACTGCACCAGTCCTAGCAAAAAGTGTTAGGGGCCTGACCCGAAGCAGTGACTTGCCCAGGTCAGTTGTCCCAGGGGCACGAGGTGCTCACCCCTCCCCTTCCCCTCATGTCTGTATCCCCTCTCCCTCAGGGTGATCGTCTTGGACAAAGGAGAAATCCAGGAGTACGGCGCCCCATCGGACCTCCTGCAGCAGAGAGGTCTTTTCTACAGCATGGCCAAAGACGCCGGCTTGGTGTGAGCCCCAGAGCTGGCATATCTGGTCAGAACTGCAGGGCCTATATGCCAGCGCCCAGGGAGGAGTCAGTACCCCTGGTAAACCAAGCCTCCCACACTGAAACCAAAACATAAAAACCAAACCCAGACAACCAAAACATATTCAAAGCAGCAGCCACCGCCATCCGGTCCCCTGCCTGGAACTGGCTGTGAAGACCCAGGAGAGACAGAGATGCGAACCACCCAAAACACGCACACCCTGCCCCTGGTGCCCTGAGACAGACACACAGCCTCACGCCCCCAGGAATGCAAGTGGTTTCCTGGTGCTTCCCACGGAGGAGTTTTGGCAGCCAGACTTCTGGAGGAATTGGTTGTATAGAAGATCCTAGTGACCAAATTCAGCCTACTGCCTCGGATCTCTCCAGCCGAAGTCTGTGGACTGCAAGTCTTTGAGATGCTTCTGGCTCCCATCACCTCTAACATCCTTGTCTGGGTCTACCAGGAACGCTTCATTTCCTTGGGGCTGCAGTTTTGTGGTTGAGGGGCCTGGAGAAAATCATTTTCTCCCCTTGGCAGTGTCCCAGGGCCCTGGATGGTCCTCTTACCAACATCTGGTCTTCCAGGCACTCAAAAGCTGGGAACCAGCATCTCAGCGCCAGCTCTACCAGTTCTCGTTTTGGGCCAGAGGCAGCCTCTGCACTCCCACGCCTGTCCTCCTGGAAGGGACCTGGTTGGACTAACGGCTAACCTGGACCTGGAACTGTAGGGCCAGGGGATTGTCTCAGGGCCGACGTTCCACCTGGGGCTTCCCTCCCCACCCACCCCGACTCCAGGCTTTCCCTTTTTTCTTTTGTTCAACATTGTAAGAACAATCAATGCTGTTATTACTGATCCCACCATGATTGATGTGGGGTAAATATTAAGGAGATGGCCTCATGGGAATTTGACCTTGACTAGAAATAGAGACTGAGAGTGAGCAACCAGCTGGAAGGTACTATGCCAGTCCTAGCAGAAAAATGTGTTAGGGGCCTGGCCCAAAGCAGTGTTGGTTGCTTACAGTGTTGATTGATTTTGTTCTTTTTTCTTACCACCTCTTTTCTTTCCCTCTCATGGTACCTGCTCATGGTTATGAAGCTTTCAAAGTAAAGAACACGAAATACCTCCCAAGTATTACCAGTGGGTACCAAAAAAATGTCCCCTTGAGTCTTTTCCTTGTTTTTAGATGTTAATTCTCTCCCTTGGCATCCGGTTAGCCCCCCAGGGGGGGCAGCATTGTGGAGAACTTGATATTTAGTTACTGATGCTCTTCCAGGACACGAAAAGAACCCATCTTTGAATATCAATGATTTTTTTTTTTTTAAGTACTGTTCCGGGGAGAAAAACAGTCTCAAAACTTGAACTTCTTGGGAAGAGAAGTGTTGGGCTGAGAAGTAACATTCCCAGGAAATAGTGAGAAGCTCGCCCTGTGTTTGAAACCGTGTTGGTCTCTGTGTTCCTGGAAGAAAACAGGGAAGCAGCATCTTTTAAAGCCTGTTCTTTAAGGTGTCTCGTTAGAGCCCAAAGTGGAATCCGGAAGGCAGCCAGAGCTGAGGCTGCCCCAAGACTCAGACTTGCTAAGAATTACGCCGCCGACTTCAAACCCAGAGAGCATCTTTCTTTTAGGCGAAAACGCATATATTTATTTTTTGTAAGTTATACCATTCTTTCACATTAGATAAACTAAGTTTTGGGGGATCCTTTTGTAATGACTTACACTGGAAATGCGAACATTTGCAGTAAAAAAATATATATATATCTATATATTTTATTTCTTTCTAAAGAATGGTTCCCTTTCCTTTGGGGCCTCGGCGAGGGTTCCAGCCATGTCCTCTGCAGGGTCAGGATGTGGCATCTTCCTGTTTCTGTTCTTTCCTTTTGACAACAAGTCGCCTCTAGTGGGAGCTGTTGCCAGAAAGGGCAAGTTGTAGAGATCACTAGTCAGATGGGGTTTAGTGGGAAGGCGGGACAGCCGCAAGGTGGACGGAGCCCAGGTTTTGGGGTTGGACAGACCCTGGCTTGAGTCCTGCTCTTGTCATTTGCTGTTCTTGTGACCCTGGGGAAGTCACTCAGCCTCTGTGCCTCACTTGCTTTGTCTGTAAAATGAGGCTGATCGTACTTACCCTGTGAGCAGTGATGTGTGCGGTACTCGTAGCCTCGGTCAGGTTCTAAGACACAGGCGAGGCAGAAATCACATGTGGCCAGAACGATCCTTGAAAATCCTGCCCTCCCCCTGCCCTTTTTTTTTTTTTTTTTTTTTTTTTTTTTTTTTTTTTTTTTTTTTTTTTGCTAGAGGCACGGTCTCACTCTGTTGCCCAGGCTGGTGTGCAGTGGCACGATCATAGCTCACTGCAGCCTCAAACTCCTGGGCTTACGCAATCTTCCTGCCTCAGCCTCCTGGGTAGCTGGGACTACAGGCATGTGCCCAGCTAATTTTTAAAAATTTTTATAGAGTCAGGGTCTTGCTATGTTACCCAGGTTGTTCTTAAACTCCTGGGCTCTGGGGATCCTCCTGCCTGAGCCTCCCAAAGTGCTGGGGTTCAGGCACCTGGCCTGAAAATCCCTTTATGTTAGTCCAGAGAGGCGAGGCTGCGCTGCAGTAACAAATTCGCCGTAAAATCTTCGGAAATGATCACAAGGCTTTATTTCTTGCTCACGCAGTTCTTGGTGAGGGTCAGCTGCCTCTCCAGGGTAGGTGACTTCCCTGTGACAAGTGATCCAGGCTGTCCTGGTTTTGTGACATGGCCTCCCAAGGGTTGGCCTCCAGGTCCCCACAGTGGGAGAAGGGAGAGTGGACGACTCTCACCCACTCTTCTGTGTCTGAAACCGGAACTGACGCAGTTAATCCCACTCACAGCCCATTGGCCAAAATGAGTCACATGGCCCCAACCCAACCACTGCGGGAGCTGGGAAATGGAGCGGTGCCTGTGGAAGAGAAGGATTTCTCCCTTTCCTAACTGATGTGGTTCTGGAGTTTTGGATAGCGGAGTAGTCAGACTAGTGTGTTCGGTTTCTAACTTCGAACTGGGTGAGTCTGGGCAGTAAGGAATGTCTGTATTTGGGGAGCACACCATTTCTGCCACACCTAAAACCATGCACCAAGTACATGTGCAGATAGAACGTTCTAGCACTGCCATTGTTCCCTCAAGCTTTCCTGTCCCCTGATTGAAATTGTTGGCTTGCACTAGGGACTGTGGTGTACAAAGGTGCTCAGGGAAGAGCCGGCGAGGTGGTGACCATTAGAATGAGTAGTAGTGTCTGGGTGCAGTGACTCATGCCCCATTGAAACTGTTGGCTTGCATTAGGGACTGCAGAGTGTGAAGGTGCCTAGTGAAAAGCCAGTAAGGTCATAACCATTAGAATAGGTAGTATCAGCCAGCCGGGCATGGTGGCTCATGCCTGAATGATGTCATTGGCTTGCATTAGGAACCACAGAGTATGAAGGTGCCCAGTGAAAAACTGGTGACGTTGTGACTATTAGAATTAGCAGTATTGGCTAGACGAGGTGGCTCATGCCTGTAATCCCAGCACTTTGAGAGGCTGAGACAGGAGGACTGCTTGAGCTGAAGAGTTCAAAACCAGCCTAGGCAACATAGTGGAACTCTTTCTATATAAAAACTTTTTTTTTGTTAAATTAGAAGTAGTTGAGGCTGGGTGCAGTGGCTGACGCCTGTAATCCCAGGACTTTGGGAGGCTGAGGCGGGTGGATTGCCTGAGGTCAGGAGTTCAAGACCAGCCTGATCAACATGGTGAAACCCCGTCTCTACTAAAAACACAAAAATTAGTTGGGCATGGTGGCACATGCCTGTAGTCCCAGCTACTGGGGAGGCTGACAAGAGAATTGCTTGAATGTGGGAGATAAAGGTTGCAGTGGGCTGAAATCAAGTCATTGCACTCCAGCCTGGGCAACAGAGCAAGCCGAGACTCCATTTCAAAAGAGTAGTAGTTGGATCTACCAGCGGGAATCTTAATAGGGATGTGAGATGTGTTTAGATCTCAAAGCCTGACCCTGAGTCTTAAAATCCCAGGTCAGATCCTAAGCAGTCCCAGAGAGCTCCACCTGGTGTGCATCTGTGCCAGTGTCTTGGGGTGGGGCAGCTGCATGCTCAGGTGGAATCCGGGGCTGAGTTCAAGTTTAATCCACTTTATGAAGAGGAGGCAGAGTGAGGCATAACTCCTCATCCAGGGGAGTGGAAGTACTGTGGAAGGAAGCTCTGTTTTGTACCTACTACGTGCTGGCCCTGGCCTCACTGTGCAGAACTCTCCACATTGGAAAGGATCCCCCCAGACCAGAGAGGCGTAAGGAGGGGGCTGGTGCTTTCCAGTGTTGAACTGTTCATCTGTCCTCACACCCACCATCGGGTCCTACAGCAAATTTGTTTGATTTTCTGCAAAACACCCAGAATCTATCCACTCCCCATCCTCCCATTGCCACCACGCTGGTCCCAGCCACCCCACTTTCTCCCTGCATCCCTACAACAGCTGCCACAGTGGTCTCGAGGCTTTTGCCCCCAGCCCCCCACACACACATCAGTGTCCTCAACCTGGTGGCTGTAGTGACCTTATGAAAACACGCACTGGCCGGGCACGGTGGCTCACGCCTGTCATCCCAGCACTTTGGGAGGCCGAGGCAGGCAGATCACCTGAGGTCAGGAGTTCGAGACCAGCCTGGCCAACATGGTGAAATCCTGTCTCTACTAAAAATACAAAAATTAGCCAGGTGTGGTGGCGAGTGCCTGTAATTCCAGCTACTTGGGAGACTGAGGCATAAGAATTGCTTGAACTGGGAGGTGGAGGTTGCAGTGAGCCAAGATCACGCCACTGCACTCCAGCCTGGGTGACAGAGTGAGTGACTGATGGTGAGGACACGGGCTCTGAAGCCACACTGCTTGGGCAGAGATGCCACTCATTCTGTTTGTTTTCTCATCTGTCAAAAGGGCCTGATGGTAGTACCTTCCTCATCAAAACGTTCCAGTAAGGGGCCCAGTGAGGTGGCTTCCTCCTCTGGTCCACTGAATGCGTGCGTGGCGGGCATTTAAAGCAGTGTCAGGTATACGTAGTTACGTGTTTGCAGTGGCGAGGTGGACTGTTGAGTTTTAAAGAGTCTACTGGGCGCAGGCACTGACCAGAGAGGAAGTCTGCAGCCTTGATGGATGAAATTCGTGTTCCACCCACCAGCCAGACCCTACTGGCAGCAGCCCATGGCGGGGGTATTAATGGCCTGGGCATCCCCTCTGGCGCGTCTCCAGACTGCCGTGGTGTGGGCCCAACAGCAGTCTCGTTAGCAGGCTGGCAGGTGCCGGTTCCCACGTGCTGGCCGCCTGTGGCCCACCCTCTGCTCCCTGGCACACAGCCTAGGAAAGAGAGTCTGGTGGCCCTGGGTCATCCCCAGCTGAGTTTGCCAAATGCCCACATGGCAGCCCCTGCCTAGGGTCACTCTGCAAGGCAGGTGGCTCAGCTCCAGCCAGAGAAGACAGGCTGCATCTGCCGCCCTTCCTTTCTCTAAAGGACAAATGTGCCCTGTGCAATGACTTTGGTATTACACCCAGAAACAGATCCCCACTCTGTCCTTACTGACTGGGTCAACTTGGCAAGTCATGTCAACCCCTTGAGCCTCAGTTTCCTCACCTGTGAAATGGAGCTAGGAATAGGTAGTTGTGGGTCCACAGCTTTGCAGGCATGACTAGGGGCAGGTCAAGAATGCGGACTTCCTGCCCCACTTTGAAGGTGGTAGAAGCTGCAGTTAGAAGTTTACTCCAGGCCAAAAGGGGCATCACAAAACCTGTGAGGATGGGCCATCAGAAAGTCCCATGACCTGATGGGCGGAGCAGGCCCTGTGTCCTTAAGAAAAGGTGGAGTTCTTGCCCTGCCACCCCTGACACCAGCAAAGCCACTGCTCAAGTATCTGTGGATGATGGATGGCAGCGGGGCAGGTTAGACCGGGGATTCTCAACCAAGTGGGTCTTTTTGTTTTGTGTTTTTTCAGACAGTCTTGCTCTGTCACCCAGCCTGGAGTGCAGTGGTGTGATCTTGGCTCACTGCAACCTTCTCTGCCTGGGTTCAGGCGATTCTCCTGCCTCAGCCTTCAGAGTAGCTGGGATTATAGGCACCTGCTACCACACCCGGCTAATTTTTGTATGTCTGGTAGAGCCAGGGGTTCACCTTGTTGTCCAGGCTGGTCTCGAACTCCTGACCTCAAGTGATTCACCTGCCTCCGCCTCCCAAAGCACTGGGATTACAGGCATGAGCCACTGCACCCGGCCCAACTAGGTGGCTTTGACCCCCTGGGGGATTAATGGCAGTGTCACAAGTCTGGTGGCGGTAGAAGGAGGATGTTATTGGCATCTAGTGAAGAAGAGGCCAGGGGCGCTGCTGAACGTCCTACGATGTGCAGGACATGTCCCCACAGCACAGAACTATCTGGCCCCACGTGTCAATAAGGTTCAGAAAGCCTGGGGGATTGCCTTCTGTGCTTCCACGAACACATATCCATGTATTATGTCATTCTTGCGGCAATGCCACGAGGTCAGTGAGACTCCCTGACTAGCATACATAATGTTAGGATCTAGGGAGTTGTCTAATGTCTCACGCTGCCCTTCCCAGCGATCTATGTGTGGCCTTAGGCTTGGCTACTTTAGACTTAGTCCCTCTTTTCCGGTGCCTGCAGCTGGTTTGGTGAGTCCAGTATTAATATACTGACCGCTGTCAGAAAGAGGAGTGAGGAGGCTGGGCATGATGGTTCACGCCTGTAATCCCAGCACTTTTGGAGGCCGAGGTGGGCAGATCACCTGAGGTCAGGAGTTCAAGACCAACCTGGCCAACATGGTGAAACCCCGTCTCTAGTAAAAATACAAAAATAATTAGCCAGGTGTGGTGGTGGGTGCCTATAATCCCAGCTACCCGGCAGGCTGTAGCAGGAGAATCGCTTGAACCTGGGAGGCAGAGGTTGCAGTGAGCCGAGATCTTGCCACTGCACTTTAGCCTAGGTGACAGAGTAAGACTCTGTCTCAAAAAACAAAAAAAGAAATGTGTGAGGAATGCAACAAGCTGTGCATTGACCACCCTTGGTTACAGCAAGTTCTCCACGCTCAGCCGGGTCCAGCCTTTGGCTGTCAGCAGCATCTGGAGCGGAACTGTGAACAGAAACACTCCAGGTGTTCCGACGGGTGCTGGGGCGCCCCCAGGGAGCTGGAATTTGGTTTTTAGCAACCACATATAGGAAATGAACCCGCCAGCCACAGTATCTCACGCCTGTAATCCCAGCACTTTGGGAAGCTAAGGCCAGCGGATCACCTGAGGTCAGGAGTTTGAGACCAGCCTGGCCAACATGGTGAAACCCCGTCTCTACTAAAAATACAAAAATCAGCTGGGCGTGGTGGTGGGCGCCTGTAATCCCAGCTGCTCCAGAGGCTGAGGTGGGAGAATCGCTTGAGCCCGGGAGGTGGAGGTTGCAGTGAGTCAAGATTGCACCCCTGCACTCCGGCTTGGGTGACAGAGTGAGACTTTGTCTCGGACAAAAAAAAAAAAAAAAAAAAAAGAACCAAGTCCTCGGGCAAATTCTCCCATTGAGGGCTGTGAAGTCTTGGCTCCTCTGTTGTTTGTTTTGGAAACCAAACTTGCATATTTGACTTTCTCATGCGTGGAGAGGACCCATGCTTGGCATGGGGGGGCACCTGGTTTTTGTGTCCTTGGAGCTCATCTCTGGTGGGGGAGGAGGAGCAGCAGGAGATGCGAGGGCTGTAGTTCTCAGTCCTGGCCGCACATTGGAATCCTATGGGGGAGCTTTAAAATTATACACCAAACTCGGCCAGGTGCGGTAGCTCACGCCTGTTATCCCAACACTTTGGGAGGCCGAGGAGGGTGGATCACATGAGGCCAGGAGTTCAAGACCAGCCTGGCCAATATGCTGAAACCTCGTATCTAATAAAAATTACACAAGTTAGCCAGGCATGGTGGCGCACGCCTGTAATCTCAGCTGCACGGGAGGCTGAGGCAGGAGAATTGCTTGAACCCAGGATGTGGAGGTTGCAGTGAGCTGAGATTGAGCCACTGCACTTCAGCCTGAGCAACAGAGTGAGACTCTGTCTCAAAAAAAAAAAAAAAAAAAATACACACACACACACACACACACACACACACACACACAACTGGAGAACAGAGCATGGTCACTGGGGGCAGGAGCGAGAGTGATGGGTGTGGTCGGAAAATGGTGGTGGCTATTCCGTATCCTCACCCTGGTGTGGATTCATGAGCCTACATGTGTGATAAAACTGCATGGGACAAAATAAACACACACACACACAGGAGTACAGGTAAAACGGGAAATCGAGCAAGATTGTTGTGTCAATGTCAACACCCTGGCTGTGATGCTTTATCCTAGAGTTTTGCAAGATGTTACCATTGGGTGAAATGGGGTACCAAGTACACGAATCTCTCTATATTATTGTTTCTTTAACTGCATGTGAGTCTGGGATTATCCCAAAATAAAAGTGTTAATTTGTAAAAAGTACACACAGCATGGCAGTTCCCAGCCTCAGAGATTCTGATTTAAGGGTCTAGCCGGGAGCCTGGGCATGTGCTTGAGGCCCCCAGGTGAGTCCAGAGTACAGCGGGGCTGAGAGTCGCTGTTGACATTGGCTGCAGGGTGGACAGGGCGAGATGGGCCCTGCCCGGGCAGACCTGTGTATTGCTAGGTCCTTCCGGCTCTGATGCTCTGTGATAATTGGCCACTTTCTCTGCCATTTTCCTCCCAGAGAGCAAACACAGGTCTAGACTCAATATCGTGTGGAGCTATCGATGACCACGGGTCACTTCCATCTCCAGCACTGCAGGCTGTGCGGGCTGGTCCAACTGGGGTACGGTTGAGGGTCCTGGCTCAGACCAGGCCTGACTCCTGGGCCAGTCTGTAAAACAGGCCCTTCTGGGCCAGCAGCTGGGCCGGGCTGCCGCTCTCTGCCACCTGCCCCTTGTCCATGACCAGAACCCTGTGGGGGAGAGGGAGACAGAGAGGCTCTCTGGACACCAGCCCAGGCTCTCGGCAGCTGTGAGAGCCCAGTGTGTCTGCGCTGAGGTTTTCTCCATAGAAGTCCTGCTTTCCATGCGGCTCCCTGGCCCTCACAGCTGGGTTGGAAGCGTGTGCTGGGCGCATGTCCTTGGGCAGCTTTCCCACTTGGCATGTGTTCCCGGGCATTCCTCCCGCTCTGGCCCCATTCAGGACCCCTCCAGCTCTAACCCGAAGCCCAGTGGCCCAGGACTGCCTCCGCCTCCTTCCCCCACCACTGCAGGGCTGCTGTGAGGTCAGGCCGGGGCGGGAGCCTTACCGGGCACAGTCCATCACGGAGCGCAGGCGGTGGGCAATGAGCAGCACAGTGCACTGTGCAAACCAGCTCCCGAGCATGGCCTGCATCTGCAGCTCCGTGCCAGGGTCCACGGCAGCAGTAGCCTCGTCCAGGATGAGGATCTGGGTCTTCCGGAGAAGGGCACGTGCCAGACACAGGAGCTGTTTCTGGCCCACGCTGGGAACGATTGGGACAATTAGCTGGGACGTGCGTTTGTCGGCACATGGTGATGTGTGGGTGTGCCCAGAAACAGGTCCCTGAAGCAGTGCAGGAGTGAGGTGCCTGTGTTCAGGCATCCCCACACATGGGGTCTGGGGTCTGTGGTCTGCAGAACTGATAGGAAGCCTGTTCCTGCCATCTTTGAGCAGGCTGACTGTAGGCAGGTCATTCAAACCCTTTGTGCCTCAGTTTCCCCACCTGTGAAATGGCTATTTTCTTTTTTCTGTTTATGGCTCTTTTTTTCTTCTTCGTTTTTCTTTTTTTTTTTGAGACGGAGTCTTGCTCTGCCACCCAGGCTGGCGTGCAATGGCACAATCTCAGCTCGCTGCAACTTCTGCCTCCCGGTTCAAGCAGTTTTCCTGCCTCAGCCTCCCAAGTAGCTGGAATTACAGTCATGCGCCACCATGCCTGGCTTTTGTATTTTTAAAGTAGAGATGGGGTTTCACCATGTTGGTCCGACTTGTTTGAAACTCTCAGGTGATCCACCTACCTCAGCCTCCCAAAGTGCTGGGATTACAGGCGTGAGCCACTGCGCCCCGGTAGTTCTATTTCTAGTTTGTTTTTTGAGAAATCATCATACTATTTTCCATAGTGACTGTACTAATTTATATTTCCCCCAACAGCGAAAGCACAGCTTTCACTTCAGTCATGCCGTTGCAAACAAACCTACAATGACTCACTGCTGCTTCAAGAATCAAATCTACAGTCTTCCTAAGACATTCAAGGCTGGTGTCACGTGGGCCTTAAATACAGATGTGTACAACACCTGGGTGGGATTCCAGGCGTGATCCACCGTGCCTGGCCTGTTTATGGCTATGTCCAGTTCTATTTCTAGTTTCCACCTTGTGCCAAACACATTCTAAGTGCTTGTATATATTCACTCAATCCTCATAATGTCCACCAAGGTAGATATTATTGTTCTCTTCTTTTGAGAGAAGAGGACACAGATACAGAGAAGCTCAGTGGCTTGACCAAGGTCTCAAGGCTAGTGGTGGGTCCATAATTTGAACCCAAGTCCTCTGACCCCAGAGTCTGTGCTCCTAATGGATCCGTCCTCACTGAATCGTGACGACATGGCACATAAAAGTGTGTGGGTGGCGGGGCACGGCGGCTCACACCTGTAATCCCAGCACTTTGGGAGGCTGAGGTGGGCGGATCACGAGATCAGGAGATCGAGACCATCCTGGCTAACACGGTGAAACCCTGTATGTACTAAAAATACAAAAAATTAGCCGGGCGTGGTGGCGGGCGCTTGTAGTCCCAGGTACTCAGGAGGCTGAGGCAGAAGAATGGTGTGAACCCGGGAGGCAGAGCTTGCAAGTGAGCCAAGATCGCGCCACTGCACTCCAGCCTGGGCGACAGAGCAAGACTCTGTCTCAAAAAAAAAAAAAAAAAAAAAAAAAGTGTGTAGGCTTGTCACAGAATAAGCCCTTGGCATGGAGTAGCACCCTTCGTGGAGGGTGGAGGAGTTGAGATTCCAGGTTGTGAGCCCAGGGAGCCCCTGACCCAGGTGGGAACTGACCCCTGGGGCCCCAGCATGGCTGTCTTGCACAGTAAGCCCTTCCATGAAACAGCATCCTTTTACATGATCAGAACCTACTATGGTCATGCAGGCGTTAGAGTGCCTGGGTCTTGTCCCAACCTCACTACTTTTAAGCTGTGTGACGTCAGGCAAGCCCCAGGCCTCCAATTCCAACTCTGTGAAATGATGTTATCAGGAGTGTGACTCAGGACTAAAATGAGTATTTACTCTTTGCTCTATGCCTGCCACTGTTTCAACAACTTTGTGCATATAATTCAATCCTTGCAAGGTAGGTAGGTGCTATTATTCCCACCTTACAGATGAGGAAACTGAGGCACACAAGATAAGTTGCCTAAGATCCTACAGCTAGTAAGTGGCAGGGCGGGGCGGGGGTGGGGGTGTGGGGTGGGGGGCCTGGATTTGAGCCCAGGCAGTCTGTCACCTGTGTATACTCTTACCCACCAAGCAACGCTGCCTCTCTAGTGCTGGAAATTATTGCCTACCACAAGCCCTTCGGACACCCTCAGGGTCAGAGGGGTTTATAAATCCAGAACACCTTAGGTTTTTTTTTGTTTTTTTTGAGACGGAGTCTTACTCTGTCACCCAGGCTGGAGTGCAGTGGCACAATCTTGGCTCACTGAAACCTCTGCCTCCCGGGTTCAAGCGATTCTCCTGTCTCAGTGTCTTAGCCTCCCACGTAACTGGGATTACAGGCGCCTGCCGCCACACCCAGCTAATTTTTGTATTTTTAGTAGAGACGGGGCTTCACCATATTGGTCAGGCTGGTCTTGAACTCCTGACCTCAGGTGATCCACCCGCCTCGGCCTCCCATAGTGCTAGGATTACAGGCATGAGCCACCGCGCCCAGCCACTTTGGTTTTTCTAAAGGCATATACCTATACACCTATGTTCATAGTGGCATTATTCAAAACGGCCAAGAGGTGGAAACAGCCTGGGTATCTACTGGCAGATAAACGGATAAGCAAAATGTGGTCTATCCATGTAGTGGAAAATTATTCGGCCTTAAAAAGGTAGAGAATCTGACACATGCTACGATGTGGATGACCCTTGAAGACATCATGCTGTGTGAAATAAGCCAGTCACAAAAGGACAGATCCTATGATTCTGCGTCTATGCAGTGTCTAGAGTAGTCACACTCAGAGAGACAGGAGAATGCTGGTGGCTGGGCGCTGGGGGAGGGGACAAGGAGAGTTAGGGTTTCATGGGTACAGAGTTGTAGTTCTGTTGTGTAACAGTGTGAATGTACCTAACACTACAGAAACTATACACTGAAAAATGGGTGAGATGGGCCCGGCGTGGCTGCTCACACCTGTAATCCCAGCACTTTGGGAGGCCTACGCAAGTTCGACTGTAGCCTGGGCAACATGGTGAAACCCTGTCTCTACAAAAAATAAAAAGATTACCTGGCCCTGGTGGCTCACACCTGTAACCCCAGCTACTCGGGAGGCTGAGGTGGGAGGAATGCTTGAGCCTGGGAGGTGGAGGTTGCAGCGAGCCTTGACCTCACCACTGCACTCTAGCCTGAATGACAGAGCCAGACCCTGTCTCCAAAGAAAAAGAAAAAAAAAAAAAAAGGTTGAGATAGTAAATTTTATGTGTATCTTTCCACACAGCTTTTTGTTGTTGAGACGAAGCCCAGGATGGAGTGCAGTGGTGCAATATCGGCTCACTGCAACCTTCGCCTCCCTGGCTCAAGCGTTCTTCCCACCTCAGCCTCCCAAGTAACTAGGACTACAGGTGCATGCCACCATACCTGGCTAATACTGTTGTCCACAGAGATAGGGTCTTGCTATGTTGCCCAGACTAGTCTCGAACTCCTGGGCTCAAGCAATCCTCCTCTCTCAGCCTCCTGAAGTGCTGGGATTACAGGCATGAGCCACTGTGCCCAGTCCACACTTGACATTTACCAAAAAAAAAAATCCTATATTATAGTCCCAGTGAGTGGTGAGGTTACCACCCGATATCAAACAATATTTTCATAGCAAAATAAATACTGAGCAAGAGCAATAAAGGCTATCAGTAGCCCTGTGTCAGTTGAGGTTGGGTTTTGCCACCAAGTAAATATAGAAGACTAACTGCTAATTTAGGGGGGAAAACCTTGGTATTCAGAGACTGTGTCAGAGCTTGGAATTGCAGATAAGAGACATGTGGTTATTAATGTAACAGAGTGATAATCCTATCGGGGGAGGCATTTCCTGAAGGCCCTTGGGGAGGGCATGGCCATCCCCTCCTCTCCCACCTGCAGGTCCCAGCCATGGTGGGACGACCATACCTCAGGTCCTCGCCTCGGTCAGCACACTTGTACTGCAGCTGGCCGGGCAGGCTGGCCACCAAGGCTTTGAGCTGCACCGTCTCCAGGGCTGCCCAGATAGCCTCGTCCGAGTGCTCCTGCAGCAGGTCGAGGTTCATCCGCAGAGAGCCAGGGAACAGGATGGGGTCCTGGCGGGGAGGGGCGGTGGGTCAGAGCCGGGTCCCACCATGCCTCCCATCTTTGCCCACCCCCTCCACCAGCCTCACCTGGGGGATGATGCTGATCCTGGAGCGCAGTGTGTGCAGCCCCACGTGGGCAATGGGGACCCCGTCGATCCAGATCCCACCCTCAGCTGCCTCCTGGAGCCGCAGCAGCCCACTGGCCAGGGAGGACTTCCCTGCCCCGGTCCTGCCAACGATGCCCACCTGCCCGGGGTTGGGAGGAAAGGCCTGCTCTGACCAGAGGGTTTGTGGGCATTTATTGGGGAGATCTTTCTGCTGTACCCGAGATCTGTCTATCCATCCCTCATTGTGTAAAGGTCTACCTTCCATCTCTCTTTCCATCTGTCTACCTTTCTATATATCCACCCATCAATCCATCCAGTCTTCCATCTGTGTTCTTCTCTATCTTTCCCTTATCCTGATATCTCTCTCCCATCTTTCTCCCCACCCTTCCTTTAGTTCCTCCATCTTTCCTCATCCTTCTATTTACACCTCTCCATCATCTCTCATCCTTTTTTCTACCCCATCCCATCCATCTGTCTGTCCGTCCATCCATCCCTTATCCTTTTTTCCACCCCATCCTGCCATCCATCCATCCATCATCCATCCTCAATCCCATCCCTCCATCTCTCTTCCACCCCATTCCATTCATCCATCCATTCATCTGTCTATCCGTCTCTCGTTTCTTCTTCCCTATTCATCCATCAATTCACTAATCCTTTCATTCATTTATTTTCTCCCATCCATCCATCCAGTCCATCCTTCCCTCATCCATCCTTCCATTCATCCTCCATCTTATCCATGTGTCCATTCTGTTATCCATCTCCCATGCTGTTATCCACCCTCCATCCTTATCTCTCTTGCTACTATTGCATCCTCAGTGTCTGACACATGGTGTGGGTTCAACATTATTTGTTTAATTAATGATGGAAACATGTGGGTCACCCCACTGTATGCCAAGTACCTGTTTAGGCACCGGAAGTATAGAAATTAAAGAGTCCTTGCTCCAGTGTGCCCATCATCCGGTCTAGGAAACAGTGCAATTGAGTAAATGTAATACAGTGTGATGAACAATGCTTTATTTATTTATTTATTTATTTATTTTTGAGATAAAGTCTTGCTCTATTGCCCAGGCTGGAGTGCAGTGGTGCGATCTCAGCTCACTGCAACCTCCACCTCCCAGGTTCAAGCAATTCTCCTGCCTCAGCCTCCCTAGTAGCTGGGACTGCAGGTGCCTGTCACCATGCTCGGCTAATTTTTGTATTTTTAGTAGACACGGGATTTCACCATGTTGGCCAGGCTGGTCTCAAACTTCTGGCCTCAAGTGATCTGCCCACCTTGGCCTCCTAAAGTGCTGGGATTACAGGTATAAGCCACAGCACCCAGCCAACAATGCTGTTTATTATCAAGGTCTGGACCTCTGGCAATTAAGGGAAGCAAGGCAGTGCTGCTCATGCTGCCTGGGATTTGACAGAGGTAATAAGAGAAGACCTCATGGAGGAAGGGATACTTGCATGGAAGCTTGAAGGATCAATAGGAGTTCAAGGAAGGGGAACACTCCAGGTAAACCACACCAAGTGGGTTTCCAAAACTAGAAGCTCATGGAGCTCACAGCACCATGTGCCCCCCTGGCCGAGAGGCAGCTGCTCCACAATGTTGGCTAAGCCCTGGCAGAGCAATGAATGAGAGGGGGAGGTTGGCAGGGCCTGGGTTGGGTAGAGCCTTGAATGCCAAGCTCAGGAATTCACACTTTACCCCAAGGGAAGCTGGAACTAGTAGAAGGTTTTGAGCAGGGGAATGACATGCAGTGTCATTCATGCTGATAAAGGTCACAGGATGGCTGGGCATGGTGGGTCATGCCTGTAGTCCCAGCACTTTGGGAGGCCGAGGGGGGTGATTGAGGTCAGAAGTTTGATAGCAGCCTGGCCAACATGGTGAAACCCTGTCTCTACTAAAAATACAAAAATTAGCCGGGTGTGGTGGCAGGTGCCTGTAATCCCAGCTACTCAGGAGGCTGAGGCAGGAGAATCACTTGAATCTGGGAGGCGGAGGTTGCAGTGATCTAAGGTCACACCACTGCACTCCAGCCTGGGCAACAGAGTGAGACTCTGTCTCAAAAAAAAAAAAAAAAAAAAAATCACAGGAGAGCAGATTGGAGCTGGTGAGACAGGATCCACTGCTTTTTAGGGGACAAGGAGAGGACAGGGAGGAAGCCTCTGTAGGTTCAGAGGGAGGGAGGAAAGGGATTCAGTGAAGGGGCCTGATGAGGCATCTGTAAAATGGGATAGTACTAGCACCTCACTTAGGGGTTGTTGTGAGAGTGAAAACGCAAATAATAAAAGCATTAGTAAACATTTCTGGAGCACTTTCTATGAGCTAAGCATGTTCTATGTATTAACTCAAACTTCACAACAACTCAGAGATCAGTATTACCAGTCCCAATTTACAGATGGGAAAACTGAGACTGAGCTATGAAGTGCTTTTCCCAATGTCTCCCAGCTGAAAGCAAATATCCCATTTGTGCAAACTGGAAAATGTACCTGGAGCATTTAACACACTGCCCAGCACATATTAGGTGCTGGGTTAATGTTAAAGGAAGAAGGAAGTCACGGAGTTGCTTCCTCATCTGGGGACACCAAGGTGGATGAGGAAGTCACCAGATGGAAGCAGGTTTGGGGAAGGTGAGGAGTTCATTTTAGGGGGTAATGGGTCTGAAAGCTAGGGGACCTGAGGTGGGGACACTGTGGAGGTAGCTGGTGCCCAGGGTTTAGGGCCTTGTCCCTGGAGTCCTTTGGCCTAAACTCCATGAAGAAGACATTGTGAGAGAACCACTCACCTTCTCTCCTGCGTGGATCTTGAAGGACACGCCCTGCACAGCCAGCGGGAGCTCAGGTCGGTATCTTAGCCCAAAGTCCTGGAACTCGATCTGCCCGCCCTGAGGCCAGGGGGGCTGAGCTGCACATGTGGGCAGCCTCCAGGGAGCCTGGAGCAGGAGGGGAAACTGAGTCAGAGGAGCCTTCCTCTAAGACTTCACACAAGATGGCCCACCTCTATCAGCTTCAGTTTTCTCTTCCGCAAAATGGACGTATTTATTGCTGTTTTACAGGGTTGTTATGGGAATTCAACAAGAGAGGGCATGGACTATGTCAATGCTAAAAACAGATGGTGGTGGCTACTTTTAGTCTATTTTATTGTTATTATTAGCCACTGTTTATTATAAAATAATCTCTTTTTCTATAGTGGGAGCAGACATTTCTCTTTGTCTTTGTGAAAGGACATGACTGTGCAGTGGGAAGACCAATACTGCCTTTGCTGTTCCCGTGACCTTGAACAGATCATTCTACCCCCTTGAGTCTTGGTTTTCCAATCTGGGAAATAGGGCTAATAAGAGCAGCAGACATGTATTGAGTGTTTGCAATGGACCAGGCACTCTATTAAATCATTTCTTTGCAGGATCTCATTTGATCCTCCCAGTAAACTCAACGCTGTTATGTTACTGTTACATTAGTGCTATGCTGCTGTTCTTATCCTTTCTTCCACTCAATCCCATCCATCCATTCATCCATCCATCTCTTATCCTTTATCCACCCCATCCCACCCATCCATCCATCCATGCATCCATCCATCCATCTCCAATCCCATCCCTCCATCTCTCATTCTTCCATCCCATTCCATCCATTCATCTGTCCATCTCTCACAATTTCTTCTACCCTATTCATCAACTAATTAATTCTTCCTTGTTCTGTTACTGTAATGTTACTGTTATATTGCTAACACATTATATCATGTTGCTGTTTTGTTACCGTTGCGTTGCTATGTTGCTGTTCTGTCCTTATAATGCTACTGTTATGTTGCTGGAATTTTGCCATCATGTTACTATAATGTTGCTGTTTTCTTACTGTTACATTGCCATGTTGCTATTCCGTTACTATAATTTCAGTTATTTTGCTGGAATGTTGCCATCATGTTACTATAATGTTGCTGTTTTGTTACTGTTACATTGTTATGTTGCTACTCTGTTACTCTGTTACAGTCGTGTTGCTGGGATGTTGCTGTCATGTTATGATGTTGCTGTTGTGTTACTATTGCATTGCTATGTTGCTGTTTTGTTTCTATCATGTTACTAAAATGTTGCTATTACGTTACTATTACATTGCTATGTTGTGGTTGTATTGCTGGAATGTTGCCATCATGTTACTATAATGTCTCTATTATGTTACTATTACACTGCTATGTTGCTATTCTGGTACTGCAATATTGTGGTTATGTTGCTGTTACATTACTGTTACATTGCTGTTGCATTACTCTCATGTTCTGGAATATTGCCATTGTGTTGCTGTTGCCATTATGTTACTATCATGTTGCAGCTATGTTGCTGTTGCAATGCTGTTCCTTGTGGTTCCCTGCACTCCCATGGGTGACCTGCTTTCCTCAAGCTCAGAAGCAAAGGAACCAAGATTTGGCCTGGCTCCAAACCTTATGCTCCTAACCACTGCTGCCACCCTGTCTGTGACTCTGACCTATAGTGGTGGGGGTTGAGTGAGGGGAGAAGAGGGTATAAACTCCAAAGCCTGTAGCAGATGTCAACAGGGACCCATTGCCCCCCCCACAATATGTCCTTGCTGGGACCCCCTCCCCACCTCCCGCCCATCACCTCCTTGGGCGTCCAGGCATAGTCCTGCATCCGCTCCACTGACACGATGCTGTTCTCTAGGTCTGTCCAGTTGCGAACAACCCACTGCAGTGTCTGGGTCACCTGGTGCAAGAAAGCCTCTCTGGCTGGGTTTGGCAAGGCCACTTGAGGGCTTGCAACAGCCCCCCTGGTTTCCCAACCTTTTCTGGGAGGCCAGACCCAGGGGAGTAAAGAGGGGAGGCAGGAATGGGACAGTCTGAGGACCTGGGCCCAGGGGATTGGGATTTGGATACAACCAACAGGTCCCTCTCTTCCTTCAGTAGAACCAGAGCATGCAGAGCAAAAAGAAGCCCTCAGACATCAGCTTGTACAAACTGGCTTGATGCAGGTGAGTAGACAGGATCAGAGAGGGTGTGTGGCCCTCCCAAGGACACACAGCAGGACCCAGGCCCACTGATTCCATTCTGACGGCTTTCTCGCAGCGACTGGGTGGCCACCAATTTCCCATGACACTTAGAACCACTCCAAGCTCCTCCCTATGAGCCATTAGCAGCTCTAGCCCTGCCATCCCATCCCCAACCTTGTCTCCCAGCACCCCTGCCTTCACCCACCCTCTCCAGCCACACCCGTCTTCTTGCTGTTCCTCTAACACACCAGGGATGAACCTTCAACTCCCAGGCCTTTTCTTCCTGCTGTTAACCTCACTTCCTCCTAAGTCACCTCCTCAGAGAGGCCTTTCTGGATGCAGTAGGAAAGTTCCCTCACTGCCACCCAACATGCTCCAGCCTCTTACTTCATCCTTAAGCTTAGCAGCCTTGACTGTAAAATGAGGATAATAACAGTGCTTCTCTGATGGGGTTGTGGGCAGTATTAAGTGAGTTAATATTTATAAAATTCTTGTGCACAGTGGCTCATGCCTATAATCCCAGCTTTTTGGAAGTCTAAGCAGGAAGATTGTTTGAACCCAGGAATTGAAGGCTGCAGTGAGCTGTGATCACACCACTGCACTCCAGTCTGGGCAAAAGAGTGAGACCTTGTCTCAAAACAAAACAGCTGGGCATGGTGGCTCACACCTATAATCTCAGCATTTTGGGAGGCTGGGGCAGGCAGACCACTTGAACCTAGAGTTTGAGACCAGGTTGGGCAACATGGTGAAACTGTTTCTACCAAAAAAAAAAAAAAAAAAAAAAAAAAAAAATTAGCCAGGCATGGTGGTGCATGCTTGTAGTCCCAGCTAATTGGGAAAGTGAGGTGGGAGAATCCCTTGAGCCTGGAGATGGAGGCTGAAGTGAGCCAAGATCATGCCACTGTACTCAAGCCTAGGCAACAAAATGAGATCCTGTCTCAAACAGCAACAACAACAAACCAAAACGAACAAAAACATATAAAGCTCTTAGAATAATGCCTCCTCCATAACAAATGCTTATGAGTGTATATATATATTTTTTTCGTAGATGTCATGAACTGACATTACATACTGTTAATAGTTAACAAAAATTAGCCAGGCATAGTGGCTCACGCCTGTAATTCCAGCAACTTGGGAGGCTGAGGCATAAGAATCGCTTGAACCCAGGAGGCAGAGTTCTCAGTGAGCCGAGATTGCACCACTGCACTCCAGCCTGAGTAAAAGAGAGAGACTCTGTCTTCAAAACAAAACAAAAGTTAACAATGCACTAGAAATGTCCTCCACAGGATATGCTTTGTCTCAACTAGTCTTTATAACATCAGAAGTAGTGGGATTTCTGGCCTGTCTTTCCAAGGAGCACACTGACACTCCACAAGGAAAGACTCTTGCCCAAGGTTGCAAGTTCACCTTAGCTGAGTCTGGCTCTTGTAGAGCTGCGTGTCCCTCCTTGGTGGAGGGACTCCACACACCATGGTGGTTTGGACACAGGGTCTTCAAAGGTCCCACTAGCAGGGGTCCGACAGTCTCTGCCTCTGTCTGTCCCTCAAGCCCAGTTTGGGGATGTGGGGAGTACCTGGAGGGCAGCAGAGACAGAGAAGCCCACGAGGCCAGCACTGAGGTGGGCTTTGCTCAGCACAGCACACGTGGCAGCTGCAAACACCAGGCCATTCCCCAGGAGCTCCACATTGGCCGCAAGCCACCTGCAAAGGGAAGCGACAGCAGGGTGAGTGGTTACTCTCATCTGCAGGGAGATGCTTCTCTGGGCACAAGGACTGGTCATCACACCAGCTTTGTACACACAGGGGTCCCAGCAATGGCCTCCACATGCAACCCAGGCTCAGGGAGTAGAGGAAGATGACACCGTCCTGTCTCAACTAAGCCCACTTTAGGGTCTGGGGTACACTCGGTGTTCTGAAGAGCATCCCTGTGTGGCTGCTTTTCTGTCCCTGGAATTTGCCAAGCCATGTCCACCTGCCATTCCCCTGGCCTGAACCATGGCCTCCATGGTTTGGCTCTGTGTCCCCACCCAAATCTCATCTCAAATTGTAATCCCCACATGTGGAGGGAGGGATCTGGTGGGAGGTGACTGGATCATGGGGGCAGTTTTCCCCATATTGTTCTCGAGATAGTGAGTTCTCACAAGATCATATGGCGTAAAAGGATGCGGCAGTTCCCACCTCATGCTCTCCCTCTCCTGCTGCCATGTAAGACGTGCCTTGCTTCCCTTTCCACCATGATTGTAAGTTTCCTGAGGCCTCCCCAGCCACGTGGAACTGAGTCAATTAAACCTTCCTTTCTTTATAAATTACTCAGTCTCAGGTAGTTCTTTTTAGCAGTGTGAAGATGGACTAATACACAGCCCCAGCTGGCTGGGGACCTGAGATGAAAGGAAAAAGGACTTCACATGTATTGAGCACCTAGTGTGTACTTGACCCTCTCCACACTCTGGTACCAGACTGCTTGGATTCAAATCCTGGCTCTGCCAGTATTAGCTGTGAGACCCTGGACAAGTTTCCAAACCTCACTGTGCCTAGGATTTATCATCTATAGAACAGTTTCTTCCTGGTGAAGCTGTTAGCAGAATTAAATAAATTAATCTACATAGATTGCTCAGAACAGTGCCAGGCATGCAGTAAGCATGTTACAGGTCTTACCTATGAGTGTCTGTATTTAATCCTCATATCCACTCCATGAGCACGATCCCAGTTTGACAAATGAGGCTCAGAGAGGTTATGTAACTTGCCTGAAATCAACCAGCTGGTAAGTGGCAGAGCTGGGATTTGAACCTGTGTCTATTTGTGCTTAAAGCTTGTGTTCTTGTTCTTGCTTAGTACCTAAAGATGGCTGAGGATGCTTATATGGCTGCTTTATCACCAAGGCAAAAGAGGTTGATCCAGTTGCCTGGCAACAGAAGCTTCTTCCTGTACCCCCCGCCCACCTGCTGTTGAGAATCTCTCGGTCATGTTCCATCTGCCCACGGTGAGAACTGATAGACTGCCTGTGGGATCTAGCCTCAACTATGTCCCTGACTCTCTGGGTGACCTCGCTACCATACAATATGACCTCAGGTCTCACCCTCTAAGGATATGGATGAATTGCAAGGTCTTCTCTGCCCTGGCTCTTCCTACCTGTCAGCCACCAGTCGCGGGAAACTGATCCTCTGGCTTTCATCTACGCGAGCATTGTTCTGAGCCACAAAGGGGGCCTGGGTTCGGAATGCCCGGACCACTGTGCTGCCCTGGAACGTCTCAGCCATGTGGGAGCAGACAGACGAGTAGCTGGCTGACTCCAAGCGTCTCAGCTGGCATGAGCTAACCACATACAGGCTCTGAGAAGGATGGATGGGAGAGGGAAGAGGAGAAGCCACAGACATAGAGAGGTAGTTTCCAGAAGCACAGAGAGCCCCAAGTACAGGATTCCAGACCAGGATCTGTTAACAGCTTACTGTGTGACCTTGGGCTAGTTGCTTGCCCTCTCTGGGTTCTCATTTCCTTGCAGAATCAGAGTTCTATGGTTTTTTTGAAAATCACCTGGGGAGCTTCAAAAACCTCTAATGCCCCACCCCAGAATGACTGAATCGGAATCTCTGGAAATGTCACCTTGACTTTGGTGCTGTTTAAATAGCCTTCCAGATGATTCTAAGGGACAGCCAGGGTTGAGAAACCACCAATTTAGTTTAAGTGTCTCACTTCCCAGCACTGAGGCCGACTACTTCATTTACGGCTGGTCAGTGGGAGAACAAAACTGTAAGGGGCAATGAAGGCAGTTGGCCAAGTCAGTTTCACTCATGTAACCCAAGGGTTACATGCCAGGTGATGTGCAGAAAATATTCGTTATTTGGTTTGCAGCTGCAGGTTGGGTGCAGCTGGCAGACAGGCAGGCAGGGAGGAACTGAATTTGCTGAACACCCAACTGTATGTGCCAGGCTTTTCACACAGTGTCTCATTCATTGCAGAGTGAGCATTCGCGTCATTCATCAGTTAGTGGTGAGAACATCCAAGGCTCGGGGGATTCAGCAGCTGTCCTGAGTGCCACAGTAAGTGATAGAGCCTGGATTTAAACCCATCTTTGCTTGACTCTAAAGCTTGAGACAGAAACAGCCCATCCTCGGAGTCAAGTGAACTTAGAGAAGACCTAGGACAATTGTCGGGGACAGTGGTAGCCATGGGTTTTGTTGTTTGTTTTTTGAGATGGAGTCTCTCTCTGTCACCCAGGCTGGAGTGCAGTGGTGCAATCTCAGCTCGCTGCAACCTCTGCCTCCCGGGCTCAAGCAATCCTCCCGCCTCATCCTCCCAAGAAGCTGGGATTACAAGCATGCGCCACCACACTGGCTAAATTTTTGTATTTTTAGTAGACGGAGTTTCACCATGTTGACCAGGCTGGTCTCGAACTCCTGACCTCAAGTGATCTGCCCACCTCAGCCTCCCAAAGTGCTGTGATTAGATGTGTGAGCCACCATGCCTAGCCCTAGCCATGGTTTTTATCTGACTACCATGTTTTCTACTTCTGGTTTCCTGTGGGAAAGGGCTGGGTTGGGGTGCTGTCAATCATGGGACCTGATCAGAGAGGTGGTCACATGATGCAGCCTAGTGTATCAGAATCTACTATCCATTCAGTTACTGTGACGAGTTCAGAGATGGACACATGATCCACAAAGGGCCAATCAGAACCTTCCCTGGGATTAATATATGACTACTGAGCTGAAGAAACGTTTTTTGCATGTTGAGTTGCTAAGGTGAGATGATATGATAGCTAGTGGCCATAAGACCTGCCCTGGAAAGAGAGCGTGTACAAAATTAGACCAGAGGTAAGCCAGTGGTTCCTAAACATTTGTGTACATCAGAATTACTTGGAGGGTTAATTAAAACCTAGATTCATGGGCCGACCCACATAGTATCTGAGGCAGTAGTCCTGGGCTGGGGCCTAAGAATGTACTTTGCTAACTAGTCCCCAGGTGATACTACTGCTGGTCCTGGGGTCACACTTTGAGAAGCACTGAGTGAAGATATGGAGAGAGTCACTGTGTCCTGATGACAACTGGGCCCATGCCCCCAAGGAAATATAAGCCATTAAATTCTATTCTTTTGGTTAAGCTAATTTTAGTTGGTCGCTGGTCCCAGCAATTGAAAGAATCTAGCTTCATATAATAGCCTTTGAGACCTTGCAATGCCTTTTTGGCTTCCAGATAATTGGAGAGGAAGAAATTACGGCAGGATAAAAACATTACGCGTGAAAGGCTCTGGCCCTTAATATTTAACTGTGCCGTGGGGCACAGGGGCTCATGCCCTGTAATCCCAGAACTTTGGGAGGCCAAGGTGGGAGGATCACTTGGGGCCAGGAATTCGAGACCAGCCTGGGCAACACAGGAAGACACTTGTCCTACAAAAATAAATTTAAAAATTAGCCAGTCATGGTGGCACGTGCCTGTAGTCCCAGCTACTTGAGAGGCTGAGGTAGGAGGATCACCTGAACCCAGGAGTTCAAGGCTGCAGGGAGCTATGATCACCTATTGCACTTCAGCCTTGGCAGGAGAGCAAGATTCTGTCTCTCTAAAAAAAAGAACTTTGATGTGAACATTTAGAGACAGACACTAGTGGAGATACCAGAAAGACTGTAGTGTCCCTGTCCCTGGGAATTCTAGGAACAGCCCCTAGATGTCCAGCTGGGTGAAACCTCATATATGGAGTCTTCCCCAGAGACAGGGGACTGGCTGAGTTGACCTCAGCCGGTCCCGGAAGCCTCCCTGACCTCTCCGTACCTGAAACCCAGCGTAGAGGAGAAACAGTGGCAGGATGGCCACAGTGGCCAGTGGGGTAGCCACTGCCACCACCAGGCTGACCTCCAGGAGTCCAAAGGCGTACATCAGCAGGGACCGGAGTTTGTCTGGAATGTCCACGTCAACCGTGTCTGTCTCCTTGGAGAAGCGGTTTAGCAGGTGACCAATGGGTGTCCGCTCAAAGAAGCTGATGGGAGATCGCACCACATCCCACAGGAGCCTCTGGAAGAGCAACCTGGATGCCCGGGCCCCACCTAGGAGCACCGCAGCCATGGAGGCAAACAGCCCAATGGCTGGGGAGGGAGAGGAGGTAAGAGCATGAGGGCTGGAGACCCTCAGGAGCGGCCCACGGGGCCCTGCGCAGGTCTCTCCCGCTACCCCATGGTGGACATCTTATGGCTTGGCCACCCTGATTATTATATTTTTTTGAGACAGGGTCTCACTCTGTCACCCATGTTGAAGTGCAGTAGCATGATGATGGCTCAGTGCAGCCTTGACCTCCTGCACTCAAGCGATCCTCCTGCCTCACCCTCCGAGTAGCTGGGACCACAGGTGTACGCCACCATGCCGGCTAATTTGGGGTATTTTTGTAGAGATGGGATCTTGCTATGCTGTCCAGGCTGGTCTCGAACTCCTGGGATCAAGTGATCTGCCTGCCTTGGCCTCCCAAAGTGCTGAGATGACAGGCATGAGCCACTGCGCCTGTACCCTGCTTGTTTCTTGATGTAATGGGTTGAAGAGTGTCCCCCAAAATTCATTTGGGATGGGTCCTAAATTCAGTGACTGCCATTTATATAAGAATACTAGAGGATACTCAGAGACACAGCAGGAGATATGAAGATGGTGACACAGATGGGAGGGTGTATCTACAAGCCAAGGAATGCCAGCGACTGCCGGCGACCACCAGAAACCAGGAGAGAAGCCTGGGGTGTATTCTCCATCAGAGCCTCCACGAGGGGCCGGGCACAGTGGCTCATGCCTGTAATCACAGCACTTTGGGAGGCCAAGGCGGGTGGATCACCTGAGGTCAGGAGTTCGAGACCAGCCTGAGCAACACGGTGAAACCCTACTAAACCCTACTCTCTACTAAAAATACAAAAATTAGCTGGGCGTGGTGGCAGGCACCTGTAGTCCTAGCTACTCAGGAGGCTTAGTCAGGAGAAACACTGGAACCCAGGAGGCAGAGGTTGCAGTGAGCCATAAGCCGAGATCGTGCTACTGCACTCCAGCCTGGTTGACAGAGCAAGACTCCGTCTCAGAAAAAACAAACAAACAAACAAACAAAAAAACCAAAAAAACCTCCACAAAGAGTTAACACTGCTGACACCTTGATTTTAGACTTCAGGCCTCAGAACTGCGACAGAACAAATTTCAATTGTGCTGGGCTCCCAAGTTTGTGGCAACTTGTTTGGCAGTAGCCCTGTGAGAGAAATGCACATCCTTCCTCCCAGTGCTAATCTGTATGCCTGGGGTGGGGCTAACTTCTCCTCTGGGGTGGGGCAAATTTCATCCATGGCCAATCCAAACCACTGCAGTTGGTTCAGGGATGAACACATAACCCAAGTCAGGCCAATGACAGGGAGACCTGGGACTTCACTAGAACTTTTGGAAAAGTGGTACTTGGTTGTTGGAGGTAGCCAAGCTGGAGCTGTGGAATATCATCTTACTGCCAGGGGCAGCAGCTAAGCTGGACAGGAAGCTGTCACAGAGGAGGGAAATAAAGCGATTTCTTGTTTGGACCCCTACATCCAGCCATACCTGAAGCCAGAAATCTAGGGATACTGGTCCCAAGAGCCAATCAATTCTCTTGTTGCTTAAACACTTTGAATTGGAGCTGAATTTGTTTATTTTCAGACGGAGTCCTGCTCTGTCACCCAGGCTGGAGTGCAGTGGTGCAATCTCTGCTCACTGCAAACTCCACCTCCCAGGTTCAAGCGATTCTCCTTCCTCAGCCTCCCAAGTAGCTGGGATTACAAACACTGACACCATGCCTGGCTAATTTTTGTATTTTTAGTAGAGACGGGGTTTCACCATGTTCGCCAGGCTGATCTTGAACTCCTGACCTCAAGTGATCCACCCGCCTCGGCCTCCCAAAGTGCTGGGATTACAGGCATGAGCCACTGTATCTGGCCTGGAGCTGAATTTTTTATTCTTTGTATTCGAGAGTCATAACCAATTTCTCTCTCTCAGCTCCCATCTCTCCATCTTTAGGGGAGAGTAAGACTTGCCCTTAGCTATCAAATGAGGGATGGAAGTGGAAGGATTTTGAAAGGGCTATTTGCCACCCAAATGAGGATTTGGGTTAATTCCAGGGCTCGGCTGACTCTGAGAATCCCTAATTTCCTCTTGGTTAAGTAACCATTCGCCTTGAGTATTCCACTGTACATGCAGTTGTGGTGAGTAGGTGTACAGGTTCTTAGGACTAGAAGAGTCCTCAAGTTCAGGCCTGGCGCCCCCTATTTTACAGGGGAGGTCACAGGCTCACAGCATTTTGGTGATGTGGCCAATGTCACCCAGTGAATGAGGACGAATCAACATGAAAACGAGGCAACTGTCCTTTAAAGATGAAGCCAGGCCGGGCGTGGTGGCTCATGCCTGTGATCCCAACACTTTGGGAGTTTGAGGCGGAGGATTGCCTGAGCCCAGGAGTTTGAGACCAGGCCGGGCCTGGTGGCTCATGCCTGTGATCCCAACACTTTGGGAGGTTGAGGCGGAGGATTGCCTGAGCCCAGGAGTTTGAGACCAGGCCGGGCCTGGTGGCTCATGCCTGTGATCCCACCACTTTGGGAGGTTGAGGCGGAGGATTGCCTGAGCCCAGGAGTTTGAGACCAGCCTGGGCAACACGGCGAAACCGTCTCTATCAAAAACAAAAATTAGCCAGCATGGTGGCATGTGCATGTAGTCCCAGCTACTCGGGAGGCTGAGGTGGGAGGATTGCTTGAGCCCAGGAGGCAGAGGTTGCAGTGAGCCGAGTTCGTGCCACTGCATTCCAGCCTGGGTGACAAAGCCAGACCCAGTCTATATATATGTGTGTGTGTGTATAAATAAGAAGCCAAACTCACATGTGCACTCCTGTTACTCCCTTCAGCCAGGCCACGTATTAAAAGGAGAAGAACCAGGGGTTGGGGACAGGGTGGGCGAGGCAGGAGAAGGGTGGGTGTGGTTGCAAAAGGGCAACACGAGAGCGCCTCGTGGTGAGGGGGTTGTTCAGTATCTCAACTGTCAACCATCGTGATGGATGCGAGAGACTAAACTGGGGATACGACTGCACAGAGGCAAACATGCGCACACCCACGTGCAAGCAAAACTGGGGAAATCACAATGAGATCCATAGGGCCGGGTGCGAGGGCTCACACCTGTAATCCCAACACTCTGGGAGGCCGAGGCGGGCAGATCATTTGAGGTCAGGAGTTCGAGACCAGCTTGGCCAACATGGTGAAACCCCATCTCTACTAAAAATACAAAAATTAACCAGGCTGCACACTTGTAATCCCAGCTTCCAGCTACTCAGGAAGCTGAGGTAGGAGAACTGCTTGAACCTCGGAGATGGGGGTTGCAGTGAGCCGAGACGGCAGCACTGCCCTCCAGCCCGGGCAACAGAGCAAGACTCTGTCTCAAAATAAAATAAACAAATAAATAAATAAATAAATAATTGAGATCCATGGATTGATGGGTGTCAGGATCCTTTGTGTGATACTTTACTATCAGTTTGCAAAATATCACCAATGGGAGAAACTGGGCAGACTGTTCAAGGTAGCTGGCTGCCTTATTTCCTAGAACTGCATGTGAATCTACAATTATTTCAAGAAGAAGTCTTTCCATTTTTGACGAGGAGAAGAAGGAGTGATAGCGGTGATGCATTTGTTAGGGAGGGTCTGGCTCTGTCTGGAGGTTTGGGGGCAGGCACTGAAAGCCACCAGCAGGCAGGCCTTGCAGACGCCTTCCGCTAGTGGGGAGGGACTGGGAGAGGTTCTGAAGCTTCCAGAAAAGGAGGGATGTGCCCTGTCCTTCCCGTTCCCTCCAGCCTCATCTTAAGGACACAGATCTTTGCCTGGACCCCAGACGTTTTGCACACTGTTCCAGGGGGACAGGGTGACCCAGGGAGGGGTGGGGTAAAGGAGTCCTGAGCACCCCTTGGTGCAGCTGGGAGGAGAGGGATGAGGAGGGCAGGTGAGGCGTACCTTGGAGACAGCCGAGGAGCCCGAAGATCCCGCCACGCAGGGCTGCCTGCGTCTGCTGCCCACCTACTGCAGGGTCGTCCGCCCACAGGCTCAGCCAGTAGCCCCGGCAGAAGGAGGCCACTTGCTGGCAGAGGAAGAGGAAGAGTGCGTAGAGGCAGAGGGGGGTGCCCACGGCACGCAGGTAGGCCAGGTGCACTGTGGCCTTCACCTGTAGCACACATGAGGGAGAGGGAGGCAGAGAGAGCCCCCAGTGGGAGGGGTGGGTTGAGGCAAGGCCAGGCGAGGCTCCCAGAAAACATGCCCATGGCAGATGGGACCACCACGCAGACCTCACCGGTTCTCCCGCTGTGCCTCCCACCAGGAGCACCATTTCCCCGACAGGCCCCAGCCAGCCTTAGAACCCCCATCTCCTATACAATCCCCAGGGAGCTAGTATTAATATTTTTTCTTTTCTTTTTTTTTTTTTGAGGACAGGGTCTTGCTTTGTCGCCCATGTCACCCAGGCTGGAGTACACTGGCATGATCATGGCTCACTGCAGCCTTGAACTCCTAGGCTCAAGTAATCCCCCCGCCTCAGCCTCCCGAGTAGTCAGGACTAGAGGTTTGTACCACCATGTTTTGTTAATTTTCATAGTTTTAAAGAGATGGAGTCTCGCTGTGTTGCCCAGGCTAGTCTCAGACTCCTGGCCTCAAGCGATCCTCCCTCCTCGGCCTTCCAAAGTGCTTGGATTACAGGTGTGAGCCACCACACCCAGCTAGAAGGGTTTTCTTGAACACCCACCATAGGTCAGGCATGTGTCTCTCCTTATAACAACCTCCATTTCACAGATAAGGAAACTGAGGCACAGAGAGGTTCAGCCACTGGCTTAAGGTCCTGCTCCTACAAATCTGAAGTTCTCTGCACAGCTGCAGCCAGGCGGGACTGTTGAAAACATTAATCTAATTATATCTTGTCGTTGGCCTGTCCATGGCTATCTCTTGCTCTTAGAAGAAATCCCAGCCAGGAGGGGTGGCTCATACCTGTAAGCACTTTGGGAGGCCAAGGCGGGTGTGTCACCTGAGCTCAGGAGTTTGAGACCAGCCTGGACCAACGTAGTGAAACCCCGTCTCTACTAAAAATACAAAAATTAGCCACGTGTGGTGGCAGGCACCTGTAGTCCCAGCTACTCGAGAGGCTAAGGCAAGAGAATCGTTTGAAGCCAGGAGGTGGAGGTTGCAGTGAGCTGAGATTGCGCCATTACACTCTTCTCTGGGCGACAAGAGCGAAACTCTGTCTCAAAAAAAAAAAAAAAAAAAAAAAAGAAAGAAAGAAAGAAAGAAAGAAATTCCAAGCTTCTTATCTCGCCCCCACTCACTGCCTGCCAGCCTCATGGGACCCCTTTCTCTGGCACCCTAAGCTACTTCCCACCTCGGAGCCATTGCACCTGCTGCTCTCTCTGCCTGGAGCGCTCTTTCTCCTGCCCTTTGTATGACTGATTCCTTCACACATTCTTTGGGGAAGCTCAAATGTCACTTCTCAGAGCATCCTGTCCATACCAACCATGGTATGGTTTCTCAGTGGTCTCTATTTCATCATTCTTTCTTTTAAGAGGCAGGGTCTCACTCTGTCACCCAGGCTGGATTGCAGTGACATGATCATAGCTCACTGCAGCCTCGAACTCCTGGCCTCAAGCAATCCTCCTGCCTCAGCCTCTGAAAGTGTTGGGATTACAGGCATGAGCCACTGCGCCTGATCATTCTTATTTTCTTTATAGCACTTATTGTTATTGGACATAGCTTACTTATTAGCATAATTATTTACTCTCCGTCTATCCTCACTAGTGTCTAATCTCTACCAGACTTAGCCTGGCACATAGTGGGTATTGTGTACATGTTTGCTGGATGGATGAGAGGGTAGGTGGGTGAATAAATGAGCGGGTGGGTAGGTAGGTAGGTGTGTGAATGAGTGGATGAATGGATGGAAAGATCAATGAATGGATGAACAGCTGAACAGACAGATGCATAGGTGAGGGAATGGTTGGATGTATTGTTAGGTGGGATAGATGGATGGGTAAGCGAATGGGATGGATAAATGAGTAGGTGGGTGAGTGGATGGGTTGGACAGATAAATGAGTGGGTGGGATAGATGGATAAATGAGTGGATGGGATGGACAGATAAATGAGTGGGTGGGATGGATGGATAAATGAGTGGGTGGGATGGATAAATGAGTTGGTGGGAGGGATGGATAAATGAGTAGGTGGGATGGATGGATAAATGAATGGGTGGGTGGGTGGGATGGATAAATGGGTGGGTGGGATGGATAAATGAGTGGTTGGGTGGGTGGGATGGATAAATAAGTGGATGGGATGGATAAATGGGAGGGTGGGATGGATAAATGAGTAGGTGGGATGCATAAATGAGTGGGATGGATAAATGAGTGGGTGGGATGGCTAAATGAGTGGGTGGGATGGATAAATGAGTGGGTGGGATGGATAAATGAGTGAGTGGGATGGATAAATGGGTGGGTGGGATGGATAAATGAGTGGGTGGGATGCATAAATGAGTGAGTGGGATGGATAAATGGGTGGGTGGGATGGATAAATGAGTGGGTGGGATGGATAAATGAGTGGGTGGGATGGATAAATGAGTGGGTGGGATGGATAAATGAGGTGGGATGGATAAATGAGTGGGTGGGATGGATAAATGAGTGGGTGGGATGGATAAATGAGGGGGTGGGATGGATGGATAAATGAGTGGGTGGGATGGATAAATGGGTGGGTGGGATGGATAAATCAGTGGGTAGGTGAATGGATGGGATGGATAAATGAGTGGGTGGGATGGATAGGTGGGTGGGTGGATGAGCATCTAGGTGGATGATGGAATGGGTAAGTAGGTGGGTGGAGATACATAGCAGTATAGAAGATGAGAAACAGTGTAAGCTTCAGACTCAGATTGGCCTAGATTTGAGTCCCAGGTTGTGTCCCAGGCTAGATATGAAAACACAAACAAGTCTCTTAACTGTTTAAGACTTCAGTTTCTTGGCTGGGCACAGTGGCTCACACCTGTAACCCCAGCACTTTGGGAGGCAGAGGCCAGAGGATCACTTGAGCCCAGGAGTTCCAGACCAACCTGGGCAACATGGCAAAACCCATCTCTACTGAAAATACAAACATTAGCTGGGCATGGTGGCACACGCCTGTAGTCCCAGCTACTTGAGAGACTGAGGTAGGAGGATTGCTTGAGCCCAGGAGGTCGAGGCTGCAGTGAGCTATGATTACATCACTGCGGTCCAGCCTGGGTGAGTGAGCGAGCCACTTTCTCAAAATCAAAATAAAATAAATTTTAAAAGAATTCAGTTTCTTTATGTCTGAAATAGACCTATCATATCTATTTTTTAGGGTGGTTGTGAGGATTAAGAAAATGAACATCTAGAATGCTACTGGCACATAGTAGGTGCTCAAGAAAGGTGAGTATCACTGCCAAGTGCTACATTTGGTGGGAGGACTTGGGCCCCTGGAGGTGGCAGCAGTGGGTGGGGAGGGGTGGGTGAAGCTGGTGGTTACCCTGCCGTATTGGATGCTGTCCTTTCCTGCTGGCCATCCTGCCCTGTCAGGGTCATCCAGAGGAACCTCTGTCTGGGCTTCTGAAGTGGTACGGTCCTTCTCAGGGACTGACTTGATGGACCTGTCATTTAGAGGAAATGAAGACAAAGTCAGTATCTCTCCCAATGGTGGGGTGTATGTGCCTAACCCTCAGGCCCACTGACAGCCACTGAGCTCTGGGTACACTCTGTACTCTTTCATTCATTCATTTATCTAACAGAATACTGACCAGATATCACACTTCCCTTCTTCCCATATGGTACCCAGCTAAATGCCATCTATTACCCCAGGGTCAAGCAAGCCCATTCTTCTGATGCCAATTCACAGGATGAACTTAACTTGCCCACCATTGGAACTCTGTTCTCAGAATTTTCTTTTTTTTTTTTTTTTGAGATGGGGTCTTGCTGCATTGCCCAGGTTGGTCTCAAACTCCTGAGCTCAAGCAATCCACCTGCCTCAGCCTCCCAAAGTGCTGGGATTACAGGCATGAGCCACCATGCCCAGCCTGTTCTCAGAATTTTTATTTTGGCTTAAGCTTTCGTGCAATTGTTTTGTTCCTACTGTATACCATCAGATTTGTCAGTCCAACTGGCAGAATATAAATTATGCACAATTCAGATGCTAAAGACTCTTTGAATGTTTTATCTGTGGATGAGTGGGCTGACTTAACCTCTGTGCCTCAGTTTCCTCAGCTGTAAAAATAGGAATATTATCTATCTATCCATCCATCCATTTATCCATTCATCTACATACCTGTATATCTACATATACATGTCTACCTACCTTCTGTTAAATTGAGGTTAGCCCAAAGCTGCCTCCTTACATATTTTAAGTTTGGCCTAAAGGTTTTCCCCGTACATAGTGAACTGTAACCTAATTGGACTCAAACAGACTGCAACCTACTCCTGTGTCAATCACTGAGTTTCAGCCAATCAAAGGCAACCAACCGTTCAAACCATGTTCCAATAAAGCAAACGCTGAGCTGTAACCAATCCGGCTGTTTCTGTACCTCACTTCTGTTTTCTGTCCTTCACCTTCCTTTTTCTGTCTGTTAATCTTTGACCCCGTGGCTGTACCAGAGCCTCTCTGGACGTATTCTGGTTCAGGGACTGCCCGATGTGCGGATCATTCTTTGCTTAGTTAACCTCTGTTAGCCAGGTGCAGTGGCTCACGCGTGTAATCCCAGCACTTTGGGAGGCTGAGGCAGGTGGAACACCTGAAGTCAGGAGTTTGAGACCATCCTGGACAACATGGCAAAACCCTGTCTCTACTAAAAATACAAAAATTAGCCGGGCCTGGTCACATGTGCCTGTAGTCCCAGCTACTCAAGAGACTGAGGCATGAGAATCGCTTGAACCTGGGAGACGGGGATTGCAGTGAGCCGAGATTGTGCCATTGCACTCCAGCCTGGGCGACAGAGCAAGATTCTGTCTCAAAACCCCCCCCCGCAAAAAACAAAAAACCTCAGACACATTAAATTTGCTAGAGGTTAATTTGGCACAATCTCGGCTCACTGCAACCTCCGCCTCCGAGGTTCAAGTGATTCTCGTGCCTCAGCCTCCCGAGTAGCTGGGACTACAGGCACATGCCACCACGCCGGCTTTTTTTTTTAAATTTACTTATTTTTTATTTTTAGTAGAGACGGGTTCACCATGTTGGCCAGGCTGGTCTCGAACTCCTGACCTCTAACTAGTGATCCACCCGCTTCAGTTTCCCAAAGTGCTGGGATTACAGGTGTGAGCCACCATGCCCAGCCTTAATGTGTCTACTGGTTTTCTTTTAACATGACTACCTATCCATCTGATCTTACTTCAGATTCTTGTGCGCTGTGAAGGTGGTGGGATTTCTCAGTGTGTGTGTGATTGAGAAGTGCCCTCAGGGTGGCTAGCTGGGATGGGGGTCAGCCCCAATGGTCCCTGGGGACTGAGGCCCCTCAAGATCGCTGCCGCCCACCACCCCTGTATAGCAGGCACTTAAGCTCAGGCCATCTGGTATCAGTGGCCTGTTGTTCTGCTTCCCAAGACCCCTCTCATTAAGAGGGGAGAGTATCAGGCAGCAGGTCCTTCTGCTGCCGACAGCTCCACAGTGAGCCCAGCTGTGTCCTGGCTGGAGGGAGCTGAGAAAAGAGGGGACCGGAGGCCTCCTCCTGGCCCCTTGCCCACGTGTTCTGGCCAGCGTCAAGTGATGCTGTGCATACAGACCCAAGCCCTGTGCATAGCCAGCCTGTCAAAGCATAAGTGGCCAGGCCTGGCATGGTGGTTTACAGCTATGGGGAGGAACCAGTCCTGCCCTACTGCAGCATTCAGACAACTCCAGCAAGCTGGCCTCGGCCCACTTGAAGACATCCATCAATTGGAAGGCATATTGTTCATTCCATGAACTGGCCTTATGGGGGCCTAATCATCTTGGCTAACTGGACCAATTTTGGTAAATTATCCCTCAGCAGGGCACCATGGGGGGACTTCAGCAGGTTCTCTATCCATAATGGTTTTGGTTGCCCGCCTAACTGCCCGAGATGCGGGTGGTCCCTTCAGCTACTTCAGCTTCAGCCTGTGCCCTTCTGAGTGTGGCACCATGGTGGACTCACCTCTCGCGTCTAAGCTCGGGCCTCCTGCCTGCAGAGGTGCCTCTGGGGTCCTTGGTGCTGGTCCCAGGTTCTGTTTCTGCAAGGTCAAGAGAGTCCTGTCACGCAACACGGCCCAGATACCCACTTTGACACCCACTGACTATGTGGCCTTAACCGCTCTGACCATCCATTTCCCCTGATCTGGCTCCTGCCACGTCTCCAGCAACCTCTCTCAACACCCCACTCTGAGTTCTTCCAGGAACATCCTTCAGGCATTCACTCACTCATTCATTTCTTCAATCAGTGATAACTGAGCACCTACTATGAACTTGAGGTTGGAAAAACAGCATTTAACACTGTACAAAGTCAAGTTACCTCTGTTTCCCCCAACAGCCTTGCTCAAGCAGTTCCTTGTGTCTGGAATGCTCTTTTCTGGCTAACTCTCACCTACCCTCAGGTACCATCTCCCCTAGGAAGGACACCTCCCCACCACTATCCCCCAGGTGTGGCCAGTAACTGAAAGCAAATCTGTAGTAGTTTAACCACAGACCTGTAAGCAACAAGTAACTGCTACTGTAAGCTGCTAGGATTTGGGGGGCTATTTGTTACACAGCATCATCACAGCAAAAGCTGACCAACACAAACAGGCAAGTTCTATCTTCAAGCTTCAGGACTGTGACATTGTGAATCAACACTTAAGGTTTTAACCAGGTTGGGCCAGTGCTAAGCAGATGTTCTCAGAAGAAGCAAAGCCTGAGATTGAGGGAGACCTGGATGTGAATCCTTGCTTTGTCATGAAGGGATAGTGTAGAGGGTAGCAATTAAAAAACACATTCTCTGGAATCAAGTTGCTTGGGTTCAAATCCCAGTGCTGCCACTTACAAGCCATGTAACCTGGGACTAGTTCCTTAACTTCTGGGCCTCAGTTTCCTCATCTGTGAAATGGAAATGATTCTAGTACCAGCCTCACAGGGGCATTATGTTGATTAAATGAGCTAACCTCTGTGATGTGCTGTTAGTTGCTACTTTTCAGTCATTGTGAGTGAGCTTGGCTTGGCAACTTTACTTCCAGAACCTTGCCATGTATCCAGCACACTGTTTTTTTGGATTATTAGAAACCCTAGCTAGCACGGTGTAGCTTGCTAGGCATCAAAGTCCTTCTTGGGCTGTCTCCATAGCAACTGCAAGCATAGACTCTGGAGCTGGACATACTCAAGTTCTAATCTTGTGACCTTGGGCAAGTGATTTAACTCTCTTTGCCTCAGTTTGCTCATCTGTAAAATGACAGCAATAACTTCACATGCCTCTGGGGCATGTGTGAGAATCAAATGAAATAGTGTATTTTTTACAGAAGCACTTAGCACAACCCCTGGCTCATGGATGATGTTATCGGCTATTCTTGGAGAAAGGTGACCTATTAAGAGAGCTGTCTGCTTCCAGGCCTAGGCCTGCAGACAGGGTGTGGCCAGAGCACTCCATTCATGCCAGTAGGACCCTTCGAGCCTTTTCCCCCAAGGGTGGCAGGAGCCAGGCCTGGAGAATCAGCAAAGCCCACCTAGTACCTCCTTCTCCTCTATCTCCTGGCTGTCTGGCTTGATCCAGAAGACACACGAGGGCCCCCTTCCTCTGCAGAAGCTCCTGGTAGGAACCCATCTCTGCGATGGCCCCATTTGCCAGCACTATGATCCAATCAGCCTGGGGCAGGATGTGGAGTGCGTGCGTCACGAGAATCCGTGTCTGGGCAGGGAAGGGGTAGAAGTTACACACATGTGGCCGGGTGCAGTGGCTCATGCCTGTAATCCCAACACTTTGGGAAGCCAAAGCATGTGGATCACTTGAGGCCAGAAGTTCGAGACCAGCCTGGCTGACACGGCTAAGCCCTATCTCTACTAAAAATACAAAAATTAGCTAGGTGAGGTGGCGCACACCTGTAGTCTCAGCTACTTTGGAGGCTAAGGCAAGAGAATCACTTAAACCTGGGAGGTGGAGCTTGCAGTGAGGCGAGATTGGACCACAGCACTCCATCCTGGGTGACAGAGCAAGACTCTGTCAAGAAAGGAAAGAAAGAAAGAGAAGAAAAGAAAGAAGAAAAGAAAAGAAACAAAGGAAGGAAGGAAAGAGAGAGAGAGAGAAAGAAAGAAAAAAAAAATGTACGGCCGAGCGCAGTGGCTCATGCCTGTAATCCCAGCACTTTGGGAGGCCGAGGCAGATGGATCACCTGAGGTCAGGAGTTCGAGACCAGCCTGGCCAACATGGTGAAACCCTTTCTCTACTAAAAATACAAAAAATTAGCTGGGCGTGGTGGCGGGCACCTGTAGTCCCAGCTACTCGGGAGGCTGAGGCAGGAGAATGGCGTGAACCCGGGAGCCGGAGCTTCCAGTGAGCGGAGATCGCACCACTGCCCTCCAGACTGAAAGACAGAGCGAGACTCCATCTCAAAAAAAAAAAGAAAAAGAAAAAAGTTACACACATGTGCTTGGCCAGCCTCCTGAGCTGGGGGTTGGGGTGGGGGTATTGTCCCTGGACTCAGAGTGGGGACAGCTCCCCTTCTTGTGCTCCTGCCGCCTTTCTTGTAAACAGCATATCCAAATAGAGAAACAGAGGGGACTCCCTTAGCCTGTGTCTCAAAACAAGAAGACAAGGAGTACATCTGACCCTGGCCAATCATCCAAGGCAAAGCTGTAGTAGTTAAATCACAGATCCATAAGGAAGAAACACCTGCTGTTGTAAGCTGCTGGGATCTGGGGGTTGTTTGTTACATAACATTGTCACAGCAAAAGCTGACCAATACAAAGAGGAAATTGGACTCAAGTGGAAGGGGGAGGTGAGATAAACTTGGGTTAGGACTGGATGCTAAGTGCTTCCTCTGCCTTTGCCCTGTACTGTCTGACACATGTTCCCAAACTTACTGTTCCCTGGAGTAGCCCACCAGGCCCAATGACCTGGTTGAAGACATGCTGGCCAACGTGGGCATCCAGGGCCGCCAGGGGGTCATCCAGCAGGTACACAGCTGCCTTTCTGTATACAGCCCGGGCCAGGCTCAGCCGCTGCTTCTGGCCTCCGGAGAGATTCATGCCCTGTGGCCACAAAAGGAACAGTGGCCTGAGTCAGCATCTACAGGGTGAAACTGGGGTGCCCAGGCTGTGGCAGGTCAGGGCACACCTGCCCATCAGGGTGAGGTACAGCTCAACATGCCTATTCCCTGGGGACAGGCCCAGCTTCCAAGGCACTCGCTCTCAAGCCAACAATGCCTCCATCCTTACCCGACCTCACTTCTCCACTTCCCAAGCACGCTTCCTGGAGGAGTTACCTACACTTCCCAATCCACTCTGTCTCCTCCTGCTCACTCTCTCTATCTCTTTGAGTCCAACTCTTGTTTCCCTTTCTCCACTGAGACCACCATCCATTTCCCTATTCCCTCATCCAGTGGCAGCTTTTCAGTCCTACTTTTTTATTTTAAATTTTAATTGTTTTCTTTTAGTTTTCATTGATATGTAATAGTTGTAACTATTCGAGGGGCACAAGTGGTATTTGGATACCTGTAGGGCAGTGGTCCCCAGCCTTTTTGGCACCAGGGACCAGTTTTGTAGAAGACGATTTTTCCATGGACCTGGGGGCAGGGGGATGGTCCGGGGGATGGTTTCAGGACGATTCAAGCACATTACGTTGATTGTGCACTTCTATTATTATTATTACTGCTGTTGTCGTTGTTATTATTGAGATGGAGTTTTGCTCTTGTCACCCAGGCTGGGAGTGCAATGGCATGATCTTGACTCACTGCAACCTCTGCCTCCTGGGTTCAAGCAATTCTCCTGCCTCAGCCTCCTGAGTAGCTGGAATTACAGGCACCCACTACCACGCCTGGCTAGTTTCTGTATTTTTAGTAGAGATGGGGTTTCACCATGGTGGCCAGGCTGGTCTCGAACTCCTGCCCTCAGGTGATCCACCCACCTTGGCCTCCCAAAGTGCTGGGATTACAGGCGTGAGCCACTGCGCCCGGCCTACTTGTATTATTATTGCATTGTAATATATAATGACTCACCATCATGCAGTATCAGTGGGAGCCCTGAGCTTGTTTTCCTGAAACTAGATAGTCCCTTCTGGGGATGATGGGAGGCAGTGACAGATCATCAGGCATTAGATTCTCATAAGATCCCTCACATGTGCAGTTTACAGTAGGGTTTGTGCTCCTATGAGAATCTAATGCTGCCACTGATCTGACAGGAGGTGGAGCTCAGGCGGTGATGGGAACAATAAGGAATGGCTGTAAATACAGATGAAACCTCACTCGCCTGCCCTCTGCCCACCTCCTGCTGTGCTGCCTGCCCAGTTCCTAACAGGCCACAGACTGGTGCTGATCCATGGCCCGGGGGTTGGGGACCCCTGCTGTAGACAATATGTAATGATCAAATCAGGGTAACTGAGATAGTCATCACCTCAAATATTTATCTTTTGTATTGGGAACACAACCATCCTTCTCTTCTAGCTATCTTGAAATATACAAGTAAATGATCATTAACTATAATTTCCCTTGTGCACTATTGATTACTTTAACTTATTCCTTCTATCTAGGCCTTCTTGTCTTTCATTCATTCTTTTAAAACTTATTTTTATTTATTTTTGAGATGGAGTTCCACTCTGACACCCAGGCTGGAGTGCAATGGCTTGATCTCGGCTCACTGCAACCTCTGCCTACTGGGTTCAAGCGATTCTCCTGCCTCAGCCTCCCAAGTAGCTGGGATTACAGGTACGCCACCATGCCTGGCTAATTTTTGTATTTTTAGTAGAGATGGGGCTTCACCATGTTGGCCAGGCTGGTCTCAAACTCCTGACCTCAAGCAACCCTCCCGCCTTGGCTTCCCAAAGTGCTGGGATTACAGGCATGAGCCACCGTACCCAGCCATTCATTCATTCTTACATTCAGTCATTCCACTAATAACCACTGCCTCGTTATCATAAACCAGGCATGGTTCTAGGCTCTGGAGAAACAGCAATGAGCAAAACAAAGTTGCTGCTCTCTTAATGGATCCATCATTCTCATGAAGGGGACAGAGACAGGCAATCCATAAACAAGTAAGGCAGACAGCACATCAGGTGGAAAGTGCTATGAAGAATAAATAGTAAAGCAGGGGGAGCCAGGTTCAGGGGCTCACGCCTGTAATCCCAGCACTTTGGGAGGCGGAGCTGGGTGGATCACTTGAGGTCAGAAGTTCAAGACCAGCCTGGCCAACATGGTGAAACCCCATCTCTACTAAAAGTACAAAAAAAAATTAGCCAGTTGTGGTGGTACATGGCTGTAATTCTAGCTACTCATGAGGCTGAGGTGGGAGGATTGCTTGAACTACTCATGAGGCTGAGGTGGGAGGAATGCTTGAACTCAGGAGGTGGAGGTTACAGTGAGCCAAGATTGTGCCACTGCACTCCAGCCTGGGCAACAGAGCGAGACTCCGTCTCAGAAAAAAAAAAAAGAAAAAAAGAAAAAGCAGGTGCAGGTGTAGGGTGCACTAACAATAGTAGGGTGGCTGTGGTGGTAGATAAGGTGGTCAGGAAAGGCCTCTCTGTGAAGGTGATAGAAGTGAGGGATGAGCCCTGGAGACTCCTGGGGAGAGCTTTCCAGCAGAGGGAACAGCAGTGCAAAGGCCCTGGGGCCAGAGTGTGCTGTGGGGGATCAGGGAATATCACAGAGACTAAGGTGGCTGCAGTAAAGCTGAGAGGTGATGATGGGAGATGGGGCTAATGGATACCAGAGCCAGGTCACAGGGACCTTGCCAGGGATTGTCATGACTTGGGCTTTGTCTCTGAGGTAAATGGGGAGATCACCTGAGGTCCGGAGTTTGAGACCAGCCTGGCCAACATGGTGAAACCCTGTCTCTACTAAAAATATAAAAATTAGCCAGGTATGGTGGCATGTGCCTGTAATTCCAGCTACTCAGGAGGCTGAGGTGTGAGAATTGCTTGAACGTGGGAGGCGGAGGTTGCAGTGAGCCGAGATTGCATCACTGCATGCCAGCCTGTGCAACAGAGCAAGACTCTGTCTCCAAAACAAAACAAAAAACAAAACCACAAGTGGTGGGCTGGATTTGGCTTGGGGTCACAGTTTGCCAACCCCTGCCCAATCCATAGCTCCAGATGCATATATCCTGTTTCTTGGACATCTCTGTCCAGACCCCTTGGTGAGGCCCAGAGAGGGGAAGCAATTACACCAACATTACTCAGCAAGGCAGGGCAGAGTAAGACAGGAGTCTAGGTCTTCTCACTCTCAGTTGTCAGAGAGCTCCTCACTGCCAATCCCTGCCACAACTCCCTGCCTCTCTCTTTGTGTCTATTTCTGCTTATCAATTAGTGATTACGTATTGAGCACCTAGCACGTGCTTGACGCTGAGCTGAGCCCTTTTTCTCCGCTACTTCCCTAACCATTCCTCTCATTTCTCCATCATACTGCCCATGATGAGTCGGGGACCCAAATGACTCCCAACTGCAATGTCTCCCTGTCCCAAAAAGACCCCCAAACTCTCACCTGCTCCCCAATTGAAGTGTGGATTCCCTCAGGGAAGCTGTCCACATCTGGCTGCAGGGCACAGGCTTCTAGTACTCTCTCCAGCCAGGGTGGGTCCAGCTCCTGCCCGAAGCACACATTCTCTACCACAGAGGTGTTCTGCACCCAGGCCTCCTGGGGCACGTAGGCCACAGCACCCTAAAACACAACTTACTTTGGTCACAGGAGGATGATGGGGACAGAGGTGGGATAGGTTTTGAGGAGCAGTGGGAGCTGGGCTCTCAGTGGTGGGTGAGAGGTGGAGAGAATGAGTGAAAGTGAACTTGGCTGGGATGGGGAGGGTGGGAAGGCAGCGAGGAAGTGGGACTTTCAGGATGGGGACATCCTAGCAGACAGGCTGGGGGTGGCCTCACCTCGATGCTCACGAACCCCTCCACCTTTGACAGCTCCCCAAGGAGGGCGGACAGCAGGGAGGACTTCCCTGCCCCCACTGGACCGACAACAGCCAGCAGACAGCCCTGGGGCACCGTGAGGTTTATTCTGGACACGCAAGAGGGGAGACATGACCTTGGTTAGGGTTCAGCCCGCCTCTGTGAGGAAGGATGAGCCCCAGACGGAGCTGAGCTTTCCTGCTCTGGGAGTCTCCAAGAGGACCTGTGGGGCTGTTCTTTTTCCCAGTCCTTGTCTAGCTATTTGAGGAACTATCCTGTGCACATCTGTGCATGTACACATGCACACAAAGCGTGCACACATGCATGCACATTTGCACACTCATACAAGCATGCTAGCATGCACAGCAACACAATGTGGGCACGCATCCACACACACACAAGTGCATGCACATACCCAATCAATCCATGCTCACACGCATACATGTGTGCACACATGCACACCACGCACACACACACAGGGTTGACTATAGCCTGAGGGTTTCACCAGCCTGGCCTCCTGCCTTGGCTCTTGCGATAAATAGGCTCTTTCCTCCCTCCCTCCCGCTACTCTTGGTCCCGCCCCACTCCTGTCCACGTCCCACAGCCCATCCTCCACCCAGTGACCAGAGGGATCTGTTAAAACCCAAGTCAGATCGTGACACTTCCCAGCTAAACCCGCCAGCACTCCCATTTCACTCAGGGTCAAAGCTAAAGTCCTGACGATCAGGAATGACATCTCCCGCCTCCTTCCGCTCTGTGCCTCAGCTGCTCGGCCCTGGCCTTGCTGACCTCCTTGCTGTTTCTTGAACACAAAAGGCCAGTGGTTCTCACCAGGGGGTGACTGCATCCCCCAGGAGTCATTTGGCAAGATCTAGAGATATTTTTGGATGTCACAACCAGTAGGGGGTGCTGCTGGCATCTAGTGGGTAGAGACTGGGGTCAGCTAAACATCCCACAATGCACACGACAGCCCCCAACAAAGGAGTTTCAGCCCAAAATATCAACCGTGCTGAGGTTGAGAAACCCAGGTCCAGGCACTCTCCTGCCCCAGGACCTTTGCTGATGCCATTCCCACCGCCTAGAAGGTTCTTCTCCCAGGCCGGGCACGGTGGCTCATGCCTGTAATCCTAGTCCTTTGGGAACTGAGGCAGGTGGATCACTTGAGGTCAGGAGTTGGAGACCAGCCTGACGAACATGGTAAAACCCATCTCTACTAAAAATACAAAAATTAGCTGGGTGTGGTAGCATGCGCCTGTAATCCCAGCTACTCGGGAGGCTGAGGCAGGAGAATTGCTTGAATCCGGAAGGTGGAGGTTGCAGTGAGCCGAGATCATGCCATTGCACTCCAGCCCGCGTGATAGAGCAAGACTCTGTTTCAAAAAAAAAAAAAAAAAAAAAAAAAAAAGAACAGCTCTTCTCCCAGACACTCCTTCCTTATGATCTCGGCTTGAATGCAAAGCCTTCCCTCGCTAGACATGCCATCGTACTCTGTTCCCTTGCTCTGGTTTTCTGTTTGGGCCTCACCTCTATCAGCATGTCACCCCACGAGAGCAGGGCCCTTGTCTGTTTCCTTCGCCCTATCCCCAATACCTAGAACAGAGCGTGGCCCATACCTAGTGCTCTATCGATGAAGTGAGTGAATGACAACCAATACAAATACTACCTGGGGCATATTCCTTCTCTTCTTAGGGAGTTTCAGGGCTGTCTGAGATTTTTGGCCACAAAGACCAAGCGATAGAGTTGGAGACTATAGATGATCATGACCTTGGACTGATACAGGAGGCACAGAAGTGAGCACAGCTGATAGGGCTGAACCTTGGGGCTCCTCTCAGCCAGCCCTCCCTTGGCATCGTCTTGGCCAGCCTGGGAGCACAGGGGTGTCTCCCCCTAATGGGGGAGGCTCAGATGCCCTGGTCCCCGTCTGCAGGAGATACTGGTCTATGCTGTGCAGGTCCCCACCTTCAGGAGGTAGAGATGTATCCTGAGAACCTCCCCGGCAGAGCCCCAGCCCAGCCTAACCCACCCTCCAGTCCCAGGCTGGAAACCTACACCACCTCTCAGGTGGGAGGCAGCAGGAGCCCCATGCATCTTCTCCCTAAAAACATGAGGCTGGTTACTACGGGTGTCGTTCTGTACCTGTGGAGGCAGGGAGGGCTTTCCTGGGACCAGGCGAAGGTGGCACTTTGTATCGTGATGCAATCCTTCCCGGCAGCTGCAGGGCACAAGAGGCCATTTACAGGAGACCCCTGACCTGGCCGGCCTCTGCATCGGAGAGGCCCCCAGGCACCATCCCCCGCCCCCCCAGGGGCAGAGGCTGCAGGAAGAAATCTCTCCCACTGAACAAATTGCCCTGCTACTCACTGGCTTCTGGGTGACCCCGCAGGGTTCTTGTTCTGTCTGTGTCCCATGGCTACATAATCCAGGGGGAGGCAAACTGTGGCCCAGAGACCAAATCCTGCCTGCTGCCTTTTCTTATAAATAAAGTTTTATTGGAACACGGCCACATCCATTCATTTCTCTATTTCATGCTTTGAGCAGTTGTGACAGAGACTGTGTGGCCCACAGGCCTAAAATATGCACAATCTGGTCATTTATGGAAAAAATTAGTGAATTTCTGAAATAAATTATCATCAAATCCCAGCCTTCCCAGAGTGAAGGGGGTGTTATTAATTTCACTGTGGCCGGCACAGTGTCTCATGCCTGTAATCCCAGCACTTTAGGAAGCAGAGGTGGTAGGATCACTTGAGGTCAGGAGTTTGAGACCAGCCTGGCCAACATGGCAAAACCCTGCCTCTACCAAAAAATACAAAAATTAGCCAGGCGTGGTGGTGGGCGCCTGTAATCACAGCTACTTGAGAGGCTAAGGCAGGAGAATTGCTTGAACCCAGGAGGCGGAGGTTGCAGTGAACCAAGATTGCACCACTGCACTCCAGCCTGGATGACGGAGTAAGACTGTCTCAAAAATACTACTGCTACTACTACTAATTATTATTATTATTTCACTGTGATAACAAGTGTAATTAGATTAGTGGTTCTTGATCCTTAAGACGTAGTTAGAATTGCCTGAAAGATTTTCTAAAAATCAAAGCTCTCATGGCTTAGCCCAGATCAATTAAATTCATCGTCACAATTAGCTGCTATAACGATTAACATGCCCATTTTGGAGATGGGAACACGGAAGCTCAGAGAGATGATCTACTTGTCAGGATCACCCAGCTAGTCAGTGCTGGGGCTGGGATTTGGACCTGGGCAGTTGAATGCCACAGGCTCGGCTTCTTACCACTATGTGGGTGTTTTCCAGGTACACAGTTTGCCCAGGTTCTTCAGTGCAACAAGGGGGAGGGTGTCTTGGCCCGTGGCATAAAAGAAGGATGGGGTGGAGGGGGAAGCCCAGGTAACTTGAGCTTGGTAAGTCTCATCGTGCAATGGTGCTTGAAATGCTGCTATTTTCCAGCTTGATCAAAATGCTGTCATGCTTATTACCTGGGACTTTCTGCATGAGGACAAGGACCTGGTCTGTTAGAGCAGGAGTCCTCAACCCCCAGGCCACAGACTGGTACCAGTCTGCAGCCTCTTAGGAACTGGGCCATACAGCAGGAGGTGAGCGCAGGGCAGGTGAGCAGAGTGTCATCTGTGTTTATAGCCACTCCCCATCACTCCCATCACCGCCTGAGCTCCACCTCCTGCCAAATCAGCAGCAGCAATAGATTCTCAAAGGAGCATGAACACTTGTGAACTGTGCATGTGAGGAATCTGGGTTGCGTGTTCCTTATAAGAATCTAATGCCTGATGATCTCTGTCTCCCATCACCCGCTTTGGGGCCATCTAGTTGACGGAAAGCAAGCTCAGGGCTCCCACTGGTTCTACGTTATGGTGAGTTGTATAATTATTTCATTATATAGTACAATGTAATAATAATAAAGGGCACAATAAATGGAATGTGTTTGAATCATCCCAAAACCACGCGCCTCTCCCCGGTCCGTGGGAAAACTGTCTTCCACAAAACCAGTCCCTGGTGCCAAAAAGCTTGGGGACCACTGTGTTAGAGTGTTCCCTGTTGTACACCCAGGATGGTACAAAGTGGGCGCTCAGTGAGTGGTCGCTGAATGGCTAGCAGAAAGAAGAGCAGCACGGTGCCAGTTTCCAAGTGACACGCAGATGGCGTGATCTGCACGTGTCATCCATTGCCCGCAGCCCCCATCTCCCTCCAGTGCTGATGCTGGCTTGCCATTATGGGCCGGGGTGGCCCCCACATCCCCCATCCCTCCCACACCCCTCCTGCCAGACTCAGCACTCACCGCTTCCAGAGGAACTTGAGTCTACGGCACCAGGGTCAACTTCTTCCAGGCAGAGGAAGGTGACCAGACGGTCAAAGGACACCCGGGCCTAGGAAAACCGAAGCCGCAGGTCACCCAGCAAGAAGAGCAAAGAACTCAGGTTTTGGGTGTCGGTGTCTCAAGATGTGTGGCAAAAGCTTCCTGTCTACCAAGCTCTGTGCATAGGAGGCGTGAGGACAAAGCTTTCTAGTTCATGGGAAACGATGCAACCCGAGTGGTGACCTTGATGGTGGTGATCTCCCACCTCTGCGATCCTACAAATCAGTGACACCGAAGCAAGCCAGCTGCCATTCTGCAGACAAGATCTGGGAAGAGGATGGTGGCTTTTCCAATAAGGTTATCAAGCCATTGTGTGGAACAATTTCAAATGTTGTCCACCTGGGGGCGCTCTCTCCCAGTCACAAACCCATCTTTGGGGAAGAAAGAGACCAGTCGTTAAAATAGAGATTAGGCCAGGTGCAGCGGCTCATGCCGGTAATCCCAGCACTTTGGGAAGCCAAGTGCAGGAGGATCACTTGAGGCCAGGAGTTGGAGACCTGGGGAACATAGCAAGACTCTTTGTTTCTACAAAAAATTAAAAAAATTAGCCGGATGTGGTGGCCCATGCCTGTAGTCCCAGCTACTCAGGAGGCTGGGAGGTAGAAGCATCACTTGAGTCCAGGAGTTTGAGCATGCAGTGAGCTGAGATCGTGCCACTGCACTCCAGCCTGGGTGACAGAGTGAGACACTGTCTCAATAAATATAAATAAATAAATAAATAAATAAATAAATAAATAAATAAATAAGGCGGCTAGGCGCGGTGGCTCATGCCTATAATCCTAGCACTTTGGGAGGCTGAGGCGGGCTTATTACATGAGGTCGGGGGTTCAAGACCAGCCTGGCCTGGCCAACATGGTGAAACCCTGTCTCTACTAAAAACACAATAAATAAATAAATAAGACTGGGTGCAGTGGCTCATGTCTGTAATCAGCACTTTGGGAGGCCAAGGTGGGCAGATCACCTGAGGTCAGCGGTTCAAGACCTGCCTGGCCAACATGGTGAAATCTCATCTCTACTAAAAATACAAAAAAAAAAAAAAAAAATTAGCTGGGCATGGTTGTGCATGCCTGTGGTCCCAGCTACTTGGCAGGCTGGGGCAGGAGAATCACTTGAATCTGCGAGGTAGATCTTGCAGTGAGCCGAGATTGCACCACTGCACTCCAGCCTGGGTGACAGAGTGAGACTCCATCTCAAATAAATAAATAAATAAAAATAAAAAATAAAAAACATGGAGATGGCTCAGGTATGCCACCGTTTCTTGTTTTCACCATGCTGAAAGGACTAGAGATAGCAAAGGAAGAGAAACAAAATCGCTTTGTATAAAAAAGGGAACTGACATGATTGCTTGTATGTGGAATTGCTGGGCAGATGGACAAGTATGCATGTTCTGAGGTGTGTGTGGAAAGGTCTGCACATTGCCCTCCAAAGGCTGACCCCTTCCAGATGTATTTGCTGTACTCTCTGCCCGCCTCTGTTCTTGCCCCTACCCGCCTCTTTTCCAGCTCCACACCATCCCTCTCCCTCCCACTCTGTCTTCCCTCTCCTCTGCAAATGGCAGGGGTAGGGAAGCTGGAGCCAGGTGTAGCCCACGCACTCTCCCAGGATGGCTCCAGCCCTTGCACCCACCTCACCTGGACGAGGGAGTGGATGGAGAAGGGCAGGAAAGCCTGGGCCTTGTTGAGGATGTTGAGAACTGTGAGAGTCACAAAGGCTTTCTCTGCATTCATAGCATTCTCGGCCACCAGAGTGTGGACAGCAAACACCACCAGTGCGACCTGGGGGGTGGGGGGGACACGTGGGGCAACAGTGAGACACGCAAGCATGGATAGGGCAGCCTGGGCAAGCTGTGGTGCCTGCACGGTCCATGTGGCCCACCCGCCATGTCCGCATGTGCTTCCCTCCGTAGATCCCACTCCCAGTCCTGCTAACACATGTCCTCTCCGCAGTCATAAGCTACATAAGGCTCTCTCTAAAGACACAGCGCATTGCTAATGGTGATGAGTGCGCAGCCCCACGGCTCTAGGCATCACTAGAACCTAGGGGAGAACCTAATGCCTCTAGGTTCCAGGCATCGGGGGACAGCAGAGTTTTTGATCTTGGTAGCCCTGTTGTTCTAGACGTGGTGGAACTTGTGATTCTAGAGTCCCTTGGAAGATGACTCTAAAGTTGCAGGCAGGAGCAGCACTTGAGGGCTCTAGGTGTTGGTGCCATTTGTGGTGCTTTTTTTTTTTTTTGAGATGAAGTCTTGCTCTGTCGCCCAGGCTGGAGTACAGTGGCATGATCTCGGCTCACTGCAACCTCTGCCTCCTGGGTTCAAGTGATTCTCCTGCCTCAGACTCCCAAGTAGCTGGGATTACAGGCGCCCGCCACTGCAACCAGCTAATTTTTGTATTTTTAGTAGAGACAGGGTTTCGCCATGTTGGCCAGGCTGGTCTTGAACTCCTGACCTCAGGTGATCCACCCACCTCGGCCTCCCAAAGTATTGGGACGACAGGCATGAGCCACCACACCCAGCCTACGTATCAAATTTTTTAAAACTGTGGTTTAGGAAGGTTGTTCTGACAGCAATATGAAATAAATTACAGAATGGCAGGACAAGGATCACGTCCAGTGACAGGGTGGCTATGGACATCTGCTGGCCAGGATCAGGGAAGTCACTCTGACCCAGGATTCTACCTCTGCCACCCCCCTGCATCTGTACCCTCCTCCCCACATCGGTAGAAGCCTGGAACTCTCTCTGAGAGTTCAGCAGACTTTATCAGCCACTGCCACCTTTGCTAGAATAATATGATTAATTAGTTCTTGTAGAAGACAGCAGGGACCCAGAGAGAACAGGATCCAGAATGAGTGGGTTTTGATGGACGGGGTGGTAGGATCTGGGGGGCTCCACCTACCTCACCCTGCCCCCACCCCCGCACTCCTTCCCCAGTGCTGCTCAGCATAGAGACTAGAGTGACGTCACCAGAAATGTAGACACTTGGAAGGACACCAGCGACACAGAGAAGAGGAGGCCGGAGGTCCGCAAGGCGCCCAGCTCCTGGCCTCGGATGCCCAGGACTCTGTCCAGAAAGGCTCCCTCCCAGCCATGGAACTTGATGGTCTTCGAGTTCCTGAGGATAGAGCTGGTGAGCCGTGCCCGTGAGTCCTTCTGCCTCATTTGCTCCTCCTGGGATCGGAGGGAAAAAGAGAGATGAAGACAGGGACAGTTGAGAATTCTTCCCTGCACCCTGACAGCCACCCTTCAGCAAATCCCATTCATCTCACCAAACTGCGTCCCAAACCTGTCTGCCTCTCAGCACCTCTGACCCTCACTCCTGGTCCAACCACCATCATCCTGTACCTGGACTTCTGCAGGAGTGCCCCTGGGATAATGTGCCCCACGGAGGAAGCCTCTGATGCCCGGAGAACAGAGGCAGCCTGAGCCCACCTGGGTATGACACCATCAGGAAGGCTACCTGGAGGTGGTTAATGCCTGAGCTACGTCTTTTTTTTTTTTTACCTTTTACATTTTTTGTGGAGTTGGGGTCTCACTATGTTGCCCAGGTTGGCCTCGAGCTCCTGGGCTCAAGTGATCCTCTGCCCTCAGCCTCCTAAAATGCTGGGATTACAGCCTGAGCTAAATCTTAAATGACCAGGAAGTGCGTGCTGAGCAGGCAGAGGATGGGGGGATGGAGCTGGAGAAGAGGGAGGGGAGGGGCTTGAGATGGGGGTGGGGGGTGGGGGCTGGGGGGTAGGGGGGTGGCGGGGGCAGCTAAAACCCAGGCACAGGGAATAGCATGACTCAGAGGACACTCAGTGTGACCAGAGGACCGTGTGGGCAGGGTCACTTGGCACTTTAAAGTCAGGCAGAAGAATTCAGGGTCTCTTGTGCTTCACCATGGGGCGGGGGCATCATCAGAGGGGCAGCTGCCTGGAGAAGGTTTTACTTTTTGAGACTGAGTCTTCCTCTGTCGCCCAGGCTGGAGTGCAGTGGTGTGGTCTCGGCTCACTGTAACCTCCGCCTCCTGGGTTCAAGCGATTCTCCTGCCTGAGCCTCCCGAGTAGCTGGGATTACAGGCGCCCGCCACCACGCCCGGCTAAATTTTATATTTTTTGTGGAGGCAGGGTTATGCCATGTTGGCCAGGCTGGTTTTGAACTCCTGACCTCAGGTGATCTGCCTGCCTCGGCCTCCCAAAGTGCTGGGATTACAGGTGTGGCCTCCCAAAGTGCTGGGATTACAGGTGTCAGCCACTGTGCCCAGCCTAGAATGTTTTAGAGGAGTCCACGCAGGAGGCTGAAGAAACAGCCCAGGTGACAGACGGACACTGGGACAGCTGGGCCAAGAGAGGAAATAAGTTCCTTCCCTCCATCCCCCATCTCTCCCTCTCTCTTTCCCGCCTTTTCTTTCCTTCCTTCCCTATCTCCTTTCTTCCTCTTTCCTTTGCTTTCTTCCCTCTTTCATTTCCTTCCCTCCCTCCCCCCTTTCTTCCTTCTCTCCCTCATTCCTTCTCTTCCTCCCTCAATTCTTTCCTTCCCTCCTTCCCTCTGTCCTTCCTCCCCTTTCCTATCTTTCCTTCCCTCCCTCCTTTTCTCTCCTTCCCCTCCCTTCTTCCTCTCCTCCTTTCCTTCTTCCCTCCCTCCTTTCTTCCATAGTTCACAAACACTTACTGAGAACCTTCTGCCTGCCAAGCACTAACTAGATGCCGAGTTGGCCACAATCAGTGGCCTGTGCTGTTGCAAAGCTTCCAGTTAAGGAAAACAAGGCAATCAACCCTGCCGGGTGCTTCCTGTAGGACCCTGTATGTTGTGGGAAGTGCTGTGGGGGGAAAAAAGCAAAAACAATCCCAGGGCAGGCAAAGGAGAGGCTGCTGCTGGGAGGGGAGGGATGGACGTGCCATTTCCTTGCTGGAGGGTGGTGAGGGAAGCCGCCCTGACTGCAGGGAGGTGACAGAGGATCTTCGGGAGTGAGGGTGATCCAGGTGGAGGGAACAGCTAAAGCGAAGGCCTGCAGGGATGTGTGAGATCGGGCAGGTTTGAGGATGGGAGATGTGTGGGGAAAGGCAGGGAAGGAGGGGAGATGGGTAGAAGGTGAGGTTGGAAGCAATAAGGCCAGCTCAGGGCGGGCCTGGTGGGCCACTGTGGGGTCTTTGGCTCAGTCTGAGGAAAATGGGGCCGCTGTGGGTCTGAGTAGAGGAGGGGTACAACGTATTTGGTTTGCATAGGTCTCCTCTGGCTGGGAGTGGAGAGAGGCTGAGGGCAGAGGCGGGGAGTGAGCCAGGGGCTTGCTGCTGTGACCTGGGTTAGAGATCATGGGGTTTGGAGAGCCTATGCTGGGAAGTGTGACATTTTGGATGCATTTTGAAGGTGATGCCAAGCAAATCTGCTGACAGATGGGATGTGAGAGAAAAAGGCATTGAACTGACCCAGGGCCTGTGGCCTGAACATTGGAGGGACGGAGCCACTGTCCATTGAGAGGATAGGGGGAGGGGGTGCAGGTCTGAGTGATGGGCAGCTCACAGACGACAAGAACAAAGCCAGACCCGTGGGCTCGCACTCAGCTCTCCCCTCCCCATCTCCCACACCAGGACCTGTGGCTTCCTCCCTACTTCCTGCCTGGTCCGTCCCTTTCCCAAAAGCCAAACCTGATGGTGGTTCCTTTTCTTGGAGATGAAGAAATTCAGAGGGAGGAGGCTCAGGAAGACAGCGATGGCAGTGAGGGCGGAGGGCCCCAGGAGCTGGGGATAGAAGGGGCAGGATGTCAGGAGATCCCGAGGAGCCCAGCTCTCAGAGGCACGTGAACCAGAGCAACTCCATCTTGAATAGGGACTGGGTAAAATGAGGCTGAGACCTACTGGGCTGCATTCCCAGACGGTTAGGGTATTGTAAGTCACAGGATGAGATAGGAGGTCGGCACAAGATACAGGTCACAAAGACCTTCCTGATAAAACAGGTTGCAGTAAAGAAGGCGGCCAAATCCCACCAAAACCAAGATGGCTACGAGAGTGACCTCCCGTCATCCTCACTGCTACACTCCACCAGTGCCATGACAGTTTACAAATGCCATGGCAACATCAGGAAGTTACCCTATATGGTCTAAGAAGGAAAGGCATGAATAATCCACCCCTTGTTTAGCATATCATCAAGAAATAACCATAAAAATGGGCAACCAGCAGCCCTCTGGGTTGCTCTCTCTATGGAGTAGCCATTCTTTTAGATCTTTACTTTACTAAAAAACTTGCTTTTGGCCGGGCACGGTGGATCATGCCTGTAATACCAGCACTTTGGGAGGCCGGAGGCGGGCAGATCACCTGAGGTCAGGAGTTTGAGACCAGCCTGGCCAACATAGTGAAACACAGTCTCTACTAAAAATATAAAAACTAGCCAGGTGTGGTGGTGGGCACCTGTGATCCCAGCTACTCGAGAGGCTGAGGCAGGAGAATAGCTTGAACCCAGGAGGCGGAGCTTACAGTGAGCCACGATCGCACCACTGCACTCCAGCCTGGGTGGCAGAGTGAGACTCCGTCTCAAAAAACAAACAAACAAACACTTGCTTTCACTTTATGGACTCGCCCTGAATTCTTTCTTGCACGAGATCCAAGAACCCTCTTTTGGGATCTGGATCAGGACCCCTTTTCTGTAACACAGCTGCAGACCCCGAAGGTGGTCAGACTTGGGTCCTAAGATGGGGATGTCAGGGAATCTGATAAGGGCAGCCACCAGGTCCCAGGGATCTGTGCTCATGGGGTCTGCTGTGTCAGGAGATGCCTGCTGAAGGTGGGGTCCTTCAATGTCAGGGAGGGAAACAGCCCTCTTACACGATAGGGAGAGAGTTATATTCAAGACAGATTGTGCACACACACGAGTGGGACTGGGGGGTGTTCCCAGCCACAACAGTAAAGTTGAGACCTATGGAATCAGGGGACCTGGTTCAAATCCTGACCCTGAGAGTTTTGAGTGTGGCCTTGGGGCAAGTCATCTCCCTTAGGTGCAATTCTCTTGTCTGCAAAATGGGAATAGAGTTGTTCTCATTTGGCATTTTCTCTTATTGCGTTTAATTATTTTCCTAATCTTCATTTCATCCCTCGCAAGGGTTGTCAGATTTAGTAAATCATCATACAGAATGCCCAGTTACATTTGAAGATAAAGAGTGAATAAGGTTTTAGTCTAAGTCTCGTGAAATATTTGGGACATACACTGAGAAATTCTTCCTTTTGTCTGAAACTCACACTTCACTGAATGTCCTGTGTTTTCTCTGGCAACCCTGCTCCCCCACCAACGTGGTGATTTTGGGATGGTTATCTTCCCCCTCTCAGCTTTGGTTTCTATATCTGGAAAATGTGGAAGTGGGGGGTAGAATAAATGATTTTTAAGTTGCTGTGACTTTCTGAGATTTCTGCACAGGTTATTTGGACCCATTCTCTTGACAAGCCCCACCCCAACTCCAGTCTGTGTGCCTCAGTTTCCCGTCTCAGTCCTTAGGAACACTATGTTTATTTATTTATTTATTTGTTTGTTTATTTTGAGATGGATTCTTGTTCTGTGACCCAGGCTGGAGTGCAGTCTCATGATCTTGGCTCACTGCAACCTCTGCTTCCCAAGCGATTCTCCTGTCTCAGCCTCCTGAGTAGCTGGGATTACAGGCATGTGTCACTCGGCTAATTTTTGTATTTTTAGTAGAGATGGGGTTTCACCACGTTGCCCAGGCTGGTCTCGAACTCCTGGCCTCAAGTGATCCACCCACCTCAGCCTCCCAAAGTGCTGATATTACAGGTTTGAGCCACCCCACCTGGCCTGGGAACACTATTTTCTAACATTGGGCCAGTTTGTTTCATTTATGCGGCAATGGCGCTACCTAGTGGCTCAATGGAGAAGGGCGCAGAGGGTAAACACCAGCCCACAGCAGGGCTTGGAAAAACACTCAAGGAATGTGAGCAGAAGATGAACATCTCTGTCTGGGGGAAAAATGGTATCATTAAACTGTAGCAACCTCAGTGTCCACTCCTCCTTCACCAAGACCTCACGGTGATGTTAGGAACTGTCTACCAAGAGGCAGGAAAAGTACACAAGCAAAGTAACATGGTGCATTATCTATGGATATCTTGTTGGTCTCATCTAATTTTTTTTTTTTTTTTTTTTTTTTTTTTAGAAGGAGTCTCACTCTGTCGTCCAGGCTGCAGTGCAGTGATGTGATCTCAGCTCACTGCAACCTCCACCTCCCGGGTTCAAGTGATTCTCCTGCCTCAGCCTCTCTAGTAGCTGGGATTACAGGCACATGCCACCATGCCCGGCTAATTTTTATATTTTCAGTAGAGACAGGGTTTTGCCATGTTGGCCAGGCTGGTCTTGAACTCCTGACCTCAAGTGTTCTGCCGGCCTTCACCTCCCAAAGTGCTGGGATTACAGGCGTGAGCCACCGTGCCCCGCCTGGTCTCATCTGATTTTTAGCAACGGTGGGGTCAACCTGATCAATTGCCCTGAATTTTCCCACGTTCTTCCTCTCTCCCTCTCTTTCTTCCTAATGATGACATTTATGTACTGCACATGAAGCCCTGTCTGAGTGCCTTATGTTGTAATTGCTAAGCACCTGCCTATTGTTTGCAAGGCCCTGGAATACAAGGTGAAGACACTGGAAAAAGTCCTGGCCCCTAGCCCTAGCAAAAACAATCATATGCATGAGCATTCGAGTTTTTTTTGGAATATTCAGCAATTACAATCAAAATGCCATTAACAGTTTTTACAAGGCCAGGCACAGTGGCTCATGCCCGTAATCCCAGCACTTTGGGAGGCTGAGGTGGGCAGATCACCTGAGGTCAGGAGTTCAGGACCAGCCCAGCCAACATGGTGAAACCCAGTTTCTACTAAAAATACAAAAATTAGCCAGATGTCGTGGTGCACGCCTGTAATCCCAGCTACTCAGGAGGCTGAGGCTGGATAATTGCTTGAACCTGGGAGGTGGAGGTTGCAGTGAGCCGAAGTTGTGCCATTGCACCAAAGCCTGGGCAACACAGTGAGACTCTGTCTCAAAAAAAAAAAAAAAAATCAAAAGGATACTATTTCACGACATATGAAAATGATATGCACTTCAAATGTCAGCATCCATAAATAGAGTTTTATTGGAGGAATACCATGCCTGTTTGCTTAGTATGGTCTACAGCCACTTCTGCACTCCAAGGGCAGAGATGAATATTTGCAGGAGAGATGGTGTGGCCTCCAGTGTAAAAAGCATCTACTGTCTTATCCTTTATGGAAAAGTAACTAATGATAATATTACAAATACCTACAGGGTGCAGTTGTGTGCCCGGCACCCTTTTAAGTGCTTTCTACATATGGGCTTGTTTAATGCCTCAGCCCCTCTGGGGCAGGAGTGCTACTGTTAATTATGATCCTCACGTTGGAGACAAGAACAGGAGGCACAGAGAGAGTAGGGTCCTTGCACACAGATTCACAACTGGTAAGTGGTCAGAAGGAGGATTTGAGCCTAGGCAGTTCCCGATACAGAGTCTAATTTTATTTTTACTTTTATTTATTTGTTGGAGACAGAGTCTCACTCTGTCACCCAGGCTGGAGTGCAGTGGCATTATCTCAGCTCACTGCAACTTCCACCTCCAAGGCTCAAGCGATTCTCCTGCCTCAGCCTCCTGAGTGGATGGGGTTATAGGCACCCACCACTATGCCCGGCTAATTTTTGTATCTTTCAGTAGAGACGGGGTTGGCCAGGCTGGTCTGGAACTCCTGGCCTCAAGTGATCCACCTACCTCACCCCCCAAATTGCTGAGATTATAGGCATGAGCCACTGTGCCTGGCCCAGAGTCTGATTTTAATTTAAAAAAAGAAAATCCTATACCACAACGTTAAAGGAATGAAGTTGGAAAGTAAATGTTTTGTTTGTTTTGTTTGGTTGTTTCCTGATGGCTACTTTGTGTTTTTTGAACACTAAGTAGCAATTTTTCCCCCTAAAATGTTCTCCTCTTGTGTTTTGTGGACAGTGGCTATGGTGGTGCCTCAGGGTTACTGGTAACTTCAAAACATGGTTAACTTGCCTACTGGGTACCCTAGTAGCACATGGGGAAGTATCAACGTCATCATCATCATCTTTCTACAGAGGAAACTGAGGCCCAGAGAGGGTGAACTTCCTGCCCAAGGTCAAGTGAAGGTCATCCTTATTGAGGACTTTTCCCATCGTATCAGACAATAGTAGGCAAATTGAGACAGGATTGGAGGAGGAGGAGAAGGAGGAGATGGGGGTGGAAGGGGAGGAGAAAAAGGAGGAGAGGAAGAAGAAAGGGAAGAGAAGGAGAGGGAAGAGCAGAGGGAAGAGAGGGAGGACGGTAGAGGAGAAGAAGGGAGAAGGGAAGAAGTGGGAGGGAAGATGACAGAGAGCAGAAAGGAAGAAGAAGGTGGAGCAGGAGAGAGGAAGAGGAGGAGGAGGGGGAAGGAGGAAAAGGAAGGGGTGCAGGAAGAGGAGGGGGTGCGTGGGCAGAAGGTGGGAGAGATGCAGGAGGAGGGAGGGTGCAGGGAGGGGTGCAAGAGGAGGGGGGCAGGAGGAGGAGGCTGGGGCAGAGGGAGAGGGGAGGAAGCCTTATAAGCTTCTACACCAGGAATGGAATCCAGGGTGATGAAGGCAGAACAAGGGTAAAACCTTTCATGTGCCTCTCTGACACCAACCTGGTTCTCCCACAGCCTCAGACTTGCCCTAACCCTGGGGTCACAGCGGACCTCTTCCAGCCTCTTGAATGCTAAGTCAGGAGGAGGAAGGGTGGGAGGGGGAAGGAGGAGGGGGAGAAGGAGGGGGTGGGGGACTCCGTTCAAATCCCCTCTTCCTCCTCTCGCATACCTGCCAGAGATAGACGAAGCAGACCACGATCCAGACGAGAGGCAGCCACAGCCCGTTGAGGTAGAGGACGCTCTCGGTCAGCCGCTGCACGTCTACGGACACCAGGTTGACCACATCACCCACCGCACTGGCCTTTCTGGAGCCGCTGGACAGAGCCAGGACCTGGCGGGTGGGCAGAAGGAGAGAAGTAAAGTGGGGAGGCCGGGGCAGAGGGATGCCCCAGGTGGCTTCTCCACCCACTGAGCCCCACTTCACGCGTCTGCGAGGTGGGTGAGTAAAGTCTCTTAGGCCAACCTCTCAGGGCTCTTTGAGGATCCACAGAGATGACAAAAATGAAAATCCTCCAAGATCCCTAAAGCACGGGAGGCATAATAATGAATAACATGCACGAAAACACCAGATTAACACAGATAACGGTGGTCATCTGCCCAGTGCTCACCATGTCACAGGCACTGTGCTAAATGAACAGCCTTATCCTTTCCCGGGGTGCTCACAGCCATGAATGGTACCAAGCAGGCACTACCATATTCATTCCCTCTAATGCCAGGCCAGGTGCAGTGGCCTCTGCCTGTAATCCCGCCACTCTGGGAGGCTGAGGTGGGAGGATTGCTTAATCCCAGGAGTTCGAAACCAGCCCGGGCGACATAGTAAGACCCAAGCTCTACAAAATACTTTAAAAAATTAGCCAGGGGGCCGGGTGAGGTGCCTCACGCCTGTAATCCCAGCACTTTGGGAGGCCGAGGTGGACAGATCACCTGAGGTCAGGAGGTGGAGACCAGCCTGGCCAACATGGTGAAACCCTGTCTCTACCAAAAATACAAAAATTAGCCGGGCATGGTGGCAGGCACCTGTAATCCCAGCTACTTGGGAGGCTGAGGCAAGAGAATCGCTTAAACCCAGGAGGCAGAGGTTGCAGTGAGCCCAGATCAAGCCATTGCATTCCAGTCTGGGCAACAAGAGCAAAATCCATTTCGGGGGGAAAAAAAAAGAAAAAATTAGCCAGGCATGGTTGTGGTGCGCCTGTGGTCCCAGCTAGCTACTGGGGAGGCTGAGGTGGGAGGATTAATTGAGTACAGGAGGTTGAGGCTGCAGTGAGCCATGTTGGTGCCACTGCACTCTAGCCTGGGCAACAGAGCAAGACCCTGTCTTTAAAAAAAATTCTATGGATAAATTGCTCTCTATTATTCTCTCACCAAGGAAAATACCACTTCCAGTTAAATTAAGACATGTAAGAGACATCTCGATTTTGGAAGTATTAGAGTGAAAAAAAAATGTGAGACGAGAATCAATGAAATGAACATTTACTAACCCCATCCTATGGCTAAAGAAACCGAGGCAGAGAGAAGTTGAGCAACTTGCCCAAAGTCACAGGCCTTGTAAGCGCCTACACAAGGAATGGAATCCAGGGTGACCAAGGCATGACAAGGGTGAGACCTTTCACGTGCTTCTGTGACACCAACCTGGTTCTCTGGCAGCCTCACATCTGCCTTAACCCTGGGGTCACAGTGGACCTCTTCCAGCCTGTTGAATGCTAAATTCCACATGCAGCCCTCCCTTTGTGACTGCGTGAGGGAGTGAAGAAGTGATCCAGGAATGACTGGACACAGAAATTCTCCACTTAGCAAGTCTTTGAAGAGTGCCCACTGTGTGACTCACACTGAGCTGGGAACTGAAAATACAGCTGTGAACAACAGAGATGAGGCTTGCTCTCCCGGGACTGGAGTTTGAGGTGGGGAACAAGGCTCTATAATAAAGATTTATATAACTGGCCGGGCACAGTGGCTCACACCTGTAATCCCAGCACTTTGGGAGGCTGAGGCGGGTGGATTGCTTGAGGCCGGGAGTTCGAGATCAGCCTGGCCAATATGGCAAAACCCCATCTCTAGTAAAAATACAAAAATTAACTGGGCATGCTGGTGGGCACCTGTAATCCCAGCTACTTGGGAGGGTGAGGCAGGACAATCACTTGAACCCAGGAGGCAGAGGTTGCAGTGAGCCAAGATTGCACCGCTGCACTACAGCCTGGGTGACAGAGTGAGACTCTGTCTCAAAAAAATAAGACAAAACAAAAATATTTCTATAACTCATGCTTTAATGGCAGTTATGATGAGTAACATAAAAAAGTAGCCCAGGCTGAGCGCGTTGGCTCATGTCTGTAATCCCAGCACTTTGGGAGGCTGAGGTGGGTGGATCACCTGAGGTCAGGAGTTCGATACCAGCTTGGCCAACATGGTAAAACCCTGTCTACTAAAAATACAAAATTAGCCAGGCATGGTGGCGCACACCTGTAATCCCAGCTACTCAGGAAGCTGAGACAGGAGAATCACTTGAACCCAGGGGGTGGAGGTTGTAGTGAGCCGGGACTGTGTCACTGCACTCCAGCCTGGGCAACAAGAGCGAAACTCTGTCAGAAAAAAAAAAAAAAAAAAAAGCCCAGAGGTTAGAGAGGAGGGATCTGATCTCATCAGGAGATCAAAGAAGGCCTCCTGGCGGGTGGGTGGGGAATAGGAAGATCAATACCTGCTCACCAGGCGGCCTTCCTCTTAGGCTCAAGGAAATGTGGACTCTCAAGACAGGATAGGGCACACCCAGCTCTGGCATGCTCAGGGGAACAGGAGCCTGGGACGCAGCACTCTGGCAGGACAGCATCAAGAGCTGCCCTCTCGGCCACCTAGGAGCTGTCCCTTCTGTCCCCTCCTCCCCTAGGTGACAGCTCAGGTGTCAGGGAATGACACTTACATGGGACGGGACCTGCCCTGGCTCAGATGCTCCATACCCCACAGGAGCCAATAGCTCTTGGGGCAGCAGTCGAGGGACTTAGCTTCCAGAGTCCCCGGAAGGGACAAGAGCCACTGCACAGAGAGAAGTCTAAAGCTATGGCCTCCAACCAGGTATTCACAGTCAATGGACAGAACTTCCAGCCCAGATGCAATTTGGGTTTTTTTGTTTTGTTTTTTTTTTGTTCTGAGACGAGGTCTCGCTCTCTTACCCAGGCTGCGCTGTAGTGGCGTGATCTCAGTTCACTGCAACCTCCACCTCCCGGGTTCAAGCGATTCTCCTGTGTCAGCTTCCCAAGTAGCTGGAATTACAGGCACATGCCACCATGCCTGGCTAATTTTTGTATTTTTAGTAGAGATGGGGTTTCGCCATGTTGGCCAGGCTGGTCTTGAACTCCTGACCTCAAGTGATCCGCCTGTCTCAGCCTCCCAAATTGCTGGAATTACAGGCGTGCACCACTGTGCCCAGCCTAGGGGTCATTTTTACCCCAAGCAGTATTGTCTGGGAACACAGCTGACAGGCCACCTTATCAGAAGGTTAATCCTTTATCCTCAAGGGGGAATGAGTGGAAGTTAAAATCAGGCTCAAAAATTAAAATTAGATTGGGGGAGTAGAAGTGGTGCCTAGACAGTGAGAACAGCTGCAAAGGCCCCAGGGTGGGTGGGGGCCTGGAGTGTTTGAGGAACTGAAAGGAGACCTGTGTGGCTGGAGGAGAGTGAGCATGGGAGGAGGTGACGGGATGAGGTCAGAGACACCCTAGGGACAGATCACACAAGACCTTACAGGAATAACTAAGGAGCTGAGACAGATCACTTGAGGCTAGGAGTTCGAGACCAGCCTGACCAACATGGCAAAACCTTGTCTCTACCAAAAATATAAAAATTAGCTGGGCGTGGTGACACGTGTCTATAGTCCCAGTTACTCAGGAGGCTGAGGCAGGAGAATCACTTGAACCCGGGAGGCGGAGGTTGCAGTGAGCCGAGATTGCACCACTGCACTCCAGCCTGGGTGACAGAGCAAGACTCCATCTCAAAAAAATAAATACATATAATACAGAGAAATAACTAAGGAAGTGAGAATGTATGGTGAGTGACTCTAATAAGCAAGGACTGAATGCGTTCTCAGCTGCTGATAACATTACTGCCCGCTCAGTGATACTGCTTTTCCTGGCTGGGAAGACCTGCCCTTGTCCCCCAGGGCTCACCTTTCTGTACACCAGGCCAGTGATGGCCGACCGCAACCTCATCTGCAGCACCTTGAGCCTGTACATGTTCTGCTGCTCAAACAGCGTTTGCAGGCAGGCTGAGAGGAACATCAGCACGGCGAGGAGGTAGCCCTTCCAGGCTGGAGGCTTGGGATCACCAATAAACTCCAGGAAAAGGCTTGCAGGGGAAGGAGGGAGAAGGTACAGCTGGTGAGAGGAGGTGCCTAAGGGTGTTGCCTTTGCCCAAACCAGTCCAGATGTGGAGGATCAGTCGGCCCAAACTAGTCCAGGTGTGGAGGATCAGTCAGTGTGGTTTTTTTTGCAATAATGGTCTCCGTTATTTCCCCCACTGTCCATACTCCTTTTCAATCTGACTGCAGCTCCTCAAGATCAAGAGGTGGAGTTTTTGTTCCCACTTGTTATAGGCTAAATTGTGTCCTCACAAAGTTTATATGTTGAAGCCCCGACCCCCAGTACCTCTGAATGTGACTGTATTTGGAAATAGGGCCTTTAAAGAGGCAATGAAGTTAAAAATGAGGTCATTAGGCTGGGCCCTAATCCAATCTGATGGGGTCCTTTTAAGAAGAGGAAATGTAGACACACAAGGAGACACCAGGGGGCGCAAACAGAGGAAAGACCATATGGGGACACAGGGAGGAGGTGGCCAACTGCAAGCCAAGGACAGAGGCCTCAGATGGAACCACCTTGCAGATACTAATCTCGAACTTCCAGCTTTGAGAATCATGATAAAATACATTTCTGTTGTTCAAGCCACTCAGTCTCAGTCTGTGATGCTTTGTTATGTCAGCTGAGCAGACACCACTTGAATCTGGGCTGGCTACAAAACCGGCTTTGGCCAACAGAGTACAGTGGAGGTAAAGCCATGCTGGCTCTGAGCCTAGGCCTCAAGAGAAAATGTGGTTTTTGGTCTATTTCTTAGAACCCTCCCAAGCACCCACATGAACAAGTCTGAGCTAGCCTTTTGGAGGATGGGGACCCACATGGAGCAGAGACAGCCATCCCAGTCTCAGATACACAACTGCAGGCACATGAGAAAACCCAGCCAAGAAAAGAACCACCACCCAGCTGAGCCCAGCCCACATTACTGACCCACATTACCATGAACTAAATAAAAGAATGTTTGTCATTTTAAGCCACTCACTTTTGGGGCATTTTACAGCAAAAACTAATTGATGCAGTCAGGTAAGAGCTTGCTTATTTGCCCTTCTGGGGGTCAGTCACTTTCTCATTAATCCATTTCCCTTCCTCAGTGTCCTTCTCACCCACCATCCAGTGTCCCGAGCACCAGACGTATAGGCAGAGGCAGGAGAGCTGAAGCCCCCTGGCCCTGGAAGGATGCCACTAAGAGACCACCCACCTTAGCAGGGCACTTGAGGTCTGGGACTCACCTGAGCAGCTTGGGGACAGTGAACCTGAAGACATCACTGATGATGAGGCTGAGGGTCCCCAGGAGGAAGGTAGAATGGAACACCTGCCAGATGGCCTTCAGCAGTGGGCGCCACTGGCTCCCTTCTTGCCGTAGGAAGGGCTCGGTCTCTGGAGCCTTCATGCCACTGCCGCCTTTCCTTTTAAATGCTATTGCCTTGTTGTGCCTGAGGGGAAGGGAGAGATTAGCTCTGGGTCCCATTTTATACTCTCAGCCGCCAGCGGCAGGGCCAGGCATTAAAGGGTTGTTTTCCCAACAGTGGAGATGGGTGGGTGTGGATCTAGCCTGGCTCCCTCACCTGTTCCTCCTTATCACCCTGAGTACCCACTTAAGAGGCAATCATGGGAGTTGGGGGGCAGGGCAGGAGGGCACTCTGAGGCCTCTTAGATGGCCATGGGAAAGCACACCTGTTGAGCACCTACTATGTGCCAGGCACTCCCCAGTCATCCTAAGACCCCCTGAGAAGCCAGGTGTTGTTCCCATTTCACAGATGAGAAAACTGGGGCTCAGAGAAGCGAACTTGCCCAAGGGCACACAGCTGAGAAGTAAAAGAACTGGAATTTGATTCCAGCTCTCTGCCTCCAGAGCCCATGCACTTTTCTTTTTTCTTTTCCTTTTTTTTTTTTTGAGACGAAGTCTTGCTCTGTCGCCCAGGCTGGAGTGCAGTGGTGTGATCTCAGCTCACGGCAACCTCCACTTCCCAGTTCAAGTGATTGTCCCACCTCAGCCTCTCGAGTAGCTGGGATTACAGGCAAGTGCCACCATACCCAGCTAATTTTTGTATTTTCAGTAGAGAAGGGGTTATGCCATGTTGGCCAGGTTGGTTTTGAACTCCTGACCTGAGGTGATCTGCTCGCCTTGGCCTCCCAAAGTGCTGGGATTACAGATGTGAGCCACCACACCTGGCCTCTCATGTACTTTTCAACCTATCGTGTTGTCAACCTGGAGGAAGAACAGCACCCCGTCCCCAACACACACAATCAGCCAGCCCTTAGGTGGTTTTGAACTGGTGGAGAATCACGGCTGATGGGCATGGGGCCTGGTGCTCTAGCTCTGGGTGAAAGTGCAGACAGAAGCTCAGGCTGCCTCAAACTAATAAGATCCCCAGCCTTTGGCTATAACCAGGGGCCACAGAGAAGAGCTAAGGTGAGGGAGGGAGAGGAGGAGATGGGGGAGGCCCGAGGGCCCCTGTGAGGCAGGTCAGAAGCCCTGGGCCAGAAAGGAGAGGCTGGGGCGATGCAGCTGCTGACAGTCCGGTTGCTGTGTGGTCCTGGGCGGGGACACTGCTCCTCTCTCTGTGTGTGAGAGGATGGGTGTGGTCCCCTGCTGAGTCCCCTGTGGCTCTGACAACCTATAAGGTTATCAGTAATTTCTTTTTCTTTTTCTTTTCTTTTTTTTTTTTTTTGAGACAGAGTTTCGCTCTTGTCGCCCAGGCTGGAGTGCAGTGTAGCAATCTCGGCTCACCGCAACCTCTGCCTCCTGGGTTCAAGCAATTCTCCTGCCTCAGCCTCCCAAGTAGCTGGGATTACAGGCACACACCACCATGCCTGGCTAATTTTTGTATTTTTGGTAGAGACAGGGTTTCACAACGTTAGCCAGGCTGGTCTTAAACTCCTGACCTCAGGTGATCCACCTGCCTCGGCCTCCCAAAGTGCTGGGATTACAGGTGTGAGCCACCATGCCCGGCCACTTATCAGTAATTTCAATCCCCATTACAGATCTGTGACCCGGGGCCACGTGCTGGGATCAGCTCTTTACACGAAGGAGCTCACTGACTCCCCTGGATCCCCTTGCCAGGTGAGCATTATTAGGTTTTCCATTTTACAGAAGGGGAAGCTGAGGCTCTGAGAGATGGCGACAGCCGCCCGAGGTCACACAGCAAGGGCAGAGCAGGGATTTGAGCCTAGATCTTGATTTATGGTTTGTAAAGGGTTTCTTGTGCACTAAGGACCCCCAACCTCACCATAATAAAATAATAATAAAAAAAGAAGCATAAGAAAAACCTCTGGTGAGCTCAGGTGGCCAGACCCTTCAAGGCCAAGGTCTCTGTCCCACATTATTGGTCTGATCTGGTGTTTGGTTTGGCATCTATGGAGGGTTGTGGTTCAGCTCTGTTACTGAGTGGGTGTGGCCTGCTGCTCACAAATATTTTGGCATTTGGATCTCAAAGCCAAGAAGATGCCCCTTCCATACAGAGAGCATCCCTGCCCACCCTTTCCTGTTTGATCCTGCCATTTAATTCATTGCCTTCACAGCCATGTCCATGGCTCCAACCCTCTCTTTGTCTCGTTAGAACCCCAGGTGGGTAGACTTTGCCTGTGTTTTCCACCAAGATGTCCCTAGTATAGAGTCCAGCTCCTGCACACAGTAGGAGCTCAATAAACACTTGTCAAATGAATGGGAAAAACAGATTGAGTGATGTGTGCAAAGGGCCTAATAAGAGTGCCCCCTGCACATACTGTTATAAAAATTTATAGAAGGAAGGAAGGAGCTTGGCTGGGTGGACAGAACTTGGCTTTGGAGCCAGGAGACTGTGGTTCCAATGCCTGCTCTGTCTCCTCTCCTCTGAGCCTTAGTGTTTCCATCTGCAAAATGGGGTCGGGGAAGAGTTCACTGGAAAGTTTTCTTTCTGGCTGAGGTTCTGCTCAGTTCTATTTGAGCTGTTTAACCCAGAGAGTCAGTGTGTTCAGCCTGCAGGCTCCATAGCAAGTGTTTTCCTCTCCTGCAGGTCTCACCTCCCATCAAGGAAGATGTCCAGATTGCTGTCTGACGTCTGGTCTCTGGACTGAAGGCCATTTAGTGCAGATCTCACAAATGATGGTGGGGCAAGGCAGGGGGTATGCATGAGTGGCATGGGCAAGGTGTGAGTTGGGGGATACAAAAGGGAGTGGTGGAGGCCGGGCACGGTGGCTCACACCTGTAATCCCAGCACTTTGGGAGGCCAATGCGGGCGAATCACCTGAGGTCAGGAGTTCAGGGCCAGTCTGATAGCCTGAGCAACATGGAGAAACCCCGCCTCTAATAAAAAATACAAAAATTAGTGAAGCCGACTGGACCAGCAGGTGGCTGTTGTGTGGCCTCTCAGGAGGACGCCCTCTCCCTTCCCCCAGTGGTTGCAAAATACTTCAGAAAGAAAACCAAAGTTCTCTGTGGGTGCAGTCGGTTGTTTCAGAAGCTGACGGAGCCTGGTCTTTGTATAACCCCATCTTTCCCCTTTCTTTCTGTCAACTGTTTATGGGAGGATTCTCAAACTGTTCTGGAGAATGTTTCTACCCTTTAGTTCTAGTGTTGGGTGACCTGTAATTTTCATGTTGGCTGGGGATGCCAGGAGTTGGCAGAGGCTCCTTCCAGAGCCCCTGTGGACTGGATTCTGCCACTTCCGTAAAATCATTCAAAAGTAGAGGGTGAGTCAGGTGCAGTAGCTCACATCTGTAATCCCAGCACCTTGAGAGGCCAAGGCAGGCAGATCCCCTGAGGTCAGGAGTTCAAGATCACCCTGGCCAACATGGTGAGACCCTGTCTCTACTAAAAAAAATTTAAAAATCAGCTAGATGTGGTGGCACACGCCTGTGGTCCCAGCTACTCAGAAGGCTGAGGCAGGAGAATTGCTTGAACCCAGGAGGTGGAGGTTGCAGTGAGCTGAGATCATACCACAACCCAGTGAAGGGGGTCCAGCAAGCCATGCCTGGGGTGAGAGAGAACTGATGTTTTGGTTCTCTCACACTACTTATTCTGTTTGGAAAAACACATGCCCTTCCTTTGTGGGAACAGCCCCTACCCACTTCTGTGGCTCTGAAGGGACCACCAGTCATGGCACCAGCCCCCTGGGCATGGGATTGGCCCCTGACAGGCACATGACTTGAGCCAGGCCAATTAGAGGCCTTCCTTGGGATTTACTATATGGACGTTAGGAGAGAGATGCTCTCTTATTCTGCTGGAGTTTGCTGAACTTGCATGGGAAGGGATAGGCCTTATGGAGAGACCAACACATAGATAATAGTTGGGATGGGAGATGAAAGGAGAGAATCCTGACATCATTTGAGTCCCCTGATCCAGCAACACCTGAGGCTAGATCCTCTTAGCTGTGTGAGCCTATAGTATCAGTCTCTGTCTCCTCTGTCTCTCTTAATGTGTGGGATTCAGCCATCTGCAACAACTACCACAAAATCCCGGAGTATGCAGGGAACTTCCCACAGAGCTAACTTCCTTTTTTGTTCTGTCTCCTAAAACACCAAGATCCGGTGAGGTTAAGCAACGTGTCCAAGGTCATCACTATTTGAAGGCAGGGCAGCATTTAACCCAATTTTATCTAATCCTATGCAGGCTCATTTATCTAGACCAGAGTTTCTCAAATGAGGCATCCCAGGCTCTAAGGGCTGCAGAGAAGTTTCCAGAGATGCCACTGAGGGCAGGAGTGGACAGAGTGGATAACTCCAAAGATCTTAACACCCTCTGGATGACTAACAGTGCTTGAGCACTTCCCATTTGCAAGACATTTGCAAGTTCTTTTCCATAAATCATCCTTTTTTTTCATCCCCATAAGCTATGAGCTGGGGCTAATGACATCCCCACTGAACAGATGAGAAAACTGAGGCCCAGGAAAGGAATTGCTCAGGTTATATAGTAAGTGAGCAGCTGCTTGTGTGTTGAGTCACCTCCCAACCCTCCACCCCGGCCTTAAAATACCTCTTCTGTTTGCTGCCTGTCATTCTGCCATTTCCCCATTTGTAGGAACCTGTTTGTTCCCCGTTTGTAGGAACCTGTGATGCGTTCTGGGAGGAACCATATCTTAAGCCTGATACTACTTAGTGGGATCAGCTGGAAGGCAAGGTGGGGAGGCGGCAGTGCCGCCAGAGTAGCGTTGGGGGCTGGACTGGGGGTCAAATGATGAGGTTTTTTTGTTTTTGTTTTTGTTTTTGTCTTGTTTGTTTGTTTTTTTTTTTGATACGGAGTCTGGCCCTGTCACTCAGGCTGGAGTGCAATGGTGACATCTCCACTCACTGCAACCTCTGCCTCCTGGGTTCAAACGATTCTCCTGCCTCAAGCCTCCTGAGTAGCTGGGATTATAGGTGCCTACCACCACGCCCAGCTAATTTTTCTATTTTTAGCAGAGATGGGGTTTCACTATGTTGGCCAGATTGGTCTTGAACTCCTGACCTTGTGATCCGCCTGCCTCGGCCTCCCAAAATGCCGGGATTACAGTCGTGAGCCACCGCACCCGGCCAATGATGAGCTTTTCTGAAGTAGCATCAGGTGAGTTCTTGACCTCCACCCACTTACCTCCGGGCTGCACTGCGGTTCCTCATCCACTCCTTTTCAAGCCGGGAAACAAGTTCTTCTGAGGAGTTTTCTCTCCCAAGCGACCAGAGGTCTTTTGGTCTCAGTGGCCTCCTGTATCCCCTCCAGACCAGGCTGCAAAAGAGGGGCACCAGGGAAAGCTTTTCCTGCCATTCACCCCTGCAGGATCCTGGCCAGGCGAGTAGCTGTGTGACCCTGGGTAAGTCACTTTACCTCTCTGTACCTCTACTGGCCCCTGGGTAAAAAGAAAGCAATTCACTAACCCCACCTAATGTCTGCAGGGCATTTCTCGTTTCACAAAGATTGTCTCATTAATTCTTACATGAACCCATAAGGTAGGTTATTATTGTTTGTTTGAGATGGAGTCTTGTTCTGTCTCCCAGGCTGGAGTGCAGTGGTGCAATCTCGGCTCACTGCAACCTCCACCTCCCAGGTTCAAGCGATTCTCCCACCTCAGCCTCCTGAGTAGCTGGGATTACAGGCACCCACCACCATACCCGGCTAATTTTTGTATTTTTTGTAGAGATGGAGTTTCACCATGTTGGCCAGACTGGTCTCGAACTCCTGACCTCAGGTGATCCACCTGCCTCAGCCTCCCAAAGTGCTGGGATTACAGGCATGAGCCACCACACCCAGCCTGTAAATTGATAGTTTATAATTGTATAAATGTATGAGTATATTATTATAGATCTATTTTACAGATGGGGAAGGAAATAGAAGTGCAGAGAGATTCAGTGGCTAAACCAAGGGATAGCCCTTGGCAAGGGAAACAGACATTTCCCTGGGAATCAGAAGTCCGTTGACCAAAACTATCATTGTAGAAGAAGCTTGAACTCCTCCCTCAGCTTTTTTTTTTAAATTATTATTATTTTTTTTGAGATGGAGTCTCACTCTGTTGCCTAGGCTGGAGTGCACTGATGTGATCTGGGCTCACTGCAACCTCCGCCTCCCTGGCTCAAGCGATTCTCACGCCTCAGCCTTCTGAGTAGTTGAAATTACAAGCCACCATCACACCTGGCTAATTTTTGTGTTTTTGGATGGTGTATCACCATGCTGGCCAGGCTGGTCTCGACCTACTGGCCTCAAGCAATCCTCCCACCTCAGCCTCCCAAAGTGCTAGGACTACAGGCGTAAGCCACCACACCTGGCTAATTTTTTTGTTTATAGTAGAGATGGGATTTCGCCATGTTGGCCAGGCTGGTCTCGAACTCCCGGCCTCAAGTGATCTGTCAGGGTTGGCCTTCCAAAGTGTTGGGATTATGGGTGTGAGCCACTGTGCCTGGCCTCAGGTCTCTTTAATCTTTCTGATGACACCAGCCAGAAGGTCTTGCCTGGTTCTGGTCTCTGACTCTTCTCTAAGCCTTACCAAGTTCCCTTTTCTTTTTTATTTTTATTCTTTTTATTTTTTTGAGATGGAATCTCACTCTGTTGCTCAGGCTGGAGTGCACTGGTGTGATCTCGGCTCACCGCAACCTCCACCTCCTGGGTTCAAGTGATTCTCCTGCCTCAGCCTCCTGAGTGACTGGGATTGCAGGCTCCCACCACCACACCTGGCTAATTTTTATATTTTTAGTAGAGATGGGGTTTCACCATGTTGGTCAGGCTGGTCTCGAAATCCTGACCTCAGGTGATCCACCTGCCTCAGCCTCCCAAGGTGTTGGGATTATAGGCGTGAGCCACTGCGCCAGGCCACCAAGTTCCCTTTTCTAATGCAGAGCCAACTTGGGGAAGCAACCGTTCTGACATAGAAATTATTAACGTGGCTTGATTTTCCCTGAAATTATTTTTGGAGTTCTCCTATATGGCAAGTGATGCTATAGATTTTTCCTATTTTAGCAGTGATAGAGAGTTTCTTTTTAAAAACAGTTTATTCGAGTAAAAAAAGTGACTCAATTTAGTTTTTGCCCCAGTAGGACAAAAAAGCATCAAGAGTGGTCCATAAATGCTTAAGTTTGGGAAGCAGGGGCTGGACCCCCCAGTAGAGCTGTTTCGAAAACCTCTAAGCTCTTTCTACCAGTTCCACACATTCAAAGCCTGATATTTTTCATTTATTTAATAGCCATTTAGGCCGGGTGCGGTGGCTTATGCCTGTAATCCCAGCACTTTGGGAGGTCGAGTGGGGTAGATCACTTGAGGTCAGGAGTTTGAGACCAGCTTGGCCAACGTGGTGAAACCCGGTCTCTACAAAAAACTACAAAAATTAGCTGGGCATGATGGCAGGCGCCTGTAATCCCAGCTGCTCGGGAGGCTGAGGCAGGAGAATTGCTTGAACCTGGGAGGTGGAGGTTGCAGTGAGCTGAGATTGTGCCATTGCACTGCAGCCTGGGCAACAAGAGTGAAACTCTGTCTCAAAAAAAAAAAGAGAAAATGAATAGCCCAGGCACAGTGGGTCACACCTGTAATCCCAGCACTTTGGGAAGCCGAGGCGGGCAGATCACCTGAGGTCGGGAGTTTCAGATCAGCCTGACCAACATGGAGAAACACTGTCTCTACTAAAAATACAAAATTAGCCGAGCATAGTGGTGCATGCCTGTAATCTCAGCTACTCGGGAGGCTGAGGCAGGAGAATCGCTTGAACCCAGGAGGCGGAGGTTGCAGTGAGCCAAGATAGTGCCATTGTACTCCAGCCTGGGCAACAAGAACGGAACTCCATCTCAAAAGAAAAAAAAATAATTACCACTTAAACTCATTATTTGCCAGGCCCTGTTCTAAGTGCTTTACAGATCTCATCTTATTTAAGCTTCACAACCCTATGAGCTAAGTGCTACTATCAATCCCATTTTGAAGGAGTGGAGACTGAGGCACAGAGAGGTTAAGTAACTGTCCAAAGCAACACAGCTAGGAAGTGGTAGGGCCAGGATTCAAATCCATATGTCAGGTGCTACTGAGGTCTGAATGCCGTGTGGTTAGGAGAGAGCACATCCTCAAGTGCCTTGTGAGCTGGCCCTGGAGAAGCAGCTGTTTTCTCAATCTGCCTGGAACCCTCTAGAAAGTAGACACTTGCTCCTTTATCTCCTCACCCCTGGGGCTTAGCACATAGTAGGTGCCTATTAAATGTTGGTGGAATGACTGAAATCAAGTATTGGAGACAATTCTAATTACTATTAAGCACCCGCTGTGTGCAAGCACTAAGCACTTTCCGTCTCATGCAGGTTGAGTCATCCCCATTTTACAGAGGGAAAACTGAGACTCCGGAGGTTTGCGACATGGCCTGCTAACAGGCAGAGCCGGGATTCAAATCAAGATCTCACTCCAGTGAGTGAATGGGAACAGGATGCAGATGGTAGACACTGAACACGAAGAAGAAAGCACTGAGGCTGGGATGAAGAAAGACTTGCTGGCCTTTGTAAGCACAGGGGAAGGGCCATGGCTGGGAATCAGAGCAGCAAATGCAGGCGGGTGAGGCACCACCCCAACCCTTCCGTGCGACTTTACTTACCCAGAAACCCACCAGAACGTGGCTTTGGAGGGGAAGGCTGCCCCAGTCTCTGGACAGGGGTTCTGCAACAGACAAAAATGGAGAAGGGAAGTATGTGGCAAGGGTAGGAAGACAGGACGAACTGTGTATTTTTTTTTTTTTCGAGACAGGGTTTCGCTCTGTTGCCCAGGCCAGAGTACAGCGGTGTGATCTTGGCTCACTACTACCTCTGCCTCCTGGGTTCAAGCGATTCTCCTGCCTCAGCCTTCCAAAGAGCTGGGATGACAGGTGTGCGCCACCACACACAGCTAATTTTTTGTGTTTTTAGTAGAGACAGGGTTTCACCATGTTGGCCAGGCTGGTCTCAAACTCCTAACCTCAAGTGATCTGCCTATCTCGGCCTCCCAAAGTGCTGGGATTACAGGCATGAGCCACTACACCCAGCCCTGACGGTGTATTTAGTACTGAAAGTAAACATCGAGGTGCCCTGTCTCCTTGCCAGGGGTGTAGACCAGTGAGCTTGGTGCTTCCCAGCAGGCAGCGTAAAAAGAGGTTGGGCCACAGGCCTGACAATGTCCACAAGGTAAGAAATAACAGTGGCTCAGAAGAACAACTATGATTATACTGAAACCAAAACCTTGCTTTGCTTCTCAAAAGGAAGGACACTGCATAACGAAGAAATTAGATCCTTGACAATATCCCTCGGCAAATGTTGTGAAGACAGACCTGTCGTGCGATTTTTGTCAGGTGCTCCAGGAAGATTACAACAGTCTGTACTCTTTACCAATAAGGCGTGAAGGTGCCCATTTCACCACGTTTTTGCCATCACAGCTTATTAATTTTTAAATTTTGTTGCTACTCTGGTAGGTACAAAAAAGATTCCTATGATAGTTTTAACTATTCTCAAGCCTTCGAGCAATTTTTTTTTTTTTTTTTTTGAATACAGGGTCTCGCTCTGTCACCCAGGCTGGAGTGCAATGGTGCAATCATAGCTCACTGCAGCCTTTATCTCTTGGATTCAAGCAATCCTCCTGCTTTAGTCTCCACAGAGCTACTCTGTAGTGGGACTACAGGCATGCACCACCACACTAGGCTATTTTTAAAAACCTTTTTGTAGAGATGGGGTCTCACTACATTGCCTAGTCTGATCTAGAACACCTGGGCACAAACAATCCTCCTTCCTCGGTCTCCCAAAGTGTTGAGATTACAGGCATGATCCACTGCATCTGGCCCCATTTGAACATCTGTTTATATGATGTCAGATCAGTCTCTTCCACAAAAGAATTGTTTCTTGATTTCACAGACTGCTTCACTGTTACCTATTGTAAATCTCTCAATCTCTCATGAGCTTCTTCTATGGAGCACTTACCCCAAGGGTAATTTTCTTTTTCCTTCTTTTTTTTTTTTTTTTTTTTGGTGGAGTTCCGCTCTTGTTGCCCAGGCTGGAGTGCAAATGCACAGTCTTGGCTCCCTGCAACCTCCACATCCCGGATTCAAGCAATTCTCCTGCCTCAGCCTCCCGAGTAGCTGGGATTACAGGCGTGCACCACCATGCCTGGCTAATTTTTGTAATTTTAGAAGAGATGAGGCTTTACCATGTTGGCCAGGCTGGCTTTGAACTCTCGACCTCAAGTGATCCACCTGCCTTGGCCTCCCAAAGTGTTGGGATTACAGGCATGAGCCACTGTGACCATCCAATTTTCAACATATTTGTTTAATTTTGTGACCAGTGTCTGGTTCCCCTGCTTGACCAGTAGCTACGTGAGAACAGAAACTCTATCTGCTTGTTCACCATAGATCCTTATGCCCTTGCTAGGGCATAGCGGGGTTTGGCAAACTATGACCAAATCTGGCCCACTGCCTGTTTCTGCAAATAGTGTTATTGCAACACAGCCATGCAATTTGTTGACATATTCTGCTTTTGCGTTCAATGGCAGAGTTGAGTAATTGCCACTGAGATCACTGTATGGCTCACAGAGTCCAAAATATTTTCTCTTGGCCCATATAGAAAAAGTCTGCCAACTGTGGCATCGAGTAGAAATGTGGTACACTTTTTGCTGAATGGCTAAATGAATAAAAAAATTAAAGACTTTTGGTCACCTGGGGGAGACTGAGACCTCAAAGTGGAACAGGAATGAGGTTGGAACTTGGTGACTTACAGACTGCTGGGGGTCTTCAGGGAAGAAGGGGGGTTGATCCGCCAGGCAGGACAGCACAAACTGTGCCACCACCAGAGACAGGCATAGGTAGGTGGACAGGTGGCGGACAGGGTCGCTCTGGAAGCCCTGTGGGAGGGAAAGCAGAAGATAAGGAATGGAGACAGAGGAGGGTGCTCAGAGGAGAGAAAAGGTTTCTGATCTTGGGTCAGTGCCCACTCTGGGGACCAGGGCAAGAGTATTTGAAAGCCAGAGCCCTGGCTTTCCTAGTGGTTCTAATTTTCTTTCTTTCTTTTTTTTTTAAGACAAAGTCTCACTTGGTCGCCCAGGCTGAAGTGCAGTGGCATGATCTCGGCTCCCTGCAACCTCTGCCTCCTGGGTTCAAGTGATTCTCCTGCTTCTGCCTCCTTAGTAGTTGGGATTACAGGTGCCCACCACCATGCCTGGCTAACTTTTTTAAAATATTTTTAGTAGAGATGGGGTTTTGCCATGTTGGCCAGGCTGACCTCAAACTGCTGACCTAAAGTGATCTGCCTGCCTTGGCCTCCCAAAGTGTTGGGATTACAGGCATGAGCCACCATGCCCAGCAGGTCCTAATTTTCAAATACCCAATTTATAATATTCTGTCTATACAAATGGTGGGCCAGGGCTGCGTCTGGGTTTTGTCCTTAGCCACATGATGATTGGCCACAGCTGCTGGGACAATGAGATGAAGAAACAATTTACCTTCTTCTTTGTGCCACAAAAGAAATCCTTTCTCCGTTCCACCCTCTACCCCAATCTTCAACCCTGCTCCCCCTTGGCCAGGGTTCTCTGGTTTGCAGAGATGAGAGCTGGTTTTATTGAGCACTGACCCTGCCCTGAGCACATGCGGCATTCTTGCCATACACAGTCTCATCAGCTGGAGTTTACTTGCTTCCTTTGACTCAGGGGGAAACCAAGGCTCAGAGAAGTGACAGCACCTTGTTCAAGGACACGCAGATGATCTGGTCCAAATTGTGATGCTCCTGCTGCCACACCACAATGATTTTTGCATCTGCTGCCCTGTCATCTGGTCAGAAACACCCTAATTTTCTTTCTTTTTTTAATTTAAAGCATTTTTTATTTTTTAATTTTAGGTGTGTGTGTGTGTGTGTGTGTGTGTGTGTGTGTATACTTTTTTTTTTTTTGAGACGGAGTCTTGCTTTGTCACCCAGGCTGATGTGCAGTGGCATGATCTTGGCTCACTGCACCCTCCGCCTCCTGGGTTCAAGCGATTCTCCTGCCTTAGCCTCCTGAGTAGCTGGGATTACAGGCATGTGCCACGACCCCTGGCTAATTTTTGTATTTTTAGTAGAGATGGAGTTTTACCATGTAGGCCAGGCTGGTCTTGAACTCCTGACCTCAGGTGATCCGCCTGCCTTGGCCTCCCAAAGTGCTGGGATTACAGGCATGAGCCACCGCGCCCGGCCTGATATATATATTTCTGGATGACGTGAGATATTTTGATACAGGCATGCAATGCATAATAATCACATCAAGGTAAATGAGGTCTCCATCCCCGCAATCATTTATCCTTTCTGTTACAAATGATCCATTCTACTCTTGTAGTTATTTTATTTTTTAGTTTATTATTGAGTTGGAGTCTCACTCTGTTGCCCAGGCTGGAGTGCAGTGGCTTGATTTTGGCTCACTGCAACCTCCGTCTCCTGGATTCAAGTGATTCTCCTGCCTTAGCCTCCTGAGTATCTGAGATTACAGATGTGTGCCAGCACGCCTGGCTACTTTTTTTGTATTTTTAGTAGAGACAGGGTTTCACCATGTTGCCCATGCTGGTCTTGAACTCCTGACCTCAGATGATCCTCCTGCCTTGGCCTCCCAAAGTGCTGGAATTACAGGTGTGAGCCACTGTGTCCAGCCTCTTTTAGTTATTTTAAAATGTACAATTAAATTATTATTGACTATAGTCACCCTGTTGTGCTATCAAATAGATATTATTCTTTCTGTTTTTTTGTACCCATTAACCATCCCCATTTCCCCCACCCACTGTCCTTCCTAGCCTCTAGTAACCTTCCATCTACTCTATATGTTCATGAGTTACATTGTTTTAATTTTTAGCTTTCACAAATAAGTGAGAATATGTAAAGTTTGTCTTTCTGTGCCTGGCTTATTTCACTTAACATCCATGTTGTTGAAAATGACAGTACCTCATTCTTTTTTATGGCTGCATAGTACTTCATTGTGTATATATACCACATTTTCTTTATCAGTTCGTCTGTTGATGGACACTTAGGTTGCTTCCAAATCTTGTTTATTGTGAACAGTGCTGTAATAATCATGGGAGTGCAGAGATCTCTTCCATGTACTGATTTTCTTTCTTCCTAAGTTTTTTGCTTGTGTTCGGGCGTGTGATTTGTGCAGAACTGACTCTACTCCGAGGCTGGGTGGGTGAATGAGGCCTGGCCAACGAATACGTTCTGGTCTTTTGGCTACCATGGCAGGGTTAGGAATGCACATAGCACCCCATGCTGGGTACTTGAGAGCTGGAACCATCGGGAGATTCTGCTGGCTTTGCTACATGCTAGAATGTAAGTGTGAAGGTATTGGTGGCTCTTCTTGCCACTCCATTGGAGAATCAAGCTAACATGGCAGAGCCAAGAGGCAGAAGTGGAGATCTGGTGATGGTACCTGGTCCCAGGCCTGGATCAGTCATGCCTGGGAGATCCCATGGGTATGAGCTAATAAATGCATGAGCTAATGAACCCCCTTGACTTACCCTTTTCATTAAGCTAGTGTGAACTGAGGTTTTATGGCTTTAAACCAGAGCCCTAGTTTTAAATCATGATTCCTCTACTGGATTTTATACTCTTCTAGTTTTGGGTTTTTGTTTGTTTGTTTGTTTTTTGGCAGATAGCAGACAATTGGATATTCCAATGACAATATGGCCCATCTTCCCTAAACTCCCACTGTTTTCCCCACTGTTTCTCTCAGAAAGTTTGTTCTGAATTTGCCTGAGATGAACTCGGGCTCTGCACTCCCAAGCTTTGTGGCCCTGAGGCCGTCATTCCCTTCTCCTAGCCTTAGTCTCCCTCATCTTTAAAATGGGACGGCTAGAATTCATCATTGGCTGGGGCACATTGGCTCAAGCCTGTAATCCTAGCACTTTGGGAGGCTTAGGTGGAAAGATCGCTTGAGCCCAGGAGTTTGAGACCAGCCTTGGGAACATAATGAGACTTTGTTTCTATTTCTATTTAAAAAAATAAAGAACCCATCACTGTGAACTCTTGTGAGAATCCAGTGAGGAGACGTGTGTAAGTGCCTGCCACAGTGCCTGGCACATGGTTGGAACCCCAGAATGTATATGGTCCCAGTATTATTGTTTCTATGCTGTGTCCCAAAAAGCTGACTTATGTCAACTGTGGGAGCCCACCATTTCAGAAATTACTGAATAACCTGTGGAATTTCCCCTTAGTTACAAAGGTTACTCTTTTAAAAACTCTGTCCTCGGTCAGGCGCTGTGGCTCACGCCTGTAATCCCAGCACTTTGGGAGGCCGAGGCGGGTGAGTCACTTGAGGTCAGGCATTTGAGATGAGCCTGGCCAACATATTGAAACCTTGTCTCTACTAAAAATACAAAAATTAGCTGGGCATGGTGGCACATGCCTGTAATCCCAGCTACTTGGGAGGCTGAGGTATGGGAATCGATTGAACCCGGAGGTGGAGGTTGTAGTGAGCCAAGATCGTGCCACTGCACTCCAGCCTGGGCAATAGAGCAAGACTCTGTCTCAGAATGAACAAACAAAAAATAAAAACTCTGTCCTTAAGGACAGGGTGATGCTTCTCTACCTTCTCCTTTAGGGGCAGGATGGAGTAACCACTGGACTGAAGAAATGATCTGTGAGTCCAGACGTGGTGGCTCATGCCTCTAATCCCAGCATTTTAGGAGGCTGAGGTCAGAGAATTGCTCGAGCCGAGGAGTTCAAGATCAGCCTGGGCAACAAAGCATGATGTTGTCTCCACAAAAATAAAATAATGAAGTAAAATATCTGAAACCTGCTGCAGCCTGTTCATTGGTGTTAAGATAACTCCCTCTCCCAGAAGCCTTGGCTAAGCACACTGTCGAGGCCAGTGCTTCTCAATAGGTGGGTGACTTTGTCCTCCTCACCCCCAGGGACACTTGGTAATATCTGGAGACATTTTGGGTTACTGCAATTGGATGGTATGCTACTGGCACCTATGGGCAGAAGCCAGGGATGCTGTTTCACACCCTGCAGCAAACAAGACAGCCCTGTCCACCCAACAAAGAATTGTCTGGCCACAACATTACTAAAGCTGAGGCTGAGGGAAGTTGGTCTAGGCTACATGTTTTTCTCTTTACAGAGAAAATGACCCATCATGTCTCCTAATAGAGAAACGCTGCTTCCGGCCGAATGACAAGAGCTCACGCCTGTAATCCCGACACTTTGGGAGGCCAAGGCAGGTGGATCACTTGAGGTCAGGAGCTCGAGACCAGCCTGGCCAACATGGTGAAACCTCGTCTCTACTAAAAATACAAAAATTTTTAGTAGAAATTTAGTAGAAATTTTTAGTAGAAATTTAGTAGAAATTTAGAATAAGCCAGGTGTAGTGGCACACACCTGTAATCCCAGCTACACAGGAAGCAGAGGCAGGAGAAGTGCTTGAACCCGAGAGGCAGAAATTGCAGTGAGCTGAGATCATGCCACTTCATTCCAGTCTGGGCGACAGAGCAAGCCTCTCAAAAAAAAAAAAAAAAAAAAAAAAAAAAAAGCTGCTTCCCAGATTGGGCAACAGAAATACGAGTGGTGTGCAGAATGAGTGTGTAAATATAGGTGCATAGGAACATGGGGAGGGTGAATCCATGACATGAGGGGAGGTGTGCACGGAGGGGTATGTGTGCACACAGGTGTGTCTGTGCCCAGGTTGTGTGTGTGTGCGTGCATGCATGTACTTGTGCGATGTATGAATCAGTGCCTATAAGTGTGTGCATCGTGTGCAAGTGGCACGTGTGATGTGGGCCTGTAAGACAGGAAATTGTGTTGATAAGAAATGTATGGGATGATGGGTACTGACAGGTGCGGGAGTGGATTTTGTGTCTCTAGAGTGTAAGTGACTGGCTTGTGTGTGTCACTGTATAGAGAATAAGTTGTATGTGGAAACAGGAGGAGAAAGGAAGGGACCCAAGGCATGAGCCACCATTTTGGTTTCCCAGGGTGGCCCACGCCCCGACTTACCGCTCCGGAGGCCTGCTGGGCAGCGTTGGTAGCTGGCAAGACAAAGCAGAGAAGCCAGTAACCAAACAGCACTCCAGATGACTGGACTCCCTTTTTCCTCTCGGTGTGAATCAGGAACACTGCGAAGCTCTGGACGGGAAAGTCAGGGAGGCCCCTTAGGGGAGGGTGGGAGGCTGAGGGGAGCCTCTTCTCTTCCCCTTGTTCTCCACTGTGGCAGGCAAAGCAGCAGCTGGGAGGAAGCCGGGCTCCAGACTGAAGGCATCATTACCATCGTGGTGAGCCACACAGTAGGATGAATGAGGAATTCTGGGGCCTCAGGCGTTCCCTGTTGGATTTTCCAAAGAGCGACAGCCACGCTGGAGGTACACAGGACTATGAGGGCGAATCCAAGCACCTGAGGATACAGGCTTAGATAAGCTTGGGGGGCAATAAGAGAGGTCACAGCAAACTGGTAGGCGGCCCCATGTCCAACTGGGAGCTGGTTCTGCAACATCCTGGCTGATACTGAGTATACCAGGGTCACCAGCTAGCAACGTGCCAATGTGAACAATGTGTAAAGGGCATTGCAGATCACTCCTGACCTGTAACTGTCATATAAATAATGCACAGGAAGGGCTTGAGCCAACCGAGTGTTTTCCAAAATGCAGGAAGTGCTCCAATCGTGCACATATGAGATGACTTTGGGTATGGAGAAACAGCAGGAAATGAAATGTACTCACCAGGTAAAAAACTATCCTTTCTCCAAGTCATTTTTCAATCCCTGCTATGAAATCAAGGAGCAACTCTCTGTTGGGCCAGTAAGTCTCTAGGGTCTCTCTAATATATTTTGGTTTCTCTATTGAATAAAAGAAAGGAAGAAAATGAGAGAACGTGGGCACACCAGAGGGAAGGCCAGAGCTAGGTTACGTTGGAGGAACTGCTCAAAGAACCTCAGTTTAAAGCAGAAGTTGGCAAACTATCAATCATCAAAGAAAAACAAAAAGCATATGTCATGACAGGTGAAAATTACATGAAATCCAAATTTCAGTGACTACAAATAAAGTTTTATTGAAACGCAGTCGGCCGGGGGTGGTGGCTTACACCTGTAATCCCAGCACTTTGGCAGGCCAAGGCAGGCAGATCACCTGAGGTCAGGAGTTGGAGACCAGCCTGGCCAACATGGCGAAACCCTGTTTCTACTAAAAATACAAAAAAATAGCGAGGTGTGGGGGTGGGCACCTGTAATCCCAGCTACTCGGGAAGCTGAGGCAGGAGAATCACTTGAACCCAGGAGGCGGAGGTTGCAGTGAGCCGAGATCGCACCATTGCACTCCAGCCTGGGTAACAAGAGCAAAACTGCATCTCAAAAAAAAAAAACAAACAAAAAAGTAACACAGTCATGACTATTGTCTATGGTTATGACTATTGCGTTCATTCTGGAATGGCAGAGTTCAGTGTTCGGAAGGAAGATTACCTGGCTCACAAAGTCTCAAATACTGTGTACCGCTTGGCTCTTTAAGTTTGCCAACCCCTGGGTTGGTGGCGGGTGATAATGTAAAAATTAATACAATGGCAGAAGAATGAATGAACTCTGAAGAACATTCTTTGGAAGCCTACAAGAATGGAGTAGAAGAGGATGGATGAGCAGAAAGGCTCACACTTGGAATGCCAGTGTTTATTTAACACACTAAGGTAAATACATATCACATATAAAAATTGTCCTATAATACAGCCAGTGGGGGAACATAAAAATAAATGCATAACTTTTTAAAAGGTTCATCCTAATGTGGCTCTAAAATTACCTTGTGTATCCAAGAGTCTACATGGTATGTTTTGGAAAATGCCAGGTTATGGTAGCTATAAACTGTCCAGGAACATGGGAGTGTATGCGTATGTTTGCGCATGCGTGGATTTTCGGAATTACAAAATCTGTTTGGGAGAACCGTGTTCCACTGAGTTGACCTCTGTAGCCTTTCTAATATTGCTCTGTTTGATTAACAGATTCCCTTCTACACCCCGATAGGAGGAGTCTACTTTAAGACTTCACCAGGTTCCAGCCTGTCCCCTGCCTCCCCCGAACATTGCCTGGTTCCAGGCTCCCAGGGATGGCAGCTACCATCTTGGCTTTGAAGAGTGGGGACATCCGGAGGTAGCCCCGGCCATGGTGGTGGATGAAGAGGAGGTAGATGGGACCAAGGACCCAGAGGTACATGGGGGGTACCCAGACCCCTGCTGTTCTCAGGAAGCACAGGCTCAGCAGGCTGGTGGCGGCAGGTTCAGGCTCTGTCTGGTTCCAGACCTGAGGGAACACAAAGAGGACCCTTAGGATGGTACAAGGCAGGGGTCCCCAGCTCACCTGCCCAGGGGGCCAGGCAACTTTTTGGATCTTTAACATTTACACAAAAATGTACCAAGTACTCTTTGGAATACCTACTAATTCTCAATTCCTTTCATCCTGACATTAACCCTAGGTAGTTGCAATTATATTGATTTGCAGATGAAGAAGCTGAGGACCAGAGAGGTTGAGTAACTTTGCTGACTTTACCCAGCTGAGGAGTGGAAGGGCTGGGATTTGAACCCAGGGAACTGGGCCATGTGGTCTAGGAGACCTGGGCTCCATAATCATTGCTAGGCATGGACTGTCAGTTAATCCTTATAACAACTCCAGGACGCAGACAGTACTGTCTCCATTTCAGAAACCAGCAGACTGAGGCACCAGTCGGGGAACTGCCTCCCCCAGGGACACACAAATGGGAAGTGGCAAAGCTGACTCTGACCCAGGCTTATCTGACCCCAAACCTCGTTCGACTGGTGGTCTTGATGTATGATTTGTTTTTATTTTTTATTATTAATTAATTTATGTTTTAGAGACAGGGTCTCACTCTGTTGCCCAGGCTGAAGTGGCACAATCAAAGCTCAACAAAGCTTCGAATTTCCTGGGCTCAAGCAATCCTCCCACCTCGGCCTCCCAGAGTGCTGGGATTACAGGCATAAGCAGCCTCACCAGGCCTGGCTAATTTTTTTTTTTTATGTTTTGTAGAGATGGGGGTCTCTCTATGCTGGTCTCGAACTCCTGGTCTCAAGCAATCCTCCTGCCTCAGCCTCCTAGGTACTGGGATTACAGGCAAGAGCCACCGGCCCAGCTTGATCTGTTATTTTCATCTCAGCAGGTCTGCTGGTCCTATCTAACCCTAGAAGAAATTTGAAGTTTAGTGGACGTGGCCTCTTCAATTCTCTCTCCGCTGTCTTTTTACTCCTCCTGGTTTCACAACTCACCGGCTGTGCAAACTTTAACCTCTCTGTATCTCAGTTTCCTTCCCTGTAAAAGGGGGAAAACGAGACTCTACCTCTATGAGTTGTATTAAATGGATTAATAGCAGCAAAGTTCATAGCAGCATGGCACAAGGTTGGGCACAAGGCTAGGCACAGAGAAAGCCCTCAGTTCATTGCCAGTTTATTGCTTCAACTCCCTGGCCCTCGAAATGCTGGCAGTTTGCAACCCCCACCCCCACTCCATGAACTCCACTCCCTGGAGTCCTTTGCTAAGAGCAATGGAAAAAGAAACCAGAGAGGTAAGGGCTCTCCGGGGGTAGGAGGGCTTGGGGGACCCACTAGCTTTATGCAAAGAAGAGTCAAAGCCCCTAGTAGCTGGGAGGTCTGGTGGCCCCTTAAATAGAGCTGGGCTCTCGGCTGCTGGCTTGGTGAAAGAAATCCAACCCGCTGCAGTGAGGGGGCCGGAGTAAGTCTCCTCGCTTCCCGGGTCCAGGAATTTGGGGGTCTCTCCTCTCCCCAGTATCGCAGCCCGAGAGATCTGCAGCCAAACCAAGCCTGGAAAAGGAGAGTGGGGCGCGATGGGGGGCACTCACCCCCTGCCCCGCGCAGGGCTCAGCAGGCGCGGCCATCGGCGCCTTCTGTCGTCGTGGGTCCCAGCGTCTGTCTGTCGCTAAGTCTCTGGGCAGACTGCTCGGCCGCGATCCTGCCGGAGAAGAGGCGGGGCTGGGCTGGTCGGGCTGGGCTGGTCCGGCTGGGATTCGAGCTCCGGGATCGGGAGGCCCCGGGCAAGGTCCAGCTGCGCGGCGGGAGTGAGGCCACGGGAGGTGAAAACAGGCGAGGTGGGGGATGGGGGAAGAGAGGCGCTCGGGGAGCTGGGACGGGCACCGGGTTGGGGGGTCCCGGAACCCCTGAAAGTTCAGTGACACCTCCATAGTTCCCTCTTCCCCCTGCAACAAGAATCACTCCAGACTTCCTAAACACTTTGGACCCAGCAATTTCCAGGAGTTCATCCTGATGAGAGAACTGAAAGGTGTGCACACGTTAGTAACAAGGAGGCCTGGTGACCGCCTAAGCGTCCAATCGCGGGGACCACCGGGTCGAGGCCGAGAGGATGGAGACCGCGTCACAGGCACCTCGCTGCTGGAATGGAGGGTGGTGGGGAGAACTTAGAAGATTATGCAATGGGCTGGCAGGGCTATACCCAGCCGCCCTGGTAAGCAGAAACTCAAGAAACCTCTAGGGTCCTGTTTTCTGGTCGTATGATCCCAGGAGTGCACATGGGCCCCTCGGGTGTCTGAACAGAAGGGCATAGGAGGGAGGGCCGCAGCCCTGCAGTCTTACTCTGCTGGTGTAGCGGTCACCTGCCAACTCCCACCCCACCCTGCACCGCGGGCTCCTGAGTCGGCAGATTAAGCATTTTATAAATTCTATTTTAAATACGTGTTTTAAACTTGTCAGATATTTGTCTTCATTTCAGTCCCTGCGCCTCTACCTCTTGCTGTGGTCGCTTATTTAACACTGGGGGGCTACGTTCTGCTAAGTCCCAGGGAGAGACTGTTCCTAATATCCGAGGGAGATATTATTCCTAATATCACGCTGGGTGAACACCACGTGTGTACAGCCTCTGATACGATTGGTAATATCCAAGGGAGATATTATCCTAACATCCCAGTGGGTGAACACCATGTGTGTAAACGCTGTGGTATTATTAGAAATATCCAAGGGAGATATTACTCCTAATATCACAGTGGGTGTACATCCTGTGATATTATTCGTAATATCTGAAGGAGATTTTACTCCTAATATCACAGTGGGAGTACACACTGTGATATTATTTGTAATATCCGAGGGAGATTTTACTCCTAATATCACAGTAGGTGTACAACCTGTGATATTATTCATAATATGCTAGAGATATATTACTCCAAATCTCATGGTGGGTGTACACTCTGTCATAGAATTCGTGATATCCTAGGGAGTTATTACCGCTAATATCACAGTGAGAGTACACCCTGTGATATTATTCATACTATCCTAGAAAGATATTACTTTTAATATCACAGAGGGTGTACACCCTGTGATATTATTCATAATATTCTATGAAGATATAACTCCTGATATAACCGTAGGTGTATACCCTGTGATATTATTTGTTATATCCTAGGGAGATACTACACCTAATACCACAGTGGGTGTACACCCTGTGATATGATTTGTAATATCCTAGGGAGATATAACTCCTAATATCACAGAGGGAGTACACCCTGTAATATTATTCATAATATCCTAGAAAGATAATACTTTCAATATCACAGTGGGTGTACACTCTGTGATAATATTCGTAATTTCCTAGGGAGATACTACTCCTAATATCACCTTGAGTGTACACTGCGTGATATTATTCGTAATATCGTAGGGAGCTATTGCTTTTAATTTCACAGTGGGTGTATACCCTATGATATTATTCATAATATCTTAAGAAGGTAGTACTCCTAAAATCACAGTGCCTGTACACACTGTGATATTATTCATAATATTCTAGGGAGATGTTACTCCTAATCTCATAGTGGGTGTACACCTTGTGATACTATTTGTAATGTTCTAGAAAGATATTCCTTTTAATATCACAGTGGGTGTACACCCTGTGATATGATTCGAAATATTCTAGGGCGATATTACTCCTAATATCCCAGTGAATTTACACCATGCGTGTACACGCTGTGACCTCCCAGAAAGATATGACTCCTAATATCACAGTGGGGGTACACCCTGTGCTATTATTTGTAATACCCTATGGATATCATAATATCACAATGAACGTACACCATTGTGTACATGCTGTGATATTATTTGTAATATTTTTGGGTGATATTACCCCTAATGTCACAGTGCGTGTACATCTTTTGATATTATTTGTAATATTCTGTGGAGATATTGCCCCTAATATCACAGTGGGTGTATACTCTTTGATACTATTCGTAACATCCTGGAAGATATTATCCATATTGTCACGGTGGGTGTACACCCTGTGATATTATTCGTTATATTCTGGGGATATACTATTACCCCTAATATACTGTGGGTGTACCCCCTGTGATATTATTCACTATATCTTGGAGATATAATATTACCCCTAATATCACAGTGGGTGTATACTTTGTGATATTATTCATTATATCCTGAAGAGATATTATTTCCTTTAATATCACAGTGCATGTACACCTTGTGATATTATTTGTTATATCCTGGGGAGATACTACTATATTACTCCTAGTATCACAGTGGCTGTACGCCTTGTGATACTATTCATTATATCCTGGGGAGATATTATTACTCCTAATATCACAGTAAGTGTATACCCTGTGATATTATTCATAATATCCTGGGAGATATTACCCATATTGTCACAGTGGGTGTACATCCTGTAATATTATTTGTAATATCCTGGGGAGATATTATTACTCCTAATAGCACAGTGGGTGTACACCCTGTGATATTATTGGTTATATCCTGGGGAGGTATTATTATTCCTAATATCACAGTGGGTGAACATTCTGTAATATTATTCATTATATTTTGGGGAGATATTAATTCCTCTAATATCACAGTGGGTGTACACCCTGTGATATTATTCATTATATCCTGGGAAGATATTAATCCCTCTAATATCACAGTGGGTGTACACCCTGTAATATTATTCATTATATCCTGGGAAGATATTATTTCCTCTAATATCACAGTGGGTGTACACCCTGTGATATTATTTGTTGTATCCTGGGGAGATATTATTATGTCTCATATCACAATGGGTGAACACCCTGTGATAGTATTCGTTATATTTGGGGAAGATGTTATTACCCCTAATATCACAGTGGTGTACACTCTGTGATATTATTCATTATGTAGTGGGGAGATAGTATTACCCATAATATCACAGTGGATGTACACCCTGTCATATTATTTGTTATATCCTTGAGAAATATTATTATTCCTCTTATCACAGTGGGTGTACACCCTGTGATATTATTCGTTACATCCTAGGGAGATATTGTTACCCATAATATCACAGTGGATGTACACCCTGTCATATTATTCGTTATATCCTTGAGAGATGTTACTACCCCTAATATCACAGTGGGTGTATACCCTGTGATATTATTCATCAAATTTTCTGGAGATATTATTACCCATAATATCACAGTGTGTGTACCCACTGTGACAGTATTGATTATATCTTGGGGCGATATTACTCTTAATTTCACAGTGGCTGTATCCCTGTGTTTACACCCTGTGATGTTATTCATAATATTTTAGGGAGATATTACTCCTAATATCACAGTCAGTGTATACCATGTTTGTACACCCTATGATATTATTTGTAATATTTTAGGGAGATATTACTCCTAATATCGTTGTGGGTGTACAGCATGTTTGTAAACACTGTGATATTATTCATAATATCTGAGAGAGATATTACTGCCAATATCACAGTGGGTGTACACCCTGTACACCGTGTGATACGATTCATAATATCCGAGGGAGATATTACTCCCAGTATCACAGTGGGTTAACACCCTGTGGTATTATTCATAATATTCGAGGGAGATATTACTCTCAATATCACAGTGGATGTACACCCTGTGATATTATTTGCAATATCCGAGGGAAACATTACTGCTAATATCACAGTGGGAGTACACCCTGTGATATTATTTGTTTTATCCTGGAGACATATTATTCCTATTATCACAGTGGTTGTACACCCTGTGATATTCTTCGCTATATTCATGGAAGATGTTATTACCCCTAATATCACAGTTGGTGTACACCCTGTGATATTATTCGTTATATCCTGGGGAGATATTGTTACCCCTAGTATCACAGTGGGTGTACGCCCTGTCATATTATCCATTACATCATGGGAAGATATTATTACATCTAATATCACTGTGGGTGTACACCCTGTGATATTATTTATTATATCCTGGTGAGATGTTATTACTGCTAATATCACAGGGTGTGTCAAATTTTCTGGAGATATTATTACCCTTAATATCACAGTGGGTGTGCACCCTGTGTGTACACTCTGTAATATTATTCGTAATATTTTAGGGAGATATTACTACTAATATCACAGTGGGTGTACACCCTGAGGAGATATTACTTCCTCTGATATCACAGTGGGTGTACACCCTCTCATATTATTCGTTATGTGCTAAGTAGATATTATTACCCCTAATATCACAGTGGGTGTACACCCTGTGATGTTATTCCTTATATCCCAAGAAGATATTATTATAACTAATATCACAGTGGGTGTACACCCTATGATATTATCTGTTATATACTGGGGGGATATTATTTGTAATATTTTAGGGAGATACTACTCCTAATATCATAGTGGGTGTACTCATATTTTACAGATATATTACTTTTAATATCACAGTGGGTGTACACCCTGTGTGTACACCCTGTAATATTATTAGTAATATTTTAGGGAGATATTACTCCTAATATCATAGTGGGTGTACACCATGTTTGTAAACCCTAGGATATTATTCATAATATCCGAGGGAGATATTACTCCCAATATCACGGTGGGTTTACACCCTATGATATTATTTGTAATATCTGAGGCAGGTATTACTCTCCATATCACAGTGAGTGTACACCCTCCTATATTATTCATAACATCCGAGGGAGATATTACTTCCAATATCAAAGTGGGTGTGATAATATCTGAGGGAGATATTATTCCTAATATCCGTGGGAGATATTATTCCTAATATCTCAGTGGTTGTACCGCGTCACAGTGGGTGTGCACTGTGTGATATTATTCATAGTATCCAAGGGAGATTTTACTCCTGATATCACAGTGAGTGTACACCCTGTGATATTATTCTAATACCCAAGGGAGAGCTTTCTCCTAATATCACAGTGGGTGTACACTCTGTGATATTTTTCATAATATCCGAGGGAGATAGGATGGAGACCACGTCACAGTCCCCTCACTGCTGGAATGGACACTGTCTACCCGTGGAGTGGTGGGGAGAACTTAGTGAGATTATGCAAGCGTTTAGCACACTGCCAGATATACATTAAATGCTCAGAAGACTTAGCTTTTATTATTACTGTCATAATTGAGGCCATGGGTTACTAACCAGTGGTTTAAAATGCCATTGCAGCTGGGCACGGTGGCTCATGCCTGTAATCCCAGCACTTTGGGAGGCTGATGAGGGCGGATCACTTGAGGTCAGGAGTTTGTGACCAGCCTGGCAAACATAGTGAAACCCCGTTTCTACTAAAAATACAAAAATTAGCTGGGTGTTTTGGTGCGTGCCTGTAGTTTCAGCTTCTCAGGAGGTTGAGGCAGGAGAATCGCTTGAACCTGGGAGGCGAAGGTTGCGGTGAGCCAAGATTGTGCCACTGCACTCCAGCCTGGGTGACAGAGCGAGACTCTGTCTCAGAACAAGCAAACAAAATGCCATTGAAGACATATATGAATATGAAAAGGTGCTTGCTAAATGATGATTGAATAAAAGAGATTATAATATAAAATAGGCTTTGGTTTTTTTAAAGCAAAAAAGAAAAGGATATGCCTAAATTAGGGAACATGGAGAAGAAGGCCAAGGCATTTACCTTCCTCTCTTGAGTCTTTTTCTCTCTCCGTCTCTGTTTTTTTTTTTTTTTTTTTTGAGTCAGGGTCTTGCTCTGTCACCCAGGCTGGAGTGCAGTAGTGCCATCATGGCTCACTGCAGCCTTGACCTCCTGAGCTCAAGCAACCTTCCACCTCAGCCTCTCCGGAGTATCTGGGACTACAGGCACACACCACCAAGCCTGGCTAATTTTTAAATTTTTTTGTGGAGACTTGTCTCACTTTGTTGCCCAAGCTGCTTTGGAACTCCTGGCCTCAAGCCATCCTCTTGCCTAGGCCTCCCAAAGTGCTGCGATTACAGGCGTGAGCCACCATGCCCAGCTCTCTCTTGGGTCTTAAAGCAAAGTGTCAAAGACCCAGCCACCACTTCTTAGAAATGACTCGATGTCATACTAGCATAAATGCATCGATAAAAAGATGGAAATGTGGTAACACAGTGATCTTGGGGAATCCTAGTTTTCTTTTCCAATTTCTTTGTTGTTGCAGTGAGCAAGTACTTGTTTCAAGATAGGAATGAAATATTCGGCTCTTTTAGACAGACAAGCACAGGTGCTCAGTTTGGGAGAAGAATTAAAATCCTCTGCACTCTCCATGCTGCCTTGCTAATTCTTGGGGTCCTGTCCTCATCTTCTACTCTTGCCTTCTGCAGGTACCCCACAGTGTGTTTTCCCCGATCTTTTTGTATCACTCTAAATCCAGTATTGGGCCCAGGGAGCACCCCCTCCCCTGCCCCCTTCAGCTGTCCTCCTGCCTGAGTCTTCTGGAAGCTTCGGGACAGAAAGAACCCAAGGATTTGTCATGAAGCTCAGTGTGGCAGGTCTACTGTTTCCATGTAAATCATGTCTGCTTATCTGAGCTGGTTTTGGTGGAAACTGATGGAAATTATGGGGAAGCTAAATCCCTGTCTCTCTGCAAGCCACTCCCCAATCCCACCCCCATGAATTGGCATTGTCACAGTCCTGGTGCTTCATTTCTTTCTATATTTGAAGATGAATTTGAGGGAAATAGTCAGAAAGTCAAGAAGAACACAGCAGAAATCAATTGGGGTGAGTCCAGAACAAAACTTGGGGATCCCACTTCCTGCTTTTTTTTTTTTTTTGAGATGGAGTCTCACTCTGTCGCCCAGGCTGGAGTGCAGCGGCAAGACCTCAGCTCACTGCAACCTGTGGCTCCCTGGTTCAAGTGATTCTCCTGCCTCAGCCTCCTGAGTAGCTGGGATTAGAGGCATGCGCCACCACACCTAGCTAATTTTTGTATTTTTAGTAGAGACAGGGTTTTGCCATGTTGGCCAATTTGGTCTCGAACTCCTGACCTCAAATGATCTGCCCACCTCGGACTCCCAACATGTTCATATTACAGTAGTAAGCCACGGCTTCTGGCCCCAATTCCTGCTCTCTAGCTCCGGGAAAACCTGTGGCTGCATGCAGAGTCTTAGACAACTTCCTTTTCCTCTCTGGGCCTCAGTTTCCCATTCTGTAAGATGAGAGGTTTCCATAGGCCTACACTTTCTAATTGGTGGCTTTCAATCCTCTGGTGATTTGCATAAAAGGCATCTATTTCAATTGTGGTTATAAATAACAAACCCCAATAAATAGACGAATTATTTAAATGGTTTCTCATTATCACTGAATAGTTGAGAGTCTACTGTATTTGAGTGAAAATGCAGCACGAGAAACTGAAATCAGATGCGCTCATGATTATGACCCTGAGGTCAATGTGTCATTCCCTTCATTCCCTCCTTGCCCCCATGAAGGTTTGACTACTGTATGGTTTGAACCTGTGCTTCTTAGTTGTTTATTGCTTAAGTTTTAGCCACAACGGCAAATTGCAGCGGGAAATTCAGTCTTACTTTGTCATTTGGAAACAAAATACAAAACCTATCAAAATAAAGCACTAGCTTTTTTTTTTTTGAGACAAAATGGAAGAAATCCTAATATTAGGTTAGAAAAGCAATTTTTTGGTGTTTTTAAAATTTTATTTATTTATTTTTTTGAGACAGAGTCTTGCTCTGTCGCCCAGGCTGGAGTGCAGTGGTGCGATCTCGGCTAACCGCAAGCTCCGCCTCCCAGGTTCACGCCATTCTCCTGCCTCAGCCTCCCGAGTAGCTGGTACTACAGGCGCCCGCCACCACGCCCGGCTAAGTGTTTATATTTTTAGTAGAGACGGGGTTTCACTGTGTTAGCCAGGATGGTCTCGATCTCGTGGCCTCATGATCTGCCAGCCTTGGCCTCCCAAAGTGCTGGGATTACAGGCGTGAGCCACTGTGCCCGGCCTCTTTGGTGTGTATTTTGATGTGGTGACTGGTAGTTAAATTCAGTGTACATATGAATTCACTCTTGGGACAAAATATGCTGGATTTGAGCTTGTTTTCAGGCAAATCATGTTTCATCTTGCAGAGCTAATTCAAAGTATACTGACTGCATGCACTTCTTGCTTAGGGGAAGAAAACTCATCAAAATTTGTTTCTAGGCATATGTTATTAGAGCTAGGATTAAAATAAATCTTACATACTTTCTTTAATATGCTAACATTAACACGTTTCGCTTAAAAAAGTATCGATCATTTATCATGGAAAAATACACCAGCTTACACAAATTCCTAAAGCGTTTTTCGTGTGTGTGTGTGTGTGTGTGTGTGCGTGTGTGTGTGTAGAGATGGGGTTTCGCCATATTGCCCAGGCTGGTCTCGAACTCCTGGGTTCAAGCGATCCACCCACCTCAGCCTCCCAAAGTGCTGGGATTACAGGCGTGAGCCACACACCCGGCCCTAAAGCTTTTTGTGAGATTATATATTTTACCTGCGAAATATATGGGTCAGAAAGATTTGAGAAAGTTGTTAGATAATTCCACCAACGAAATCTCCCGTCCTTTCCAGCTGTGATGGTGAATTCTAAAGTAGAATTCATCTTTGGAGCTTCTCCCTGTAGGCATGCACCTTGCGTTGCACCTGCCAGATGTCGCGCGGAGTCCTCCAGGCCTCTAGAAGGCAGAGATGGTCTCGTTTCCTTGCCGAGCATGCGCCTTAGTTCTCTCTTCTGGGGCTGTGACCGTGGGGTCGAAGCGCGCGTGCGCGGCGGCGGCTGGCGGCGGCGGTGGGGCGGGGCCTGGGCTGTCAGCCGGCCTAGGAGGAGGAAGGAGCCTGCGGCGTGCAGTGTGAGGGGCGGGACCCGGCTGCCGGCGGTGGGTCTAGCTGGGGGAGGTCGGGCCATGCTGGTGGGCCAGGGCGCGGGGCCGCTGGGGCCCGCGGTGGTCACCGCCGCGGTGGTGCTGCTGCTGAGCGGCGTGGGGCCGGCGCACGGCTCGGAGGACATCGTGGTGGGCTGCGGTGGCTTCGTCAAGTCGGACGTGGAGATCAACTACTCTCTCATCGAGGTGAGCGCCCGCCCCGCCGCCCGGCGCCGAGTCGCCGGGCCGGTGGTTCAGCCTCTCTGGGCCGCGCTGGCCTCGTCTCTGACACCGGGCGGTGTGGAGTCCTTGGAGCCCTTACCTCTTCCGAGGCTATGCTGTCCGCGGGCTCCCTGCAGCCCCTCCCCAGTCGCGCTGGAGGGGAGGTTCTTATCATGGGGTCGTCTAAGGACTGAGGGGTGCCAGACCTCAGGTTCTTCAAAACCCCGACTCCAGATCCCCGGAACACAGACCCCAGATCCTCAAAACCCAGACCCTAAATTCCCTGGAGCCCAGACTCCATTTCTTTAAAACTTAGACCTGAGATCTCCTCGAATCAGACCCCCTGAAACTCAGATTTCCCCAAACCCACATTCCAGAACCTAGAGACCACATGTCTTATCCCCCAAACTCCACAGCCCAGAACCCCCCGAAGTTCTAATCCACTGCTCCTCCAAACCCCGCGGCATGATTTTAAAGAGCATCAATTCCCATCCCATAGATACTGACCTAGTAGATCAGTATTGGCAACCCTGGGGCCGGAAAGCTATTTTTTATTTCTCCGGCTCCCCTCCACTTCTGAAAATGGAGAGTTGCCAGCTGCCCTGATTGCCTTAATGAGTAGTTAATGGAATTACCCTAGAGATTTGTGCTGAAGGTTTTTTTTTTTTTTTTTTTTTTTAATTAAGTTGTAAAGTCCTGTTAAATGTTTATCAGCCCGGTGGGATTATGACCCAGAAAGGTTCCCGTAAAGAGGAAAGGGATGGATGGAGGTAGGGGCAGAATGTCATTTGTCCCGGTAGATGGGAGGGGACCAGAGCAAGGCCTGGGCCTCATTTTTGGGAGGGGATTTATGGTGGGGTAGGACAAGGAAGAGGAAAAGAGCGGGTGCCTCGGAGGTAATTTAGGAGAAAACGAAGGAAGAGGCTGGGAAATGCCAAAGAGAGGGATTGGGGAATAAGACCCCAAAGATCGTCTGAAAGCACCTTTGAGCTGTTCCAGGGCTGGCAGTGAAGGGTGAAGCTCTGTGTTCTGCAAAGCGGGCTGCTGAGGATTGGGGGAGGGGTAGGGAGTCAGTTCCACACCCCACCAGCTCTGCGACCTGCCCTTGCTCTAGGTTTCAGTTTTTGTACCTATAGGATGGTGTTGGGAGAGAAACAGTGGAACCCAGCAGATACATTTCTTTAACAAGCGGATCCGTGATCTTCTTCAAGGCCCCCTTGTTTGCTGCTTTTTCAGACTGAAGAGGTCAGAGGTCAGGCATTGAATGAATCTACCCACTGGCAGCGGCAGGGCTCCTAGGATTTCCTGGGTACATGTTTCTGGGTGCCCATGCCACCTCCTAGGTCTGCACTGGGGACAGGACACGTTCAGGGTGGTATGGCTGTAGACGGCACAGGGCATTTCAGAAGCTGAAATGCAAGAGGCCGCTAAGGCCTCTTGCAACTTGTAGTTTCCAGGGGTTCTGGAAGGAAGGAAAAGACAGGCACCCCCCTCCACCCTCACCCTCATACTAATAGTGACCTTGAGAGCAGAGAACAGGTTTTGTGACCCATTTCAAAGTGTGTTCCTTAAGCCCAAGGGCTGCCTGTCCAGATGGTGTGGGACACTCATTCTTTCATAAGTAATTCAGATTCTGAAATCAGACATTTCATACTGGCCATCTTGATGTAGATTACATTGCCATCCTGTGTCCTGATTGTACTTTATGAAAGATGTAGAAACAATCATGATATTTCACGGTTATTTCTTGATTGTGTTTTTTGTGTTCCTATGCAACTGCCGCCATTCTTCTCTAGCTTTCTCCCATCCTGAGTGTTTTTACATCGTGTTCATTGAGTCAACAACTATTTACTGAGCCCCGGCACATACTGAAGCCTTGTCCCCAGTGTGGATATAGCAGTACAGTGAACAGAACAGACAAAACTCCATACTCTCATGAGACTGACATTTTGTTCTCTAACAGGGACCTTACTGTTAAAAAAAAAAAAAATTATACTGGTTGCTAATACTTTAACAATCAGCGGGTTTCACATTAAAAACTGGGTGCTTTATTTCTCTGGAAAACCAGCCAATCTTTAGGCTGCCACACTTGGCTTGGGTTTTGTAGTGATCTGAATCCTTTTGGATGAATGTCCCTTGATGTTGCCTCCCTAACCGGTCTAGTCTGGTGAATTTCCAGTCCCTGCCTTAAATGCATGCATCTGAATCTCTTTGTCACCTGTAGCAAATTCACTGAGTACCTAGAGTAAGCTAGACACTGTCTCAGGCACTGGGGAATGAAGTTGTCACTGACCTCAGAGAACTTTACATACAGGCTTAACCTTATTTCACACGAGTCCTTTCCCAAATGTTCAAATGTTCGTTTTATGAGTTAGTCACTTTGTACATCATCTTAGCTGGTGAGATTCGACTGTTTCATAGCGGCTCGTGTCATGGTTTGTTTCATGGTCATAGAGCATTAACATTTTGGAGGTGAGGCTTTTAGGTGCATCAGACCCAACTGCTTCCTTTTACAGACATGGAAACTGAGCCTCAGAGTGGTTGAGCTGTGCAGGTACATTTAGGAAATTTTCCTTGAGCCCAGTATGTTCCCTACGTATTACACTGTGTTGCCTTTTTCTTCAGAGAGAGATATTAAATAGTGATACAAACTGCTTTTTCCATTTTACTTATTTTATTTTGTTTTATTTTGAGGCAGGGTCTCACACTGTTGCTCAGGCTGGAGTATAGTGGCACCATCATAGCTCACCAAAGCCTCTGACTCCTGGCCTCAAGCAGTCCTCCTGCCTCGGCCTCCTGAGTAGCTGAGGCTACAGGCACGTGCCATCATGCCTAGCTAATTTTTTTTCTAGTAGGGATGAGGTGTGGCTGTGTTGTCCAGGCTGGTCTCCTGGGCTCAAGTGATCCTCCTTCTTTGGCCTCCCAAAGTGCTGGGATTACAGGCATGAGCCACCATGCCTGGCCGCAAACTGATTTTTCTTTGAATCCATATTCTGTAGCAGGTGCTTAATATGCATTGATGTGAATCTGTACAACCACATGAAAAGGAGTGGCTCTATGTCTGCACCTGAAGAAACCGAACACGAGCTTGCCCAAGGCCACGCAACACGTGGAAGACTCAGATGGCATTTGGGCATCTTACTGGGTTAACACTTCGTGTCTGGTAATGCTCAGAATGTAAGAGTTTTAGAGAGTCCTTGAAGAGAGGACAGATATTAAATGTCTTTTTAGTCTCTTTTTCTTCGGAGAATGAAAGTAATGAGAAAATTAAGTTTCTAGATGAATGTTGCTCCAAGTATTTGAAATTATTCAGAGTTAGTAAGGAAGATTTCTGGCCCTCATTGCAGACCTTTAGTTGAGAAATAGAGGTGGGCCCCAGGAATTTGCAATTTATTTTACTTTATTTTATTATTATTTTTGAGACGGAGTCTTGCTCTGTCTCCCAGGCTGGAGTGCTGTGGCATGATCTTGGCTCACTGCAACCTCCGCCTCCTGAGTTCAAACAATTTTCCTGCCTCAGCCTCCCAAGTACCTGGGACTACCGGTGCCTGCCACCATGCCTGGGTAACTTTTTTTGTATTTTTAGTAGGGACAGGGTTTCACCTTGTTGGCCAGGCTGGTCTCAAATTCCTGACCTTAAGTGATCTGCCCACCTCACCCTCCTGAAGTGCTGGGAGTACTGGCATGAGCCACCGTGCCCAGCCAGGAATTTGCATGTTAATAAGCACCTTACTAATGGCAAAGTTTGCAAATTTGTTTTAGACCCGGAAACTTACACGAGCAACCTAGAGGCAGCCACTAAAATAAACAGAAAAGCATTGAAAAATAAGGCATTGTAATAGGCTGTAGGTGGTTTCTAATCTGAAAAACATTGAGTCACATGATTTGGGAGAGAGTTTGTTGATTTCCCTCTGTCCCCAGTAATGCCCCGTGTTAAAAGCTGGCATATAATAGGTCCTCAGTGAATGTATACTGACTGAGTGCATTCAGGTGTAACATGTGTAGTTAATTCCCAAAGGCAATGTTATGATTTCTGTTTTCCTTCCTTCCTTTCCAGATAAAGCTGTACACCAAGCATGGGACTTTGAAATACCAGACAGACTGTGCCCCTAATAATGGTTACTTTATGATCCCTTTGTATGATAAGGTAAGAGGGGACTGCTTGTCACTTATGATGGGAAGTCACTAGTGTGCCTCACCAGGCTGCATTAACCATGTCCTTTCCTACACTAGCAAATGCTCATCTGTTTTGTAAATTATTAGTGGAATATGATAATCCTAGCCACATTTGGAGGGAGACAACTTACAAACTGCCTTGACGAATACAGTGGCTCTCTCTGTGTTTAGGACCATTTGGCAATGTCTAGAGACGTTTTTGTTGTGACATCTGTGGCTGTGCGCTACAGTCACCCAGTGAGTAGTGGCCAGGCGTGGAGCTAAATGTGCTACAGTGCTGCCTACGACAGCCCAGATGTCAGTAGTGCCAGGGCTGAGAAACTCTGATTTCATGGAACCCGTTACTTGCAAGCAGCTTAAAGTATTGTTAAAAAAATTGTACAAGTAATACATGAATTCATGAACTTTGTGAAAAAGAAAGTCAAGGTCTTTAGAAGTATGTGAAATAAATTTGTACCCTTTTCGCTCCAATTTTACCTCCCTCTGTAGTGATAACCTCTGATAATCTGATAAAGGTTTTTTTTGTTGTTTTTTTTTTTCTTCTTTTGAGTTGGAGTCTCGCTCTGTCGCCCAGGCTGGAGTGCAGTGGTGTGATCTTGCCTCACTCCAACCTCCACCCCCCAGGTTCAAGCCATTTTCCTTCCTCAGCCTCCTGAATAGCTGGGATTACAGGCATCTGCCACTACACCCAGCTAATGTTTTGTATTTTTAATAGTGATGGGGTTTTGCCATGTTGGCTAGGCTGGTCTCGAACTCCTGACCTCAAGTGAACCACCTGCCTCAGCCTCCCAAAGTGCTGGGATTACAGGTGTGAGCCGATGTTTCCGGCCCTCTTATAAAATTTTGATGTGCATCCTAACAGATTGCTTTCTATTTATAGTTATTCAGATATCCACGGGTACACATGCATATGTATATATGGAAATACACACAAGCACACATGCACATCGATATGTATCCACAAACACCTCTATACAATCCCATCCTCCCACATATAAACCTTTTATTTGGAAATACAGATTCATAGGAAGTTGCAAAAATAGTCAATACACATAGTTTTGATTTTGATATATTTTTTAATACAAATGAAATCAAACAATAGGATTTATTCTGCAGTTTCATTTTTTCCCCTGTGTTAATGCTTTCAATACCAGAGGGACATTTGGTTTTTTCCTCTTGCATGCTTTCAACATTAGCATAGATAGATCTACTGACTTTTTTTTTTTTTTTTGAGACAGAGTCTCACTCTGTCAGCCAGGCTGGAGTGCAGTGGCGCGATCTCGGCTCACTGCAACCTCTGCCTCCTGGGTTCCAGTGATTCTTCTGCCTCAGCCTCCCAAGTAGCTGGGATTACAGGCACCCACCACCATGCCCAGCTAATTTTTTTTGTATTTTTAGTAGAGATGGTGTTTCACCATGTTGGCCAGGCTGGTTTTGAACTCCTGACCTCAGGTGATCCACCCACCTCAGCCTCCCAGAGTGCTGGGATTACAGGCATGAGCCACCATGCTCAGCCTACTGACTTCTTTTTAATGGCTGCATAGTGTGTCAGAGTCAAACCCAAACTGTAATTTATTTAACTACTTGGACATATAGACTTTCCCCAATTTTAAAATAATAGTAATTTTAACATAACACACCAGGAAATATTCTTGAACTTAACTCTTCATCCAGAATGCATAGGATTGATTTCTAGAGATGGACTAGCTGGGTCTGTCCTGAAATCTATTTAATTAATTTTTAAATAGTATCAGTATCAGTCTCAAGAAACCAGGAGGCTGGACGTGGTAGCTCATGCCTGTAATCCTAGCACTTTGGGAGGTTGAGGTAGGTGGATCGCCTGAGCTCAGGAGTGTGAGACCAGCCTGGGCAACATGGTGCAACCCCGTCTCTACTAAAATACAAAAAAATTAGCCGGGTGTCACGTGGATGCCTGTAGTCCCAGCTACTTGGGAGGCTGAGGCAGGAGAATCGCTTGAACCCAGGAGACGGAGGTTGCAGTGAGCCAAGATCGCACCACTTCACTCCAGCCTGGGCAACAGAGCGAGGCTCCATCTCAAAAAAAAAAAACTAAAACAAAAACAGAAACCAGGGTTGATAAGTAAAATCTAGTTTTATTTATTGAATTAATGAGTTAACGTATTGTTTAGAGACAGGATCCCCTTCCGCTGCCCATGCTGGAGTGCAGGGGCACAATTATGGTTCACTGCAGCACTGACCTCCTGGGCTCAAGTGATCTTTCTGCCTCTTCCTCCTAAGTAGCTAAGACTGTAGGCGCCTGCCACCACACCCAGCTAATTTTTTAAGAACATTTTTTGTACAGATGGGGTCTTGCTATGTTGCTTAGGCTGGTCTTGAACTCCTGGCCTCAAGTGACCCTCCTGCCTTGGCCTCCCACAGTGTTGGGATTATAGGTGTGAGGTACTGTGCCTGGCCAAATCTAGTTTTAGGGGGTGCCTTTAGTTCCTGAAGATACATGCTAACTTGTGCAACTGTAGGCATGTGAGGGCTTAATGGGAGACTCAATTAATAGAATTATAGTATGTTTAGTATTAAAAGACAGTGAGTGGCTGAACCTAGTGTCTTTAGAACTCATGAATGGGCTTCAGCACTGTCTTCTGATTGTTTAGATGAAAACTTCTGGTGTTCAGCTTCAGCTTGTAGCTTCTGAAGAGAATCAGTGCTCAGTACCATGTAGAAGAACAAGGCTTACTCTTAGAATTTCATTTCCGGTGTAAAAAAATTTTAGATTAAATGATAACACTAAACTAAATTTAGCCAGAGTCACAATTCTCATTTCTTGAAATTACATTTTCTTTTTTTCCTTTTAGGGGGATTTCATTCTGAAGATTGAGCCTCCCCTAGGGTGGAGTTTTGGTAAGTTAACTGAATCACTAGACATTCTTTGTAAAAGATTAGATGATATGCCGAATATTAATTTAGGCTAGCAGAGTGCATAAACTATTAAAATATTAAGGATCATTTCCAGTATGGAAGAGGGTTTGTATTCCTCCCCTCCTTGCCCCCATCACTCTGGTTTAGTTCGGATTTACCTTAATCTACCTCAAGACTTTCTGTCACCTTTGAAAAATAGACATCTTTTCTTCTACCTTTCTGGAAACTCTTCCCTTGCAGTTTCACTCATTACGTGGCCGTGGAACAGTATAGAAATCAAGAGTGGGGACTTGGTTCCCATCCCAGGATGGCTTCTTTTTTAGCCCCCTCAGTTTTTTAAGTTTTTATGGAATTAATTGAAACATTTAAAGATTGTGAGATTTGTCATAAAAATCCAGATTTATGTCCCATGAGATGAGAAGACTGTCAGCCTTATACCTTACCAGTTAAATAACTTTGGGCAAGTTACTTCCCCCGTGTCAGCCTGGCTCCTCACTGTCGAGCAAGGGTAGTTATAGTCCCTGCCCCACTGGGTACTTGGAGGATTAATAAACCAATACTGAGTGTTCAGAGGGGCTGGCACGTAATTAGCAAGTACTCAGTATTCAGAAACAGCCCTTCTGCACACATCCCAACAAAAGCTCCAAACTTTCCTCATATAACTGCCTTCAAGCATAGCTGGGGAGTTGGGGATGGGGTTGAGATCAGAAGAGAGGGTCTGTTTTGATGTAGTTTACATTTTTGAAGAGGAGAGACTCTTGATGTTTCAGTAGAGCAGGTGTGGGTGACCCCAGTCCATGGCTTGGGGAGAGGAGTAGGGATCACCGTTGTTGATATCAGGCTTGCTCGTGCATTAGACAAGGAAGAATTTAGCACCTGCCATCACCAAGGCTAAAATGAGGCTCAGGCAGCTGACAGCTAATTTGGCTCTGTGAGAGCAGCTCTTTTATCAGTTTATAGTCAGGGGTAGGGTCGGGGGTGCCTGGCTGGTACGTTCCAGAAAGCTGGAGAGGAATGCAGCCCTGCTCATGGCCAAAGCAGAAGTCCAGATTGGTGGCCTGGAGGAGTGTTGTGTTTGCCACCCCCCACCCTACCCCCAACTGGTGCTGTTGATAAGCTTTTTAATTGAATTATACTTTCAGAAAAGTGCCTTGGATGAATTTTCACTAAGTGAACACACCCATGTATCCACCATCCAGATAATAAGATAGCACTTCACCAGCACCCCAGAAGTCCCCATCCTGGGTGCTCATTAGCCATCCCGCCCCACCCTCCAGGTGACCACCACCCTGACCTTCTACAAATTAGAGATCCATTTGGTCTGTTTTGAACTTTATACAAATGCTATCATGCAGGGAACTTTTTAATATCCGGTTTCTTTCACTCAACATTATGAACTTTATCTGTATCATTTGTAGCTTTAGTTCATTCTCTTTGCTGTTGAGAATTCTGATGCATAAATATAAAATTATTTATATTTTATAAAATACTTATATTTTATTTTATTTTTTTCTTTTTTTTGAGACTGAGTCTCGCTCTGTTGCCCAGGCTGGAGTGTGATCTCAGTTCACTGCAACTTCTGCCCGGGTTCAAGCAATTCTTGTGCCTCAGCCTCCTCAGTAGATGAGATTACAGGTGTGCACCACCACACCCAGCTAATTTTTGTATTTTTAGTAGAGATGGGGTTTCATCATGTTGACCCAGGCTGGTCTCGAACTCCTGACCTCAAGTGATCTGCCCGCTTTGGCCTCCCAAAGTGTTGGGATTATAGGCAAGAGCCACCACGCCTGGCCTATATTTATATTTTATATTCATATTTTGTATCAGTGATCTCTTCTACTGTTGATGGCCATTTGAGTTGCTTACCGATTTTGGCCACTAAGAGCAGTGCTCCTGTGAACATTCTTGTATGTATATTTTGATACATGTGTCTGCATTTTTGCTGAGTATATCACAGGAGTAAAGTCGCTGAGCCATAGAGCTGATACATGCTCAGCTTTAGGTGTTTGCAAACATCCAAAGTGGATGCACCAGTTTGTGTTCTCCCAGCAGTGTACAAGGGTTTCCATTGCTCCACATCCTAACCTACACTTGATATCGTCAGTTTTTTTTAATTTTAGCCCTTCTGGTGGGGGTGTGGTATTATCTCACTGTGGCCTTGATTTACATTCCACTGATGGCCAATGAGGTTGCACACTTTTTCGTATGTTTATGTTTGTTTGCCATGGGCTAGCTATTTTTGTAAGATTCCTGTTCAAGTCTTTTGCCCATTTTTTATTGGAGTCTTTGTGTGTGTGTGTGTGTGTGTGTGTGTGCATGTACGCGTGCAAGCACGTGTGTAATTCATCTTAACTGAAAATCTCATCTCATGGTTTTCCATTTTTTTCTCTACTCATTACTCCATATTCTTCCTAACCTTTCAAAAACTCAACCTTAACCCCTATTATGATGAACTCTTCAGTTAAAAAATGGAGTTAATTGCTGATATTGAAAAATCAAGAGATGGTATATAAAATCCAGATTTCCAGTTTTTCGGAGAAGTTGGAAGCTCTGGCAAAGCATGGTAGTGGTTGGCAGACTTGAGTGGCAGTTGTCTCCTTTCAATTTGCCACAGTCCCCCTGAGGATGCTCCGCTCACTTCGAACCCATGAGGCCCCTGTGGCCCTGGAGTTTGTGTTCCTGGTTTAACATGGCTGAGCTCATGTCCTTGGTCAGAGAACAGATCCAGAGCCAGACTTTTAGGGTTGAATTGGGGCTCTGTTACTCAGAAGCTCTGTGATCTTGGGAGCTCCTTTAACCTTTCTGTGCCTTAATTTACCCCTCAGTAAATTGCAGCTATTACTGCCTGTCTCTTAAGATAATTGTGAGGATTAAAGGCACTCAGCTCAGTGCCTGGTCGGTGATGAGCATTCAGGAAATAAAATTATTTGGTGCTCACTGAATTTTCACTGGAACTCTGAGATATAACTTAGCTGAAAGGCGTTGTAAAATTATTTTATACTCTAAACACGAATTCCCTCTGGGGCAGGAAACCAGGAGGCTAGGGGGATAGGGGTGAGAGGGAGACTTTTCCCAGAATACTTTTTCGTACCTTTGGATTTGGAAACACAACGAGTGTATTAAGTGTTCAAAAGTAAAATGAAACCTGAATAATAAAAATACGTTCTACTTAGGTTCACTGTACCCCAAAACTAAGCTTGCCTTTGTGTCTTGTGCCCCGGTTTCCTCCCCTGCTTCGTTCCTCAGAGCCGACGACCGTGGAGCTCCATGTGGATGGAGTCAGTGACATCTGCACAAAGGGTGGGGACATCAACTTTGTCTTCACTGGGTTCTCTGTGAATGGCAAGGTTTGTCTTTGGAACTTGATTATTTTTCCTGTTCACTCTATAATGTATACTAAATCCTTTTTTAAAAAAATGCAGGATATTTTAACCTGGGGACTTTGATCCCACAAGGGACCCATGGATAAGTGGCAAGTGAGCCTGTGAACTCTGTACTTCATCCGTGTAGAACACAGCAGGTGTATTTAGGAATGAGATTGAGGTTGCTGGTCATCCCCTCTGCTCCCAGAGCATAGGCTGTTGGTGTTTTTATTTTTTTATTTTTTATTTTGAGACAGGGTCTTCCTCTATTGCCCAGGCTGGAGTGCAGTGGTGCAATCTTGACTCACTGCAGCCTCCACCTCCCAGGTTCAAGTGATTCTCCTGCCTCACCCTCCCGCTCCTTCACCCTCCCGAGTAGCTAGGATTACAAGTGTGTGCCACCATGCCTGGCTAATTTTTGTATTTTCAGTAGAGATGGGCTTTTGCTGTGTTGGCCAGGCTGGTCTCAAACTCCTGACCTCAGGTGATCCGCCTGCCTCCACCTCCCATAGTGCTGGGATTACAGGTGTACGCTGTGCACCCAGCCGCTGTTAGCGTTTATGTCAGGGATGGCCTTTTACAGGGATGCCGAATTGGAAGGACACACTCTCTAAGCCTTGTGGCATCTTGCTGTCCCTGTGGGTGAATTGAAGTCAGCTTCTCCCAGAGAGAGCGTGCATCTGCTTCTGACACTTACGTAGGAGGATTCCTATTATTTAAGTTCTGAGATTTTTTTGGACCGCCACGGTGGTGTGAATTTAGAGTCCTAACGGGTGTGTGCCCAGCTCCCGTGATTCAGATTCTCAGGGGAGAGTCATTTCTCCTCCACCCGCCCTGTGCCTGCGGTTGAGATGTGCTTCCTTCCTTCCTGTCCTTCTCTTCATGATGGACTTCTTTCTCCTCTACCTTTGCGGTGACGGGGAGGCCCTTCCATCCCAGCTGTATGTGTGGGCTTCTTGTTAGAGATGGGGATCTTGGGTAGTTTTTTCTTTATCGATGGTTTGCAAAATAATGGTGAACCTTTTTTTATTTTTATTTTTATTTATTTATTTTTTTGAGACAGAGTCTCGCTCTGTGGCCTAAGCTGGAGTGCAGTAGCGCAGTCTCTCTCACCACAACCTCCACCTCCTGGGTTCGAGCAATTCTCCTGCCTCAGCCTCCCCAGTAGCTGGGATTACAGGCGTGTGCCACCTGACCCAGCTAATTTTTATATTTTTATTTTTATGTACATTTACTTTTTTTTTTTTTTTTTTTTTTTTAAGATGGAGTCTCCCTCTGTCGCCCAGGCTGGAGTGCAGTGGCGCGATTGCAGCTTACTGCAACCTCCGCCTCCTGGGTTCAAGTGATTCTCCTGCCTCAGCCTCAGGAGTAGCTGGGATTACAAGCATGTGCCATGACGCCCAGCTAATTTTTGTATTTTTAGTAGAGACAGGGTTTCACCATGTTGGCCAGGCTGGTCTCAAACTCCTGACCTCAAGTGGTCTGCCTGCCTCAGCCTCCCAAAGTGCTGGGATTACAGGCGTGAACCACCACACCCACCCAGACCAATAATGGTGAATCTATAACTGATGATGTCTTAGATTCATTGAAATAGAGTCTTATTTTACTGTTACTGTTCCCTCTCCTACCTCATCCCCAGGAAACATATCCATGATTTATAGCATCTTTTCAATGGGATTCTTGACCCAAAGAGGGTTCCTGGGCTCCACCTGGGAGTTGTAAGCAGGACTGCCAGTGCTTTGAGAGGAGGGTGCTTTGCTGGGTGGGCCCTAACTTTCTTCTCCATGGCAGGTCCTCAGCAAAGGGCAGCCCCTGGGTCCTGCGGGAGTTCAGGTGTCTCTGAGAAACACTGGGACCGAAGCAAAGATCCAGTCCACAGTTACACAGCCTGGCGGAAAGTGAGTAGCGTCCTGTCTCTTAGTGTTGCCTTAGAGCCGGGCTCTGACAGGGGTCATGGAGCTGGGTTTGGGAGTTTGGATTCAGGGAGTTCTGGGTTCAGATCCTGATTCAGCCTCTTAAGTTTGGGTGAGTTCATGCCCGTCAGAGTGCTGAGTTCCCCACATGTGAAATGGAATCCATTTGACCCATCTTGCCTAGCATTGATGAGATGATTAAATATGAGTTCATACTGGCCAGGCATGTTGGCTTGCGCCTATAATGCCAGCACTTTGGGAGGCCAGTATGGGAGGATCACTTGAGTTCAGGAGTTCGAGACCAGCCTGGACAACATAGGGAGACTCAGTCTCCACAAATAATTTAAAAAATTATATCAAGTAGAGTCCCACGGGGGAAGAAAATTAGCTGGGTGTGGTGGCATGCTTCTGTGGTTGCAGCTACTCGGGAGGCTGAGGCGGGAGGATTGCTTGAGCCTGGAAGGTTGAGGCTGCGGTGAGCCGTGATCATGTGCCACTGTGCTCCAGCCTCGGCAGCAGAGCAAGACCCTGTCTGAAACAAACAAAAAAAGAGTTAATACCCATAAAGCACCTGCTTCAAGGCCTGGGGCTTAGTGGGTCTTCATTTAGCAGCTCAGCCTGGCTCTGGAGCCTGCCAGCCCGGGCTTGAATCCCAGCTCCCCCATTTGCTGGCTGGTTGACCTAGGGCAAGTTCCTTAACCCCTCTGTGCCTCAGTTTCCTCTTTTGTAAATGAAGATAATTGTGGAACCTATCTCCTAAGGTACTGGAAAGATGAAATTAATATTATTACTTCAAGCTGCCTGGCATATTAGCTCAAATAGGTTAGCTCAGTTATGATTAGAAAAAATCATTATCATTATTATATCAAAACTGCTTTGTAGTTGGAACAGATGCCTAGCTGACCTTGCTGAGTCAGATTTAAAGCATTTATTTAATGGATGTATATAGTTGAGTTGTAAATGTTAACAGATATGCCAAGATTAATACCAGAATAGTTCAAACTGATAATTCCGAAAGCGTTCAAATCATTACTAACTCCGTTAATATACAAACTGAGTAAATTGCAAAATAGAAGTTTATAATGAGTCTGTCAGTAAGTTATTCAATTTTAAAGTTATTATTGTTGAAACTAGTTTTCATTTTTGAAATAACATTTACTTCTGCTTGACTGGTGCCTCTCCAGGCCTGGTGTGTAGCAGGAATATGGAGCTGTAATTTTTTTTCTGGGCTAGTAATTTGGTGTTGACCTTACTAGAAAAAAATAGTGTCTTGAGCCTTCTGAATACCTTTCATCTGCACTAACTGAAACAATGAAACATGTAGCACTGGGCTATTATGAAAATGAAATAGAACCTCAATCTTACCAATACTTGTAGTAATGTGATTTCCAAGACCTATCCAGTTATTGCAGGCAAGATTTGACACAATAAAATACCACAGAAGAAGAAATCAAATGCGTTTTCTAGTTCATTTCACCGGACTTAGCCTTCTCATTTGTCAGTTGCCTTACAAATTTGAAGGGATAAACATGTTAGTATACTGGCAGCAGCATTTCCAGCTTTAGCTCGGCTCACTCTGGTGTTAGTCTGTCTATGGCTAGTAGAGTAATTTTCATCAGCTGCTGGTTTCTTATCTCAGTTGCTTTGTGCAAAAACCCAGAATGACTTATCTGTGTTTCTCTAAAGCCTTTTTTCTGGGATTCAAAGCTTATCATAGTTTACCCTGCCCTGTGTCATTTGCATCATCTTGGGTCAGCGTCCCCCTCAGCCTGTGCATCTGTTCTGTTCTTTTTCACCCCACTTCTCCCTTCCCATGTGTTTCCTTGGACACTTCTGTCCCCTTCTCCTTGTCAGTTCATGCCTGTCACCTCTGTCAAACCCAGTCGAATGTTCTGTGACTGGTCCCTGCTGTGCTACAAGGATTGGTTTTATGCCAGAAATCCTTGAGATTAAGGGAGACGTAAGCACTCCTCTTTCCGATCAGCACATGGAGCACCCCTCTTGGCACACAGTAAGTGCTCAATAAGCGCTCTTTTATGCAGATTTGTACAGTGAAGGATTGAATTTCATTCATGCTCATTTAACAAGCTAATGGAAGTTTGCGATAATTCCAACATTGTTTTCTTGTGCTGCCAACATTAGTCATAGAATTAGAAATACTTGGGTTGTTTGGAGAAAGTTAAATGGTTATTTTTTATGTCTTAGGTTTGCATTTTTTAAAGTTCTGCCTGGAGATTATGAAATCCTCGCAACTCATCCAACCTGGGCGTTGAAAGAGGTGAGTGACAGCTACGTCTATAGCCATGCCAATAATATGCTGGTCTTGGGACAAATGTAGGGCTTTTCAATTTAGGATATGAAAAGAATTTATGGTTCCTCCAGGACTAGATGAAGAACCAATGGTGCTGTTGTTTAGTTTGGTAGTTATTTATAAGGTGTAACTCCTCACTGTAGCAGATGTTGCTTGTGTTAGTTTCAGTTTTAGGTGACAGTGTTGTCTTCCTGCTGTGAAATAGATCTGTTTTATTAACTATAGCTATTTTAAACTAAATCAACAACAGAAGGCCCTGACGAGATTTATTTGTTGTTCTTTTTTCAGCCTGAAACAGAAATCTGTAAATATACTAAACATTCTAGAAACTGTGGTACGCGTGACCAAGGAGAATGTATGAGAATGTTTATTGCAGCTTTGTTTGTAATAGCAAAATATTGTAAACAACCTAAATGCCTTTTAAGAGAAGAATGGATTGGGGTTCCATCATACAATAGGCTGCTGTATGTCAGCAGTAATGAATGAACCAGAGCTACATATATCAATGTAACTACATTTAAAAACAGAGTTGAAGGAAATATGATTTTAAATACTTGTGATAATCATTTATGGATACAGTCTTTTTTTTTTTTTTTTTTTTTTAAAGACGGAGTCTCGCTCTGTTGCCAAGACTGGAGTGCAGTGGCATGATCTTGGCTTATTGCAACCTCGGCCTTCTGTGTCCAAGCGAGTCTCCGGCTTCAGTCTCCTGAGCAGCTGAATTACAGGGATGTGCCACCACGCCCAGCTAATTTTTGTATTTTTAGTATATATGGGATTTTGCCATGTTGGCCAGGCTGGTCTCGAACTCCTAGCCTCAAATGATCCACCAGCCTCGGGCTCTCAAAGTGGTGGGATTACAGGTATAAACCAGTGCACTCGGCCAGATACAGTCTTTTTTTTTTTTTTTTTTTTTGCAACAGGGTCTTGCTCTGTTGCCCAGGCTAGAGTACAGTGACATATTCATGGCTCATTGCAGCCTCTGGTTCCTGGCCTTAAGCGATCCTTCACCTTGGCCTCCCAAGGATCTGGAACTGCAGGCATGTGCCACTGCCCCTAGCTAAGGATACAGTCTTTTTTTTTTGAGATGAAGTCTTGCTCTTGTTGCCCAGGCTGGAGTGCAATGGGGCGATCTCGGCTCATTGCAACCTCCGCCTCTTGGGTTCAAGCGATTCTCCTGCCTCAGCCTCCTGAGTAGCTGGGGTTACAGGTGCCTGCCACCATGCCCAGTTAATTTTTGTATTTTTAGTAGGGACAGGGAGGATACAGTCTTATGTAGAAAAATTATAAAGACATGTATGGGAATAGCAGACGCTGTTCAAAATGATACTGACTTCTAGAGAAAGAGGGAGGAGGGGGACTTCGGGGTACGCCAGCATCTTGAATTGTATTTTTTTAAATTTCTTTAGCTGGTTAGAAGGTATGTAAGTGTTCTTTAGCATATCTTTTTTTGTTTGACTGAAATAGTTTATAGTCAAAGATCAAAAAAGGAACTCCACCTAGTAGGTGAGGTTCTGTAATAGCCGTGAAAGACCAAATTGAAATAAGACTTAAGGGACATCTTGACATGTTAGCTTCTGTGTTAGTATTGAAGCTGTATCTCATTTTTGCTAAAGAAGCATTGGAATCAGTATTTCAGCTTCTACTCTATCTGTTTTATTATTATTTTTACTCTGTAGGTTTTACGCACTTATAATTGATGATAGTTTCACACCTAGATGTCTCTTCTTACTGTTTGTGACTTTTGGTTTTGGGGGTTTTTCTCTTCTGCAGCAACATTTAAAAATATTTTATTCGAGGCTGGGCGCAGTTGCTCATGCTGTAATTCCAGCATTTTGGGAGGCTGAGGTGGGTGGATCACTTGAGGTCAGGAGTTCGAGACCAACCTGGCCAACATGGTGAAACCGCATCTCTACTAAAAATAGAAAAAAATTAGCCAGGAATGGTGGCATACACCTGTAATCCCAGCTACTCGGGAGGCTGAGGCAGGAGAATCGCTTGAACCTGGGAGGTGGAGGTAGCAGTGAGCCAAGATTGCACCACTGCACTTCAGCTTGGGTGACAGAGTGAGACTCCATCTCAAAAAAAAAAAAAAAAAAATTTATTCGAAATGAAAGAGCTTACACATTTATAAATAGAAGAGATTTTAAGGTTTACATTGTATGTTAATTGTCTGCATAGAAGAATCTGAGTTTATTAATATGAGATTGGGATTTTCAAGTAAAGCATGTTGTTAGAAGTCAGGATAATGTTTATCTTCCTGGGGTGTTAGTGACCGGAAGCAAGTGTGAGGGCACTTCTGGCTTGCTGGTGCTATTCTGTTGGGTAATCAGTGCCCAATTTGTGACAAGCCCTGTGCTGCGTGCTTAGAATCTGTACACTTTTCTCTGTGTTTATTGTACCTTAACAAAAATGTTTAAAAATATACACATATTGTGAAAAGAACAACTTAAGGCAAATTAAACAGAGTTTAATTGAGCATAGAACAATTTGTCAATTGGGCAGCTCCCTGAGCCAGAATAGGTTTACAGCGACTGTGGCACTGTTGCGTGATTGGAAAGGGTTTATGGACAGAAAAAGAAAGTGACGGACAGAAAGTGGAAGTGAGGTACAGAAACAGTTGGATTGGTTACAGCTGGACGTTTGTCTTATTTGCACATGGTTTGAACAGTTGGCTGCCTGTGAGTAGTTGAAGGGTGGCTGCTTGAATTGGGTGAGACTTGGCAACACGTAAGAGAAACCTTTAGGCCAAACTTAAAATATGTAAGGAGGCAGCTTTAGGCTAATCTTCAGTTAACACTATATATCATTAAAAATAGAAAAAAAGGCAAAATATGCTCATTAAAAAAATTGGAACATATAGAGGAATATAAAGCAGTGGAAACAAATTTTGGAAGCTGGAAAAGTATACAAGTAAAATAGCACCATATAGACAAAATCATTATTGTTTACATTTTGCCACATTTCCTTTCACTTCATTTTGGGCATTAAAAAATAATGATAAGCCAGGCACGGTGGCTCACACCTGTAATCCCAGCACTTTGGGAGGCTGAGGCGGGCGGATCACCTGAGGTCAGGAGTTCGAGACCAGCCTGGCCAACACGGTGAAACCCTGTCTCTACTAAAAATACAAAAATTAGCCGGGCGTGGTGGCGAGCGCTTGTAATCCCCGCTACTTGGGAGGCTGAGGCAGGAGAATCTCTTGAACCCAGGAGGCAGAGGTTGCAGTGAGCCGAGGTTGCACCATTGCACTCAAGCCTGTGTGACATACTGAGACTCCGTCTCAAGAAAAGAAGTGATCATACTGAATAAGCAATTTTATAGATTACGTTTCCCAGTTAATATTTTAGCTTCAGCGTGTCCTCATGTTGTTAGGCACTTTGCAAGTGTTTATTTTTTTACAGGTTAAAATCTTTTTCTGTTACAGGCAAGCACCACAGTGCGTGTAACCAACTCCAATGCCAATGCGGCCAGTCCCCTCATAGTTGCTGGCTACAATGTGTCTGGCTCTGTCCGAAGTGATGGGGAGCCCATGAAAGGCGTGAAGTTTCTTCTCTTTTCTTCTTTAGTAACTAAAGAGGTAAGCAAAGAAAAGAACAAAAGAGATGGTGTGAAGGGTAGGAGGGTGGGGGATTATAGACCAGAACGTACTGTTTTAAAAAATGCAGGTCTGAGTTGATTTATCATTTTAACACTTAAGAATATCGTCTGTCTCAGGCCGGGTGTGGTAGCTCATGCCTGTAATCCCAGCACTTTGGGAGGCCAAGGTGGGTGGATCACTTGAGGTCAGGAGTTTTAGACCAGCCTGGCCAACATTATGAAACCCCATCTCTACTAAAAATACAAAAACATTAGCCGGGCATGTTGGCACGTGCCTGTAGTCCCAGCTGCGTGGGAGGCTGAGGCAGTAGAATCGCTTGAACCCAGGAGGTGGAGGTTGCAGTGAGCCAAGATCACGCCACTGCACTCCAGCCTGGGTGACAGAGTGAGACTCTCAAAAAAAAAAAAAAAATTCAAGAATATCATGTGTCTCTGTTGACTCACAAGACATTGCACATCTACACTGGGAGGCAGTGGTATGTGATGGAAAGTACACAGGCTTTGAAATCAGACCTGGGTTTAAACAAATCTCAGATTTAAACAAATTCCTCTTCCTAGCTATGCGACCCTGGGCCGGTCACATTACCTTCCTGAGCTTCCGTTTCCTTATTTGGAGAATGGTGACCCATGATAAGGAAGGACAGTCATGTCATCTTTCCCGGGAAGACTGTGCCAGTTTTTAACTTTGCAACTTGAATGTCAAGATTTTTGTTCCTTTTATCTGTATTAATGTTTCTTAGATTTCAGAAATACATATATTGACATGAAACTTAAAAAAATTTTCCTATAATGTGGCTAATTGATGGTATTCAGAACATGTAAATGGAAAAGGAAGTCTTGTCTTTTTTACCCCCTGGCATAGGATGTCCTGGGCTGCAATGTCTCACCAGTGCCTGGGTTCCAGCCCCAAGACGAGAGTCTGGTGTATTTGTGCTACACGGTCTCCAGAGAAGATGGCTCGTTCTCTTTCTATTCCTTGCCAAGTGGGGGCTACACTGTGGTGAGTGAAGCAGATTTCCGTTCTGTTTATGTCTGGGACTCTCATGACACAGTAAAAGCCAATGCTGTTTGGGTGTTAAAGGAAAAGATGGTTGGCCTGCAGTTCTCTGAACATGCTGTTAAGCAGTAACTTACTTAAGATGAGACACTCACCCCTTCGTAATAGCTACAAAAAGGGCAAGGCTTCCTCTTTTCAAATCTGCAACAGTTATGATGAATGTTTCTCTTGGTCTGTCTGAACCCCTTGTCATTTGTGGGCTGCTAGATCGATTATTAATATTGCTGATTGATCATGTTAGTGGTTCTTAGTGATTAAGAGACTCTTCCTTCCAGATTCCGTTCTATCGAGGGGAGAGGATTACCTTTGATGTGGCGCCTTCCAGACTTGACTTCACAGTGGAGCATGACAGCTTGAAAATCGAGGTAAGGCTTTTCTGTCTTCTGGAGGGACAGGTGTTTGAGTTCCCATCCCTAGGCACAGGTATTGCAAACATGTTTTAAAAAAAAATCAATTATTTTATCTGGAAGGGCTGTTGGAAAAAATGCCATCTGGTATTATATTCTTACCCATGATGTCCTTATCGTAGAGAGCTGGATTCCTAGTTAAATCTACTCATTCAATGAAATATATTTATTGATTGCCAGTGACATGCATTTCAGGCACCATTCCAGGACTGGGGATATAGCAGTGACCAAAAGAGGCAAAAATTCTTGTCCCTGTGGACCTCATTTTTTTTTTTTTTTTTTTTTTTAAGACAGGGTCTCACTGTGTGGCTCAAGCTGGAGTGCAGTGGTACGATCTCATCTCACTGCAGCCATTGCCTCCAGGGTTCAAGTGATCCTCCCACCTCAGCCTGTTGAGTAGCTGGGACCACAGGCACGTGCCACCATGCCCAGCTAATTTTTGTATTTTTGTTAGAGATGGGGTTTCACCATGTTGCCCAGGCTGTTCTCTAACTCCTGGGTTCAAGTGATCTGCCTGCCTCGGCTTCCCAAAGTGTTGGGATTACAGGTGTGAGCCATCGCACCTGGCTAGACCTCATGTTCTAATGACAGGAAGGGTCAATACATGTATAGATGTATAAGTTAGAAAGTACAGTAGAAGGTGATAAGTGTTCTCTAGAAAAATAAAGGAAGAAAGGAGGTAGTACAGTATCAGGGTGGAGACAGGGGTTGCAGTTGTACATAGGGTGTTTTTGGGAAGTCCTCCCTGTGAAGGTGACATTTGAGCAACAACCTGAAGGGAAAGAACAAGAGAACCATACTTCACTCCTGCAGGAAGAGTGTGTAAGACTGAGGGAACGGCACGTGCAAAGGTCCTGAGGCAGGAGTGTGCTGAAGGGTTTGGGGCATCCCAAGGAGGCCAGGGTGGCTGGAGTGGAGGGAATGAGCAAGGAAGGAGGAGGCGGAAAGAGGGTCAGGGAGGTGACAGGGCAGATTGTGCAGGGCTTGGTGGGCTACTTTGCCTATAACTCTGGGTGAGAATTGGTGCCACTGGAAGGTTCCTAGCAGAGGAGTGGCGTGATCCTTCTGGCAGCTGCATTGAGGAGAGTTTGCAGGGTGTCAGGGTGGAAGTGGGAGACCAGTTGGGATGCCATGGCCGTAAACCAGGTGAGAACTGGCAGAGCTTGGACCGTGATGGTAGGAATGGGCAGTGTGATACATGGCTTGATAAACTGCCTAGACCCTCACATAAATGGTAAATGTATTTTTCATCTCACTTACGTCTCCTTTAATTACAGAAGTAGAAAATGGTTACTGTAGAAAATTGGCTAGCTAGAACAAATCCCAAAAGAAAATAACAGCCTCTCCTAAGTGGACCACCCAATGTTAGAGTTATCGAAGCAATTATATTTTAATCATTTTCTTTTAATAATTACATTTGAAAGTACTGTGTTAAAATCGCTTAAACTGGCAGAAGCGGACTTTTAGGTCATATGCACAGTGGGGTGCAGACTCTGCATTTTAAGATTCAGTGGAGTGTTTGACCGTTCTGCTGTACACTGGAGGGGAAAGAGAAGGGTAAGAAGATGAAGCCTTTACTTTGCTTCTCGTAGCTTGCAGAGAAGGATGGGGGCAGGTGAGCAGAGACAGCTATTCCCAGATTACAGCCAAATACATATTTTGAAAATGATGAATGGAATTTCAGGGAATGGGGCCCTGTAAGTTCCCTGAGGTCAGGTACTGTGTCTTATTCTTTACTGTTTTCCTAATATGTGATTTAGTGCCTGGCACATAGTAGGTGCCCAGCAAAAATATTTGTTGCGTACATATGTGAATTAATAAGTAGGTAATGCATGGAATGAAACATGTCTTTTTGGAAAGATCAATAAGGACTACCTGTCATGTGAGACCATCACTAAGAAACCATTTGCTGAAAAAAAAAATAAAAAAATAAAAAAGAAGGGCTCCCTGCATAAAAAGGAAGTCATTTAATTATTTAAAGCTTCATCTCAAATGCTGTTGCACACGTGCGTGCACACATTCATTCATTCAGGAGTCAGTTATTGAGTGCCTGCTGTGTACCAGGTGACTAAGACAGAAAAAGTCCCTGTCTCCATGAGGTAACATGCTAGTGGGAGGGAGACAACTAAGAAATCGAACGAGGACATTTCAGATACTGGTAAGTTTGATGAAGATATTAAAATAGGTTAGCAGTGGTGACCTTGGGGATACACAGATCAGGGCTGGAACTCAGTAACTGCAGAGAAAGCACAGCTGTGCTGCTCACAGGCGAGTGGGGCACAGACACAGACACAGACACATGGAGCACGGGACCACGTGTGAGCCAGTGATGGTGGTGGAGGAGGGTGGTCTAGGTGGATTTCTTTTTTTTTCTTTGAGACGGAGTCTTGCTGCTTCACACAGGCTGGCACTATCTTGGCTCACTGCAACCTCTGCATCCCGAGTTGAAGTGATTCTCCTGCCTCAGCCTCCCGAGTAGCTGGGATTACAGGCGCCCGCCACCACACCTGGCTAATTTTTGTATTTTTAGTGGAGACAGGGCTTCACCATGTTGGCCAGGCTGGTCTTGGACTGCTGACCTCAAGTGATCTGCCTGCCTCGGCCTCCCAAAGTGCTGGGATTACAGGCGTGAACCACTGCGCCTGGCCTAGGTGGATTTCATAAGGACCTGTGTTCAGGTCGTGGTGGAAAGACAGGAGGGGACACGTGAGACCTTGCAGAGGTGGAATCCACAGGACTGATCGATGCTGGAGGAGCGGGGCGGGTCATCCAAAGTGATGCCGGGGTGTGCATGGGAGACTGGAGGAAGACGTGGTTCACCAAAATGGGGGCATCTGGAGGGGAGGAGATGGCACAGGGGTAAGGGTGGGGGGCTTCTAGAAGCTTGAGTCAGTGACCTTTTAACGAGGGAAGTAAGTCTCTAGACTTTTCTTTTCTGTTGTTTGACACTCAGCAGTGTGTTGGGAACACAACAGAGAAGACAGATGTGGGTAAAGTGAGAGGGAGCCCGGCTGGCACACAGGACCGGGGCACTGAGTGTTGGGAGGTGGGCGGCAGGAGCAGACATGGTAGGTGGTGGCCGGCGCAGCAGAAGGAGGCTTTGTGGCTCTGGCACAGGAGCACCTTCGAGCACCTTCTTGTTCTTTGTTTTCTAGCCCGTGTTCCACGTCATGGGATTCTCCGTCACCGGGAGGGTCTTGAACGGACCCGAAGGAGATGGTGTTCCAGAAGCAGTAGTCACCCTGAATAACCAAATCAAAGGTGGGCTGACACAGCAGCCCCAGGCTGATGGCCAGCGCTCTTTTTGGATCACAGAGAGAAATGGAGAGGAACTGATGACTATATGAGAACATGGCAGCTTTTGGTCCAAGTATTCTGGTGTACATGTAAGGATACACTGTTGTTTTTGGCTTATCTTCTGTTTGTGTGTTTTTGTTTTACAGTTAAAACAAAAGCTGATGGCTCATTCCGCCTTGAGAACATAACCACAGGGACATACACCATCCATGCTCAGAAAGAGCACCTCTACTTTGAAACGGTCACCATCAAAATTGCACCAAACACACCTCAGCTGGCTGACATTGTTGCAACAGGGTAAGCTTATCGTGTGGATTTGGAAGCACCAGTAAATATGCTGGCAGCCAGTGTAGAACCAAATGACCTGTGATCTGTGTGTCTTTGCCGAGCTTAAGAACTTAAGAAAGATTAGTACTTTTTTTTTTTTTTTGAGAGACAGAGTCTTGCCCTGTTGCCCAGGCTGTAGTGCAGTGGTGCCATCTCGACTCACTGCAACCTCTGCCTCCCAGGTTCAAGTGATTCTCCTGCCTCAGCTTCCCAAGTAGCTGGGACTACAGGCGTGCCCCACCACACCCAGCTAATTTTTGTATTTTTTAGTAGAGACAGGGTTTCACTATATGTTGTCCAGGCTAGTCTCAAAACTCCTAACCTCAGGCTGTCTGCCTGCTTTGGCCTCCCAAAGTGCTGGGATTATAGGTGTGAGACACTGCACCCGGCCAAGAAAGATTAGTTCTAAATCTTACAAACTGAAGGTACTGACATGTCGGATGCTTAATGAAAAGTCCCTTGCTTCAAATTAAAATGGGCTTGTGAAATTAAAAAATCTTTCATGTCTGACTTTCACGATCTTTCACAGGACCCCTCTTTGCTTAATCTTTGAGGATTTTTGGAAGATGGTATTGTTGGTTGAGAAAGCTTATTGGAAGATGCTTCAGGTCATTGGTGTAGTTCTTCCTGCTTGTAGTTACTCATTATACTATAAGTACAGGCAGGGACATCTTGTGGTTGAATTCATGTGGTTTTACCATCATCTGAAGCAAGATTGTGTAGTGCCAAGAACTTGGGCTTTGGAGTCAGATCCCAGATCCACCTGTATGTAACCTGCAGAACAGCTTTAGACATAACAGGTGCTCACAAAACAGTAGCTTAGAAGGAGACTGCAGGGTCTGCTTGGGAGAAGCGCGGCATGAGCAAAGTCAGGCAGTCTCACAGCAGCATGAGGTGGCTGCAGGTGTAAAGCTGGGTGCTACTGGAGCAGAATATACTGGCAGGTGAAGGTGATGATGAGGCCAACCCCATAGCACCTCCTCACACCCCACCAGGGCGTAGGGGCTTTCTCCCACTGGGGCCAACGGGCCATGAGTGGTTTTGAGCATTAATATAACAAGCTTTGATCATTGTTTTCAATAGGGCATTCTGAAAACAATGGCATGGAGTAGAGTGGCTTTGAAGGGGACAGGACTTGGGCACAGGAGGTCTGAAAGCAGAGACGACAAGGGCTTGCCTTGTAGGGAAGTCAGGGACAGACTGGTGAGATATTTAGGGTGCCCAGCTTGAGAGGTGTGATGGCTGGGGACAGAAAGAGAAGCCAGTTAGGTGATGAGGTTTCAGATTTGGCCACATTGGTCTGTAGGACCACTAGGTGGAGCTCTTCAATAGGTACTTGGATGGATGGTAAATCCTGAAGATTTGGCCGCAGGTGGCAGCCAGGACCTCAAATATGTATGTGCAAGTAGAATTAGAAGAACAGTAGGCCAAAAACAGAGTGCCAGGTGGCCCAGGGGGGGACCTAGGGAGCCTGAGGTCATAGGAGCTAAGAAAGTAAGTTTGGGGTAGGAGGTAGGGCCCAACAGGTAGGTGCAGGGAGCTGGGCCCTGGTGAACACAGTCCCCTGGCTTGATCACTGAGGAGGCCACAGTGACTCTTTTCTGTAGACAGATGGAGGTCAAGGTCAAGGAGTCCAGTGGTGAATGGAAGACAGGGAAGCAAATTACCCTCAGAAAGTAATTCTTGGATTTAAGTCTTTCCCACCTTCCATAAACACTTTGTGCAATTACTCTAGATGAGGCACTGAAAAATGCTTCGTACCTAATAATTAATCAAACTAGTGTTCCAGAGATGGGGCTTTCACCCTACCAGGGAGACAGACTGAAGACAAATACATCTGTGGCCAGGCTTAATGCCTCACACCTGTAATCCATCCCAGCACTTTGGGAGGCAGAGGTGGGCGGATCGCTTGAGCCCAGGAGTTTGAGACCAGCCTGGGCAACTTGGCAAAACACCATCTCTACCAAAAATGCAAAAATTAGCTAGTTTCATAACCTGGTCTAAAAATAAATAAAGAGATAAAAATTAAAAAATAACAAGATTTTTAAAAAAGACAAAAAAGACAAATACATTTATGCTGCTAAATTATGGCAAGTGTTGTGCAGGGAAGAGATCAGGGTGCTGCAAGAAGAGCTAATTTAGAGTGGGAGCTCTGCAAGGCTCTCTGGGTTGCAGAGACCTTAGTAAAGACTAAAAGTTAGCTAAAGAAAGATCTTCCCTAGTAGAGAAGCAGCATGCTCAGAGGCCTGCATAGGATAGGAAGGACCTGAAAGGCAGTCTGCGCAGCTGGAGGAGGTGGGTGAGGTCAGGGAGCTCTGGGGCCTTGTAGCCTTGCTTTGGGATTGGGCTTTGCTCCCTAATGCAGTGGAAACCCGTTAGGAGTTGTCTGTTGGTTGGCCGGGCACGGTGGCTCACGCCTATGATCTCAGCACTTTGGGAGGCTGAGGTGGGCGGATCATGAGGTCAGGAGTTCAAGCGCAGCCTGGCCAGCATGGTGAAACCCGGTCTGTACTAAAGATACAAAAGGTTGGCGGGGCATGGTGATGCGCGCCTATAATCCCAGCAACTCAGGAGGCTGAGGCAGGAGAATCGCTTGAACCCGAGAGGCAGGGGTTGCAGTGAGCTGAGATTGCACCATTGCACTCCAGCCTGGGCGACAGGGTGAGATTCCGTCTCAAAAAAAAAAAAAAGAGTTATCAGTTGGCAAGGGAGTGATAGGGATCATGGTACTTTAAAAAGTTTGTTTTTCTTCCTGGCTGCTGTGTGGAGAATGGATTGGAGGAAAGCCATGGTGTGAATGGAGGGGCCAGATATGAGGCAGTCATGGTTGTCTGGAGGAGATATGGTAGTGGCTGGGCCCAGGCGGCTGGCAGGCGAGGGAGCGAGGAGTAGATGGATTTGGTAGGTCACATGGAGAACACACCCACAGGCCTGTGCTGTTGAGGTTACAGGTTTCTTATTTGAGCCACTGGGTAGATGGAGGCGGTGCTGTTCACGGAGATGGAGGAAATATATTTATTTTCTCCTTTAAAGTAGAGTATTTGGGTCAAAGAAAGAAAAATAGCATTTGTTGAACATTTTTGGAAAAATCTCTTTTTTTTAATTGGCCGATGTAGTACATTTGCCTTTTTAGCACACTGATACTTCTTACTATTTCTTTTCCTTTTTATTTTTTGTTGAGCCAGGGTCTTACTCCGTTGCCCAGGCTGGAGTACGGTGGCGCCATCTCGGCTCACTGCAGCCTCCGCCTCTCGGGTTCAAGTGATTCTCCTGCCCCAGCCTCCTGAGTAGCTGGGATTACAGGCTAATTTTTATATTTTTTAGTAGAGATGTGGTTTTGCCGTGTTGGCTAGGCTGGTCTCGAACTCCTGACCTCAAGTGACCCACCCGCCTCGGCTTCCCAAAGTGCTGGGATTACAGGCTGAGCCATGGTGCCTAGTCTTCCTTTAAAGTAAAATAAAAAAATTACTCAATTTATTGTAAAAACAAACTCTTTGGCTTCTGTCCAAATGACTGTGAAAATAGATTTCTCTCAATATCCACCAATATTACCTGTTTCTGTCCATATATGTATTTAAACCCTGTTGAAAGAATTTATTGATACAAATCAATTTTTAAGGGCTTCAGTATAACGGAACCTTTTTCTACCACCCTTTTGGTTTATTTTTCCAAACTAAGCCAGTATAGATTTGAGGTTTAGGGAAAATAGGCACTTCTTTTTAATAAGAATGTGGGCTAAAACAGATCTTATGGTTCAAATATTTACAACTTAAGGAGGCAAAGAGATTTGATAGGAAATAGACAAGGTGATGTGTCCTCTGACAGGTACACAAATCAAGAGAATATGACAGGTCCTTGGGAATGATTGTGTCAGTGTTCGCTTCCCATCCTTTTATTCTGAAAGTTCACAGTAGGGGAATGTGAGAACCAAAATGCATATGCTAGGTCAGGGACTGGGACACTTTCTCTGTGGAGAGCCAGAGAATAACTATTTTAGGCTGCGTGAGCCATACGGTCTCTAGGACAACAGCTGAGATAGACATTTGTAAATGAATGGGCAGAGCGCAACACAACTACATTTTTGGACACCACAGTTTGCATTTCATGTAATTTTTACATGTGAAATATTATCTTTCTTTTGATTTTTTTTTTTAACTTTAACCACTTAAGAGTGTAAAATTCTTTTTCTCGGCTTGCAGTTCATACACAAACGGGAGGGGGGTCCTTGGGTGGTAGTTTGCTGACCCATGCTGGAGATAGTGAGCTCATATGGCTGGGCAGTCCCTTCACTCTGAAGAAATGGCTGTGTTTTTCATAATTCCTAGATTTCACATACACAATCTTCCACCATTTCCTTGTGTTTTCCACTGTTTTTTTATTTGAGGCGGAGTGGTGGTTCCAACATTTAATGTACCCCTAATTGTCAGAATCCAACATTCTTGATTATCTTTATGTCAGAAGTAACTAATTTTTATCTAAAATGATTCTTGAAGATTCTTTAAAATGAACAGTTGAAAAGACAACTGTGACCCCCAGCTAGGATGTACTATTACACTTTAATACACCAGCTGCTTCAGAAATGAAGACCAGCACTCCAAGGATGATGGTCGTTGTAGGGGGGCCTCTCGTGTGTTATTCGAGGGATGCCTTGCAACACCTTACTCCTTATTTAGAATCTCAAATCTGAATCATTACCTTAATAGGGCTTTTCAGTTATAAGTTACATTGTGGCTCCTACCTCCCAAGGAGTTCAATTTTAGCTTTGCATTTTTTAACTTAATTACCTTTTCTGTTCCAATCTCCCAGTTTGCTTTCATCCATGTATTATATATAATCACAAGCAAGGAAGACGTCTTTGATAATCCTGACTTATTTGATGGCCTGGTAATGCCACAGTTTCTTAGGCAGCTTAGAGCTCTTGCTTTTAAGGGCTAGCCCACATTCTCAGTCCAAGGCCGCTCTGCTGTCAACGATCCAATTACCTGAAACGTTTTTATTATCTGCAGATTTTCTTAAAATTGCCTCTGCAGTGGGGGATTGCCAGATGTCACCCGGAACACACAAACAGCCCCACTACGGGCCCCTGTTCTGTAGAAAGATGCCCAGTCTTGCTTCTGAAGGTTGCTTTTTAAAACCAGAATGAAGGTTGCTTTTTAAAACCAGAATCATCTGGATTGCATTCTGTCTCTTCATTAAGATTAGACTATTCTCAGGAACAAGGGCTGGGAGAGGGCTGCATCTTTTTTGGTCGATAAGAGCCTTTCCTGTTATAATTGAGTCCTCGTGCTGGAATGAATGGTCTTCTCTTTGCAGGTTCAGTGTCTGTGGTCAGATATCAATCATTCGCTTCCCCGACACCGTCAAGCAGATGAATAAATACAAAGTTGTCCTGTCATCTCAAGACAAGGACAAGTCTTTGGTCACCGTGGAGACAGATGCTCATGGATCATTTTGTTTTAAAGCAAACCCAGGGACTTACAAAGTGCAGGTGCGATGCATTGTTTTAAATTTAAAATGTTTTGAGAAAAAGCAGTGATTTTTAGAAGGGTTATTAGGTCGAATGGGGTTAGAGAAGGAGCATTCCAGTTTCCAACTTCTTGTTTTTAAGTCTTTACAATCCTGCACCAGTAGAGGAGAGTCAGATAGGCATCCAGCTAAAAAATAATGCCATCTGCCTCTCTTTTTTCCAGTCTTGATGTTTATTAGTATCAGGCTGCCAGTCACTCCTCTACCTTCAGGCTTCTGGCTGCTGTAGAATGTCGATGAGTCCAAGAGGACACCAAAAATGAACTCTACTAATGGCCGCTCAAAAATGGCCATAGTGCGTGGCTTCTGGGACCCCAGGCCAAAATGGAGCTTCCCATTTCCTGCTTTGCCTTGACTTCAAGATGGCTAGGCAGGGACCACGCGACTTATCCATTCAAGCAGGCCGAGAACGGGGAGACGGTCTGGCCTGTGGTCTCATCACCATGGTGAAGGCCCAAGCCACAGCTGGCCCAAGCAAGCAAGAGACAGGACAGAGCAGAGGTCAGCCCACCATGCCTTTCAGTGCAGTGGCCCTGCCCTTGGGGAGAGACTGTTTCCGTGGGCTGTCACCCATCAAATCAGCAGCTGCCCTTCCTCCCTGTGGAAGAGCAAATAACACAAAGGGAGAGGGCCGAGAAGGTTCCCTGTTAGACTCTGCTGTCCTCTAGGGCAAAGTGGGGTCCCTCCCTCTGTGGGAAACAGGGTAGGAGATTGCGTTCTCCCTGCTTCCACAGAACAGCGTGGTGTGTGGGTTGACAGCTGACTTTATTAGATGGTAGCTGGCTTCTTGCGAAGATGTCCACATTGACAAGTCTTTGGAAGCCCTTTCGGAAGCATGATGGACTTCTCCAAGGAAGGGCAGTGTCGTCTTTACTAGGGATGAAAGAGTTGACCGCTGCTACCTTCACCTGTTCCTCTTCTTAGCCCATGAAAGGCACGCAGAACAATAGGAGGAAGAAAATGACTTAATTCCACCAAAGTGTCATCCACATAGTGTTGACAGGTTCAGAGCTTATGCTACAAGTGATCCGAAGCCGGGAAAAGTGACTGGGATGTAGTATGGTTTCTAGTATGTAAGTGAGGCGTGTCCGCGTTGCGGGCCTGTGGGGAATTAGGCCAGATAGACTTTTGTTCATACACATCGGTCTGTTGAGGCTAATTTTTCATCTGGGTAGAACCGTGCTTACTTCACACAAGTTATTCGTGGATTTGTTGTGATTGTAAAATCAGCCTGGAAACGAACCTTTGGCCTTCAAAATCTCTTTAGCCTTGGTCCCAGATGAATGTTCTAGCGCCCTGTAGGTCAGGGGGAAGATCTCCCCGAATGCAGCCTCTAACGTTCCATCCACGTTTCCGCAGGTGATGGTTCCTGAGGCAGAAACCAGAGCAGGGCTGACGTTGAAACCCCAGACATTTCCTCTTACTGTGACCGACAGGCCTGTGATGGATGTGGCCTTTGTACAGTTCTTGGCATCAGTTTCTGGGAAAGTCTCTTGTTTGGGTAAGATATCACTGGAAAGTAAGAACACATAGTTTCAAAGAAGTCAGCCGGTAGGAGTGGGATTTGGGAAACTTTTTGTTTTGCCTTTGTTGTTTGCTACTGATCACCTGCGTGCGAGGGAGGCTTCTTGGAGTCAGGTGGGTACATGTTAACTTGAAAGAAGCGCTCCGTCTGCCTCCGGCCACTGCCTCTTAGGAGCTCAGCAGTAGCAAGAAGCTATTACATAGGGTTAGGATTCGAACCTGTGCTGAAGCCTTATAAGGGGTCACATGGAGCCCTCCCTTCTTTTCCCTGCAGACACCTGTGGTGACTTGCTGGTGACTCTACAGTCCCTGAGCCGCCAGGGTGAGAAGCGGAGCCTCCAGCTCTCCGGCAAGGTCAACGCCATGACTTTCACCTTTGACAACGTGCTCCCTGGAAAATACAAAAGTAAGAATTGGAATGCAACATCCTGTGGCCCTCACACACTTCTTGTCTTTGTAAACTTTCTAAAACTCAGGTCTCAAATTGTATCACGACCATGTACCTTTCCTTGTTTTAAGTCGTCTTTGCCTCGTGACCTTGACTGCATTATTTAGCGTTGGACAAGCATGGAGGAGTCCAGGCCCTGAGCTGACCGCCACCTTGTCTGCACAGCCCACTGGCGGCTTCTGTTAAGGGAGGGTGCCCCGACGTATGGCATTTTATTTCTAAAGCCCAGAGAAAGGAGTGTGAAATAGTTCCACTGATGTGTTCTACTAACTTAGCAGTACTGGTGCTGAGTACTGGCCATGGCAAGGTACTTGACCTCCCTGAAACTCAGTTTTCCCATCTGTAAAATAGACGTAATAGAACCTTTCTGCAGAATATAAGACTAAAAGAAGTAAAGTTTATAAAGCCCGTTGTGCAGAGAGCCAGCTAAGTAGCTGGTGCCCACAAATGTTACTTCCCTTTTCCTTGCCCTTCTTAAGAAGCCACTTCTTGCCTGTATTTCTGCTTTTTCAGAAATCAGCTTGGGGCTGCTGGCAGTGGATAGCTCATAAAACAGACTGCTTTTTCTGGAATTATATTAATATTTTCTGTTATGGCAGGGCTTGGCAGACTACAAAAACTGCCTTTTATAAGCGTAGTTTCCTTAGAATACAGCCTTGCCCATTTGTTTATGGATTCTCTATGGCTGCTCGTGTGTAACAGTGGCCAAGTCGAGTGGTTGAGGCTGACAAAGCATGTGGCCTGCAAAACTGAAAAGAGTTACAGAAAAAGTTTGTGGATCCCTGAATACCTTACTTGCAGCCTGATCTTACAGGCCCCATTAGATTTCTTTCTTGATGTAATGGAAATTGGTTCCAGTTTTTCTTTCTTTTTTTTTGAAATTTAGCCTCGCTCTGTCACCCAGGCCGGAGTGTGGTGGCGCGACCTTGGCTCACTGCAACCTCTCCGCCTTCTGGGTGCAGGAGATTCTCTTGCCTCAGCTTCCCGAGTAGCTGGGATTACAGGCATGCACCACCATGCCTGGATAACTTTTGTATTTTTAGTAGAGATGGGGTTTTGCTATGTTGGTCAGACTGGTCTTGAACTCCTGGCTTCAAGCCATCCACTGCCGTCGGCCTCCCAGAGTGCTGGGATTATAGGCATGAGCCACCACGCTCGACTCCAGGTTTTCTTTAGCAGTAATTTATTCCAAATACTGCTAGTTATAAATATATGTATGTGTATATTTCTATCTTTATGTCTACATACACACCTGCTTTTTAAAATTAGTTAATTCATGATCATTGTTTCTGGTGGCGTGCAGGGAGGTGGTGTGCTCCACGCCCATGTATCCGTTTTTGGTGTTTGCTTTTGCAGTAAGCATCATGCATGAGGATTGGTGCTGGAAGAACAAGAGCCTGGAGGTGGAAGTGCTGGAGGATGACGTGTCTGCAGTTGAGTTCAGGCAGACGGGCTACATGCTGAGATGTTCCCTGTCTCACGCCATCACTCTGGTATGTACGGCTTATGGAGTCTCTTATTTGGAAAAGCGCTTGCCTTGTGGATGTCAAGAAAGACTAACATCCCAGGAATATTGTAAACGTAGGCAAGTCAGATTTCCTTTTCTGCCTCTGCACTCACCCACCTGTTACGCAACGCATAATCAGGAAGCATTTATACTCTCTCAGTGGAAGGACCCCTGTATTTAGGAGGTTTCCTTGTCCTGGCCCTACACTAAATCTGACTGGTGATTCGGGGTGACCTTTGGTACAGTGTAGAGCACACTGGCTTTATATTATTAGTAATAATAGCTTTGGGTAAATTCATTTACTGCTTCTCAGCCTCAGTTTTCACCGAAAATTGAGATCTTAATACCTACTTCTCAGGGTTATGGCAGGGCTTAAGTGAACCCTCTTAGGTATCAAAGTGTCCTTGGTGTACACCGCTCTGTACTGCCAAGTGAGTTTCTCTGATATATATATATATATATATATATATATATATATATTTTTTTTTTTTTTTTTTTTTTTTTTTTTTTGAGATGGAGTCTTGCTCTGTTGCCCAGGCTGGAGTGCAGTGGTGCAATCTCGGCTCACTGAAACCTCCGCCTCCCGAGTTCAAGCGATTCTCCTGCTTCAGCCCCCCGAGTAGCTGGGACTAGAGGTGCGTGCCGCCATGCCCAGCTAATTTTTTTCTTTTTTTTTTGTATTTTTGTTAGAGACAGAGTTCCACCATGTTGGCCAGACTGGTCTTAAAACTCCTGACCTCAGGGGATCCACCCGCGTTGGCCTCGCAGAGTGCTAGGATTACAGGCGTGAGCCATTGTGCCCCACCTTCTCTGGTGTATTTGTTCCAGTGCAGGGGAAGAAGCTGTAAACAGGATCTTAGCTTCTTGTTGACTGTGGTCTCTGTGGCCTGAAAGGCAGTGTGAAATGGGTTTCAGGAGCACCTCTGTAGATCCCTTCGTGAATTTTCTATAATGTTTTGATGTCGAGCGGCGGCAGATGTCATCGTCAGGTCTTAGTTTCTCTGTAGAGAAACTAGAAGAATTGGAACTGGTGTTTCATGTGCCAACTTACTCCCCTAACTGCTTAATTACAAAAACTCCACAGGTCGATTTGTTATAGGAGATCGATTAATATCCGGTTCATAATAAGTGATAGATATTTAGGAAACCTTTCCCTTCCAGCAGTGGAGTGGATTTCCAGCTCTCTTGTAATAAGATCCTTTTTTTTTTTTTTTTTTGACACTTCCTTAACCCCTTCTTTATCTCCTCCCACTGTCCCCTCACTCGCCGGGCCCCAGCCACAGTGGTCCTCTGCAGTCCCACACCAAGCTCACTCCCTCCTCGGGGCCTTTGCACATACTCTCCCCTCTGCCTGGAGTGCTGTGACTTCTCCAGAAACACGTGTTGTTGGTTTTTCCTCCTCATTCAGGTGCAGCCCTATTGTTCAGGAGAGATGTGCCCTGGGACCAGCGAGCTAAAGACCCCTCGGTGGGGATTGTTCTTCTCTTGCTTTCCTGTTTATTTTCACAGCTTCGTTACTGACCAGTTGAGATCACTAATTTATTTGTTGTTGCGTTGATTTTGTCTTCCTGTATTAGAACATAAGCCCTGTGAGAGCAGGAGCCATGGTCATGACTCCCAAGGCCCAGCCTTGTGTCTGTCACATAGCAGGTGCTCAATAAATATTAGTTGATTGAATGAAAAATAGCACACTTTTGTTGGAAGTTTTGGGAGGTTTTTAATTTTCCTGTGGCACCCAACTGCTCCAATGATTAATGGGCAAAACAGATGACTGGTTTGGAAAGAGAAATATTATTAATCATCTTGGTGTCTCCATCTCTCTTAGTAAGTCATTGTATTGGCTTTGCTCCCTTAGGAATTTTATCAGGATGGAAATGGGCGTGAGAATGTGGGGATTTATAACCTCTCCAAAGGAGTCAACCGATTCTGCCTGTCCAAGCCTGGTAAGTTTGGAAGGATTGATGTGCCATGAATTAGAAAAATGGAAAGGCACCAGAGGATGGTTTTGAAGGCATTTTTTTCTACCTTGGTTCTGTTTGCATCAAGCTTTCAATTTCTGTGTGTTCAACCTGCTCTTGTTTTTCTGTCTGTCTTGGGTTTGAGTTGGGTAGACACCACTGGGCCCTTTCACCTCCAAAAATATACCATTGGCCAATGGCCTCTCTTTATAGAGCTGTTTTAAAATTTGAATCATTTCCCACTTTGCTTAAAATCTTTCAGTGGCTTCTCGCTCTTTCTCATTTTTTTTTTCTCTTTCTTTTTTTGAGATGGAGTCTTGCTCTGTCACCCAGGCTGGAGTGTAGTGGCTCGATCTTGGCTCACTGCAGCCTCCGCCTCCTGGGTTCAGGCGATTCCCCTGCCTCAGCCTCTCGAGTAGCTGGGATTACAGGTGCCCACCACCACATCCGGCTAATTTTTGTATTTTTAGTAGGGATGGGTTTCACCACATTGTCCAGGCTGGTCTCAAACTCCTGACCTAAAGTGATCCGCCCGCCTCAGCCTCCCAAAGTGCTGGGATTACAGGTGTGAGCTGCTGCACCCAACCCTCTCTCTCTTTTATAATGGCTTTTTTTGGAGGCAGAATTTGCATATCATAAAACTCACCTATTTAAGATGTACAATAAAATGATTTGTAGTAAATTTATCAAGTTGCACAACCATGGCCAGAATCCAGTTTTAGATTTGTTCATCACCCACAATGTAAGATCCTCTGTGCCCGTTGACAGTTAATCCCTGTTTCTAGCCATGGCCAGCCACTGATCTATTTTCTGTCCCCATGGATTGGCTTTTTTTGGACGTTTATCATACGATGCTGGTATTTTGTTTGGCTTCTTTTATTTAACATGTTTTTGAAGTTTATCTGTGTCATGGCACATATCAGTAGTTTGTTCTGTTACATTGCTGTGTAGTATTCTGGTGTGTGGTTATATCATATTTTGTGTATCCATTTATCAGTTGGTGGATATTTGAGTGGTTTCCAGTTTGACGCTGTTATGACTAATGTTACGGACATTCTTATACAAGTCTTTGTGTCCGTATGTTTTCGTTTTTCTTGTTTCGATACCTAGGAATGGAATTGCTGCATTGTGTGATAAGTTTATGTTTAACCTTTTAAGAAACTGTCAAATTGTTTTCCACAGAGGCTGTGTCATTTGATATTCCCACCAGCAATGCACGAGGGTTCCGGTTTCTTCACCTCCTTCGCCAACATTTGTTATTGTCTGTTTTATTATAGTCATCTTGGTAGATGTGAAGTCGTGTCTCATTGTGGTTTTGTTTTGCATTTTCCTAATGAATAATTCAGTGGCTCCTCCGTTTGGTTCCCAAGATAAAATACAAACTCCTTAACCTGATCTTAGCTCCTGTGTAACCCAGCCCTGTCTGCCACTGTCTCTACTCCAGCCACTCTGTCCTTCTGGGTGTCAGTTCAGCTGCCTTTGGCTACATGTAACAAAATCCATACAGCAGTGCCATTGGCAAGTGGTAGTTTATTTGGCTCAATAAAGAAGTGTGGCAGTGCGTGGCTGCCAGCATGGGTTCAGCAGCTGGTAGATGTTAGGGGTGGTGTCTTTGTGATTCTTTAGGCCTTTCCCTTCTATTTTTTGCCTTGTATTTTCAAGATGGCTGTGGTTAGAAAACTTATGTTTAAAGGAGGAAGTCAAGGAGAGGGCAGGCAAACATTTCCTTGCGCCCCCTCCTCCAGTAAGCTACTTGTCTGTATTATTGGCCAGAACCGTGCCACATGGTTACTTCTAGCTGCAAGGGAGGCTGGGACAGTTGGATGTGCTACCCGAGGCTGAGCACGTTGCCACCCTCAACATAACCAGGGTTTGTTCTCAAGGCAGGAAGGATGCCTGTTGAGGAAACAATGAGCCAGCCTGTGAGGCAGATGCTGTTCTCTGTGGACATCTCCTCCTGCCCCTCCTAGCTGGGGCCTTCTTACCCATCAGTTCAGTATTGCTTCCTGGGGAAGGATGGCCTCCAGGGCCACTTAGGCCTGCCTCCTACACTCTTGCTCTCAGCACTCACTTCTATCCCCTTCTTGCATGTGCCACAATTGATATGTTTGTGGCTGTCAAATGCTCCCCCTCTCTGTGGATGGTAAACTCCATGAAGACAGGGACCACTGCTCTGTCATTCCCCACTGTGTACCAGTACCTAGCATAATACCTGGCCAGGAAGAGATGCTCTGTCGATATTTGTTGAATGAAAGACCAAACAAAACAAACAGAGAAACCTGATTTTTTTTTTTTTTTTTTTTTGATGGTAACTACTCTGGGGCTTGTTGAGTGCAATGAAAACAGCAGGGTGGTTTTAGCTAATTTCAGGTTTTTGTAGGAAGTGTGGCCAAAATACTGGTTAATGATGATTTGGGGGAAATACATTGTTATTCCTTGTATCTTCCTGAAATTGACTGTGTTCCTCTGGCAAGTGATGAAATGTACCCCTACTCGGAGTGTCCTCCCACACAGACTCACACTTTTCTGGGGCTTCCCTTACTCCTTACCTCCTTTTTAGGAATATTTATAGGAAGAAATTGAGGCTGTGGTTATCTCTTGGATCCTTAATAGAATCTTTTAAGTAGGAAATTATCCTCAGTCCAATTTGCAGTAGAAACGTACTTTCTGTTCCTTCTCGTGCATGGGTCCGTTCACCTGGTCTGTGCAGATTTAACTACTGTGAGTTGTTACCTTATGGAAAATGAAAATCATGCGCCTGTGATCGGGCCATTGCATGGATCGGGTCATTGGTAAGACGCCTTCATAGGCAGTGAAAACGATGCCTGCCCAGTATTTCTGATCCCATTATTGCAGATCTGCGATACATTTGAGTTTTCACATGCAAAGAGCTGCCACTCGATTTCAGATGTCGGAATTGCTCAGTGTAATAGATGCCATTCTCTGAAAATTACTTTTGATTTCCTGTCTGTAGGTGTGTACAAAGTGACCCCTCGCTCCTGCCACCGGTTTGAGCAAGCGTTCTACACCTATGACACGTAAGCCTGGGAATTGAATGCTTTGTGGTGTTTGTATACATTCCGTGGAGGATTCTTCATTTACTTCAGAGAACAAAAGGAGTTTTTCTGTTTTTTTTCTGAAAGAGGCAAGGTTAGGCCTTCAACAGCATTTCTAGATAAGGATTTTAAGACACTTGGATTAGTTACTGAGGAACCGGAGACAGGATCCCTTTCCCAAGAATTCTGTAACCCCAGGATAGAGGGCTGTGTTTTTGAAGTGCCTTAAATAGAAGCTTTGTCAAATCTCCCAGCCCTCACCGATGGGCATCTGTCAAGTTCAAGTCTGCCATTTTTGTATTTTTACAGACGTGTGTGGGTTTCACTGGGAATTGGAAGCATAAAGTTGTGGAGTGGAGAATTAGTTTACTCTTTAAAATACTTCTCTGGATCTCCAGAGTTATTTTACCCCAGACTAAAAGCAATTTTCTGTAGTATATTTAGGGTGAAGAAGGATGCCCAAAAAGGGTATTGCTGATGATCTTCTGAGAATGAGTAGGTTCTAGCGTTTCCTCTGCTTTGATTTGTAGGTCTTCACCTAGTATCTTGACATTGACAGCCATTCGCCACCATGTCCTTGGAACTATCACCACCGACAAAATGATGGATGTCACTGTGACTATCAAGTAAGATGAGCGTTCTGCAGTGGGCCGAGAGTGGCGGGAGAGGGTGTGGATGAGGCCTGGGGAGTCTCTAATAGGCTCTCTGGAAATTAGTTTTGATTTCTTATCTCTAGATGTATATACAAATGGCCTTCCCTCTCTTATAGGACATTGCCGTCAATTCCCAGCAGCCTTGATCCTTTCCTTTTCTGATTCAGAAATTACCTGTGGGTGAGGAAGAGCGTTGCGACAGCTTGTTTCAGTGTCTTCAATTTCTGTTTGAACTCTTTGTACTTCTCATCTTTGCTAAGGAAAAAAAAAATCTCTGGGGTTTGTGCATTGTATTTCAAGTGTTTTAGCAAATTCAAATTGCCTATTTTTCTTTAGACTTTTGCTTGAAGGCTTGGGAAATAGAGATGGCACCTGGTATAAGAGAAGGGTCGTGAGAGAGGAAGTATTTGAAAGGCAAGTCCCTCACCGAAGGTCACGTTCATGTGAATGTCACCTTTCAGGGAATTTTTGCAGTGTGGTGAGGTACCTGTGACGCCCCAATTTTCTTGAGAAATGAAAGAGTTTTGGCAACATGACCGTCTCTGTCAAGTAGAATGGGCATTGCAGTCCCTGTCTCCCTCCTGCCCCTGGTTGAAGTCACCTTTCCAGCTATGTTTCCATCTTTCTGTCCACCATCTGTTTATCCATCCGTCATCCCTGCAGAGTACATGATGACTGAAAAACTGAGAGTCTTCAGTGTTTAGGCACTGGGCTTATGAGGCCACAGCCCCTACACTTATGGGATTGACAGTCTCATGGGGGGAACAGTGGTCAGATACTCACATGCAGAACCGTAAAATGACAACTGTTCTGAGTGCTTTGAGCTTGACCTTGGGGGCATGCAGGACAGGTAGGCTGCGGGGGGCCAGGCCATGTTAAGGTCCATAGTCTTTGTCCCATGATGCAATTGACATGTTTTACATAGAGGAATGACATTTTTCTTCCTGAAGGTCCCCCTATTGGCCGAGTGGAGAACAGACAGAAGAGGCCTGAGAGTGGGAGGTGGTGGAGGCAGGGGGAGGCAATGGGGGCCCCAGACTAGTGGCTGCGGAGATGGAGAGCGACGGACTGGTCGGAGAGTCGTTGAGGGACTGAGTTGATGAGACATGGCACTAAAGTGACCACTGGGTTAGGGCGGGAGAAATGTCAGGGCTGGCCCTGGTTTCTGGTGATGGGGAGCCAGGTTTTTAGCTGGGGGTGGATTTGCCGAAGGTCTGTTGCTGTCTTTTACTATCATTTACTGTCTCCCTGCTTGGAAAGTATGAATTACTGATAGGACTAGCAATCTACCTTCTTACCAGTAGTAACTGCATGTTACCTCCTTTCAGCTTGATTACATTCATTTTTGTAACTTCACAAGGGTGTTTGTGTTGCTTGCTTGTGCCGGAGGTTGTATGGAATGCATCTTCCAGCTAGACAGAGCCACTCGGATTCCCCTGGGAATCGTGTACTCAGCAGACCCAACACCCGACTGCTGACAGTTGCCCTCCATGAGCCCCTCTGTGGTCTTTTCTGATTCAGATATGGCAGCTCCCGCTTTCTCCTTGTTTCTTGATTCTTATTTCCCTTGAACCCTAGGCCCAGCCAATTCCCCAACAAAGCCTTGGCTTTACAATCAAAATACACCCATCATCTAGTCCCTTTTTACCACTTGGCCCTCAGCCTTGGTCTGACCCCCCTCTGGGGTCACTGTAGCAGCTTCCCAGCTGGCCTTCCCTTCTTACCACGTGGCCCTCAGCCCTGGTCTGACCCCCTCCGGGATCACTGCAGCAGCTTCCCAGCTGGGCTTTGCTTCTTACCACGTGGCCCTCAGCCCTAGTCTGACCCCCTCTGGGATCATTGCAGCAGCTTCCCAGCTGGCCTTCCCTTCTCACCACGTGGCCCTCAGCCCTGGTCTGACCCCCCTCTGGGATCACTGCAGCAGCTTCTCAGCTGGCCTTCCTGTTTCCGCCATTGCTTTGTGTATTTTCCATGAAGGAGCAAACGATTTCTTTTATCATACCATTCCTCGACTGAAAACTCCAGTGGCTCCAGGTCGGCACCAAGCCTGTGAAGCCTCAGTCTGACATCTGCTGCCCCTTGGACCTCTCTGTTGGATATGACTCTTCCGTGGGCCCCTGTGCCCCAGGCTGGACTGGTGTTGCCATTGCTTGAACATCTGAGTGAGCTTTCTCTCCAAGGACTTTGCACTTGGCATCGCTTTGCCCAAGCTACTGTTTACCCAGAGAGCTGCGTGGCGCATTCTCTCCCTTCCTTCAGACCTTTGCTCAATGTCACCTTATCAGAAAGGCCTTGACTGTCCCTTTAATGTAAAACAGTGCTCCGGGCTCTCCGTCTTCCCACACTGCTTTATTTTTCTTTATTGCACTTTTCCTCTGGTATTATTTTTCTCTTTATTTTCAGCCCCTTCCCACTGAAACGTGGATTCCACAGGGGTAGGAAGTGTGGTCTGTTTTGTTGATGCTGTATCCTTGGTGCCTAGTTCTCTATCAGAGCAGTTCTCAGCGAAGGTAGAATGGAGAACAGAGGATGGTGGTGTGGAGAAAACTCCGTGTCCTACATGGAAGCTACAAGCTTATATCCAGTCGCCATAAAATCAACCGTATTTCATTCCAGCCCAGATCTACCAGATACTGCCACCATCACTGCGAAGCTCAGTTGTTATTTTTTGTGAAACTACTAGTTTATTTAAAACAGAAGACTCCGCCACTGTGGTGTCATGATAAGATGTCCAGTTTGTAACTCGCAAGTCCATACTCGTAGAAAGGTCAAATTCCCACTGACCACAAGGATACGCAACCACGTCCTAGGGGCCGCCATTTCTTTCTTCTAGGTCTTCCATCGACAGTGAACCCGCCTTGGTCTTAGGCCCTCTGAAGTCTGTGCAGGAGCTGCGGAGGGAGCAGCAGCTGGCTGAGATCGAGGCCCGCAGGCAGGAGAGGGAGAAAAACGGCAATGAGGAAGGTGAAGAAAGAATGACCAAGCCTCCCGTGCAGGAGATGGTAGATGAGTTACAAGGCCCCTTCTCGTATGATTTCTCTTACTGGGCGCGGTAAGCTCTCTTGTGCGTTTCCCTACAGTGTCCTCTGTTTTGTGGGGATAGGACCCGCCAAACTGAAGTATATTAATTATTTTAGGTCTGGAGAGAAAATCACTGTTACACCGTCATCTAAAGAGCTGCTCTTTTATCCCCCTTCAATGGAAGCCGTTGTCAGTGGAGGTAAATGTCAACTCAGCGAGCGAATGTCACACACACCTTTGCAGTTGTTCCCTTGCCTGCATTTACAAGTAGATTTGTGATGTTATAGTGAAGCCATCTTTGTAAGCCACCTTACATCCTCTCTGGCACACAGATGTTACTGTTGGTTGGATGGATGGATGGATGGATGGATGGATGGTTGGGTTGGATGGATGGATGGATGGATGGATGGATGGATGGATGGATGGATGAATGAATGATTTAGATAAATAAAAGTAACTTTTGCTGTTAGAATTGAGTTGATCTTTTTGGAAAAGGACTTGGTTTTCTTTGACATTATCAGGTCGACACCAGAAGGTAGATGAAGCACAAAGCTGCCAGTGATGATCTTTAATGATCTTTCTGTTGTTTGGCAGAGCATGATGGGAGGGTCTTTTTTTGGGGAATGGATGACTGAAGTGATCACTTGTGGAGTATTTGTCTTTTGCCACTTATTATTTTTTTCCCAGCACTCTGGCTTCGTTAAGTTGTGGGTGTTATGTGGTTCGCGTTTGGAAGCAGAGGGTGTTGAAGAGCGTGACTTCTAGCAGGCAGGCTGTTTGGGGCGGTCTTTCTCAGTGGGTCCTCCAGAGGCTGAGCAGCACGGCCTCCTGTCTGCTGTAAAGTGTTCCCTCCTGATCTGTGGCCTCCTGAGAACCTAGGAAGAGTAGTAGTAAAAACCCAGCCTTCAGCGTTTTTTGATTCTCTTGCTAAAGTCCTTCACACTGAGAAAGGCCTTTCAGGGATGGAAAGAGGCTTGGGCTGTATCCGATTATTGAGCTCCCCGGGGTGTTAAATAACCGCATTTGGAACTAGCTTCTAAGATCTGTTTTAGCCACTTTTGTCATGGGAAACCCCCAACCAAGAAGCTCCTGTCTCTGCTACCAAGCCCCATCCTTGTGTTTATTTCTTCCCCTCTTAGAAAGCTGCCCAGGGAAGCTGATCGAGATCCACGGGAAGGCAGGCCTGTTTTTAGAAGGCCAGATCCACCCCGAGTTGGAAGGAGTCGAGATTGTCATCAGTGAAAAGGGGGCAAGTTCACCGCTGATCACAGTCTTTACTGATGACAAAGGTGCCTACAGGTGAGCCCGGGTTAGAGACACATTTGCCTGGGATCAGCGTGGGAGTCCTCTGAAGAAACTGGGGCCCACATTTCCTTGGGCTTGGTAAGGCTTCCTGCAGGGTGTGAACAAAGCCGTTGCTAGCATTCTGCTCTCTCCTCTTCAGTGTTGGCCCCCTGCACAGTGACCTGGAGTACACGGTGACCTCACAGAAGGAGGGCTATGTTCTGACTGCAGTGGAAGGAACCATCGGAGACTTCAAGGCCTATGCCCTGGCAGGCGTAAGCTTTGAGGTAACTAACACTGTATTTTCAAAAGGCAGTTATACTGAGGTATAATTAACATATAATAAACTGCACAAAAAGGGTACAGTGTGGTAGTCTTGACCTAGGAATACACCCATGAAAACACCTCCACAATTAAAATAGCACATCTGTGGCCCTCAAGGTTTCCTCCTGCCCCTTGGTAATCCCTCCCTGCCACCCTTCCGCTGAGCTGATGATCTGCTTTTCATCACCATTGGTTAGTTTGCATTTTCGAGTTTTTATAGGTTGGTGCAAAAGTGATTGTGGTTTTTGCCATTGAGAATAATGGCAGAAACCGCAATCACTTTTGCACCAACCTGTATATAAATGGAATCAAACAGGATATACTGTTGTTTTTTTTTTTTTTTTGGTCTGACTTCTTTCACGTAGCATAATTTGGAGAGCTGTTGACTTTAGCATGTTTGTGTACCTTCTGGGAAGTAGTTAAAGCTGTCATCCATAACTGTTCCATTTTGAAGGACACAGAATGTTCTTACTGAGGCGTTTGCTGCCTAGCTCCCTTCCACCGGTCCTTTCTGGGAAGAAGCGTGCTGCGATTGTACAGGGTGGGTCTGGAGATCGTTGAGAATGAATATTTATAAACTATAGGCCAAAGGAAAAGAGTGACAGATTACATCGCATAAAAATTTAAAATTCTATATTGCTGAATACATTTGGAACCAAACTGAAAGATATTCAAACTCGGAAGAAATGTTTGTATCATAAATAATATCCCCATTTTACAAGGAGCTCCTAAAATTGGTAAGAAAAAGACAACCCACTAGAAAAAAAATGAACAAAGATTATGAAAAGGAAATTCATGGAAGTAACGCAGGTGACTAATAAACACAGAAACACAAAGCCTCTGTAGTTACTGAGGAAATGTGCTAAGGAAGTTACAGTCGAAACACTGTTTTGCAGGGATTAGATTTGCTGTAATTAAGACAATCTCTATTTTTTGGTAAGTGTGGGTTTTCCCAAGCATAAATAATTTATGGGACTGTAAGTGGTTACAGCCACTTTGGAATGCAATTAGATAGTATCTTTCTGAATTTAAAGTGCATGTATCCAACAATTCTACTTCTAGGAATGGATTGTTCAGGAAATAAAACTAAGTGCCTAGAGATACATATTTGGGGATATTCCAATTGTCTCTTGTGTACCACAAGAGTAGGTGCTGTGGTTTGTCAAACCCTGCCTTAGAATGCTATGCAGTAGTTAAGAAACAGGCAGATTTCTATTGGCTGGCAGAAGAGAACCAGGATAAATTGTTGAGGAAGAGAGCAAGTTGCAGAACTGTACATATAACATGCCATTTTTATTTCACCTCCTCCACCCACTCAATGAACTTGCCAGTCTGTGAACAATAATATGTAATGTTTATAAAATTTGTGTGGGCATAGAAAGAGTTCTGGGCGGGGCACGGTGGCTCATGCCTCTAATCCCAGCACTTTGGGAGGCCCAGGCATGTGGATTGCTTGAGCCCAGTAGTTTGAGATCAGCCTGGGCAACGTGGCAAGACCCGTCTCTATAAAAAATACAGAAATGTAGTTGGGCATGGTGGTGTGCGCCTATAGTCCCATCTCCTCAGGAGGTTAAAGCTGAAGGATTGCTTGAGCTTGGGAGGCGAAGGTTGTAGTGAGCCCAGGTTGTGCCACTGCACTCCAGCCTGGGTGACAGAGCAAGACCCTGTCTCAAAAAAAAAAAAAAAAAAAAGTTCTAGAAGGCTACACACCAAACTTACAAAACTTACAACAGTAGTTACCTGTGGGGAGGAAGATTAGGTCCCCTGTCCTCCTTTGAGTAACAATAAAAGAAAAAAACCTTGAAAAAATGACCTCTTGACTTGTGGAACTGTTATTTTCATAGTTAGTAGGAGTTTAACCTTGCTCTGGTCTCACCTTCTCATCCCCAGATAAAAGCTGAGGATGACCAGCCCCTCCCGGGAGTCCTCTTATCCCTGAGTGGTGGCCTGTTTCGTTCCAACCTCTTGACCCAGGACAACGGCATTCTGACATTCTCAAACCTGGTAACGTGTTCTGCAATTTACCACCTGCCTGTCTTCCCTGAGAGAGAGCCAGGATGCAGCATGCGAGACTTATGTGTTGCTTGACAACGTGAGAAGAGAAGGCCAATGTGGAGTGGTTTCAGTTTCTTGGGGGCCCACGGTCATTAGAGTATTGCTCTTACTCGAACTTAATGCTGCTGATTCATGTTCCCTTCCACACGCGCTTCTTGTTTTCTGATCACCCGCTTGTCACTAAGACAGTGTAATTAATTTCCCTGGCCACAACGGCTGCTCTCTTAGGCGTCTTCTCGTTTTGCCACAGAATCATGTTTATGATGCTGAGTCTTGTTTGGTGGTTAGCTTGCGTTTCTTCTGAAAAGACATTCCACTTGGTGGGAAGAGAGCAGCAGTTTTTCTTTCAAGATGCAGTCGGAGGCCCTGACTGGTGGGGATTCAGGAAGTGTGTGTTAGTTGGTCATCTTGTCAGTCATGGTGACAAAGTGGCTGTGGTGGGGCTACTGGAGACCGGGCAGTGGGGGCATCTGAAGACACCACTTTGCAGTGATGCAGACTGCTCCTTACTTGCTGTGTCCTATCAGGCAAGTTACTTTGCCTCTCTGAGCCTCAGTTTCTTTATTCATTAAATTCAAATATGAGCCAGGTATGGTGGCCCACGCCTGTAATCCCACCGCTTTGGGAGGGTGAGGCAGTAGGATCGCTTGAGCTTGGGAGTTTGAGACCAGCAACATAGGAAGACCCCATCTCTACAAAAAATAAAAAAATTAGCTGGGCATGGTGGTGCATGCCTGTGGTCCCAGGTACTCAGGAGGCCGAGGTGGGAGATTTGCTTGAGCCCAGAAGGTTGAGACTACGGTGTGCTGTGATCGTGCACTCCATCCTGGGGGACAGAGTCAGGCCCTGTCTCAGAAAAAAAAAAAAAAAAGAAAAGAAAAATTAAATATGACTTCTACCTCTCTGAGTCATTGCAGGCAGGTGATACCATCAGCTGCCGTTGTTAGAGTTGTGATTGCCACTACCTGACTGTGAGTGGTGATTATAGAGAGAGGGTTACTATTTTTGGCTGCCAGGGAAGCCATGGCGCTCCCCTGGTGTAATTCTGGTCCATCGTGACATTCGCCCCTCACTTTTAAGCCATGCCTAGATGTGGCTGCTGAGGCTCAGTGTGATTATCTTGGCAGAGCCCTGGCCAGTATTACTTCAAACCCATGATGAAGGAGTTCCGGTTTGAGCCATCCTCACAGATGATCGAGGTGCAGGAAGGCCAGAACCTGAAGATCACCATCACGGGGTACCGAACCGCTTACAGGTAAGTGCCCTGGCCACCCCACTCTCTTCCAGGGCTGGGCTGGTGAATCACATTCAGGCCTCTGTTGCCTGGAAACGCATCCCAGGCTTCACACTGATTTTACTTGGGAGGGAAGGGAGATGAGATATGAGGGCAAAGGAGTTTTGACTGCTGCCCTTCTCTCCTAGGAGCTCAACCTGGTGGTTCAGTCTCAAATTTCCTATTTTGGAATTGGCTTGAGAGAGCCTATTGAGTTGCTAAAAGCTTTTATTTATTTTTTATTTTTTGAGACGGAGTTTCATTCTTCTTGCCCAGGCTGGAGTACAATGGCGCAGCCTTGGCTCACTGCAACCTCTGCCTCCCGGGTTCCAGCAATTCTCTTGTCCTGGCCTCCCAAGTAGCTGGGACTGCCACCATGCATGGCTAATTTTTCTATTTTTAGTAGAGACAAGATTTCACTTTGTTGGCCAGGTTGGTCTCGGACTCCTGATCTCAGATGATCTGCCTGCCTCGGTCTCCCAAAGTGTTGGGATTACAGGCGTGAGCCACTGCGCCTGGCCACTTTTATTTTTTAAAAGAGTTTCAAACCTGAATTACATCATTAAAAGGAGAAAATGTGCTCAGTTGAATAAAACTTCAAAATGCTGAAAAGAGTATAGTGTAAAATTTCCCCTCTGTCTCGTCTCCTAGCCACCCAAGTTCCTCTTCTGGGAGACAACCAGTACTTCCAGTTTTTCTGAATGCTCCCAGCTGTAGATAGATAGATACACATGAGTGTCTGGCAAGGCACAGTGGCTCACACCTATAATCCCAGCACTTTTGGAGGCTGAAGTGGGAAGTTCTCTTGAGTCTGGAAGTTCAAGACCAGCCTAGGCAACATAGCAAGACCCCGTCTCTACAAAAAAATAAAAATACAAAATAAAAAAGATACACATCTATAGATAGAGAGATGCATACATATATACATGTATACACACAGATACACACATATGTGTATTTTTTGTAGACTTATACAGAATCACTTTAGAGGAAGAGTAATTGGAAAGATTGGGTTTAGAAAAATGGACCATTTTCTACTGAATATATGGAATGAAAGAGGAAGTGAGTTATTTCCATGTTATTGAAAGCTCCATTATTTCAAATAAAGCCTAGAAAGAATAAAATAAAGCTTTAGCCTTCTTAAATTACAATTTTCCAGAGCATCCCTCAAAATGTATGAGAAAAGAAATTGATGGCAGCTTATCCCTCCGGCAGGAAGGTGTGGTTTGAAAGTGGGCCGGCCACACCGAGTTGCCTGGGTCATTGAGGCACAGTTCTCCCCTGAACTATTTTGCCCCATAATTGTTGGTAAACGGGAAACACTTGGGTCCTTCAGATAACCATGAGAATATCTCATTCGTGCCTGTTCTTGCCATACTAGTTGCTATGGCACAGTGTCTTCCTTAAACGGAGAGCCCGAACAAGGGGTTGCCATGGAAGCGGTGGGCCAGAACGACTGCAGCATTTACGGAGAAGACACCGTGACAGACGAAGAGGGCAAGTTCAGATTACGTGGATTGCTGGTGAGACTTGGAATGTGTTTTCTTTGGGGACTTTTTTTTCATCCTGTGTCCAGAAGTATCTTGTGGTGGCCCCAAGACTGCTAGGAGTGGGTTGGGCGAGAGGGCTGGGGGTGGGGCTCTGGAGCCCTCCCAGTTCTTACCTTTAATTGGTAGAGTTTGCCTTTTTTCTAGCCAACAGGTCAGATCAAGGATCTGTGGCACAATGGAGTTGGAAAACCATGGGTTTGGTAGGGCTTTTCCCTAGCAGTATGTGGCCATGGCTTACGCCAGGGCTCAAGCCAAACGCCTATGGAGCCAGAAGAGCAGTATGAACGGGGGAGAGGAGGCTGTGCGAAATGATAGGGAGTGGTGAGGGCTGTGGAGTGGGCACGGCCTGTGGAAAGGGACAGCCTGTCACTTGGTTCCAGCTTATTGTAGCCATGGGGGAAGACAGAGTCAGGGTTGCCAGATCCTTGAAATTTTAAAAAGAGAAGTCAGAAATTCCCACTTCCCAGAAATAATACCCAACACAAGCATTTGGGAATGCTTATGGTGGACATTCCAGATATCCATCAATGTGTATATACGGGTAGAGGGGAGGGGTGGATGGAGAGGAAAAACATCTTAGAAGAGTAAGAGCACATAGTATGCTTGGAATTTTGAAATAAGAAACCAAATTTGATTTATTTTGGGGTAGGAGAAAATGAAACTGAGTTGGGATGGAAGGAGTCGCAAAATTTCAGATGTTTCAACACTAGGGGTGTTCTTAAAGGAACTCTGGACTCTTAAGGTTAACAGGCCACAGATTAGGAAATGAGGGGAGAGAAATGCTCCTGTCTTAATGATCTCGTGCAGCCAAACCAGGCTTGGACCAGGCACGATACGACAAGCCCCCTTTCTAGAGAACTGACTCCTGAGTTTTTTTGCAGCCGGGATGTGTGTACCACGTTCAGCTCAAGGCAGAAGGCAACGACCACATTGAGCGGGCGCTCCCCCACCATAGGGTGATTGAGGTAAGGCATTCAGTGCTGCCGCTGCACCTGGGTGTGGGTGCCTCCCTAATCAGAAGTCCTCCCGTCTCCTCTGGCTGTCTGCCTTTCATCTGTGGCGGGGGGAACTTTCATCCTAATTAAGGGTCCTCTTAGAATAGTGTCATCTTCACAAGCAGCATCTTATGTGGGTTTTTAGTGAACAGCGTTGCTGTCATGCATCCAGAAAGGAAATTGGAACTGTTGTATCCTCCCCGCGACTTGCCCTGTAAGCTCTGATCATTATTCTGCAAGTTAAGGAACTTAAGGCCTAAGCAGCATTTCAAATCAAGGGACAATAATAGCACATGGGCTTAATGGGTGGCAGGGCCACGCAGTTATCTTAGGTTCAGATGACCTTTTTCCTGCTCCCATTTTGTGGGCAGAGTCTTTTGATACTCAAGATCATGACCTAGCTAAATTAATCCCTAAAGAGGACATCCTTCGAGTCACAGAATGTGGCCTGGGAATCATTTGAAGTAAGGCTTTTCTCTTACTGAGTAACTCTCATTGGGAAGACTAGAGGGCTTAGGTAGGGCAAGAGGGGCTGCCTCTTAGTGGCTTTATTTAGGTGGCTTCATTATGCATGAAGATTGTGAGGGAGGATAGAACTTTTGACCTAGGAAGTGGATTTTCTTTTTTTTTTCTTTTTTTTTTTTTTGAGATGGAGTCTCACCCTGTCATGCAGGATGGAGTGCAGTGCCGTGATCTCGGCTCACTGCAACCTCCTCCTTGTGGGTTCAAGTGATTTTCCCACCTCAGCCTGTAGCTGGGACTACAGGCATACACCATCACACCCGACTAATTTTTGTATTTTTAGTAGAGACGGGGTTTCACCATGTTGGCCAGATTGGTCTTGAACTCCTGACCTCAGGTGATCTGCTCGCTTCGGCCTCCCAAAGTGCTGGGATTACAGGCATGAGCCACCGCACCGGGCCGGAAGTGGATTTCCTTGACGTCTTTACGGTGTTGGCATTTTAAATGGCTGGGATGACTGCATCTCACACCAAAATGCTTTGCATGTTCTCGGTGTAGTAACTTAGGCCAGGATCACTAGCATAATGTGGACTGTGGCCGGGCAGGTATGAAAGGGAAGGGGGCCGGCCCTCTGGGATCTCGCAAACTCCATGTACAGACCTCACGCAGAGGGGGTGCTGTGACTCTGCCCCTGCTCTAACAGGCAAGAGCATCCTTCTCCTCTTTTTTTTTAAGAGAAGCTGGAAAATCTGGCTTCATATATGAAATTTCTTAATTTTTAACATGTTGGCAAGTAATTCAAACGTAGAAAAAAAATACTGTGCTTTCGAAATGAAATGTGTCTATGGGCCAGGGATATGCCCCTGCTCTAACAGGCAAGAGCATCCTTCTCCTTTTTTTTTAAGAGAAGCTGGAAAATCTGGCTTCATATATGAAATTTCCTAATTTTTAACATGTTGGCAAGTAATTCAAACGTAGAAAAAAAATACTGTGCTTTCGAAATGAAATGTGTCTATGGGCCAGGGATAGCCATCTTCTGTCGGTTTGTGACCTTGGACGTAGGGTACTCAATGACAAACTTAGCTTCCTTAATGTAAGAAGCAAAGTTTGCCATGAAGCAGCTCTCAGGCCATCGGACAGCTGGCATAGAAGTTCCTCCACCAGCTTTCTCATTACTGGCATTCCCTCTTTCTCTCTCTAGGTTGGGAATAATGACATCGATGATGTAAACATCATAGTTTTCCGGCAGATTAATCAATTTGATTTAAGTGGAAATGTGATCACTTCCTCTGAATACCTTCCTACGTTATGGGTAAGTCCAGACTTTTAAGCTCCAAGTATTGTGTTCCCTTTGGCTTTGAGACAAGTACGAATGGGATGTTTTTGGTTTTGTGCCTGTCTCGTGCCTTAGGTGTGACAGGTGGAGGTGCTCCAGAGTGCCGCCTGCTGAGGGTTGAGGTTGAGATTTAAGAACCTTGGACCACAACACGTATTTGGGAGAGTGATTGCCAGTTGTGGGAGAGAATGTGGTCCAGTTTCAGATAACTGTCTGCCATCAGTTAATCTTCCAAAGAATTATAGTAGAAGCCTGATCAATGATCAATACAATATGGAATCTAACGTGGAAAGCCAATTCTAAAGAAAGCGCCTTGTAACTTAAAATTTTCTCTGGAGTGGAGGTCGTATTAAACGTTCTTGCATTGGTTTAAAGAAATGCCTGAGGCTAGATAATTTATAACAAAAGAGGTTTCATTGGCTCCTCGTTCTGTAGGTTGTACAGGAAGCATAGTGGCGTCTGCTTCTGGGGAGGCCTCAGGAGGCTTCCAATCATGGCAGAAGGTGAAGTGGGAGCAGGCATGTCATGTGGGAGAAGCTGGAGCAAAAGAGAGAGTTGGGGCATGGTGCCACACACTTTTAAATGATCAGATCTCACAAGACTCATAACGAAGACAGCACCAAGCCACGAGGGATCCACCCCAAAGATCCGATCATCTCACAGCAGGCCCTACCTCCGGCACGGGGGATTACAATTCAACATGAGATTTGGGCAGGGACAAATATCCAAACAGTATCAGAGGTGGTGGACGGTGGGCTGGAGAGCAGGTGGTCTGGGCTTTCTCTTGTCTCCAGTAGTGACTCACCTTGCTGCCTGGGCCAGTCACTTCATTTCCACATGCCTCGACTTCGTCCTCTGCAAAACCTAGATTTTGGACTCAGAGACCTCTTATAATCTTGTTCAGCTCTAACAAAATCTCCATGTTACCATTAATGAAGAAATGTTTATAAAATACCCTGCAGACCCTCTGCGGATGTTAGTGATTTGCTCTGGGGGTACATTGTTAAGATGCGCTTGTAATTTTATAAGCAGTTAAGTATTTGGCATGGGTGAGAAAGTGTGTGTGCGCTTTAGTCCACTCTGTCCAGGGCTTGCAGGCGTGTGCTTGTAGGGACCAGGCAGGTAATGTCAGAGAGTGCAGAGGGTTGGGTAGGGTGGGGGGCAAACTGGGGAACTCCTGCCCCATCCATGAGGGGCACAAGGGAGGGGAAGAGGCAGAGAGGAGGGGAGGGCGCCACTCTCTTGCTCCTGAGTGTTGCTGTGCTAGAATTGAGGCTCAGGGTTGGTGTCACTTCCCAGTTTTCCGGAGAAGCTGGAAATTAGAATTATTTGAAATCACCTGATTTTTAAATATAGTCGGTGAATTCAGATTTACTTAAGATGTTATAGAAGAAAAAAGAACACATAAGGGATCTTCAATGCGACCCATAACCTTCAGTCTGTGACTTTCATTTTAGGAAAATTCCCCTGGTGTGTTATGTAGAAAGGTGCCAGTGTGGGCCCAGGGAGGTGGTCCTGGCATTCTCTTGCGGCAGGTGCACTGTGGCATCCTCACAGCCTTTGCCATCAGCCAGGGCTGCACCTTAACCCTGCTCATGCCCCATCCCGTGTGGGAGTGAGAACAGGCAACAACCCCAGAAATAAAGCCAGAAACAAAGTACTCCAGTGCCTCCTGAAGCAGCGTGGAGAGCCACGTACATGATGGAATGCGTTTTGAGTTTAACAGATTGGTGGAGTTAAGGTGACATCATATGATGAGGCAGTGCAAGGCGGGAAGGACCCTCAGGAGTCGTCAGGGGGTTGAGTCCCAGGCTCTACCATGTGTAAGTTGTGTGACCTTAGGTGACTTTGGCTCTCTGGGTCTCCATAGGGATAATAACAATACCTGTTTTGTAGTCAGGATTGGCGATAATGTAGATAAAATATCTGGCGCCTGCCTGGCATATTACAGATGTTCAACACGTGTTAGAAGCTATTTTTAATATTACTATTATATTAACTTATATTACTATTTTGAGCAAGAACATGGGTAGTCAGAATCTGATTTGAATCTTAATTTCTGTGCATGATACATAACTGGATGGAGTCTCAGATGACAGAGGGATGTGTGATGTCTATGGAGGGAGCTTTCTTTTTCAAATATCCATGTTTCCAAAGACACCTACCCAGAGAGCGGCTGTCCTGAGGATGTCTGCTATGAAATATTGATTGTGTTTCAGTTTCAAAGCATGTCTGACTTTGTTTCTCCCTCCAGGTCAAGCTTTACAAAAGCGAAAACCTCGACAATCCAATCCAGACAGTTTCCCTTGGCCAGTCCCTGTTCTTCCATTTCCCCCCACTGCTCAGAGATGGCGAGGTAATGCCTGTGGCCGGATTCTACCTTCTGCCTTTGTTTTAATAATTCTGCTGTTTAGTTTAAGGAAGCACAGTTCTCTCCTTTTCTCCCTAAATACCACTCTGCAGAAATGCGCTCTCTGAATCAAAAGAGGTTGGGTTCTGTAGGGATTATTTTTTCTTCATTGTTTTTCTGTTTACAAAAAGAATACATATTCATGGCAGGAGATTTTGGGAAAAAGAAGACATAAGCCCATCATCCAGAAATAGCCACTGCTAACATGGTGATTGGTATCCTTTGGGTCTTTTTTCAGGCACGTGTGCGCATGCATGTATAAATATAAATAGACATTTATTTTAATAATTCAAAACTGACACTGTTTTGTACATTGTTTTGTAATCCATGCTTTTCAATGAAGAATTTATCACAAATCTGTTCCTCATCATCAAATCTTTCTTTTTTTTTTTTTTTTGAGACGGAGTCTCGCCTTGTCGCCCAGGCTGGAGTGCAGTGGCGCAATCTGGGCTCACTGCAAGCTCCGCCTCCTGGGTTCACACCATTCTCCTGCCTCAGCCTCCGAAGTAGCTGGGACTACAGGCGTGCGCCACCACACCCGGCTAATTTTTTTTTTTGTGTATTTTTAGTAGAGACGGGGTTTCACCATGTTAGCCAGGATGGTCTTGATCTCCTGACCTCGTGATCCACCTGCCTCGGCCTCCCAAAGTGCTGAGATTACAGGCGTGAGCCCCCGTGCCTGGCCAAATCTTTCATACTATGATTTTTATGGACAGTAGTCCATAAACTAGGAAACGCGATGATTTATTTAACCAAGGCCTACTGTTGGGCATGATCGACTCTTGCACTTTGAACATATCACCCCATGCTTTCCTGCTAAGAAGTCCACTTTTAAAAATGCCTTGTAATTTTTAAAAATTCCTCTATTTTAACATTCTGCTATTGAGTTTAGGGAAATACAGTTTCCTCATGATGGGGGATCCCTTGAATGAGATGAGTTGCTTTTCTCTTGCTGCTTTGAACGTTCTCTCTGTCTTTGATAATCTGATTATAACGTGTGTCGTGTAGAACACTTGCAGCTCCACCTTTTCAGTGTCCTTTGGGTTCCATGAATCTGGATGTCTCCCTCCTTGGAACTGGGAAGTTTTCAGCCATTATTCTGGCCGTCATTTACTGATTATAAAGTGCTTATTATCAATTCTATTTGGACAGAGCTAACTTGTAGTTGGTGTGGGGAGTGCAAACTTTGCAAAGAATTTGGTTCTTTTCTGGTGGTCTTAGCCTGAGGATGTCAAGTGTGAGCCTAGAGGGTGACGTTTCCTCTCCTGGCTCCTTACCACCTGCCGTGAAGATGATCTACTCTGGCCTTTCTCTGTGGAAAATGGCTGCGAAATAATGAAACAGGCTGTCACGGAATTTTCTCCTCCTCTTTCTCCAGGGGTGTTGAAATAGTCACTTCCTACAGCGATGCGGAAACATCTTGGGCTTTGGGGTCACACTTCCCCTGAGTTCAGAGCCTTCATAGATGTGTGGCAGCCTTCTTAGCTGAGTGACCTTGGGCAAGTTACTCTTAGTCTCTTCGTGCTTGACTTTCCTCGTCTATAAGACGGGGTGATGATCCCGACCTTGCCAGTGGTAGAAAGCAAAGCAGCCGCGGGCCTCATGCAATGTGCATGGTGCCTGGCAGCTGGTCGGTGCTCAGCACACAGAGCTGTGACGGGCCTCATGCAATGTGCATGGTGCCTGGCAGCTGGTCGGTGCTCAGCACACAGAGCTGTGGCTGCCCCTGGTGCCGTTCCAGGGATGCTGTATTTTTAGGATTTGCCAGCTTACGAGCCTCTCAAGCATCGTCCCTTAGAAGTCAGCCCCGTTGTGGATCCTCAGTTGTATCACGTACCTCCCTCATCAGAATTGGCTCATAATAATTTTTTGTGTTTCATAAAGTCAGATCCTCAGAGGACCGTAATTGTCAAGGTTGGGTACTCATAAAAAGGCTGCAGGCTCTGACAGCCTTATCAGAAGCCACAGTCTCAGAGACACTGGGGACACATGCCCGCCACTGATGGAATAGCCCGCTGAGGTTGATACTTTGAAGGCAGCAACCTTGGTTTGGATGTGTAGTCTTGGGGATTTCTTTAAAAACATAAAGTTCTTTACATCACAGCCATACGTTAGGTTTTAGTTTTCATTTGCTTTGCCAGAGCTGTCCTTATAAAAATAACTTCTTCCCATGTGTGCACAGAACTATGTTGTGCTTCTGGACTCCACACTCCCCAGATCCCAGTATGACTACATCTTGCCTCAAGTTTCTTTCACCGCAGTGGGCTACCATAAACACATCACCTTGATTTTTAATCCCACGGTAAGTAAAAGAGGGAGTTAAAAAAAAATCCATGGGCTGGGTTTGGTGGCTCACGCCTGTAATCCCAGCACTTTGGGAGGCCAAGGCTGGTGGATCTCTTGAGCCCGGGAGTTTCAGACCAGCCTAGGCAATACGGTAAAACCCCAACTCTACAAAAAATACAAAAATTAACCGGGCGTGGTGGAACGCACCTATAGTCCCGGCTACTCAGGAGGCTGAGGTGGGAGGATCACTTGAGCCTGGGAGGTTGAGGCCTCGATGAGCCATGATCATGCCCCTGCACTCCAGCTTGGGTAACAGAGTGAGACCCTTTCTCCAGAAGAAACAAAACAAAACAAAACAAAACAAAACAAAACAATCCATGGGGTGGCAAAAGAAGGCATGTCCATACAACCTGTGCTCCAGGTCGCAGGTTGCAGGGCAGATATTTAAAGGGCTCCTGGCATTGGGTCACTTTCTCATTCTGCCTTCTGGATTCTGGGCTTCCCCAGATTGTTTTTAGCTTTTCTGAGCACTGATGCCTGCGATTCCCTTTGAGGAGGAAACTGGTAATAAGAGCAGTGTAATTGTTTAGATCGGTGGCTCAGGAATGATTTTGGGGGAGGAGGGACACCACTATCGCTGGTGTGGCGTGTGCTTCTCCATGAGGGAGCACATGGTACATGGCCACGCAAACCCCTAGAACCAACTGCTACTTTACAGGAAATAGGGAGGACCCAGGAGCACGCAAATGACTCCACAGGGATGCAGGACAACCACCTGGAGCCTGATTTGTTTGACAAATAAATTGCAAGGAAAAAAAAAACAACAGATGGACAGAATACCTGTGGGTTAAAAGAAACTTAACTTATCGCTTAATTCATTGCAATATGTGGCCCTTACTATTTGCAATATGTGTATCTGTTGCATACGGTCTGTCCTGTATCCGATAGGCTGGAACAGTGGAACAAACAAAACATACACGTATCTTTTACCTTCTTGATAAAATTGTTTAGTGATTCCTAAAGCTCAGATGCAGTATTGTCACCTGATGATTAAACAGACACATCAGCAATAGCAAAAACAGAGTCCAGGGCTCAGCCTCAGGACTGCTGATTCTGAACTTGACGGGGTGAAAGTGTAGCACAGGAGTCTGCATTAAAAACAAAAATCTGGCCTCATAGCTACTGTGTTGGTTGTTGCTTCTAGGCCTTTTCAGTGGGCAGAATAAGAACTTTATTGTTTTCAAAAGATGTAACTGTAAGTGGAACAATATCCTCCGATCCTCCTTTTTCCTTTTTTGATAACGACACAGCATTCCTCTGTGTGGATATACCGTGTGTCTTAGGCCATTTGGGCTGCTATTTTGTATCTTAGACTGGGTAACTTATAAACAACAAACATTTATTTCTTACAGTACTAGAGGCTGGGAAGTCCAAGATCAAGGCATTGGCAGATTTGGGGTCTGGCGAGGACTTGCTGTCTGCTTCATAGATGGTGCCACCTAGCTGTGTCCCCACAAGGCGGAAAGGGGCAAACAAGTTCCCTCAGGCCACTCTTACGGGGCATTAATCCCTGACTTAATCACCTCCTAAAAAGGGTGTCCTCTTGACACTATCACATTATGGATTAGGGTTCAACCTATGAATTACGTAGGCACAGACACATTCAGATCCTGGCACTACATGTAGGATATTCAGTTAGCCCCTGGTTGAGGGGCGTTTGTGTTGTTACTGGTTTTCTGCTATTACACATAACCCTTTAATGAATTGCCTTACGCATGCATGTTTTTGAGTGTTCGTCAGTCTCTCTTTGGAATAGACTCCCAGAAGTGGAATTGCTGAGTCAAAGGGTAAATGCATACGGAATTTTGATTGATACGGCCACTTCCCATCCATGGGGGTTTTACTGTTTTATATTCCCGCCAGCAGTGAATGAGTACCCTTTTTTCCCCAACAGAGTATTTTGTCAAATTTTTCAATTTTTGCAGGCTTATAGATGAGAAGTGATATTATCTCACTGTACTTCTAATTGCATTTCTCTCTTTTCATGTGGTTAAGAGCCATTTGTATTTTCTGTGAACTATTTAACCTATTTTTCTATAGAATTTTTGGTCTTTTTCAACCATTTTCAGCTCTTTGTATACTAGGAATATTAACCCTTTGTAATGTTTGTTGTACATATTTTTCCCAATTTGTCATTTATCTTTTCACTTGGTTTCTGCAAAGATTTACTTTATTTCTGTGTTAAATGTGTTGATTTTTTCTTATTGCTTCTGGATTTTAGAGTCATAGGAAGGTTTTCTTCATTCCCAGCTTTTACAGGAATTTATCGTGTTTTTTTCAGGCAGACTTTTATAGTTTCTGTTTTTACATTTAAATCTCTCTATCCATTTGGAGTTTTTCCTGGTATAGATGTGAAGTATGGCTCCAGATTGTCTTTTTCCACATGCTATCCAGTTACCATTTCATGCTTTTCAAACGCCATCCTGCATGGAAGGTGGACAGGAATTACCTTTCATTTAGAGATGAGAAGATGGGAACCTAGAAGGAGATGTGAGCAGCCCAAGGTCACCAGCTCACGTGGAGCAGTGCTAGGGCTTGAGCAGAGCTCTGCTGCTGATTCTGGGCTTCTGTGAAGAGTGATTCATGCTCAGTGAGCCTGTAAATATGATCTTACCTGAACAAGAGAGTTTTTCTCATGACCCACGAGGAAACACTTCCTTGTTACTCACAGTAGAGACCTGGTTAGAAAGTGCTGGAGAGGGCTAGGTGTGGTGGCTCACGCCTGTAATCCCAGCATTTTAGGAGGCTGAGGTGGGCAGATCATTTGAGGTCAGGAGTTCGAGACCAGCCTGGGCAATGTGGTGAAAGTGAAACCCCATCTCTGCTAACAATACAAACATTAGCCAGGCGTGGTAGCACGCACCTGTAATCCCAGCTACTCGAGAGGCTGTGGCAGGAGAATTGTGAACCTGGGATGCAGAGTTTGTAGTGAGCTAAGATAGCCCCAGTGCACTCCAGCCTGGGCGACAGAGCAAGACTGTCTCAAAAAAAAAAAAAAAAAAGAAAGTGCCAGAAAGATAAGCATATACAAGAACCACTTACCTTTGCTTGGGGCTGCATTGTGGCCCAGTTGCTGGGAGAGGCTTCTGTGAAGGCCGTTGATAGCTGCAGGCAGTGACATTCTCAGGGGCCCCTAGCAGACAACTCATCCGGGCTCAGGGACACACCTGGGAGCCAGTGGCAGGAATGTGGAGACACTGCTTGGTGGTGGCCGAGCAGCCCAGCCTCGTAGCTGCTGCCTGTCACTTCTGAGAATGTAAGAAACTGTGCCCTGGTGTGTGATGTTCCCCTTCCTGTATACCTATGTAACTAACCTGCACATTGTGCACATATATCCTAAAACTTAAAGTATAATTAAAAAAAAAAAAAAAAGCTGTGCCTGCTGGGGCTTGGATTCCCGAGCAGGGCCAAGTGTTGAATGAAGAGAGCGCCCACTCTGTGCCACCCCGTACAGGGCCCTCACAGGTTGATCCTCACAACAAGCCTTCAAGCAGGTGTGCCATTCCTCCCATTTTCACAGAAGCCCAGAAAGATTGAGTCACTTACTGAGTGTTAGCAGAACCAGGACTCAAGTGAGGCAGTTTGTCTCAAGCCACATGGTTTCCACCTCGTTCTGCCCTCCGCGTGATGAGTGGCTCAGCATTGCATGTTCACGGGGGCTTTGTAAGCACATTGGTTTCCTTCTTTGTTGATGTGACTGCCCACAGCCTCGCGACTGGATTTTACTCAGTATTCCATGCCCTGCTGAGCATTTCACATACTCCTTTCATCAAGTTTCACAGCATCCACCCCCAGTGGGTGTTGTTCATATGATCTCCATGTCATAGTTGAGTAAACTGAGTCTCAACGTGGTTGCCTGAGTTTACCCAGTGAGGCCTGGGACCTGAGCCTAGACTGAATCACTCTTAATTCCTGCTGAATTAAACTTTTATTTATTTATTCATTATTATTTTTTTCTGAGACAGAGTCTTGCTTTGTTGCCCCTGCTGGAGTGCAGTGGCACGATCTTGGCCCACTGCAACCTCTGCGTCCCGGGTTCAAGTGATTCTCACCTCCTGAGTAGCTGGAATTACAGGCATGCACCACCACTTCTGGCTAATTTTGTATTTTTATAGAGACGGGGTTTCACCATGCTGGCCAGGCTGTTCTCAAACTCCTGACCTCAGGTGATCTGCCCACCTCAGCCTCCCAAAGTGCTGGGATTACAGGCGTGAGCCACTGCACCTGGCCTGAATTAAACTTTTAAGTAAGTGTTTACTTCAGTGGAAAAATGGGTTGGGTTCTAAGAGATGTCCAGAGATACAGGAGTAGGCAGTTGTTGATGGAAATCTGTTCCTGCCCTTATTCTTTCATTTATGAAAGGGCATCCCAGGTACAGCGGCCCCCACAGTCACTCTCTAGCCCAGCAGTTCTCGGATGGGTTGGTTGCAGGACCCCTTTATACTGTTAAAAATTATTGAGGATTTTAAAGAGTTTGAGTTTGCATGGATTATCTCTGTGTATATTTATCATATTAGTAATTAAAACCGAGATGTTGAAAACGCAAGAACTCACAAGCTACACATTCCGTTAGCTGTGGGCGTGATGACATCAGGGTGCGTAGTCTCTGGAAAAGTCCACTGTGTGCTTGCGAATGAAAGAGGGCGGAAAAGGCACATCACATCTTACTATTGGCTGAAAATAGCTGTGGCCTCGGGAACCTCTGCGAGAGGAGTCCCGGTATCCTACACTGAGAACACTGCTCTGGCTCATTAACTTGTTTTTATCATTATTGGGAAGTTCTCCTTCCATTTATTTGCTTCCTTTATGAGAGTAGAGTGGGCCAATGGGATATAGGTTCACTTGATGCTTTAGAACCCAGCATTTCAGGGGCTTTAGCAAGATGGAAATGTCTGTCTCATGTCAAGTGTCCAGGAGTGACCAGTGCAGAGATAGTCTGGTAGCTCCAAGGCGTCAGGGGACCCAGGCCCCTTCTGTCTCATTGTGCTGTTCCAGTGCATTGCTTTTCTCCAAAATGGGGCAATTGGCCAAATGCTGTCTACCCAGCAAAAGGGAGGGCACACCACTTCCCTAGGGTCCAGCCAGGGTGTGGCACTTACCGCTTCTGTTCCTGTACCATTGGCCAAAATTTAGTTCCAGGGCTGCGCCTGCTGCAGGGAAGGCTGGAAAAGGTGATCTATATTGTCGGTGGCCCAGATAAAAGTTGGGGGTTCTATTGGGAGAAAGGGAGAATGGCCACAGGGATGCTAGTAGCAGTGCCTGCTTTGCTTCCTCACTAGACCGTACTGGCTGGGAATAGCTGCCCATCACTGTGTGCCCTGGGTCTAGAACTGTAGGTTCTTGATACATCCTTGTAGGACTAAGTCCCTGCATGTTGCTGGGACTCAACAAACTGAGACCCAGTTGCTTTTCAACCACCAAGACTCTCTGATAGCTGCATCTCTTCATTTCCTCAGTTGGGAGGAGGGTCCAGAGGCTGAGGAATGCCTTGTCATTGGAATCTCTTTGTCCCTGAGTTTCAGAAGCAAATAGTGAAGCTTTGGGCAGAAGAGGATTCATGGGAAAATACATCCAAATCACTTTGGTTCCTTCCTTTGGATAGAAGGAATTTGGATCATGAGGGCCCCTGGGTGTCCTCAAGTGGCCACTTTGGAAGGCTGGGTGGGTGGTGGCTGTGGCATTGTGGATGATGGACAAGCTTGTGGCCTTGGTGAGGAGTGATGGGGCTCTCGGTGTTTGCAGAGGAAGCTGCCTGAACAGGACATCGCACAAGGATCCTACATTGCCCTGCCATTGACGCTGCTGGTTCTGCTGGCCGGTTACAACCATGACAAGGTAGGAAATCCAGAGGCCTCAGGAGATGGCGGGCATGTCAGGGAGAGCGAGTCCTCACAGCTGCAGGAGTGATAGCAGAGGGATGTCCAGGGTCACAGAAATCACATTTCCGGGTCGGGAGGGCCCGTGAAGGCCTCAAGTCCAGACTTAGGTCTCCTTTCAAGGCTGTAAACTTCTGTAACATCTCCTAATCCTTAAACCTGGAACACCTCTAGGGACATATTAGGCCCGGAGAGAGGCCAGCCCATCCCTGGGGACTCATTAGTAAGAGGCCTGCCTCGTTTGAACTGAAACCCACCCATTAGCACGTGGCAGCTGCTGATCATGTCTGAAGAAGGTGTGTTGAGAAGTGAGGCTCCGCTGTTCATCTGGCAAAAGCCTCCTCTTTGTACCCCTCTCTCTCACACTTTCTCTCTTTTCTAGCTCATTCCTTTGCTGCTGCAGTTGACAAGCCGGCTACAGGGAGTCGGCGCGCTCGGCCAGGCAGCCTCTGACAATAGCGGCCCAGAAGATGCAAAGAGACAAGCCAAGAAACAGAAGACAAGGCGGACGTGAGGAGGAAGGGGACAGTTGCAGTCTCACTTGGGACAGGCCACAGCCAGGGGTCCGGCCACTACCCGCCCGTGGGATAAAAGCCAAAAGCATGCGTCAGCTAACTTCAGCCTGTGCTGCTGGGCCCGCACCCCATGTCCCTTGTCACTGTGGCATCCTGCACCCATCCTCACCCCTCCGTAGAGCCCCTCGTGCAATGCAATGAATGGACCCTCCTGTCACTCTGCTGAACAGAATTTATTTTCTGAGTCAAATATAATTTATTATTATTTTTGTCAAAGAAGTATTTAAGCTGTGCTGTGGTGTGAGAATGTCATTCTTGATCTTCAGCCTTCGTTTGCAAGAAGAGTTCCAGTTGATGTGGTGTTTGGTTCCATGGCGGGGTACCCTAGGGATTCATCTGTTTTCTTCACTTCCCTTTGCATCTGAGATCCTGCTGGAAACCACGGCAACCTGTATCCACTATTAGGAGGTAAAAATCAATAAAATGGCCCATTCATTTGTGTTGTAGCTCATCATAGATGTATTTCTTGGATGACATGCACGTAACCCCCGGGAGTCTTCAGTTGAGCCAAATGTAGAGCAAGTCAGAGTCCTGAGTGAAGCTGGCTGGGGCAGGAAAAACACGAGCTCAGCCAACATGGTCCCCAGCAGCTTTTGGCGTCAGTGATAGAGAAATCGGAGATAGTGGAGGTTGTGGCAAGTTGAAGTGTGCCCACCACGTCTAAGGGAAGCTTAGGGACTCAGCTCTGGCTCACCCCTGCTGTGCAGAAATGTGCGTTCATTTTTCTAGAGAAGCCAGAAAAACAAAGATTTACGTGAAATTTTCCCAATTTTAAATGTTAGCCACAAATGCAGTGTTTTTTTAAGAAAACCACACACTTTGGCCAAACAAAATGCCTACGTCGGCCGGGTGAGGCTTAAAGGTTGCCGGCTTGCATCAGAGATCCAGAGGAAGTCACAGCATTTTAACAGCTAAACTTAATCCTCACAGGAAGTCATCAAGTGAATTAAGTGATATTGAAGGAGGGGACACATCCATCCATCCGACATTTATTGAGTGCCACATAGGACAGGCATGGGTATGTGAGGATGAGTAGGGTAGACAACACTCTACAGCGAGCTGGAAGAGGCCAGGGAGGCCCCGTCTGCCTTGTTCTTCGTACCCCAATGCTTGGCACTTGGTGGGCATTCAGTAAGGAATGAATGAACGCACGCACAGAGGAATGAATAGATGGGCACACAGTGTGTGCCCTCACAGCACATGGCCCATCACTGGGTAGAAGGCAAGTCAGTAAGTAGACAGGGGTAATGCAGGGAGCCGAGGGCCTCCAGGTGGAGGAACATGGAGGACCACAGGAGCACAGAGCAGAGTTCTCATCCCACTGGAGAGCTTAGGGAACTTTCTGGATGTGATGCGTGAGCAGAGTCCAAAAGGACAAAACAGAGAGAGGGAAAACAAGGTGGAAGTTCTTGTTAGGTGCCACTGCCACCCCAGGGGGTCAGCTTGGGGGACTCCCTGGCTCTTGGGGGCCAACCGCAGAGCTGCCCTGTTCCCACCTATCAGCTAGCTTGGTGTTGGCACCGTGGAAGGAAAGTGAACAGTGTTGGAGATCTGGGACAGATGTGATATTAATACAGGATCCATTTCTTGGAGTGTTTTCCAACTCTTATTCCAAGTGGACACCCAGAAACATCCCTTTTAAATGTTAATGGGGTTTTTATTGACGGTATAAAGGTTAAGAGCTTGCGAAAGATACAATTGTCAGTACACTCCTTCCAGTTCCGGAGGCCGCCAGTAAGTGGCAGTCTTTCCCTGTCGCTGGCTGCAGGTCACCCTTGGCCTCGGTGGAACTTGTGTGGGTCATTCTCAGTCCATTTGAAAGTTGGGCCTGTTCGGTTGTGTATAATTTTCTGTTCATCATTTTTCTGGCAATCTCAGGACAGAAGTCCTCTGATCCTCCTGTGAGAAGTAAACATTAATGTTATTAGATTCTTTTTTTTTTTTTTTGAGTTTCGCTCTTGTGGCCCAGGCTGGAGTGCAGTGGCGTGATCTCGGCTCACTGCAACCTCTGCCTCCCGGTTTCAAGCGATTTCCTGCCTCAGCCTCCCGAGTAGCTGGGATTACAGGTGCCCACCACCACGCTCGCCTAATTTTTTGTATTTTTAGTAGATACGGGGTTTCACCATGTTGTCCAGGCTGGTCTTGAACTCCCTACCTCAGGTGATTCATCAACCTTGGCCTCCCAAAGTGCTGGGATTACAGGCGTGAGCCACCGCACCCGGGCTGTTATTAGACTTGGAATGGGACAAAAGTCATATGAGACAGACTTGTTTGCTGAGGTATTTAAAAAACAAAATGGTCTAAGATGGCAGATTCTTGGGGAACTCTGCTCTGTGCACATTTCTGCCTATTAAAGTGGCCGTAAAAACAACCATAAATCCTTGATGAGGACACCTCAGGAGCTTTAGGACGGTGCCATTCTTTTTTAATTAAAAGCTTTTTATTTGATTTGATTTTTCTGTAGAGACAGGGTCTCGGCTATGTTGACCAGGCTGGTCTTGAACTCTTGGCCTTAAGTGATCCTTCTGCCTCAACCTCCCAAAGTGCTGAGATTATAGGCATGAGTCACCACACCTGGCCAGGGCAGTGCCATTCTAAGGCAACGGCTTCAACTCGGTCTTCTTTTCTGGGGTTACAGGAGATGGGAAGGGCCGAAGGTAGCATGAGAACGTGTGTGTGTGTGTGTTTGTGTGTGTGTGTGTGTGTTTGTGCATGTGTATGTGGAAGGACTGGTGAGATGGCTGGAGGAAGAGGCAGTCCTTCTGCTTAACTCTAATGGCCTAAATGTGAGAAACAAAGATTCAGGAAATAAGGAAAAAGCAAATGAGTGATTGCCTCTCTGGATCAAGCACACCAGCAGGCACAACCAGCCTTTCTTGAGCTACTGTGTGCCGGGCGCTGTGCCGTGCCCTTGCATGCATGTGGATGCTTCATGAGTTCATGAAGTAGGTATGCTTCCAGCCCCATTTTTCAGAGAAAGAAACTGAGGCTGAACAATCTTGCAGCTGTCAAGTGGCAGAGCAGGGGTTTGAACCCAGGTCCAAGAGTTCTTAACCACCATGTTTTCCTGCCCTTGATGTATGAAATGAGATGATGTAGTCACATGCCAGCTTGTCTAGGGATGACTCAGAGGTTTAGAGATGGATGTCACGTGGATGTTGTACAGGAGAGGCAGGTATAAGCTGTAGTAAAGTTAGGAAAGGCACAGTGACGTGGAGCACTGTGTGCAGTGGACGGGGTCATGGCTGGGGGTGAGAATGGTGGAGGACCTTCGATTATTTCATCAGCGTTGTTTCTGTAACCAAAGAGCTGCATGACCAAACCCTGAGATCTAGTTCCTTAATAGGAACAATTATTCGGCACGATTCCCTTTACTTAAAAGCAGGGGCCGTCCTAAGGGAGGAGTTGGAAAGAGTTTGGGGGATAAGGTTTGCTTGGTTGCCTTCTGTTTAGGCTGATGTTCAGTGGGGGTCAAAGGCTGTGTGTCCAGTCCCTGGCATGTGGCGGGTGTTTGTGGTACACAGCCAGCCTCAGGATGGCCCCCAGGGATGCACACTGCCTTTGTGTGTGGTCCCCTCCCACACTGAATCAGGCTGGCTCTGTGCGACCAGTGGGAAGTGGTGGAAGTGAGTGATGATGTGTGACTTCTCGGGCTAGGTCGTAACAGGCATTGCACTTTGGCTCTCGGGAAGCCAACTGCCTTGCGTGAGGGTGCTCAGGCAGCCTCGTGGGGAGGGGTGAGGCCCCTGGCCCCCAGCATGTACAGCTTGCCACCACGTGAGTGAGCCAGCTTGGAAGCGAATTTCCCCGCCCCGGTCAAGCCTTCTGGTGAGTGCAACTGCAGATGACATCTGACTTCCACCACTCAAGAGACCCCAGGTCAGTGCTGCCCAGCTGAGCTCTTCCCAGGTTCTTTATGTCCCCCGAAAATGAGCTGTTTTAAGTTTAGAAAACTTAAAAACACAGTGACAATGAAGCACAGATATGCATTACATACAGTCCCAAATCAGTAATGACTTCAAGCTGTGTCCTCTCTTTCCAAGAAAGACAAAGCAGAGAACAAAGTTCAACCTACAGTGTCTTCCCAAATTCTTGACCCACGGGATCTGTGAATATCTTATACGACTGAATTAAGCCTCTAAGTTTTGGGGTAACTCATGCAACATTAGGTAACTGGAATAGTGCTCAATAAATGTCTGTCACATGAATGGGCAGTGACCATGGATGCATTTCTAGTTGTGTATTAGTTAAGGCTCTCTTGGTTTCAAGTAACAGAAATCCAACTCCAACTAGCTTGAGCAAAATGGGGCATTCCTCTGGTCAAGTAACGGAGAAATCCAAGAGTCTCTGGCTTCATGCATAGCGGGACCCAGTCTCAATTTCCACCTCCTGGCTCTGCTTCCCTTGATGCCAACTTTCAGGAATCAGCTTTCTGAAAGACCACTCTGCTAGAAACAGACAGGCCCATCCTTTCAACCAGGTCCAGGACTGTTTGCTCAGTCACTGCTCTCAGAGGCAGGGGCAGAGGCAGATGCCGGGCACACATCCACAGAAGTGGAGATGGCAGGAAACTGAGAGTGGAGTGCTGGAAAGCTGGCTTTTGCCTATGGGTTCCGCTTCTGACATCATCCGGCAATGTCAGGCTTTACATTGCCCCCATCTGCAGACCCAGCAGAAGGACAGCTTCCATCCCACCACATCAATATGCCAGTCCTGGGGCGGGGGAAGGACTTATGGGCAACCTTTGCAGAATCACTGGGGCCTGGCCGCACATGAGCCATGCCCACGCTCATGTGACAGGCGGCCCCTGTGCCTGGGGTGCTGTATTACCCAGAGGAATAAGTGATCCTGGGTGGGCAAAAGCAACAGAAGAGAAGTCAGCTCCACTTCCTTCCAAAACTTGAGAAGGCCTGGTCAAAATCACCCTCCAGGCCCGGTGTGGTGGCTCATGCCTGTAATCCCAGCACTTTGGGAGGTTGAGATGGGCAGATCATGAGGTCAAGAGATCGAGACCATCCTGGCCAATATGGTGAAACCCCGTCTCTACTAAAACTACAAAAATTAGCTAGGTGTGGTGGTGGGCGCCTGTAGTCCCAGCCACTCGATAGGCTGACAGGAGAATCACTTGATCCAGGGAGTCGGAGGTTGCAGTGAGCCGAGATCGCACCATTGCACTCTAGCCTGGCGACAGAGTGAGACTAAAAAAAAAAAAAAAGAAAAAAGAAAAAAATCAGCCTCCATTTTTGGCTTTCTCTTTCATTAGAAAAATGAACCTGACTTTATGACCATGACAATGAAATGCCTAGAGAAGGGAGCACTCATTTTCCAGTGGGCCTACTGTGTGCTGGGGTGGCGAGACTCTTCCTGCCCTGGAACTTGGTGAGGTCAGGAGGGAAGATATGATATGACTGCCTTCCTCTGTACTTTTTCAGTGGGGGCAGGTGTTTATGCTTGATGATGCAATGGTGAGATCTTGGTTGGAATATGAACTTTTCTTTCTTTTTTTTTTTTTAGATGGGTTCTTGTTCTGTTCCCCAGGCTGGAGTACAATGGCACCATCACAGCTCACTGCAGCCTTGATCTCCCAGGGTCAAGGGATCATCGTGCCTCAGCCTGCTGAGTAGCTGGGACTACAGGAGTGCACCACCACACCTGGCTAATTTTTTTAAAAAAAATCTTTGTAGAGATGAGCTCTCACTAGGTTGCCCAGGCTGGTCTTGAACTCCTGAGCTCAAGCAATCCTCCCACCTTGGGCTCCCTAAGTGTTGGGATTACAGGCAAGAGTCACCACGCCCAGCCAGGATCACAGACGTTTAAATTACACTCCTTCTGCTGTGCCTTACAGCAGTAGAAGGGGTGAAATTTAAACGTCTGTGATCCTGGGGTTGTTGAAGATGCCACCCATCTACATATTCTTTCAGATGCACAATATTTCACTGTGTGAATGAAACAGCAGCCCTTCTTACGTGTGCTTTTTGGAATTTGAAGATTTTGTAAGATAAGATGAATGCATTGGAACAAGTGATCCTCAATTCTGTGCAGTCTGTGCCTCCGGAGACTGGCGGCTGCCCCTCCCTGTCTAGTCTTGCAAGAGAGGCAGCTGGCAAGAGGACAGAAGCCGGCAGCTGCTGCGTTTTCATCCTGTTTCTGCTCTTGGAGCTGAGGGGGAGAGGTGGCTAGCAGCCACCCAGTGATCAAACTTGCAGCCTGCCTCTCTTGCTTCCTTTTCACAGACTGGAGTGTGCCTGGGTATGGAGAAAGAACATTTTGCTTCTTGCCTCTCAGAGTTTCAAGAACGCCTCACCTGAGTGGCATGCATTCATGGAATGAGTAATTATTACAGTGGAGAACTCCTCACTGTGAATTAATTACACAGATGATATTCAAGACTTAGACTGGGCTAGTGCAGGGGTTAGCAAACTATGGCCCACTGTTCTTGTTTTATAAATAAAGTGTTATGAGCACACAGCCATGCCCATTCATTTGCAGATTATGGCTGCTTTTGCCTGACAGTGCCAGATGTAAGTAGTTGTGGCAAAGACCAGGTAGCCTAAAAAGCCTAAAATACTTGCTATCTGGGTCTTTACAGAAGACATTTTGTTGTTGTTGTTGTTGTTTTTGAGATGGGGTCTTTCTCTGTCACCCAGGCTGGAGTGCAGTGGTGTGATCTCAGCTCACTGCAACCTCCGCCTCTTGGGTTCAAATGATTATCGTGCCTCAGCCTCCCTAGTAGCTGGGATTAGAGGCGCCTGCCACCAAGCCTGGCTAATTTTTGCATTTTTAGTAGAAACAGGGCTTTACCATGTTGGCCAGGCTGGTCTCAAACCCCGACCTCAGATGATCTGCCTGCCTCAGCCTCCCAAAGTGCTGGGATTACAGGTGTGAGCCACTGCGCCTGGCCTAGAAAATGTTTTCTAACCTGTTGTCTAGTGGGTGCTTTGTAAAGTTTAGTTTTAGGGGGAGCATCATTAATTCATTCAACAAGTATTAACTGAGCATCTCCCCTGTGCTGAGTGCTGCTTGGCATACTGGGGGTTTAGTGGTGTGAGAGAGACCGAGCCTCAGCTCTTAGGAGCACAGTGCTGATGGAGGACGAAAGGTAAACACACACATTAGAAGTTGTTGGATAATGCCAGGCGTTACGAAGAAAAGAAGCAGAACAAGGCAATGTGACAGAGGATGATTGGTATCATGGAAGGTCTCTCTGAGGAGGCAGCATCTGAGCTGAGACCTGAGGAGGGGAAGGGCCAGTTATGCAAAGATCTGGGGGAAGAGCTGCCCAGGCAGAAGGGACCATAATTGCAAAGGCCCCCAGGAGGAAATGAGCTCCCTGAGTTTCAGGAATAGCAAAGAGGCCAGGGTGGCCAGAGTCAAGTGATTGAGAGGAAGAGATGAGAACGATGGCAGGGACCGGGTCATGTGGGTGCCCTGGAAAGGAGTTTAGATTTTATTCTAATGGCAACAGAAGGCATTGGAGGGTTTAAGTAGGGAAAGGGGAGTGATCTGATGTATGTTTTTAAACAATTGCTTCTTTAAATTTTGAGGAGATTGGATTATTGGGAAGCAAGAATGAATTTAGGGAGAGAAGCAAAGAGGACGTTGTGTTGGTTTAGGCAAAAGACAGCAATGGCTTGGATTGGGGTGATGGAAGTAACAGTGGCAGGAAGTGGTGAGCTTGGGGCTATGCTTCAGAGATAGAGCAGAAAGGTCTTGCTGATGTATTTAATACAGGAGGTGAGGGAAGGGAGGAATCAACGATAAGTGAATCGTTTGTTTCTAGCTGAACCACTGAAATGTGTAGGTAAATTGAGACTTCTGTTTTGGCCATCGTGAGTTTGAGATGCTTATCAGACACCCGAGTCTGCAGCCTGGGTGAGAAATCACGGCTGGAGATGAGACGTGGTGAGCTGGGAGTGTTTTTGGATGACAGATGAGGCCACGGGATTGAATAATAGGTATCCTTATGAAGACTGAGAAAAGGAGAGGGCTGGGGGCCAAGCCCTGGGACAGTGCAACCTTCAGAGGATGGGCGAGGAGGGCCCTGCCCAAGAGACAGAGAGGAAGTGGCCCGTGAGGTAGGGGGAAGTCCAGGAGAGGACAGTGTGGTGAATACCTAATGCTTTACTCATTCACTGGTGAATGAATGGATGGATGGATGGATGGATGGATGGATGGATGAATGCATGAATATTCCTTAATAATATGGTTGGCCATGGTCCATCCATATGACTCCTACGGACACCATGTTACCATTTCACACTCGTCTTCTATTTAGGAGAAATCAGACGAAACTGCCATCTTATATATAGGTCAAAAATGGTTTCCATAACCACCCACCTCACATGCTTACTGAAATTCATTAAGTAATAGATGGGGTGGGGGGCGGGAGGTTTACAGGTCGGCAAAGGAGGCAAGGCTAGAGTGATCCATGTGGCAGTGGATTAGAGTGGCAGGCATCAGTATGAACACATGTTTAGCTCAATATAGATACAGATGGCTACATAGAGAAATATTTATGGATATGTGCATATACACAAATTAGTAAGACACACGTTACTAATCCTGGCTGTCAGCGAAGAGAGCCTAGAAGCAAGGATACCCCAGTAGCAACAAACCTCTGGTGCCCAGGTCTCTGTTCTCCAATAAACACCATTCTCCAGTAAAAGGAACCAGGCTTCTTGAACAAATGTCGATCCTAGGACCGAGGGAGGAAATAGATAAGAAGAACCTGAAGCATCTTGTAGGGTCACAGGGTGAGGAGGCGCGAAATGAAACAAAATGAAACTGCTGCAGTGATGGGGCATCTCAGAGGGACACAGGAGCCAATGGAAAAGCTCCCAGGGGTCAAAGCCAGAACAATTTGAGCCCCAAAAAAGTACTATTGGATTAGAATTCAAAGAATAAATACCCATGATTCCATACTGCTATAAATGATCAGATAAGAGAGAAGAGACAAATCTCCCAGGCAGAAGAATTCCAGATTATTTATTTATTTTTATTTAATTTTTTTTTTTTACACAGGGTCTTGCTCTGTTGCCCAGGTTGGAGTGCAGTGATGTAATCTTGGCTTACTGCAACCTCCACCTCCCAGGTTCAAGCGATTCTTGTGCCTCAGCCTCCCGAGTAGCTGGGATCACAGGCATGCGCTGCCACACTCGGCTAATTTTTTGTATTTTTAGTAGAGGCGGGGTTTCACCATGTTGACCAGGTTGGTCTCAAACTCCTGACCTCAAGTGATCACCCTCCTCGGCCTCCCATTCAAGTGCTGGGATGACAGGTGTGAGCCACCGTGCCCGGCCCCAGGTAATTTATATAGCTATTCCATCGTCAAGGAGGTGGAGCGGACTTCCCACATCCTAAGTGTGGGCTGTGCATAGTGACTCTCTTCCAAAGAGTACAGTGTGAAAAGAGAGGAGAGAGTAACTTTACAGTGGAGAACACGGACAGACTACCTCAGCCAGGTGATCAAAGTCAACTTCAATAGCGGCAAGTCATCTTGAGAGAATGCGTGCCTGATACAGAGTGCTGAGAATGATTCTTAAGCTCTGTGGTCCTCCTCCTCAAAACACACACAAGCCAAGACTAAGGATGAGAAGCATCTGCCAAATCCCAGTTGAGGAACATTCTACAAAATACCTGGCCAGCACTCCTCAAAATGCTCCATGTGGTATCCTGGAACAGAAAAAGGACATTAAGCAAAAACTAAGGCAATCAGAATCAACTATGGACTTTAGGTGGCCAGGCACGGTGGCTCGCGCCTGTAACCCTAGCACTTTGTGAGGCCGAGGCCGGCGGATGGGTTGAGCCCAGGAGTTCAAGACCAGCCTGGGCGACATGGCGAAACCCCATCTCTACAAAAAATACAAAAAATTAGCCAGGCTTGTGGTGTGCACCTGTAGTCCTAGCTACTCGGGAGGCTGAGATGGGAGGATCACTTGAGTCCGGGAAGTCAAGGCTGCAAGTGACCCGTGATTGTGCCACTGTATACCAGCATGGGCAATGAGAGTGAGACCCTGTCTCAACAAACAAACAACAAACAAACAAACAAAAACAAATTCTCTGGGGATGGTAGCAGGCACCTGTATTTCCAGCTACTTGGGAGGCTGAGATGGAGGATCGCTTGAGCCAGGGGAGGTGGAGGGTTGAGGCTGCCATGAACTATGATCACACCACCACACTCCAGCCTAGGTGACGAGCAAGACCCTGTCCCCACCCCCCTAAAAAAAGTATGGACTTTAGTTCATAATGCATCAAGCTATGGGGTACATGGAAACTCTCTGTACTGCTTTCACCATTTTTCTAAAACTGTTCTAAAATAAAAAATTTACTTAAACATTTATTTAAAAAAAAAAACAAACCATTTGAGTACCAACAGTGTCATATGCTCAACTTAGCACATCTTTTTCCTGGTTTGGTTTGTGGGCGTGAATGTGTACTGAGCCATCTAAACCTTGGTTGCCCGACCTTCACCGTAGCCACTGACCCAGGTTAACAGACAAAAGGCCCAGGTTAAGGTTATGCCCAGTGGCCATAAAATAGCCCAGCATCCAGACTGCACTCCTTGATGTACCCAAAAAAGCCAAGGAATAGGACGGATGGGCGGGGAGTGGGGGGCAAACTACTGCCCATTGCCCAACTCTGGCCAGCTGTCTGTTTTATAAATAAAGTTTTATTGGAACACAGTCACACCCATTCATTTATTATCATCTATGGCTACATTTGCATGACAATGGCAGTGTTGAGTAGTTGCACCAGAGATCGTGTGGCCCACAAAATATTTATTATCTAGCACTTTACAGAAAAAGCTTGTCAACCTCCAGGACAGTGGCCACAAGTTCTGCCATCATCTCATCCCTTAGCAAGAAGGGAAAGGAATGCCCATTAAGGCACAAATTGTTTTCTGTTGTTGTTTGTTTGTTTGTTTGTTTTTGAGACGGAGTTTCAGTCTTGTCGCCCAGGCTGGAGTGCAATGGCGTGATCTTGGCTCACTGCAACCTCCGCCTCCCAGGTTCAAGCGATTCTCCTGCCTCAACCTCCCGAGTAGCTAGGATTACAGGCGCCAGCCACCACATCCAGCAAATTTTTGTATTTTTAGTAGCGACGGGGTTTCACTATGTTGACCAGGCTGGTCTCGAACTCCTGACCGCAGGTGATCCACCTGCTTTGGCCTCCCAAAGCGCTGGGATTACAGGTGTGAGCCACCGTGCCTGGCCACAAGGTGGTCTTTTAACAACAGAGCACACAGCTGGACAAAGCCCAACGCTCTCTTCTTTGGGGCCGAGGTGGGTCATTAATATTGAACATTTACAATGTACTTGCTCCAGGTGATTCAGTTTAATTTCTGCCGTCTCTTGTAACAGGGCTCCCACGTGCACGGGTTGGGGCCGTGTGTCTGCCTCTGCTTTCTGAGGCCCCACAGCGTATTGATTCTGCGAAACGTACGTTTCTTTGAAAACAGCGTCTCTTGACATGACAGGAGATCACACATCGCTTGTTTTCTGTCCCTTTCATTGCCCTCTGAACATGATAAAATCATGACCTAGTGTCACCGAGGGACCTCAGCATCTCTTGGAAAGAAGGACTTGCCTTCTTTTTTATCTTTGTCAAGCCAGTGAGGCCAAGTAGAAAATTTTTAGCAGCTTTGGAGCCAGACAGATCGGAGTGCGAGTTCTGCCCGTTATTGACTGGACCGTGTGACCCTGGGAGAGCCGCCTAGTGTCTATGAGACGGAGGCTGTTGGGCAAGAAAATGGGGATGGTCCCAGCATTATGGGGCGGTTGTGAGAATTCAGTGCAATGATGCAGTGCTCCCAGAACAGCTGGTCTAGGGCTTGGCTCATGGGACTGTCCCTTCGCAGAGGCAGCGTGGACATTCCGCTGGTATCCACTGGTGTGGCTGTGCCTGTTTGGTCACCGTGTCTGTTCTGATTGGTCGGTGCTCCTGCATGTCAAGAGTTCAATGTTATGAAAATCATCCCTGCCTAGAGATGAATTCCCCCTTCCCCTGAGGTCTAGACTGGTATAGCTGCTTTTGGAGCCTCACCTGCTGAGAGCTCACAGCTGTCCTTCTCTAGAGAATCACCCTCAGATGGGAGCCACATTGCCTGGGATGGGATGCCATGCCCAGTAATGGCCCAGTGACTAACTGATACAGCAACGTGAATGGCTGGTCCCTGCCCCACGGTGGGGACGATCCTGTGGCGTGCTCTCTGCTGCTCGTGGGATAGGTCAAGGCGGGACTTTAAGGGACCACATTCTCACTCTGCTCTGTCCCCTTCTGCATCCTGTAGTCCTCACCTCCCTTCTCCTGAAAGCCCCTTTCAAAACAAAAACAAAAACCACATCCACCCAAGTCCCTGTCTCCAGCTCTGCCTCCAGGAAAGCCGGCGGAAGGCCGCCAGTCTCAGCTGTGACAGATACAGATATTTCTGCATTTCCAGGACTGAGGTCAATCCCTGGGGACCCAGTGAGGCGGTATCTGAAGGGCCATGGAGCTGGCTTGATGGGGTCTACAGGTAGGCAGGGACCTGGTGGGGATGTGACTCAAGGATTTTTATCAAATATCTTTATCCCCTGACAGATGCAAAAAAAAAAAAATGAGATCAGACTCCAGGGTTTCCTCCATGCCACACTGTGGCCCCATTGTTTGTTGTGCTATCAGCAGAAGTTGATTTTGCAAGGAATGTACACGTGTATGTGATGTTTGAATGCACCTATCTGTGTGTGCGTGCATTTGTGTGTGTGTGTGTGCATTCGCTTGTGTGTGTGTGTGTGTGTGTGTGTGTGTGTGTGCTGAGGATGTGAGCCCCACTTCCGGCCCAGTGCCCCTGCCCAGGCTGGCTCTGCCCTCCTGCTGCTCTGGGCCCCTCAGGCAGTGACTACCTGGTACATAGGGAAGGCATCAGCATCCCTTATTCATGGGGACTGTATACTGTCTCCACCATATTGGGCCTTTTGGCCTCTTGGACATGACTTGGCCTCTGCTGGCTTTAAGGGACTGCCAGAGATGCCATCTTCTCTGGGAAATGTTCTCAGCCTGGGCACAGCCCACTAACCACTGCCTGCTTGTCTGAGACTTCTCTGTCCAGGAAAACAGCCCAGCCTGACCAGAGATGGGCATAGAGCCATATTTTGGGAAAGACTGGTTGGGGGTCAACTTGGTTTCTGGAACCAGTTCTGATTTCAGTTGCAGGGGACAGTGAGCCAGTTACTGCCCACTGGCTGCATCCTAAGCCTTCCTAGAGGAGAGCTAGCCTCCTCCTAGGGTTGCCCAGGCTGGACCACTTCTGCCTGGGTGATGGGTTGGGAGAAAGACGTTAATATTTGGAGCAGTGTTATATTAGTCAGCCCTCCCATTTGCAAACATTAGAAAACCAGCTCAAATTAGTGATAAAAGAAAATCTCAGCTGAATTAAATTTAAAGTAGTTTAATTGAGCAATGAATGATTCGCGAATTGGGCAGACCCCAGAATCACAGCAGATTCATAGAGACTCCAGCGCAGCCACGTGGTGGAAGAAGATTTATGGACAAAAGAAGGGAAATGATGTACAGAAATCAGAAGTGAAGTACAGAATGGCTGGATTGTTACAAGTTGGCGTTTGCCTTATTTGAGTACAGTTTGAACACTCAGCAGCGTATGAGCGGTTGAACTACGGCCTCTGGGATTGGCCAAGACTCAGCTATTGTTACAGGCGCATACTCCTAAGTTAGGTTTTCAATCTTGTCTACCTATTAAGCTAGGTTGCAATTTGTCCACAAGGACTCAACTATAGAAGTACGAAGTCCCACTCAGGCCATATTTAGTTCACTTTAACACTAGCTTCGGCAACTGTCTCTCAGAGCCCAGGGCAGGGCAGGGATGCAACTGGGCTTCAGGAAACTTGAATTCATTGACTGTCTCTTCCCCATCTTAGATGCAGTGCTAAGGGCTTTTTAGTAATTTTCTCATTTGACTCTCAAAACAAACTGATGAGGAAACGGTCTGAGAGTAGTTAGGCAGCTTTTCAAGGTCACACAGATAGTAAATGTCATCACTGGGACTTGAACTCAGGTCTTTCTGACTCTCATGTCTGTGCAACATGTCATCTCAGCCACTGTTGACACTGTATATGTGGATTAGGGTTGGCTAAACTGCTGTAACAAATAGACCCAACTCGAATGGTGCATGTATGTACAATAGGGGTTTATTTCTTATGATATAGTTCACGGTGGTCCCAGGTGAATAAGGATGGGTAGGTCTGCATTTTTCATAATCATCTGGATTTCTGCTCAGGCTCCTAGAGTCTCTGCCACCTTCCCCATGTGGCTTCCAAGGCCACCTTGGAGACAGAGCTTGGTGGAGCACATGTGGTAGGATTTTTTTTGTTTTTTTGAGACGGAGTCTCACTGTATTGCCCAGTCTGGAGTGCAGTGGTGCAATCTCGGCTCACTGCAACCTCTGCCTCCCAGGTTCAAGCTATTCTCCTGTCTCAGCCTCCCTAGTAGCTGGGACTACAGGCACCTGCCACCACGCCTGGCTAATTTTTGTATTTTTAGTAGAAATGGGATTTCACCTTGTTGGTCAGGTTGGTCTCAAACTCCTGACCTCAGGTGATCCACCCACCTCGGCCTCCCAAAGTGCTGGGATTACAGGCATGAGCCACCACTCCCAGCCAGTTCTTTTTTTCTTTTTTCCATTTTTTTTTTTTCGAGACAGGGTCTTACTCTGTTGCCCAGGCTGGAGTGCAGTGGCACAATCACGGCTCAGCGCAGCCACTGCCTCCTGGGCTCACACGCTCCTCCGGCCTCAGCCTCTCGAGTACCTGGGACTACAAGTGTGAGCCAGTTTGGCTAATTTTGGCTAATTTTTGTAGAAACGGGGTCTCGCCATGTTGGCCAGGCTGGTCTCCAACTCCTGGGCTCAAGGGATCCACCTTCCTCCCCCTCTCAAAGTTCTGGGATTACCGGAGTGACCCACTGTGCCCTGCTGGCAAATTTCTTAAACTGTGCCTCAGTGACCTCATTTAATAAAGGGAATAATTGTAGCACACTTTTTCTAGAGCTGTGAAGATTCAATGGAATAAATAAGGCAATAAATGAATGGATGGGGAATGAAGGATGTGGGTTTCCTCCCTCTTGTCTTTCAATAAGCTCTCACCATCAACCTCCCATTGCCTGTTCTCTCTCTTCCCCCTCTCTCCCTCTGTCTCTCTCTTAGCCAGGAAACCTGGGGTAGGGAGGCTTGGAGCCAGCGGGTGCGTCGGGAGGCTGCGGGTACTGACTGGGGACGCGCACGGAGATTGCGGGAGAAGGATCCATGCCGCGGGAGAAGGATCAGAGTGGAGCCTGTGGCTGCTGCAGGAGGAGGAAGCCGCCGCCTGGCCCACACCACAGGAGAAGGGCGGAGCCAGATGGCACCCTGCCCACCGCTTCCCGCCCACGCACTTTAGCCTGCAGAGGGGCGGAGCGTGAAAAATACCTCGTGCGCCTCGGCCGACTCTACAGTGCGACGGGCGGAGCTTCCAGACGCTCCGCCCCACGTCGCATGCGCCCCGGGAAAGCGTGGGGCGGAGCTTCCGGAGGCCCCGCCCTGCTGCCGACCCTGTGGAGCGGAGGGTGAAGCCTCCGGATGCCAGTCCCTCATCGCTGGCCCGGTCGCGCTGTGGCGAAGGGGGCGGAGCCTGCACCCGCCCCGCCCCCCCTCGCCCCGTCCGCCCTGCGCCGCGCGGGGAGGAGGAGGAGGAGCCGCGGCGGGGCCCGCACTGCAGCGCCAACGTCCGAGCGGGCGGCCGAGCTCCCGGAGCGGCCTGGCCCCGAGCCCCGAGCGGGCGTCGCTCAGCAGCAGGTCGCGGCCGCAGCCCCATCCAGCCCCGCGCCCGCCATGCCGTCCGCCGGCCCCGCCTGAGCCGCGGCCTCCGCGCGCGGGCGGGCCTGGGGACGGCGGGGCCATGCGCGCGCTGCCCTAACGATGCCGCCCGCCGCGCCCGCCCGCCTGGCGCTGGCCCTGGGCCTGGGCCTGTGGCTCGGGGCGCTGGCGGGGGGCCCCGGGCGCGGCTGCGGGCCTTGCGAGCCCCCCTGCCTCTGCGGCCTAGCGCCCGGCGCCGCCTGCCGCGTCAACTGCTCGGGCCGCGGGCCGCGGGCTGCGGACGCTCGGTCCCGCGCTGCGCATCCCCGCGGACGCCACAGCGCTGTGAGTAGCGGGCCCAGCGGCACCCGGGAGAGGCCGCGGGACGGGCGGGCGTGGGCGCGTTCCCTGGCCCGGGACGGGAAGCAGGACGCGGGCCAGGACGCTCCCAGGGCGAGGCTCCGGCGCGGCACAGCGGCCCTGCTAAATAAGGAACGCCTGGAGCCGCGGTTGGCACGGCCCCGGGGAGCCGAAAAACCCCGGGTCTGGAGACAGACGTCCCACCCGGGGGCTCTGCGGACGCCAGCGGGGGCGGGGCGCGGAGGCCGCGCTCAGCTGGGAGGACAAACAGTCGCTAATTGGAGAGGAATTGGGATTCGGCCTGGGGCTGCGGGGTACCCGGAGAGATGGGGATGGCTGTAGGGGGCTGCAGGGAAGAGTTCCAGGAGGTGTCTGGACAAGGATTTGATGGATGTGCAAGAATTGGGCTGATGCTTAGGAAGGGGCGATGAGGTGGGTCCAGAAGAAGGGGGGTGAACGGTGTGAGCAAAGACCGTGAGGCTGGAGGCTGGCCACGGGAGGTGTGAGGGGTAGGGGCAGGGTGGGAGGTGGGCTCGCGGGTGGGCTGGGGTCATGAAGGGCCTCAGGCGCTCTGCTATTGGGTTCCAAGGCTATCCTGAGAACAGGGGTGAGGGCGGATTGCCGTGGGGGGTTAAAGCCTTGTCATGTTCGCTTTCGGGAGATAAAAACAACAGGTGGCCTTTATGGAGACGCTGCCCAGAGCCAGGTCTGTGCCAGGCTCCTGTTGGGGGTCGTCATGCGGAATCCTGACTCTGACCATCCGAGGCATAGGGACCGTGGAGATTTGCATTTCACAGATGAGGAAACAGGTTTGGAGAGGTGACACGACCTGTCCCAGGCATCACAGCCAGGACAGGACCTGTCCCAGGCATCACAGCCGGGATGTGCATAGCAGGGGTTTGGAACTATGAGGTGCCCAGGACCCAGGGTTGGATTGAAAAGGGCGCAGGGGACTAAGATAAGCAGACAGTTGTCCCCAGCGCTGGGGAGAGTCTTGGGACCAGTCTGATGCCTTGTATTTCCCAGGCTCCAGGCTCCTCGCCGGGACAGTGTCTCTTTGGGTGCGTGCTGGATCCCTGGGGGACGTGGCACATCCCCAGGCTTTCTAAACATTGGGTGGGTTCTGGCATTTGGTTTTGTAACGTTTCTGGGTCACTCCCGCCTGTGGCCACCCTTCCTTAGGGGAGCCGTGTGTCCTTGGGGCTTTGCTGGGTGGTCTCGAGGGTGGGAGAAGAATGGGTTCTCCTGGACCAATGGAGCCCGTGCCCCTCGGGGCCACATTGCTCCTGCGCTCCCTGACTGCGGACGCGTGTGTCTCGCGGCTGTCTCTGTGGAGATGGCCTCCTCCTGCCTGGCAACAGCACCCACAGAATTGCATCAGACCTACCCCACCCGTTGTTTGTGATGCTGTAGCTGAGGGCTCCTCTGTCTGCCAGGCCGGTCACTGGGGACTCTGTCCAGGTCCTGGTGGTTCCTGCTTCCCAGCACCTGATGGTGTCCATGAGAGCAGCCCCTCGGGAGCTGTCCGGGAGAGAAGGGCGCTGGTGGCTGCTGAGCGGAGAGCAAGGCCCGTGTTCTCCAGGCCCTTGGCACAGCAGTGGAGCCCCCGCCCCTGCCTTGTGTTGTCCTCTTAGGCTCTGGTCCTGGGGTTTGGAGGAGGGGGACCCTGGGGGTTGGTGGCCTGTCCCAGCCTGAGCTGGCAAGATTCCGAATGCCAGGCCCCTCAAGTGTGCAACAGGGCACAGGGTGACCTCATGTGGGCAGGTGGGTGCTGTTCTGTACACACCTGGGGCCGCCGCTGGGAGAGTTCTGGAAGGTGGGGTGAGGGGACCCATGGGAAACTAGGGCCCTAGGAAGGATGTGAAGGCCCTGGCTGGCCCCCCAGGCCACCCTCTGTGCTGTGGGGCAGCCCAGCCATTTTGCTGTCTACCCTGCAAACTCCTCCTCGGGGAGACGGCTGGGTTTTCCCCAGGGAAGAGGGGTCAAGCTGGGAGAGGTGAAGGACACAGATCACAGCTGCTGGCAGGTGTTCAAGGGTCCAGGAGCGTTGCTGTCTGGGTGTCACCAGTAGCCTTCCTGGGGGGCTCACGCAGGTGCCTATCCACTTGTGGCTCCCTGGCTGCTGAAGCTCAGCAGGGACAGCTGTGTCCAGTTCCAGGTGGAGGACAGCCGGGGCTTCTGAGGCCACAGCCTGCCTTGGGTTAAGGATGCTGCCGAGAGGTGGTGGCTTTTGGAAAAGATGGCGTACTGCAAAACGTGCTGCTCTGCATGGCTCGAAGCTTCGTGGGGAGACGTGGGCAGAGCCGTGGCTGACTCACAGACCCCCCACCCCAGAGCCTGCCCTGCCCTCCCTGCCCCGACCCTTCCCCTCCTGACCCATGTGTTTTTTGTTTTTTTTTTTGAGACAGAGTTCACTCTTGTTGCCAAGGCTGGAGTGCAATGGCACGATCTCGGCTCATGGCAACCTCCGCCTCCTGGGTTCAAGCGCTTTTCCTGCCTCAGCCTCCCGAGTAGCTGGGATTACAGGCGTGCACCACCATGCCTGGCTAATTTTGTATTTTTAGTAGAGACAGGGTTTCTCCATATTGGTCAGGCTGGTCTTGAACTCCTGACCTCAGATGATCCGCCCGCCTCGGCCTCCCAAAGTGCTGGGATTACAGGCATGAGCCACCACGCCCAGCCCTGACCCATGTTTTGAACCAAATTCCAGCCACCCTTTTATCTGCAAGCATTTTGGAGGGCATCGCAATACCGCAGACCCACCTAACACAACAGACAATTCCTTCATGCCACCGAAGGCCTGGTGTGTTCACATTTTTGGTTTAATAGTTTGAATTAAGAGCCAAATAAGGTCCACACACTGCAATTAGTTGATGTCTTTTTTTTTTTTTTTTTTTTTTTTTTTTTGAGACGGAGTCTTGCTCTTGTCTCCAGGCCGCAGTGCAGTGGCATGATCTCAGCTCGCCGCAACCTCCGACTCCCTGGTTCAAGTGATTCTCCTGCCTCAGCCTCCCGAGTACCTGGTAGCTGGGTTTACAGGCATGCACCACCGTGCCCAGCTAATTTTTGTATTTTTAGTAGAGACGGGGTTTTACCGTGTTGGCCAGGATGGTCTCGATCTCCTGACCTCGTGATCTGCCCACCTCGGCCTCCCAAAGTGCTGGGATTACAGGCGTGAGCCACCGCACCCGGCCAATGTCTTTTAAAAATATATACTTTTTTTTTTTTTTTTTTGAGACAGAGTTTCGCTCTTGTTGCCCAGGCTGGAGTGCAGTGGCGCGATCTCAGCTCACGGCAACCTCCGCCTCCCGGGTTCAAGCGATTCTCCTGCCTCAGCCTCTCCAGTAGCTGGGATTACAGGCGTGTGCCACCATGCCTGGCTAATTTTGTATTTTTAGGAGAGACGGGGTTTCTCCACGTTGGTCAGGCTGGTCTCAAACTCCTGACCTCAAGTGATCCGCCTGCCTTGGCCTCCCAAAGTGTTGGGATTACAGGTGTGAGCCAGCGCGCCCAGACAAAAATGTATATGTGTGTCTTTAAGGCTGGTCAAGCAAAGCAGTGGAACTGGAGAAAGAATGAAGAATTCTACCTGGCTGTGATCAATTCGTTGTGAACACCACTGTGCTTGGACCAGCTAGCTGATGTCTTTTGTTTTGTTTTGTTTGAGACGGAGTCTGGCTCTGTCACCCAGGCTGGAGGACAATGGTGTGATCTCGGCTCACTGCAGCCTCCACCTCCCGGGTTCAAGCGATTCTCCTGCCTCAGCCTCCTGAGTAGCTGGGATTACAGGCGCGCGCCACCACGCCCAGCTAATTTTTAAAAATATTTTTAGTAGAGATGGGGTTTCACCATGTTGGTCAGGCTGGTCTTGAACTCTTGGCCTTAGGTGATCTGCTTGCCTCGGCCTCCCGAAGTGCTGGGATTACAGGTGTGAGTGATGTCTTTTATTTATTTATTTATTTATTTTTTATTATTATTTGAGATGGAGTCTCACTCTGTTGCCCAGGCTGGAGTGCAGCAGTGCCATCTCGGCTCACTGCAAGCTCCGCCTCCTGGGTTCACACCATTCTCCTGCCTCAGCCTCCCGAGTAGCCTGGACTGGTGCCCGCCACCACGCCCAGCTAATTTTTGCATTTTTAGTAGAGACGGGGTTTCACCCTGTTGGCCAGGATGGTCTTGATCTCTTGATCTCATGATCCACCCACCTTGGCCTCCCAAAGTGCTGGGATTACAGGAGTGAGCCACCGTGCCCAGCCATCTTTCTTTTCTTGCTTTCTCTTTCTTTTCTTTCGAGACCGGGTCTTGCTCTGTCGCCCAGGCTGGACTGCAGTGGCACAATCATAGCTCACTGCAGCCTCGACCTCCCTGGCTCAAGCGATCCTTCCTCCTCAGCCCCCCGAGTAGTTGGAACTACAGCTCCACACCACCATGCCTGGCTGATTCTTTTTTTCCTTGTAGAGATGGGGTCTTGCTATGCTGTCCATCCTGGTCTCAAACTCCTGGCCTTCCCAAAGCACTGGGATTACAGGCATAAGCCACCACAGCCAGTTTCCTTTTCTTCTTTTTAACTGGAATAGTTGACTTTTTCTTTATTAGCTGTGTGTCAGGAGGGTATTTTTGGCCTTTAGTATGTCGTCTAAGTTGCTAGTGCTTTTCTGAGATTGTAGTTTGTTTTCTAATTTTATTTATATTTTGCGTAGAAGTTGTGTATTTTAGATGGAGTTAGGTCGGCTGGTCTTTGATGTTTTATTTATTAATTATGTATGTATTTATTTATTTTTGAGGTAGAGTCTCGCCGTTTCACCCCAGCTGGAGTACAGTGATGCGATCTCAGCTCCCTGTAGCCTTGACCTCTCTGGGCTCAAGTGATTTTTCTCTCCTCTACCTCCCGAGTACTTGGGACCCCAGGCGCATGCCGCCATGCCTGGCTAATGTGTATTTTTTTGTAGATACGGGGTCTCACTGTGTTGCCCAGGGTGGTTTCAAAATCCTGGGCTCAGGCGATCCTTCCGTCTCAGCTCCCACGGTGCTGTGTTACCGGCGTGTGCCCCAGTGCCTGGCCGTCTTGGAGGTCTTGTTTCTCTGGGTTTATGCCTCAAGGTGGCGCCTGCTCCGCTGTGCTCCCTGGTAGCCTGGTAGTGAGCCTGCTTCTCACACAGTCATACCTGGTTGTGGTCCCACAGTGGGACCACCCTGTTGGGTTCAGAACAGGAGATGGGGGCCCCTCGAGTCTGTGTGGGGGCTGTAGACAGGGTTGGGAGACCTTGGCTCTGTGGGGGACTGTGGACAGGGGATGGGGGGCCTTGGCCCTGCGTGGGATGGGTTGGGGGTCCGTGCCCTTCCTGGCCCTGGGTGGACAGGTCCAGGTGGCACTCGGCATAGGGCTGAGATGGGTGCAGAGGGCTGAGGCCCCCAGGCCTCTCCCGGCTTGGTTTCCCCAGATGAGTGTTCATTTGGGTCTTCCATCAGAAAGGCCCCTCCTGACCTCTGGGAGTGGGGAGCTCAAGGGTGGGAGGCCATAGCTTGGGGATGCTGGAAATGTGTGGGATGGGCCCAGGGATGGCCTCTGGCCTACTAAGGGCTCTGGCCCTGACCCACGGCCACTCACTCCTCAGAGACGTCTCCCACAACCTGCTCCGGGCGCTGGACGTTGGGCTCCTGGCGAACCTCTCGGCGCTGGCAGAGCTGTGAGTGTCCCCCAGTCGTGCCAGCATGCGGGGCTCACTCCGGGTGGGCTGGCGGCACCGCCTCTTGCTGCTCAGCTGTGGGGGCTTCCGTCAGCTTTGCCGAATCCCCCCTCTCTTCCAGGGATATAAGCAACAACAAGATTTCTACGTTAGAAGAAGGAATATTTGCTAATTTATTTAATTTAAGTGAAATGTAAGTTGTGGTTCTTTGGGTGGGGTCCTGGCTGGACCCCAGGCCCCCAGTATCCCTTCTGCCCTCCCAGTTGGTCCGTGTCCCCTTCCAGGCTTGAGACCAGATCCTGGGGGCAGTTCACTACCTGCTTGGAGCCCCCCAGTGCCGGCTTGGTTGGGGCAGGGGAGGCGGTGCTGTCAGGGTGGCTCCAGGGCCTGGTTGCCAGTGGGGGGCTGGCATAGACCCTTCCCACCAGACCTGGTCCCCAACACCTGCCCCTGCCCCGCAGAAACCTGAGTGGGAACCCGTTTGAGTGTGACTGTGGCCTGGCGTGGCTGCCGCGATGGGCGGAGGAGCAGCAGGTGCGGGTGGTGCAGCCCGAGGCAGCCACGTGTGCTGGGCCTGGCTCCCTGGCTGGCCAGCCTCTGCTTGGCATCCCCTTGCTGGACAGTGGCTGTGGTGAGTGCCGGTGGGTGGGGCAGCTCTGTCCTTCCCAGCCAGGTGGGACCTGGGCCCTGCAGACACTGGGCAGGGCTCAGGAAGGCCTCTCTGGGGGGGGCCTCCGGGCCAAGGGAACAGCATGGGAGCCTGTGAGTGCGGCGGGCGGATGGGGGGGTGTGGGGTGGAGCCAGGAGGAGCAGAACCCGGGGTCCAGTGGCTGCCTCTTCTAGGTGAGGAGTATGTCGCCTGCCTCCCTGACAACAGCTCAGGCACCGTGGCAGCAGTGTCCTTTTCAGCTGCCCACGAAGGCCTGCTTCAGCCAGAGGCCTGCAGCGCCTTCTGCTTCTCCACCGGCCAGGGCCTCGCAGCCCTCTCCGAGCAGGGCTGGTGCCTGTGTGGGTCAGCCCAGCCCTCCAGTGCCTCCTTCGCCTGCCTGTCCCTCTGCTCCGGCCCCCCGCCGCCTCCTGCCCCCACCTGTAGGGGCCCCACCCTCCTCCAGCACGTCTTCCCTGCCTCCCCAGGGGCCACCCTGGTGGGGCCCCACGGACCCCTGGCCTCCGGCCAGCTAGCAGCCTTCCACATCGCTGCCCCGCTCCCTGTCACTGCCACACGCTGGGACTTCGGAGACGGCTCCCCCGAGGTGGATGCCGCTGGGCCGGCTGCCTCGCATCGCTATGTGCTGCCTGGGCGCTATCACGTGACGGCCGTGCTGGCCCTGGGGACCGGCTCAGCCCTGCTGGGGACAGACGTGCAGGTGGAAGCGGCACCTGCCGCCCTGGAGCTCGTGTGCCCGTCCTCGGTGCAGAGTGACGAGAGCCTCGACCTCAGCATCCAGAACCGCGGTGGTTCAGGCCTGGAGGCCGCCTACAGCATCGTGGCCCTGGGCGAGGAGCCGGCCCGAGGTGAGTGTCTGCTGCCCACTCCCCTTCCTCCCCAGGGCCATCCAGATGGGGCAGAGCCTGGTACCCCCGTCTTGGGCCCACACTGACCGTTGACACCCTCGTTCCCACCGGTCTCCAGCGGTGCACCCGCTCTGCCCCTCGGACACGGAGATCTTCTCTGGCAATGGGCACTGCTACCGCCTGGTGGTGGAGAAGGCGGCCTGGCTGCAGGCGCAGGAGCAGTGTCGGGCCTGGGCCGGGGCCACCCTGGCAATGGTGGACAGTCCCGCCGTGCAGCGCTTCCTGGTCTCCCGGGTCACCAGGTGCCTGCCCCACCCCCCGAGGGGCCATAGGTTGGGAGATCTCTGAAGCAGTGGGGCAGAGCCTGCGGCTGGGGAGTCTCAGGAGGAGGGAGGTGGGAGCTGGGCCGGCCCTGGTGAGCAGGTGGCGCCGGCCGGTGGGGCCGTTCCTGTCAGCTCTGCAGATGCAGAGGTGGACGCGAGCTGGGGGCAGCCTCCGGACACTCCTGGGCACGCCATACGGGAGGTGGCCTGCACGGGGATCCCTGCCGGTGCCCACAGGCCCCGTGGGTGGGTGCTGCTGTGAGCCTGGGCTGGTGGGCCCTGCTCTCCGGGCTCTGAGCCTCAGTTTCCCCATCTGGAAAGGGGGACAGTGACGGGGCTCCCAGCGGGCTGCTGTGAGGGTGGGAGGATGGAGGAGTGCCCTGAGCCCCCTGCCATCCCACACCCGCCCCCAGGAGCCTAGACATGTGGATCGGCTTCTCGACTGTGCAGGGGGTGGAGGTGGGCCCAGCGCCGCAGGGCGAGGCCTTCAGCCTGGAGAGCTGCCAGAACTGGCTGCCCGGGGAGCCACACCCAGCCACAGCCGAGCACTGCGTCCGGCTCGGGCCCACCGGGTGGTGTAACACCGACCTGTGCTCAGCGCCGCACAGCTACGTCTGCGAGCTGCGGCCTGGAGGTGTGCGAGGGGCCAGGCAGGGGCCTGAGACGCTGGCTGTGGTTAGGGGCCTGCCGAGCGCCCGCGGTGGAGCCTGGGCTGAGGAGGAGGGGCTGGTGGGGGGGTTCTCGGGCGGCTCGGTCCCCAGTCTGTTCGTCCTGGTGTCCTGGGCCCTGGCCCGGCGCCTCACTGTGCACTTGCCACCCCAGGCCCAGTGCAGGATGCCGAGAACCTCCTCGTGGGAGCGCCCAGTGGGGACCTGTAGGGACCCCTGATGCCTCTGGCACGGCAGGACGGCCTCTCAGCCCCGCACGAGCCCGTGGAGGTAGTCGGCCCCCCACGTTCTATAACCTGCCCTCCTGCCTGCCCCTGGAGGCCTCGCCTGCCCTGCCCACTGTGGGTCTCGCCAAAAAACTTGGGGGCCTTAATGTTGCTTGTGCCCAGTGAAGATGGTTGGGAAAATCCAGAGTGCAGAGAGGAAAGCGTTTACTCACATTACCCCCAGGCCTTTTCTCTGAGTGTGGGTGAGTTATTCCTGAAAGGCAGGTCAGGGGTCCTGCCCCCCATGGACAGTTTCCATCGGAGTCTTCCTCTCGAGCGACAGGAGCCAGGCCTGTGGGGGTCCGATGGCTCGCTCTCCTTCCCTCCCCTCTTCCTGCGAAGTTCGGGTGGGGGGAGTCTGGGCTTCAGGCTGGGATGGGGTCTGTGGAGCTGAGGCGGCCCCCTGCCCACCAGGTCATGGTATTCCCGGGCCTGCGTCTGAGCCGTGAAGCCTTCCTCACCACGGCCGAATTTGGGACCCAGGAGCTCCGGCGGCCCGCCCAGCTGCGGCTGCAGGTGTACCGGCTCCTCAGCACAGCAGGTGGGACTCTGGGGTGGTGGGCGCCGCAGGACTCGGGGTGGCCTCTCTGAGCTCTCACGTCTGCTGGTCCTGTGGCCATCAGAGTGGTTCCCAGTCTTAGGTGGACAGAGCAGGGGTTCCAGAGACACCAGCTCATTCCAGGTGTCCTGGGGGTGGATCGGGTGGGGCCTGCCTGGGGACCGGCCTGGGTCAGTCAGCTGGCCGGAGACAGGGACGCAGCACTGGGCTGGGAGTGCTGCCCGGGCGGGGAGACCTGTCCTCACAGCAAGGCCAGGCTCGCTGGTGCAGGCAGTTGGGCATCTCTGACGGTGGCCCATGGGCGAATCAGGGCCCCAACACCCTCCCCTCCTCGCAGGGACCCCGGAGAACGGCAGCGAGCCTGAGAGCAGGTCCCCGGACAACAGGACCCAGCTGGTCCCCGCGTGCATGCCAGGGGGACGCTGGTGCCCTGGAGCCAACATCTGCTTGCCGCTGGACGCCTCCTGCCACCCCCAGGCCTGCGCCAATGGCTGCACGTCAGGGCCAGGGCTACTCGGGTCCCCCTATGCGCTATGGAGAGAGTTCCTCTTCTCCGTTCCCGCGGGGCCCCCCGCGCAGTACTCGGTGTGTGGCCCTGACCTGGGTCTGTTCCCTGCATCTCCTCAGGCCACCTTCCTGTCTGCTGCCCAGGGTCTGGGTCTGCGCAGCAGACACACCCAGCCTGCAGGCCCCTCCCACGTCCTTGCCACCTCTGACCTCCGACCTCCGACCTCCAACCTCCGACCTCTGCAGTGCCCTTGCCCCTCTCCCAGTGGGAGAAGCTCTCGCCTGGGCCCTTGGCACGAGCTGTGCCTCCTCTTCCTCTCTCCCAGCACAGCCGCTCCTTCCTGTCTGTCAGGTCTTGGCCTGTGTCCTCTCCCCGTGTGTCCCCCTGTCTGCAACTGTCCTGCCTGTCCTTGTCACGAGCACTGTGGGGAGGCTCCCTGAGGTGTGGCTGACGAAGCGGGGAGCCCTGCGTGTCCACCCTCATCCGTCGTGCAGGGGTCCACGGGCCATGACCGTGAGGACGTGATGCAGCCCTGCCTCCCTCTCCACAGGTCACCCTCCACGGCCAGGATGTCCTCATGCTCCCTGGTGACCTCGTTGGCTTGCAGCACGACGCTGGCCCTGGCGCCCTCCTGCACTGCTCGCCGGCTCCCGGCCACCCTGGTCCCCAGGCCCCGTACCTCTCCGCCAACGCCTCGTCATGGCTGCCCCACTTGCCAGCCCAGCTGGAGGGCACTTGGGCCTGCCCTGCCTGTGCCCTGCGGCTGCTTGCAGCCACGGAACAGCTCACCGTGCTGCTGGGCCTGAGGCCCAACCCTGGGCTGCGGCTGCCTGGGCGCTATGAGGTCCGGGCAGAGGTGGGCAATGGCGTGTCCAGGCACAACCTGTCCTGCAGCTTTGACGTGGTCTCCCCAGTGGCTGGGCTGCGGGTCATCTACCCTGCCCCCCGCGACGGCCGCCTCTACGTGCCCACCAACGGCTCAGCCTCGGTGCTCCAGGTGGACTCTGGTGCCAGCGCCACGGCCACGGCTCGCTGGCCTGGGGGCAGTGTCAGCGCCCGCTTTGAGAATGCCTGCCCTGCCCTGGTGGCCACCTTCGTGCCCAGCTGCCCCTGGGAGACCAATGATACCCTGTTCTCAGTGGTAGCACTGCCGTGGCTCGGTGAGGGGGAGCACGTGATGGACGTTGTGGTGGAAAACAGCGCCAGCCGGGCCAACCTCAGCCTGCGGGTGACGGCGGAGGAGCCCATCTGTGGCCTCCGCGCCACGCCCAGCCCCGAGGCCCGTGTACTGCAGGGAGTCCCAGTGGTGAGTATGGCCGAGGCTCCACCACCAGCCCCCAGGCAGGTGCCTGCAGACAGGGTGCTCACACAGGGCGTGAGGCCTGGCTTCCCAGTGAGGGCGGCAGCCCAGTTACTGGGGACGTCGGCCCCGGGCAGGTCCTGCTGGCTGGCTCCTCAGGCTACCTGGTGGGCTTTAAATTCCTGGAAAGTCACGGCTCTGACAGCGGCTCCGCTAACTCATTCCACCGTCTCATTTCACGAAATGAATTTAAAACTCCGCTCCCTGACCTCACACGAGTCCCCGTGAGTCTCTCACGCCCTCTGCTGTGTTCTCGCCTGGCTAAAGCAAGTGGCTTTTGAGGTGGAGTCCGAACCCCTGATGGGAAACTGCGGGCTGCCCGCAGTGCCACCATGCTGGGTACATGGGGGACAGGGCTGTTCCATCTTGCGGGTACCTGCCCCTTCACCAGGGGCCTTGGGAGGGGCCATCAGAAATGGCGTGACCTGTGCAGCCTGTCCTGGGTTCTGTAAGCCAGTGTAGGTGCTGTCCCTGTGAGGCCCGTGTGCCTCCCCTCACTGCTCCGAGCTCTCTGGCTGAGGAGCTGGGGCAGGAGCCCCGGGAGGGTCTGAGAAGACTCAGAGAGAGGTGGACTCTTTGTAGCTGGTACTAGGTTTGCTTTACAGATGGGGAAACTGAGGCACAGAGAGGTTGAGGCATTAGTAGTACTACATGGCTGGCTGGAGAGCCGGACAGTCAGTGTCCCAGCCCGGGCTTGGCTCTCATGGCATGCAGAGCCCCGGGCACCTCCTCTCCTCTGTGCCCCGCGTGGGACTCTCCAGCCCGACGGGAGGTGTGTCCAGGAGGCGACAGGCTAAGGGCAGAGTCCTCCACAGAGCCCAGGCTGACACCAGTCCCCCCGCAGAGGTACAGCCCCGTGGTGGAGGCCGGCTCGGACATGGTCTTCCGGTGGACCATCAACGACAAGCAGTCCCTGACCTTCCAGAACGTGGTCTTCAATGTCATTTATCAGAGCGCGGCGGTCTTCAAGCTCTCAGTAGGTGGGCGGGAGTGGGGAGGGGAGGGGATGGGGCGGGGCGGGGGCGGGCTCCACCTTCACCTCTGCCTTCTGCTCTGCTTCATGCTGCCCGAGGACGCTGCCATGGCTGTGGTGAGTGGAGGGAGGGACGCCAAGCAGGGCAGGCCTCTCACCTGCCACCTGGGCCCACTGATGCCTGTCCCTGCAGCTGACGGCCTCCAACCACGTGAGCAACGTCACCGTGAACTACAACATCACCGTGGAGCGGATGAACAGGATGCAGGGCCTGCGGGTCTCTACAGTGCCAGCCGTGCTGTCCCCCAATGCCACGCTGGCACTGACGGCGGGCGTGCTGGTGGACTCGGCCGTGGAGGTGGCCTTCCTGTGAGTGACTCAGGGGCCGGTTTGGGGTGGGCACCAGGCTCTTGTCCGGGCACCAGGCTCTTGTCCCGGCTCCAGCCTCAGCCGAGGGACCCCACATCAGGGGGTTGCTTTTCTGAGCCTCGGTTTCCCTGTCTGTTGGGAGGTACTGGGTGCACAGGAGCCCTGAGGCTGCACGGGAGCCGGGAGAGGCCTCAGCACAGCCGGGTGGGCCCTGAATGGAGGCCCGGGGCGTGACTGCAGAGTGGAGCCTCGGCTGGGTCCCAAGCACCCCCTGCCCCGCCACCGCGCACCTGTGCCCCGCCACTGCGCACCCCTGTCCCGGTTCACTCACTGCCTCCCACCGCCCCGGCAGGTGGACCTTTGGGGATGGGGAGCAGGCCCTCCACCAGTTCCAGCCTCCGTACAACGAGTCCTTCCCGGTTCCAGACCCCTCGGTGGCCCAGGTGCTGGTGGAGCACAATGTCACCCACACCTACGCTGCCCCAGGTGAGGGATGAGGGGGTGAGGGGGCCACTGCCTTTCAGGCTCTGAGCACGGGGCCCCCCCAGTCCCCCAGTCAAGCTGCCCCGCTTCCTCCCCAACAGCCCTCACTGTGACCTCACCTGGGCTGATGGCTTAGGCCCCTACTGGGGTGAGGGAGGGGCCAGGCGTGGGAGGAGTGGACAGGGAAGCTGGGCCCCCTGAACTGCCCCCCACCGCGGCCTGGCTCTTGCTGCTCTGCTGCCCCGAGTGCAGCTGCACTTGGAGGCGGTGCCGTCCTCACCAGGCAGCCCTCAGTGCTGCTGCACCTGTGCTCCGTCCCGCACGTGGCTTGGGAGCCTGGGACCCTTAAGGCTGGGCCGCAGGTGCAGCCGTTCACCCCGGGCTCCTCAGGCGGGGGGCTTCTGCCGAGCGGGTGGGGAGCAGGTGGGGGTGCCGCGGCTGCCCCACTTGGGCCTGTCCCCACAGGTGAGTACGTCCTGACCTTGCTGGCATCTAATGCCTTCGAGAACCGGACGCAGCAGGTGCCTGTGAGCGTGTGCGCCTCCCTGCCCTCTGTGAGCGTGTGCGCCTCCCTGACTGGGGCCTGCTGGTACCCCAGAGTGGGTGTCTGTTCCCCAGTCCCTGCTTTCCTCAGCTGGCCTGATTGGGGGTCTGCCCAGAGGGGTCGTCTGAGGGGAGGGTGTGGGAGCAGGTTCCATCCCGGCTCAGCCTCCTGACCCAGGCCCTGGCTAAGGGCTGCAGGAGTCTGTGAGTCAGGCCTACGTGGCAACTGCGGTCCTCACACCCACACATACGTCTGTTCCCACACGCATCCCCCCAGGGGCCCTCAGTGAGCATTGCCTGCCTCCTGCCAGGGTCCAGCTGGGTCCAGTACACCAGAACGCACACCCCAGTGTCCTCTGCCCTGTGTATGCCCTTCCGCCGCCCAGGTTGGAAGGTGGCAAACCGGATGAGTATCCTGGGAGGGGGTGAGCTCACCGGCAGTGGCCAGGCCCCTGGGAAACCTGGAGTTTGGGAGCAGCATCCTCCACGGGTCCCCCAGACCTTCCAGCAGGCCAAATAGACCTGTGTTGGAGGTAACCCCACTCCCACGCCAGGTGCTGATCCGCAGTGGCCGGGTGCCCATTGTGTCCTTGGAGTGTGTGTCCTGCAAGGCACAGGCCGTGTACGAAGTGAGCCGCAGCTCCTACGTGTACCTGGAGGGCCGCTGCCTCAATTGCAGCAGCGGCTCCAAGCGAGGGGTGAGTGTTGAGCGGGGTGTGGGCGGGTTGGGGATGGGTCCCATGGCCGAGGGGACGGGGCCTGCAGGCAGAAGTGGGGCTGACAGGGCAGAGGGTTGCGCCCCCTCACCATCCCTTCTGCCTGCAGCGGTGGGCTGCACGTACGTTCAGCAACAAGACGCTGGTGCTGGATGAGACCACCACATCCACGGGCAGCGCAGGCATGTGACTGGTGCTGCGGCGGGGCGTGCTGCGGGACGGCGAGGGATACACCTTCACGCTGACGGTGCTGGGCCGCTCTGGCGAGGAGGAGGGCTGCGCCTCCATCCCCCTGTCCCCCAACCGCCCGCCGCTGGGGGGCTCTTGCTGCCTCTTCCCACTGGGCGCTGTGCACGCTCTCACCACCAAGGTGCACTTCGAATGCATGGGTGAGTGCAGGCCTGCGTAGGGGGAGCAGCGGGATCCCCCGACTCTGTGAGGTCACGGAGCCCTCCTGTGATGCCGTGGGGACCGTCCCTCAGGCTGGCATGACGCGGAGGATGCTGGCGCCCCGCTGGTGTACGCCCTGCTGCTGCAGCGCTGTCGCCAGGGCCACTGCGAGGAGTTCTGTGTCTACAAGGGCAGCCTCTCCGGCTACGGAGCCGTGCTGCCCCCGGGTTTCAGGCCACACTTCGAGGTGGGCCTGGCCGTGGTGGTGCAGGACCAGCTGGGAGCCGCTGTGGTCGCCCTCAACAGGTGAGCCAGGCCGTGGGAGGGCGCCCCCGAGACTGCCACCTGCTCACCACCCCCCTCTGCTCGTAGGTCTCTGGCCATCACCCTCCCAGAGCCCAACGGCAGCGCAATGGGGCTCACAGTCTGGCTGCACGGGCTCACCGCTAGTGTGCTCCCGGGGCTGCTGCGGCAGGCCGATCCCCAGCACGTCATCGAGTACTCGCTGGCCCTGGTCACTGTGCTGAACGAGGTGAGTGCAGCCTGGGAGGGGACCTCACATCTGCTGCATGCGTGCTGGGGACCAAGACCTGTTCCCCTGCCTGGAGCTTTGCGGAGGGCTCATCCCGGGCCCCAGAGATAAATCCCAGTGACCCTGAAGCAGCACCCCGACGTTCCGCTCCCAGCAGCCACACCCACCAGGCCCTCTCCGGCGTCTGCTTTCCACAATGCAGCCCCCGCCCAGGAGGGCCCATGTGCTTACCCTGTTTTGCCCATGAAGAAACAGCTCAGTGTTGCGGGTCAGTGCCCACATCACACAGCATCTAGCACGTAACTGCACCCCGGGAGTCGTGGGCATCTGCTGGCCTCCTGCCGGCCTCCTGCCCTGCTGACAGCTTGCTGTGCCCCCTGCCTGCCCCAGTACGAGCGGGCCCTGGACGTGGCGGCAGAGCCCAAGCACGAGCGGCAGCGCCGAGCCCAGATACGCAAGAACATCACGGAGACTCTGGTGTCCCTGAGGGTCCACACTGTGGATGACATCCAGCAGATCGCTGCTGCGCTGGCCCAGTGCATGGTAGGATGGCCCCACATGCTCTCCCCGCCCCGCATGCCTGCCAGGGTACTGGGTTCAGCCCCCCAGGGCAGACGGGCAGCTTGGCCGAGGAGCTGAGCCTCCAGCCTGGGCTCCTTCCTGCCATGGCGTTCCTCGGTCTCTGACCTGCTTCAGTAGCCTCAGCCATTCTGCTGTCCTGTGTGAACGCAGGGTGCCTCTCGGGGGACCCAGGGTGTAAAGAGGGGCCCAGATGTGGGGAGGGACTAAGAAGATGCTGCTCTGTGCCCTCCACTCTCCCCTCCCCTCCCCCTTCCCTCCCCTAGCCCCTCCCCTCCCCTTCCCTCCCCTAACCCCTCCCCTCCCCCTTCCCTCCCCTAGTCCCTCCCCCCTCCCCTAGCCCCTGCCTCCTCCCCCAGCCCCTCCCCTCCCCTAGCCCTTCCCCTCCTCCCCTCCCCTAGACCTTCCCCTCACCTCATCCCGCTGAGCCCCTCCACTCCTCCCCCGGCCTCTCCATCCCCTCACCCCTCCTCTCCTGCTTCCTCCCCTCCTCCCCCTCCCCTGCCTCCCCCTCCGCTCCCCACTCCTCTCCTCCCCTCATCGTCCTCCTCTCCTCCCCTCATCCCCCTCCTCTCTCCTCCCCTCCTCGTCCTCTCCTTCCCTCCTCCTCTCCTCCCCTCCCCCTCCTTCCCCCTCCTCTCCTCTCCTCCCCATCCCCCTTCCCCTTCTCCTCCTTCTCTCCCCACCCCCTTCCCTTTTTCCCTCCTCCTCCCTCCCTTCCTCCTCTCCTCTCCTCCTCCCCTCTCCTCCCCCCTCATCTCCTCCCCCCTCATCTCCTCCCCTTCTCCTCTCCTCCCCTTCTGTCCTCTCCTCCCCTTTTTCCCTTCTCCTTCCACTCCTCCCCTTTTCCCCTCCTGTCCTCCCTCCCCTCCCTCCCCTCCTCTTCCCCTCCCCTCCTCTGCCCCTCCCCTCCTCTCTTCCCTCCCCTCCTCTTCCCCTCCCCTCCTCTTCCCTCCCTTCCTCTTCCCTCCCCTCTTCCCCTCTCCTCCTCTTCCCTCCCCTCTTCCCCTTTCCTCTTCCCCTCCCCTCCTCATCCCTCCCCTCTTTCCCCTCTTCCCCTCCCCTCCTCTTCCCTCTCCTTTCTCCCCTTTCTCTCCCCTCCCCTCTCCCCCCTTCTCCCCCTCCCCTCTCTCCCCCTTCTCTCCCCTCCCCTCTCCTTCTCTCCCCTCCCCTCTCCCTCTTCTATCCCCTCCCCTCTCTCCCCCTTCTCTCCCCTCCTCTCTCTCCCCCTTCTCTCTGCCTTCTCTCCCTTCCCCTCTCCCCCCTTCTCTCCCCTCCCCCCTCTCTCCCCTCCCCCCTTCTCTCCCCTCCCCTCTCCCCTCCCCTCTCCCCCTTCTCTCCCCCCTTCTCTCCGTTCCCCTCTCCCCTCCCCTCTCCCCTTCTCTCCCCCTTCTCTCCCCTCCCCTCTCCTCTCCCCCTTCTCTCCTCTCCCCTCTCCTCTCCCCCCTTCTCTCCCCTCCCCTCTCCTCTCCCCCTTCCCTCTCCTCTCCCCCTTCCCTCTCCTCTCCCCCTTCCCTCTCCTCTCCCCCTTCCCTCTCCTCTCCCCCTTCCCTCTCCTCTCCCCCTTCTCTCCCCTTCCCTCTCCTCTCCCCCCTTTTCTCCACTCCCCTCTCCTCTCTCCCCTCTCCCCTCCTCCTCCTCTCATGTGAAGAGGTGCCTTGTGTGGTCGGTGGGCTGCATCACGTGGTCCCCAAGTGGAGGCCCTCGGTCATGCAGAGCCACAGAAAATGCTTAGTGAGGAGACTGTGGGGGTCCAGTCAAGTGGGCTCTCCAGCTGCAGGGCTGGAGGTGGGAGCCAGGTGAGGACCCGTGTAGAGAGGAGGGCGTGTGCAAGGAGTGGGGCCAGGAGCGGGGCTGGACACTGCTGGCTCCACACAGGGGCCCAGCAGGGAGCTCGTATGCCGCTCGTGCCTGAAGCAGACGCTGCACAAGCTGGAGGCCATGATGCGCATCCTGCAGGCAGAGACCACCGCGGGCACCGTGACGCCCACCGCCATCGGAGACAGCATCCTCAACATCACAGGTGCCGCGGCCCGTGCCCCACGCCACCCGCCCGCCCCACGTGGCCCGTCCGCCCCATGCCGCCCTTTCCTCTGCCTCCCTCCTCCCCACAACCGCCTCGCCTTTGCCCCATCCCATCTTCGTCCCCCTCCCCTCCCCCCAATTCCCATCCTCATCCCCCTCCCCCAATTCCCATCCTCATCCCGCTCCCCCAATTCCCATCCTCATCCCCCTCCCCCAATTCCCATCCTTATCCCCCTCCCCCAATTCCCATCCTTATCCCCCTCCCCCAATTCCCATCCTCATCCCGCTCCCCCAATTCCCATCCTCATCCCGCTCCCCCAATTCCCATCCTCATCCCGCTCCCCCAATTCCCATCCTTATCCCCCTCCCCCAATTCCCATTCTCCTCCCCCTCCCCCTTCCCTATTACCATCCCTTTTCTCCATCTCTCTCCCCTTTTCTCCATTTCCCCCCCGATCCTCCCCGTCCTTTTGTCCATTCCCCTCATCTTTCTTATCCCCCTTATCCTCCTTCCCCTCCCTTATCCTCCTTCCCCTCCCTTATCCCCCTTCCCCTCCCTTATCCCCCTTATCCCCTTCCCCTCCCTTTCACCCTGTTCCTCTTCTTCTCCCCTTTCTCTTTTCTCTACCCTTTTCCTTCCTTTTTCCTCCCTCTCCCCATCATCCCCCTCATCTTCGTCCTCATCCCCATCCCCTTCCCCCTCCCCCTCCACCACTCTCTCTCCAGCTTCCCTCTTCCTTCTGCCTGCACCTCGCTCTCTGCCCCCTCAGGTTCCCCCTTTCTCCCAGTCCCCACCCTCCGGCTCCCCCTTTTTGCCTGCCCCCACCCTCCCTCTGCCTCCCTGTCTCTGCACTGACCTCACGCCTGTCTGCAGGAGACCTCATCCACCTGGCCAGCTCAGACGTGCGGGCACCACAGCGCTCAGAGCTGGGAGCCGAGTCACCATCGCGGATGGTGGCGTCCCAGGCCTACAACCTGACCTCTGCCCTCACGCCCATCGTCACGCGCTCCCGCGTGCTCAACGAGGAGCCCCTGACGCTGGCGGGTGAGGAGATCGTGGCCCAGGGCAAGCGCTCGGACCCGCGGAGCCTGCTGTGCTATGGCGGCGCCCCAGGGCCTGGCTGCCACTTCTCCATCCCCTAGGCTTTCAGCAGGGCCCCGGCCAACCTCAGTGACGTGGTGCAGCTCATCTTTCTGGTGGACTCCAATCCCTTTCCCTTTGGCTATATCAGCAACTACACCGTCTCCACCAAGGTGGCCTCGATGGCGTTCCAGACACAGGCCGGCGCCCAGATCCCCATCGAGCGGCTGGCCTCAGAGCGCGCCTCACCGTGAAGGTGCCCAACAACTCGGACTGGGCTGCCCGGGGCCACCGCAGCTCCGCCAACTCCGTTGTGGTCCAGCCCCAGGCCTCCGTCGGTGCTGTGGTCACCCTGGACAGCAGCAACCCTGCGGCCGTGCTGCATCTGCAGCTCAACTATACGCTGCTGGACGGTGCATGCAGCGGTTGGGGCACACGCGGCCCCCTGGCCTTGTTCCTGGGGGGAAGGCGTTTCTCGTAGGGCTTCCATGGGTGTCTCTGGTGAAATTTGCTTTCTGTTTCATGGGCTGCTGGGGGCCTGGCCGGAGAGGAGCTGGGGGCCACGGAGAAGCAGGTGCCAGCTCTGGTGCAGAGGCTCCTATGGCCTTTCAGGCCCATGGCAGAGGGTGGGCTCAGGAGGGCCATCGTGGGTGTCCCCCGGGTGGTTGAGCTTCCCGGCAGGCGTGTGATCTGCGCGTTCTGCCCCAGGCCGCTACCTGTCTGAGGAACCCGAGCCCTACCTGGCAGTCTACCTGCACTCGGAGCCCCGGCCCAATGAGCGCAACTGCTCGGCTAGCAGGAGGATCCGCCCAGAGTCCCTCCAGGGTGCCGACCACCGGCCCTACACCTTCTTCATTTCCCCGGGGTGAGCTCTGCGGGCCGGCCTGGCAGGGCAGGGCAGGGCATCATGGGTCAGCATTGCCCGGGTTACGGGCCCCGTGGGGACGGCAGGCAGCGAGGGGACTGGACCGGGTATGGGCTCTGGGACTCCGACATCCAACCTGGCGGAGCCTGGGCTCACGTCCACTGCCCCTTCCCTTCCCAGGACCAGAGACCCAGTGGGGAGTTACCGTCTGAACCTCTCCAGCCACTTCCGCTGGTCGGCGCTGGAGGTGTCCGTGGGCTTGTACACGTCCCTGTGCCAGTACTTCAGCGAGGAGGACGTGGTGTGGCGGACAGAGGGGCTGCTGCCCCTGGAGGAGACCTCGCCCCGCCAGGCCGTCTGCCTCACCCGCCACCTCACCGCCTTCGGCACCAGCCTCTTCGTGCCCCCAAGCCATGTACGCTTTGTGTTTCCTGTGAGTGACCCTGTGCTCCTGGGAGCCTCTGCAGAGTCGAGGAGGGCCTGGGTGGGCTCGGCTCTATCCTGAGAAGGCACAGCTTGCACGTGACCTCCTGGGCCTGGCGGCTGTGTCTTCACAGGAGCCAACAGCGGATGTAAACTACATCGTCATGCTGACATGTGCTGTGTGCCTGGTGACCTACATGGTCATGGCCGCCATCCTGCACAAGCTGGACCAGTTGGATGCCAGCCGGGGCTGCGCCATCCCCTTCTGTGGGCAGCGGGGCCGCTTCAAGTACGAGATCCTCGTCAAGACAGGCTGGGGCCGGGGCTCAGGTGAGGGGCGCGGCGGGGTGGCAGGGCCTCCCCTGCTCTCACTGGCTGTGCTGGTTGCACCCTCTGGGAGTGAGTCTCGTCGCAGGCGTCAGAACAAGGCAGTTTTTGCAGTGCTGTGTGAAGGGCTCGTGTGTTCATCCTGGGAATGACCTCGTGAGCACTCACTGTCCCTGAGGACTAGGACAGCTCCTAGCTGGAAGTAGGTGCCAGTCAGTCAGGGTGGGCAGCCCACGTTCTACACAGTAGCGTAGCCCCACAAGTTACGTGAGCATCGCTACCACTGTGGGAGACCATGCATCCACCCGCGATCCTGACTGCATAGCTCGTCTCTCAGACGGAGGCGCCAGCACCCTCCCCGTGGCTGTTTCTTCAATACCTCCATTTTCCTTTCTTTGGAATTGCCCTTCTGGCATTCCCTTTTTGTTTTCGTTTTTCTTTTTTTGGAGACGGAGTCTCGCTCTGTTGCCCAGGCTGGAGTGCAATGGCGTGATCTTGGCTCACAGCAACTTCCAGCTCCTGGGTTTAAGCGATTCCCCTTAAGCGATTCTCCTGAGTAGCTGGGAGTACAGGTGCACACCACCACACCCAGTTAATTTTTCACCATGTCAGCCAGGCGAACTCCTGACCTCAGGTGATCCGCCTGCCTCGGCCTGCCAGAGTGCTGGGATGACAGGTGTGAGCCACCACACCTGGCCGTGTTCCCATTTTTTATTTCCATGCTGCTTTCATCTTCATTTCCCAGTTCTTTCTTTTGATTACCTACTTTTAAAAACTGTCGGCCGGGTGCGGTGGCTCACACCTGTAATCCGAGCACTTTGGGAGGCTGAGGCAGGCTAATCACGGGGTCAGGAGATCGAGACCATCCTGGCTAACGGTGAAACCCTGTCTCTACTAAAAAATACAAAAAAATTAGGCCGGCGTGGTGGCAGGCGCCTGTAGTCCCAGCTCCTCGGGAGACTGAGGCAGGAGAATGGCGTGAACCCGGGAGGCGGAGCTTGCAGTGAGCTGAGATTGCGCCACTGCACTCCAGCCTGGGTGACACAGCAAGACTCCATCTCAAAAAAAAAAAAAAAAAAAATACTGTCACCTGGGTCTGTCACTGGGAGAGGAGGTGACACAGCTTCACGCTTCGCAGTCTGTGCATGAACTGAGGGACGGGTGTGTGGTGCAGGTCACCGGTTGTGGCGTGACTGAGGTGTGGACAGGTGTGCAGTGCGGGTCACTGGTTGTGGTGTGGACTGAGGCGTGTGCAGCCATGTTTGCATGTTACAAGTTACAGTTCTTTCCATGTAACTTAATCATGTCCTTGAGGTCCTGCTGTTTATTGGACAAATTGCAGTAACCGCAGCTCCTCGTGTATAGCAGAGCTGTGCAAAGCCGGGACTGCCTGTGTGGCTCCTTGAGTGCGCGGAGGCCAAAGCTGAGATGACTTGCCTGGGATGCCACACGTGTTGGGCAGCAGACCGAGCCTCCCACCCCTCCCTCTTGCCCTCCAGGTACCACGGCCCACGTGGGCATCATGCTGTATGGGGTGGACAGCCGGAGCGGCCACCGGCACCTGGACGGCGACAGAGCCTTCCACCGCAACAGTCTGGACATCTTCCAGATCGCCACCCCGCACAGCCTGGGTAGCATGTGGAAGATCCGAGTGTGGCACGACAACAAAGGTCTGTATGGACCCTGCCAAGCTCTGCCCCTCTGCCCCTGCATTGGGGCGCCCTGCGAACCTGACCTCCCTCCCGCGCCTCTGCAGGGCTCAGCCCTGCCTGGTTCCTGCAGCACATCATCGTCAGGGACCTGCAGACGGCACGCAGCACCTTCTTCCTGGTCAATGACTGGCTTTCGGTGGAGACGGAGGCCAACGGGGGCCTGGTGGAGAAGGAGGTGCTGGCCGCGAGTAAGGCCTCGTTCCGTGTTCCCACTCCGTGGGAGGTTGGGCAGGGTGGTCCTGCCCCGTGGCCTCCTGCAGTGCGGCCCTCCCTGCCTTCTAGGTCACGCAGCCCTGTTGCGCTTCCGGCGCCTGCTGGTGGCTGAGCTGCAGCGTGGCTTCTTTGACAAGCACATCTGGCTCTCCATATGGGACCGGCCGCCTCGGAGCTGTTTCACTCGCATCCAGAGGGCCACCTGCTGCGTTCTCCTCATCTGTCTCTTCCTGGGCGCCAACGCCGTGTGGTACGGGGCTGTTGGAGACTCTGCCTACAGGTGGGTGCCGTAGGGGTCGGGACAGCCTCTTCCTGCCCAGCCCTTCCTGCCCCTCAGCCTCACCTGTGTGGCCTCCTCTCCTCCACACAGCACGGGGCGTGTGTCCAGGCTGAACCCGCTGAGCGTCGACACAGTCGCTGTTGGCCTGGTGTCCAGCGTGGTTGTCTATCCCGTCTACCTGGCCATCCTCTTTCTCTTCCGGATGTCCCGGAGCAAGGTGGGCTGGGGCTGGGGACCCGGGAGTACTGGGAATGGAGCCTGGGCCTCGGCACCATGCCCAGGGCCGCCACTTTCCAGTGCTGCAGCCAGAGGGAAAGGCGTCCACCAAAGGCTGCTCGGGAAGGGTCAACACACTTGAGCAGCCTTAGCTAGACTGACCAGGGAGAAAGAGAGAAGACTCAGAAGCCAGAATCGTGAAAGAACGAGGGCACTTCGCTAAGCAGACGCCACGGACAACTGCACAGCAGCACGCCAGATAACTCAGAAGAAGCAAGCACGCGGCTGTGCACGCTTCCGAAATGCACTCCAGAAGAAAATCTCAGTACATCTATAGCAAGTGAAGAGGCCGAGTTAGTCCCTTAGAAACCTCCCAGTGGCCGGGCCGGGTGTGGTGGCTCACGCCTGTAATCCCAACACTTCAGGAGGCCGAGGTGGGCGGATCTGAGTCCAGGAGTTTGAGACCAGCCTGGGCAACATAGCAAGACCCCATCTATATAAAACATTAAAAAGGGCCAGGCACGGTGGCTCATGCCTGTAATCCCAACACTTTGGGAGGCCGAGGCGGGCAGATCAGTTGAGGTCAGGAGTTCGAGACCAGCCTGGCCAACACAATGAAACCCCATCTCTACTACAAATACAAAAACAGCTGGGCATGGTGGCGGGCGCCTGTAGTCCCAGCTACTCGAGAGGCTGAGGCAGGAGAATGGCATGAACCCAGGAGGCGGAGCTTGCAGTGAGCCGAGATTGCGCCACTGCACTCCATCCTGGGCAACGGAGCAAGACTCCGTCTCCAAAAAAAAAAAAAAAAAAAATCCCACAAAGAAAAGCCCAGGCTCAGAGCCTTCACGATAGAATTTTTCTAAGCAGTTAAGGAAGAATTAACACCAATCCTTCACAGACTCTTTCCAAGAATACAGCAGGTGGGAACTCTTCCCATTCATACGGAAACGGGAGGCCGCACCCCTTAGGAATGCACACGTGGGGTCCTCAAGAGGTTACATGCAAACTAACCCCAGCAGCACACAGAGAAGGCGCATAAGCCGCGACCAGGAGGGGTTGCTCCCGAGTCCGTGGCAGGAACCAGAGGCCACATGTGGCTGCTCGTATTTAAGTTAATTAAAATGGAACGATGGCCGGGTGTGGTGGCTCACACCTGTAATCCCAGCACTTTGGGAGGCGGAGGCGGGCAGATCACTTGAGGTCAGGAGTTCCAAGACCAGCCTGGCCAACACAGTGAAACCCCGTCTCTACTAAAAATACAAAAAATTAGCTGGGCATCGTGGCAGGCACCTGTAATCCCAGCTACTAAAGAGGCTGAGCCAGGACGGACAATCGCCTGAACGCGGGAGGTGGAGGTTGCAGTGAGCTGAGATTGCGCCAGTGCACTCCAGCCTGGGTGACAGAGCGAGACTCCATCTAAAAAAAAAAAAAATGAAATTTAAAACTCTGTTCCTTAGCTGCACCAGTCTGCTGTCAAGCGTTCAGTGGCACATGTCGCGAGGGGCTGCCATCACGGACGGTGCAGATGTCCCATATATCTAGCATTCTAGAACATTCTGTCAGATGGCACCGGGCTCTGTCCTGTCTGCTGAGGAGGTGGCTTCTCATCCCTGTCCTGAGCAGGTCTGAGCTGCTGCCCGCTGACCACTGCCCTTGTCCTGCAGGTGGCTGGGAGCCCGAGCCCCACACCTGCCGGGCAGCAGGTGCTGGACGTCGACAGCTGCCTGGACTCATCCGTGCTGGACAGCTCCTTCCTCACGTTCTCAGGCCTCCACGCTGAGGTGAGGGCTCTACTGGGGGTCCTGCCGCCTTGGCGCAGCTTGGACTCAAGACCCTGTGCACCTCTCAGCAGGCCTTTGCTGGACAGATGAAGAGTGACTTGTTTCTGGATGATTCTAAGAGGTGGGTTCCCTAGAGAAACCTCGAGCCCTGGTGCAGGTCACTGTGTCTGGAGTACCGGGGGTGTGCGGGCTGCGTGTCCTTGCTGGGTGTCTGTGGCTCCATGTGGTCACACCACCTGGGAGCAGGTTTGCTCGGAAGCCCAGGGTGTCCGTGCGTGACTGGACGGGGGTGGGCTGTGTGTGTGACACATCCCCTGGTACCTTGCTGACCCGCGCCACCTGCAGTCTGGTGTGCTGGCCCTCCAGCGAGGGAACGCCCAGTTGGCCGGACCTGCTCAGTGACCCGTCCATTGTGGGTAGCAATCTGCGGCACGACCCCCACTTACTGGGTCTCTCCTTTTACAACCAACACAACCGAAATCTAGGGCTTCTTCTTTTTTTTTTTTTTTTTTTGAGACAGAGTCTCATTCCATTCTGTCACCCAGGCTGGAGTGCAATGGTACGATCTCGGCTCACTGCAACCTCCGCCTCCCAGGTTCAAGGGATTGTCCTGCCTCAGCCTCCTGAGTAGCTGGGATTACAGGCGTGTGCCACCATGCCTGGCTAATTTTTGTATTTTTGGTAGAGACGGGGTTTCAGCATGTTGGTGAGGCTGGTCTCGAACTCCTAACCTCGTGATCCGCCTGCCTCAGCCTCCCAAAGTGCTGGGATTACAGACGTGAGCCACCATGCCCAGCCAAATCTAGGGCTGGAACATGGCTGCAGCATATAAATAGAATTGAATTCCATAGTTTTGTTAACCCTGTTTTTTGTTTGTTTGTAGTTGTTGCTGTTTTTGAGACAGAGTCTCACTCTGTCGCCTAGGCTGGAGTGCAGTGGTGCAATCTCGGCTCACTGCAGACTCTGCCTCCCGGGTTCAAACTGTTCTCCTGCCTCAGCCTCCCAAGTAGGTGGGACTACAGGCGCCCACCACCACACCCGGCTAATTTTTGTATTTTATTAGAGACAGGGTTTCACCATATTGGCCAGGCTGGTCTGGAACTCCTGACCTTGTGATCCGCCCACCTCGGCCTCCCAAAGTGCTGGGATTACAGGCGTGAGCCACCACCCCCAGCCCCTGTTTTGTTTTTGTTTTGCTTGCTTCTTAGGGTTGTTTTTCTATTTATGGTAAAGGCATTGGCTTTCCATTTGTAGCATCAATAGAATATTTCCTGTTTACAATAACCTTATGTCATAGTAAATGGTAAAGGGATTTAAAGCAGTGGTTTTCAGCTGCCAGAGGCCTGAGTTTGGGCACACTCTGTGTGATCGGGCAGAAGGCCTGTGGGAAGTTTAGCTGAGGACAGGGCCAGGAAAGGTGATGGACAGTGGGGGTCTGTCCTGGTCACCAGGCCCCTGGGTCCTGCCCACCTGCTTGGAGCTCCCCACCCATCACACATGATGCTGCCAAGCCCTCTGGGTATTGTGGGCAAATACCTTAGGAGAGAAGCTGATGAACTTTGTTTCTTGAAATGCACAGATTCCTTGGACGTCCCTGAGAGCTCAGTCATGAAAGTCAGCTTGGTTTTCTCCCCCTCATTTGGGTTCAGAATTTAAAGTCCACACACACGGGCAGTAAGATGATATAGATAAGGACATCATCACTCGGTTTCGGATGTTAAAATGTCTAGGTGGGTTAGGGGTGATTTGAGATCACACAACCTTGTGCCACAAAGAGGAATTCCCAGGCCAGAGGGAGACATTTTATTGCCATGTTATGATCTCATCATTGAGTTGAAAGGCAATCTTGTTTCATTTTGGATTCTTTCTTATGTTTATGTCTTATAAGGGCACTTTGAATTTCCAAGCAAATAATAATTTTGAATTAGCTTTTAATCATTGACTTCTAGCACAGTTTTATGATCAGAAACATGCTGTGTGATTTGATTGCTCTCAAATATATTGAGATTTGCTGGAACAAAATAAGTCAGGTTAATTTTTGTAAATGTACCATGCATGCTTAAAATGAATGTATGTACATTTGTTCCTGAGATACAGGTTGATGGACGGATGGCTACATGGATGTGATGGAGATGGTTTACTATCGGGACCTTCCGCATCCTGCTGATGTTTTGTTGCTTAGGATATGAATGGCTGAGCGGAGGCTGTAAAACCTGGCACTCTGCTTGGGTATGAGGTTCTTCCTGCCATCCTGCCATCATTTGTTTTTTATGTTTTGTCGCCAAAAGTGACCTTGAGGAACCCTGGGAGCTCAGGAAGGAAGGAGCACCCAGAAGCAGGGACAGGGAGCTGGTTGGGGAGGACCAGAAATCAGGTTTGTGAAGGTTCCAGAGAGGACCTGGCCTTGGGAGGAGCGTGGGGGACTGAGAAGGGGGAGGGGTCATTGGGATGATGCGGGCGCTACTTGGAATGTCCATTGTGAGGCACCACCGGGGTCATCAGGGATTGGTGGAGAGAGAGTCTAAAGCCCCAGGGTTGCTAAGGGAGGGCCCAGACCGAAGAAGGTTTGGTGGAAAGCAGAACCTTTGTCTCCTAATTGCTCCTAAGCCTCACGCTCCCTTGCCCCGCCTGTCCTGTTGCTTCCCTGATCTTCTCCGTGACCTGTAGCTAAACCTTCCACCAGCGCTTGAGAACTTAATTTGAACCGGATCCTTTCCCAGACCCCTTTCTTCTTCTCCTCCTCCTCCTCCCCAACAGCCCCCTTCTCCTCCTTTCCCTTCCCTTACTTCCCCCCTTCCCCTCCCCTTCCCCTCCCCCTCCCCTCCCCCTCCCCAACTCAGATCGGGCCCGGTCCCCGTCCCCTTCCCTCCCCCCTGCCCTAAGCCACCTCCACCTCTGTCCTGGCTGCCTCAGGGCGCCCTGAAAGGACCAGGACATGCGGGTGCGGTGGCTGCTCTTTTGGCTCCTCTTTTGGCTCCTGCTGGGATTTATCAGCCATCAGTCCACCTGTGTGAGTAGATGGGTGCTGTGGCTGCTCTTTTGGCTCCTGCTGGGATTTATCAGCCATCAGTCCACCTGTGTGAGTAGACGCTGGACCCGCGGGGTTTCTTCCTTTTTACTGGGCTGTGTCACGCGGCATGAAATTACACAGCTCAGGCCTGTAATCCCAGCACTTTAGGGGGCTGAGGTGGGCAGATCACTTGAGTCCAGGAGTTGAAGACTAGCCAGGGCATCATAGCGAAACCCCATCTCTACAAAAAATTCCAAAAAAGATTAGTCGGGCCTGGTGGTGCGTACCTGTTATCCCAGTTACTGGAGAGGCTGAGGTGGGAGGATCGCTTGGGCCCAGGAGCTGGACGTTGCAGTGAGCCGAGATGGCCCCGCTGCACTCTTGTCTCTAACAAACAAAACGGACCAAAACAAAGTGAAATGTCATTTGATTTGTGTCATCTGGTTTGATGACTTTTTTTTTTTTTTTTAAGACAGAGTCTCATTCTGTCGCCCAGGCTGGAGTGCAGTGGCAAGATCTCGGCTCACTGCAACCTCCGCTTCCGGGGTTCAAGCAATTGTCCTGCCTCAGCCTCCTGAGCAGCTCAGATTACAACGCCTGGCTAATTTTTGTATTTTTAGTAGAGACTGGGTTTCACCGTGTTCGCCAGGATAGTCTCCATGTCTTGACCTCGTGATCTGCCTGCCTCGGCCTCCCAGTGCTGGGATTACAGGCGTGAGCCACCGCGCCTGGCCAAAATATATAACCTTAAGTGTAAGTTTACTAACTTTGGAAAGTACATACACCAGCATAAACCAACCCCCTTTCAAGATCTACATTATTTTATTTATTTATTTATTTTTTTGAGACAGTTTCTCCCTTGTTGCTGAGGCTGGAGTGCAATGGGGCAATATCAGCTCACCGCAACCTCTGCTTCCCAGGTTCGAGCGATTCTCCTGCCTCAGCCTCCCGAGTGGCTGGGATTACAGACATGTGCCACCACTCCCAGCTAATTTTGTATTTTTAGTAGAGATAGGGTTTCTCCATGTTGGTCCGGCTGGTTTTGAACTCCCGACCTCAGGTGATCCGCCTGCCTCGGCCTCCCAAAGTGTTGGGATTACAGGCATGAACCACCGTGCCCAGCCAAGATCTACACTATTATGTCACCCCAGAAAGTGAACTCTCACTCTTCCCAGCCAGTCTCTTTCTTATCATAGCTTAGCTTGCTTATTCTGGAATTTCGCGTATACAGATGCATGCCATGCCATAGGTACTCTTTTGTGTCTGCTTTATTCTGCTCAACACCATGTTTCTGAAATCATTACCATTGTTGTACGGTTCTCTAACTCCATCATTTCCATTTCAGACTCAGCATATGCTGAGTTCAACCTGTTGAAGGGCTATCTCTGTTTAATTCACCATCTTGAAAGAAACATTTAAAATTGAGATGTTTTCAAGAATATATAGTTAAATCCTGAGGAATCGATGTAGAAATGTTATCAGAAGCTGTCTGAACTTACTCAGGGGAAGTCTTCGTCTTCACTCACATAAGAGTCTAATGGAATTAATATCAACAATCTTAGAGAAATCCCACGCTATTCATGCCATTTTCATGATCTCCACCTTGGTAATTTTTTTTTTTTTTTTTTTTGAGACAGAGTCTCGCTCTGTCACCCAGGCTGAAGTGCAGTGGTGCGATCTTGGCTCACTGCAACCTCTACCTCCCAGGTTCAAGTGATTCTTCTGCCTCAGCCTCCCAAGTAGCTGGAACTATAGGCGCGTGCCACCATGCCCTGCTAATTTTTTGTATTTTTAGTAGAGATGGGTTTCACCGTGTTAGCTAGGATGGTCTCAATCTCCTGATCTCGCGGTCCACCCACCTCGGCTTCCCAAAGTGCTGGGATTGCAGGCGTGAGCCACCACGCCCAGCCCACCTTGTTACTTTTTAAGAACTAAAATTCGATACTTATTTGTGAATGAAGTAATCTCTTCATTGTATTTTTTTTTTTTTACTTATGCTGAGCTTTAAATGACAAAGATTCATATAATCCAAGAGAGAAGTATTATTTAGAGGGATTCTTTTACCATGTGATATATAATAAATGCATCCAATGTTATACATCAATTTAAAAAACAAGTAAATAACTAAAGAAAAGATAACTACTGGCCAGGTGCAGTGGCTCACACCTGTATTGCCAGCACTTTGGGAGGCCGAGGCAGGTGGATCATGAGGTCAGGAGTTGGAGACCAGCCTGGCCAAGATGGTGAAACCCTGTTTCTACTAAAAAGACAAAAATTAGCCGAGCGTGGTGGCAGGCGCCTGTAATCCCAGTTACTCAGTAGCTGAGGCAGGAGAATCGCTTGAACCCGGGAGGCGGAGGTTGCAGTGAGCTGAGATCATGCCACTGCAATCTAGCCTGGGTGACAGAGCAAGACTTTGTCTCAAAACAAAAATAAAAGATAAGATAATTACTTTATACTTAGCTTGTCTTACCCATGAGTGACGGGCTGCATGTGGCCCAGGACAGTTTTGAATGCAGTTCAACACAAATTTGTAAACTTTCTTAAAACATTAGGAGATTTTGGCCAGGTACAGTGGCTCATGCCTGTAATCCCAGCACTTTGGGAGGCTGAGGCGGGCAGATTACCTGAGGTCAGGAGTTCGAGACCACCCTGGCCAACATGGCAAAACCCCATCTCCACAAAAAATACAAAAATTTGCTGAGTGCACTGTCAGGCACCTGTACTCCCAGCTACTCAGGAGGCTGAGGCAGGAGAATCACTTGAACCTGAGAGGCAGAGGTTGCAGTGAGCCGAGAGCACACCACTGCACTCCAGCCTGGGTGACAGAGTGAGACCCCATCTCAAAAACAAACAACAAACAAAAACAAAAAAAATGGCCGGGCACGGTGGCTCACACCTGTAATCCCAGCACTTTGGGAGGCCGAGGCAGGCAGATCGCCTGTCAGGAGTTCAAGGCCAGACTGGCCAACATGGTGAAACCTCATCTCTACTAAAAATACAAAAATTAGTCGGGCATGGTGGCAGAGACCTGTAATCTCAGCTGCTCGGGAGGCTGAGGCAGGAGAATGGCTTGAGCCCAGGAGCTGGAGGTTGCAGTGAGCCGAGATTGCACCACTGCACTCCAGCCTGGGCGACTGAGTGGAGCGGAACTCTGTCTCAAAAAAAAAAAAAAAAATTTTTTTTTTTAGATCATCAGCTATTGTTAGTGTTAGTGTATGTTATGTGTGGCTCAAGACAACTTTGCTTCTTTTAATATAGGCAGGGAAGTCAAAAGATTGGATATCCCTGCTTTATACCAAGAAAGACAACACCCCACATTTGCAATGCCTAAAAACACTACCAGCCATCTGAAAAACATGAGACTTCTCTAACTTCTGTTCTTTTTTGTAGCAGTGGAATCCCACGGTGATATCTGAGGGATGTGGTTACCTTTTGGAGGAGGTTGACGGTTTCTAAGGATGATTCTTTCTGAGTGAAATATTGTCAGTGTCATTGACCTTTTCATTATTTCAACTATTATTATTCCAGGTTATCAATACTCTGGCTGACCATCGTCATCGTGGGACTGACTTTGGTGGAAGTCCTTGGTTACTTATCATTACTGTGTTTCTGAGAAGTTATAAATTTGCCATCTCCCTCTGCACAAGTTACCTTTGTGTGAGTATACTAACTTTCTGTAGAGGTATACTTGTAATCACAAATAAGAATAAATTATATGAAACAATTCACGTTTCTGGACTTCATTATGAATATGTGGTTTTACCCAAAAAATCAGGGAAATGATTTATTAGCATAAGAATTATGAAAATATCTGCCATTTACATTATGAAAATTAAATAGGTCGGTGTTTAATAGAATGTCAACAGAGCTTTTGGTCAAAAATAAGTTTTTTTAACCTTTGTGCTATTTGTCACAAATGGAGTATGAGATTTCGTCACTTAAATGGGAAAGTCTTTCTAAACTCTTCTGCTTTATAGTTCTATCGTATGGGTGGAAGGAAAGCTTCCAATCTCCTCTCTGAAGATTCACTGCAGAAATGAGCTGACAACAGACAGCTTAACAGGAAAAGAAAAACATAGAACAGGCATAAACATGGGAACCAGCTGAAAAATGAGACTGCTAGAAGGGCTGGATGGTTGATGCTTAAAGAGCACCCTCTTCTGAGGGTAGAGGGAGATAGATGGAGATGTAGGCCATTTAGAGGGGCAGCAAATGATTTTTAGGGGAAATGAAAGAGCCCAAGGAACAAACAGTTGGCCTGAGACAAAGTTCCTCTGAGGTCATAGGGACGAGGTGACAAACTGCCGGAAGGTGAAGGGCAGAACTGCACTGCGTCTCATGATGCAGAGAAAGCCCCAGAGAATCTCTTAGAACTGCCCTCCAAGAGAATCAATGAAAAGTGTGTCTGGGCAGGGTAATTTTGAATGACATCATTCAAAGTGCATGTTCCCACTTGCAACTGGAATGAGATCAGTATGTCAAAAGTCTATACTTGGTAAGAATTTGGCTGCTAAGTTGTGCCATAATTTGTCTTTTGAGCCTTTTATCCTTTGCGTAAGTTGAGCTCTACATTTTGTCTTGCCATTCATGACAATAAAAATGTGGTTGTGTGGGGGCTGAACCTCCTTCTGAACAATGATCCAAGATAAAAGTACTAAACCACAATGCTTTTTTATATTCAAGGGAAGAGGAAGTATGTTTCAGTTTTACCGCCTAGATAATTACACGTCATTTGGCACTGCCTTTCAAGATATGTAGAAAACAGAAAATATATGAGTTATGAAGATATCTAGGCACATTTAACATTCTCTATGCCACTTAGTCCTGAACAGAGAATTTTCGGTATAAATTGGAGGAAGCTTTTTTTTTTTTCTTTTCTCACCCCCAAGAGGAGTCTCCCTCTGTTGCCCAGGCTGGAGTATAATGGTGTGATCTCGGCTCACTGCAACCTCCACCTCCTGGCTTCAAGTGATTCCCCTGCCTCAGCCTCTCAAGTAGCTGGGATTACAGGTGCCCACCACCATGCCCAGCTAATTTGTGTATTTTTAGTAGAGTCGGGGTTTTACCATGTTGGCCAGGCTAGTCTCAAAACCCGACCTCAAATGATCCACCCGCCTCAGCCTCCCAAAGTGCTGGGATTACAAGCGTGAGTCACCACGTGAGCCAGGGGAAGTTTTTAAATTTACCACTTTTTAACAATTCCATTTAGGAGAGTTCAGTTGAGCTGTTGGACTTGGACAACTTTGCACCTCTCATCTTTGTCCTTGTCATCTAGTCATCTATACCATTACCTCCTAAGCAGGGACATCATGGGTGCCATGAAGCATTCATGTGTGATGGCATTTCTTTGCTTCTCATTTCTTCATGTGTTTGACATTTCTCCTAGCTCCAAACTGGGCCAGCTACCTTTCCTATGAAATCTAGCAGTAGCTGTGGGATAGACGTGGTTGCTCTTTTCATCTTTTTAGATTACCCATTGCTTCTCTTGAAATCCTAGTACATGATTTTTTTTTAATCCTATGTGCAGAAATCAGGAAAAAACAAGTTCTACAAAGAATTTGAAAGATATTATTTCAGGCCAGGTGTGGTGGCTCATGCCTGTAATCCCAGCACTTTGGGAGGCTGAGGCAGGTGGATCACTTGAGGTCAGGAGTTCAAGACCAGATGGGCCAACATAGTGAAACCCCATCTCTACTAAAAAGACAAAAATTAGCCAGGCATGGTAGCAGGCACCTGTAATCCCAGCTACTTGGGAGGCCGAGGCACAAGAATCGCTTGAATCTGGGAGGTGGAGGTTGCCGTGAGCCAAGGTAGTGCCACTGCACTTCAGCATGGTTGAGTGACACTCCGTCTCAAGAAAAAAGTCATTTCAATGACTACCTCAGGAGATTCATAGGTATCTGACCCACATCTGAGATGGGATTTGCATTGCATTTTAGCTATGATGAGAACAAATATTTAATATCTTCGAAGATTAAAAGCATACTGTGATAATATGGAAATCTTGGTGGGAATTCAGTCATTAGTGAGAATGTTTTGCGTTAAGTTCAAACCAGCCTCAACGAAGCTGATGTGAGGGAAGGGAAAGTGAACTCTGAGTAGAGCAGGGACAGAAGAAAGATGCTCCAGTGCAGATCAGGAAGGAGCAGGGGGTGAAATGTTACAAATTCTAGAACTCAGAGAGCTGAAGGTAATTAATTACTTCCTTTTCAAGTTGTGAAACATGTTAACCTGTGGTAAAATACTTACAAGATGATAATTACCATCTAACCGTGTTGAAGTGTACAGTTCAGTTGTGTGAAGTATATTCATGTCATTTTTTTTTTTTTTTTTTGAGACGGAGTCTCACTCTGTCACCAGGCTGGAGTGCAGTGGTGGGATCTTGGCTCACTGCAACCTCTGCCTCTTGGGTTCAAGCAGTTCTCCTGCCTCAGCCTCCCGAGTAGCTGGGACTACAGGCGTGCGCCACCATGCTCAGCTAATTTTTGTATTTTTAGTAGAGACGGGGTTTCACCATGTTGCCCAGGATGGTCTCCATCTCTTGACCTTGTGATTCACCCGCCTCGGCCTCCCAAAGTGCTGGGATTACAGGCGTGAGCTACCGCACCTGGCCTATATTTTTTTTTTTTTTTTTTTTGAGACAGAGTTTGAATTTTGTTGCCCATGTTGGAGTGCAATGGCACAATCTCAGCTCAACACAACCTTTTCCTGCTGGGTTCAAGTGATTCTCCTGCCTCAGCCTCCCGACTAGCTGGGATTACAGGCATGCACCACCATGCCTGGCTAATTTTGTATTTTTAGCAGAGACAGCGTTTCTCCATGTTGGTGAGGCTGGTCTCAAACTCCCGACCTCAGGTTATCCGCCTGCCTCGGCCTCCCAAAGTGCTGGGATTACAGGAGTGAGCCACCATGCCAGCCTCATGTCATTCTTGTGTGTTGTGTGTGTGTGTGTGTGTGTGTGTGTGTGTGTGTGACAGAGTCTCATTCTGTCACTCAGGCTGGAGTGCAGTGGTGTGATCTCGGCTCACTGCAACCTCCACCTCCCAGCTTCAAACGGTTCTCTGCCTCAGCCTCCCGAGTAGCTCGGATTACAGGCGCCCACTGCCATGCCCGGCTAATTTTTGTATTTTTAGTAGAGATGGGGTTTCACCATCTTGGCCAGGCTGGTCTTGAACTCCTGACCCCGTGATCCACCCTGCCTCGGCCTCCCAAAGTACTGGGATTATACGCATGAGCCACCGTGCCCAGCCGTCATTCTTATATTATTATTTCCTAGGTGTCTTTCCTGAAGACTATCTTCCCGTCTCAAAATGGACATGATGGATCCACGGATGTACAGCAGAGAGCCAGGAGGTCCAACTGCCGTAGACAGGAAGGTATGGCTCTGTTGGAGTCCCCATAGTGTGGAAATGAGTTTGCCCTGGAAAGGGAAAGAACAGCTTCTTGCCCTCAGGTTTCTCACCTTCTCCTCTCCTCACTCTCACCAAGGGCTGAGGTCCGTTTGTATGCACACAAAGAAAAGAGTTTCTTCCTTTCCAGGAATTAAAATTGTCCTGGAAGACATCTTTACTTTATGGAGACAGGTGGAAACCAAAGTTCGAGCTAAAATCCGTAAGATGAAGGTGACAACAAAAGTCAACCGTCATGACAAAATCAATGGAAAGAGGAAGACCGCCAAAGAACAGTAAGATGTGCCTTGACACAAATACTGTTGTATGAACCATGTGCCAATCAAAGTAGACAACTGTAAAGTCCTTGAGAATATTTTCTACAATATTTGTGGCAAATTCAGTGGGTTCAAAATTGAGCTTGTCCTTTCTGCTTCATTAGTTTAAGCTGTATAATTCCTTTCCCTTCCTACATTCTTGTTTGTCATTTTTTCAGGGGAAGAGGAGTTGCTAGTACTGGCATTGGTTTTCCTTTCTCTCTCTCTTTTTTTTTTTTTTTTTCCTGAAATGGAGCTTTGCTCTTGTTGCCCAGGCCGTAGTGCAATGGCACAATCTCAGCTCACTGCCTTTTGGGTTCAAGCAATTCTCCTGCCTCAGCCTCCCAAGTAGCTGGGATTACAGGTGCCCACCACCACGCCCAGCTAATTTTTGTATTTTTACTAGAGATGGGGTTTCACCATGTTGTCCAGACTGGTCTCGAACTTCTGACCTCAGGTAATCCACCCGCCTCAGCCTCCCAAAGTGCTGGGATTAGAGGTGTGAGCCACCACACCCAGGCTTTTTTTTTTTTTTTTTAATTTTGAGATAGAGTCTCGCTCTGTCGCCCAGGCTGGAGTGCTATGGTGCAATCTTGGCTCACTGCAACCTCTGCCTCCCAGTTTGAAGCAATTCTGCCTTGGCTTCCCGAGTAGCTTGGATTACAGGTGTGTGCCACCACATTCGGCCAATTTTTTTTTTTTTTTTTTTTTTTGAGACAGAGTCTCACTCTGTCACCCAGGCTAGAGTGCAGTGGCATGATCTTGGCTCACTGCAACCTCCGCCTCCCAGGTTCAAACGATTCTTATCCCTCAGCCTCTTGAGTAGCTGGGACTACAGGCATATGCCACCATGCCCAGATAATTTTTGTATTTTTAGTAGAGGCAGGGTTTCACCATATTGGCCAAGCTGGTCTAGAACTCCTGACATCATGATCCGCACAACTCGGCCTCCCAATGTGCTGGGATTACAGGCGTGAGCCACCGTGCCCAGCCCAATTTTTGTATTTTTAGTAGAGACGGGTTCACCATGTTGGCCAGGCTAGTCTTGAACTCCTGACCTCAGGTGATCTGCCTACCTCAGCCTCCCAGTGTGAGCCACCGCACCCAGCCTGGATTGTTGAATTCAATGCTTGGGTCACCTCCAAATTCATTTTCACAGTCTTTCATGTTTTGGTCATACTACATTGTATTTTGCTGCCATATGACTGATCTTTTTTTGTTAAATGTGAGATACTTTTTAAAAAATATTTAACAATGCATTGAGGCCTAGTAGCATGTTATCTTGCTGCAGAAGAGATGGGAGTCTACTTCTGGGGGATGGTCAGGGGTCCTCCGTACAGGCTGCAATTGAGGTCGTCTCTGCAGGCTCAGTCCCTACAAAGGCCAGGGTATTTCCTGTCCACCTCTATTCTGATGCATGACTCTTCTGGGTCTCAACCAGAGCCAGTGGACTTCAGTATGGATCGCTTTCATTGGCAGACCCTCAATCCACTTGTTTTCCATCTAACCCCACGCATGTGTGCAAAAGCTGCTGTGCTTCTTTGCATCTCAGTAGTTCCTTCTGGAATTCAGCAATGAAACTCAGGGAAATGGGTTCCAAATGCGAGGCTGACTTTCGTCCTGGGTTTCCTTCTTCTCCATCTTCACCTCATGTCTGTTTACTGCCATGTTAGCAATTTGATGTATTCAATCATGGGTTTTATATTCTGTTTGGTGTCCCCCATTGTTCTCATCGGAGATCAGAAGCTTCAGATGCACTTATGTCAACTCAAGAGTAGAATGCTTCCTTAGCTTCCCTCCAGAGTCAGGTTTTGTGTTTCTAGTTCCCAAGTGCACAGCAGGAGTAGTGCTGTCCTCACTGGCTTCTCATTTGCATTAAACTGTGAGCTTCTTTAGCGTGGGGACAGGACCCTGCTCCCATTGCATTGTCAGCACCTCACCACACACACCTTGTTTGAGGCCACTCCAGACAGCATGTGCTGAAGGATGCCCTGTGGTCAGAAACAAGTTCATTAACTTTCTCTTTGAAGTGATTTCGTCCCTGTTTCCTAGCGTTCTGGGAATTTTACACATCCTTCCTATAAAACCAAGTATCAGGTGAGATCCTTAGGATCAGGACCATGAATCAAGTGGTGTGAGGGCAACACAGCAAACTTACCCTTTTGAGGCCGTTTCCTTTTTCTGCCCTCAATCTCTGTGAACTGAACCTTGTTAAAGTCAGTCAACACCAGGGTGGATGGTTTGCCATTGTCACCTATTTTCAGGACATAACATCCTGACTTAGGAGCCATTCCGATCATTTCTAATTCAATAGATGCGCCCAGCATTCAGATTGCCTTTTCAGGATCTTTAAAGTCGATGACAAGAGTTCCAGTCCTGAATCATGGCAAAGTGCAGTAGTGAACTGCGGGGTTAATGACACCATATTCTGGAAGGATCTCTCTATGGCTGATGGTCTCAGTTCCGGCATCAGCCTCTGACTGAGAATCAGGTCTCACACAGGAGGAGTCAGATGAGGAGCAATCCTCTGCTTCCGATGGAGTTAGTTGTGATGAATTGGTGAGGTCTGGTTTTTCACACTGAACTAAAATGAGCTTTCGCTGTGTCAAGCACAAGACTGACCCCAGAGACGCACATAGTGCACCTCATAGAAGCTTTTAATAGTCTTTATATTTACTAAAGAATAGGACTAACTATGGAACTATGAAGATGAGCTGGAAATGACAGGTGACTTGCCAGCAGGCCAGAGTGTGATTTTTTTTTGTCCCTCAATGGGAGGTGTCCATTCTTCCTTCGGTTGTGAGAATCAGTTGGTTCATTTGTGGGAAGGTTGCAGGGGGGATCTTTGAATCAGCCTTCAGATGCCAGAAGGGCAGAGGGAATCCCACACGTGCTGGTGGATCATGTGTGTGCATTTCTCTCCCTTCTAGTCTGAGGAAACTAAGCATGAAAGAACGTGAGCACGGAGAAAAGGAGAGGCAGGTGTCAGAGGCAGAGGAAAATGGGAAATTGGATATGAAAGAAATACACACCTACATGTGAGTTCAGAAACTGAACCCCACCCTCTTGGGAAACGCCCATTGGAGTGTTGTTTTTAACCTTTGTACAATGTTTAGACCCAGTAAATGCAGAAATAGAAACAAATGGTCAGAAGACATATCGTGAGAGAGAGAGAGTTCACAAAACAGAAAACAAAGTACCTTAATATTTACCAGTGACCAAAAGATGTGAAGTAGCAAAACGGCTCCTGACCCCATTGCCAGCTAGACTGTGTGGAAACTCGGTTCATACCAGCCATTCTAGGGGTGGGGTGAGTTGTTGTCATCCTTAGGAAAGTGTGTTGTTGTAGGATCAACCACATCCTTCAAAAGGACTATGCCTGTTTATAAGCCCAGCTGTTTCTGCCCTGTGAAACACGGTAAAGATATTAATACAAAGAGAATACAGCTTTATGATAAAAGATGCTCAATGAAGGATGAATTAGGGATATACTGAGAATGGGGAAGGAAACTATCATCTCAGAAGTCAGCAGGCAGTAAGCAAGAGGAGGAATCAATATAGCAACAGTTTGGATCAGACTGTACAGTTTTTTTTGTTTTTGTTTTTGTTTTTGTTTTTCTGAGATGGAGTCTCGCTGTGTCACCCAGGCTGGAGTGCAATGACGTGATCTTGGCTCACTGCAACCTCCGCCTCCCAGGTTCAAGTGATTCCCCTGCCTCAGCCTCCCGAGTAGCTGGGATTACAGGCGCCTGCCACCACCCCCGCCTAATTTTTTGTATTTTTAGTAGAGACGGGGTTTCACCGTATTAGCCAGGATGGTCTCAATCTCCTGACCTCGTGATCCATCCGCCTCGCCCTCCCAGAGTGCTGGGATTACAGGCGTCAGCCACCGTGACCGGCTCAGACTGTACTCTTCTAGCCATCTGAAATACGTTTTCTAGGTAGAGATAGATTGTGTAAGGGTACAGTTGTGAGGATAACAGAAACATGGCAGATTATTTAAAATCATCCTGAAAGTGGTGCTTTATCTGATGAAAGTGATTGTAATCCATAGGGAAATGTTTCAACGTGCGCAAGCGTTGCGGCGGCGGGCAGAGGACTACTACAGATGCAAAGTAAGGAGCTTCCTCCCCGCAGTTGCAGGATAGTTCAGTGCTGATGCAGATGATGCCACGGCCCTTAGACTCTCTCAACATTCAATTTCTCATGTGTTGGCTTTTTCAGATCACCCCTTCTGCAAGAAAGCCTCTTTGCAACCGGGTAAGTTTGCTTGTTTTCCTTGCTTTTGGACATAGTCTGCCAGGTCAGGACATGGATACATTTTTCTCCCTACGGCTCTGTGCTCAAGCCCTGCAGAGGGAGATGGCAGAGAGGAAGGCTGCCTACAAGCATCACAGTCCCATCCCTGTTGGTAACTGTGTTGCGCAAAAACACCTTCATCCCCACCCAGTGGGGCCCCCATCTAATATTCTAAGTATCAGAGGTTCCGTATTTGTAATAGCAAATGGGCCCTGACTGTAAATTAGTGAAGAGTGAATGTAACTTATTACCCACAGGGACAATTCCAAATGAGGGCCTTAAATGATGCTCAGCTAAGCTGGTTCTTGTGTGGCCTCTGTACCTTCAAAAGCTGCCGAGTCCTATGATTACACGTGATGGGACTTGTACACTTGAAGTGAAACACAGTTTTAAAACTTGCTTTGTTTAGAATTCCCACCTCATTTTTCCATGGACAAAAGTATTCTTTATGTCCTAGTGCACTTACAATTTGGTATTACCTGGGAGTGAAAAGAAATATTACAGCCATGCCTAACTGACTTCTTGAGGTAAGATTGTTCTGTCAGAAAACCCTCTCCCAGTTCCCCTGCAGCTCTTCAGGAATCCACATCTCTCCAGAGCTCTTTGTTCTCATGGGTGGCACCTCCAGAGTGAAGAAGATCCTTTGTCAAGAAGGGAAACAGAGGGGAAATGAGAGGGTCCTGCAGGCAGAGCTGGAATCAACTTCCACTCTGCCTCTTGCAAGCTGTGTGACCCTGGGCACAATTTCTCCTTCCTCTGGAAACCTCTGTTTTCTTAGATTTGGAGCAGGGTGGTCACACTGACCTTGCAGAGTTCTGAGAATCAGAGACAGAACATAAAAGGCCTGGAAAACATTCTCCAAAAAGAAGCTGCAACATGTGTGGACAATGGGCTTTTCATGCCTCTCTTACTGTCTCTTACTGTCTATTGACCTGGTGCAAGAAACATGCTCTGGTGATGGCTGTGAGGGAGGAATGAGGATAGACATAGACACTCCTGTGTCTCAAACATGCTTCTTTATTACTCTGTTATGACTCTGTCTTCCCTGGGGCAGGACCCCAGCCTGCCTACATTTGCAGACAGACACAGTGGCATGTGGAGACAACAGTGTGTCCCAATGACTTTTCTTTACCCCCTAGCTGTCGGCAGTACTCAGTGGAAGGGTGATATTATGACACTGACACTGCTATTTTGAAACCTGGAGGATGGAAAGGTGCAAAAATCTATCACCAGCAACAGAAGGTGCAGACTGTGTTGGTGGCGGTAATTTTGTCCATCAAATGAATATGTGTGAAAACATTCCCTCCTTTGGCCCTACAGGTCAGAATGGCGGCAGTGGAGCATCGTCATTCTTCAGGATTGCCCTACTGGCCCTACCTCACAGCTGAAACTTTAAAAAACAGGATGGGCCACCAGCCACCTCCTCCAACTCAACAACATTCTATAATTGATAACTCCCTGAGCCTCAAGACACCTTCCGAGTGTGTGCTCTATCCCCTTCCACCCTCAGCGGATGATAATCTCAAGACACCTCCCGAGTGTCTGCTCACTCCCCTTCCACCCTCAGCTCTACCCTCAGCGGATGATAATCTCAAGACACCTGCCGAGTGCCTGCTCTATCCCCTTCCACCCTCAGCGGATGATAATCTCAAGACACCTCCCGAGTGTCTGCTCACTCCCCTTCCACCCTCAGCTCCACCCTCAGCGGATGATAATCTCAAGACACCTCCTGAGTGTGTCTGCTCACTCCCCTTCCACCCTCAGCGGATGATAATCTCAAGAAACTAAGGAAGAATAAATAAATAATATAAAAATAAAATGAATACTGCAGTCCTTATGTTATTGCTTTGTTTCAATATCTGGTATGATTGCCTGAGGGACCTGAGGTTTTTAATCGTAGGGGTTTTTTTAATCTTTAGAAGTGGTTGGTTATGTAAAATATTATTATTTGTTTTTTTTTTGAGACTGGAGTTTGCTCTGTCACCCAGGCTGGAGTGCAGTGGCTCGATCACAGCTCACTGCAGCCTCAACCTCCTGGGCTTCAAGCAATCCTCCTGCCCCAGCCTCCCAAGTAGCTGGGATCACAGATGTGTGCCACCACGCCTGGCCAATGTTAAAAAATCCTTTAACTTTTTTGTAGAGATGCACTCCTGGACTCAAGCAATCCTCCTACTTGTCCCGACCACCAGCCTCTTTCTGATAAACATTTACACTGTTTATTATCTGATGCCATTTCTATCTTCTTCCTTGTCATCCAGACATCAAAGAATTAGGTTTCTTCAGGGTTTTCTTTTTCAAGTGCTCAGTGTTAAAGATCACTCACATTAGGGCCAGACACCACGGCTCATGCCTGTAATCCCAGCACTTTGGGAGGCCGAGGCGGGCAGAGCACTTGAGGTGGGGAGTTTGAGACCAGCCTGGCCAACTTGGTGAAACCCCACCTCTACTGAAAAAATACAAAAATTAGCTGGGCGTGATGGTGCATGCCTGTAGTCCCAGCCACTTGGGAGGCTGAGGCATGAGAATCGCTTGAACCCAGGAGGCAGAGGTTGTAGTGAGCCGAGATCACATCAGCACACTCTAGCCTGGGTGACAGAGCGAGACTGACTCAAAAAATAAATAAAATAAATATCACTTACATTAGATATACCCAAGGGGTGGTCTATAGAGACTTGGAAGCAGTGGTTATTGCAACAGGGGCACGGAAGTCATCTGGCTATGCCAGGGTGCCCAGGGGATACTCGGGGTGGGTGGCATGGTGCTGCTGGGGACTCACCGCACAGGACGCTCTGATTGACGCACTGCCAGGAGTAGCGCTCTGTCTTGGGGCTGCAGCCGGCCTCCTCAGCTCGAGTGTAACAACAGTCGTGGCCATGGCAGCACCTGCGGATGTCACATGGGCAGGACAGCAGGTGGGTGAAGCTCTCTCCTGGCCCTCCTCTCTTGCCAGGACTATGGGTGACTGAAGACCCCCAGGGAGGCACAGCATCCTCTTATCTAAGATTTTTTTTTTTTTTTTTTTTTTAAGAGACAGGGTCTTTCTCTGTCGCCCAGGCTGGACTGCAGAGGCACAATCATAGCTCACGGCAGCCTTGAACTCCTGGGCTCAAGCGATCCTCCCACTTCAGTGTCCCAAGTAGCTGAGACTACAGGCACACGCCAGCATGCCCGGCTGGTTTTTTAATTTGTATTTCCTTTGAGACAGCGTATCTCTCTGTTGCTCAGGCTGGAGTGCAGTGGCTCAATCAGCTCACTTTAGCCTTGAACTCCTGGGCTCAAGTGATACTGCCACCTCAACCTCCCAAGTCTGCTACTACAGGAACACAAACTCCTTTTTTAAATTTTTTATGGATATGGGGTCTTACTATGTTGCCTAGGCTGGTCTCGAACTCCCAGGCTCAAGCAGTCCTCCTACCTCAGCCTCCCCAAATGCTGGGATTACAGGTGGGAGCTACTGTACACCTGGCCTTATCTAAGCTGTTTCCCTGAAAATCCCCGTCTTGGGTAATGATTCCATTGGCCCCACCATGCCCTCTGCCTTCCTGGCTGTGCCCAAGCTTGGTCCCTGCCTGCCTGCCTGCCTCCCTCTCTGGGTCTTGAGCTCCTGTGACACATGACTCCTCTCTCTTCCTGGAGTGATCCAAGCCCTGCCACTTCCTGACTTTGCCCACACTGTACCCTCTGCCTGGGGCAACTTCATGTCTGCCCATTGTCCCTTAGGCCTCAGCCCAGGCACAAGCCCCTGCCTCCGGAGGTCATCCAGGCCTCACCAGGCTACACCCTCTCGTAAAATTGGATTCCCTCCCTTCAGGGCAGGTTTATAATGAAATCCTCCTCAGAGGCCAGGTGCGGTGACACCCATCTGTAATCCCAGCACTTTGGGAGGCTGAGGTGGGAGGATCACTTGAGGCCAGGGGGTCGAGACCAGCCTGGGCAACATAAGAGAGACTCTTGTCTCTATAACAAATTTAAAAATTACCTCACCAGGCCAGGCTCAGTGGCTCATGCCTGTAATCCCAACACTTTGAGAGGCCGAGGCAGGTGGATCACGAGGTCAGGAGTTCGAGAGCAGCCTGACCAACATGGCGAAACCCTGTCTCTACTAAAAATACAAGATTAGCCAGGCATGGTGGCACGCACCTGTAATCCCAGCTACTCGGGAGGCTGAGGTAGGAGAATTGCTTGAACCCAGGAGGTGGAGGTTGCGGTGAGCCAGGATCACGCCATTGCAGTCCAGCCTGAGCAACAGAGCAAGACTCTGTCTCGAGACAATAAAAACACACAAAAAATTAACTCGCCATGATGGCACATGCCTATAGTCCTAGCTACTTGGGAGGCTGAGGTGGGAGGATTCCCTTCAGCCCAGGAGTTTGAGGCTGCAGTGAGCCACTATGATTGTGCCACTGCACTCTAACCTGGGCAAAAGCGAGACCCCAGGCTAGAGTGCATGATTTTGGGTCACTGCAACCTCCACCTCCCAGGTTCAAGTGATTCTCCTGCCTCAGCCTCTTGAGTAGCTGCGACTACAGGCATGTGCCACCACGCCTGGGTAATTTTTGTATTTTTAGTAGAGACAGGGTTTAGTAGAGACCATGGTGAAACCCCGTCTCTATTAAACAAATCTCTACTAACCCCATCTCTACAAAAATCAGCTGGGCGTGGTAGTGCACACCTGTAATTCTAGCTACTTGGGAGGCTGAGGCACGAGAATCATTTGCATCTTGGAGGCAGAGTTTGCAGTGAGCTGACATCGCACCACTGCGCTCCAGCCGGGATGACAGAACAAGACCCTGTCTCAAAAAAAAGAAAAAGGAACAAACAACAGCAACGACAACAAAAAAACCTCTGTGTCAATCACAGCCTTCAAGCTAGGGGAGAGGCGGCCGAATTCTGCCCTCTGCTAACTAACTATAGCTTTGTGGAAATGGGTGAATGGTGTGCCCTTGTGAGCCTCAGGGCCCCATCTGTAAAATGGGCATAACTGTCATGCCCGTCTTTAAGAACAGCCTTGGGGGTAAATGAGTGGAAGTCATGGAAAGATCTCAGCCCACAACCTTCCACAGAACAGACGCTTCTCACGCAGTAAGTAGCAGGAGTGCAGAGGCTGCAGGCATGAATCCAGCCAGACTGCCTGGGTTCAAGTCCCAGCTCCCACGTCTTGGTAACTATGTGGCCTCAGACAAGTTACTTAATATTTCTTTTTTTTTTTTCAGACGGAGTTTTGCTCTGTCACCCAGGTTGGAGTGCAGTGGTGTGATCTCGGCTCATTGCAACCTCTGCCTCCCGGGTTCAAGCAATTCTCCTGCCTCAGCTTCCTGAGTAGCTGGAATTACAGGCACCTGCCACCACATACAGCTAATTTTTGTATTTTTAGTAGAGACGGGGTTTCACCATGTTGGCCAGGATGGTCTCGAACTCCTGACCTCGTGATCTGCCTGCCTCAGCCTCCCAAAGTACTGGGATTACAGGCGTGAGCCACCACACCTGGACACGTTACTGAATATTTCTGTGCCTAGGTTTCTTCATGTGAAATGGGATTGTTGTGAGAACACAAAGGGATTCCCAGGGCAGTTCCTAGTGCATAGTCTGGCTGCCTTTGTATGTGTGTGTGTGTGTGTGTGCACGCGCGTGTGTGTGTGCACGCGCGTGTGTGTGTGTGTTTAATATAGAGACAGGGTCTCACTCTGTTGCCTAGGCTCGTTTCAAACTCCTGGGCTCCAGTGATTCTCCTGCCTCGACCCAAAGTGGTGGGATTACAGGCATGAGTCAACACACCTGGTCACTTTATATTATTATTATTTTTTTCTTTTGAGACAGGGTTTGGCACTGTTGTCCAGGTTGGAATACAGCGGTGCAATCTCAACTCACTGCAAACTCCGCCTCCCGGGTTCAAGCAATTCTCCTGCCTCAGTCTCCCGAGTAGCTGAGATTACAGACGCCTGCCACCACACACAGCTAATTTTTGCATTTTTAGTAGAGATGGGGTTTCACCATATTGGCCAGGCTGGTCTTGAACTCCTGACCTCAAGTGATCTGCCGGCCTCGGCCTCCCAAAGTGCTGGGATTACAGGAGTGAGCCACCGTGCCCAGCCATCTTTCTTTTCTTGCTTTCTCTTTCTTTTCTTTCGAGACCGGGTCTTGCTCTGTCGCCCAGGCTGGACTGCAGTGGCACAATCATAGCTCACTGCAGCCTCGACCTCCCTGGCTCAAGCGATCCTTCCTCCTCAGCCCCCCGAGTAGTTGGAACTACAGCTCCACACCACCATGCCTGGCTGATTCTTTTTTTCCTTGTAGAGATGGGGTCTTGCTATGCTGTCCATCCTGGTCTCAAACTCCTGGCCTTCCCAAAGCACTGGGATTACAGGCATAAGCCACCACAGCCAGTTTCCTTTTCTTCTTTTTAACTGGAATAGTTGACTTTTTCTTTATTAGCTGTGTGTCAGGAGGGTATTTTTGGCCTTTAGTATGTCGTCTAAGTTGCTAGTGCTTTTCTGAGATTGTAGTTTGTTTTCTAATTTTATTTATATTTTGCGTAGAAGTTGTGTATTTTAGATGGAGTTAGGTCGGCTGGTCTTTGATGTTTTATTTATTAATTATGTATGTATTTATTTATTTTTGAGGTAGAGTCTCGCCGTTTCACCCCAGCTGGAGTACAGTGATGCGATCTCAGCTCCCTGTAGCCTTGACCTCTCTGGGCTCAAGTGATTTTTCTCTCCTCTACCTCCCGAGTACTTGGGACCACAGGCGCATGCCGCCATGCCTGGCTAATGTGTATTTTTTTGTAGATACGGGGTCTCACTGTGTTGCCCAGGGTGGTTTCAAAATCCTGGGCCCAGGCGATCCTTCCGTCTCAGCTCCCACGGTGCTGTGTTACCGGCGTGTGCCCCAGTGCCTGGCCGTCTTGGAGGTCTTGTTTCTCTGGGTTTATGCCTCAAGGTGGCGCCTGCTCCCCTGTGCTCCCTGGTAGCCTGGTAGTGAGCCTGCTTCTCACACAGTCATACCTGGTTGTGGTCCCACAGTGGGACCACCCTGTTGGGTTCAGAACAGGAGATGGGGGCCCCTCGAGTCTGTGTGGGGGCTGTGGACAGGGTTGGGAGACCTTGGCTCTGTGGGGGACTGTGGACAGGGGATGGGGGGCCTTGGCCCTGCGTGGGATGGGTTGGGGGTCCGTGCCCTTCCTGGCCCTGGGTGGACAGGTCCAGGTGGCACTCGGCATAGGGCTGAGATGGGTGCAGAGGGCTGAGGCCCCCAGGCCTCTCCTGGCTTGGTTTCCCCAGATGAGTGTTCATTTGGGTCTTCCATCAGAAAGGCCCCTCCTGACCTCTGGGAGTGGGGAGCTCAAGGGTGGGAGGCCTTAGCTTGGGGATGCTGGAAATGTGTGGGATGGGCCCAGGGATGGCCTCTGGCCTACTAAGGGCTCTGGCCCTGACCCACGGCCACTCACTCCTCAGAGACGTCTCCCACAACCTGCTCCGGGCGCTGGACGTTGGGCTCCTGGCGAACCTCTCGGCACTGGCAGAGCTGTGAGTGTCCCCCAGTCGTGCCAGCATGCGGGGCTCACTCCGGGTGGGCTGGCGGCACCGCCTCTTGCTGCTCAGCTGTGGGGGCTTCCGTCAGCTTTGCCGAATCCCCCCTCTCTTCCAGGGATATAAGCAACAACAAGATTTCTACGTTAGAAGAAGGAATATTTGCTAATTTATTTAATTTAAGTGAAATGTAAGTTGTGGTTCTTTGGGTGGGGTCCTGGCTGGACCCCAGGCCCCCAGTATCCCTTCTGCCCTCCCAGTTGGTCCGTGTCCCCTTCCAGGCTTGAGACCAGATCCTGGGGGCAGTTCACTACCTGCTTGGAGCCCCCCAGTGCCGGCTTGGTTGGGGCAGGGGAGGCGGTGCTGTCAGGGTGGCTCCAGGGCCTGGTTGCCAGTGGGGGGCTGGCATAGACCCTTCCCACCAGACCTGGTCCCCAACACCTGCCCCTGCCCCGCAGAAACCTGAGTGGGAACCCGTTTGAGTGTGACTGTGGCCTGGCGTGGCTGCCGCGATGGGCGGAGGAGCAGCAGGTGCGGGTGGTGCAGCCCGAGGCAGCCACGTGTGCTGGGCCTGGCTCCCTGGCTGGCCAGCCTCTGCTTGGCATCCCCTTGCTGGACAGTGGCTGTGGTGAGTGCCGGTGGGTGGGGCAGCTCTGTCCTTCCCAGCCAGGTGGGACCTGGGCCCTGCAGACACTGGGCAGGGCTCAGGAAGGCCTCTCTGGGGGGGGCCTCCGGGCCAAGGGAACAGCATGGGAGCCTGTGAGTGCGGCGGGCGGATGGGGGGGTGTGGGGTGGAGCCAGGAGGAGCAGAACCCGGGGTCCAGTGGCTGCCTCTTCTAGGTGAGGAGTATGTCGCCTGCCTCCCTGACAACAGCTCAGGCACCGTGGCAGCAGTGTCCTTTTCAGCTGCCCACGAAGGCCTGCTTCAGCCAGAGGCCTGCAGCGCCTTCTGCTTCTCCACCGGCCAGGGCCTCGCAGCCCTCTCCGAGCAGGGCTGGTGCCTGTGTGGGTCAGCCCAGCCCTCCAGTGCCTCCTTCGCCTGCCTGTCCCTCTGCTCCGGCCCCCCGCCGCCTCCTGCCCCCACCTGTAGGGGCCCCACCCTCCTCCAGCACGTCTTCCCTGCCTCCCCAGGGGCCACCCTGGTGGGGCCCCACGGACCCCTGGCCTCCGGCCAGCTAGCAGCCTTCCACATCGCTGCCCCGCTCCCTGTCACTGCCACACGCTGGGACTTCGGAGACGGCTCCCCCGAGGTGGATGCCGCTGGGCCGGCTGCCTCGCATCGCTATGTGCTGCCTGGGCGCTATCACGTGATGGCCGTGCTGGCCCTGGGGGCCGGCTCAGCCCTGCTGGGGACAGACGTGCAGGTGGAAGCGGCACCTGCCGCCCTGGAGCTCGTGTGCCCGTCCTCGGTGCAGAGTGACGAGAGCCTCGACCTCAGCATCCAGAACCGTGTTGGTTCAGGCCTGGAGGCCGCCTACAGCATCGTGGCCCTGGGCGAGGAGCCGGCCCGAGGTGAGTGTCTGCTGCCCACTCCCCTTCCTCCCCAGGGCCATCCAGATGGGGCAGAGCCTGGTACCCCCGTCTTGGGCCCACACTGACCGTTGACACCCTCGTTCCCACCGGTCTCCAGCGGTGCACCCGCTCTGCCCCTCGGACACGGAGATCTTCTCTGGCAACGGGCACTGCTACCGCCTGGTGGTGGAGAAGGCGGCCTGGCTGCAGGCGCAGGAGCAGTGTCGGGCCTGGGCCGGGGCCGCCCTGGCAATGGTGGACAGTCCCGCCGTGCAGCGCTTCCTGGTCTCCCGGGTCACCAGGTGCCTGCCCCCACCCCCCGAGGGGCCATAGGTTGGGAGATCTCTGAAGCAGTGGGGCAGAGCCTGTGGCTGGGGAGTCTCAGGAGGAGGGAGGTGGGAGCTGGGCCGGCCCTGGTGAGCAGGTGGCGCCGGCCGGTGGGGCCGTTCCTGTCAGCTCTGCAGATGCAGAGGTGGACACGAGCTGGGGGCAGCCTCCGGACACTCCTGGGCACGCCATACGGGAGGTGGCCTGCACGGGGATCCCTGCCAGTGCCCACAGGCCTCGTGGGTGGGTGCTGCTGTGAGCCTGGGCTGGTGGGCCCTGCTCTCCGGGCTCTGAGCCTCAGTTTCCCCATCTGGAAAGGGGGACAGTGACGGGGCTCCCAGTGGGCTGCTGTGAGGGTGGGAGGATGGAGGAGTGCCCTGAGCCCCCTGCCATCCCACACCCGCCCCCAGGAGCCTAGACATGTGGATCGGCTTCTCGACTGTGCAGGGGGTGGAGGTGGGCCCAGCGCCGCAGGGCGAGGCCTTCAGCCTGGAGAGCTGCCAGAACTGGCTGCCCGGGGAGCCACACCCAGCCACAGCCGAGCACTGCGTCCGGCTCGGGCCCACCGGGTGGTGTAACACCGACCTGTGCTCAGCGCCGCACAGCTACGTCTGCGAGCTGCGGCCTGGAGGTGTGCGAGGGGCCAGGCAGGGGCCTGAGACGCTGGCTGTGGTTAGGGGCCTGCCGAGCGCCCGCGGTGGAGCCTGGGCTGAGGAGGAGGGGCTGGTGGGGGGGTTCTCGGGCGGCTCGGTCCCCAGTCTGTTCGTCCTGGTGTCCTGGGCCCTGGCCCGGCGCCTCACTGTGCACTTGCCACCCCAGGCCCAGTGCAGGATGCCGAGAACCTCCTCGTGGGAGCGCCCAGTGGGGACCTGCAGGGACCCCTGATGCCTCTGGCACGGCAGTACGGCCTCTCAGCCCCGCATGAGCCCGTGGAGGTAGTCGGCCCCCCACGTTCTAAAACCTGCCCTCCTGCCTGCCCCTGGAGGCCTCGCCTGCCCTGCCCACTGTGGGTCTCCCCAAAAAACTTGGGGGCCTTAATGTTGCTTGTGCCCAGTGAAGATGGTTGGGAAAATCCAGAGTGCAGAGAGGAAAGCGTTTACTCACATTACCCCCTTTTCTCTGAGTGTGGGTGAGTTATTCCTGAAAGGCAGGTCAGGGGTCCTGCCCCCCATGGACAGTTTCCATCGGAGTCTTCCTCTCGAGCGACAGGAGCCAGGCCTGTGGGGGTCCGATGGCTCGCTCTCCTTCCCTCCCCTCTTCCTGCGAAGTTCGGGTGGGGGGAGTCTGGGCTTCAGGCTGGGATGGGGTCTGTGGAGCTGAGGCGGCCCCCTGCCCACCAGGTCATGGTATTCCCGGGCCTGCGTCTGAGCCGTGAAGCCTTCCTCACCACGGCCGAATTTGGGACCCAGGAGCTCCGGCGGCCCGCCCAGCTGCGGCTGCAGGTGTACCGGCTCCTCAGCACAGCAGGTGGGACTCTGGGGTGGTGGGCGCCGCAGGACTCGGGGTGGCCTCTCTGAGCTCTCACGTCTGCTGGTCCTGTGGCCATCAGAGTGGTTCCCAGTCTTAGGTGGACAGAGCAGGGGTTCCAGAGACACCAGCTCATTCCAGGTGTCCTGGGGGTGGATCGGGTGGGGCCTGCCTGGGGACCGGCCTGGGTCAGTCAGCTGGCCGGAGACAGGGACGCAGCACTGGGCTGGGAGTGCTGCCCGGGCGGGGAGACCTGTCCTCACAGCAAGGCCAGGCTCGCTGGTGCAGGCAGTTGGGCATCTCTGACGGTGGCCCGTGGGCGAATGAGGGCCCCAACACCCTCCCCTCCTCGCAGGGACCCCGGAGAACGGCAGCGAGCCTGAGAGCAGGTCCCCGGACAACAGGACCCAGCTGGCCCCCGCGTGCATGCCAGGGGGACGCTGGTGCCCTGGAGCCAACATCTGCTTGCCGCTGGACGCCTCCTGCCACCCCAGGCCTGCGCCAATGGCTGCACGTCAGGGGCCAGGGCTACTCGGGGCCCCCTATGCGCTATGGAGAGAGTTCCTCTTCTCCGTTCCCGCGGGGCCCCCCGCGCAGTACTCGGTGTGTGGCCCTGACCTGGGTCTGTTCCCTGCATCTCCTCAGGCCACCTTCCTGTCTGCTGCCCAGGGTCTGGGTCTGCGCAGCAGACACACCCAGCCTGCAGGCCCCTCCCACGTCCTTGCCACCTCTGACCTCCGACCTCCGACCTCCAACCTCCGACCTCTGCAGTGCCCTTGCCCCTCTCCCAGTGGGAGAAGCTCTCGCCTGGGCCCTTGGCACGAGCTGTGCCTCCTCTTCCTCTCTCCCAGCACAGCCGCTCCTTCCTGTCTGCCAGGTCTTGGCCTGTGTCCTCTCCCCGTGTGTCCCCCTGTCTGCAACTGTCCTGCCTGTCCTTGTCACGAGCACTGTGGGGAGGCTCCCTGAGGTGTGGCTGACGAAGCGGGGAGCCCTGCGTGTCCACCCTCATCCGTCGTGCAGGGGTCCACGGGCCATGACCGTGAGGACGTGATGCAGCCCTGCCTCCCTCTCCACAGGTCACCCTCCACGGCCAGGATGTCCTCATGCTCCCTGGTGACCTCGTTGGCTTGCAGCACGACGCTGGCCCTGGCGCCCTCCCGCACTGCTCGCCGGCTCCCGGCCACCCTGGTCCCCAGGCCCCGTACCTCTCCGCCAACGCCTCGTCATGGCTGCCCCACTTGCCAGCCCAGCTGGAGGGCACTTGGGCCTGCCCTGCCTGTGCCCTGCGGCTGCTTGCAGCCACGGAACAGCTCACCGTGCTGCTGGGCCTGAGGCCCAACCCTGGGCTGCGGCTGCCTGGGCGCTATGAGGTCCGGGCAGAGGTGGGCAATGGCGTGTCCAGGCACAACCTGTCCTGCAGCTTTGACGTGGTCTCCCCAGTGGCTGGGCTGCGGGTCATCTACCCTGCCCCCCGCGACGGCCGCCTCTACGTGCCCACCAACGGCTCAGCCTCGGTGCTCCAGGTGGACTCTGGTGCCAGCGCCACGGCCACGGCTCGCTGGCCTGGGGGCAGTGTCAGCGCCCGCTTTGAGAATGCCTGCCCTGCCCTGGTGGCCACCTTCGTGCCCGGCTGCCCCTGGGAGACCAATGATACCCTGTTCTCAGTGGTAGCACTGCCGTGGCTCGGTGAGGGGGAGCACGTGATGGACGTTGTGGTGGAAAACAGCGCCAGCCGGGCCAACCTCAGCCTGCGGGTGACGGCGGAGGAGCCCATCTGTGGCCTCCGCGCCACGCCCAGCCCCGAGGCCCGTGTACTGCAGGGAGTCCCAGTGGTGAGTATGGCCGAGGCTCCACCACCAGCCCCCAGGCAGGTGCCTGCAGACAGGGTGCTCACACAGGGCGTGAGGCCTGGCTTCCCAGTGAGGGCAGCAGCCCAGTTACTGGGGACGTCGGCCCCGGGCAGGTCCTGCTGGCTGGCTCCTCAGGCTACCTGGTGGGCTTTAAATTCCTGGAAAGTCACGGCTCTGACAGCGGCTCCGCTAACTCATTCCACCGTCTCATTTCATGAAATGAATTTAAAACTCCGCTCCCTGACCTCACACGAGCCCCCGTGAGTCTCTCACGCCCTCTGCTGTGTTCTCACCTGGCTAAAGCGAGTGGCTTTTGAGGTGGAGTCTGAACCCCTGATGGGAAACTGCGGGCTGCCCGCGGTGCCACCATGCTGGGTACATGGGGGACAGGGCTGTCTCCGTCTTGCGGGTACCTGCCCCTTCACCAGGGGCCTTGGGAGGGGCCATCAGAAATGGCGTGACCTGTGCAGCCTGTCCTGGGTTCTGTAAGCCAGTGTAGGTGCTGTCCCTGTGAGGCCCGTGTGCCTCCCCTCACTGCTCCGAGCTCTCTGGCTGAGGAGCTGGGGCAGGAGCCCCGGGAGGGTCTGAGAAGACTCAGAGAGAGGTGGACTCTTTGTAGCTGGTACTAGGTTTGCTTTACAGATGGGGAAACTGAGGCACAGAGAGGTTGAGGCATTAGTAGTACTACATGGCTGGCTGGAGAGCCGGACAGTCAGTGTCCCAGCCCGGGCTTGGCTCCCATGGCATGCAGAGCCCCGGCCACCTCCTCTCCTCTGTGCCCCGCGTGGGACTCTCCAGCCTGACGGGAGGTGTGTCCAGGAGGCGACAGGCTAAGGGCAGAGTCCTCCACAGAGCCCAGGCTGACACCAGTCCCCCCGCAGAGGTACAGCCCCGTGGTGGAGGCCGGCTCGGACATGGTCTTCCGGTGGACCATCAACGACAAGCAGTCCCTGACCTTCCAGAACGTGGTCTTCAATGTCATTTATCAGAGCGCGGCGGTCTTCAAGCTCTCAGTAGGTGGGCGGGGGTGGGGAGGGGAGGGGATGGGGTGGGGCGGGGCGGGCTCCACCTTCACCTCTGCTTCATGCTGCCCGAGGACGCTGCCATGGCTGTGGGTGAGTGGAGGGAGGGACGCTAAGCAGGGCCAGGCCTCTCACCTGCCACCTGGGCCCACTGATGCCTATCCCTGCAGCTGACGGCCTCCAACCACGTGAGCAACGTCACCGTGAACTACAACATCACCGTGGAGCGGATGAACAGGATGCAGGGCCTGCGGGTCTCCACAGTGCCGGCCGTGCTGTCCCCCAATGCCACGCTGGCACTGACGGCGGGCGTGCTGGTGGACTCGGCCGTGGAGGTGGCCTTCCTGTGAGTGACTCGGGGGCCGGTTTGGGGTGGGCACCAGGCTCTTGTCCCGGCCCCAGCCTCAGCCGAGGGACCCCACATCAGGGGGTTGCTTTTCTGAGCCTCGGTTTCCCTATCTGTTGGGAGGTACTGGGTGCACAGGAGCCCTGAGGCTGCACGGGAGCCGGGAGAGGCCTCAGCACAGCCGGGTGGGCCCTGAATGGAGGCCCGGGGCGTGACTGCAGAGTGGAGCCTCAGCTGGGTCCCAAGCACCCCCTGCCCCCCCACCGCGCACCTGTGCCCCGCCACTGCGCACCCCTGTCCCGGTTCACTCACTGCCTCCCACCGCCCCGGCAGGTGGACCTTTGGGGATGGGGAGCAGGCCCTCCACCAGTTCCAGCCTCCGTACAACGAGTCCTTCCCGGTTCCAGACCCCTCGGTGGCCCAGGTGCTGGTGGAGCACAATGTCACCCACACCTACGCTGCCCCAGGTGAGGGATGAGGGGGTGAGGGGGCCACTGCCTTTCAGGCTCTGAGCACGGGGCACCCCCAGTCCCCCAGTCAAGCTGCCCCCCTTCCTCCCCAACAGCCCTCACTGTGACCTCACCTGGGCTGATGGCTTAGGTCCCTACTGGGGTGAGGGAGGGGCCAGGCGTGGGGGGAGTGGACAGGGAAGCTGGGCCCCCTGAACTGCCCCCCGCCGCGGCCTGGTTCTTGCTGCTCTGCTGCCCCGAGTGCAGCTGCACTTGGAGGCGGTGCCGTCCTCACCAGGCAGCCCTCAGTGCTGCTGCACCTGTGCTCCGTCCCGCACGTGGCTTGGGAGCCTGGGACCCTTAAGGCTGGGCCGCAGGTGCAGCCGTTCACCCCGGGCTCCTCAGGCGGGGGGCTTCTGCCGAGCGGGTGGGGAGCAGGTGGGGGTGCCGCGGCTGCCCCACTTGGGCCTGTCCCCACAGGTGAGTACGTCCTGACCGTGCTGGCATCTAATGCCTTCGAGAACCGGACGCAGCAGGTGCCTGTGAGCGTGCGCGCCTCCCTGCCCTCCGAGGCTGTGGGTGTGAGTGACGGCGTCCTGGTGGCCGGCCGGCCCGTCACCTTCTACCCGCATCTGCTGCCCTCGCCTGGGGGTGTTCTTTACACGTGGGACTTCGGGGACGGCTCCCCTGTCCTGACCCAGAGCCAGCCGGCTGCCAACCACACCTATCCCTCGAGGGGCATCTACCACGTGCGCCTGGAGGTCAACAACACGGTGAGCGGTGCGGCGGCCCAGGCGGATGTGCGCGTCTTTGAGGAGCTCCGCGGGCTCAGCGTGGACATGAGCCTGGCCGTGGAGCAGGGCGCCCCCGTGGTGGTCAGTGCCGCGGTGCAGACGGGCGACAACATCACGTGGACCTTCGACATGGGGGACGGCACCGTGCTGTCGGGCCCAGAGGCCACAGTGGAGCATGTGTACCTGCGGGCACAGAACTGCACAGTGACCGTGGGTGCGGCCAGCCCCGCCGGCCACCTGGCCCGGAGCCTGCACGTGCTGGTCTTCGTCCTGGAGGTGCTGCGCGTCGAGCCCGCCGCCTGCATCCCCACTCAGCCTGACGCGCGGCTCACGGCCTACGTCACCGGGAACCCGGCCCGCTACCTCTTCGACTGGACCTTTGGGGATGGCTCCTCCAACACGACCATGCGGGGGTGCCCGACGGTGACACACAACTTCACGCGTAGCGGCACGTTCCCCCTGGCGCTGGTGCTGTCCAGCCGCGTGAACAGGGCGCGTTACTTCACCAGCATCTGCGTGGAGCCAGAGGTGGGCAACGTCACCCTGCAGCCAGAGAGGCAGTTTGTGCAGCTCGGGGACGAGGCCCGGCTGGTGGCATGTGCCTGGCCCCCGTTCCCCTACCGCTACACCTGGGACTTTGGCACCGAAGAAGCCGTCCCCGCCCGTGTCGGGGGCCCTGAGGTGACGTTCATCTACCGAGACCCAGGCTCCTATCTTGTGACAGTCACCGCGTCCAACAACATCTCCGCTGCCAATGACTCAGCCCTGGTGGAGGTGCAGGAGCCCGTGCTGGTCACCAGCATCAAGGTCAATGGCTCCCTTGGGCTGGAGCTGCAGTAGCCGTACCTGTTCTCTGCTGTGGGCCGTGGGCGCCCCGCCAGCTACCTGTGGGATCTGGGGGACGGTGGGCGGCTCGAGGGTCCGGAGGTCACCCACGCTTACAACAGCACAGGTGACTTCACCGTTAGGGTGGCCGGCTGCAATGAGGTGAGCCGCAGCGAGGCCTGGCTCAATGTGACGGTGAAGCGGCGCGTGCGGGGGCTCATCGTCAATGCCAGCTGCACGGTGGTGCCCCTGAATGGGAGCATGAGCTTCAGCACCTCGCTGGAGGCCGGCAGTGATGTGCGCTATTCCTGGGTGCTCTGTGACCGCTGCACGCCCATCTCTGGGGGTCCTGCCATCTCTTTACACCTTCCGCTCCGTGGGCACCTTCAATATCATCGTCACAGCTGAGAACGAGGTGGGCTCCGCCCAGGACAGCATCTTCGTCTATGTCCTGCAGCTCATAGAGGGGCTGCAGGTGGTGGGCGGTGGCCGCTACTTCCCCACCAACCACACGGTACAGCTGCAGGCCGTGGTCAGGGATGGCACCAACATCTACAGCTGGACTGCCTGGAGGGACAGGGGCCCGGCCCTGGCCGGCAGCGGCAAAGGCTTCTCGCTCACTGCGCTCGAGGCCGGCACCTACCATGTGCAGCTGCGGGCCACCAACATGCTGGGCAGCGCCTGGGCTGACTGCACCGTGGACTTCGTGGAGCCTGTGGGGTGGCTGATGGTGGCCGCCTCCCCGAACCCAGCTGCCGTCAACACAAGTGTCACCCTCAGTGCCGAGCTGGCTGGTGGCAGTGGTGTCGTATACACTTGGTCCTTGGAGGAGGGGCTGAGCTGGGAGACCCCCGAGCCATTTACCACCCACAGCTTCCCCACACCCGGCCTGCACTTGGTCACCATGACGGCAGGGAACCCGCTGGGCTCAGCCAACGCCACCGTGGAAGTGGATGTGCAGGTGCCTGTGAGTGGCCTCAGCATCAGGGCCAGCGAGCCGGGAGGCAGCTTCGTGGCGGCCGGGTCCTCTGTGCCCTTTTGGGGGCAGCTGGCCACGGGCACCAATGTGAGCTGGTGCTGGGCTGTGCCCGGCGGCAGCAGCAAGCGTGGCCCTCATGTCACCATGGTCTTCCCGGATGCTGGCACCTTCAACATCCGGCTCAATGCCTCCAACGCAGTCAGCTGGGTCTCAGCCACGTACAACCTCACGGTGGAGGAGCCCATCGTGGGCCTGGTGCTGTGGGCCAGCAGCAAGGTGGTGGCGCCCGGGCAGCTTGTCCATTTTCAGATCCTGCTGGCTGCCGGCTCAGCTGTCACCTTCCGCCTGCAGGTCGGCGGGGCCAGCCCCGAAGTGCTCCCTGGGCCCCGTTTCTCCCACAGCTTCCCCCGCATCGGAGACCACGTGGTGAGCGTGCAGGGCAAAAACCACGTGAGCTGGGCCCAGGCGCAGGTGCGCATCGTGGTGCTGGAGGCCGTGAGCGGGCTGCAGGTGCCCAACTGCTGTGAGCCTGGCATCGCCATGGGCACTGAGAGGAACTTCACAGCCCGCGTGCAGCGCGGCTCTCGGGTCGCCTACGCCTGGTACTTCTCGCTGCAGAAGGTCCGGGGCGACTCTCTGTTCATCCTGTCGGGCCGCGACGTCACCTACACGCCGTGGCCGCGGGGCTGTTGGAGATCCAGGTGCGTGCCTTCAACGCCCTGGGCAGTGAGAACCGCACGCTGGTGCTGGAGGTTCAGGACGCCGTCCAGTATGTGGCCCTGCGGAGCGGCCCCTGCTTCACCAACCGCTTGGCGCAGTTTGAGGCCGCCACCAGCCCCAGCCCCCGGCGCGTGGCCTACCACTGGGACTTTGGGGATGGGTCCCCAGGGCAGGACACAGATAAGCCCAGGGCCGAGCACTCCTACCTGAGGCCTGGGGACTACCGCGTGCAGGTGAACGCCTCCAACCTGGTGAGCTTTTTCGTGGCGCAGGCCACGGTGACCGTCCAGGTGCTGGCCTGCCGGGAGCCGGAGGTGGACGTGGTCCTGCCCCTGCAGGTGCTGATGCGACGATCACAGCGCAACTGCCTGGATGCCTACGTTGACCTGCGCGACTGTGTCACCTACCAGACTGAGTACCGCTGGGAGGTGTACCGCACCGCCAGCTGCCAGCGGCCGGGGTGCCCGGCGCGTGTGGCCCTGCCCGGCGTGGACGTGAGCCGGCCTCAGCTGGTGCTGCCGCGGCTGGCGCTGCCTGTGGGGCACTACTGCTTTGTGTTTGTCGTGTCATTTGGGGACACGCCACTGGCACGGAGCATCCAGGCCAATGTGACGGTGGCCCCCGAGCGCCTGGTGCCCATCACTGAGGGTGGCTCCTACCGCGTGTGGTCAGACACACAGGACCTGGTGCTGGATGGGAGCGAGTCCTACGACCCCAACCTGGAGGACGGCGACCAGACGCCGCTCAGTTTCCAGTGGGCCTGTGTGGCTTCGACACAGGTCAGTGCGTGGCAGGGCCGTCCTCCCTGCCCCTCACCCGTCCACACCCATGAGCCCAGAGAACACCCAGCTTGCCACCAGGGCTGGCCCGTCCTCAGTGCCTGGTGGGCCCCGTCCCAGCATGGGGAGGGGGTCTCCCGCGCTGTCTCCTGGGCCGGGCTCTGCTTTAAAACTGGATGGGGTTCTCGGGCCACGTCGCCCCTTGTTCTCGGCCTGCAGAGGGAGGCTGGCGGGTGTGCGCTGAACTTTGGGCCCCGCGGGAGCAGCACGGTCACCATTCCACGGGAACGGCTGGCAGCTGGCGTGGAGTACACCTTCAGCCTCACCGTGTGGAAGGCCGGCCGCAAGGAGGAGGCCACCAACCAGACGGTGGGTGCCGCCCGCCCCTCGGCCACTTGCCTTGGACAGCCCAGCCTCCCTGCTCATCTACTGTTTTCCGTGTTTTAGTGCTGGTGGAGGCCGCGCGCTCTCCCCTCTCTGTTTCTGATGCAAATTCTATGTAACACGACAGCCTGCTTCAGCTTTGCTTCCTTCCAAACCTGCCACAGTTCCACATACAGTCTTCAAGCCACATATGCTCTAGTGACAAAAGCTACACAGTCCCCCAGCAATACCAACAGTGAGGAAGAGCCCCTTCCCACCCCAGAGGCAGCCACTGTCCCCAGCCCATGTCCCTGTTGCTGGATGTGGTGGGCCGGTTCTCACCCTCATGCTCCCCACTCTGGACCGGCCAGGAGGCTTGGTGACCCTGAGCCCGTGGTGGCTGCTCCTGCTGCTGTCAGGCGGGGCCTGCTGGTGCCCCAGAGTGGGTGTCTGTTCCCCAGTCCCTGCTTTCCTCAACGGGCCTGATTGGGGGTCTGCCCAGAGGGGTCGTCTGAGGGGAGGGTGTGGGAGCAGGTTCCATCCCGGCTCAGCCTCCTGACCCAGGCCCTGGCTAAGGGCTGCAGGAGTCTGTGAGTCAGGCCTACGTGGCAACTGCGGTCCTCACACCCACACATACGTCTGTTCCCACACGCATCCCCCCAGGGGCCCTCAGTGAGCATTGCCTGCCTCCTGCCAGGGTCCAGCTGGGTCCAGTACACCAGAACGCACACCCCAGTGTCCTCTGCCCTGTGTATGCCCTTCCGCCGCCCAGGTTGGAAGGTGGCAAACCGGATGAGTATCCTGGGAGGGGGTGAGCTCACCGGCAGTGGCCAGGCCCCTGGGAAACCTGGAGTTTGGGAGCAGCATCCTCCACGGGTCCCCCAGACCTTCCAGCAGGCCAAATAGACCTGTGTTGGAGGTAACCCCACTCCCACGCCAGGTGCTGATCCGCAGTGGCCGGGTGCCCATTGTGTCCTTGGAGTGTGTGTCCTGCAAGGCACAGGCCGTGTACGAAGTGAGCCGCAGCTCCTACGTGTACCTGGAGGGCCGCTGCCTCAATTGCAGCAGCGGCTCCAAGCGAGGGGTGAGTGTTGAGCGGGGTGTGGGCGGGTTGGGGATGGGTCCCATGGCCGAGGGGACGGGGCCTGCAGGCAGAAGTGGGGCTGACAGGGCAGAGGGTTGCGCCCCCTCACCATCCCTTCTGCCTGCAGCGGTGGGCTGCACGTACGTTCAGCAACAAGACGCTGGTGCTGGATGAGACCACCACATCCACGGGCAGCGCAGGCATGTGACTGGTGCTGCGGCGGGGCGTGCTGCGGGACGGCGAGGGATACACCTTCACGCTGACGGTGCTGGGCCGCTCTGGCGAGGAGGAGGGCTGCGCCTCCATCCCCCTGTCCCCCAACCGCCCGCCGCTGGGGGGCTCTTGCTGCCTCTTCCCACTGGGCGCTGTGCACGCTCTCACCACCAAGGTGCACTTCGAATGCATGGGTGAGTGCAGGCCTGCGTAGGGGGAGCAGCGGGATCCCCCGACTCTGTGAGGTCACGGAGCCCTCCTGTGATGCCGTGGGGACCGTCCCTCAGGCTGGCATGACGCGGAGGATGCTGGCGCCCCGCTGGTGTACGCCCTGCTGCTGCAGCGCTGTCGCCAGGGCCACTGCGAGGAGTTCTGTGTCTACAAGGGCAGCCTCTCCGGCTACGGAGCCGTGCTGCCCCCGGGTTTCAGGCCACACTTCGAGGTGGGCCTGGCCGTGGTGGTGCAGGACCAGCTGGGAGCCGCTGTGGTCGCCCTCAACAGGTGAGCCAGGCCGTGGGAGGGCGCCCCCGAGACTGCCACCTGCTCACCACCCCCCTCTGCTCGTAGGTCTTTGGCCATCACCCTCCCAGAGCCCAACGGCAGCGCAATGGGGCTCACAGTCTGGCTGCACCGGCTCACCGCTAGTGTGCTCCCGGGGCTGCTGCGGCAGGCCGATCCCCAGCACGTCATCGAGTACTCGCTGGCCCTGGTCACTGTGCTGAACGAGGTGAGTGCAGCCTGGGAGGGGACCTCACATCTGCTGCATGCGTGCTGGGGACCAAGACCTGTTCCCCTGCCTGGAGCTTTGCGGAGGGCTCATCCCGGGCCCCAGAGATAAATCCCAGTGACCCTGAAGCAGCACCCCGACGTTCCGCTCCCAGCAGCCACACCCACCAGGCCCTCTCCGGCGTCTGCTTTCCACAATGCAGCCCCCGCCCAGGAGGGCCCATGTGCTTACCCTGTTTTGCCCATGAAGAAACAGCTCAGTGTTGCGGGTCAGTGCCCACATCACACAGCATCTAGCACGTAACTGCACCCCGGGAGTCGTGGGCATCTGCTGGCCTCCTGCCGGCCTCCTGCCCTGCTGACAGCTTGCTGTGCCCCCTGCCTGCCCCAGTACGAGCGGGCCCTGGACGTGGCGGCAGAGCCCAAGCACGAGCGGCAGCGCCGAGCCCAGATACGCAAGAACATCACGGAGACTCTGGTGTCCCTGAGGGTCCACACTGTGGATGACATCCAGCAGATCGCTGCTGCGCTGGCCCAGTGCATGGTAGGATGGCCCCACATGCTCACCCCGCCCCGCATGCCTGCCAGGGTACTGGGTTCAGCCCCCCAGGGCAGACGGGCAGCTTGGCCGAGGAGCTGAGCCTCCAGCCTGGGCTCCTTCCTGCCGTGGCGTTCCTCGGTCTCTGACCTGCTTCAGTAGCCTCAGCCTTTCTGCTGTCCTGTGTGAACGCAGGGTGCCTCTCGGGGGACCCAGGGTGTAAAGAGGGGCCCAGATGTGGGGAGGGACTAAGAAGATGCTGCTCTGTGCCCTCCACTCTCCCCTCCCCTCCCCCTTCCCTCCCCTAGCCCCTCCCCTCCCCTTCCCTCCCCTAACCCCTCCCCTCCCCCTTCCCTCCCCTAGCCCCTCCCCCCTCACCTAGCCCCTGCCTCCTCCTCTAGCCCCTCCCCTCCTCTAGCCCTTCCCCTCCTCCCCTCTCCCAGACCCTGCCTCGCCTGATCCCTCTTAGCCTATCTACTCCTCTTCGTGTCGCTCTCCTCCTCTTTCCCTTCCCTCCTCTTCCGCTCCCCGGCGCGCCCCTTCCCTCTTCCTCTCCCCACCTCTTCCCTCCCCTCTTCCTCTCCCCACATCTTCCCTCCTCTCTTCCTCTCCCCACGTCTTCCCTCCCCTCTTCCTCTCCCCACCTCTTCCCTCCCCTCTTCCTCTCCCAACCCCTTCCCTCCCCTCTTCCTCTCCCCACCTCTTCCCTCCCTTCTTCCTCTCCCCTCCTCTTTCCCTATCCTCCTTCCCTCCCTTCCTATTTCCCTCATCTCCTCCCCTCCCCTCCTCTTCTCCCCTCCTCTTCCCTCTCCTCTTCCCCTCCCCTCTTCTTCCCCTCCCCTCCTCTTCCCCTCCCCTCCTCTTCCCTCCCCTCTTCCCCTCCCCTCCTCTTCCCTCTCCTTTCTCCCCCTTCTCTCCCCTCCCCTCTCCCCCTTCTCTCCCCCTTCTCTCCCCTCACCTCTCTCCCCCTTCTCTCCCCTCCCCTCTCCCCCTTCTCTCTGCCTTCTCTCCCTTCCCCTCTCCCCCTTCTCTCCCCTCCCCCTTCTCTCCCCTCCCCCCTTCTCTCCCCTCCCCCCTTCTCTCCCCTCCCCCCTTCTCTCCCCTCCCCTCTCCTCTCCCCCTTCTCTCCCCTCCCCTCTCCTCTCCCCCTTCCCTCCCCTCTCCTCTCCCCCTTCTCTCCCCTCCCCTCTCCTCTCCCCCCTTCTCTCCCCTCCCCTCTCCTCTCCCCCCTTCTCTCCCCTCCCCTCTCCTCTCCCCCCTTCTCTCCCCTCCCCTCTCCTCTCCCCCTTCTCTCTCCTTCCCTCTCCTCTCCCCCCTTTTCTCCACTTCCCTCTCCTCTCTCCCTTCTGCCCTCCTCCTTCTCTCATGTGAAGAGGTGCCTTGTGTGGTCAGTGGGCTGCATCACGTGTTCCCCAGGTGGAGGCCCTGGGTCATGCAGAGCCACAAAAAATGCTTAGTGAGGAGGCTGTGGGGGTCCAGTCAAGTGGGCTCTCCAGCTGCAGGGCTGGGGGTGGGAGCCAGGTGAGGACCCGTGTAGAGAGGAGGGCGTGTGCAAGGAGTGGGGCCAGGAGCGGGGCTGGACACTGCTGGCTCCACACAGGGGCCCAGCAGGGAGCTCGTATGCCGCTCGTGCCTGAAGCAGACGCTGCACAAGCTGGAGGCCATGATGCGCATCCTGCAGGCAGAGACCACCGCGGGCACCGTGACGCCCACCGCCATCGGAGACAGCATCCTCAACATCACAGGTGCCGCGGCCCGTGCCCCACGCCACCCGCCCGCCCCACGTGGCCCGTCCGCCCCATGCCGCCCTTTCCTCTGCCTCCCTCCTCCCCACAACCGCCTCGCCTTTGCCCCATCCCATCTTCGTCCCCCTCCCCTCCCCCCAATTCCCATCCTCATCCCCCTCCCCCAATTCCCATCCTCATCCCGCTCCCCCAATTCCCATCCTCATCCCCCTCCCCCAATTCCCATCCTCATCCCGCTCCCCCAATTCCCATCCTCATCCCGCTCCCCCAATTCCCATCCTTATCCCCCTCCCCCAATTCCCATCCTTATCCCCCTCCCCCAATTCCCATCCTTATCCCCCTCCCCCAATTCCCATTCTCCTCCCCCTCCCCCTTCCCTATTACCATCCCTTTTCTCCATCTCTCTCCCCTTTTCTCCATTTCCCCCCCGATCCTCCCCGTCCTTTTGTCCATTCCCCTCATCTTTCTTATCCCCCTTATCCTCCTTCCCCTCCCTTATCCCCCTTCCCCTCCCTTATCCCCCTTATCCTCCTTCCCCTCCCTTATCCCCCTTATCCCCTTCCCCTCCCTTTCCCCCTGCTCCTCCTCTTCTCCCCTTTCTCTTTTCTCTACCCTTTTCCTTCCTTTTTCCTCCCTCTCCCCATCATCCCCCTCATCTTCGTCCTCATCCCCATCCCCTTCCCCCTCCCCCTCCACCACTCTCTCTCCAGCTTCCCTCTTCCTTCTGCCTGCACCTCGCTCTCTGCCCCCTCAGGTTCCCCCTTTCTCCCAGCCCCCACCCTCCAGCTCCCCCTTTTTGCCTGCCCCCACCCTCCCTCTGCCTCCCTGTCTCTGCACTGACCTCACGCCTGTCTGCAGGAGACCTCATCCACCTGGCCAGCTCAGACGTGCGGGCACCGCAGCGCTCAGAGCTGGGAGCCGAGTCACCATTGCGGATGGTGGCGTCCCAGGCCTACAACCTGACCTCTGCCCTCATGCGCATCCTCACGCGCTCCCGCGTGCTCAACGAGGAGCCCGTGACGCTGGCGGGCGAGGAGATCATGGCCCAGGGCAAGCGCTCGGACCCGCGGAGCCTGCTGTGCTATGGCGGCGCCCCAGGGCCTGGCTGCCACCTCTCCATCCCCTAGGCTTTCAGCAGGGCCCCGGCCAACCTCAGTGACGTGGTGCAGCTCGTCTTTCTGGTGGACTCCAATCCCTTTCTCTTTGGCTATATCAGCAACTACACCGTCTCCACCAAGGTGGCCTCGATGGCGTTCCAGACACAGGCCGGCGCCCAGATCCCCATCGAGCGGCTGGCCTCAGAGCGCGCCATCACCGTGAAGGTGCCCAACAACTCGGACTGGGCTGCCCGGGGCCACTGCAGCTCCGCCAACTCCGTTGTGGTCCAGCCCCAGGCCTCCGTCGGTGCTGTGGTCACCCTGGACAGCAGCAACCCTGTGGCCGTGCTGCATCTGCAGCTCAACTATACGCTGCTGGACGGTGTGTGCAGCGGGTGGGGCACACGCGGCCCCCTGGCCTTGTTCTTGGGGGGAAGGCGTTTCTCGTAGGGCTTCCATGGGTGTCTCTGGTGAAATTTGCTGTTTCATGGGCTGTTGGGGGCCTGGCCGGAGAGGAGCTGGGGGCCACGGAGAAGCAGGTGCCAGCTCTGGTGCAGAGGCTCCTATGGCCTTTCAGGCCCGTGGCAGAGGGTGGGCTCAGGAGGGCCATCGTGGGTGTCCCCCGGGTGGTTGAGCTTCCCGGCAGGCGTGTGACCTGCGCGTTCTGCCCCAGGCCGCTACCTGTCTGAGGAACCCGAGCCCTACCTGGCAGTCTACCTGCACTCGGAGCCCCGGCCCAATGAGCGCAACTGCTCGGCTAGCAGGAGGATCCGCCCAGAGTCCCTCCAGGGTGCCGACCACCGGCCCTACACCTTCTTCATTTCCCCGGGGTGAGCTCTGTGGGCCGGCCTGGCAGGGCAGGGCAGGGCATCATGGGTCAGCATTGCCCGGGTTACGGGCCCCGTGGGGACGGCAGGCAGCGAGGGGACTGGACCGGGTATGGGCTCTGGGACTCCGACATCCAACCTGGCGGAGCCTGGGCTCACGTCCACTGCCCCTTCCCTTCCCAGGACCAGAGACCCAGTGGGGAGTTACCGTCTGAACCTCTCCAGCCACTTCCGCTGGTCGGCGCTGGAGGTGTCCGTGGGCTTGTACACGTCCCTGTGCCAGTACTTCAGCGAGGAGGATGTGGTGTGGCGGACAGAGGGGCTGCTGCCCCTGGAGGAGACCTCGCCCCGCCAGGCCGTCTGCCTCACCCGCCACCTCACCGCCTTCGGCACCAGCCTCTTCATGCCCCCAAGCCATGTACGCTTTGTGTTTCCTGTGAGTGACCCTGTGCTCCTGGGAGCCTCTGCAGAGTCGAGGAGGGCCTGGGTGGGCTCGGCTCTATCCTGAGAAGGCACAGCTTGCACGTGACCTCCTGGGCCCGGCGGCTGTGTCTTCACAGGAGCCGACAGCGGATGTAAACTACATCGTCATGCTGACATGTGCTGTGTGCCTGGTGACCTACATGGTCATGGCCGCCATCCTGCACAAGCTGGACCAGTTGGATGCCAGCCGGGGCTGCGCCATCCCCTTCTGTGGGCAGCGGGGCCGCTTCAAGTACGAGATCCTCGTCAAGACAGGCTGGGGCCGGGGCTCAGGTGAGGGGCGCGGCGGGGTGGCAGGGCCTCCCCTGCTCTCACTGGCTGTGCTGGTTGCACCCTCTGGGAGTGAGTCTCGTCGCAGGCGTCAGAACAAGGCAGTTTTTGCAGTGCTGTGTGAAGGGCTCGTGTGTTCATCCTGGGAATGACCTCGTGAGCACTCACTGTCCCTGAGGACTAGGACAGCTCCTAGCTGGAAGTAGGTGCCAGTCAGTCAGGGTGGGCAGCCCACGTTCTGCACAGTAGCGTGGCCCCACAAGTGACATGAGCATCGCTACCACTGTGGGAGACCATGCATCCACCCGCGATCCTGACTGCATAGCTCGTCTCTCAGACGGAGGTGCCAGCACCCTCCCCGTGGCTGTTTCTTCAATACCTCCATTTTCCTTTATTGGAATTGCCCTTCTGGCATTCCCTTTTTGTTTTCGTTTTTCTTTTTTTGGAGACGGAGTCTCACTCTGTTGCCCAGGCTGGAGTGCAATGGCGTGATCTTGGCTCACAGCAACTTCCAGCTCCTGGGTTTAAGCGATTCCCCTTAAGCGATTCTCCTGAGTAGCTGGGAGTACAGGTGCACGCCACCACACCCAGTTAATTTTTCACCATGTCAGCCAGGCGAACTCCTGACCTCAGGTGATCCGCCTGCCTCGGCCTGCCAGAGTGCTGGGATGACAGGTGTGAGCCACCACACCTGGCTGTGTTCCCATTTTTTATTTCCGTGTTGCTTTCATCTTCATTTCCCAGTTCTTTTGATTACCTACTTTTAAAAACTGTCGGCCGGGCGCGGTGGCTCACACCTGTAATCCGAGCACTTTGGGAGGCCGAGGCAGGCAAATCACGGGGTCAGGAGACCGAGACCATCCTGGCTAACGGTGAAACCCTGTCTCTACTAAAAAATACAAAAAAATTAGCCCGGCGTGGTGGCAGGCACCTGTAGTCCCAGCTCCTCGGGAGACTGAGGCAGGAGAATGGCGTGAGCCCGGGAGGCGGAGCTTGCAGTGAGCTGAGATTGCGCCACTGCACTCCAGCCTGGGTGACACAGCAAGACTCCATCTCAAAAAAAAAAAGAAAAAAAATACTGTCACCTGGGTCTGTCACTGGGAGAGGAGGTGACACAGCTTCACGCTTCGCAGTCTGTGCATGAACTGAGGGACGGGTGTGTGGTGCGGGTCACTGGTTGTGGCGTGACTGAGGCGTGGACAGGTGTGCAGCGCGGGTCACTGGTTGTGGTGTGGACTGAGGCGTGTGCAGCCATGTTTGCATGTCACAAGTTACAGTTCTTTCCGTGTAACTTAATCATGTCCTTGAGGTCCTGCTGTTTATTGGACAAATTGCAGTAACCGCAGCTCCTCGTGTATGGCAGAGCCGTGCAAAGTCGGGACTGCCTGTGTGGCTCCTTGAGTGCGCGGAGGCCAAAGCTGAGATGACTTGCCTGGGATGCCACACGTGTTGGGCAGCAGACCGAGCCTCCCACCCCTCCCTCTTGCCCTCCAGGTACCACGGCCCACGTGGGCATCATGCTGTATGGGGTGGACAGCCGGAGTGGCCACCGGCACCTGGACGGCGACAGAGCCTTCCACCGCAACAGTCTGGACATCTTCCGGATCGCCACCCCGCACAGCCTGGGTAGCGTGTGGAAGATCCGAGTGTGGCACGACAACAAAGGTCTGTGCGGACCCTGCCAAGCTCTGCCCCTCTGCCCCCGCATTGGGGCGCCCTGCGAGCCTGACCTCCCTCCCGCGCCTCTGCAGGGCTCAGCCCTGCCTGGTTCCTGCAGCACATCATCGTCAGGGACCTGCAGACGGCACGCAGCACCTTCTTCCTGGTCAATGACTGGCTTTCGGTGGAGACGGAGGCCAACGGGGGCCTGGTGGAGAAGGAGGTGCTGGCCGCGAGTAAGGCCTCGTTCCGTGTTCCCACTCCGTGGGAGGTTGGGCAGGGTGGTCCTGCCCCGTGGCCTCCTGCAGTGCGGCCCTCCCTGCCTTCTAGGTCACGCAGCCCTGTTGCGCTTCCGGCGCCTGCTGGTGGCTGAGCTGCAGCGTGGCTTCTTTGACAAGCACATCTGGCTCTCCATATGGGACCGGCCGCCTCGGAGCTGTTTCACTCGCATCCAGAGGGCCACCTGCTGCGTTCTCCTCATCTGCCTCTTCCTGGGCGCCAACGCCGTGTGGTACGGGGCTGTTGGTGACTCTGCCTACAGGTGGGTGCCGTAGGGGTCGGGACAGCCTCTTCCTGCCCAGCCCTTCCTGCCCCTCAGCCTCACCTGTGTGGCCTCCTCTCCTCCACACAGCACGGGGCATGTGTCCAGGCTGAGCCCGCTGAGCGTCGACACAGTCGCTGTTGGCCTGGTGTCCAGCGTGGTTGTCTATCCCGTCTACCTGGCCATCCTCTTTCTCTTCCGGATGTCCCGGAGCAAGGTGGGCTGGGGCTGGGGACCCGGGAGTACTGGGAATGGAGCCTGGGCCTCGGCACCATGCCCAGGGCCGCCACTTTCCAGTGCTGCAGCCAGAGGGAAAGGCGTCCACCAAAGGCTGCTCGGGAAGGGTCAACACACTTGAGCAGCCTTAGCTAGACTGACCAGGGAGAAAGAGAGAAGACTCAGAAGCCAGAATCGTGAAAGAACGAGGGCACTTCGCTAAGCAGACGCCACGGACAACTGCACAGCAGCACGCCAGATAACTCAGAAGAAGCAAGCACGCGGCTGTGCACGCTTCCGAAATGCACTCCAGAAGAAAATCTCAGTACATCTATAGCAAGTGAAGAGGCCGAGTTAGTCCCTTAGAAACCTCCCAGTGGCCGGGCCGGGTGTGGTGGCTCACGCCTGTAATCCCAACACTTCAGGAGGCCGAGGTGGGCGGATCTGAGTCCAGGAGTTTGAGACCAGCCTGGGCAACATAGCAAGACCCCATCTATATAAAACATTAAAAAGGGCCAGGCACGGTGGCTCACGCCTGTAATCCCAACACTTTGGGAGGCCGAGGCGGGCAGATCAGTTGAGGTCAGGAGTTCGAGACCAGCCTGGCCAACACAATGAAACCCTGTCTCTACTACAAATACAAAAACTTAGCTGGGCATGGTGGCGGGCGCCTGTAGTCCCAGCTACTCGAGAGGCTGAGGCAGGAGAATGGCATGAACCCAGGAGGCGGAGCTTGCAGTGAGCCGAGATTGCGCCACTGCACTCCATCCTGGGCAATGGAGCAAGACTCCATCTCCAAAAAAAAGAAAAAAAAAATCCCACAAAGAAAAGCTTGGGCTCAGAGCCTTCACGATAGAATTTTTCTAAGCAGTTAAGGAAGAATTAACACCAATCCTTCACAGACTCTTTCCAAGAATACAGCAGGTGGGAACTCTTCCCATTCATACGGAAACGGGAGGCCGCACCCCTTAGGAATGCACACGTGGGGTCCTCAAGAGGTTACATGCAAACTAACCCCAGCAGCACACAGAGAAGGCGCATAAGCCGCGACCAGGAGGGGTTGCTCCCGAGTCCGTGGCAGGAACCAGAGGCCACATGTGGCTGCTCGTATTTAAGTTAATTACAATGGAACGTTGGCCGGGCGTGGTGGCTCACACCTGTAATCCCAGCACTTTGGGAGGCGGAGGCGGGCAGATCACTTGAGGTCAGGAGTTCCAAGACCAGCCTGGCCAACACAGTGAAACCCCGTCTCTACTAAAAATACAAAAAATTAGCTGGGCATCGTGGCAGGCACCTGTAATCCCAGCTACTCAGGAGGCTGAGCCAGGACAATCGCCTGAACGCGGGAGGTGGAGGTTGCAGTGAGCTGAGATTGCGCCAGTGCACTCCTGCCTGGGTGACAGAGCGAGACTCCATCTTAAAAAAAAAAAAAAAATGAAATTCAAAACTCTGTTCCTTAGCTGCACCAGTCTGCTGTCAAGTGTTCAGTGGCACATGTCGCGAGGGGCTGCCATCACGGACGGTGCAGATGTCCCATATATCCAGCATTCTAGGACATTCTGTTAGATGGCACCGGGCTCTGTCCTGTCTGCTGAGGAGGTGGCTTCTCATCCCTGTCCTGAGCAGGTCTGAGCTGCCGCCCGCTGACCACTGCCCTTGTCCTGCAGGTGGCTGGGAGCCTGAGCCCCACACCTGCCGGGCAGTAGGTGCTGGACATCGACAGCTGCCTGGACTCGTCCGTGCTGGACAGCTCCTTCCTCACGTTCTCAGGCCTCCACGCTGAGGTGAGGGCTCTACTGGGGGTCCTGGGCTGGGCTGGGGGTCCTGCCGCCTTGGCGCAGCTTGGACTCCAGACACTGTGCACCTCTCAGCAGGCCTTTGCTGGACAGGTGAAGAGTGACTTGTTTCTGGATGATTCTAAGAGGTGGGTTCCCTAGAGAAACCTCGAGCCCTGGTGCAGGTCACTGTGTCTGGAGTACCGGGGGTGTGCGGGCTGCGTGTCCTTGCTGGGTGTCTGTGGCTCCATGTGGTCACACCACGTGGGAGCAGGTTTGCTCGGAAGCCCAGGGTGTCCGTGCGTGACTGGACGGGGGTGGGCTGTGTGTGTGACACATCCCCTGGTACCTTGCTGACCCGCGCCACCTGCAGTCTGGTGTGCTGGCCCTCCAGCGAGGGAACGCCCAGTTGGCCGGACCTGCTCAGTGACCCGTCCATTGTGGGTAGCAATCTGCGGCACAACCCCCACTTACTGGGTCTCTCCTTTTACAACCAACACAACCGAAATCTAGGGCTTCTTTTTTTTTTTTTTTTTTTTTGAGACAGAGTCTCATTCCATTCTGTCACCCAGGCTGGAGTGCAATGGTACGATCTCGGCTCACTGCAACCTCCGCCTCCCGGGTTCAAGGGATTGTCCTGCCTCAGCCTCCTGAGTAGCTGGGATTACAGGCGTGTGCCACCATGCCTGGCTAATTTTTGTATTTTTGGTAGAGACGGGGTTTCAGCATGTTGGTGAGGCTGGTCTCGAACTCCTAACCTCGTGATCCGCCTGCCTCAGCCTCCCAAAGTGCTGGGATTACAGGCGTGAGCCACCATGCCCAGCCAAATCTAGGGCTGGAACATGGCTGCAGCATATAAATAGAATTGAATTCCATAGTTTTGTTAATCCTGTTTTTTGTTTGTTTGTAGTTGTTGCTGTTTTTGAGACAGAGTCTCGCTCTGTCGTCTAGGCTGGAGTGCAGTGGTGTAATCTCGGCTCACTGCAGACTCTGCCTCCCGGGTTCAAACTGTTCTCCTGCCTCAGCCTCCCAAGTAGGTGGGACTACAGGTGCCCACCACCACACCCGGCTAATTTTTGTATTTTATTAGAGACAGGGTTTCACCATATTGGCCAGGCTGGTCTGGAACTCCTGACCTTGTGATCTGCCCACCTCGGCCTCCCAAAGTGCTGGGATTACAGGCGTGAGCCACCACCCCCAGCCCCTGTTTTGTTTTTGTTTTGCTTGTTTCTTAGGGTTGTTTTTCTATTTATGGTAAAGGCATTGGCTTTCCATTTGTAGCATCAATAGAATATTTCCTGTTTACAATAACCTTATGTCATAGTAAATGGTAAAGGGATTTAAAGCAGTGGTTTTCAGCTGCCAGAGGCCTGAGAGAGTTTGGGCACACTCTGTGTGATCGGGCAGAAGGCCTGTGGGAAGTTTAGCTGAGGACAGGGCCAGGAAAGGTGATGGACAGTGGGGGTCTGTCCTGGTCACCAGGCCCCTGGGTCCTGCCCGCCTGCTTGGAGCTCCCCACCCATCACACATGATGCGGCCAAGCCCTCTGGGTATTGTGGGCAAATACCTTAGGAGAGAAGCTGATGAACTTTGTTTCTTGAAATGCACAGATTCCTTGGACGTCCCTGAGAGCTCAGTCATGAAAGTCAGCTTGGTTTTCTCCCCCTCATTTGGGTTCAGAATTTAAAGTCCACACACACGGGCAGTAAGATGACATAGATAAGGACATCATCACTCAGTTTCGGATGTTAAAATGTCTAGGTGGGTTAGGGGTGATTTGAGATCACACAACCTTGTGCCACAAAGAGGAATTCCCAGGCCAGAGGGAGACATTTTATTGCCATGTTATGATCTCATCATTGAGTTGAAAGGCAATCTTGTTTCATTTTGGATTCTTTCTTATGTTTATGTCTTATAAGGGCACTTTGAATTTCCAAGCAAATAATAATTTTGAATTAGCTTTTAATCATTGACTTCTAGCACAGTTTTATGATCAGAAACATGCTGTGTGATTTGATTGCTCTCAAATATATTGAGATTTGCTGGAACAAAATAAGTCAGGTTAATTTTTGTAAATGTACCATGCATGCTTAAAATGAATGTATGTACATTTGTTCCTGAGATACAGGTTGATGGACGGATGGCTACATGGATGTGATGGAGATGGTTTACTATCGGGACCTTCCGCATCCTGCTGATGTTTTGTTGCTTAGGATATGAATGGCTGAGCGGAGGCTGTACAACCTGGCACTCTGCTTGGGTATGAGGTTCTTCCTGCCATCCTGCCATCATTTGTTTTTTATGTTTTGTCGCCAAAAGTGACCTTGAGGAACCCTGGGAGCTCAGGAAGGAAGGAGCGCCCAGAAGCAGGGACAGGGAGCTGGTTGGGGAGGACCAGAAGTCAGGTTTGTGAAGGTTCCAGAGAGGACCTGGCCTTGGGAGGAGCGTGGGGGACTGAGATGGGGGAGGGGTCATTGGGATGATGCGGGCGCTACTTGGAATGTCCATTGTGAGGCACCACCGGGGTCATCAGGGATTGGTGGAGAGAGAGTCTAAAGCCCCAGGGTTGCTAAGGGAGGGCCCAGACCGAAGAAGGTTTGGTGGAAAGCAGAACCTTTGTCTCCCTCTAATTGCTCCTAAGCCTCACGCTCCCTTGCCCCGCCTGTCCTGTTGCTTCCCTGATCTTCTCCGTGACCTGTAGCTAAACCTTCCACCAGCGCTTGAGAACTTAATTTGAACCGGATCCTTTCCCAGACCCCTTTCTTCTTCTCCTCCTCCTCCTCCCCAACAGCCCCCTTCTCCTCCTTTCCCTTCCCTTACTTCCCCCCTTCCCCTCCCCCTCCCCTCCCCCTCCCCTCCCCCTCCCCAACTCAGATCCGGCCCGGTCCCCGTCCCCTTCCCTCCCCCCTGCCCTAAGCCACCTCCACCTCTGTCCTGGCTGCCTCAGGGCGCCCTGAAAGGACCAGGACATGCGGGTGCGGTGGCTGCTCTTTTGGCTCCTCTTTTGGCTCCTGCTGGGATTTATCAGCCATCAGTCCACCTGTGTGAGTAGATGGGTGCTGTGGCTGCTCTTTTGGCTCCTGCTGGGATTTATCAGCCATCAGTCCACCTGTGTGAGTAGACGCTGGACCCGCGGGGTTTCTTCCTTTTTACTGGGCTGTGTCACGCGGCATGAAATTACACAGCTCAGGCCTGTAATCCCAGCACTTTAGGGGGCTGAGGTGGGCAGATCACTTGAGTCCAGGAGTTGAAGACTAGCCAGGGCATCATAGCGAAACCCCATCTCTACAAAAAATTCCAAAAAAGATTAGTCGGGCCTGGTGGTGCGTACCTGTTATCCCAGTTACTGGAGAGGCTGAGGTGGGAGGATCGCTTGGGCCCAGGAGCTGGACGTTGCAGTGAGCCGAGATGGCGCTGTTGCACTCTTGTCTCCAACAGACAAAACGGACCAAAACAAAGTGAAATGTCATTTGATTTGTGTCATCTGGTTTGATGACTTTTTTTTGTTTGTTTGTTTTTTAGACAGAGTCTCACTCTGTTGCCCAGGCTGGAGTGCAGTGGCAAGATCTCGGCTCACTGCAACCTCCGCTTCCGGGGTTCAAGCAATTGTCCTGCCTCAGCCTCCTGAGTAGCTCAGATTACCACGCCTGGCTAATGTTTGTATTTTTAGTAGACCACCACGCCTGGCTACTTTTTGTATTTTTAGTAGAGACTGGGTTTCACCATGTTCGCCAGGATAGTCTCCATGTCTTGACCTCGTGATCTGCCTGCCTCGGCCTCCCAGTGCTGGGATTACAGGCGTGAGCCACCGCGCCTGGCCAAAATATATAACCTTAAGTGTAAGTTTACTAACTTTGGAAAGTACATACACCAGCATAAACCAACCCCCTTTCAAGATCTACATTATTTTATTTATTTATTTATTTTTTTGAGACAGTTTCTCCCTTGTTGCTGAGGCTGGAGTGCAATGGGGCAATATCAGCTCACCGCAACCTCTGCTTCCCAGGTTCGAGCGATTCTCCTGCCTCAGCCTCCCGAGTGGCTGGGATTACAGACATGTGCCACCACTCCCAGCTAATTTTGTATTTTTAGTAGAGATAGGGTTTCTCCATGTTGGTCAGGCTGGTTTTGAACTCCCGACCTCAGGTGATCCGCCTGCCTCGGCCTCCCAAAGTGTTGGGATTACAGGCGTGAACCACCGTGCCCAGCCAAGATCTACACTATTATGTCACCCCAGAAAGTGAACTCTCACTCTTCCCAGCCAGTCTCTTTCTTATCATAGCTTAGCTTGCTTATTCTGGAATTTCGCGTATACAGATGCATGCCATGCCATAGGTACTCTTTTGTGTCTGCTTTATTCTGCTCAACACCATGTTTCTGAAATCATTACCATTGTTGTACGGTTCTCTAACTCCATCATTTCCATTTCAGACTCAGCATATGCTGAGTTCAACCTGTTGAAGGGCTATCTCTGTTTAATTCACCATCTTGAAAGAAACATTTAAAATTGAGATGTTTTCAAGAATATATAGTTAAATCCTGAGGAATCGATGTAGAAATGTTATCAGAAGCTGTCTGAACTTACTCAGGGGAAGTCTTCGTCTTCACTCACATAAGAGTCTAATGGAATTAATATCAACAATCTTAGAGAAATCCCACGCTATTCATGCCATTTTCATGATCTCCACCTTGGTAATTTTTTTTTTTTTTTTTTTTGAGACAGAGTCTCGCTCTGTCACCCAGGCTGAAGTGCAGTGGTGCGATCTTGGCTCACTGCAACCTCTACCTCCCAGGTTCAAGTGATTCTTCTGCCTCAGCCTCCCAAGTAGCTGGAACTATAGGCGCGTGCCACCATGCCCTGCTAATTTTTTGTATTTTTAGTAGAGATGGGTTTCACCGTGTTAGCTAGGATGGTCTCAATCTCCTGATCTCGCGGTCCACCCACCTCGGCTTCCCAAAGTGCTGGGATTGCAGGCGTGAGCCACCACGCCCAGCCCACCTTGTTACTTTTTAAGAACTAAAATTCGATACTTATTTGTGAATGAAGTAATCTCTTCATTGTATTTTTTTTTTTTTACTTATGCTGAGCTTTAAATGACAAAGATTCATATAATCCAAGAGAGAAGTATTATTTAGAGGGATTCTTTTACCATGTGATATATAATAAATGCATCCAATGTTATACATCAATTTAAAAAACAAGTAAATAACTAAAGAAAAGATAACTACTGGCCAGGTGCAGTGGCTCACACCTGTATTGCCAGCACTTTGGGAGGCCGAGGCAGGTGGATCATGAGGTCAGGAGTTGGAGACCAGCCTGGCCAAGATGGTGAAACCCTGTTTCTACTAAAAAGACAAAAATTAGCCGAGCGTGGTGGCAGGCGCCTGTAATCCCAGTTACTCAGTAGCTGAGGCAGGAGAATCGCTTGAACCCGGGAGGCGGAGGTTGCAGTGAGCTGAGATCATGCCACTGCAATCTAGCCTGGGTGACAGAGCAAGACTTTGTCTCAAAACAAAAATAAAAGATAAGATAATTACTTTATACTTAGCTTGTCTTACCCATGAGTGACGGGCTGCATGTGGCCCAGGACAGTTTTGAATGCAGTTCAACACAAATTTGTAAACTTTCTTAAAACATTAGGAGATTTTGGCCAGGTACAGTGGCTCATGCCTGTAATCCCAGCACTTTGGGAGGCTGAGGCGGGCAGATTACCTGAGGTCAGGAGTTCGAGACCACCCTGGCCAACATGGCAAAACCCCATCTCCACAAAAAATACAAAAATTTGCTGAGTGCACTGTCAGGCACCTGTACTCCCAGCTACTCAGGAGGCTGAGGCAGGAGAATCACTTGAACCTGAGAGGCAGAGGTTGCAGTGAGCCGAGAGCACACCACTGCACTCCAGCCTGGGTGACAGAGTGAGACCCCATCTCAAAAACAAACAACAAACAAAAACAAAAAAAATGGCCGGGCACGGTGGCTCACACCTGTAATCCCAGCACTTTGGGAGGCCGAGGCAGGCAGATCGCCTGTCAGGAGTTCAAGGCCAGACTGGCCAACATGGTGAAACCTCATCTCTACTAAAAATACAAAAATTAGTCGGGCATGGTGGCAGAGACCTGTAATCTCAGCTGCTCGGGAGGCTGAGGCAGGAGAATGGCTTGAGCCCAGGAGCTGGAGGTTGCAGTGAGCCGAGATTGCACCACTGCACTCCAGCCTGGGCGACTGAGTGGAGCGGAACTCTGTCTCAAAAAAAAAAAAAAAAATTTTTTTTTTTAGATCATCAGCTATTGTTAGTGTTAGTGTATGTTATGTGTGGCTCAAGACAACTTTGCTTCTTTTAATATAGGCAGGGAAGTCAAAAGATTGGATATCCCTGCTTTATACCAAGAAAGACAACACCCCACATTTGCAATGCCTAAAAACACTACCAGCCATCTGAAAAACATGAGACTTCTCTAACTTCTGTTCTTTTTTGTAGCAGTGGAATCCCACGGTGATATCTGAGGGATGTGGTTACCTTTTGGAGGAGGTTGACGGTTTCTAAGGATGATTCTTTCTGAGTGAAATATTGTCAGTGTCATTGACCTTTTCATTATTTCAACTATTATTATTCCAGGTTATCAATACTCTGGCTGACCATCGTCATCGTGGGACTGACTTTGGTGGAAGTCCTTGGTTACTTATCATTACTGTGTTTCTGAGAAGTTATAAATTTGCCATCTCCCTCTGCACAAGTTACCTTTGTGTGAGTATACTAACTTTCTGTAGAGGTATACTTGTAATCACAATAAATTATATGAAACAATTCACGTTTCTGGACTTCATTATGAATATGTGGTTTTACCCAAAAAATCAGGGAAATGATTTATTAGCATAAGAATTATGAAAATATCTGCCATTTACATTATGAAAATTAAATAGGTCGGTGTTTAATAGAATGTCAACAGAGCTTTTGGTCAAAAATAAGTTTTTTTAACCTTTGTGCTATTTGTCACAAATGGAGTATGAGATTTCGTCACTTAAATGGGAAAGTCTTTCTAAACTCTTCTGCTTTATAGTTCTATCGTATGGGTGGAAGGAAAGCTTCCAATCTCCTCTCTGAAGATTCACTGCAGAAATGAGCTGACAACAGACAGCTTAACAGGAAAAGAAAAACATAGAACAGGCATAAACATGGGAACCAGCTGAAAAATGAGACTGCTAGAAGGGCTGGATGGTTGATGCTTAAAGAGCACCCTCTTCTGAGGGTAGAGGGAGATAGATGGAGATGTAGGCCATTTAGAGGGGCAGCAAATGATTTTTAGGGGAAATGAAAGAGCCCAAGGAACAAACAGTTGGCCTGAGACAAAGTTCCTCTGAGGTCATAGGGACGAGGTGACAAACTGCCGGAAGGTGAAGGGCAGAACTGCACTGCGTCTCATGATGCAGAGAAAGCCCCAGAGAATCTCTTAGAACTGCCCTCCAAGAGAATCAATGAAAAGTGTGTCTGGGCAGGGTAATTTTGAATGACATCATTCAAAGTGCATGTTCCCACTTGCAACTGGAATGAGATCAGTATGTCAAAAGTCTATACTTGGTAAGAATTTGGCTGCTAAGTTGTGCCATAATTTGTCTTTTGAGCCTTTTATCCTTTGCGTAAGTTGAGCTCTACATTTTGTCTTGCCATTCATGACAATAAAAATGTGGTTGTGTGGGGGCTGAACCTCCTTCTGAACAATGATCCAAGATAAAAGTACTAAACCACAATGCTTTTTTATATTCAAGGGAAGAGGAAGTATGTTTCAGTTTTACCGCCTAGATAATTACACGTCATTTGGCACTGCCTTTCAAGATATGTAGAAAACAGAAAATATATGAGTTATGAAGATATCTAGGCACATTTAACATTCTCTATGCCACTTAGTCCTGAACAGAGAATTTTCGGTATAAATTGGAGGAAGCTTTTTTTTTTTTCTTTTCTCACCCCCAAGAGGAGTCTCCCTCTGTTGCCCAGGCTGGAGTATAATGGTGTGATCTCGGCTCACTGCAACCTCCACCTCCTGGCTTCAAGTGATTCCCCTGCCTCAGCCTCTCAAGTAGCTGGGATTACAGGTGCCCACCACCATGCCCAGCTAATTTGTGTATTTTTAGTAGAGTCGGGGTTTTACCATGTTGGCCAGGCTAGTCTCAAAACCCGACCTCAAATGATCCACCCGCCTCAGCCTCCCAAAGTGCTGGGATTACAAGCGTGAGTCACCACGTGAGCCAGGGGAAGTTTTTAAATTTACCACTTTTTAACAATTCCATTTAGGAAAGTTCAGTTGAGCTGTTGGACTTGGACAACTTTGCACCTCTCATCTTTGTCCTTGTCATCTAGTCATCTATACCATTACCTCCTAAGCAGGGACATCATGGGTGCCATGAAGCATTCATGTGTGATGGCATTTCTTTGCTTCTCATTTCTTCATGTGTTTGACATTTCTCCTAGCTCCAAACTGGGCCAGCTACCTTTCCTATGAAATCTAGCAGTAGCTGTGGGATAGACGTGGTTGCTCTTTTCATCTTTTTAGATTACCCATTGCTTCTCTTGAAATCCTAGTACATGATTTTTTTTTAATCCTATGTGCAGAAATCAGGAAAAAACAAGTTCTACAAAGAATTTGAAAGATATTATTTCAGGCCAGGTGTGGTGGCTCATGCCTGTAATCCCAGCACTTTGGGAGGCTGAGGCAGGTGGATCACTTGAGGTCAGGAGTTCAAGACCAGATGGGCCAACATAGTGAAACCCCATCTCTACTAAAAAGACAAAAATTAGCCAGGCATGGTAGCAGGCACCTGTAATCCCAGCTACTTGGGAGGCCGAGGCACAAGAATCGCTTGAATCTGGGAGGTGGAGGTTGCCGTGAGCCAAGGTAGTGCCACTGCACTTCAGCATGGTTGAGTGACACTCCGTCTCAAGAAAAAAGTCATTTCAATGACTACCTCAGGAGATTCATAGGTATCTGACCCACATCTGAGATGGGATTTGCATTGCATTTTAGCTATGATGAGAACAAATATTTAATATCTTCGAAGATTAAAAGCATACTGTGATAATATGGAAATCTTGGTGGGAATTCAGTCATTAGTGAGAATGTTTTGCGTTAAGTTCAAACCAGCCTCAACGAAGCTGATGTGAGGGAAGGGAAAGTGAACTCTGAGTAGAGCAGGGACAGAAGAAAGATGCTCCAGTGCAGATCAGGAAGGAGCAGGGGGTGAAATGTTACAAATTCTAGAACTCAGAGAGCTGAAGGTAATTACTTCCTTTTCAAGTTGTGAAACATGTTAACCTGTGGTAAAATACTTACAAGATGATAATTACCATCTAACCGTGTTGAAGTGTACAGTTCAGTTGTGTGAAGTATATTCATGTCATTTTTTTTTTTTTTTTTTTTTGAGACAGAGTCTCACTCTGTCACCAGGCTGGAGTGCAGTGGTGGGATCTTGGCTCACTGCACCCTCTGCCTCCTGGGTTCAAGCAGTTCTCCTGCCTCAGCCTCCCGAGTAGCTGGGACTACAGGCGTGGGCCACCATGCTCAGCTAATTTTTGTATTTTTAGTAGAGACGGGGTTTCACCATGTTGCCCAGGATGATCTCCATCTCTTGACCTTGTGATTCACCCGCCTCGGCCTCCCAAAGTGCTGGGATTACAGGCGTGAGCTACAGCACCTGGCCTATTTTTTTTTTTTTTTTTGAGACAGAGTTTGAATTTTGTTGCCCAGGTTGGAGTGCAATGGCACAATCTCAGCTCACCACAACCTTTTCCTGCTGGATTCAAGTGATTCTCCTGCCTCAGCCTCGCGACTAGCTGGGATTACAGGCATGCACCACCATGCCTGGCTAATTTTGAATTTTTAGCAGAGACAGCGTTTCTCCATGTTGGTGAGGCTGGTCTCAAACTCCCGACCTCAGGTGATCCGCCTGCCTCGGCCTCCCAAAGTACTGGGATTACAGGAGTGAGCCACCCTGCCAGCCTCATGTCATTCTTTGTGTGTGTGTGTGTGTGTGTGTGTGTGTGTGTGTGTGACAGAGTCTCATTCTGTCGCTCAGGCTGGAGTGCAGTGGTGTGATCTCGGCTCACTGCAAACTCCGCCTCCCAGCTTCAAACGGTTCTCTGCCTCAGCCTCCCGAGTAGCTCGGATTACAGGCGCCCACTGCCATGCCCGGCTAATTTTTGTATTTTTAGTAGAGACGGGGTTTCACCATCTTGGCCAGGCTGGTCTTGAACTCCTGACCCCGTGATCCACCTGCCTCGGCCTCCCAAAGTACTGGGATTATACGCATGAGCCACCGTGCCCAGCCGTCATTCTTATATTATTATTTCCTAGGTGTCTTTCCTGAAGACTATCTTCCCATCTCAAAATGGACATGATGGATCCACGGATGTACAGCAGAGAGCCAGGAGGTCCAACCGCCGTAGACAGGAAGGTATGGCTCTGTTGGAGTCCCCATAGTGTGGAAATGAGTTTGCCCTGGAAAGGGAAAGAACAGCTTCTTGCCCTCAGGTTTCTCACCTTCTCCTCTCCTCACTCTCACCAAGGGCTGAAGTCCATTTGTATGCACACAAAGAAAAGAGTTTCTTCCTTTCCAGGAATTAAAATTGTCCTGGAAGACATCTTTACTTTATGGAGACAGGTGGAAACCAAAGTTCGAGCTAAAATCCGTAAGATGAAGGTGACAACAAAAGTCAACCGTCATGACAAAATCAATGGAAAGAGGAAGACCGCCAAAGAACAGTAAGATGTGCCTTGACACAAATACTGTTGTATGAACCATGTGCCAATCAAAGTAGACAACTGTAAAGTCCTTGAGAATATTTTCTACAATATTTGTGGCAAATTCAGTGGGTTCAAAATTGAGTTTGTCCTTTCTGCTTCATTAGTTTAAGCTGTATAATTCCTTTCCCTTCCTACATTCTTGTTTGTCATTTTTTCAGGGGAAGAGGAGTTGCTAGTACTGCATTGGTTTTCCTTTCTCTCTTTTTTTTTTTTTTTTTTTCCTGAGATGGGGCTTTGCTCTTGTTGCCCAGGCTGCAGTTCAATGGCACAATCTCAACTCACTGCCTTTTGGGTTCAAGCAATTCTCCTGCCTCAGCCTCCCAAGTAGCTGGGATTACAGGTGCCCACCACCATGCCCAGCTAATTTTTGTATTTTTACTAGATATGGGGTTTCACCATGTTGTCCAGGCTGATCTCGAACTTCTGACCTCAGGTAATCCACCCGCCTCAGCCTCCCAAAGTGCTGGGATTAGAGGCGTGAGCCACCACACCCAGCACCCAGCCTTTTTTTTTTTTTTTTTAATTTTGAGATAGAGTCTCGCTCTGTCGCCCAGGCTGGAGTGCTGTGGTGCAATCTTGGCTCACTGCAACCTCTGCCTCCCAGTTTGAAGCAATTCTGCCTCAGCTTCCCGAGTAGCTTGGATTACAGGTGTGTGCCGCCACATTCGGCCAATTTTTTTTTTTTTTTTTTTTTTTTTTGAGACGGAGTCTCACTCTGTCACCCAGGCTAGAGTGTGGTGGCATGATCTTGGCTCACTGCAACTTCCGCCTCCCAGGTTCAAACGATTCTTATCCCTCAGCCTCTTGAGTAGCTGGGACTACAGGCATATGCCACCATGCCCAGATAATTTTTGTATTTTTAGTAGAGGCGGGGTTTCACCATATTGGCCAAGCTGGTCTAGAACTCCTGACATCATGATCCGCACACCTCGGCCTCCCAGTGTGCTGGGATTACAGGCGTGAGCCACCGTGCCCAGCCCAATTTTTGTATTTTTAGTAGAGACGGGTTCACCATGTTGGCCAGGCTAGTCTTGAACTCCTGACCTCAGGTGATCTGCCTACCTCAGCCTCCCAGTGTGAGCCACCGCACCCAGCCTGGATTGTTGAATTCAATGCTTGGGTCACCTCCAGATTCATTTTCACAGTCTTTCATGTTTTGGTCATACTACATTGTATTTTGCTGCCATATGACTGATCTTTTTTTGTTAAATGTGAGATACTTTTTAAAAAATATTTAACAATGCATTGAGGCCTAGTAGCATGTTATCTTGCTGCAGAAGAGATGGGAGTCTACTTCTGGGGGATGGTCAGGGGTCCTCCGTACAGGCTGCAATTGAGGTCGTCTCTGCAGGCTCAGTCCCTACAAAGGCCAGGGTATTTCCTGTCCACCTCTATTCTGATGCATGACTCTTCTGGGTCTCAACCAGAGCCAGTGGACTTCAGTATGGATCGCTTTCATTGGCAGACCCTCAATCCACTTGTTTTCCATCTAACCCCACGCATGTGTGCAAAAGCTGCTGTGCTTCTTTGCATCTCAGTAGTTCCTTCTGGAATTCAGCAATGAAACTCAGGGAAATGGGTTCCAAATGCGAGGCTGACTTTCGTCCTGGGTTTCCTTCTTCTCCATCTTCACCTCATGTCTGTTTACTGCCATGTTAGCAATTTGATGTATTCAATCATGGTTTTTATATTCTGTTTGGTGTCCCCCATTGTTCTCATCGGAGATCAGAAGCTTCAGATGCACTTATGTCAACTCAAGAGTAGAATGCTTCCTTAGCTTCCCTCCAGAGTCAGGTTTTGTGTTTCTAGTTCCCAAGTGCACAGCAGGAGTAGTGATGTCCTCACTGGCTTCTCATTTGCATTAAACTGTGAGCTTCTTTAGCGTGGGGACAGGACCCTGCTCCCATTGCATTGTCAGCACCTCACCACACACTCCTTGTTTGAGGCCACTCCAGACAGCATGTGCTGAAGGATGCCCTGTGGTCAGAAACAAGTTCATTAACTTTCTCTTTGAAGTGTTTTCGTCCCTGTTTCCTAGCGTTCTGGGAATTTTACACATCCTTCCTATAAAACCAAGTATCAGGTGAGATCCTTAGGATCAGGACCATGAATCAAGTGGTGTGAGGGCAACACAGCAAACTTACCCTTTTGAGGCCGTTTCCTTTTTCTGCCCTCAATCTCTGTGAATTGAACCTTGTTAAAGTCAGTCAACACCAGGGTGGATGGTTTGCCGTTGTCACCTATTTTCAGGACATAACACCCTGACTTAGGAGCCATTCCGATCATTTCTAATTCAATAGATGCGCCCAGCATTCAGATTGCCTTTTCAGGATCTTTAAAGTCGATGACAAGAGTTCCAGTCCTGAATCATGGCAAAGTGCAGTAGTGAACTGCGGGGTTAATGACACCATATTCTGGAAGGATCTCTCTATGGCTGATGGTCTCAGTTCCGGCATCAGCCTCTGACTGAGAATCAGGTCTCACACAGGAGGAGTCAGATGAGGAGCAATCCTCTGCTTCCGATGGAGTTAGTTGTGATGAATTGGTGAGGTCTGGTTTTTCACACTGAACTAAAATGAGCTTTCGCTGTGTCAAGCACAAGACTGACCCCAGAGACGCACATAGTGCACCTCATAGAAGCTTTTAATAGTCTTTATATTTACTAAAGAATAGGACTAACTATGGAACTATGAAGATGAGCTGGAAATGACAGGTGACTTGCCAGCAGGCCAGAGTGTGATTTTTTTTATCCCTCAATGGGAGGTGTCCATTCTCCCTTCAGTTGTGAGAATCAGTTGGTTCATTTGTGGGAAGGTTGCAGGGGGGATCTTTGAATCACAGCCTTCAGATGCCAGAAGGGCAGAGGGAATCCCACACGTGCTGGTGGATCATGTGTGTGCATTTCTCTCCCTTCTAGTCTGAGGAAACTAAGCATGAAAGAACGTGAGCACAGAGAAGAGGAGAGGCAGGTGTCAGAGGCAGAGGAAAATGGGAAATTGGATATGAAAGAAATACACACCTACATGTGAGTTCAGAAACTGAACCCCACCCTCTTGGGAAACGCCCATTGGAGTGTTGTTTTTAACCTTTGTACAATGTTTAGACCCAGTAAATGCAGAAATAGAAACAAATGGTCAGAAGACATATCGTGAGAGAGAGAGAGTTCACAAAACAGAAAACAAAGTACCTTAATATTTACCAGTGACCAAAAGATGTGAAGTAGCAAAACGGCTCCTGACCCCATTGCCAGCTAGACTGTGTGGAAACTCGGTTCATACCAGCCATTCTAGGGGTGGGGTGAGTTGTTGTCATCCTTAGGAAAGTGTGTTGTTGTAGGATCAACCACATCCTTCAAAAGGACTATGCCTGTTTATAAGCCCAGCTGTTTCTGCCCTGTGAAACACGGTAAAGATATTAATACAAAGAGAATACAGCTTTATGATAAAAGATGCTCAATGAAGGATGAATTAGGGATATACTGAGAATGGGGAAGGAAACTATCATCTCAGAAGTCAGCAGGCAGTAAGCAAGAGGAGGAATCAATATAGCAACAGTTTGGATCAGACTGTACAGTTTTTTTTGTTTTTGTTTTTGTTTTTGTTTTTCTGAGATGGAGTCTCGCTGTGTCACCCAGGCTGGAGTGCAATGACGTGATCTTGGCTCACTGCAACCTCCGCCTCCCAGGTTCAAGTGATTCCCCTGCCTCAGCCTCCCGAGTAGCTGGGATTACAGGCGCCTGCCACCACCCCCGCCTAATTTTTTGTATTTTTAGTAGAGACGGGGTTTCACCGTATTAGCCAGGATGGTCTCAATCTCCTGACCTCGTGATCCATCCGCCTCGCCCTCCCAGAGTGCTGGGATTACAGGCGTCAGCCACCGTGACCGGCTCAGACTGTACTCTTCTAGCCATCTGAAATACGTTTTCTAGGTAGAGATAGATTGTGTAAGGGTACAGTTGTGAGGATAACAGAAACATGGCAGATTATTTAAAATCATCCTGAAAGTGGTGCTTTATCTGATGAAAGTGATTGTAATCCATAGGGAAATGTTTCAACGTGCGCAAGCGTTGCGGCGGCGGGCAGAGGACTACTACAGATGCAAAGTAAGGAGCTTCCTCCCCGCAGTTGCAGGATAGTTCAGTGCTGATGCAGATGATGCCACGGCCCTTAGACTCTCTCAACATTCAATTTCTCATGTGTTGGCTTTTTCAGATCACCCCTTCTGCAAGAAAGCCTCTTTGCAACCGGGTAAGTTTGCTTGTTTTCCTTGCTTTTGGACATAGTCTGCCAGGTCAGGACATGGATACATTTTTCTCCCTACGGCTCTGTGCTCAAGCCCTGCAGAGGGAGATGGCAGAGAGGAAGGCTGCCTACAAGCATCACAGTCCCATCCCTGTTGGTAACTGTGTTGCGCAAAAACACCTTCATCCCCACCCAGTGGGGCCCCCATCTAATATTCTAAGTGTCAGAGGTTCCGTATTTGTAATAGCAAATGGGCCCTGACTGTAAATTAGTGAAGAGTGAATGTAACTTATTACCCACAGGGACAATTCCAAATGAGGGCCTTAAATGATGCTCAGCTAAGCTGGTTCTTGTGTGGCCTCTGTACCTTCAAAAGCTGCCGAGTCCTATGATTACACGCGATGGGACTTGTACACTTGAAGTGAAACACAGTTTTAAAACTTGCTTTGTTTAGAATTCCCACCTCATTTTTCCATGGACAAAAGTATTCTTTATGTCCTAGTGCACTTACAATTTGGTATTACCTGGGAGTGAAAAGAAATATTACAGCCATGCCTAACTGACTTCTTGAGGTAAGATTGTTCTGTCAGAAAACCCTCTCCCAGTTCCCCTGCAGCTCTTCAGGAATCCACATCTCTCCAGAGCTCTTTGTTCTCATGGGTGGCACCTCCAGAGTGAAGAAGATCCTTTGTCAAGAAGGGAAACAGAGGGGAAATGAGAGGGTCCTGCAGGCAGAGCTGGAATCAACTTCCACTCTGCCTCTTGCAAGCTGTGTGACCCTGGGCACAATTTCTCCTTCCTCTGGAAACCTCTGTTTTCTTAGATTTGGAGCAGGGTGGTCACACTGACCTTGCAGAGTTCTGAGAATCAGAGACAGAACATAAAAGGCCTGGAAAACATTCTCCAAAAAGAAGCTGCAACATGTGTGGACAATGGGCTTTTCATGCCTCTCTTACTGTCTCTTACTGTCTATTGACCTGGTGCAAGAAACATGCTCTGGTGATGGCTGTGAGGGAGGAATGAGGATAGACATAGACACTCCTGTGTCTCAAACATGCTTCTTTATTACTCTGTTATGACTCTGTCTTCCCTGGGGCAGGACCCCAGCCTGCCTACATTTGCAGACAGACACAGTGGCATGTGGAGACAACAGTGTGTCCCAATGACTTTTCTTTACCCCCTAGCTGTCGGCAGTACTCAGTGGAAGGGTGATATTATGACACTGACACTGCTATTTTGAAACCTGGAGGATGGAAAGGTGCAAAAATCTATCACCAGCAACAGAAGGTGCAGACTGTGTTGGTGGCGGTAATTTTGTCCATCAAATGAATATGTGTGAAAACATTCCCTCCTTTGGCCCTACAGGTCAGAATGGCGGCAGTGGAGCATCGTCATTCTTCAGGATTGCCCTACTGGCCCTACCTCACAGCTGAAACTTTAAAAAACAGGATGGGCCACCAGCCACCTCCTCCAACTCAACAACATTCTATAATTGATAACTCCCTGAGCCTCAAGACACCTTCCGAGTGTGTGCTCTATCCCCTTCCACCCTCAGCGGATGATAATCTCAAGACACCTCCCGAGTGTCTGCTCACTCCCCTTCCACCCTCAGCTCTACCCTCAGCGGATGATAATCTCAAGACACCTGCCGAGTGCCTGCTCTATCCCCTTCCACCCTCAGCGGATGATAATCTCAAGACACCTCCCGAGTGTCTGCTCACTCCCCTTCCACCCTCAGCTCCACCCTCAGCGGATGATAATCTCAAGACACCTCCTGAGTGTGTCTGCTCACTCCCCTTCCACCCTCAGCGGATGATAATCTCAAGAAACTAAGGAAGAATAAATAAATAATATAAAAATAAAATGAATACTGCAGTCCTTATGTTATTGCTTTGTTTCAATATCTGGTATGATTGCCTGAGGGACCTGAGGTTTTTAATCGTAGGGGTTTTTTTAATCTTTAGAAGTGGTTGGTTATGTAAAATATTATTATTTGTTTTTTTTTTGAGACTGGAGTTTGCTCTGTCACCCAGGCTGGAGTGCAGTGGCTCGATCACAGCTCACTGCAGCCTCAACCTCCTGGGCTTCAAGCAATCCTCCTGCCCCAGCCTCCCAAGTAGCTGGGATCACAGATGTGTGCCACCACGCCTGGCCAATGTTAAAAAATCCTTTAACTTTTTTGTAGAGATGCACTCCTGGACTCAAGCAATCCTCCTACTTGTCCCGACCACCAGCCTCTTTCTGATAAACATTTACACTGTTTATTATCTGATGCCATTTCTATCTTCTTCCTTGTCATCCAGACATCAAAGAATTAGGTTTCTTCAGGGTTTTCTTTTTCAAGTGCTCAGTGTTAAAGATCACTCACATTAGGGCCAGACACCACGGCTCATGCCTGTAATCCCAGCACTTTGGGAGGCCGAGGCGGGCAGAGCACTTGAGGTGGGGAGTTTGAGACCAGCCCGGCCAACTTGGTGAAACCCCACCTCTACTGAAAAAATACAAAAATTAGCTGGGCGTGATGGTGCATGCCTGTAGTCCCAGCCACTTGGGAGGCTGAGGCATGAGAATCGCTTGAACCCAGGAGGCAGAGGTTGTAGTGAGCCGAGATCACATCAGCACACTCTAGCCTGGGTGACAGAGCGAGACTGACTCAAAAAATAAATAAAATAAATATCACTTACATTAGATATACCCAAGGGGTGGTCTATAGAGACTTGGAAGCAGTGGTTATTGCAACAGGGGCACGGAAGTCATCTGGCTATGCCAGGGTGCCCAGGGGATACTCGGGGTGGGTGGCATGGTGCTGCTGGGGACTCACCGCACAGGACGCTCTGATTGACGCACTGCCAGGAGTAGCGCTCTGTCTTGGGGCTGCAGCCGGCCTCCTCAGCTCGAGTGTAACAACAGTCGTGGCCATGGCAGCACCTGCGGATGTCACATGGGCAGGACAGCAGGTGGGTGAAGCTCTCTCCTGGCCCTCCTCTCTTGCCAGGACTATGGGTGACTGAAGACCCCCAGGGAGGCACAGCATCCTCTTATCTAAGATTTTTTTTTTTTTTTTTTTTTAAGAGACAGGGTCTTTCTCTGTCGCCCAGGCTGGACTGCAGAGGCACAATCATAGCTCACGGCAGCCTTGAACTCCTGGGCTCAAGCGATCCTCCCACTTCAGCGTCCCAAGTAGCTGAGACTACAGGCACACGCCAGCATGCCCGGCTGGTTTTTTAATTTGTATTTCCTTTGAGACAGCGTATCTCTCTGTTGCTCAGGCTGGAGTGCAGTGGCTCAATCAGCTCACTTTAGCCTTGAACTCCTGGGCTCAAGTGATACTGCCACCTCAACCTCCCAAGTCTGCTACTACAGGAACACAAACTCCTTTTTTAAATTTTTTATGGATATGGGGTCTTACTATGTTGCCTAGGCTGGTCTCGAACTCCCAGGCTCAAGCAGTCCTCCTACCTCAGCCTCCCCAAATGCTGGGATTACAGGTGGGAGCTACTGTACACCTGGCCTTATCTAAGCTGTTTCCCTGAAAATCCCCGTCTTGGGTAATGATTCCATTGGCCCCACCATGCCCTCTGCCTTCCTGGCTGTGCCCAAGCTTGGTCCCTGCCTGCCTGCCTGCCTCCCTCTCTGGGTCTTGAGCTCCTGTGACACATGACTCCTCTCTCTTCCTGGAGTGATCCAAGCCCTGCCACTTCCTGACTTTGCCCACACTGTACCCTCTGCCTGGGGCAACTTCATGTCTGCCCATTGTCCCTTAGGCCTCAGCCCAGGCACAAGCCCCTGCCTCCGGAGGTCATCCAGGCCTCACCAGGCTACACCCTCTCGTAAAATTGGATTCCCTCCCTTCAGGGCAGGTTTATAATGAAATCCTCCTCAGAGGCCAGGTGCGGTGACACCCATCTGTAATCCCAGCACTTTGGGAGGCTGAGGTGGGAGGATCACTTGAGGCCAGGGGGTCGAGACCAGCCTGGGCAACATAAGAGAGACTCTTGTCTCTATAACAAATTTAAAAATTAGTCACCAGGCCAGGCTCAGTGGCTCATGCCTGTAATCCCAACACTTTGAGAGGCCGAGGCAGGTGGATCACGAGGTCAGGAGTTCGAGAGCAGCCTGACCAACATGGCGAAACCCTGTCTCTACTAAAAATACAAGATTAGCCAGGCATGGTGGCACGCACCTGTAATCCCAGCTACTCGGGAGGCTGAGGTAGGAGAATTGCTTGAACCCAGGAGGTGGAGGTTGCGGTGAGCCAGGATCACGCCATTGCTGTCCAGCCTGAGCAACAGAGCAAGACTCTGTCTCGAGACAATAAAAACACACAAAAAATTAACTCGCCATGATGGCACATGCCTATAGTCCTAGCTACTTGGGAGGCTGAGGTGGGAGGATTCCCTTCAGCCCAGGAGTTTGAGGCTGCAGTGAGCCACTATGATTGTGCCACTGCACTCTAACCTGGGCAAAAGCGAGACCCCAGGCTAGAGTGCATGATTTTGGGTCACTGCAACCTCCACCTCCCAGGTTCAAGTGATTCTCCTGCCTCAGCCTCTTGAGTAGCTGGGACTACAGGCATGTGCCACCACGCCTGGGTAATTTTTGTATTTTTAGTAGAGACAGGGTTTAGTAGAGACCATGGTGAAACCCCGTCTCTATTAAACAAATCTCTACTAACCCCATCTCTACAAAAAACAGCTGGGCGTGGTAGTGCACACCTGTAATTCTAGCTACTTGGGAGGCTGAGGCACGAGAATCATTTGCATCTTGGAGGCAGAGTTTGCAGTGAGCTGACATCGCACCACTGCGCTCCAGCCGGGATGACAGAGCAAGACCCTGTCTCAAAAAAAAGAAAAAGGAACAAACAACAGCAACGACAACAAAAAAACCTCTGTGTCAATCACAGCCTACAAGCTAGGGGAGAGGCGGCCGAATTCTGCCCTCTGCTAACTAACTATAGCTTTGTGGAAATGGGTGAATGGCGTGCCCTTGTGAGCCTCAGGGCCCCATCTGTAAAATGGGCATAACTGTCATGCCCGTCTTTAAGAACAGCCTTGGGGGTAAATGAGTGGAAGTCATGGAAAGATCTCAGCCCACAACCTTCCACAGAACAGACGCTTCTCACACAGTAAGTAGCAGGAGTGCAGAGGCTGCAGGCATGAATCCAGCCAGACTGCCTGGGTTCAAGTCCCAGCTCCCACGTCTTGGTAACTATGTGGCCTCAGACAAGTTACTTAATATTTCTTTTTTTTTTTTTCAGACGGAGTTTTGCTCTGTCACCCAGGTTGGAGTGCAGTGGTGTGATCTCGGCTCATTGCAACCTCTGCCTCCCGGGTTCAAGCAATTCTCCTGCCTCAGCTTCCTGAGTAGCTGGAATTACAGGCACCTGCCACCACACACAGCTAATTTTTGTATTTTTAGTAGAGACGGGGTTTCACCATGTTGGCCAGGATGGTCTCGAACTCCTGACCTCGTGATCTGCCTGCCTCAGCCTCCCAAAGTACTGGGATTACAGGCGTGAGCCACCGCACCTGGACACGTTACTGAATATTTCTGTGCCTAGGTTTCTTCATGTGAAATGGGATTGTTGTGAGAACACAAAGGGATTCCCAGGGCAGTTCCTAGTGCATAGTCTGGCTGCCTTTGTATGTGTGTGTGTGTGTGTGTGTGTGCACGCGTGTGTGTGTGTGTGTTTAATATAGAGACAGGGTTTCACTCTGTTGCCTAGGCTCGTTTCAAACTCCTGGGCTCCAGTGATCCTCCTGCCTCGACCCAAAGTGGTGGGATTACAGGCATGAGTCAACACACCTGGTCACTTTATATTATTATTATTTTTTTCTTTTGAGACAGGGTTTGGCACTGTTGTCCAGGTTGGAATACAGCGGTGCAATCTCAACTCACTGCAAACTCCGCCTCCCGGGTTCAAGCAATTCTCCTGCCTCAGTCTCCCGAGTAGCTGAGATTACAGACGCCTGCCACCACACACAGCTAATTTTTGCATTTTTAGTAGAGATGGGGTTTCACCATATTGGCCAGGCTGGTCTTGAACTCCTGACCTCAAGTGATCTGCCGGCCTCGGCCTCCCAAAGTGCTGGGATTACAGGAGTGAGCCACCGCTCCTGGCCAATTTTTTAAGGCAACGTTTTCAGCCCATGGCCAGGGTAAGGCACAGCTAGTACCAAGATCTGGCTTCACTGGCCATGTTATCCAAGAGGCCTCTGCCTGCCTGCAAAGTAGTACTGCACACTGGGATCTCCCTGGACCAAACCCCAGCTTCAGTTTTGGGTACTTCCTCATAAGCCTTGACTACCCCAGAGTGTGAGGGATTTTGCAGCCTGGTCCCAGGCATGCACTCACCAGTCAATGGCATCGCGGGGCTGGCCATGGCCTCCCAAGCCACAAAAGCAACCATATTTCACATAGGCGATGGGAGTTCAGGGACCAACACAACCCACAATTCCTGCCAGTTCCAGGATCCCACGCCGGTGCACACATAATATCCTGGAGGCTGGGGGGTAAACAAAGGTGACAGGCTGCAGGTCAGGGCTTCCCAGACCCCTGGGAAGGGCATGAGCCTGAGAGGAGCCTAGGTATTACAGCCTGGCTGTCTGGGTTTGAATCCTACTTCCTGGCTGTGTGACCTTGGACAAATTCCTAACCTCTCTGGGCCTTGGTTTCCTCATCTGTGAAATGGGGGATAAGCTGACTTCAACTCATATGAATGAAATGAGATAATGAGTATAAAGCCCCTGGTGCATGAAAAGGCTATTATAATCCGGCTGGGCTCAGTGGCTTACACCTGTAATCCCAAGATTTTGGGAGGCCCAGGCGGGCAGATCACCTGAGGTCAGCAGTTCAAGATCAGCCTGGCCAACATGGTGAAACCCCATCTGTAGTAAAAATACAAAAATTAGCCGAGCATAGTGGTGCACGCCTGTAATCCCAGCTACTAGGGAGGCTGAGGAAGGAGAGTCACTTGAACCTGAGAGGCGAAGATTGCAGTGAGCCAAGATTTTGCCACTGCATTCCAACCTGGGCGACAGAGCAAGAGTCTCAAAAAAAGAAAAAAAAAAAAAGGCTAACTATTATAATCAAGGTCCTCAAGGTAGCCAAGGAGGGAAAAGAGTCGTGCATGAAACCTTTGTCCAGTTCCCTGTGTTGGGCACTCGGCATCATATGAGCCTACAGGTGTCTGTCACCAAGGTGGGCTCCTCTGTGGCAGCTCCCAGGCCCTGGCACTGCCCTGTGCTCATGACTTTTCCTCCAGACTCAGGCTCAGGGCCCTTGGTATCTCCTCTTATTTTCACTGCCAGATAGGAAGGCCCCTTGGACTGAGCCCAGCCATTTATCTAGATCCTGGCACAGCTTGGACATGTAATGGTGCCCAATGCATGTGACTGGAACCCCTGCATTGGACATGTAGGAAACGAGGCCAGCCGGGAAAGGTAACCCCACATTCCCACAGCCAGCAGGAACTCAAGCAGAGGCTTCAACCCAGGCTTCTGACTTGCAAACCAGTGCTCCTTCCTCCTTACACAGTAACAACAGGGGAAGGTGGCCTTCCAGGTTGCCAGAGCCGAGTGGTACCAGCAATAGAGTGGAAACTCACACACAGGCTTGCCTGCTTCCTGGTTTAGGTTTAGGGTTTATACGGCTCCGGGAGGTTGATGCATTGTGTTTGATCATCCCCTTTTTTTTTTTTTTGAGACAGAGTCTCATTCCTGTTGCCCAGGCTGGAGCACAGTGGTGTCATCTTGCTCACAACAGCTCCGGGAGGTTGACGCATTGTGTTTGATCATCCCTTTTTTTTTTTTTTTTTTTTTTTTGTTTGAGACAGAGTCTCATTCCTGTTGCCCAGGCTGGAGCACAGTGGTGTCATCTTGCTCACAGCAACTTCTGCCTCCCAGGTTCAAGCAATTGTCCAGCCTCAGTCTCCCGAGTAGCTGGGATCACAGGCGTGCCCCACCACACCCAGCTGATTTTTTTATTTCTAGTAGAAACGGGGTTTCACCATCTAGGCTGGGCCGGTCTCAAACTCCTGACCTCATGTGATCCACCTGCTTTGGCCTCCCAAAGTGCTGGGATTATAGGCGTGAGCCACTGCGCTCATCCTGATCATCTTGTCTCTCTTTTTTTAAATAGAGACAGGGTCTCACTCTGTCACCCACACTGGAGTGCAGTGGCACAATCATAGCTCACTGCAGCCTCCAAATCCTGGGCTCAAGCGATCCTCCTGCCTCAGCCTCCAGATCCTGGGCTCAAGCGATCCTCCTGCCTCAGCCTCCAGACATACGGGCATGCACCACCATGCCCAGCTAATTTTTAAATTTTTAGTAGATCTGCGGTCTCACTATGTTGCCCAGGCTGGTCACAAACTCCTGGCCTCAAGTGATTCTCCTTCCTTGGCCTCCCAAGGTGCTGGGATTCCAGGCATGAGCCACCATGCCCAGTCTCATTTCTGTTTTATCTAGAACATGTTTTCATCACACTGACTTTTTTGAGAAGTCCAGGCCAATTTTAAATTCCATTTTGTCTTTTTATCAGTGGAAAAGTAGCATATTTATGTTGCACGACAAAGATGAATCAAATAGGAAGAAAATGTAAAACACATTTGGGGCCGGGCACAGTGGCTCATGCCTGTAATCCCAGCACTTTGGGAGGCCAAGGCGGGCGGATCACCTGAAGCCAGGAGTTCCAGACCAGCCTGACCAACACGGAGAAACCCTGTTTCTACTAAAAATATAAAATTAGCCACGCATGGTGGCACATGCCTGTAATCCCAGCTACTTGGGAGGGTGAGGCAGGAGAATCGCTTGAACCCGGGAGGCAGAGGTTGCAGTGAGCCGAGCTCGTGCTATCACACTCCAGCCTGGGCAATAAGAGTGAAACTCCGTCTCAAAAAAAAAAAAAACACACGAAAATAAAACGGCATTTAGAGTTGAAAGCTTCACCTTCCTCTCTGGATGGTGAGTCCTCACTCTCCCAGCAGCCCACACCTCTGCCTCAAACCTCCATGGCTCCCATGAGTCTGGTTAAAGCTAAGGAGTCTCACTGCACCTCAAGTCCTGGGGGTAGTCAGCCCCTCTCACCCCTCCCTCATCCTCTCACACAAGAGTCATTTACTGTCCCTCCAGTTATGCCCGGTCACGCAGACACTCTGCTGCTCAAATGCCCTCACCCCATCCTCAGCCTGCTCCCAGGCCACCTCCCTCCAGAATCCACCCTGCCTGCCAGGTGGTCATAGGGACCCTCGCCATACTGTCTGCTTGTGGCAGTGCCCTCCAGCCTGGGGGGTCTTCCAGAGCAGATCTCTGGCCAAGCGCAGTGGCTCATGACTGTAATCTCAGCACCTTCAGAGGCCAAGGCAGGTGGATCACCTGAGGTCAGGAGATCGAGACCAGCCTTGCTCACATGGTGAAACCCCGTCTCTACTAAAAATACAAAAATTAGCCAGGTGTGGTGGTGGTGCATGCCTGTAGTCCCAGCTACTCAGGAGGCTGAGGCAGGAGAATCTCTTGGACCCGGGAGGTGGAGGTTGCAGTGAGCCAAAATGGTGCCACTGCACTCCAGCCTGGGCAACAGTGAGACTCTGTCTTAAAAAAAAAAAAGAAAAAGAAAAAGAGCGGAGCTCTGATATAAGCTGCCCTGGCACACAGTGAGCTTCCAGAAATGGTCCCTTGACCTCTAAATCCACCAAGACCCAGGGAACATGCCCTCTCTGAGCACTCTGACAATGATTTGCATTTCTCTAATGACCAGTGATGATGAGCTTTTCTTCACATGTTTGTTGGCCACATAAATGTCTTCTTTTGAGAAGTGTCTGTTCATATCCTCCGGCCACTTTTGGATGGGGTTGTTTTTTTCTTATAAATATGTTTAAGTTCCTTGTGGATTCTGGATATTAGCCCGATGGATAGATTGCAAAACTTTTCTCCCATTCTGTAAGTTGCCTGTTCACTCTGATGATAGTTTGTTTTGCTGTGCAGAAGCTCTTTAGTTTAATTAGATCCCATTTGTCAATTTTGGCTTTTGTTGCCATTGCTTTTGGTGTTTCAGTCATGAAGCCTTTGCCCATGCCTATGTCCTGAATGGTATTGCCTAGGTTTTCTTCTTGGGTTTTTATGGTTTTAGGTCTAACATTTAAGACTTTAATCAATCTTGAGTTAATTTTTGTATCAGGTGTAAGGAAGGGGCCCAGTTTCAGTTTTCTGCATATGGCTAGCCAGTTTTCCCAACACCATTTTAAATAGGGAATCCTTTCCCATTCTTGTTTTTTATTACAACTTTTTACCTAAACATTCAATAATTTTCACTAACTTTTTGGCAATGAGGCAGCTGAGTCTAAGTAGGTTAAATCACTTATCTGAGGTCACACGGCAGGACAGTGCTTGTTCTGCAAAGTTAAGTGTGTTTCTTTTTGTGGACCATGAGAACATCTCCAACTGCCCTTTTTGACTTGGCCACCAGGGAACTCAGCGCCATGTTCTCAAATCCAGTTTAGTAACTGGCCTTCTGGCCTGTATATCTTTATTCTACCTTCCATCCTGCTCTGTTCTGCTTTTACCTCTTATTCTAGATTATCTTTCTTTAGTCCTAATTTTAAATTTATATCTATAATCTTGTTATATATATTTCTTGGCATCTACTGTAAGTGGGTAGTGAACGAATAAACAAAATGTGATGAATTTTAGAGGACTAAGAGGGGCCTAAGTCACACCAAGATTCATGCTGGATAATTTGTCATCGACCCAGACTGTGGTTCTGCACTCGCCAGTAACCAGTTTTTTTTTTTTTTTTTTTTTGCTTTTTGCCAACCATACATTTTGCTTTCATGGTATCGAAGTGGTTTAAGCTTATGGCTTCCAGCCTGCAGTGGCTATGAGGGGTCAGTCTCTCATCAGGAGGGGTTGGCAGACTCTGTTCTCAGATAGGCAGCAAGGATGGAGGTGGGGCAGGAGCAATTTCACTACCTGCCTGGCGTCTGGGTCTTGCTTAGAGAAATAATTCCAGGCTCTGCTGCTTTCGACTCTGTCTCTCATGGTTCCACTGATTCCTGCAGAGATCTAGAGAGAAAATTTCCAGCGAGGAGTTTCTGGCTCGTTTGATTTTGAACACGTTTTGAGTATTCCACCCCTTACCCCCCCGCCCCCACTCACTACTCTGTAGTTTTTTTTTTTTTAAGAAAACAGTTTGAAAGCACAAATAAATAAATAATTCAAAACAGAGGGGCCATTTTTATTTACTTTGGTTGTTTCAGGAGAGGGAAGGGAGCTTACACTTTTTTTGAACTCTTATTCTATGCCAGCCGATGTGCTGCATTCTTAGCTTAAAAGCCTGCTTCTCTTTGATTTCAGAATAACTTGGAAATAAATGATCAGACCCTGCATGCTCTGATCCTGGCTGTCTGCTCTAACTAAATCTCCTCTTCCTTGCTTCCTCCAGCGAGTTGTTCTCCCTTCACCTCCCAGCACAAGCTTTGCACGTGTTGCCGTCTGTCCTACAAAGGTCTGTCCCTTCCCAGTCTCCGTGTGACTCCCTCCTTCACACCCATGGTTCTCCACTGAAATGTCCTTTGAGCACGTCTCAGATGCCTCAGTCTAAAGTAGATGATTCTGGGCTGGGTGCAGTGGCTCACGCCTGTAATCCCAGCACTTTGGGAGGCTGAGGCAGGCAGATCACCTGACATCAGGAGTTCAAGACCAGCCTGGCCAACATAGTAAAACCCCGTGTCTACTAAAAATACAAAAATAAGCCAGGCATGGTGGCGGGTGCCTGTAATCCCAGCTACTTGGGAGGCTGAGGCAGGAGAATCGCTTGAACCTGGGAGGTGGAGGTTGCAGTGAGCTGAGATCATGCCACTGCACTCCAGCCTGGGTGACAGAGCAAAACTCTGTCTCAAAATAAATAAATAAATAAATAAATAAAGTAGATGATTCACAGAAACCTCTGTTCTTTTAGAGCACTCTTCAACACTTTTTATGCTTTTTATGTTTGATTTCTAATAAATATGTTTCTTTCACTATACCATAAGTATATTCCTTCTTCTAAGTTTCATTAAGGTAGAATCACGTATGTCTTATTTCCTGTTATATCCCTAAGTACCTAGCATGTAGTAGGCATTCAATAAAAATTGATTGAATGATTGAACACTCAATCCCATGATTTGAGTGTTTTTTTTGTTTTTGTTTGTTTGTTTGTTTTGAGACAAAGTCTTGCTCTATCACCCAGGCTGGAGTGCAGTGGTACTATCTTGGCTCACTGCAATCTCTGCATCCTGGGTTCAAGTGATTTTCTTGCCTCAGCCTCTCAAGAAGCTGAGACTAACTACAGGCATGTGCCACCATGCCCAGTGATTTGTTTTGCATGTGTGTGTATTTTTAGCAGAGATGGGGTTTCACTGTGTTGGCCATGCTGGTCTTAAACTCCTGACCTCAGGCCATCCACCCTCCTTGGCCTCTGAAAGTGTTGGGATTACAGGTGTGAGCCACCACGCCTGGCCTTTTGTAATTATTCTAACAGCTACTACTTATTAGGTGCTGACTATATGCCAGGCACTGTGCCAATTGATTTATTTATTTTCAGGGATTGGGTCTTGTTCTGTCACCATGGCTGGAGTTCAGTGGCACAATCATAGCTCGCTGAAGCTTCAAACTCCTGGGGTCAAGCAGTCCCCCTGCTTCAGCTTCCCAAGTAGCTGGGATTACAGAGATATACCATTACACTCAGCTAATTTTAAAAAATGGCTAATTTTTTTTTTCAGAGATGGAAAAAAAACAAAAAACAAAAAACAGCTACTACTTATTAGGTGCTGACTGTATGCCAGGCACTGTGCTGATTTTTTTTTAATGTTTTTTATTTTTTTAGAGTTGGGGTCTAGTTCTGTCACCATGGCTGGAGTTCAGTGGCATGATCATAGCTCACTACAGCTTTGAACTCCTGGGCTTAAGCAATCTTCCTGTCTCAGCTTCCCAAGTAGCTGGGATTACAGGCATGGGCTATCACACCCAGCTAATTAAAAAGACATTTTATTGTATAGATAGGGGTCTGGCTGTGTTGCCCAGGTTAGTCTCAAACTCCTGGCTTCAAGCGATTCTCCTGCCTCCACCTCCCAATGTGCTGGTGTTACAGGTGTGAGCCATGGCACCTGGCCCTGTGTTGATGTTTTACATACAGCATCTCATTTAATCCCCACCAGGATCCTGTGGGGATGGATTGGATTATCCCCCACTCCTTGGAAGAGCTTAAGGATACCCAACCAGTTGGTGATTGAGCTGGGATTTGAACTCAGGCATTCTAATGGCAAAGCTGTGCCCCTTCCACTCTACCATCGTGTTCCTCTCCAGGGGAGGTGTCCCTGCAGTGCTGTGACTTTGTCGTCGAACATGTGCTGAGGTACGTGAATCCTCTGGAGAAGAAGGGCAAAGGAACAGGCTTTCCAGGCAGGAAGCCCCTGCAGGCGAGGGAGGAAGGCTGCAAGGGACATGGTAGGAGGTATCTTGCTCCCCATAGCTGGGCTGGGAGGATGAGATGGCTGAGAGCCAGGAGCCGGGCTGGGGTTAGGCTCATATCAGCCTGCAGAGGGCTTTGGGGAACCCAGGCTTTGGGGCCAGACAAACATAGCTTCTCACCCACCTGATCATTTCCTCTCTGTTGTATCCTATGTTTCTGGGTCTCAGTTTCCTTATCTATGAAATGGGGATACCATGACCTGTTCTGCCTGCTTCATAGAGTGCTAAGGAGCAGATGACATAACGTGTGCAAAAGCAGCTGTTCTTATTTCTATCACTTATTTTCATTATCGCTATTCTCAAGCAGGCAGACGGTAATTTTTTACCTCTTTCTTTTTTTTCACCCTTGAGTTGTTTGGAAGTTATTTTTAAAAGTCTTTGAAGTGTCCTTTTCCATATTTGGCAAAAGCAAAATGGAAATTGATAGCATTGTCACCGTCGGCATCCCCTCACTCCGGCCGCCTGGCTGGGGGACAGCTCTGGGAAAATGTGGAGATGTCTGTTGTGGGCGACTGGTTTGTTATTGCGTGAACTTTTCTGGCGAGACCTGACCAGCTCCCTTTTAAGGCAATTCCTCGTGTTCTTGTTCCTCCTCTTTTCTTTTCCTGCCAATGTCAGGTCCTTTGTGCCATCTCCAGGCTCAGAAATCCGTACAGCCAGAGTCGGTCCCCAGTTTGGCCACTTCCAGCTGAAAAGCTTTCCCATGCCTTCCCTTTAACTTAGAATAGCATCCAAATCCTTCATTGTGACCAAGGCCCTGTGCAGTCTGCTCCTGTCACTTTCCTCTCCATTACTCAGCTCCAAAAGTGTCACCTCCCTTGACTCCTCCAATGCCCCACATGGTTTCCAGCCCCAGGGTCTTTGTGGGGTCTTTGCCAGGAATCCTGTTCCCCGTTTTTTTGTTATGGGTAGCTCTTTCTCATCTTTGACATCTCTGCTCCAGAGTCAACTTCACACATGGCTCTTCCCTAACCCACACTAAAAAATAAGCCTCCTTAAAGAAAAAAAAGAGGCTGGACGTGGTGGCTCATGCCTGTAATTCCAGTGCTTTGGGAGACTGAGGTAGGAGGATCACTTGAGACCGGGAGTTTGAGATCAGCCTGGGCAACACATTGAGACCCCATCTCTACAAAAAAAAAAAAAAAAAAAAAAAAAATAGCGAGGCGTGGTGCTGTATACCCATAGTTCTAGCTACTCTGGTGGCTGAGGCAAGAGGATTGCTTGAGCCCAGGAGTTCAAGGCTGCAGTGAGCCGTGATTGCACCACTGAACACCAGACGCAGTGTCATGTACTTGTAGTCCCGGCTGCTTGGGAGGCTGAGGTGGGACCATCTCTTAAGCCTGGGAGTTTGAGGCTACAGTGAGCCCTGATCATCCCTGTGAATAGCCATTGCACTGCAGCCTGAGTTACACAGATACGTCTCTTAAAAAATAAATGAAAAGAAAAGCCTTTTAAATTCAGTGTCTTCGCATAGTTAGTCCAACCTTAAGGAGTGTTACCAGATACAAACAGGATGCCCAGTTACATTTTTTTTTTTTTTTTTTTTTTTGAGACAGAGTCTCACTCTATCCCCCAGGCTGGAGTGCAGTGGCATGATCTTGGCTCACTGCAACCTCTGCCTCCCAGGTTCAAGTGATGCTGATGCCTCAGCCTCCCGAGTAGCTGGAATTACAGACGTGCACCACCAGGCCTGGCTAATGTTTGTATTTTTAGTAGAGATGGGTTTTTGCCCTGTTGGCCAGGTTGGTCTCGAACTCCTGATCTCAGGTGATCTGCCCACCTTGGCCTCCCAAAGTGCTGGGGTGACAGGCGTGAGCCACCATGCCTGGCAAAACTTTGTAGCCCAGTTTGTTCTATTTTTTTTTTTTTTTTTTTGAGACAGAGTCTCGCTCTGTCGCCCAGGCTGTAGTGCAGTGGCATGATCTTGGCTCACTGCAATTTCTGCCTCCCGGGTTCAAGTGATTTCCCTGCCTCAGCCTTCCAAGTAGCTGGGAATATAAGGGCGTGCCATTGCACCCAAATTTGAACCTTAGATAAACATTGAATAATTTTCCAGTATTACATCAGATACATAACTTGTATTTAAAAAATCATTCCTTATTTCACTGGATTTAAAATTGAATTGGGTGTCATATATTTTTACTTGTTAAGTCTGGCAACCCTACCCTCTAGAGAGAGGTGTTGAATGAATGAGTGTGAAGTCCTTAGCTTAGGGCCTGGCACTCAGTAGGTGCTAAGTAAATGTCACCTGTCAGCATCTTCCTCCTCCTCTTCTTCCTCCTCTAGTTGCTTCTCGGAGCTAAGGTCTCCCTGCTCCTTTTTTCCTCTATGGAAATGGATGAGAAAAGGTTTTCTAACAAGGGGCCATCACCTGGATTTTTAGAATAGCATAAAATATTCTCTGCTGCAGCTTCGGAATCCGACTGTGCTGGTGTTTGGCAGGAAAATGCAGTGAGTTATCACAGAGCGTTCCCTCCAGCACTGGGTCATGCAAATATTTATTGCGAGCGTTAAATAATAAATGGAGCAGCCTGCCCAATGGTAAATCTGTCATGTTTGGTTTCAGCCAGGAGTTGTGATGGCTCTGGAATCGCTGCCCGTTTCACCGCATCCACCTGCCCTCTAGAGGAGCAAGGCAAACAGCCGAGTTCTCTGGGGTGGCATCAGTGGGCTGGTGTGGAAGCCAGAGGGGCGGTGGGGGGAGTCAGCCAGGCATGGAAACTGGCAGGTAAGGCAGCCCTGTGGCCCAGGAACCTGAGCCGCAGCCACACCGAGCAGGCCTGGACCTTTGAGTCCCGCTGCCACCACAGTTCTCAGGGGACACGGTCTCATTGTCCACATCTGGATTTATCTTTCCGTATTTCCCTCATTGCTCTTGTCAGCTTCACTCTGGCTGACTGGCTGGAGCTGGCAAGCTTCTGAAAGTGGAGTCAACCTTCCGACCCTTTTTCTAGGCTGAGTGGTGGGTGGAGGAATGAGACCGTGTGTTGGACTCAAACTCGATGCAATAACGTTTCCCAGCCCCTGTGGTGTGCTGGGGCTCCTAGCACACATCCTCTTGTTTAACCTCAGCATTGCAACCTGAAACACAGACACATGGGTTCTTGAGCCAGATGCCTCTGAGTTGGAATCCTATCTCTGCACTTAACAAGCGGTATGACCTTGAGTGAGCCACAGTTTTTCAGAGCCCCTGTTTCCTGATCTGTAAGGTGGGGGAGATGGTGGCACTCACCTTATGGGGCTGTTATGTATTAGTCCATTGAGGTGTCTTAGCCTGTTTTGCGTTGCCATAAAGGAATACTTGAGGGTGAGTAATTTATAAGAAAAGAGGTTTGTTTAGCTCACGTTCTGCAGACTGTACAAGAAGCATGATGCCAGCATCTGCTTCTGGTGAGACCTCAGGAAGCTTTTCTTCACTGTGGAGGATGAAAGGGGAGCAGGTGTGTCACATGGTGAGAAGAGGGGTGAGAGAGAGACAGGAAGGGTGCCAAACACTTTTTTAACAATCAGACCTCGCCGTGAACTAAAAGAGTGAGAACTCACTCATTACTCAGGGAGGGCACCAAGCTATTCATGAGGGATCTGCTCCCACCACCCAAATACCTCTCGCCAAGCCCCGCCTCCAACATTGGGGATCACATTTCAACATGAGGTTTGGAGGGGACACACATCCAAACTATCTTATGAGGTAGTAGGATAATGTAGGTGAAGACTTGCACAGTGCCCGGGACCTGGGGACAAATGCTAGCTCTAATGGTTAATAATGGTCCAGAGAAGAAAATAACTGCTCAGATGCACAGACATGACTGCACTAGTCAACCATGCAGGTATGAGTCCCCATCCTAGAGTATGGGGTGCATAGAGCTCTAGCCCACCATTATTGAGTTGTAGAACTAAGGCTCCAATCTGGGGCTTTATGGATCCCTAAATCATGCCCTTTCACCTTCCCCATATCTGCTTTATTCCTCATAGGGTGGCAGGGAGGGTGGAGCTCATGCCTGGCCTTAATCATCATGGCCTAAGTTTGGTAGTGTCCAAACAGTGGTGAGGGGTGAAGTTGTAGGGTTGCCAGGTAGGTTGTGTTTGGCTTCAAATCACTGAGAACCCAACTGGAAGTGGTGTAGATGCTAATGGAAGTTATTGTTTCTCTGCAGGGGGCCATGTGGTTAATTGATTCAGTGGCTCCATTGTGGAATGGTGGGCCTTGTTTCCTTCCACTTTTCCACTATTCCATTCTTAGCAGCTGGCTCTTGCCCTCAGCCACACCCCATCATGGTCTCAAGATAATATGGACAAGAGAGAAGAGAGCCTTCTTCCACTTGTTCCCCGCTTGTTTTTGAGACAGGGTCTCGCTCTGTCACCCAGACTGGAGTGTAGTGGTGCAATCATAGCTCGCTGCAGCCTTGAACTTCTAGGCTCAAGTGATCCTCCTTCAGTTTCCTGAGTAGCTGGGACTATAGGTGCATGCTACCATACCCAGCTAACTTCAGAGTTTTTTCTAGAGATGAGGTCTCCCTCTGTTGCCCAGGCTGGTCTCGAACTCTGGGCCTCAAGTGATCCTCTTGCCTCAACCTCCCAAAGCACTAGGGTTACAGATGTGAGCCACCACGCCCAGCCCATCTGTCCCTTTTTATGATCATTTTCTCATTTTCTCAGAAGCTGCCAGCTGACTTCTCCTTCATCGCATTGGTCAGAAATGTATCACGTGCCCTTTTCTAAGCCAGTTGCTGGCAAGGGAATGGAATTCCCAAGGTTGCCTTAGACCAGTGCTTCTTAAAGTGAGATCCCCAGGCCAGCAGCATCTGCCATGTCTAGGCAATTTTAAGAACTGCAAATTCTCAGACCCCAGTTCAGACCTACTAAATCAGAAACTCTGGGGGTGGGATCTATGTTTTTATTTATTTATTTACTAGAATCGGGGTCTCTGTTGCCCAGGCAGGAGTACAGTGACACTATCATAGCGCATTGCAGCCTCCAACTCCTGGGCTCGAGCGATCCTCCTGCCTCAGCCTCCCATGTAGCCAGGACTAGAGGTGTGCACCCCCACACCCAGCTAATTTTTTTATTTTTTGTAGAGACAGGGTCTTGCTATGTTGTCCAGTCTGGTCTCAAACTCTTGGCTTAAACAATGCTCTGGTCTCAAACTCTCAGCCTCCCAAAGTGTTAGAATTACAGGCGTGAGCCACTGCGCCCGGCCCATAGTCTATGTTTAAACGTGCCCTCCGGGGGTTTCTGATGGACACTGAGTTTGAGAACCTCTGGTTTCCTAAGATCTTTTCCTCTGAAGAGCCAGAGAATAAATATTTCAGGCTTGTGGCCACACAGTTTCTGTAGCAACCACTCTGTTCTGCTGTTGCAGTGTGAAAGCAGCTATAGATGATAATAAATAAGTGAATGGGTTTATTTATGGAGACTGAGATTTGAATTTCACCTAATTTTTATGTGTTAGGAGATATTATTACACTTTTGATCTTTTCTAACTACTTAAAAATGTAAAAGCCATTTCCAGCTCCTGAGCCGTACAAAAGCAGGTGGTGGGCCGGGTTTAGGCAATGGTTTGCCAGCCCTCCATCAGACTGCTCAAGATTCATCCCCTGAAACTGGGGAGAGTCTAATAGTCTTAAAACACAGAGAGCCCCAGATTCTTTAGAAAATTGGAATTTGGGCTGGGTGTGGTGGCTCACATCTGTAATCCCAGCACTTTGGGAGGCTGAGGTGGGAGGATGGCTTGAGCCCAGGAATTTGAGGCCAGCCTGGGCAACATAATGAGACCCCATCTTTACAAAAAATAAAAATAATAGTCGGACGTGGTGGCATGTACCTGTAGTCCCAGCTACTCAGGAGGCTGAGGCAGGAGGATCTCTTGAGCCCAGGAGTTTGAGGCTGCAGTGAGCTATGATCACGCCACTGATTGCAGCCTGGGTGACAGAGCAAGACACTGTCTCTGTCTAAAAAAAAAAAATGAAATTTGGGCCAGGCGCGGTGGCTCATGTCTCTAATCCCAGCACTTTGGGAGGCCAAAGTGGGTGGATCACCTGAAGTCAGGAGTTCAAGACCAGCCTGGCCAACATGGTGAAACCCCATCTCTACTAAAAATGCAAAAATTAGCTGGGCGTGGTGACACGTGCCTGTACTCCCAGCTACTCGAGAGGCTGAGGCAGGAGAATTGCTTGAACCTGGGAGGTGGAGGTTGCAGTGAGCCAAGATTGCACCATTGCACTCCAGCCTGGGTGACAGAGCGAGACCCTGTTTCAAAAAAAAAAAAAAAACAAAAAGGGCTGGGCGTGGTGGCTCACGCCTGTAATCCCAGCGCTTTGGGAGGCCGAGGCGGGCGGATCACAAGGTCAGGAGTTTGAGACCAGCCTGGCCAATATGGTGAAACCCTGTCTCTACTAAAAATACAAAAATTAGCCGGGCGTGGTGGCAGGCGCCTGTACTCCCAGCTACTTGGGATGCTGAGGCAGGAGAATTGCTTGAACCTGGGAGGCGGAGGTTGCAGTGAGCCGAGAGTGCACCACTGTACTCCAGCCTGAGTGACAGAGCGAGACTCCGTCAAAAAAAAAAAAATACTGATAATGACAGTGCTAACAGCAATAATAGATAGCTAACAAGTGTGGAGTGCTTATCCATCTTCTAGTCCCCACCTTCCTTTAGCCCAGGAGTTCGAGGCTGCAGTGAGCTATGATTGTGGCACTGTACTCTAGCCTGGGCAACAGAGCAAGGTCCTGTCTCTAAAAAAATAAAAGCATAAAAATAAAATAACCAAACTTTTTATTAACCTTCTACCCCCAGAGGGCCCCCTCCCTCAAATAGCTCATTAACTAGACCTGGTTTGCATGCCCACCCCCTCTAGGGACTGAGCCCAACTTCTGAGATAGGGACCCTTGAAAGAACTGGGGTTCTGTTAGCAAGAAGAATTAAGACAAGAGGATGACTTTTGGTGTTGACAGTGTCTGCCCCTGTTTTTTGTTTGTTTTTTTGAGATGGTGTCTCGCTCTGTCACCCAGGCTGGAGTGCAGTGGCGTGATCTCAGCTCACTGCAACCTCTGCCTCCTGAGTTCAAGCGATTCTCCTGCCTCAGCCTCCCGGGTAGCTGGGATTACAGGCGTGTGGCACCACACCTGGCTGATTTTTGTATTTTTAGTAGAGACAGGATTTCACCATGTTGGCCAGGCTGGTCTCGAACTCCTGACCTCAGGTGATCCACCCGCCTTGGCCTCCTAAAGTGCTGGGATTACACGTGTGAGCCACCGTGCCCAGCCTGCCACAGTTCTTTACACATTTGATCTTTAGCTCACCCAACAACCTTGTAAAAATATGATTGCTACCCATAATTTTCAAATAATCTACGTATGCGTAAGAGAGAGAAGTGATTCCCCAAAGATCACGCAGCTAATAAAGTGGAAGGGAGAACCCAGGCCCACCTGGCTCCGAAGCTCACACTCTTTCCACTAAGCTGCCTGCTTCTTTCATTGGAATAGAGGTTCTCAATCGTGAATGGTAGGAGTGGGGTGCGGTGAATTTTGACCCTCGGGTGAAATTTGAAAATGCTTGGAGACATTTTTGGTTGTCATAATTGGGAGAAAGGGTGTGATATTGGAATCTAGTGGATAGAGGCCATGGATGCTGCTAAAGTTTTTATAGTGGGCCGGGCGTGGTGGCTCATGCCCATAATCCCAATATTTTGGGAGGCCGAGGTGGGTGGATCACCTGAGGTCAGGAGTTCGAGACGACCCTGGCCAACACGGTGAAACCGCGTTTCTACTAAAAATACAAAAATTAGCCAGGCGTGGTGGTTGGTGCCTGTAATCTCAGCTACCCGGGAGGCTGAGGCAGGAGAATCACTTGAACCCAGGAGACAGAGGTTGCAGTGAGCTGAGATAGCGCCACTGCACTCCAGCCTGGGCGACAGAGCGAGACTCTGTCTCAAAAAAAAAAAAAATTATAGTACATAGGACAGCCCCACAACAAAGAATTATTCAGCCCACAATGGTGCCAAAGTTGAGAAACCCTATATACTAAAACAAGCTCTTTGAGGGCAGGGATCATACTACCTTGACTACCTTGTTCAATTCTCAATCCTTTATACCCTGCCTGTCCTGGCACATTGTAAGTGCTCAGTAAGTAATGACTGAGCAACTGAGCAGATGTGCTACACCAGATTCCAGAGTCAAATAATCATAGACTTGGAGAAGTGCAGGGTTATGGGGGCTGCAGTATAACACTCTACCTCACAGTGGGTGCATCCAAGCCACCAGCTTCCCCTGGTTCCAGAAGGCCTGTTAGAGACATGTCTTGCATTTGCACTTGGTCCAGCACAGCCCATGCCTCCCACTTGTGAAAAGAGGCTGACTGATGGGTGGTGATCAGGGTTGGCTGCCTTTTCATTTTTGAGATCATGGGAACAGAGGGACCGGATGAAGAAACACTTCTCTGAATCTACCCATTTCTAAATGGATGAATCACCAAGGAGGAAACTCAAAGATTAATTTCTCACTGCCCTTCTTCCCTTGCTCTGCTCTTTGTAGACAGTTACTGGTGCTCCAGGGCAAAAGATAATGAAAGTTCTTCCTTGCATCAAACTATTTTCTTCAGGAGATAGAGCCAGCATTAGCCAAAGAGATGGTCTGGGCTCTGGGAGCTTGGCTTGGAGGCCCAGGACATTCAAACAGTCCTTCCCGGAGAACAGGCTGGACCTGCAGTGATGAATAATTATTTTGCAATTGACAGTTCAATACCCACCAGATTCTTCATTGTATGTTTCTGTATCGTGTCAAGTTATGAGAAAACGCAATATTCTTTAACAGCTAGGCAAGAACAATGGTTTTTGCTCATTTGTTTGTTTGTTTCCACCCCGCAGAGGTCAGTTTTTGCAGTAAGAAGAGTCTCATTCTTTTTTTATTTTATTTTATTTGTATTTTGAGACAGTCTCTCTCTGTCATCCAGGCTGGCTGGACTGCAGCGGCTGCAACCTCCATCTCTCAGGTTCAAGGGATTGTCCTGCCTCAAACTTCTGAGTAGCTGGGACTACAGGCATGCCTACGCCCTGCTAATTTATTGTATTTTTAGTAGAGACAAGGTTTCAACATGTTGTCCAGGCTGGTCTTGAGCTCCTGACCTCAAGTGATCCACCCGCCTCACCCTCCCAAAGTGCTGGGATTACTGCCATGGGCCACTGTGCTCGTGACTCTTCAAGAAGAGTCTTGAATTTACTCTGAATGTGTCCTTGGTTGGCACAACCACGAGCAGAATATGCATCCTATCTATCCTCACAAACACTGCGTTTATTATCCCCAATTTGCCTTTGAGGAAATGGAGGCTCAGAGAGGTTAAATAACTTGCTCAAGGTCACGTGGGCAATGAGTGGTGGAGTGGAGATTTGAACTCAGGACTGTCTGTGACCCTCCCAGCCCTGCAGTCTCCAAGTCTCCAGTACTATCTGGCTCTAAAATCCGTACTATTCCCTCTGCTATGTTTTTGTGGCGACTTGAACTCTTCCTTCAAAGTCTTGGCTGCTGCTATGAACTGAACGTGTACCTTGTGAAGTTGTATTTTTTCCATATTGTAATTCCATCCTTCAAAAGTAAGTCTTGTTACTGAAAGACTGTTTCAACCGTCCTGGGGTAGGAGTGGCTAACAGGTTGGCTTGGGTCCCACAGTGAAATCTGTTCTGAGCCAGACCCTCCCGAGGGGACAGGGGACGAGCAGGAGAGATTGTAGCTGAAGTAGACATCTCCTGGGTTCCCAGAAATGTGGAAGAACCTTGTGCAAAAACAGCTTCCTGCAGAGCTGCAAGATGGGATCCAGGTTATTGGTATTTGAGCACTGTGTTTAGGGGCTATGAGAGAAACCTAACATGAACCGGCTGAAGGAAAAAAGTGGAGGATTACATGAAAATGAATTCAGGGAGCTTGCAGGTGTACTGAAGGGAAGTGTGAGCTCTAAAAGCTGGAAAAGGTCTAAACGTGTAGATTACAAAAATATCTGCAGCTTAGCATGGCAATGACGGATAAAGCGTCAGATATGTGTTTGTCATCCAGTTGTCTATGGCTGTGCAACAAACCACCCAACATGTAGTAGCTTAAAACATGACAGTCATTTATTTTGCTCACACATCCACAATTTGGGCAGGATGTTGAGGGGACAGTTCGTTCCTGCTCCACGTGGCATCAGCTGGAGCTCACCAGGGGGCTGCAGAATTCATTTCTGAGATGGCTCCTCTAGCGGTTGCTAAGTTGGCGCTTTCTGGTTGGCTGGGAGCTCAGCTAGGCTGTGGTCCAGGGGACTTGGTTCCTTTGTTTGGGCCTCTCCTCTCTTCAGCTACTTGGGCTTCCTCATCGTATGGTGGCTGGGCTCTAAGACAAGGAGAACCCAGTGGAAGCTCTGTCACATTTTATGATGTAGCCTTGGATGTCGCATAACGTTTCTTCTATATTCTATTGGTCAAGCAATCGCACAGTCTGGATTCAACGGTAGATGACATAGGTTCTACCTTTTGATGAATCAAAAAATTCTGGGATCATGGTTTGAAACTACCAAAAAGTAGCGGCTGTATTGTTTGTTATTATTACAAAGTAGGCCGTGTGCAGTGGCTCACACCTGTAATCCTAGCACTTTGGGAGGCCAGCCTGGGCAACATAATGAGACCCGGTCTCTAAAAAAAAAAAAAAAAAAAAAAAGGAGAGAGATTAGCCAAGTGTGGTGGTGTGTGCCTGTAGTCCCAGCTACTTGGGAGGCTGAGGTGGGAGGATCACTTAAGCCCAGGAGATCGAGGTGGCAGTGAACTATGATCACACTAGGCTGGGAGACAGAGTGAGACCTTATCTCAAAAAAAAGTTAATGATAATTACTACAAAGCAAGGCCAATAGTACAAAAACAGTGATCTTTCACAGTCTATGATATAGCAGGACAGTGCTAGATGTTCCCCATCTGCTATGCCATTTATTCCTCCCCAAAATTTGGGAAGCTCAGGGAGGCATATAAACTGCCTAAACAGGGCCGTGAAGCTAGGAAGTGCTAAAGCCAGGATTTAAACCCAGAAGTCAAATGCTAAAGACTCTGCTAGACTGACTACCTGATTCTAGAGGCTGGGGTGTGTGCTAGGTATCTGAAAGATTGGAGAGATGCAGACAGAAATGTGTGAATGTGAGTGTGCAAATTTGCACAAGGCCAGTAGCACCTAAGGGGGCCCATGTGGGAGATGGGAGGGTCCCTGCCATCTGCTTCCTTCTCCTCATCCATTTCACCCTGGTCTTCTCAGCCCTCCCCTCTCCTCCATGCCCCTCCTTGGTCTCTTCCCATGGACCCTGTGAGAGCCCCTCTCCAGCTGTTTATGGGAGATGTTGAAGGAGAAGCAAGGGCTCCTCACGACCCTGTCTCTGCCTCTTTCCTGTGCTCTGGGACATCTGAACTGTCACATAGTCAGCTGGCAGGGAAGCCCAATTTTCCTTTGGCTCTCCAAAGGGCCTGATTCATGGGTTAGGCTGAGATCAGATAGAGCCCTTGGGTCAGGTGGGTGGGATTCTGGCTCCCAGGGCTGCTGGCAGGTGCCATCTGGTTGTTCTGGAGGGAGTTGAGGGGAATGGTTCCCACCTGGACAGTGTCTGAGGGGTGAGCTGGTGAAGCACTGGGCGGGTGGGGAGCTGGCAGGGACGGGACAGATACAGAGAGTGCCAGGAGGTGTGGACAGCTGCTCGCAGGGCTCTTGGTGACTTTGCCAGGAAACTGTGTCTAGACAGCCTCTGTCTGATCTCTCTTCTCATCCCACATCATCTCCCCGGTTCCTCCCTGGCCTGAGGCCGTCCTGCCAGGTTGGTGCAGGGATATGTTGAACAAAGTTCAGATGTGCTGTGTGCACAGTACCAGGCTCAGCATAGTCTGAGAATGAAAAGCAGCTTCTGAAACTCAGCCCTGCCTCAGGTGCAGGGAGCTGCTGGTCTTGCCAGGAGGCTTAATGCCTGGATCAAATATGAGGGGGCTGGCTGGGCATGATGGCTCACACTCGTGATCCCAGCACTTTGGGAGGCTGAGGTGGTGGGAGGATTGCTTGGGGTCAGGAGTTCGAGATCAGCCTGGGCAACATGGTGAGACTCTGTCTCTACAAAAAAACTAAAATAAAAAAATAGTCGGATGTGGTAGTGCACATCTGTGGTCCTAGCTACTGGGGAGGCTGAGATAGGAGGATCACTTGAGCCCAGGAGTTCAAAGCTGCAGTGAGCTGTGATTGTGCCATTGCACTCCAGCCTGAATGACAGAGGCAGAACTTGCCTCCAAAAAAAAAAAAAAAAAAAAAAAGACAAATATTTGGGGGCTTCCCCAGATAGACGTCTGGTGCTATGGTCTGAATGTCATTGTTCCCCTTGAATTCATATGTTGGAACTTAATACCCAATGTGATAGTAGTAAGAGGGGCCCCTTAGGAAGTGACTAATTCATGAGGAATCCACCTTCATGAATGGGATTAGTGCCCCCTTTTATAAAAGGGGCTTGAGCAAGCGCCTTTGCCTCTTTTGCCATATAAGGACACGGCAACAAGGTACCACCTATGATGCAGAGTGAGCCCTCCTCACCAGGCACTGAATCTGCAGGTGCCTTGATCTGGGACATCCCAGCCTCCAGAACTGTGAGCAACACACTTCTGTCATTTATAAATTACCCAGTCTAAGGTATTTTGTGATAATAGCCCCAAAATATGACACCCAGAGAGTGTGGGCCCTCTAGAGGTCATTTCTTCCAGGCCCCTGCCAGATGCTGAGCTCAGCCTGCAACCCCAGGCTGTTGAAAATCCGAGGAGGCTGAGGTCAGGGAGGGAGGCAGGAGGCCAGCAGGCCATCAGGGAAGGGACCCCAGTGGGCTCTTGAGGAATGGGGAAGGGGCATTAAAGGGCCCAGGTAGAGGCCTGGAGTGGTGGTGGTGGCCGTGGGGGTGTGAGAAGCTGGTTTGGGTGAAGATGCAGGGAGACAAACAGAGACCCATTGGGCACGGACAGGTGCTCACATGTTTCCTTGCACCTGGCATGCTTCCCCTGGTGAACACTGCCAATGTCCACCCACCTGTTCTTCACCCAGGTGGGCCTCGGGTCTGCAGGGACACAGCAAAGGAATGAAAGCCAGGGGCAGGGGTTTAAATCCTGGCTCTGTCTCTTTTCCTCCGTGTGACCTGGGGCAAGGAAATGGTCTTTATAGCTCATGCGGTCTTTATGCAGTTGTCTTAGGTGATGGGGGATGAGAAAGTGCCTTGTAATCAATAAAGACAGATTTATTACGATAATACAAATTTATTGATTTGTAATCAGTAAAGGCAGATTAACCATACCATTTTTTTTTTTTAAATAGGGTCTTGCTGCGTCTCCCAGGCTGGAGTGTAGTGTCATGATCGTAGCTCACTGCAGCCTCGAACTCCTGGCTCAGACTATCCTTCCACCTCAGTCTCCCGAGTAGCTGGAGCTACAGGCGCACACCATCATGCTCAGCTAATTTTTATTTTTATAGAGATGGGGATCTCACTATGTTGCCCAGGCTGGTCTTGAACTCCTGGCCTCCAGCAATCCTCCCATCCCAGCCTCGCAAAGTGCTGGGTTTACAGGCGTGAGCCACTGCACCCAGACAGGATCAACCGTATCTTTTGAGCATCCGTTCTGTGCCTGGCACCAGGACCAGTTGCTGTGGGTCAACAGAACAGTTTCAGGTGGGTGGTGGATGGAATGGCTGGTGGGCTCAGAGCTAGAGCTTAGGCCCCTCAGCTACTCCTCTGGGCAGGAGTGAGCAGTGCTCACCCTACCCCAGGCTTAGGCCACTTGCGATGTGGGGTTCCTCTTCGCGCACATCTACTGACCCTGGAACTATTGAAGCTATTTTGTGAGTGCTGTGCCCTCTCTGCTGAGACACAATCCCTGTCTGGCACACCCCCAACACATCATTTGCCCCTGGAGTTTAACTGTACTTTGGTGAAGAGTGGCAGAGGCCAGAGGGACCCCAGGGGTGGACATGTGATTAGCTTGATGGGCAACCCCAGGACAGAGAACAGGGATGGGGAAGGAGATGCTTCCCACTGAAGACCCCATGCACTCTGCAGCTTACAATGCTCCTAAAACCCCGATGCTGGTTTATAAACTCTCTTGTCCAATTGCTGGGGTTCAACTGGGAGCCTTGGTGTGTCCCGCCCCTCCCCCAGGCTGTCCCGTTGTCAGGCGAGAATGAGGCTTATTTCTGCTCATCCACCAAGCTTGTCTGTTTCCAACTGTCCATTTTTTTTCCATCCATCTATCTGCCCGTCCATCCATCTTTCCATCACCTCCTGTCCTTAGGCTTAGGGGATTTCCTCTTGGGAGGGGAACTCTTTTTGCAGAAAAGGACGCTGAGCCCCAAAAGCTGAGTATTTCCCAGCATAAATGTCTGAGCCCTGTTCCCTGGGCAGGTCCTGTATTGGGGATTCAGAGTTGAATTGGAGTTGTCTCAGCCTGTGAAGGAAAGAGACCTGTCAACAGGGGGTGACAAGGAGAGTTTGTAGCCAGGTGTGGTGGTGCACACCTGTAGTTCTAGCTAATTGGGAAGCTGAGCAGGGAGGAATGCTTGAGCCCAGGAGTTTGAGACCAGCCTGGGCAACATAGTGAGATGGCCCCATTTCTACAAACATTGTGAAAACTAGCCACGCATGGTGACAGATGCCTGTAGTTTGAGCTAATCGGTAGTCTGAGGCAGGAGGATCTTTGGAGCCTAGGGGTTCGAGGCTGCAGTGAGCTAGGATTGTGCCACTGCCTTACAGCCTGGGAGACAGAGTTGCAAGACTCCCAGTTGCGATCATTTAAAAACTGGGAGACTGACATAGCATCTGGCTTTTAGCTTCTCTTAATTTATTAGAAGCTCTGACAGCATTGGGCCCATGTTCCCACGTGGAGACAGTTGGTGGATACAAGATAGGCAGCTACCTCCGTCTTTCAATGGGGCATGCACTCCAATTCACCACAGACCCCACCATTCCCTACTGCTTCTCATTCCTCCCTTTCTTCACTTATGTTATCTGCCTGGACTCTCTACAAGGATTTTCATTTGTGGTTCCTGTTTCAGGAACAGGCCATGGTGTGGCCTTTCCTGACCTTGTCAAGCCTCAGGTTCCCAGAGGGGACCAAAATAGATACTGCACATTGTAGAGGGATCAGCTGAGGTAATATAGGTGAAAGCTCTCAGGAAGCCTAAAGCTCTCTGCAATCACAAAGCTACACAAATAGAAATTATTATCATCATTATTTATAACCATTGAAAGGACAGGAGACAAAGAAGTCAGTCCCCACCATACCCCTCCCAACCCCAAGCCCACAAGGGTATTTGTGCCATTATGATGGCATTGATCATTGACATTGACAGTTATTATTAAACGATGTCAACTTCCAAATGCAAAATGTTTACCAGATGAACTCAAATGGGCTGGCAGAAATAATGTCCAGGTGCCATCTACCTTCAACTCCTCTTCTCATGAATTTCTGTGGCATTTCTCCAGGGCCCAGAGTCAATAAGGGAGAGAGAAATGACTCCTCTGGTTTACTGAAGGTGTGACTTGTGATTCCAGCCAATGTCCTGTTGGTCCCATTGTCTCCCCTGCCACTACCCATGTGGAGTCTTAGATCTTGGAGACTGTACTATGTGGGCCAACTCTCTCCTCAAGACACATTTATTAAAAGGTGGGTGAAGTATCTTCTCCTTTGCCTGTGTCTTTTGCCCAAAGGGAAGTTGATTGACGACAATGCTCCTTTTTCAAGCTCTGATTGCCGGTGGAGGTTGGATAAAGCATCTTGCTGTGATCTCTAAGTGGGCTGTGCCTTGAAAACATGATTGTTGTGTCTAATCATGTGTGTCTGTGGCTCCCTTGCCACTCCTGGTTGCCGTGTCACTGTGACTCTATTTAACATACTTTCAGGACCCACTGTATCTGTCCCGCCTCTCTCTGGATCTTCCCAACTCTGTGGTTGCCTCCCTGCTATATTCATGGCCCCTAGGGGATGCCACGTGTGTTCGGTTCTTCATGCTGTTCCTCTGTCTAAAATGTTCTCTTCTGTGGCAGCTTCCTGCAAACATCTTCTTCTCTTTCCAGACTTTCTTTGATGATTAAGAAGCTTGCACGACCTAAGTCTTATAATTCTGAAAATCATCTCCTAGTTTCCAGGACCCCAGATGCACCAGCATGGCTTAGGGAAAGGAAAATGACCTTTGGAGAGAGAATCTTTGGAGGGATTTGAGCCTCGGCATTGCCACTTACTAGCTACACCATTTGGGACATGTTACAAGCCCCCCTGAACCTCAGTTTCCTCATCTGTGAAATGGGCATAATGATAGGCCCTAAATCTTGTGGTGAGGCTTACATGTGCCAATGGATATAAAGTATACATCATCACAATGCCTGGCACATGATGAAAGATTAATAGGGGCAATTAATATAGTGTTTGTGATAGACCCAAAGATAGACTGACCCGAGGCCGACCCTGGGCACCTTTTCAACTGAAATCCCACCACCTTATATTTTGACTTCTAGGTTTCCTTTCCCTAAAAGAGAAGTTTGGAGAAGGATCTAGAATTGTTGGTTAATCAAGGGCTTGCTACCTTCTAATCACTTCATGTTGATACTAGGATAAAGAGCAAACATCCTTCATGGGGTTTACAAGGCCCTCCATGGCCAGGACCGTGTTTATGTCCCCAGCCTCATAGTCCACTTCTCCTCTCTCCCTGGGTGGTGACACATTACACAGTACCCTCGCACATGCTCTTTTGCCCACTTAATGCCTGCTCATTCTTCAAAGCCCAGGCACTTCCTCTGGAAGCCTTCCGCAGCTCCCTGTGTTCCTTCTCGACAGAGTGTAACCGCCCATTGGGTCCACCTTGCCCGCTGCCTAGACAGAGCTGATTTATCAAGACAGGGGGATTGGAATACAGAGAGAGTAATTCATGCAGAGGGGCATTGTGGGAGACTGGAGTTTGATTATCACTCAAATCAGTCTCCACAAGCATTTGGGGAGCAGAGTTTTTAAGAACAGCCTGGTAGGGGTGGTTAGTTGAAGCCAGTGAGCCAGGAGTGCAGATTGGTCAGGGAAGAAATCATAGGGAGTCGAAGCTGTCCTCTTGCGCTGAGTCAGTTCCTGGGTTGGGGCCACAAGATCAGATGAGCCAGTTGATCGATCTGGGTGGTGCCACCTGACCCGTCACGTGCAGGGTCTGCAAATTATCTCAAGCACTGATCTTAGGAACAGTTTAGGGAGGGTCAGAATCTTGTAACCTCCAGCCGCCTGACTCCTAAACCATAGTTTCTAATCTTGTGGCTGATTTTAGTCCTAACAAAGGCAATCTAGTCCCCAGGCAAGAAGGAGGTCTGCTTTGGGAAAGGGCTGTTATCATCTTTGCTTTAAACTACAAACTATGAACCATGAACTCAGTTTCTCCCAAAGTTAGGTCAGCCTACACCCAAGAATGAATAAGGACAGCTTGGAGGTTAGAAGCAAGATGGAATTGATCAAGTTAAATCTCTTTCACTGTCTCAGTCATAATTTTGCTAAGGCAGTTTCAAGAGCACTTACTCTAGTTTCTGGTTTTACATTCATGACTGTGTTTTATTTGGTTCATGTCTAATTCCTCCACTGGACCGAGAGCTCCATGATGGCAGGAACCAAGTCCGTGGGTGGCCCCCTGTGGTGTCCCCAGCATTGAACACAGCAGCACGTCCCTCATGGGTGTTCACTACATAATAATTTGTTGGATGCACAGGTGGATACATGACTTACTACTTTAAGAATGTGTGCATTTGAGATGTTTACTTGGAACAACGAAGGCTTATTCTTGAAGAAACAACAAGTGATAAGTCACCAGAAGACAGAAAACAGCATGTTGGAGCTGGGTGGCTCCTGGTGCCTGGGAAATGAACCCTTGGGGTGGTTCTTGGAAGGAAGTGAGCAGGTTTAGTCCCATCTGATGAACTCTTTCCTCTCCATGGTTAAGTTGGCTTCTAACTCAGGGACTAAGTTTTATTTGAGACTGAGGCCACTGCTGGTGGGTTGGTTGGTCTCCTCCACCTTTCCCTTCACCCGTAAATGGGATATTAGTGAACGGGTGGCATAACCCACCTGAGGGTTCTTATAGGGTTTCAGGAGAACAGCCCTCATCTCCCAATTTCCTGAACTGCCATCAAGATAACTGTGTGTGTGTGTGTGTGTTTGTGTGTTTAATCGAGACAGAGTCTCGCTCTGTTGCTCAGGCTGGAGTGCAGTGGCATGATCTTGGCTCACTGCAACCTCCGCCACTCAGGTTCAAACAATTCTCATGTCTCAGCCTCCTGAGTAGCTGGGATTACAGGCACGTGCCACCACACCTAGCTAATTTTTTTTTTTAAGATAGACTGATTTTTGTATTTTTAATAGAGATGGGGTTTCACCATGTTGGCCAGGCTGGTCTGGAACTCCTGACCTCAGGTGATCTGCTCACCTTGGCATCCCAAAGTTCTGGGATTACAAGTGTGAGCCACCACACCTGGCTATCATCAAGATAACTCTTTAAATAAGCCAAACATTTATTGGCCAAAAGCAATGCACATGTGCTGTCAACAAGCAAATTTGGGGAAACACAAAGAGAATAGAAACAGAAAATAAATATTAACCACCCAGATGTAATCATATTAGCATTTTGGGGCATATGTTTCTGATTCTTTTTAAAAAATATTTATGTCTCTCTGTGTTTTCTATTTATATATGTATTGCAACCTGATTTTTTTCATTGAGCAAATGTAAAATGAACAGAAAATGTCCAGGAAAGCAAATGTCTCCCTTCTGCTGGCCTGGTGTATTACACAGGGTTCTGTGGAGGGACAGAACTAATAGGATAGATGTATATACAAAGGGGAGTTTATTAAGGGGTACTGACTCACACGGTCACAAGGTGAAGTCCCACAATAGGCCATCTGCAAGCTGAGGAGCAAGGAAACCAGTCTGAGTCCCAAAACCTCAAAAGTAGGGAAGCCAGCAGTGCAGCCTTCATTCTGTGGCCAAAGGCTTGAGAGCCCCTGGCAAACCACTGGTGTAAGTCCAAGAGTCCAAAAGCTGAAGAACTTGGAGTCCAATGTTCCAGGGCAGGAAGCATCCAGCACAGGAGAAAGATGAAGGCCGGAAGACTCAGTAAGTCTGTTCTTTCCAACTTCTGCCTGCTTTATTCTAGCCACGCTGGCAGCTGATTAGATGGTACCCACCCAGATTGAGGGTGGGTCTGCCTCTCCCAGTCCACTGACTCAAGTGTAAATCTCCTTTAGCAACATCCTCACAGACGCACCCAGGATCAATACTTTGCCTCCTTCGATCCAATCAAGTTGACACTCAATATTAACCATCACACCTGGTATGACAGTACTAGCCTTGTCCCAAGAGGCAGGAGCCCCAGAACTGCAGAGCATCTGATAGAGATGTGAATAGTGGCTTTGGAAGGAATGACTGTGGCCAGGTAAGGTGACAGGTAATGGCGAAAACAGGCATGAAATCGTGGGGCAGTTCAGGTGAGCCATTCCCCAATATTCACCAAGAGATAATAGGGAAGGGAGAGAGAGTAGGGGTCTCAAAAGCAGGGTCACGGTGCTGATAATCTGAAAGGTAGGGTCTCAGAGCCATTGAATGTTTCATTTATTCACTCAACGAGAATTTCTTGAGTGGCTAATATGTGCCAGGTGCTGCAGCAGCCAGTGGGGATTGTAGGTCACAAAAACATGACTTCATTCAAAGCATGCACCATTATTTACATATGTAAAGTGCCTTGGCATGAAATAGAAGCCCAATAATCTCTTGCAACCATAGAGATGAGCATTAATGACTTTTCCAGAATTGCATCTATGGTTGGTGATTATTCCTATGTGGCCAAATGACCAGAAGGAGCAGAAAGCTACATTTTTGTGGCATCTTGTATACATAGAAATGATTGCTGTAAATATATGTTGACTCCCTTTAATACATATGCAACTAATTGAAAGCGGGCAGTTTATGGTGTAGTATCAGTGAAACGTGCTCTGTTGCCATTAAGTATAGCTTTGTTACATTATTGAGACAACTTGCCTTGGGGGCACTGGGGTAAGTTATTGCTTCTTCAACCATATTTTGGTCCTTAGAGGACCAACCGCTAGTCCAGCTTTTATTACCTGCTGTTTCTTTAATCACAACAGGGAAATGTTGGCTAGGCATCGGACGGGAGACTTTTCTTATAAGATGAAATGAGCCAAGATTGGAAGACGACATTTTTATTTGCCTTACAAATGGACTGGATACAGTGTGAATGGCTTCGTGAATGAGATGAAGGGCTCTGCTGCGCAGCAATCCCAAACCATTCACCCTTATGCAGAGGCAGAGAGCCTCCTAAATGAATTGGGTTCTGTTGGAGTTAGCTGCTCTTATTTTCCTGTGCTGAGGAGTCTGGAGTGGGAGGGTATCCATTTCCCAACCAATAATAATTAGCTTTGATTCCAGGCAACATGTGCATTTTTAATCCGTTAGGCATAGGGTCTTCCCGGGACCTATACGTTTTTCAAGATCTACAGAAATGTTTGAGACCAAAAACAAACAAACAAACAAACAAACAAAAAACACCACACAAACACACATACACACACACACATTGGCTTAAAAATGCAAAAGAGAAAATGACAAAATTGAAATTAATGAATATCTTAAAAATTACCTACGCTGGGCATGGTGGCTCACGACTGTAATCCCAGCACTTTGGGAGGCTGAGGCAGGCAGATCACCTGAGGTCAGGAGTTCGAGACCAGGCTGACCAACATGGTGAAACCCTGTCTCTACTAAAAATATGAAAATGAGCTTGGTATGGTGGTGCATGCCTGTAAACCTGTAATCCCAGCTACTCAGGAGGCTGAGACAGGAGAATTGCTTGAACCTGGGAGGTGGAGGTGGCAGTGAGCCGAGATCATGCCATTGCACTCCAGCCTGGGCAACAAGAGTGAAACTCCTTCTAAAAAAAAAAAAAAAATTACCTACAAATTGTGCTGCTTTGTCAATATCACTAATTGTTAAATTTAACATTCCTAGGGATTTCATTACATCTGAAAAATGTGGATAGTTAGAATTTCCCACTTTCTAGACCTCCTGAATATGCACAATTACCAAGAAATCACATCCAATCTAAATTTAAATAAATCACCTATTGCCAGATAATTTCAGGAGCAGAATTTTAAAATTTTCTCAAAAAATGTTTAGAGCCAAAAATCCATTTAATGTAGGATACAGGCAAATTTGTAGCATGTTTCAAATGCTTTCTGGTGAGACCTCCAAAAGTGAATGTGTCTAGGGTATATAAAATTCTTAAAGGGGCTTTGTCATCCTTCTTCCCCACTCACCCATAAAATAGATGAGATAAAAGCTATTTCTAAGGGTGGCTCTTTTGTGAAGTATTTGAGCTTTACGGTAGATGAGACTATTGTTTAGTAAATATTTGTTCCCTCTCCTATTACATCATTGATGTTCAGCTAGGCTATGTGACTTCCTTTTCCCTGAGAGATGGCATAGTGTACTTCCCTACCCTTCGACTGTTGAGTTGAGCTTAACTTTCTTTGGCTAATGGGATGTGAGAGGACATAACCCTTATGAAAGGCTTGAAATGCTCTCGTGTGATGAGTTTGCCTTCTTGTGCTTTTGCCTTCTCTATGAGAAAAACATGACTTAGTTGGTTGCTGGTCCTAGAAAAATGAGATGCATCTAGAGCAGAGCCGCCCCAGCATGTCTTCAGACCTGCAACCTCCAGCAGAGCTGCTCCAGCCAAGCTATACGGGCATGGCAGAGAAATAAGCTCTTTCTGGGATTTGGGGTTGTTTGTCTTACAGCATCTAGCTGACTGCTGCAAGTTCCTGCACACAGTGGTGCTTACTCATGTTTCTGAAGGAATAGCAGTTTGTTTATTTCAACCATATTGCTAGTTATTTGTTATTTTCCACCATATTGCTAGGGTTATAACTCTGAAAACAAGTTCAGCTACTTCTCACATGTTCCTTCTGCCTGAAAACTTTGTCTCCTTGCTCTTCACGTGGATGGCTTTCTATCTTTGGCTCTGGATTTAAATATTACTCCCTTGGGATGACCTCTTCTGATACATTATTTAAATACCATCTGTGGTGGAGCCTACTATTTACATATTGAAACATCTACATTCCCTTTTCTTCTCTGAAATAACACCTTATTTTCGGGGGAAAAATTTCAAACTGAGACAATAGTTGGAAGAACAGTACAATTAAGTTTTCCCTCTCCTCGAATCGTTTCCCAATACTTTACTGTGTGTGTCTTGCAATAAGGACCTTCTCCTATATGCCCATAATACGACCATTAAAGTCAGGAAATTATTATAACATTGATACATTACCACCATCTAATCCAAAGGCCCCATTCAGGTTTCACTGACCATCCCAATAATGTCCTTTATAATCTTGCAGGGCAAGATTATCATAGCATTTAATTGTCACGTCTTATTCCGGCAGATTCATCAGTCTCTTTGTTACTTTCTTGACCTTGATACTTTTGAAGATACAGGCCATTTATGTTGTATAAGAGCTCTCAATTGGGGATTGTCTGATGCTTTTTCGTGACTAGAACTAGGTCGTGCACCAATTCTAGGCTTCAACACCCCATGCCAGATCTCTGTCCTATCCCCTCTCGTTGATGCTTACTTTGGTTGGTGCCCTTTAGTGACTTTAACACTGAATATTTGAGGAAGAATAAAAGATGAAACACTGATTTTAATTAGGGTGACATAGACTCTGCTTTAAACAACAACAACAAAACCAAAACCCTCTAATTTCCCAATCTCTCATGAAGCTACCCAAGCCATGTGATTTAGCTTTGGCCAAGGAATGCAAAGAGAAGAGTAATATGGACATTTTCTCAGAATGAGGACCATATATTTCTTTGCCCATTTTTCCTGTTGTTGGTCTTGAATTAGGATGCAATGGCTAGATCTCTGGATGCCATATTTGACCATGAAGTCAAGTCCAAATGAGAAACGATCATTCCCAAATTAAGGCCGTGACTTAAGGAGGTATATAAAAGAGAAGGTGGCAATTGGTTGAATGTAGGGTGTGATGGAGAAGGACTCAAAGATGTTGTTCAGGCTCTTGGTTTGGGTAACTGGGTGAATGGTGATGATATTCATGGAGAAAGTGAGCTAAAAATTAGGAGTAAAATTATTTGGAAGGCAAGTTAAATTCGTTTTTGGAAAGAAATGAATCTGAGATATACAATGGACATCTGACGGTGTTCTCTAAGGTAACGGGAATTGGAAACAGATTTCAATATTGAGGTGGTAGAAGAAGGGGTCAAATCATCAAATCATGATTCTGTTACTTGGAAGGAAGGCTGAAGGGGAGACCTTGAGCATCTTGTTTCTTCTTAGTTCCATTTATGCTTTATGCTTTTGAGCACTAATCACAACAGATACTGTGGAGGCTGAGCTCCAGCCATTGTCAAGCCTGTGCTCCAGCACTGGTATAAATTACTGGAGTCCTCATTCTAGAGGAAAGCACGGGGACGAATCTTTTCTAGGGCTCTTTACCTTGTCTACTCTTCCTGCAGGGAGTAGTTCAGACTTTCTTCTTCTACCTCCTCTTCTTCTTTTTTTCTTTATAGAGACAAGATCTCAGTCTGTCACCCATACTGGAGTGTAGTGGCACAATTATAACTCACTGCAGCCTCAAGTTCCTGAGCTCAGGTGATCCTCCTGCCTTAGCCTTCTGAGTAGCTTGGACTGCAGGGTTCATGCCACCATGCCTGGCTTATTTATTTATTTATTTATTTAGTAGAAACAGGGTCTCACTATGTTGCCTAGTCTGGTCTAGAACTTCTGTCCTCAATTCATCCTCCTGCCTCAGCCTCCCAAAGTGCTGGGATTACAGGTGTGAGCCACTACACCCAGCCTAGGTTTTTCTTTCTTTTCAATGAATCATAACCCTTCTCTCTTCATTTCTAGTGAACATGCATCACCTTATCCTATCACAAACCAACTCTGTGACAAATGTACTATTACTATGCCCATTTTACAAATGGAAAAACTGAGACTTAAAGAATTTAAATTGGCTGGGCGCAGTGACTCACACCTATAATCCCAGCTCTTTTGGAGGCCAAGATGGGAGGATTGCTTGAGGTCAGGAGTTCGAGACAAGCTGAGGCAAGAAAGCAAGACCCTGTCTCCACAAAAATTAAATAAATTAGCCAGGTGCGGTGGTGCACACCTGTAGTCCCAGCTACTCCACAGGCTGAGGCAGGAGGATAGCTTAAGCCCAGGAGTTCAAGGCTGCAGTGAACTATGATCATGCCCATTGCACTCCAGCCTGGGCAACAGAGCAAGACCCTGTTTCTAAAAATTAGACAAAATACCAAGCAACAACACCAACAAAACAACAACACCATAAAACAAAGTTAAGTATCCTGGGGTTATACTGGAATCCAAATAATCTGGTTTAAGAGCTTAACCTCCTAACCACCATGCTATACTGCCTTGTGGCAACTCATGCCTTGTGAATCTTTACTCCTGGTAGTGTTTCACAGTTGACAGAGAGCTTTTGCATTCTTGATCTCATTTGGTCCTCACAACAGCCCTGTGGGGCAGGTAGGAAAGACCTTGTTATTAGACATGAGGGTCCTAAGAACCAGAAAGCTAATGGACATGCCGAAGGTGGCCCAGCCAATGAATAGCAGAGTTAGATAAGAATTGTGATCTTCAGGCCGGGCACGGTGGCTCACACCTATAATCCCAGCACTTTGGGAGGCCAAGGCGGGTGGATCACTTGATGTCAGGAGTTCAAGACCTGACCTCAAGTCTGGCCAACATGATGAAATTCTGTTTCTACTAAAAAATACAAAAATTAGCCAGGTGTGGTGGCGCACACCTGTTATCCCAGCTTCTTGGGAGGCTGAGGTAGGAGAATCGTTTGAACCTGGGAGGCGGAGGTTGCAGTAAGCCGAGATTGCACCACTGCACTCCAGCCTGGGACACAGAGCCAGACTGTCTCAAAAAAAAAAAAATTGTGATCTTCAGCAGCCTTATAGAGCACTTCTTCTACTGTATAATCCTCGCTTTCCTCATTTACATCTGTGAAAAAGATATTCCTTTTGTTCAGATGCTCTTAGGTGCTCTGAAGCAAGCAATAGCCCAAGCTGGCATTTTGAGAGCCATTTCATGGATGGAAAGCGGAGGCTCAATGGCTAAGGGAATTAGCCTTGGTTCTCCAGTGTGTCTGCAGTCTTCATGGCATTGGTGCTGCTGATCCACAGTCATGCCAGAGGTTGGGTCCGCAGTGAACCGCTTCACAGCTGGATGGTTGGGGGAAAAGAGAGGTCTAATGATAGAAACCTTCCCCAAAGCAAAGGATGTAAGCCCACACCGAGAATTATTAGAAAGAATAATATTCTCCCACACTGAGAATTATTAGAAAGAAAGAAAGAAAAACTAGAAAGAAGGACAAAGGCATTCCAGCATGCTTCCTGTGACAGATTGAGCCAGTCTTTGTAACCTCAGATTCACAAGGACATTGCAAAGAATTTCCTGTTGCGCTCACCAAAATTGGCTGGCCCTTGTGCCAGAGTCCCACTGACATCCAGAAAACTATTGCCCATCTTCTCTGGGCTGTGCAAGGATTAGTGTCATAATAGATCATCACAGCCAAATGTTATTATGCAAAGCAGAAAGCTGCAAGAAATGGATCTTCATTCATTGAATTTGCATGTTTGGTGGGGACTGCTTCAGACTTCCTTTATCTCGTGATCAGTCGTGTGTGTTGATCCTCTTTGCAAGTTGTTGTGAGAACTGGGTGCAGCAAAAGCTGCCACTTCAAGAGACCAAAGGGATTTCTGAGATGAAAAAGTGCATCAATTTGCATAAAGAACTCAGATAATTTCTAGGTAGAAAGCAGGTCAGAGAGGCTCTAGACCTAGGACTCTCGTGTTGGATTGCTTAGTTTCAAATCATGCTTATGTCACTTACATGCATGCAATCTGGATAAGACATTTAATATCTCCCCAAGCCTCAGTGTTCTCATCTGTAAAATTAGATGATGTGGTGATGATGAAAGAACATATATAGGCTGGATGCAGTGGCTCATGCCTGTAATCCCGGCATTTTAGGAGGATGGGGTGGGCGGGGCACTTGGGGTCAGGAGTTGAGAACCAGTCCGGCCAACATGGTGAAACTTTGCCTCTAAAGAAAGTACAAAAATGAGCCAGGCCTGGTTGTGGGCACCTGTAGTCCCAGCTACTTGGGAGGCTGAGACAGGAGAATTGCTTGAACCCGGGAGACGGAGGTTGCAGTGAGCCAAGATCATACCACTGCACTGCAGCCTGGACAATAGAGCAAGACTCTGTCTCAAGAAAACCCCCAAAAAACAAAAAAAACAAAAATAATATATATAAAACATATATATTATATAATATATAAAAAACATATATAATATAATATATAAAACATATATTATTTAATATATTATGTAATATCTATTTTAATAACATATATTGTATATTACATAACTTGTTATATTATATAACATGTTATATAATATATAATTTGTTATATATGTTATATAACATATAAACCATGTATTATATATAATATAATACATGTTTTATATAATATATAATAATTATAATTTATATAATATATGACATTATATATTATATATAACTTATATATTTATGTATGATAAAATATATGGTATATGAAATATACATAATTATATATTATATGATATAATTATATATCATATATGTATTATGTATATTTCATATACATTATATTTTATTATATAAACATAAGTATATATTATACTATGTAATAGTATAATATATAATTATACAATGTATAATTATATATGTAATAGTATAATATATAATATACAATGTATAATTATATATTATGATATGTATGACATACATATCTAACATATATTATAACATGTATGTTATATATAACACATATAGCATCTAGATACCATGTATAGCATGTGTACATGCATATATATTTATGTTATTCAACATGGGTCCAGGAATGGAGTAAGAGATCAACAAATACAGTCATTAAAATCAGTGATTCCTCATTCTTCTCCCAGCTCCTTCTTTATGAGATTTTGAAATCCATATGGATGGATAAAAATATCCCCAAATGGTGCCTAATGTTGCAGTGAAGGAAAATGAAACTCTGGAAATAAAATTAGTTCAAGGAGAAGGAGCATCTCCGCTGTTGACCCGGCTTAACACTAGACTAAGAATAGATTGCAATGGCCCCAACCTCAGGTATGCCGGATAAGTCCCTGAAGGCCCTAGAGGGGAACCTGAGAAGGGTTTGAATGTTTGCATGTGTGTTCGACAAGCTGGTACCTGGTAGCTGAGATGTAGAGGAGAATCATTGTGCCCTATGTAGAGACTGGACTATGTGGACTTTTTCATAGCTGTAGACAAAGACACGCTGACAGTACCAGACTGGTTTTCAACCTAATGGCAGCCTCGGGGACAAGGGAAGGTGAAAATGGGGCTGCCTATGAATGGATGCGACTCCTCAGGTTTCCATCAGCCTGAAGTTTGGAAGTGATCTTTGGATTAACTGAGTCGGCAGAGTGTTGGACCACGAGAAGGCAGATGTGGAGTGAGATACTGGACTTCTTGGCTCCTGTGAGCAAAGAGGATGGGCATGAGATTAAATGGAAAAGTAAGAGACGTGACAGTTTCCCAGGTTAATAACATGAGTAATGCCAGTTACATGCATGGGAGCTCATTTAACAACTCTTCAGGGTTGTGTTACTACCCAAACCCTTTATGATGCTGAGCACGCACTGCAGACACTGATTCCTGCCTGCCCCTCCACTCTGTTTCCTGGTTACCTTCTGCCTGATTCATTTTGATCTAGACACACTGGCTTCCATTCTTTTCCATGAACAAGCCAAGCTCCTTCCCACCTCTGGGCCTTTGCACACGCAGTTTCCTCCACCTGGAATGCTGCTCCCAGATCTTTTTACAACACATTTCCTCTCATCTGTTGAGCCTCACCTTACACGTTACCCTTTCAGAAAGATTTTCCCGTTCATGTCCTCTCCGCTACATTATTCTCCCTCCCATCACCCTCTCTAACATCATAGTCCTCACCATTCCTGAAATGATCTTTGTTACTTACTGGGTGGCATGTTTAGAGGCTGCTTTCCCCACTGGCTCTGTGACAGTGACTTTGTCATGGTAACTCAACATTCTGTTTCCTGTGGCCTGAAGATTGCCGGGTATATACTAAGTGCTCCATGAATATTTGTTGGAAGATTCAATGAATCATATCTTACCAATGCAATATTGGAAGCCTAGAGAAATGAAATAACGTTTTCACAATTGCACAGAGTAACAGATGCTTTCAGTGCTTCCCTTGTATCTTCTAACCCTTTACCTCTTAAGCATCCACTGACCCATCCAAATGTAGTTGCATTCTCTTTCTGAGGACTTTTTCTTTTTCTTTTCTTTTTTTTTTTTTTTGAGATGGAGTCTCACTCTGTCGCCCAGGCTGAAGTGCAGTGGCGTGATCTCAGCTCACAGCAATCTCCGCCTCCCAGGTTCAAGCAATTCTCCTGCCTCAGCCTCCTGAGTAGCTGGAATTACAGGCATGCACCACCATGCCCAGCTATTTTTTTTTTTTTTAGTAGATGTGGGGCTTTGCCATGCTGGCCAGGCTGTCTCGAACTCCTGACCTCAGGTGATCCACCTGTCTTGGCCTCCCAAAGTGCTGGGATTACAGGCATGAGCCACCATGCCTGGCCCTCTTTCTGAGGTCTTTTTCTGGTTGTACTGTCTTTGCCCACCCGTATGATGGCTTGGAAGTCTTGGAGGAATCAACACCTGCCCTGGGAGCATCCCTCCACCAGGAACTGATGAGAGTTGGTGTATGTGGATAACTACCCCATCTCCCTCACCCCTTAGGTCAGATAACTATGAAGCAAGAGCTGGTATGTGCATCTTTCCCCAAGTCCTTGTTCAGGGACAAGGTAGTGTGAAATCAGCCATGGTGGGAGGATTTACACCATGGATATGGGCAGACACTACAAATCTGGGCTTTTAATATTTTTCTGCAGTGTTGGTTGTTAAACATCTACCAGCACATTGCTAGAGATGTTCTACAGTGTATCCTAGAGTTTTCCAGCAAGTTTAAGCTCCAGTTATTGTCCCAAGTGGTAACTTGTTTTATAATATGCCCTTTACTGGCTGCCTCCCTGACCTATTTCATTTCCTGTGTCATGTTTCATTTACCTCCCACATAGATGACTTACTCTTGGAGTCTTGTCTCAGGGTCTGATTCTTGGGAAACCCCGATGAAGGCATACAACTAGTATGCGATAAAACCAGCATTTAAACCTAGGAAGGTCTGACTCCAAATCCACGTGTATTTTACTAATACTCCACTGCCTCTTGTGTCTGACCAGTTCTTTGCCAATACACTGTGACAGGAGTCCTTTAAGGAGTGAGACAAATGCATTATATTGATGAAAGTAGCTTGCAATTAAGAAGTTAGCCTTCTAGGCCAGGCACAGGGGCTCAAGCCTATAATCCCACCATGATTGGGAGGCTGGGGCAGGGGGATCACTTGAGGTCAGGAGTTCAAGACCAGCCTGGTCAATATGGTGAAACCCCATCTCTACTAAAATTATAAAAATTAGCTGGGCATGGTGACGCACACCTGTAATCCCAGCTACTTGAGAGGCTGAGGCAGGAGCATCACTTGAATTCAGGAGGCAGAGGTTGCAGTGAGTCGGGATCACACCACTGCACTCCAGCCTGGGTGATAGAGTGAGACTCCATCGCAAAAAAAAAAAAAAAAAAAAAAAAAAAAAAGAAGTTACGTTTCTTATGATAAGGGATGGGTTAACTAGATAAAACATGTGGAAATCTAATTTAGTTAGTAAATTATTTTTTATTTCAAAAACACTTTTAAAACATAGACATGTTTTCCATAAAACATGTAGGCACCAAGACAGATTTGATTGCTCTCTTGCGAATGATCAGCAGCAGGCTTCCACTTCATGCTTGTTATAATTTACTGTTTATAGTTCCTAACTCTCTGCTTACACGCTGGTTTGAATATTCAAGGGTCTCACCAAGTGGTGAGGCACTGGACACAATGATGATGTTGGGTGCAAATGAATAGGGCTTCAGCTGGAAAGGGGCAAGGGGCAGACTGGAAAGAGCTTAGGCTTTAGACCTCTGTACTGGTCAGGACACTTTGGTTCACAAGGGAGAGAAACTCAGTGCAAGCTAGCCTAGGCAGAAAAGAAAAAAGAACTTAATGCCTGGGGAAATTGGAAGGTTGAAGGATGTGTAGTTAGCTTCAGGTATGGCTCGATCAAGGATTACTCGCTAATAAAGCCTCTCTCCTTCACTAGAATAGAAGCTCTGTAAAGACAGGCACCTTGTCTGCCCTATTCATAGCTGCATCCTCCATCATATAGAATAATGCCTGGCACACAGTGATAATAAAAATTATAGAGCATGTCATATGGGCATGCCACTGTTCTTAGTTTATCCACTTAACCCAATGAGGTAGGCAATTATTAATTATAATCCCCATTTTTCTGGGTGGAGAAACCAAGGCACTGAGAAGTCATTTAGCTGATAAGCAGGGTAACTGGGATTTGAACCTAGGACCTCTTGCTCCAGAGTCTGTGCTCATAACCATGCTGCTATATTAACTCAGTAAGTAGTTGTTGATTGAGTGAATGAATAACTGACTAATGATGAAACTTGCCAGACACAGAGTATTCAGTAACTAGGAGTGCTGACATTTATTTGAGTGGCCTCTGTTTTCTGTGTCCCATTAGCTTTGGGTGCTGGTGTCTTCATCTGCAGGATTCCATATATTTAGCCCAGATCAATGGAGTGCTGGAGGGTCAGGATGAGTCGTGTTCAAGAAAATAAGGTTGGAGTTATTTCTAGAATTTTTTTTTTTTTTTTGAGACAGAGTCTCGCTCTGTCGCCCAGGCTGGAGTGCAATGGTGTGATCTCGGCTCACTGCAACCTCTGCCTCCCAGGTTCAAGTGATTCTCATGCCTCAGCCTCCCAAGTAGCTGGGATTACAGGTACCCACCACCATGCTTGGCTAATTTTTGTATTTTTAGTAGAGATGGGGTTTCTCCATGTTGACCAGGCTGGTGTCGAACTCCTGACCTCAAGTGATCCACTGGCCTTGGCCTCCCAATGTGCTGGGATTACAGGTGTGAGACACCACACCCAGCCTGAAATTTTGTTTTAAGTTCCTGAGATCCAGGGGTTGTTTGTTACTGCAGCATAGTCTAACCCATCCTGTGTAGAAGCCCTTACTTACTTAGGATGTGTCATTGAGTTCAGAGAGAGGCAGTAGAGGAAAGGGCCCAGACTTTAAAATCAGAGAGATGAAATTCCAACTCTCCACTCACTAGCTGTGTGACCTTGGGTAAGTTCCTTAACCTCTCTGAGCCTCACTCTGCATTCTCACTAGTGAAATTACAACTGTAATTGCTACTCCATGAAATTGCTTTGACTACTAAAATAGGAAACCCTGTCAAGGGTATAACATAGTAGGTGTTGATGTATGTTGGCTATTACTTTTGCTATTATGTAGCAAAGCATAGATTACTTTGGCTATTTTGAAAAAACCTGTTGCTATCAATTAAGGATAGAGTGGCTAAATTAAGTAAATTCTGTAAGCAAACAAGGATGGGTCTTTAATTCTCCTCCACTTTTGATTTATGGCTGAAGATTTGACAGTTATCTGAAGTCTGACTAGCTTGAAAACCAAGACATCTGTGATTAGACTTACCTTTTGTTCTTCCCATTAGTGTAATACATTGTTTTAGGACATCTCTGCCAACCCACTCCCCCAATATCCATCTAGCTTGGAGCCTTTATGGCCTTCATAAGGACCCGGCTTCCCCCTTGGTCTTTAAAATTAGACAACAGATGTTCATAATCGAACCTGTCTTGGTTCCAGAAAGTCTGAGATGTTCAGAAATAATCAGAACGTCTCTATAAATATCATAAAGGATATATCATTTTGGCAGAACCAGATCCAGTTTTTGTGGGGACTGAAGCTTATATAATATGGGGATCTCTGTTTAAGAAAAAGAATACAAAATTATGAATTTAAAATTAGGCACAAAAGAGAATGTTATTTTGGAATGAGAAATTAAGTATAATATTCCTGTAGCTGCCTGGACATGGTAGCTCATGCCTGTAATCCCAGCTTTTTGAGACGCCAAGGTAGGAGGATTTCTTGAGCCCAGGAGTTCAAGACCAGCCTAAGCAACATGGCAAGACCCCCATCTCTACAAAAAAAAAAATTCAAAAAATTAGCCAGGTGTGGTGGTGTGTGCCTGTAGTCCCAGCTACTCAGGAGGCCGAGGTGGGAGGATCGCTTGAGCCAGGGAGTTGGAGGCTGCAGTGAGCGATGATCTTGCCACCACACTCCAGCCTCCAGCCTGGGGGTAACAGAGTGAGATGTTGTCTCAAAAAAATAAAAAGAGAAAATTCTGGAGCCTTTAGCTATTTCCATTCCATTCTTCTGGGATCTGTGTAGGCAATTAATCAGAAATGTGAACATAGAGGTGCTTCATTATTGAAACCCAGCTTTCCCTTCTCACCTAAAGCCTTCCCCAAGTCCAGCATTTAAAGAGACAGGTACAAGGAAAAGACCCTGAAGCCCAAGCCTCATTAGCTTCAGGTAAATTCACCTCCGCTCTCTGGAGAAGCAGACAACAGAGGCCTCTTGTGAATATTGAGGAGAAGGTTGTATGTGTGTTCATGTGCGTGAGATCCAAGTGGAGAGCATGGGAACCTAGCTCAATTTTCCCTTGAGGTGAGCTTGAAGCTTTGGGTATCTTCCTCTCAGAGAACGTAAACCCATTTTTCCAACATTGTTGTAAAATATTCTGTTCCCACCTTTCCCACAATCAGCTTGCCTGACCCCACCACAGGGTGTGTCATCTTGTGCTTCTGGCACACACACACACACACACACACACACACACACACACACACACTCTCAGAGCCCTGCCATCTGAAGGCAGCCAGCTCCAGAAAGGCCAACCCTTAGCTGTAACTCAGCATAGCACTGTTCATGATCTTTGGTTTCCATTTCTAGGCTGGTTTCCTTTTTTGTTTTGTTTTTTCCTTTGCCAAGACTGTAGTTGAAATAGGATAAAGGATTTATTTTTCCATAACAAGGTAGGAGAAAGGGTGCTAGGTTACAAGCACCCTGTCAATATCAGAGTTGGAAGCTTCTTCCTACCATCAGGTGTGTGTTGTGAAAGGAACGAGGGGTTCAGGCAAGTATTTCCCAGCAGGTGGGAAGGGGTCTTGATGGGATGGAAACTAGGAAAACAAACCAGATTCCCTGAGGGAAAATCAACTGTTCCTGAACTGTTATCAGTGTGGGAGTAGGGTTCACAGATTTCATATTCTAAACATGTTTGTGTGTGGTGTGTGCACACACACCTACTATGTGGCAGAGCCTGTCATAAGTGGTGATGGATTCCTGTAGATATAGTTTGCTGGAGCTGCCATAACAAAGTACTACAGACTGGGTGGCTTAAATGACAGAGATTAATTTTCTCACAATTCTGGAGGCTGGAAGTCTGAGATCAGGGTGTCAGCAGGGTTGGTTCCTCCGAAGACCTCCTCTTGGCTTGCAGATGGTCGATTCTGGTGTGTCCTCAGATGGTCTTTCCTCTGTGCCTGTCCATCCCTGGTGTCTCTCTGTGTGTCCTAATCTCCTCTTCCTATAAGAACACGAGTCTGATTGGATTAGAGCTCACCCTAAATGAGCTAAATAGGTTTAAACTTAATCACCTATTTAAAGCCCCTATCTCCAAATACAATGACAGTCTGAGGTGCTAGGGGGTTAGGACTTCAACATATGATCCATATGGTTGAAGGGCTTCAAATTCATATATATATATATATATATATATATATATATATATATATAGAGAGAGAGAGAGAGAGAGAGAGAGAGAGAGAGAGAGAGAGAGAGAGAGACAGAGAGACAGAGAGAGAGAGACAGAGTCTCGTTCTGTCGCCTAGGCTGGAGTGCAGTGGTGCGATCTTGGCTCACTGCCACTTCCACCTCCCAGGTTCAAGTGATTCTCCTATCCTGGCCTCCCAAGTAGCTGGGATGATAGGCATGCGTCACCACACCTGGCTAATTTTTGTATTTTTAGTAGAGATGGGGTTTCGCCATGTTGGCCAGGCTGGTCTCAAACTGCTGACCTAAGATGATCTGCCCACCTCGGCCTCCCAGAGTACTGGGATTACAGGCATGAGCCACTGTGCCTGGCCTCAAATTCATATTTGAACATTTATTCAAATTTGAATTTTAGGGGGACATAATTCAGCCTGTAGCACTGTCAACCTAAAAGGAAGAAGCTGAGGCAAAATTAATGTAAGTAAAGACTCTGTTTGGGCCAAGCTTGAGGACTGTAGCCAGGGAGCGTAGATTCAAGTTTCCCTGAATATACACTCCAATTAGCAGCAGTTACAAGTGGATTTATAAAGGCAAAAAAGGGGGACATGGAGTGGGCTGGTACACAGTTGGTTGTCAGGAATTCTCACTGGTTTTCAGAAATAACATTGACGAGTGATTGGCTATACATTGTTAAGCTATTAGGTGTGGGTTATAGCATCCAGTGGGGCATTATTAGATTAATTTATAGCTACTTGTGGCAATGGCAAGCAGTTTTAAGAAATGAATACCGAGCTCAAAGGGGGTATGTAGGACATGATTGCTATCTCATTCTATTGCCTCTCTGGGCCTAATAATTTAAAAGGCTTGTATTCCTCAGATGAAAGTTCTGTTCTTTTCTCAGCACCTTGAATGGCTGGAGAGAGCACCACCCCATCCTTGACCATGCTGAGTGCTGGCTGGACTTCAACTGGGCCAGTACTCCCTTTTCCCTTGTGGAAGGTCCCCTGATTAATGCTTACCTGAACGCCTGCTCTTCCTTCAGTCCCCAGTTCTCTGCATTCCCCAGCACTGGGAACAGAGACAGCATGTCTGTGTTATACAATAGGGAAGAGTATGGGCTCTGGGTTTAAACTTTGACTCTGCCCCCTTGTTAGCCCAGCGACTGTGAGCAAGTCATTTCACTTCACCCAACTTGTTTTCCTTTTTGTACATTGGAGGTTACTAAAAGCACCTTACCTGTCCAATTGTAGAGAGGATTAGGTGTATTAATGGGCATGGCACAGTAAACACTCACAAAATGCTAGCTACTATTAATTGTCAAGATTATGTTGGTTGCAAGGAGCAGAAACTCATATGGAAGTCATTTAGGCAATAAAAGGGGATAATTTATTGACTCTCATAACCAAATCCAGGAAGGTAGGAGAGCAGTTGAGTGGCAGGGGCAACTGGAAAGAGACCATTCCCCATGTCTGTCTGTCTGTCATATCTTTTTTATTTTTATATATGTATTTTTTTACCATGGTGGGTTTTTTTTTGTTTCTTTTCTTTTTTTGGTTGTTTTTTCCATCCTTGGCTAGAACCATGGCTGCCAACAAGCTTCTCTGTTTCATAATGGGAGACCTTCTCATGTGGTTATGATGTGAAAAAAATCCCAGGGAAGGACTCTGATTGGTTCAGCTCAGGTCACATAGCCACCCACGTGGCCAGGTCAGGGGCTGGGGTGCTTAGGTGGGGCAGGGGGTTCTGGGTAGATAAAAATAATTAATGCCTTCTGCCTTATCTAAATGTTCTTTGTACTATGCCTGGCACTTGGTAGAAATTAAACAAATTCCCCTTTTTCCCTTTCTGTTTGACCCTCATGTCTACTTTTTATTACATAAAAGAGTAATCCAGAAAAGAAAGTCAGCTCATTGGAGACACTGGGTAGGGAGAAAAAGCTTTTTATAGAATATTAGGTAGGAGTAGTGGCTTAGGATGGTAAGAGCTCTGCACGAAAGGAAGACATTACGGTCTAAGGCCACCTGGGAGATCTGAGTCAAGCAGCTCTATCCCTTCCTGAGGACAAAAGAGATTTCAGGCAATGACTCATTTGTTTGGAGAGCTAATTGACAAGACATATTAAGAGTTTTAGCAATTGTTCATGCTTTTTGATCCAACAAATTCACTTCTAGAGTGTCAAGAACTGTGCTGGTCTAAGATATTATCCTACATGGAGGCTAGTGAGTTTTATGGATGTGGGCAGAAGACATGAGACTCTGGATTGAGAGATAAAGGACTTTATTTTTCATGGCACAACAGGAAGCTTGAGCTTCATGTCTGCACCAGTTCCCTTTGACCCCCAAGTCCCTCAAGGGTGACACAGGTTGACATGGTTTGGCTGTGTCCCCACCCAAATCTCATCTTGAATTGTAGTTCCCACAATCCCCATGTGTCATGGAAGGGACCCAGTGGGAGGTAATTTAATCATGGGGGCAGTTATCTTCATGCTGTTCTTATGATAGTGAATGAGTTCTCACAAAATCTGATGGTTTTATAAGGGGCTTTTTCTTCTTTTGCTCATTCTTCCCCTTTCTGCCGCCATGTGAAGAAGGACATGTTTGCTTTCCCTTCTGCCATGATTGTAAGTTTCCCGAGGCCTCCCTGAGTCAATTAAATCTCTTTCCTTTATGAATTACTCAGTCTAGGGTATGTTTTTCATTTGTTTGTTTTTTTGTTTTTTTTGAGACAGAGTTTCACTCTTGTCGCCCAGGCTGGAGTGCAATGGCAGGATCTCAGCTCACCCCAACCTCTGCCTCCCAGGTTCAAGCAATTGTCCTGCCTCAGCCTCCTGAGTAGCTGGGATTACAGCCATGTACCACCACACCCAGCTAATTTTGTGTATCTAGTAGAGATGGGGTTTCTCCATGTTGGTCAGGCTGGTCTTGAACTCCTGACCTCAGGTGATCTGCCCACCTCAGCATCCCAAAGTGCTGAGATTACAGCCATGCCTAGCCTTTTTTTTTTCTTTTTTTGAGACAGAGTCTCACTCTGTCGCCCAGGCTGGAGTGCAGTGGCGCATTCTTGGCTCACTGCAACCTCCACCTCCCGGGTTCAAGCGATTCTCCCACCTCAGCCTCCTGAGTAGCTAGGATTATAGGTGTGCACCACAATACCTGGCTAATTTTTTGTATTTTAGTAGAGATGAGGTTTCACCATGTTGCCCAGGCTGGTCTCAAACTCCTGAGCTCAGGCAATCTGCCCACCTCGGCCTCCCAAGGTGTTAGGATTACAGGTGTGAGACACCACACCCAGCCTTGGGTATGTTTTTATTAGCAGTGTGAGAAATGAGTAATACATGGATGGATCCAGGTAGAATCTGTGCCTGCAGTGGATTTGCATCACACCTGAGGAACCCCAAGTTTAGGAATCTTGGTCTTTTCAACCTTTACCCTGGATGGAGGGAGACATTGTCATTATAATCCTTTCTTTTTCTTTTTCTTCTTCTTTTTTTGTTTTTTGTTTTTTTGAGGTAGAGTCTTGCTCTGTCACACCAATGTTGGAGTGCAGTGGAATGATCTTAGCTCATTGCAACCCCTGCCTCTTGGGTTCAAGCAATTCTCCCACCTGTCTCCCAAGTAGCTGGGATTACAGGCGCCCACCACCACACCCAGCTAATTTTTTAAGTGTTTGTAGTAGAGATGGCAGTTTCACCATATTGGCCAGGCTGGTCTCGAACTCCCAACCTCAGGTCATCTGCCTGCCTCAGCCTCACAAATTGGTGGGATTACAGGCATGAGCCACTGCGCCTGGTCCGGAGATATTATTATTATAATCCTAATCAGCAAATAAATCTGTCTTCTACTATACTAGCCCTATCTTCTAATGCTATTAGCTATACAAACATCCTTATAAAGACGGTCTAGAACAAAAGCTGACACAAGATGTGCAGAAATGTAAGAGACACATGGGGAATTGTTGCACAGCATAGAGAATCTTTCCTAAGGAAACTACATCTGAAACACACACAGAAAATGTATTCTTAAAGCAACAATAGTTCAGCATTAGGGGAAGAGGTTAAACAGACTGTTGTTGGGATACTCTTCTGTTTCTAAACATGTTTCTGAAGATCTTGGAATGGGAAGTGTAAACGTTCAACTTAAAATGTAAAGTGGAACAAAAAGCTGCAAAACTTGAATATATGTTTTTATTAACTATGTACAGACATCTATTCTAGGAAACCTGGGAGGGAGACGTGCTAAAATGTTCATAGTCTTTCTCTGGGCGATGAGTCTAGGATCCACTGTTTTTCTTCATTTGGAATGTTCATAGTCCTCCTCTGGGCAATGAGTCTAGGATCAACTGTTTTTCTTCATGTGGAATGTTCATAGTCTTCCTCTGGGCAATGAGTCTAGGAGCCACTGTTTTTCTTCATTTGGAATGTTCATAGTCCTCCTCTGGGCAATGAGTCTAGGATCAACTGTTTTTCTTCATGTGGAATGTTCATAGTCTTCCTCTGGGCAATGAGTCTAGGAGCCACTGTTTTTCTTCATGTGGAATGTTCATAGTCTTCCTCTGGGCAATGAGTCTAGGATCAACTGTTTTTCTTCATTTGGAATTTTTTTTTTTCAGTTTTTCTATAATGAACATGTATTACATTTATAATAGAAAATAACAAGATAAATTATTTCTGAAAGCAGTGCCCAGCATCCAGAATTTGGCAAAAACAGGAGAAGAAAGCATAAAACAAGCAGGGAAAAAGGTTTTCAGTTAAATTAGATGTCCAATGAAGAGATCAGCTTGGCTGCAAAATCTCTTTTTGACAGACAATTAGTTCTGGGCAAGTCAAATGTTTCAACAGTGCGTTCTTCTGGGGCAATTAAAGTAATTCATACTTGATGTGCGGAAATGTGGTAATTGGGAAAGTTCCCCAAATGGCAGTTGAAACTGGGCTGGTTGTGTTTGGAGAAGTTAAGTCATGCCCTTGACAAGCCATCTATCTGAGTCTACTGAAGAGGGCTTGGGCTGGGTGATTTTAAGATGGAATTTTCCACTGGGCGTAGGAAGTGATGTTGGGAATGGACTAGAAGGGTCAACAGTGACAACATTAACAGCATTTATTGTAATATAAATACAGTTGGCCCTTGAACAACATGGATTTGAACCGCATGGGTCCACTTATACATGGATTTTTTTCTGTTTTTGCCACCTCTGAGACGGCGAAACCAATTCCTCCTCTTCCTCCTCTTCCTCAGTCTCCTCAATGTGAAGACAATGAGGATGAAGACATTTATGATGATCCACTTCCACTTAATGAATAATAAATACATTTTCTCTTCCTTATGATTTTCTTAATCATATATTGTTTTCTCTAGCTTATTTTATTGTAAAAATACAGTGTATAATCATATAAAATACAACATATGTGTATATTGTTTGTGTTATTGGTAAGACTTCTGGTCAACAATAGGTTATTAGTAGCTACGTTTTGGGGGAGTCAAAAGTTATAGGTGGATTTCCAACTGTGAGGGGGTTGGCATCACAGTCATTCATGGGTCAACCATTGTGTCAATAACAATCATACCACACATATTTTGAGTGCCACATGTTGCACTAAGCACTTATGTATCTATTAATTTCTACAACTATCCCGTGCAATAGATACGATTGGAGTTTCCGTCTTACTGATAAGGAAACTGAGGGCCAGAGAGGTCAATTGAGTTGTCCAAGGTCACACAGCCAGTTAGTAATGGAGCTGGAATCTGAATCCATGCAATCTGACCCTTGTTCAATGCTCCTAGACTTATGTGCTGGATTTTTTTTTTTTTTGAAATAACAATGTTTTATACCTCTATCTTTACTTTCCTAGATAAGGGCATCTGATTTCCCTCCATGGCAAGCAAGTTATGTTGTATTTGCTACATTTGAGAGGGAAAAAAGCTGAAGTTCAGAACGGATTAGAAATTTCCCAAGGCCACACAGTGAAAGAATAGAAAGTTTCCTTTTTTAAATGGCGGAGCTTTTATATCAATGCTGTTTGTAAATTTTAGTTGGCAATGTCTGTTATATTCCATGAAACTGAATGAGAGGTGAGGTGGTATATTAGCCAAAACTCTCTCAGCTACATCTTGCTATTGTTCCATGCAACTTCAAAGCCCACAGATAGACTGGACTTCAAGTATGGCTGGATCCAGATGCTTAAATGATATGCTTTGAAATCTGTCTGATCTCTACTTCTCAGCTCTCTTTTCATCCATGTTGGCTTCATTATCAGGCCCTTTTCTTATGCCATCAGCAGCTGCTGACTTACCTCCTACCAGCTTAGTAATCCCAGGGGAAAATGAACTTACCTTTGCCAAAAGCACTGGCATAAGAAGCTGACTCTCATTGCATTGTAAGAGTCAGGTGCCCATCTCTGAACGAATTATTGTGGCTAAGGAAGTAGAAGAGGGTGATTAGTCAGTCCTGATCATGTGCTCAGCTCTAGCTTTAGAAGATGGTGCTATCCAAACTCCATGAATGAACAGTGAAGGAAGGACCATTGTTCAAAAGTAAGTGGAAATGCTGTTTCCAGGAAAGCAGAATGGGAGGAGGAAGTGGGGGGAGGGGGGAAGGGATTCAAGGGGTGGGAGCTGGAATGGAATTAGCCCTAAATAGTTGGAGTTTGGAGGGTGTAAGTAAGTGTGAGCTGAATGCCGAAAGCAGAGTTGCAAGATGGTGTGTCAGCCCAGTTCTGAGAAACAAACTCCCATACAGGATTACACATATGTGATTTTTATTAAGGGAAATGCCCTTGAGAGAAAGCAAAGAAGGTGCCACATAAAGCTGGGAGAACCTGAGACAGTAATGCAAGTCTGACTCTGAGTAAAAGAGAGAGGAGAAAAAAGTTAGGGTGCGAACACCATAGGGAAGTCCCTAAGCCAAAGCCGGGGACAGGGGAATCCTGTGTCTCCCGGGGAGGGGTCTGCTTTAGTGTCCCTGCCATGCTCAGTCATTAGCCAGGAGCACCTCATGGAAGGAAGCATATGGATTCCCCAGCGCAGCAGCTGGGGCCCTGGTTAATTACACTCCCAGTAGAGGGAGGTCGATGAGGCCCATTCTCAGGGCCACCACATGGTGAGCCATGCAGCAGTGGCCTGGCAGAACATTTGTCTGGGTTCATACAGTATTTACATTAAAAAAAATCAGGGCTGGGTGCTGTGGCTCACACCTGTAACTCCAGCATTCTGGGAGGCCAAGGCAGGCAGATCACTTGAGATTAGGAGCTGGAGACCAGCGTGGCCAACAAGGGGGAAACCTCATCTCTACTAAAAATACAAAAATTAGCTGGGTATGGTGGTGCACCCCTGTAATCCCAGCTACTTAGGAGGCTGAGGCAGGAGAATTTCTTGAATGTGGGAGGAGGAGGCTGCAGTGAGCTGCGATCATGCCACTGCACTCCAGCCTGGGCAACAGAGTGAGACTCTTGTCTCAAAAAAAAAAAAAAAAATCAGTTGCCAGCATTCAACAAACTGTGTATTTTACATCTTTAAAAACCCCTGGATTTCCTGCTTCTCTTTAAAAAATAGTGGCAGTTTGGCAACATTGGGAGTCCATTCCACAAATCTTGCAAAATTGAGTCCTCGCTGCCTCCTTAGATAAGGTGTGTGCTCTCTAGTTTGCCACAGTCTCCACCAGACCCAGTTGCCCTAATCTGTACTCTTCACTCATTTGTGTTACTTGTCTGCCCATGTGTGCATTTAAGTTTGCAACCCTTGCCTTAAATTCATCTGAGAAACAAACTATGGCAGTCAGGTTCAGCCATAGAATCTAATGGGAAGGAGCAAAGCTGGAGATTGAGCGACTAAGCTAGAGGTTGATAAAGCAGGAATAGAGCAGGTAGCTGGAGTCTGAGCAGACAGACTTCAGGGCTTGTCTGCCTTCCTAAGAGCTCCTTTGCTGGCTGGGTGAAGTCACTGAGAACCTAAGCAGAGGGTGTCAGTTCTAGCCTTCCTGGAGAAATCTTAGTTGAGATGGATGTTTAGAGCTGGTGGACACTGCCTTTGTGTCAAGCCAGTCTAGGAGTCACAGCAATATTTGGACACTGGTTGAAAGTTGTTCCATTCCATCCCACTTGCTCAGCAATTTGGACAAGTGTGGGTTTAGGTTATTTTAATTGGTTAATACCCTTTTGTTTAGGTGCTCTCCTTTCCTCTTCCACATGGTTCAGTAAGGCTGCCAATTCTAGAGCTCTTTCTTCTCCTATGAAAGTCATGGATGTCTTAGGCTGGGTTTTCCCAGAGGCAGATCCTGTGATGAGGATTTCCATGTAATGGTTTATTTGTAGGGTGACTCTGGGAAGCACCAGTAGGAGAATGGGAGTGTATTAGTCAGGGTTCTTTAGAGAAGTAGAACCAATAGAATAGCACACACACATACACACACACATATGCATATACATACACACACACACACACACACACATATATAAGCATATGGGGAATCCATATGCTTCCTTCCATGAGGTGCTCCTGGCTAATGACTGAGCATGGCAGGGACACTAAAGCAGACCTCTCCCCAGGAGACACAGGATTCCCCTGTCCCCAGCTTTGGCTTAGAGACTTCTCTATGGTCCATATATATATATATATATATATATATATATATGTGTGTGTGTGTGTGTGTGTGTGTGTGTGTATACACACATATACATGTGTGTATATATACACACATATACATGTGTGTATATATACACACATGTATATGTACACACACATATGTGTGTGTATGTGTGTATATATATATATACACATACATATATGTATCTATATGCACTTTTATATACATACATTCACATACATATATGTATCTATATGCACTTTTATATATATGTGTGTGTGTGTGTGTATGCAATTATGGAGGCTGACAAGTCCTAAGATCTGCAGGATGAGTCAGTAAGCTGGAGACCCAGGAGACCCAGTGGTGTAGTTCCAGTCTGAAAACCAGCAGGCTTGAGATCCAGAAAGAGCCGTGTTTCAGTTTGAGTCTAAAGGCAGGAAAATTTTGACGTTTCAGCTTGAAGGCCCTCAGGCAGGAGGAGATCTCTCTGACTCAGGCAAGGGTTGGCCTTTTGTTCTATTTAGACCTTCAACTGATTGGATGAGGACCATGCACATCTGGAGTGCAACCTGCTTTCCTCCGTCTACCCATTTAAATGTTAATCTCGTCTGAAAACACCTTCACGGGAACACCCAGAATAATGTTTTACCAATTATCTGGGCACTCAGCGTCCCAGTCAGGTTGACACATAAAATTAACCATCACAGGGCAAAATGAGACAAGGAAATCTAAACCAGAATAGAGCAAGGTAATGAGTAAGTTACTTCTATGGGCAGCCGGGGCTTGGTCCTTTTGATGGGCTTTGGTTGATGGCATGGAACACACCTCAAATTGTCCCACCTGAGTGTTGAGAAAACTGAGATATTTATCTTTCATCACTCATCTGACATTGACCAAGGGATGCTCTCAGGGACTTTGACATCCTTGAACTTCTGGCCTGTCTTGCCGAGGCCAAGAAAAGGCCTTCAGGTGGGGAGTTGCAGGTGCTTGCAGAGGGATGCCTTCAGCTTGTATGGGATGGGGAGGGTCCAAGGGACATGGGTGGCCATTGCCAGTGTCTGCTATGGTTGGTAAGTGGCACATATCTGGTCAAACATCAGGATCTATCCACCCAGCAGTGTTGGACCTTGGAGTGGCACAGGCATCAGAATCTTCCCTGGGGATTAACTTATTGTGGTTCTTGAACAGAGAGGATATATATCTGGAGGTGCCAGCCTCTACTTGCCCTCCCACATGGAGAGAGATGGAGAATAAGGCTGAGCAAAGACAAACAGTGAAGAGAAATGGAGACAGAGAGAGGGAGAGAGAGAGTGAGAGAGAGAGAGAGAGACAGAGAGAGAGAGAGAGAGAGAGAGACAGAGACAGAGAGAGAGAGAGAGAGAGAGAGAGAGAGAGAGAGAGTATACATGTACTTTGAGGCAGTGAGTCCTGTTTCTAGTCCCTGGGGCTCTGGTTCTTTTCTCTTCCTGTCTTAGTCTGTTTTTGCTGCTGTAACAAAATACCCAAGACTAGATAACTTATAAAGGACAGAAACTTATTTCTCACCGTTCTGGAGGCTGAGGAGTCCAGGGTCAAGGCACAGGCACATTTTGTGTCTGGTAAGGGGCTCTGTTCCTTGCTTCTAAGGTGGTACCTTGTGTCCTCTGGAGGGCATGAATGCTGTATCCTCATATGTGGAAGTTGGAAGGGCAAAAGGGCCTAAGTTAGTTCCCTCTACCCCTTTATAAGGCATGAATTCATTCCTTAAGGGCCAAGCCCTCCTGACTGAATCACTTCCTAAAAGGCCTCACCTCTTAATACCACTGCAATGAGGATTAAGTTTCAACATGAATTTTGGAGGAGACACGTTCAAACCTTAGCATTCCCTTTCCGTAAATGACCTCAGCTGGATAAACCAGTATATTCGTTTCTTGATTAATTTAGCCAGAGTTAGATTTCTGGGCATGCAACCAAAAGCTCTTACTAACAGTTATTGTGGTGGGATAGGGATGAGGGGAAGGGAGATTGGGATTGAGAGAGAGATTGCCCTGGGCCTAAGAGCTTTCTCTCCTTATTACATCCCAGTGCCTGAGATTTAAGTTGCTAGAAGGAAGATGAGTTTATGGTGGAAATTTGTAACCGACCATTAACTAGAATGGCGCAGCTAAGCCCCTGTGCCTGACCAATTGTTAGGACTTAAAGAAATAGCAATAAAGAAAGAGCTTTTAGTTTCAGAGCTTAATTAGCCATTCTTTTCCTTCCTGACTTTTAGTTTTATGACTCTAGCTTCCAGGATAGAATTTTATTGTAGTCAGATACAAATTAAACCCAAACAAGGACTCTCCCGTGTTTCTGTTTCTTCAATTTAAATTTATTCTTTGTAGGGTGACACTAAGTACCACAGTATATGTCACATGTAAGAACAGTAAATTTTTAAAAAAGAGAGACAGGGCAAGCATTTATCATTGTGATCTCTTCTCTAAACATAATGGGAACTTAGGTTAATTAAAAAAAAAAGTTAATGCCGTTGTTTTTTGCCTTAAGAAAGGTAGGGTTTTTATCTGAAGTGCTCTGAGAATTGGCACTCTTAAATCTGCAATGATGAGAAATAACAGTAGCTACCATTTGTTGAAAATCTATTAGTAGTATGCTAGGTCCTTAACCTTCAGTATCTCTAATTACCCCAAGACACTTGAAGGATGGATGGTCTAAAGTTTCCATGTGTGCAAAATGATAGCTCTGAGAAGACTTAACCAATGTTTCAAAGATTTAAAAAAAAAAAAAAAGGAATTGGAGCCAGTTTGCATTAAGACCTTTTGAACTCCAAAAAATCTATCTATGTGCTTCCGACTTGAAAAGGGTATGTTTTGCATGCTGGATATGGGTTTGGTGGAGGTGCTGGTGTATACACTGTATGTTTCAATGCTAGACATCGTGCTGGGTACTGGACTTAGTAGGCACCTGATCGCATTTCTGTTCGGCAAATTCAGAAAATGTGAGTGACTGAAACTTCATTAGGTTGAAGGGGAATTTACCTTTTCACTACGTCTGAGCAAAGGGTTTATTCGGTAAGGTATATTTATATTATATTATATTATATTATATTATATTATATTATATTATATTAGTGCCCCATGGAAATTATATTTGTTTCTCTACAGATAACAAAGATTCTTATTTCTCTCTTAAAATTCAAAATAAAGAGCCTTACTGACATCTACCATAAATCCTCTGCTGTAACCAGGTAGAGTATAAATAACTCCATAAAAAGAGAGTAATGCTGTCTTGCGTTTGCACAGCACTTTACAGTTTAGAAAGTATTTGCTTGCCATGTCCCTTTCGATCCTCCTGATAGGCTTGCGGGGTAGGAAGGAGAGGTACTGTCATTTCCATCTTCCTGGTGGGAAACAAACATTTGGAGAAGTTGGGTGACTTGCCCCAAGGTGACACAATAGTGAAGGGTTCAAACCAGGACTTAGTTAGTTTGGGTGTCAGAATGGGTCAGAGTGGGTTTGTCTTAGTTAGTTTGGGCTGTGTATTAGTCTCTTCTTGCATTGTTATAAAGAAATACCTGAGACTGGGTAATTTATAAAGAAAAGAGGTTTAATTGGCTCACAGTTTTGCAGGCTGTACAGGAAGCATAGCTGAGGAAGCCTCAGGAAACTTACAATCATGGCAGAAGGTGAAAGGGAAGCTGGCATGTCCTACATAGCTGGAGTAGGAGGAAGAGAGCAAAGGGGAAAGTGCTACACACTTTTAAACAACCAGATCTTGTGAGAACTCACTCACTGTCATGAGAACAGCAAGGGGCAAGTCTGTCCCCGTGATCCAATCCCCTTCCCCCAGGCCCCTCCTCCAACACTGGGGATTACGATTCAACACGAGATTTGGGCGGGGACACAAATCCGAACCATATCAGGCTGCAATAACAAAATAGTATAAACTGGATGGCTTAAGCAACAGAAATCTATTTCTCACAGTTTTGGAGGCTGAGAAGTGCCACAATCTGGCTGATGTAGCTCCCAGCGGACCCTCCTCCTGGCTTGCAGAAAGCTGCTTTCTCTCTGCATTCTCACATGACGGAGGAAGTGGGGGGTGGGGGGAGCGGAGGTAGAGAGGGAGAGAGAGAGGGAGGGAGGGAAGAGGAGAGACAGAGCAAGAGAGCAAGCCGTCTGGTGTCTTTTCTTGTAAGGATGCTAATTCCATCACGAAGACCTCATCCTCATGATCTCATCTAAACTAATAGTCTTCCAAAAAAGCCCACCTCCTAATACCAACATAATGGAAGTTAAGGCTTCAACATATCAATTTTGAGGGGACACAGTTCAGTCCATTGGACTTAGAGTTCACACTTCCTGGACAAGATTTTGGAACGTTGTAAAGCTTTCTTCAGAAAAACAACTAGTTTATTTTCCCCCAAGCATTTATAGCCCACTTTAGCAGCACTCAACTGCATGCCTCTGATCTATATGCTAATTTTGGATCCGCCTTATCTCTTAAGTAATCCAAGAGTTTGTGTGTGTGTGGATGCTCCTTGATTTGAAATCCTTATGTGCTTAGAACTAATGGCGTTGTAAAACACACTCCACAATGTACCCTTCTCTAATTCAGCCTGATTTTCTCCCATCCCTCCACGTTAGCCGGGCTCCCATGCCCCTGTTTTTGATCACGATTGATTGTCCAGCTCCAAAGCATCATCTGAACGACTTATGGTCTTTCTCCCGAGTGTTGGAGCCCAGGGTAGGCAGATGGGAGAGGGTAGGGGATTTGAACCGGAGAAAGACATTTAAATTTCCTCCTGTTCATCTTAGCTTAGGAAGTTACCTGCTGTCTGAAGGGTGTATCCCTATTTTATTATTTATTTATTTTTACAAAACCAAGGGAAACCAGCAACGAAACGCAAGAGGAGCTCCTCTGCCTCTGATTCCAGTAGCTGTGCTCTCAGGTTGGAGCAGCCAACCCAGAAATTGGTGGCCAGTGGCTAGGGTCAGGATGAGCAGAGTGAACGCGAGTTCTATGTCTGATTATAAAAACTGTACTTGCTCCTTATGGAGAATTTGAAATCTAGGGAAATTATAAAAATGTAAAGTGTTATCAGTCCTTTGTCAGCCATTGGGCTGGTTGGTTGGTCAGAAGTCATCACTGTTATAGACCCTCATTGCTTAATGAAAATTAATTTGTCAAGCGATTTCCTTGATGATGCTAATATTTATTGAAAGGTTACCCTAGGCTGAGTTCTGGCTAACAGCTATATATATGTATACTTTTATTTTCCAAGTGAAGAAACAGGCTCAGAGAGGGTAAGAACTTACTCACAGTCACACAGCAACTGAGTGGGGCGGCTAGAATTTGGGTTCAGATAGTCAGACGTTAGAGTTCAGGTTTTTCATCCCTTCAACATCTACACATTTTTCAAGAAATAACAAGATTCACTTTTGGTTTGAAGAGGAGTGCATGGGAGAGAAAGAAAAGTACCAAATGGGAAAAAGAGAGAGCAAGGAAACCAAACTCCGTTTGTGGTCGTGAGCTACATTAAAAAAAAAAAAAAAAAAAAAAAGCCAGGCCAGGGACAATGGCTGGATTATGCCTGTAATCCTGCCACTTTGGGAGGCCAAGGCAGGAGGATCACTTGAGGTCAGAAGTTTGAGACCAGCCTGGGTAATATAGCGAGACCCCATCTCTACAATTCTTTTCTTTTTCTTTTTTTTCTTTTTTTGAATTAGCAAGGCGTGCTGGTGTGCACCTGTAGCCACAGCTACTGGGGAGGCTGAAGCAGGAGGATCGCTTGAGCCCAGGAGTTCAAGGCTGCAGTGAGCTATGATCCCACCACTGCACTCCAGCCTGAGCAACAGAGTGAGACTCTCTCTGAAAAAACAACAACAACAAAAACAAAAACAAAGCAAAGCTGGTGGTTTCACATGAGTGTTGCTCCTTCTGGAAAGGCATCACTGGAGTGGGTGCCATATTTTGATGCTGCTGCTGCCAATGATGAGAACATGGGCAACCTCTTTTGCCTGTAATTTTTTTTTTTTTTTTGAGACAGTCTCACTCTGTCACCCAGGCTGGAGTGCAGTAGTGCATTCTCAGCTCACTGCAACCTCCGCCTCCTGGGTTCAAGCGATTCTCCTGCCTCAGCCTCCCGAGTAGCTGGGATTACAGCCGCCTGCATCCACACCCAGCTAATTTTTGTATTTTTAGTAGAGATGGGATTTTGCCATGTTGGTGAGGCTGGTCTCGAACTCCTGACCTCGTGATCCGCCCGCCTCGGCCTTCCAAAGTGCTGGGATTACAGGCGTGAGCCACCGTGCCCGGCCAAGAGAGACTTTTCTACACTTTGTAATTATGTTATTTTTAAACTGAAAACTATATTTCCTATTTCTTAGTGTTAGAAAGAAAGAGAAATCCCTGAGAACAATCAGCAGCCTGGAGCATAGTTTGAGACTCCCACTAACAGAGCCAAGAGTCTCAAACTAGGCCAACAGATACCCTTGGGGAACCCTGCTGTATCCCTGGGACATAAAAAACTACAGTACAAACATCATCATCTTCCTGGAGGATGAATAAACTTTAGTAGAGTAATAGTAACTTAAAACACATGTGGCACAAAATAGAACGCAGAGTTCACAAATACCTAAGGTAAAATAAGACTTCAAAGAAAATTTCACCCTTGCAGAGGTTATTTTGGGCTACACTCCACAGAGTATGAATTCATTCTCTTTTCCTCTCAGGGATAGTTTGTTAAGAGTCTGAAAACCACTGCTCTGGGCAAACTGCCCTCCGGAGTCACACACAAAAAATCAATCTCGTTACTAAAGATAAATTTTATTTCAATAAAAATTGTAATGAGCTTGATCACCTACCCTTTTCACCTGACTTGGCTACAAATGACTGCCAACTGTTTAAAAAAAAAAATCCAACCGACCCTCAGAGCTAATATGCTATTACTTTTAAAGATTACAGACAGGCCAGGCGTGGTGGCTCACGCCTGTAATCCCAGCACTCTGGGAGGCCAAGTTCCTATTTCTTAGTGTTAGAAAGAAAGAGAGAGAAATCCCTCAGAACAATCAGCAGCCTGGAGCATAGTTTGAGACTCCCACTAACAGAGCCAAGAGTCTCAAACTAGGCCAACAGGCACCCTTGGGGAACTCTGCTGAGGCTGAGGCAGGAGAATTCCCGGAACCCGGGAGGCGGAGGTTGCAGTGAGCTGAGATCGCGCCATTGCACTTCAGCCTGGGCAGCGAGAGCGAGACTCGGTCTCAAAAAAATAAAAAAATAAAAAAGCCTCTCTTGTGTCCTTGTCCCCAGCCTTCCAGCTCTCCTCTGAGGGAACCAGTTTTCAAGATGGCCCGCAACAATCCCTGCCTGCTGCCATTCACACCTTGTTTAGTCCCCTCCCACGCTGGAAAGATCCATGTTGGGGCTCGTGTGTGACCAATGCCGCAGAAGTGATGTTATGTCACTTCCGCGATTACGTCATGAAAGACTGCAGCTTCCATTGTTGGCTCTTTCTTTCTCTTTCTTGGATCAGTCGCTTTGGAGGAAGCCAGCTGCCATGTTTTGAGGACACTAAGGCACTTTACGGAGAGGCCCACGTGGTGAGGAATTGAGGTTTCTAAGAGCCAGTAAGGAATAGAGACAACCACACAGTGAGCCTGGAAGCCTAGTCTTCAGCCCCAGAAACGCTCAGATGACTGCAGTCCTGGCTGACATCTTACCTGCAGCCTCATTGGAGACCCTAAGCCAGAGCACTTAGCTGAGTTGGCTTGTGGGTTCCAAATCCAGACAATTAGATGATAAATGCTTGTTGTTTTATATTTAGTTTTAGTTTTTGTGACTACATCGTAGGTGTATATATTTATGGGTTACGTGAGATATTATAGGCATGCAATGTGTAATTATCACATCAGGCTAAATGGGGTATCCATCATCTCAAGCGTTTTCCTTTGTGTTACAATCTAATTATTCTCTTTTAGTTATTCTAAAATGTACGATTAAATTGTTTTTGATTATAGTCACCCCATTGTGCTAGCAAATAGTAGGTCTTATTCATTCTTTTTTTTTTTTTTTTTGAGATGGAGTCTTGCTCTGTCGCCCAGGCTGGAGTGCAGTGGTGCGATCTTGGCTCACTGCAACCTCTGCCTCCCAGGTTCCAGGAATTCTCCTGCCTCAGCCTCCTGGGTAGCTGGGACTACAGGCGCCTGTCACCACGCCCGGCTAACTTTTGTATTTTTTAGTAGAGACGGGGTTTCACCATATTGACCGGGCTGGTCTCGAAGTCCTGACCTCGTGATCCACCCACCTTGGCCTCCCAAAGTGTTGGGATTACAGGAGTAAGCCACCGCGCCCGGCCTTATTCATTCTTTCTAACTATTTTTTTGTACTATCATGGTTCACTGCAGCCTCATTTTGACCTCCTGGGCTCAAATTGATCCTCCCACCCCAGCCTCCTGAGTAGCTGGGACTGTATGCACATGCCACCATACCTAGGTAATTTTTAAAGATTCTTTTATAGAGATGGGGTCTTCTTATGTTGCCCAGGCTCGTCTCAAACTCCTGGGCTCAAGTGATCCTCCCGCCTCTGCTTCCCAAAGTGCTGGGATAACAGGCGTGAGCCACTGCACCCAGTCGATGGCGTGTATTAAAAGGAATGATGATATAAATACTGATGACTAACATTTATTGAGTGTTTTTTCCATGTCAGGCATTATATCAAGCACTTTACATGCATATCTCATCAGTAAAACATTTGCATTTTTATTTCTTATCACTAGTAAATCCTTCTCCTCCCAGAAGCATTTAAAAATCCACAAACCATGGCTAACTTCCTGTGAAATGGCTTAGTGGGCAAAAATTCAGAATAAGGGGAGTGTGAGTCCATGTCTCCTTTCCAGAGATGAAGAAGTTTCTCTTTTCTGTGCATGAAGAAGACAATGGGATATGGATGACACTAAACCTTTGAAAGTTCCTGCTAACCTCCAGGTGGAAGGAAAGGGCCCACGGTGATCAATAAATGTGTTTGCTATTTTTTGGGTGAAAGGAAGAGAGCCTGCACCTCTGTTGGGGTAGGTTATCCACGCTGTCTGCCTGGGGTCCAGATTCCTGGCATTGATATGACTTCTTGGCTCTCTTGAGCCCTGAATCTGCTTCAAATTCAGAAAGCCCCAAGACTTCTGGGCTCTATAATTACTCTGGGCTTTGGAGAATGGTTTCTCTTATGAGCAAAACAATGGTGGAAACTTGTACCAATGAAGGAAACACACAAGCGTGTAGAGGAACATTGCTGTTTGCTGATGATGCTGGTGGCTGCTTGGGTGAGAGATAAACTCTCCAAAGAGCGTTGGCCCTTTTGTGGCTGCAGGATCTGGGTGAAAGAGATTCTTGTAGTCTATCCTATCACTAGATACTATCTGTCTTAGTCCATTTTGTGCTGCTATAACAGAATACCACAGACCAGGTAATTTACAATGAATAGAAATTTACTTGGGTCACAGTCCTGGAGGCTGGGAAGTCCGAGGTTGAGAGCTTACATCTGGTGAAGGCCTTCTTGCTGCATCATGGTGTGACCCAAGGCATCACATGGGTGAGAGAGAGGGTGAGAGAGAGCACCTACTCCTGTGAAAACCAGCCCGCTCCCATGATAAAGGCATTAATCCATTCAGAAAGATGATGTCCCCATGATCCAAACACCTCTTGAAGGCCTCACCTCTCAACACGGTTGCATCAGGGATTAAGTTTCCAGCACTTGAACTTTGGGGAACACATGCAAACCATAGCAATATCTGTGCCGGATATTTTGTATTTGCTCCTTTACATCCACTGTCCACCCCCATTTCCTGCTTTGTACCCCAGGAGGCTGACTTCTATGGACTACATCACATGTGGTCTCCCATCCTCTTGTGGCTGCTTGGGTTTGGCCAATGGGGTGGGGATCATAGAATACTAGAAGGTGGGAGGAGAGAGGGATTCGGATATTTATTTCTGTGGCTCCTTCCTGTTGGGTTGCCATAGGTTGGAAGCTCCTGCCAGGCAGCTGTCTTTCCCTGAAGACTGTGGCTACTCTCCTTGGGTTCCATAACTATTTCTCCTCCAGGTCTAGGGGTAGAAATGGCTCCTCACTGCTGCTAGTTAGGGCTACTGCAACCTCCCTTTTTGTTTTTGTTTTTTTTAATCCCACTTATACAGCTATATATAGCCCTTTGCTAAACTCTTTTTAGTTACCCCATTTGAGTTTACTATGTATTTCCTGCCACAACCTTGATTGATACAGCAGCCCAGAGAAGGGAAGCAATTAACTTTCTCACTCCTTTATTCATTCATCCAACCTCCCATCAACACTTACTCTATGCCAGGACTTGTGCTGAGGCTTTTAAGAATGAGACATGATTTCTTGTCTATGTCCCTGAGTTCTCAGTTGTTCACCCCAGAAACTGACTCTTACCAAAGAAAGAGAACATGCCGAAGGCATTGCTGAAGGCCCAGCCTTGGAAAACACCCCATACAAGGTGACTCCAGATAGCTTTATAGCGGCAACTCCTCCAAGGGCATGCGTTAGGGATAGGCTGATCTGGGGACCCCTGCTCTCCCTGCAGAGAATTCATGGAAACCCAATAGGGCCTGTGTTCTTGCATCATGAGTCAAGGTGCCAAGAGAGATCACCTGATTGGCTGATCCAGAGTCACACGGTTGGGGGAGGGTATACAAAGTGGAGGGCTCACCACAGCGGTCAGAGATAAGGCTGCTCCTTGCAGCTCTGTTTTTTGCAATTCCTCTTGGACCCTCCCCAGTTCGGCCACCACCCTTGAGGCTAGCAAGGGTGAGTTGTGTCAGAAGCATTCCATGCAAGGAAATAACAACTTGGAATCCAAATATATTCATTAGTAAGTAATGGAAACCTGAAATTGCTTAAACAAGATGGGACATTATTCTCTCACATTAAAAGGAATTTGGGGGTAGGTGAGTCTAGGGTTGGTTTATTCAGTAGTTCAGTTGTATCATCAAAGACCTGGGCTCTTGCCATCTTTGTGCTCTGACTTACAGAGCAAGGGCTTAATTCCAGTCTTTTCCTCTAATGAGCACAAAATGGGTGCCACAGTGCCTTACATCACATCCTAACACAATAACGTTCAATGTCCAAAGGTCAGAGGAGAAAATGTGTCTTCCTTGTGTCCATTGTTGACAGCAAGGAGGAAATTTCCATCAACTCTCATTGGTCACAATGGGTCACGTGCCTATTCGAAAGCAATCACTAGACAGGGGGTCAGTATTACTATGATTAGTTTAGGTCAGTCAAGATTCACTCCTTGAGGCTCAGAAGGGCAACTTCTCCTAAAGCATGTGACTGTTCAATACTTTAAAAATTGGGGTTCTCTTAGCAACGGAGAAGAGAGGCTCTTTTTTTGACAAGCAATCGTAGCATCTATCAAAGCATAAGAAAAGCTTGTGAGTGATGAGGTTGGAGACTGAGAAGGTTCCAGAACATGACATTCTGGTGAAGTAGGCAGGACCCAGGAATCTCAAAAGTGACCCAATGTCACAGAGTCTGTTGGTGGCAGAGGAATTGAGGCATCTAGAGGCATCTAGGCAGAGTGATTGAGGCATCTCACTTTCTACGCAGAAAAGGAGGCATTTGCTCCACAAAAGCCTCCTGCTAATTCCAGGGACCTTTCGCTGTAGAGACAACTTTATGGCATCAGTGACAACTTTGGCCTCATTGTCCTGACAGAGCCTAGAATGGTGCTATCTTTGGGCTTCATATCTGTGAGGCACTCAGAAATGTATGAAGCATTTCCAAGTCCATGGTCTCATTTGCTCTCCACTTTGCAGTGGGGAAACTGAGGTTCAGACAGGTGAAGAGACCCGATCAAGGTCACATAGCTGGAGAGCAGGAAACACTGAGCTCAACCCCAGATATTTTAACCAAAGGTTTTAGTTCTCTGCCTTCCTGCCTTCTAGATAACTCCATACAGTCTGCAGGGTAGATCCTCAATCATGATGTATGAAAAGCGTGAATGAATGCAAAAAAAAAAAAAAAAGGTTTAAAAAAGCTGTGCAAGCTGGGCACAGTGGCTCACACCTGTAATCTCAGCAATTTGGGAGGCCAAGGTGGGAGAATGTCTTGAGGCCAGGAGTTTGAGACTAGCCTGGGCAACATAGTGAGACTCCTTTTCTATAAAAAATTTAAAAATTAGCTGGGTATGGTGGTGTGCATCTGTAGTCCCAGCTACTTGGAAGGCCTAGGTGGGAGGATCACTTGAGCCCAGGAGTTCAAGACCAGCCTGAGCAACCTAGGGAGAGCCCGTCTCTACAAAAACTAATATAAATTAGCAAGGTGTGGAAGTGCATTTCTGTAATCCCATCTACTTGGGAGGCTGAGGTGGGAGGATTGCTTGGGCACAGGAGGTCGAGGCTGCAGTGAGCTGTGATCACACAACTGCACTTCCAGCCTGGGTGACAGAGTGAGACCCTGTCTCAAAAAATAAAAAAGTTGTGCAAAGATAAAAACCCAGTTATGACTCCCATTGTGGACCCATAAATAAAGCAAAGTTATCAAATAGAGATGTGTGAGCTGCTGAATGGAACAGAACTCACTGGGTTTATGGGGCTGTGTCAGGCACCTCTGACAATGCCAGATATTTACTTTGCAGATGAATGACTTCATTGCTTGCCCCAAATGCATCACTGGTGGGTAATATTTATGCAGATTGGAAGCATTCTCCCTCCTTTATATGGTCCTGGGCTGTTTGTAACCATTGGATTTTTTTACCTTTTGACTTGACGTTGTTCTTCACGGGACCGTGGTATGGGATGCATTTCAATAAACAATACCAAAGGACAGATTTCGGCTTTAAATAAAATTGTGTTCCGTAAAGTGGGAGACAAAGGCTTATAACTCACTGTCGGCTGCAGACATTTTGGCAAAAATTATCTTTCAGGCTTTGATCTCCACTGTATCATTTTACTGAGTGGCCCCATGTGCTCTATCAATCAAACCCACTGAAGATGCAGGAGAATCACATTTAAAATCAAATACAAATTGTAGATTCATCTGCCCAGGAGGAAGAGAAATGTGTCATGAATCCTGCCTTCAGTCTTCTATGATTACAACGGAATTAGTTTTTGAAAACTCCAGAGGATGGTTTTCCACTTCCCAACTTTCATATTATTATTATTATTTTTGAAGGGGGTAACATTAGATGGGTAGAGAGGTAGACTAAAGTGATTCAGCTGTGAGATCGGAGTCTCGCCTTCCATCTAACTGTAGGTTAGGGCCTTTTAATATTCCTCTGACAGAGATTCTTTATGTAGGAAGGGATGTTAAGAAGAAAGATGTTCTCTAACAAGAAAACATTTAGACAAAGAGGATATGACCTCCCTCACTCAATCTCGCCTGCTTTCTTGGCATACATGGGAAGAGAGGATGAACTAGAAAGGAAATATTATTTGCTGATCTCCTTTCTTTGTCTGAGGCACATTGCACAGGATGTCTCATTTGATATTCACATGCCCATGTGAGGTGAACAATCCACACCATGCTTTACAGAAGGGGAAACTGAGGTCAAGAAACATGCTCATGGGCCGGGCGCGGTGGCTCACACTTGTAATCCCAGCACTTTGGGAGGCTGAGGTGGGCGGATCATGAGGTACAGCATTCGAGACCAGCCTGGCCAACATGGTGAAACCCTGTCTCTACTAAAAATACAAACATTAGGCCAGGTGTGGTGGCATGCACCTGTAATCCCAGTTACTCGGGAAGCTGAGACAGGAGAATCGAATGAACCCGGAAGGCAGGAGGTTGCAGTGAGCTGAGATTGCACCATTGCACTCCAGCCTGGGCAAAAAGAGCGAAACTCCATCTCAAAAAAAAAAAAAAAAGAAAGAAAAACAAATATTAGCCGAACATCGTGGCACGTGCCTGTAATCCCAGCTACTCAGGAAGCTGAGGTAGGAGAATCGCTTGACCTCACGAGGTGGAGGTTGCAGTCAGCCAAGATTGTGCCACTGCACTCCAACCTGGGTGACAGAGCAAGGCTCTGTGTCAACAAAAAAAAAAAAAAAAAAGAAAAAGAGAAAAGAAACATGCTTATGGCTGAAGAGCTGAGCCCAAGTCTATGTGATTCTGAATAACATGCTTTTAATTTAATTAATTAATTAATTTACTTATTTATTTATTTGAGACAGGGTCTCACTCTGTCTCCCAGGCTGCAGTGCCATTGCACCATCATGGCTTGGCTCACTGCAGCCTTGACCTCCTGGGCTCAAGTGATCCTCCCACCTCAGCCTCCCAACTACCTGGGACTACAGGCACACACTGCCATGCTCAACTAATTTTTTTTTTTGTTTTTTTGCATTTTTTGAGGAGACGGGGTCTTACTATGTTGCCTAGGCTGGTCTTGGACTCCTGCATTCAATTGACCCTCCTGCCGCGACCTCCCAAAGTACTGGGATTATAGGCTTTAGCCACTGTGCCCAGCCTAAAACTTTTGAGAAAGAATGCTTCTTGTTGATTGTCTCCCCTCTCTATTACCTTAGTGTCTGGCATATAGTAGGTGCTTGAAAGCACTTGTTTAGTGCCTAAGCCAGGGGCTGACAACCTTACTGTAAAGGCCCAGATAGTGGATTATTTGAGGCTTTGGGGGCCATGTGCTCTCTTGCAACCATGCAACCCTGCCGTTGTAGTGCAAAAGCAGCCACAGACAATACTTTATTTATAAACTCTGAAATTGGAATTTCATATAATTGTCATGTAATGACGTATTATTCCTTTTGTCTTTTTCCCACTAACTATTTAAAATGTAAGAACTAGCTGGGCGCAGTGGCTCATGCCTGTAATCCCAGTACTTTGGGAGGCCGAGGTGGGCGGATGACCTGAGGTCAGGAGTTCGAGACCAGCCTGGACAACATGGTAAAGCCCTGTCTCTACTAAAAATACAAAAATTAGCTGGGTGTGGTGGCAGGTGCCTGTAATTCCAGCTACTCAGGAGGCTGAGGCAGTAGAATCGCTTGAACCTGGCAGGCAGATGTTGCAGTGAGCTGAGATGGTGCCACTGCACTCCAGCCTGGGCGACAGAGCGAGACTCCATCTCAAAATAATAATAATAATAATAATAATAATAATATAAAATGTAAGAACCATTCTTTCTTAGCTTTCAGGCCATAGGAAAACAGGCAGCTCGGATTTGGCCTTCAGGCTGTATTTTGCAGATTCCTGGTCTAAATAATTACCTTAATTATCACAGTAGCAGATACTAGCAGATACTAAGAACTAGTGTATCTCCAAAGTCTAGTTTGGTGCCCGGTACAAACATTCTTTCCCCAAGGTGGAGTCCACTTGACCAGAGTGGAGAGTTACAGTGCTGGGGAAGAGTTGGAAGACATCGCTGCCTGGGGGTGGGGGAAGGGCAGAGAAATCTCTTGGGGTTTGTTCTGGGGAAACTGGGAATTGTGGGAGAACTGAGGAGGCGGGAAAGGGGACTTTAAGAATATTATTGTGGGCCAGGCGTGGTGGCTCACGCCTGTAATCCCAGCACTTTGGAGGCTGAGGCGGGCAGATCACGAGGTCAGTAGATCGAGACCATCCTGGCTAACACAGTGAAACCCCGTCTCTACTAAAAATACAAAAAAGTAGCCGGCCATGGTGGCGGATGCCTGTAGTCCCAGCTACTCGGGAGGCTGAGGCAGGAGAATGGCGTGAACCTGGGAGGCGGAGCTTGCAGTGAGCTGAGGTCGCACCACTGCACTCCAGCCCGGGCGACAGCGAGACTCTGTCTCAAAAAAAAAAAAAAGAGTATTATTGCAGGTTAGGAATTGGACCTTTTATTACAGAGGTTCTCACTGGGGACTGAATTGTCCCATGTGTGTGTGTTTGTGTGTGTGTGTGTGTTTGTGTGTGTGTGTGTGTGTCTGTGTGTGTGTGTGTGTTTGTGTGTGTGTGTTTGTGTGTGTGTGTGTTTGTGTGTGTGTGTGTGTGTGTGTTTGTGTGTGTGTGTTTTAAATCTGCAGAGAGCTTTTGGTTGCCCTAATGATAGGGATGGGGGAGTCATTACGGTGTGGGGTAGTTTTTTGAATATATATATGTGTAGATCCCAAATTCATATGGGTTAGAAGAACCATGATTATCAGAGTCTATAACCTTGTTCTATTTTTTTTTTTTTTTTTGAAACAGAGTCTCACTCTGTCACCCAGGCTGGAGTGCAGTGGTGCCATCTCGGCTCACTGCAACCTCTGCCTCCCCGGTTCCAGCGATTCTCCTGCCTCAGCCTCCCGAGTAGCTGGGACTACAGGCGGGTACTACCACGTCCAGCTAATTTTTGTATTTTTAGTAGAGACGGAGTTTCACCCTGTTGGCCAGGATGGTCTTGCTCTCTTGATCTTGTGATCGGCCCACCTCGGCCTCCCAAAGTGCTAGGATTACAGGTGTGAGCCACCACGCCCGGTCCAACCTTCTTCTATTTTATCTGCCTATTCTATTTTATATGTTTACATGTTCTATTTTACATGTAAGTGTTGAATGAACACTGATGTTTCCAAGAATGTAGCAGCTATGGTGTAAATCAAGAGAAGATTTGACTCTGTTTGGTATGGGAATTTATCAAGAAAGAGCCACTCTTTTGAAGAACATGGCACTCTCAGTAAAGCCGATGCGACAACACACCACGCTGTCTGCGTTTGTGACTGTCACTGGTTATTCTACACACACGTGTGTGAGCACTTGACTGCTTCGCTCCGTCTTTCCTGGTGGAAACCCAAATCATTTCTCTATATATTATTTCATTAGAAATCCTCATCATTTCATTTCTCCTTTTTATTATAATTAGGGCACAATTGTGATTGGTTAGAAGAGTAGATGGGTTATAGGATCAGCACATTTTTTTTTTTTCAGGGTAGAAAAGAGAGCTTTTCAGCTGGGCATGGTGGCTCACGCCTATAATCCCAGCACTTTGGGAGGCTGAGGCTGGTGGATCATTTGAGGTCAGGAGTTCGAGACCAGCCTGGCCAACATGGTGAAACCCTGTCTCTACCAAAAATACAAAAAAAACAATGTACCGGGCATGGTGGCACGCATCTGTAATCCCAGCTACTCGGGAGGCTGAGGCACGAGAATCGCTTGAACTCAGGAGGTGGAGGTTGCAATGAGCCAAGATCCCACCACTGCCCTCCAGCCTGGACTATAGAGTGAGACCCTGTCTCAAAAAAAAAAGAGGGCTTTTCAATTGGTTGGTTAAAACATGGGACATTGGATCTGATGGCACCAAGAATGCCTGCCCTGTAACACTGTTTGAGCTGATGTGTGGGGAACTGCTTTTGGATTACTTATGGGTTGCTGAAATATACTTCTTTGAATGCAGAGATTGGGCCCCTGATTATATTTGGGAGGCAAAACCATCACCTTGTAGGCACCTGGCAGGGTAAAATAAATGGATGCTTCTTAGAGGCCAACTGCTCTCTCACTTCCTGTTTCCGTTTTGTTTGCAGCGTAAAGCCAGATGCCTTTTATCTCTTGTATCAGTGCTGGTTGTCTGAGAATTTTTTTTTTTTTTTTTGGACAGAGTCTCGCTCTGTCACCCAGGCTGGAGTGCAGTGGCGCAGTCTTGGCTCACCGCAACCTCTGCCTCTTGGGTTCAAGTGATTCTCCTGCCTCAGCCTCCCAAGTAGCTGGGATTACAGGTGTCCACCACCATGTTCAGCTAATTTTTGTGTTTTTAGTAGAGATGGGATTTCACCATGTTGGCCTGGCTGGTCTCAAACTCCCGACCTCAGGTGATTCACCTGTCTTGGCCTCCCAAAGAGCTGGGATTACAGGTGTGCACCACCACACCCAGCTAATTTTTGTATTTTTAGTAGAGATGAGGTTTCACCATGTTGTCCAGGCTGGTCTTGAACTCCTGATCTCAAATGATCTGCCTGCCTCAGCTTCCCAAAGTGCTGAGATTACAGGCATGAGCCACCATGCCTGGCCTGGGCAGAGTTTTTAAAAATGCTTCAAACTCTCCTTTAGCTCAGTTTCGGTAGAGTCATTCCTTTACAGTATAGTTACAGTGGAGCTGCCAATCAGCTCAGGCCACACCCAGCCCACAGTCTCAGAGGGGCTGGGTCCCTGCTCTTTCTCTCTCCCTGAAAAGTGGCTGTTAATTTTCTCCTTTAGTCTCCTTTCCCCAGAAAGATATTTCCCTTTACCTTATGGGAGTTTGATAAAACTGGCATCTCCAGCCTTCTTTTCCTTATGTTGGTTTTTCTGCCACAAAAGGCCCAGAGACATTGTCTATGGAACGTTTGGCTGCAGCTGGGCAGGTGTTTTATTCTATTGGAAAATTCCACTAGGATTTTCTATGATTACAATAGAGCATGGGTCCTCAGTCAAACCCTCCACCACTTATAAGAAGCTCTGTGACTTTGGGGAAGTGACTTAACCTCTCTGAGCCTCACTTTTTCTATTTGGAAAGAGTGATGGGTTGGTAGGTTTTATGTGTTAACTCTTAGGGATACAGGGTGCACAGCTATTTGCCTAAACATCATTTTGGGTGTGTTCGTGAGGGCGTTTTGGGATGACTGTCATTTAAATTGGCAGATTGAGGGAAGCAGTTGCCCCTCCTAATGTGGGTGGACTTCATCCAATCCACGGAAGACCTGAATAGAGCAAAAGTCGGTCCTTTCCGAAGTAAGAGAGAATTCCTCCTGCCTGAAGGTTTTTAAACTGCACCATTGGCTTTTTTCTGCCTTTGTACTCAGACTGAAACACTGCTCTTTCCGGGTTTCGAGCCTGCTGGCCTTAGGACTGGAACTAACACCATCAGTTCTCTGGGGTCTCCAGTTTGCTGCCTCGCCCTGCAGATGACAGCACTTGTTAGCCTCCATAATTGCGTGAAATCTCTTTCTCTGTTTAGACATTGGTTCTGTTTCTCTGGAAAACCCCAGTCAATACAGGCGGTGATCATATTTTGAGGATTAAATGATACAATGAATAGAATATGCTTAACACACAGTGAGTGCTTGGCACATATGATCTCCTCAATACACATCAGCTTTATCATGGAAATTATTATGTATCATTATACAAAATATAATAAGATTTCAAACTTGTGTTCTCTTACATGTCCTCTAAATTATTCAATGGAACAAAAAACTCTTCACTCATTTTTGTGTGTATGCAAACTTAATGTCTTTCAATAAATTTTCCAAGTTATTGTATGTTCGCAAGGACATAATTCTGTTTGACTTCCCATCTTTCCAATACTAGTAGTGAGCCTCATTAGCACATGAATGCTGGTGTCTGTGAGATGTGCTTGCCTTCACTGTCCTGTTTGCCTTGCCCAAGGTGGGCGATGGAAAGGACAAGCCATCTATTATTGGTTGGAGGAAGGACCAACCATCTACTGTGGCAGTCTGCTCAGGCTGCCATACAAAATACCACATACTACGTGGCTTAAACAGGAGACATTTATTGTTCACTATTCTGGGGGCTGGGAATTCGAAGATCAAGGTGCTGGGTGATTTGTTTCTCCAGTGAGGGCCCTCTTTGTGGCTTTCAGTTGGAAGCCTTCTTGTTGTATCCTCACAGGGGAGAGAGAGAGCACGCAAGCATGAGAGAGTGCAAGAGAGAGAGGGAGAGATCAAGCAAGAGTGAGAGACAGAGAAAGACATCTCTGGTGTCTCTTCTAATATGGACACATCACATCTCCAGGACCTTAGGCTTATGATCTCATCTAAACATAATCACCAAAGCCGCATCTTCAAATACCCAAATACCGTAACACTGGTAATTAGGGTGTCAGCTTCGACATATCAGTTTGGGGGTGGAGGCACAAACGTTCATTTCATAGCACTTCCTTTTCCAAAAATGCTCCTTAATCCCTCCCTGCCATCCTTGCTATTCTCATTTGACAGATGAGGAAATTAAGACTCCACGATGTGCCTTAGGTTGCCCATAGCTGTACATCTTATAAGTGCGAGCTCCCCAGATAATTGCATTCATCCACAAGAGCAGAGTTAACCACAGCATCATAGCCATCCAGGGAGCATAATGCCCCGTTAAAAATAACAAAGCGTAGAGACCCAGCCTGAACTGAAGATGTGTCTGTGGTTGGGGTTCAGGGTTCTTTGATTTCCAGATCTACCACCCAGATATTTGTCAAGTTACATCTACCTCTGGTGCTCATTTCCATATCTCTAAAACAGAAATAATAACTGAGAGGATTTTGTGGCGTCATGCAGATGAAGTGGCTCTCAAGAGCCTGACTTAGTAAACGTTGGCTGCGTGTTGGGCATTATTAGCTAAGATGTATAAACAGCAGAGGTTTGGTTTGTATGAGTAGATCATATTCCTGCCTGTTGTCACTGAGGGAGAGCAGAGTCCTAAGGGGAGGGGACACAGGTCAGGAGAATTCTAGGGGGTGGGGGATGTTTCTGATTTCTCAACAATGGGTAAATCTGGGAATCTCATGAGAGCTTCAGTGGGTAAATCTTGGAATCTCGTGAGCAAAATGTGGACGTGAAGAAGGAAGAAAAGCTGCTTGGAGGATTGGTGAAGGAGGAGGGAAAGGGAAAAATAAAAGGAAAAAAACATTTAGGTGGTGCTAAGTGCCACACATTTTCCGTTTTTGCATCAGTGAATTGTAAAATCACACTGCAAGGCTGGGGATATTATCCCCATTTTACAGATGAGAGAGAGGAGGCTGGGCAAGTTAATGAACTGGTTCAAAGTATCACAGCTAGAGAGTTGGAGCCAAAGTGAGATCGCACAGCTACGCAGACTCTAAAGCCCTTGTCTGTATATTGAATCAAATTTCCCCTTTTTCTGGCTTAGGTAAACTGAGGCAGGAAGTGATGAGAAAGGGTTAAGAGACGTCGGCTGCTCCTTAAACATCTCCCTTCCCAGTGTCATTTGCCATCCATAAACTCTTTCAAAATGTGATAATGGTTTTGATTTTCCTGTCATCTCGATTTGATATGAGAAATTTGGGATTTCCAAATTGACAGAAAACTCGATTTTAAAGATGCTGGAAGGCAAACATCTGTGAAAAATCACAGGAATAATGTCAACATCTGTCCCTGTGAAAGGAAATTGCTGAGGTTCTCAATTTACAGCCAATCAATCAATCTTGGAGGCCAGGGTGCTTGCAAATTGAAATGCATGTTGAAGCTATAGGGATGGCTAATTAATTTAGTTTGTATGCCTATAAGATTTTTCATTGTTTCCAGTTAAAAAAAAATTCTCTTTTGAATAGAAAACGTGTGCATATGGTAAAAAAAAAAAAAAAATTAAACAGTACCAGAAAAAGTATACAGTGAAAATTAAGTTTGTTTTCCATCCCAACCACCAGTTCTTCTTCTCCAAGGTCACAAGTGTTGCTGGCTTCTCTTGAAAGTTTCCAGAGATACAATCTTTATATAGAAAAACATATGTATATATGTCTCCTCCCGGTTTTATAAATGATAGCCCATTGTACATATTACACTGCATCTTGACTTCATTCAACAATATATCTTTGAGGTTTTTGCATAGCAGTCCATATAGACATTCCTTATTCTTTTTATCAGCTGTGTAGTATTCCAGTATACGGATGTGTATAAATTAATCAGTTCCCTCATGGTGGACATTCAGGATATTTTCTGTCATTCTCCACAATTTATGCTAGTATGTCCATCTTGGTGTGTGTTCATCAGTAGGATACAAATCTAGAGGTGAGCCTCCTGGGCAGATGGGATGTGCATTTAAAGTATGATGCCTTCATGTAAAGGGAAGGTTTTCTTTTCTTTTTTCTTATTTTATTAAGAGACGGGGGTCTCACGATGTTGCCCAGGCTGGTCTTGAACTCCTGGGCTCTAGCAATCCTCCTGCCTCAGCCTTCCAAAATGCTGGGATTACAGACGTGGGCCACCGTGCCTGGCCAGGTTTTCTTTGTTATCTTGGAGGGAGCATCACCCCCGTCAAGGAGATCAGATTGGTGAAGGTGGGATGCTGTGTCTGAGAGCTTAATGACTGTTCACAGATATTGTGGCTGCCCTTCTCTAATGTACCTGCTTCTTCAGGCCCAAAAGGTGGAAATGATGTTTGTTTCTTACTTCTTTGGGGCTTTGACTGTGCCATTGAGATTTTGTGCTCAGGGATAAACTACCGTGTATTTACAGTTACCTCAACCTGTGAGGTTTGATGCCTCTTTCTTTCTTTCTTTCTTTCTTTCTTTCTTTCTTTCTTTCTTTCTTTCTTTCTTTCTTCTTTCTTTTTCTTTCTGTCTCTTTCTTTCTTTCTTTCTTTCTTTCTTTCTTTCTTTCTTTCTTTCTTTCTTTCTTCCTTCCTTCCTTTCTTTCTTTCTTCTTTCTTTTTTCCTTCTTCTTTCTCTTTCTTTCCTCTTTCTCTCTCTCTTTCCCTCCCTCCCTTCCTTCCTTCCTCCATCCCTCCCTTCCTTTCTTGCTTTTTTTTTTTCTTGCTTTGTTACCCAGGCTGGAGTGCAGTGGCATGATCATAGCTCACTGCAGCCTTGAACTTCTGGGCTCAAGCAATCTTCCTGCCTTGGCCACCCTGGGATTACAGGTGTGAACCGTGGCGCCCAGCCTTGGCCACTTTCTTTATTCTAAACTTCTTTGTTCCATACTTTGCTTCTTTTCCCTGGATCCATCCCCACCAGCCTCCCTTGTCACTCCAGTGATAGGACACTCAGTCTTGCCAAGTCAATGTAAACCCAGACCCTTCTCATTTAAAACCTAGTCTCTTTGGTAAACAGTCAATTCAGGATTCTCACATCAATCTGAGTTTTAAATCTTAATTAGTTGAAAGATTTTCATATCTTTATCTTTCCACTTTGGTCACTGGCTTCGCTGTGGGTGCTGCACCACTCAGACCTCTGTGCAGGACCACCGAGGCCCTCTGTCCCCCCAGCTGCTGGGAGACCTGGCTGCTAACAGCTCATAGCAAAGTCCTGCCTCTGGCAAGAAGGCACCTGTAGGAAGCCACCTAGTGCTGGGAAATCCTCCTCCCCTCCTAGGCATCCCATAATCCTGGAGGGTTACAAAGGCTCTGTCCCTTGCCCCTCTGTATGGGAGTGTATTAGTCAGCGTTCTCTAGAGGGACAGAACTAATAGTATAGATGTATATAAAAAGCAGAGTTTATTAAGGAGTATTGACTCACACGATCACCAGGTGAGGTCTCACAATAGGCCATCTCCAAGCTGAGGAGCAAGGAAGCCAGTCCAAATCCCAAAGCCTCAAAAGTAGGGACGCTAACAGTGCAGCCTTCAGTCTGTGGTCAAAGGTCCAAGAGTCCCAAAGCTGAAGAACTCAGAATCCGACGTTCGAGGGCAGGAAGCATCCAGCACGAGAGAAAGATGAAGGCTGGAAGACTCAGCCAGTCAAGCCCTTCCATGCTGCTCTGCCTGCTTATATTCTAGCTATGCTGGCAGCTGATTAGATGGTGCCCACCCAGATTGAGGGTGGGTCTGCTTTTCCTAGTCCACTGACTCAAATATTAATCTTTTTTGGCAACACCCTCACAGACACATCCAGAAACAATACTTTGTATCCTTCAATCCAATTAAGTTGACACTCAGTATTAACCATCACAGGGGGTGTCTCAGGGGTCCTGGCGACTGTTCCACAGTGCCACTCCCCTCTCTGCCCAATGCTGCTTCCTTGCTTTCCAGCAGGTGCTCCTCCCAGTAAACCCCCTGCACCCAGATCTCCATCCCACAGCTTGTCTCTCTAGAAACCTGACCTATGACAGGCTTATAAACACCACAACAGGGCATGGGTATGGGCCAGGAGAGCTACTCCTCTCATCTGCTGAGGGTCCTACCCCAGGACCCCTGGGGAGGGATGAGGTCCCTGTTGTTCATCTGGGTGATCATCTAACTCCTGATGAGCCCAGGAGTTAGAGACCGGCCTGGGCAACGAAGTGAGACCCCATCTCTCCAAAAAAAAAAAAAAAAGTCAAAAAATTAGCCAGATGTGGTGCATGCCCCCAGCTACTTGGGAGGCTGAGATGGGAGGATAGCATTAGCCCGGGAGGTTGAGGCTGCAGTGAGCTATGATTGCACCACTGCTCTTCATCCTGGGTGGCAGACTGAGACCCTGTCTCAAAAAAGTTGTCATGGTCCTATGACATTTTTTTAGGTCCTATGCAGGGGTGCAGGTGGAGGTGGTTTCTGGTTCTACCTGACTGTCTTCGTTCAGCCTGGTCCATTTGTTGACTCTGCTACCCAGAAGTGAAAGAATATGGCATCTTTCTCATCTCTATATGGTCCCCATGCAGTAAGGAGTTGACTCAGCCGGTCTGGGGAGTTCAAATCCTGCACATTCCAAAGAAAGCTCTGGCCGTTGATTGGCTCCTGGGAGATAACCGCCAAGTCTTTGGAACATTCTGCCTGATAAGAGTGTCTTTGTTTACCTATGGCCTCAGGCTGAGCTAGCTAGTCCATGCTAACAATGCAATTTATGGTGAGTGCCTGTTTTTGTATGTGTCAGTTTGACCTCTAGAGGGGCTGGAGACTGAGTAACAAAAGTCACCCATGCAGGTGCTCCATGCCTGGGTGATGAAATGCTGATAAAACCCCTGGACACCAAGGCTTGGGGGAGCTGCTGTGGCTGGCAGTACTTTGTATACATTGCTAATTGTCTCTTATAGCTTGGCTGTGTCCCCACCCAAATCTCATCTTGAATTGTAGCCCCCACAATTCCTACGTGTTGTGAGAGGGACCCAGTGGGAAGTAATTGAATCACAGGAGTGGTTTCCCCCATACTGTTTTCATGGCAGTGAATAAGTCTCACAAGATCTGATGGTTTTATAAGGAGAACCCCTTTCACTTGGCTCTCATTCTCTCTTTGCCAGCCGCCATGTAAGACATCCCTTTGCTCTCCCTTGCTCTTCTGCCATGATTGTGAGGCCTCCCTAGACACGTGGAACTGCGAGTCCATTAAACCTCTTTTTTTTTTTCATAAATTACCCAGTCTCGGGTGTGTCTTTATCAGCAGCATGAAAACAGACTAATACAGAGCATTAGGAGCTATCCTTCTAACTCCACTGGGAGAAAACTACTGGAAACTTACCCCTGGTCTCTCTTGGAGAGACCTATGCATCTTGTACCTTGGTTGATTTTAATCTGTATCCTTTTAGTGCAATAAACAATGTTCATGGGGACAATGGCTTTCCTGATTCTGTGGGTCCTTCTGGCAAATCAATGGGCCTGAGGGTGGTCTTGGAGATCCCTGACAAAAGTCACTGTAGCCAGGGACCATCTTCTGTTGAGCTTATTTCAGAGGAAGATGTCATAGGTAACGGGCGTTGGGGGCACCCTGGTTCCATTTGTTGACTCTGCTACCCAGAAGTGAAAGAATGTCGCATCTTTCTCATCTCTGTATGGTCCCCTGCAGTAAAGAGTTGACTCAGGAGGTCTGGGGAGTTCAAATCCTGCACATTCCTAAGAAAGGTCTGGCCCTTCACTGGCTCCTGGAAGATAACCACTAAGTCTTTGCAGCATTGTGCCTGATAAGGGTGTCTTTATTTGCCTTTGTTCTAGTTCTTGTTCTAGGTGCTGGTGATAGAACTGTGAACCAAAGGTCATTGCCTTCAAGGAGTTTATATTCAAGTGGAGAAGATGGAAAACCCTCCCCTCACAAACAAACAGACTCTGAAACCTGATAAATAAATATTAGCATTCAGTGAAGTGTTAATGAGTTTCTGTGAGCACATACAATCCTTAGCAGAGTTTATCTCATCCTGCCTGAGCTAGCCCCTGCCTCCCTCCCCAGCCCACATATTTTGCCACACCCTTTTCATTCCTCCCAACATTCCAATTCCTTCAACACATGGAACTCCTTCTCACCCCAGGGCCTTTGCACATGTTACTATCTCTGTATAAATGCATTCCTCTCACTTGACACCTGGATAACTCCTCATTGTCCTAGTCTTAGCTTAAATGTCATCATCTGGCCAGGCCTGATGGCTGACACCTGTAATCCCAGCACTTTGGGAGGCGGAGGTGGGAGGTTCGCTTGAGCCCAGGAGTTACAGACCAGCCTGGGCAATGAAGTGAGACCCCATCTCTACCAAAAGAAAAAAAAAATCAAAAAATTAGCTGCATGTGGTGCTGCATGCCTGTAGTCCCAGCTACTTAGGATGTTGAGGTGGGAGGATCATGTGAGCCTGGAAGGTCGAGGCTGCAGTGAACTGTAATTGCACCATTGCACCTCATCCTGGGTGACAGAGTGAGACTGTCTCAAAAAAAAAAAAAATTCATGACCTTGGGGAAGCCCAGTTGGATACTCTCCTCTTTCCCCAGACCAGCTGGATCTACCATCATAGGCTGTTATAGCATGCATCCAATTCTCTCTCTCTTTCTCTCGCTCCTTTTTTTTTTTTTTTTTTGTAGAGATGCAGTCTCACTATATTGCCAGGGCTGGTCTTGAATTCCTGGGCTCAAGCAATCCTCCCACCTCGGCCTCCTAAAGTGCTGGGATTACAGGTGTGAGCCACCATGCCTGGCCTGTTACCTTTCATTTTTATTTCAGTCATCATTCTGAGTGGCTGAGCATATGGATGTGTTGATTGTTGAAATAAATCATTTAGGCAAATTGTTACGGGCCCCATCTAAATTCAGAATCCAGCCATGGATCTGGTCTGTAATTCTTCCCAGCCACACTCTTCCCTGTTGGAGTCCGAGTTCTCCACTCTAGACCTGCAGCGGGAAGCTTTCCAGGGACCAGCCAGTTCCACCGCCTCCAGAGCCACCCCTCACCTGCTGACCTCTTCCTATGTTAGCTGCCCCTCTCGCTGCCTGCTGCCCTTCCCCGGGCCAGCTGATACGAGAGCTGGCGATAACTTGAAATGCTCCCCGCAGAAGATAAATGAGAGGGGAATCTCAGCAGGCATTGAGCTCTGTACCTAACGACTGGCAGTTGGGGCTTCTAATTTTAGGCCTGGGAAGGAAGCTGATTTCTGTGATGAAGGTGGCCACACGCTTTATCAAGGGCCAATTTAGCAAAAATCTAAAATGTATATGAAGCCGTGGTAAGTCTGGATTTTCTTGGTATTTATGCTGGGAGGTTACTTAATGAGCGTTTGCTGTGTGACCACATTGCGGTATTAATCATAGGTGGCATTATAATTCTCTAAAATAACAGCCATAAGGCATCAGGGCAATTGAGGCTTGTATTAAGGGAATGGTCCTTTTTTTTCTTGCTGAAGTTAGGCAGCATGAGGCTGGTGTGTTTTTCCTTAAGGCACCAAGGCATCTGAGGTTTTGCACTGGGAATCCCTGGGCTCTCTGGGCCCTCTGGGTCCCTAGGGTCTTCTACTTGCCAACACAGCCTTGGGTTCTCTGCTTCCTGTTGGGGTGACAGGAACACATTGGTGGTCTCTGATGGATATACCAGGCGCTCTGCATAATTTTTCTTCTTGCTTCCGGGGGTAACTCCAGCCCCATCCCTTGAAGGTGAATTTTATGTTATATATATATTTTTTTGCTTAGGCAAGTTTGATTTGGGTTATATTTTCATCATAAAGAATCATGACTATTGCAAATCATTATATAGAAAAGTGATTTTATTCTTGAGCCTGAGATATTCACAGTGAAAATGACAACACATTATTTCTGAGACACCTGCTGGGGGCATCCACCACTTTCCCCCAACCCATTCTCTCTATTCACCTCCAACCAATTTTATCCAAAAGCCAGCTCAGCTGACTGTACAACCACAAGGGATTTGGAGTTAGATGGATATGGCATTTATCAGCTGAATGATCTTGGGCATAATACTCAAACCTTCTGTGCCTCTGTTTTCTCATCTTTAAACGGGGATAGCACAGGGTTGGTGTGAGGAATAAATGAGTTATTATTGTCATAGTAATATACTAACATATAGTTAAATATAATTCTATCTGTCAGATGTAGACAGGGGTGGAGAATGCCTTGGAAGTCATTTCTTCCTACAGAATAAGTGATATGGTTTTGCTGTGTCCCCACCCAAATCTCATCTTGAATTCTAGCTCCCATAATTCCCATGTGTCATGGGAGGGACCCAGTGGGAGATAATTGAATCATGGGGGCAGTTCCCCCATACTGTTCTCATGGTAGTAAATAAGTCTGATAAGAGCTGATGGTTTTATAAGGGGTTTCCCCTTCTGCTTGGCTCTCATTCTCTCTTGCCTGCTGCCATGTAAGATGTGCCTTTTGTCTTCCGCTATGACTGTAAGGCTTCCCCAGCCATGTGGAACTGTGAATCCATTAAACCTATTTTTCCTTATAAATTACTCAGTCTGGGGTGTGGGGGTATGTCTTTATCAGCGTGTGAAAATGGTACCATAAGGAAGTACCTTAAGGTTAGACAATAAGTACAATAAGGAAGGAGGACCGCAATCCAGTCTTGTCTCCCAGAGCCTTGGCACAGAAAGATGGTAACCAATGCTTTGTCTTGGAAAATCCCTCCTACCTGCTGGGGAGACAAAGGAGCAAATCCAGCAGAAGATGGAGGGGAAGTGCTGGTTGAGTTGCTTGGCACCCCTTGCCTTTTTTCACCCTCTTCCTCAGCTCCCTGATCACCATACTCTCCCTGTGTCTTTTGGCTCCTGAGATCAGTTGTTGATGAAATGCTGGGCTGCGCTCACTCCCAGAGTGGGAGGAAATGGATGTGGGAACCCTCTTGGGGAGATGGGCAGTTACCGGGGCCCAGAGAACCAATGAGGGCTTTATCCTGCAGTCAGAGTTCAACACCAGCCCTTCCCAGAATCAATCACACCCTCCTTTCCACTATTTCACTGTCTGCCGTGAACTAACAGACATTGGTTGTGTTGCCCTCAGATTCATAGGCTGAAGTCTAACCCCCAATGTGATGGTATCAGGAGGTGAGGCCTTTGGAAAGTAATGAGATCATGAGGGTGGAGCCCTCATGAATAGGATTAGTGCCCTTGTAAGAAGAGATATGAGAGAGATGATACCCGTCTCTCCACCACATGAGGACACAGTGAGAAGGCAGCCATCTGCAAGCCAGGAGAGAGTCCTCACCAGACCCTGACCATGCCAGCACCCTGATCTCAGACTTCCCAGCCTCCAGAACTGTGAGAAATAAATTGCTGTTGTTTAAGCTTCACAGTCTATTATAATTTGTTATAGCAGCTCAAGCTAACTAAGACACTACCCTGACACTCTATTTCAGAAATGACAAGGTTTGGGCTGGGTGTGGTGGCTCATTCCTGTAATCCCAGCACTTTGGGAGGCCAAGGTGGGTGGATCACCTGAGGCCAGGAGTTCAAGACCAGCCTGGCCAACATGGTGAAACCCTGTCTTTACTAAAAATATAAAAATTAGCAAGGTGTGGTGGTGCACACCTGTAATCCCAGTACTCTGGAGGTTGAGGCAGGAGAATCACTTGAACCTTGGAGACGGAAGTTGCAGTGAGCCGAGATCATACCACTTGTACTCCAGCCTGGGTGACAGAGTGAGACTGTCTCAAAAAAAAAAAAAAAAAAAAAAAGATGAGATTTGACTTCACAAACTAAAACTTTTGTTCAGAGAGAAGAGGAAAAGGGAGGGTGGGGGAAACCACCCATGCTCCCAAAGATATGAGACGTAGAATTGATCTAAGTGCCACAAAGCAGAATTTTTCTGACTCCATTCTGTTTCTCCTGTGATAATTCAGCTGCTTTCAAATTCCTCTCCTCTCAGACGGTCCTGAGAATCCAGTGGGAGTTTTCTCTGTGCTCCAGAACATAGTGGCCTCTTGCATTCATTCCCTACCAGAAATAATGTCTCATTCACCAGCTATTTTCTCAGCCAATAATTTTTGTCCACCCCCATTCCTCCTTCAGAAACTTGCCCTTCCCAGAGCCCTAGGAGACCCAGAACCCCATAGGATTCTTTTGGCTCTGGCCATGGCTGTGTACCAAGGGGTTGGATATGGGATTACAGCCAGGCCATGTGGACTCTCTCCCAGAAATTTGGAGTTGAAAATCTCTGAGCTTATCTCTGGAAGGTGCTTGAAACTAGAGGGGGATAGAAAGTTGGTGACAATATAGTCATGTTTGGCCTGTGGACAATTGCAATAGAAAAAACTGATATGCAGGGTGATATGGTTTGGCTGTGTCCCCACCTAAATCTCAAATTGTAGCTCCCATAATTTCCACATGTCATCGGAGGGACATGGTGGGAGGTAATTGAATCATGGGGCGGGTTTTTCCCATGCTGTTCTCGTGATAGTGAATAGGTCTCACGAGATCTGATGGCTTTAAAAAGGGGAGTTCCCCTGCACACACTCTCTTGCCTGCCACCATGTAAGACATGACTTTGCTCCTCATTCGTCTTCTGCCATAATTGTGAGATCTCCAAAGCCATGTGGAACTGGGAGTCCGTGACCACTCTTTTTCTTTATAAATTACTCAGTCTTGGGTATGTCTTTATTAGCATTGTGAAAACAGACTAATACATGGGGGGGCGGAGAGAGAGAGAGGGAGAGAGGGAGATGGGGAGCGAGAAGATGGGGGAGAGAGAGTGAGAGAGAGAGACAGAGAGAAAGAAAGAAGAGATTGAGAACACAATACAGACTTAGGAAGGACAGACCGGGAGCTCCCAGAAAGACAGAGACAGGCTGTGTTGACTCCTGCTATCTTTCTATCCCAAAACCCTGCTGTGCTTTCTGACTTTGGTTTTGTGGGATGCTTTATTTAATAGGTTGAACTGTGTTCTCCAAAGAGATATGTTGAAAGCCCTAACATCTCAGTACCCCAGAATGTGACCTCTGTTGGAAACAGGGTCATTGCAGATGTAATTACGAAGATGTGATACTGGAGTAGGGTGGGCCCTTAATCTAATACGAGATTGTCCTTAGAAGAAGTAGGAAATTTGGACACAGACCCACAGGGAAGACCCCCTTGTGACAATGGGGATAGCGATTGAAGTTCCATTTTAATGTACGTGCTGCCGAAGCGAGCACAAGGTAGAGATTGAAGTGAAGCTGCTACAAGCCCAGGAATGCCTATGGTTACCAGAAGCCAGGAAAGGAAAGGATGGGATCTTCCCCAGAGGCTCGGGGTACAGCTTTGTGAACCCCTTGATTTTGGACTTCTTCCCTCAAGAATTGTGAGAGAATAAATTTCTCTTGTTTCAAGCCACCTCGTTTGTGCTGTTTTGTTAATCATCCTTAGGAAATCAATATGCCCCTTATCCTTCTTGAATGAGCTCTGTACCTTATAATGAGATTATTGCAGTCTAAAAATCTAGAACTAGTTGCAGGAACATCACAGACAAGGGAAAGTTTGAACCACACCATGGATGAGTGACAAGCTTGGAAAAGAAGGGCACTTCACCTCTGTGGTATTCTTTGCAAAAACTCATGACCTGAGTCTAATCATGAAAAAAGAAAAAAATCAGACAAACTCAAATGGAGGCTAATACGGTTTGGCTCTGTGTTCCAAATCTCATCTTGTGGCTCCCATAATTCCCACGTGTTGTGGGAGGGACCTGGTGGGAGATGATTGAATCATGGGGACAGGTTTTTCCCGTGCTGTTCTCGTGATAGTGAATTAGTCTTATGAGATCTGATGGTTTTTAAAAATGGGAATTTCCCTGCACAAGCTCTTTTTGCCTGCTGCCATCCACATCAGATGTGACTTGCTCCTCCTTGCCTTCCACCATATTTGTGAGGCCTCCACAGCCACGTGGAACTGTAAGTCCAATAAACCTGTTCTTTTGTAAATTGCCCAGTCTCAGGTATGTCTTTATCAGCAGCATGAAAATGGACTAATACAGAGATATATCCTGCAAAATCCGTCCCCAGTACTCCTGAAAACTGCCAAGCTCTGTAGAGTTAGAGTTAGAATACCTTTTGTTGTTGAAGATGTGAGGGAAGTATGCATGTGAATTGACTGCTGAATTCACTTTTTTTTTTTTTGAGACGGAGTCTCGCTCTGTCGCCCAGGCTGGAGTGCAGTGGCGGGATCTCGGCGCACTGCAAGCTCCGCCTCCCCGGTTCACGCCATTCTCCTGCCTCAGCCTCCCAAGTAGCTGGGACTACAGGCGCCCGCCACTACGCCCGGCTAATTTTTTGTATTTTTAGTAGAGACGGGGTTTCACCGTTTTAGCCGGGATGGTCTCGATCTCCTGACCTCGTGATCCGCCCGCCTCGGCCTCCCAAAGTGCTGGGATTACAGGCGTGAGCCACCGCGCCCGGCCCTGAATTCACTTTTGTGCCATTTTTGTAAATACAATAGTTTTGTACAACCTTAGAAAAATAAGGAAAGGCTGAAGAAGCTACACATTTGGTTGGTGTGGTTTCTAATGTAGTTTTATTTTACATTAAAAGGTTTAGACAATGGGTCCTCATGGCAGTTGCTGGTGACTTACCTTGTAGTTGTAAAGCTGGGTTCTTGTTTTCTTTTTCTTTTAAATGAAATTATAATAATAATAATAATAATAATAATAATAATTATTATTATTATTATTATTATTTTGAGACAGCCTCTTGTTCTGTTACCCGGGCTGGAGTGCAGTGGTAAGTCGTAGCTCACTGCAGCCTTTAACTCCTAGATTCAAGGGATCATCCCATCTCAGCCTGCCAAGTAGCTGGGACCACAGGCAGATGCCTTCACGCCTGGCTAATTTTTAAATTGTTGGTAGAGATGAGGTTTCTGTATGTTGCCCAGGCTGGTCTCTAACTCCTGTGCTCAATCGATCCTCCTGCCTCAGCCTCCCAAATTGCTGGGATGATAGGTGTGAGCCACTGCACCTGGCTGAGGCCTTGTTTTCTTGCTGGCTGTCAGCTGGGGACCTCTATCAGCTTCTAGAGGCCACCTGCATTCTTTGACATGGCCCTGTCACAACATGGTAGCTTACTTCCTCCTAGCCAGCAAGGGAGTCCCTAAGTCTCCTAAGGGGAAATCTTATTTGGTGAAATATGATCAAGGGAGTGACATTTGGCACCTTTGCCATATTCTGTTGATTAGAAGCAGGTCACAAGTTCCATCCTCTCTCAGGCGGGGAGGCTTGTACAAGGGAGTCACCTTAGCTGTGTGCAATCAGGAATACAGCCCAGGGGCCGTGCCTGACAGTTAAGAGGACTCAGTGTGATCAAGCTGATCAATATGAAGTGGGTTAGGCAGCTGCCAGTGCTAAATTCTGTTTGGGAGTTTTCCAAGAACCAGCCCTACCCATGAGTATCTCTCTGGGTAAACCTCCTGCAACTTGGGAGTCACCTTAGCTGTGAGAACCGTTTTTCGATCTTACCAGCAAAAATGACAGCCCAGGGTATTCCAGGCAGCTGCTTCTCCAGCTCCAGGCAGATGATTTTGGCCCTGCCTTGCAACAGAAATGGAATCGTTTCGAGGGGATGGTCTCCTCGCTCTGGATCCAGCAGCAGCAGATGCTCCAGCCGAAGACGTGTGTCCACTCTGAGCAAGGTTGAGAGAATCAAATTAATTTCTTTTATGACCCGAGGCAAGCTTGAAATTGGCTCTTCCAAGATGAAAAAGGAGAGGCAGGAGTGGCTTGCCTGGCTCCCTACTCTCCTTCTCCTCCTGCCTCCACCTCCTTCCCAGCAGGGCTCCAGCAATTTAATCGGGGTGGGATTCCTTCCACCAAGCAAGGCAGTCTGTCACGCGCTGCTGCAGTAGGGGCCATGCCAGAGACAGCTTTTCGAAGCGGCATCTGTGGGCAGACATTTGGGCAACCCCACTAGGCTGGCAAGCCCTGGTCGATTTTTAGTGACCTCTTAGAAGTAGATGGGAGGGACTGTCAGCCATGCCGGAAGTGGGAGAGAGCAGAAGGGGTCAAAGACAAGCCTCGGCTGGGAAGAGCATCTCTGTGGTCCTGTAATTGATGATTGGGGTGGGGAGCATTGAAACGTTTCCCTTGAATCACAGCCTTCAGTGAGAATGGCTTTGCCTGCTGTTTGGACGGTGTGTTGAGAGTAGGGTAACCATATGTCCTCATTTGCTGCAACAGTCCCTGTTACGACTGCTTTCCTGGTTTTGCCTGTCTCGAAAGCATTCTGGTTTGGGCGATAACTTATAAGGTCATCCTAATTCTGGGTTTCACAGTCTCAGCACTGTGGACATTTTGGGCTAGATAATCCTTTGGGTGAGGGTTGTCCTGTGCACTGTAAGGTGTGTAGCAGCATCCCTAGGCTCTGCCCACTAGATGCCAGTAGCACAACCCCCTGCCCCATTGTCATTGCCAAATGTCCCCTGAGGGGAGGAGGAGGAATCACCCCTGGATGAGAACCATGGCCCTTTTTTAAGGGCACTGTTGAATCCTTCCTTCTGATACCATCTGGGGGTAACTTGAGTACTTGGTTCATGTTCTGGAAGGAAAAACTCCACATAGTGCTTCTGGGTTCATTTAGCCCATGTAAGCTTCGTTTTTCTGTTTCTTAGACCAGTATCTCACTTTTTGCAGGGAGAGGTGGGACCTCTCCTCCATTCTCAGCCCATGTGTTTTGGGTGACTCGAGAGACTGGGTTTGGCAGATGGGAGAATGCCATTCTCCTGGCTGTTGTGATTGATTCAGAAACCTGCCTTTAAGGTGGTTCAAAGAGCATCAGTGGCAGGACTTCTGTTAGGTGGATAGGGAAAGAGGGGTTCTCTTTTTGCTGGGGTTGCAAACCTGGTAGGGTGGAAACCGGGAGCTGCTGGTGGTCATCTCATCACCCTGGGGGAGAGCCTGCCTGAGAAGGAAATCACAGGAGAGCCGAGCTGAGAGAGGAGAAGGAAAGCCGATCACACTGTCTAACAGCCTGTATCCCCTCCAACCTGATGACAGATCTCACCTAGAGTGAATTTCTCAGTGAAGCCAGTTTGACTTGAGTTTCTGTCAACTTGCAACTCAAAAAGGCCATGTGTTGCCATGAGGTATTTCTCTGTTCCCTTTCCTAATCTAGAGATTAGGTAACTTTAATTCTGCTAATGCTGAGTTTTGTCTCATCAAATGGAAACATCACAGAAGTCTCTGATCTTGCCCCATCAACCCTTCCCATTACCTCTAGGGCTCAGCCAATGCTGCTGGTATCTTTTGCTTCATTTTTTCTTTTCTTTTCTTTTGTTTCTTTCTTTCTTTTTTTTTTTTCTGAGGCAGGGACTTGCTCTGTCACCCAGGCTGAAGTGCAGTGGTGTGATCACGGCTTACTGCAGCCTCAACCTCCTGGGCTCAAGTGATCCTCCCACCTCAGCCTCCTGAGCATAGGTGCACACCACCATGCCTGGCTAGTTTTTTAAATTTTGTTTGTAGAGAGGGGAGTCTTACTCAATCATTCAGGCTGGTCTCAAACTCCTGGGCTCCAGCAATCCTCCCACCTTGATCTCCCGAAGTGTTAGGATTACAGGTGTGAGCCACTGCATCTGGCTGCCTCATTTTTCTTAATCTTTCAAGACTCTGTAGAAATAATACCTACTCCTTTTCATTCCTCCTTATCTCCTGTCTTCCTTTCCAACACTATAGCCCTCTTTTCATTATTACCCACATTTACAAAAGGTCTTTGTAACTTAATGGCATACCCAGACAGAAATAATGTTCTCTGGGTTAATTATCTAGTTTGCCACAATCTCCTGTACCAGATTCTACCCAGCCTGCTCTGATTATAAAGGGGACTATTGAGAAATAGCTGCAAAAATGCACAAAACCATAAGAATTCCCATTCTAAGACCCAGAGCAGATGGCTTTTGGATTATTCCCTTCTCTTTTTCTATCATATGTTTACATAATTGAGTTCATCATCTATATGAAGTCTTACATACATATATTTTTATAAAGATATAAAATTATACAATCACCCCAATTAAAAGGCATGAACATTATTTTAATAATTGGAAGAAGATTTCATTGTACGAACATAGTGTAATTTCAGAAACATTTTTCTGTTGGTTGACACTTCATTTTTTACCATTTGCAATAATGTGATGGCTTCCTTGGGCATACATCTTTGTCCTCAACTGGATGTACTCCCCTAAAATAAATTTCTAGGAGTGGACCTTCTGGGTCAAAATGGGTGAGTATTTGTAAGGCTCTTGATACATATTGCCAAATGACCTTCCAGAAAAATTGTGCCTGTTTACATGCCTACCAGTGGCATGGAAGGGTCAGATGTCAGAATCATGATTGCAATTATTGATAAAGATCCAGCTAGTTCCAGTTTTGCCAACAATATTAACACCACCAGCACATCCACCAATAATAATAATAACAATAATGGTATGATAAATAAAATAGGTGATATGGTTTGGCTGTGTGTCTCCACCCAAATCTCATCTTGAATTATAATCACCAGGTGTCGCGTCGAGGGAGGGAGCTGTAAGCCCCACGTGTCGAAGGAGGGATGTGATTGGCTCATGGGGGTGGCTTCTCCCATGCTGGTCTCATGATAGTGAGTGAGTTCTCATGAGATCTGATGGTTTTAAATGTGGCAGTTTTTTCCCGTGCTCTCACTTCTCCCTCCTATCGCCTTGTGAAGATGTCTGCTTCTCCTTCTGTCATGATTGTAAGTTTCCTGAGGCCTCCCCAGCCATGCAGACCTGTTGTGAGTCAATTAAACCCCTTTTCTTTATCAATTACCCATTCTTGGCCAGTTGTTTATAGCAGTGTGAGGATGGACTAATACAATAGACTTATTGGGAGCTTGTAATATTCTAGCTATGTTACTAAAAATTTCACACATTATTTCATTTAGTCCATCCAGTAACCTAGAGATTAGGTATTATTATAATTCCCCCATTTACAAAATAGGATAATAAGGTACAAAGACGTTAAGCATCTTGCCTAATGACCACAGCCAGTAAATGGTGGATCTTAGATTTGATGCCAGGCATCTGACTTCTTCAAGCATTGTTTACTGTTTTAGTATGACGGAGATGACTAGTTGGATGTAATTCCACCTGAATGGCTAGCTTTACTGTGTACAGATCACCAAAGATCTACCTTGAGGAAAAACATTGCTATACATTGCAAATAATAGTCAGGGCTCTGGTATTAATGTTTCCCAGTCTCTCCCTCCTAAGGACATTGTCACCCTCCCAGACAGGTGTGTGGTAGAAGGAAACGACTCTCTCCTGATGCTATGAATTCCAAAGAATTCCCATTAACCATATTTCTAAGCCAGTTTGCTTTCTTTCAATGTGCACTTTCTGCAAAATGCCATCTGCACTTGTTTCCTGGGGAAACCATCTCTCTGAGGTGGGTAAGTTCTCATTGTGAAGATGGGGACTTGCCTAATGTTTGGCATTCCCTTTTTGGGGCACGTACAGTGATTTCTGAACTGACTTGAAAGGCCATTAACTTGGTTTTTACTGCCTTTTCTGGCTTGCAAATTTAATGCCTGGCTCCCAACATGTGTGAATGGACAAACAGCATCAGCATCATCTGGGAACTTGCTAGAAATAAAAATTCTCAGGCTTTACCCTAGACTTACAGAACCAGCAACTCTGAGGGTAGGTTCCAGAAGTCTGTGAGTTTACAAATCTTCCAGGTGATTCTGATCCGTGCTAAAGTTGGATCTACTGCTCTAAACCTTAGTTTCTTCCTTTATAAAATAATAGTAGTAGTAGCTGTAGCAGTAATAATAATATTGGCTTCATGGTTATAGGGGGAATTCCATGAGTAATTTGAGTCCTTGGCACTGTGCTTGGCATACAGTAGGTGCTTAATAAGTGGTAGTTGGCATCACTATCTCTGAACTGTGAAGGTCGCTGTGCTTAACCTATGTAGTATTTATCAGCCCCGCATCCCACTCCGTTCAGGGATGGCCCTTCTCCTGCCTGTGGGTCTGGTGGGACCACTCTGCAGAATTTCTTATGCCCAGATCTTCTATCATGGTGTGACAAAAGCATGGCCCATCAAATGCCTGCCTTCTGGGAATTTGCATCTTAAGGAGAGATCATCAAGGATGTAGAGTGATTAGAGTCCGGTCATTCCACGACCCTGCAGCCTAGTGCTTCTCAACCTTTAATCTGCTTAACGCTAACTGGAGGATCTTGTTCGAGGGCAGATTCTGACTCGAAAGGTCTGGGGTGGTTCTGAGAGAGAGTCTGCATTTCTGACGAGCTCTACTGGAGATGGTGATGCCAGTACTGCTGGTTTCTGGACTCACGGTGCAGTTGCATCCCGAGAGTAGTGAATCTCATTTTTCAACCTCACCTTAGAATCACCTAGGGGAGGTGTGAAACAAGACAGACCTGAGCCAGTTAAATCTCAGTTTCTTTCCTTTTTGCCTTGCCTTGCTCTGCCTTGCCCTGCCTTGCCCTGCCAGGGTCTCACTCTGTCATCTAGGCTGGAGTGCAGTGGTACAATCTCGGCTCACTGCAATCTCCACCTCCTGGGCTCAAGCTATCCTTTTGCCTCAGTCTCCTGAGTAGCTGGGACTACAGGCATGCGCCACCACATCCAGCTAATTTTTGTATTTTTAGTAGAGACGAGGTTTCGCCATGTTTCCCAGGCTGGTCTTGAACTCCCGGGCTCAAGTGATCTGCCTGCCTTGGCCTCCCACAGTGTTGGAATTACAGGCATAAGCCACCGTGCCCGGCTTAAATCTCAATTTCTGAGGGTGAGGGCCCAGCATCAGTGGTTTCTAAAAGTCTCTTTGGTTGACTGTTGGCTGCAGTGAGGGTTGAGATCCACCACCATACAAAGATGGTCCAACTGGAACCCCCTCAAGTCTGGGAACTCTATTCTTTCTCTGATCCTGTAAGCTCCCCGCTTTTTAATGTAAAGATTTGGTTCTGTTGGCTGGGCATGGTGGCTCACGCCTGTAATCCCAGCACTTTGGGAGGCCAAGGTGGGCAGATCACGAGGTCAGGAGTTTGAGACCAGCCTGGCCAATATGGTGAAACTCCGTCTCTACTAAAAATACAAAAATTAGCTGGGCATGGTGGCGTGTGCCTGTACTCCCAGCTACTCAGGAGGCTGAGGGAGAAGAATCGCTTGAACCCAAGAGGCAGAGCTTGCAGTGAGCCGAGATCGTGCACTACACTCCAGCCTGGGCGACAGAGTGAGACTTTGTCTCAAAAAAAAAAAAAAAAAAAAAAGATTTGGTTCTGTTGCTTGAAAACTAAGAACCTTAACTGATAGAGCCTCAGAAATGAGAAGAGAGTCAAGGTGAGTGTTCATTGCCTCTGGGCTCTCCAGCTGCAGATCCTCTTGCTTCTCTGTGCTTCTCTTTGGGATGACACCACAGAGACATTAAACCTTTTGGAGGGCCCGTACAGTAATTTCTGAACCAACTTGAAAAGCCATAAACTTGGTTTTTCCTGCCTTTTCTGGCTTGCAAATTTAATGCCTGGCTCCCAACATGTGTGAATGGACAAATAAAAGAGGAACTGTCCCTTCCTCTCTTTGCCCCCATCAAGGGCCACCTGAGAGACTGTATCTCTTTAGGATCGCTTAGCTCTTTCCTCAGTCCCAGGTCTGGATTTTGCGGGTGACAGCTTCACCAGTATGTGACAAGCCATGCCAGGTGACCAGAGTGTGAACCAGCCTGCTCACCTGTCAGGTGGTGGTAATGAAAACCGATGGACCTGGTGCGGTGGCTCAACACCTGTAATCCTAACACTTTGGGAGTCTGAGGTGGGAGGATCACGAGGTCAGGAGTTCAAGACCAGCCTGGCCAATGTGGTGAGGGCCTGAAGTAGTGGGAACAGAGGGTGACTGAGGCAGAGTCAGCCTTAAAAGATCAGTCGCTAAAAAGGACTTCAACTGCCTGCCTTTGGGGAGAGGGATTTGATGGGAGAAGGGCTGGGGTAAGACAGCTTTGTTTTCCATTTCAAGTCATTTGTATCATTTGCTTGTACTGCTTTGATAAAGAGAAATCTGAAATTCTAGAAAAAATTAGAAGTGAAAAAAAATTCCTTTATAGCCATGAGCAGAACCGTTAACAATAGCAGCCGGGTATGGTGGCTCACGCCTGTAATCTCAGCACTTTGGGAGGCCGAGGTGGGTGGATCACCTGAGGTCAGGAGTTCAAGGCCAGCCTGGCCAACATGGCAAAACCCCGTCTCTACTAAAAATACAAAAATTGCCAGGCGTGGTGGTGGGTGCCTGTAATGCCAGCTACTCAGGAGACTGAGTATGGAGAAACACTTGAATCCAGGAGGCGGAGGTTGCAGTGAGCCGAGAGCGCTCCATTGTACTCCAGCCTGGGTGACAGGAGTGAAACTCTATCTCTAAACAAACAAACAAAAAGCAATAGCAATAGCAACAGTAATGACACTAACTTATATTGATGTGCTAGATTTTATCCATGTCACCTCATTCACCTTTAGTTCTCACTACAACCTTGGGTGACAAACTTGTGTTGGCTTTAGCACTTTACTGGATTTGACACTGAGCGTTCCCTATACCTGGAACCACTTCGGTCCTAGATAAACCAAAGAGGATGGCTGGTCACCCTACTACAGCCCCAGAGGCAGCTGCTATTAACCAATGCATGCTGCAGGGGAGGAAACTGAGACCCTGAGAACTTCTGTAACTCGCATCATGGTCACACAGCTAGTTAGTGGTAGAAACAAGTTACATACCGACTCGGTGGTGGACACAATTAAGGGTCCCACAGTCAGTTAGTTGTAGAAACAGTTAAGAGTCACACAGCTAGTCAGTGGTTGACATAGTTAAGGGTTGTGCAGCTAGTCAGTGGTAGATACTGTTAGTTAAGGGTCACATAGGTAGTCAGTGGTGGACACAGTTAAGGGTCACACAGTTAGTGATAGATTTAAGGGTTACACAGCTAGTTAGTGGTAGATACAGTTAGTTAAGGGTTACACAGCTAGTTAGTGGTAGACACAGTTAAGGGTCACACAGCTAGTCAATGGTAGACAGTTAAAAGACACATGGATAGTTTAAGACACATGGATAGTTTAGTGGTAGATACAGTTAGTTAAGGGCCACACATCTAGTCAGAGGCAGGTATATTTAGTTAAAGGTCACAAAGCTAGTCAGTGGTAGGTACAGCTAGTTAAGGGTCACAAAGCTAGTCAGTGGTAGGTACAGTTAGTTAGGGGTTACACAGCTAGTCAGTGGCAGACAGTTAAGGGTCACAAGACTAGTCAATGGTAGACAATTAAAAGTCACATGGATAGTTTAGTGGTTGATACAGTTAGTGAAGGGTCACACGGCTAGTCAGTGGTAGGTACAGTTAGTTAAGGGTCACACGGCTAGTCAGTGGTAGGTGTAGTTAGTTAAGGGTCACACCGCTAGTCAGTGGTAGGTATAGTTAGTTAAGGGTCACACGGCTAGTCAGTGGTAGGTACAGTTAGTTAAGGGTCACACAGCTAGTCAGTGGTAGGTACAGTTGGTGAGCCATCTCATCACTCGTTTAGTAGTAGAGCTTGGATTGGAACCAGGTAGGGCTGTGTCTGTTACATTACATCACGTCACATGGAGTCTCAGAGCTGAAAGGACTTTAGGGTCGCCGTGTCTATTCCCCTTGTTTGTAGATGGGGAAACTTGCCTGAGTGGCGGAACGCCCTACCCAAGGTCGCATGGTGAGTTTTGGGCTTCTAAGAGACCACTGGAGGAAGTCAGGGAGACATGCCCTGGCAGGGACCCGTCCGGAGGCCTGCCAATTGGCTTTGAGAGGAGCGCGTCTTGCATCTCCCAGGAAGGATTGGCAGAGGGAGGGCGGGCGTCTCGGGCCGGGGGCTGGTGCCCGGGGCTGGGGCTGAGGGGAGGGGGAGGCTGCTTCTCTTTGTAATTTACATACACAGCAGCAACAGCCTGGGGGAAAACAACCCAAACAAACTCTCAAAGGATGTTTTGGACTTAATCCCGGGATCGGAAGCAGCTCGGTAAGATAAATAAGATAAAGTTGGTGTGCCTCTTAAGGTTGAACGATCATATCACTATTGCATTTGAAATATTCATGAGGGGAAGGGAGGTATGAGAAACAGCTACAGAAACATATTCTGCTTTGAAAAGGCAGAATTCAAAGGCATGAAAAATGAATCAGGGGAAATTAATGTCGAGGTTGGGAGGGGGGTGGGCTGGTGGGGGGACAATTATTGCCCAGAAGGAATAAGGAAAGAGATGTGGAGGAGATGTTTCAGACTGGGCCGTGATCAGAATTCTGTATCCTGCCTGGAATATTTGAAATGTCAATTGTCTCATATATCATTTGAAGTCAATACTTGGTCGCAAAATGGATGATTCTAGCAAGGATTAAAAAGCAGGGTGGGCTGGGGGATATGGGATGGGGAGGGTGGAGTGGGGTGGGGCAGGGAGATGGAAAAAGATGGGTAAAGTGAACTAAGTCCTATAAATTGTGGACGAATTACTGATCACTCAAAGAGGGCTCTGGGCGAGTAAGATGCAAAGAAACGGGAATTTCTTGTGATTTCTTGCAAGTCTCTCGGTCTTGGTTTCTCCCTTTATAAAGCCAGGAGGTTGGGCTGGATGTTCTCCTAGATGGTCCCACTTTGCCTTGTGGAGGGGGTGGGGCTCTGATTTGGAGATGTGCTTGGAAATAGAGGGTTCCTTAAGGCAAGAGGGTCAAGGGTATTGACGAACGGTAGCAATACAGACATGATGCTTGTGGTTAATGGTGGCTCTCAGCAGAGCCCTGCAAGTCTACACCGTGTTAGGGGGGCCAGTGGGGTTTGGCCCCATTTAAAAGCAAGCCCTTGGACTGTGGACTGGCGCGGTCATTCTAGAGAGATCTGACACTAAAGCAAATGAAGGCTGCATATTCTCTGTGGTCCCAGACCAGCAGCATCAGCATCACCTGGGAGCTTGTTAGAAATGGAAATTCTCGAGTCTCCTTCCAGACTTCTTGAGTCAAAATCTGCCTTTTAACAAGATCCCTGGGTGAGTCCTGTGCATATTAAAGACTGAGCAGCAGCAATTCCCCTCCTGGATTTATACCCCAGAGAAAGTTTCACCCAAGGATGTTCAAGGAGGTGGGTTTGTGGTAGCGGGGTATTGGAAGCCACTGCTGTGCGCATCAGAAGGGGATAGATAAGCAAAGCATGACAGATACTCACTGTGGGATATGACTGTGGTAGTTAGAAAAACAGGTCTGATCTTCACATGCCAGTATGGACGGATCTTTTATTTTATTTATTTATTTATTTATTTATTTATTTTGAGATGGAGTCTCACTCTGTTGCCCAGGCTGGGGTGCAATGGTGCAATCTTGGCTCACTGCAACCTCCGCCTCCTGGGTTCCAGCAATTCTGCCTCAGCCTCCCGAGTAGCTGGGATTACAGGCGCCCGCCACCATACCTGGCTAATGTTGTATTTTTAGTAGAGACAGGGTTTCACCATACTAGCCAGGCTGGTCTCGAACTCCTGACCACAGGTGATCCTCCCACCGCAGCCTCCCAAAGTGCTGGGATTACATGCGTGAGCCACTGTGCCTGGCCTGGATGGATCTTAAAAACAAAGCACAAGGGGAAAAAAAGTGAGCAATAGAATCAATTTATAGCAAGTGTCTTTGTTTGTGCTGCTATAAAGGAACACCTGAGGCTGGATAATTTACAAAGAAAAAAAGTTTATTTGGCTCATCATTCTGCAAGAATCATGGCACCAACATCTGCTTCTGATGAGGGCTTCAGGAAGCTTCCACTCATGGCAGAAGTGAAGAGGAACTGGTGTGTGTAGATCACATGGTAAGATAGAGAGAGAGGCCGGGCGCGGTGGCTCACGCCTGTAATCCCAGCACTTTGGGAGGCCGAGACGGGCGGATCACGAGGTCAGGAGATCGAGACCATCCTGGCTAACACGGTGAAACCCCGTCTCTACTAAAAATACAAAAATTAGCCGGGCATGGTGGCACGCGCCTGTAGTCCCAGCTACACGGGAGGCTGAGGCAGGAGAATGGCGTGAACCCGGGAGGCGGAGCTTGCAGTGAGTCGAGATCGCGCCACTGCACTCCAGCCTGGGCGACAGAGCGAAACTCCGTCTCAAAAAAAAAAAAAAAAAAAAAAAGAGAGAGAGAGAGGGAGATAAGAGGGGTATGAGGAAGGAGGATGAGAGAAGGAAGAAGGAGACAGGGAAGAATAGGAGACAGAGGAGGGTTCCAGGTTATTTTTAACTATCAGTTCTCGGCCGGATGCAGTGGCTTATGCCTGTAATCCCAGCACTTTGGGAGGCCGAAGTGGGTGGATCACTTGAGGTCAGGAGTTCGAGACCAGCCTGGCCAACATGTCGAAACCCTCTCTGTACTAAAAATACAAACATTAGCCAGGCATGGTGGCTCTTGCCTGTAACTCCAGCTACTTGGGAGGCTAAGGTGGGAGAATTACTTGAACCCAGGAGGTGGAGGTTGCAATGAGCCGAGATCTTGCCATTGCACTCCAGCCTGGCCGACAGAGCGAGACTGTGTCCCAAAATAAATAAATAAATAAATAAATAAATAAATAAATAAATAAATAAATAGAAAAAAATAAAAACACAAAAATTAGCTGGATGTAGTGGCGGGTGCCTGTAATCCCAGCTACCTGGGAGGCTGAGGCAGGAGAATCTCTTGAATCCGGGAGGCAGAGGTTGCAGTGAGCTGAAATCGTGCCACTGCACTCCAGTCTGGGCAACAGAGTGAGATTACATCTTGAAACACACACACACACGCACACACAATCAGTTCTTGCAGGAACTAAGAGTGGGAAATCACTCACTCTTGAGAGAATGGCACCCAGCCATTCCTGAGGGATCTGCCCCCACGACCAAAACACCTCCCACCAGGCCCCACCTCCAACACTGGGGATCACATTTCAACATGAGACTTGGCAGGGGCCAAAACAAACCATATCTAGACCATAGTATGACACAATTTTTATTGGTTAAAAATGTATTTGTACACAAGACAGTATGCTTAAAGCTACAAGAGGGCAGGGATTTCTGTCTATTTTGTTCACCGTTGTCTTCTTGCCACATTCTGAACACTCAATATTTGATGAGCAAATGCACTTCACAAGAATGCGCACACATTCAAGAGAAGAGGAATACCTCAGCTGAGGGGGTTTTGCACTGCACCGTGGTGATGCCAGAAACTCAGGAGTAATTCACTCCACTTTCTGCACCTGGGGTGAAATAGAAGCCCAATCTTGTGTGAGAGGTGAGGGGGAGGGTGGCCGGGCTGGCCTACGTTTGCAGAGCTTGTTCCATTTCACAGTGGCTTGGCTGCCCTGCCCTTGGTCCCTCCAAGGTCCTGCTTGCTCAGCTCTTGGCTTGCCACCTTCCTGCTCCATCTCTAAGGCTTTATTGGCTGTTCCTGTAGAAACAGACTCTCCAAGTCATGGCTTTTTCTCAGCATTTTGCATGTACCACCTCCCTTATCCTCACAACACTGCCTACAACACTGGTTCTCAACTGGGGACACTTCCATCCCCATAAGGGACATTTGGCAATGTCTGGAGACATTTTTGATTGTCACAACTAGGGTATACTGTGCTACTGTCATCCAGTACGTAGAGGCCATGGATGCTGCTAAACATCCTACAAGGCACAGGGCTGTCCCCAGACTCCCCAGTAAAGAACGATCAGGTCCAAAATGTCAGTGGTGTTGAGGCTGACCTAGGGTAGGGGGCTCTAATATCTCTATTTTATATGTGAGGAAACGGAAGCATGGTGAGGTTGGGTAATCCTGTGTGAGGTCCTGCAGCTGGTAGGCAATGGAGATGGGGTATAGACCAAGTGAGTCTGGCTCTAGAGTCCTTGCTTTTAACCACCATACATGATTGCTTCTCAGAAGTGGAAAACGCTGAGACAGGCACAGCTTTTTATACCTTTACTCACTTATGTTACGGCGAGGGTGACCAGCTGTCTTGGTTTGCCCAGGCCTGAGCGGATTCCCAGAGTGTGGGACTTGCAGTGCTCAAGCCAGGATGGATAGTCACCCTAGTAACCTCCAGACTCTGTAGACATCTGTGTTTGTGATCTGATTGTTACTTTCAGTCTGTTGAGTTCATATTACTGATGTAAGAGTTAAGAAGAGATTATTTAGGCAGATAGTGAGGGTAAGGAAGTCCTCAGTAAGGTTTTCCTTTTAATGAAAAGCAGTCCCCAAATCATTTTTCTTTTCTAACGGAGAGCATCCTGTAAAATCAAGCTGCAGACATAGGCAAGCAAGCTGGAAGCTTGCACGGGTGAATGCCGGCAGCTCCGCCCATAAGAAAAGGCTAGCTGGGGCTAGGCACGTCCAACAGGGCAGCTCCATCTTCCCTTCTCTTTGCCAGCCATGTGTACAGTAAGGAGCAGGCAACAAGGAGCCAGCCAGGCAAAGACCCCATTTGCATAATAACACTAGGGTGGGGCGGCCAACTTCCCCATGCGCTATGTAAATGTCACACCTGGTGCAACCAATCTTTGGGCCCTAGTAAATCAGGCACCGCCTCCCCAACCCTGTAAAATCTGGTGCACTCTGACTTGGGCCAGAAGTCCCACTGGGTGCCCCCCTCTCGGAAGAGAGACAGTGTTCTCCTTTCTCATTCTTTTGCCTATTAAACCTCTGCTTTTAAACTCACTCTTTGTGTGTGTCTGTGTCCTTAATGTTTTTGGTATGAGGCAACGAATCTCAGGTATTACCCCCGAGAGAATGATGCTGCTTCACTCTGTGCTAATCACAATTGACACAAGGGCCGAATCCCAGTCTCAAGTTCACCTACGATGACTTTATCATCCACATGGCTCAAAGCTGTGGTCAAGTTTCCTCCTGTTTTGAAAATATGTGCTATGCTCCAGTTAAGTCAGCACAGCTCTAGGTAGATCAAAATTCATCTTTGGAGGATTTCTGAAATTCACTTGAGGAGTAGATCAGTTGGGGATGGTGTGATGGAGGAAAAAGAAAATCCCAAGGTTTGATGGCAAGGTTAGAGTGACCTTCTGACCTTGAGCAAATGGCTTAAGCTGTCTGGGCCTTGATGTCCTCGTTTATAAAATGAGTCCGTAATAAAAGCCACAATGATGAGCATCAGGCACTGTGCTGAGTGTTTGCCATCTAAGGGGTTATCTGGTTATCTCATTTAATCATCACAACCACGGGAGGGGAAGCTCCTGGGGTTAAGTGTCTCGCCCAAGGTTGCAGCTGGTGGGGAATAGTCTGGTTGCAAACCCAGAGACCACACTTTTAACTGCTATGGAATGTTGTCTCCCGTGGCTGTTTCTGAGGAGATAGAAAAACATGCCAATTAGGGCCAAAAAAACGGGAGGTGGCCTCAAGGGCAGTGCATTACATTAAGAGTGTTTGCAAAGGCGTGGGTGTTTCTCCACCCCCGAGTCGCTGCTGACTTCCCGACACCTACACGCAGGGTCACCCTGCAGCTTCTGAGCACCTGGCCGGCTCCCCCCAGCAATGTGTGTTTGATGTTATCAGGGGGTTTGAGGCACGGCTGAGGCCCCAGGAATCTTTCTCTTTCATGGAGAAGCCAAGCTCACATCTCCCAGTGGCAGCTGGTGCTGGCGTCTGGCTGGAGTTGCAGGGACTATGTGTCAGCTCTAGCAGTTCCTGCGACTGTATTCACCTACTGAAGGTCCTTGATCTATTGCTGGGGTTTGCCAAGGGTCTCAGGGGTCTGCTGCGGAGCAGAGAGACTGATTATTATTTTTTAAATCTCCAGTTGACCCCCTTGTTCTCACGTTAATCACTTTGAGAATAAAAATGGCTACCAATAATTGAGCACTTACTACGTGCCAGGCACAGGCACATCCTATGCCTCCCTCCCTCCTCCTCCGGGGCTGCTGGCTCTCCTTATCCTTTTTATTTTTGCTTTTTTCTCCACAGCTAGTAACTGTGTTCTAAACACCAATAAGAGGGCCTGGCAAATGTGGTTACTCAATAACATTTATTGAATGAATGGGTGTGAGCGAGTGTGTGTTAGGCTCCCTGCTAAGCCCATTACGTGTATTATTTTACTCAACTCTCACAGTAATCCTATGAGATAAGCTTCATCTTTATCTCCATGTTACAAAGGAGAAAATGTGCTCAGAGATGTCAAGTAATTTCCCCCAAAATGCACAGCTTGTGTCAACGCAAGAATGCAAATTTAGCAGTCTCCAAATTCTACCCCATTTACTATCTCCCAAATAGATATGTATAAATATCCCACATATGGAGATACATTTTAAGGATTTATACGTATCTATTTCCATGTAACACGGCCACACATATGTATCCTATATAATATGCACATGTATAGTATGTGCACATATTCACGTGTAAATGTATCAGTTACCTGTAGCTGTGTAACAAGTAACACCACCCTCATGGTTATAAAAATAAACACTTATTTTTTGCTCATAGGTCTGTGGTTTAGCTGGAGAGATTCTGCTTTAGGCTGTGGGTTGAGTTCAAGTCTGATTCTTACATTTATTTCTGAGGTCCAGATTGGAGAAGCAGTGGTACCTGGTGAAGGTTGGCAGCTTCCAGAGAGGAGTGAGCAGAAATACTCAATGCCTTTTAAGGCCTAAGCTGGGAACTGGTGCACCGTCAGCTCTGCTCATGTTCCATTGGCCAAAACAAACCCATCACTAACAGGGCAGAGGATTCTGTTCTTCCCATGGTGAAGGGAATGAGAGGGAAGTAAATATTTGTTAAACAGGAAAACATACCACTATCATATTTTAATTATATATGGATGTATTTGTATTTTATCTTTTTTTTTGAGATGGAGTTTCGCACTTGTCACCCAGGCTGGAGTGCAATGGCACGTTCACGGCTCACTGCAACCTCTACCTCCTGGGTTCAAGCAATTCTCCTGCCTCAGCCTCCCGAGTAGCTGGGATTACAGGCACCTGCCACCATACCCAGCTTTTTTTTTTTTTTTTTTTTTTTTGTATTTTTTTTTTTACTAGAGATGAGGTTTCACCATGTTGGCCAGGCTGGTCTTGAACTCCTGACCTCAGGTGATCCACCTGCCTCTGCCTCCCAAAGTGCTGGGATTACAGGCATAAGCCTCGGCGCCCAGCCTATATTTATCTTTTTCACCCATGACCCCAGCTTCAGTGAGGAGTTCTGTTACTTTGTACTTTTACTGGGCATTCGTTTCCTTGTTTGGAAAATAGTGACTATAATTAATAAAAGTGTTTGTATTCTTGCAAATTGCTAAGAGAGTAAATTTGAAGCATCCCCACCACTTGTTAATTAGCTTGATTTCACCAGTCCGCAATGTATACATATTTCAAAACATCAGGTTGTACACAATAATTATAGACAATTTTTGTTTGTCAATTCAAAAAGTAATAAGTAAAGGAAAAGAAAAATGTAAGATACTTTAAAAAATGACTGGCTCGTGTTGAGAAGTAACTTTTACTATTTATTTGTTTTTTTGTTTGTTGGTTGGTTGGTTTTTTTTTTTTTTTTTTGAGACGGAGTTTCGCTCTTGTTGCCCAGGCTGGAGTGCAGTGGCACGATCTTGGCTTACTGCAATTTCTGTCTCCCGGGGTTCAAGCAATTCTCCTGTCTCAGCCTCCTGAGTAGCTGGCATTACAGATGCCCACCACCATACCTGGCTAATTTTTTGTATTTTTAGTAGAGACAGGGTTTTGCCACTTTGGCCAGACTGGTCTCAGACTCCTGGCCTCAGGTGATCCACCTGCCTTGGCCTCCCAAAGTGCTGGGATTACAGGCATGAGCCACCGTGCCCAGCCTAACTTGTACTATTTATTTGAGTTAAGCCAACACACACTTGAGTTCCCCACATGTCATAGAGTGATGTGGACAAGCCCTTGAAATCTGGCTTTCCTGATTACCTGGTTGACCTTGTAGATGCCTCTCTGAGCCTCAGATATGTTCTCTGTGAAATGGGCATGAAACCAGTACCCACTTTGTAGAGCACTGTGAGGATTAAGTGAGAGGATACGTGCAAAAGTTTACCACAGTGCCTGGCTCCAGAAGCCACTCAATATATATTTGCTGTTGTTATTAATATTGATACTATTCTTACAACAAAAACAGCACAGATGTTCTAATGATCAATTATCCTAGCCTGTCGTCTGCTGGTCCCCAGCCCATGTTTCTCGGACCCTGTCTGTGTGTGATTTATGATCCGACTCTCTCTACACTTTGTGTTGGGGTTTGATTTTTCCTGCTTTGGCTCAAGACCCCCTTCCTACAGAAATGTTTGGACCCATCTTACAGACTTGTGCCTCCTTGGCTGTCCTGCCTGGTCAGCCCCTTGGAACACAGGGTTGGCCCTAAGTTGGTCCTCCCATCCCAGCAAAATGGTTCACTGGGGCATTGCAGGTTGATTGTGGAATTTCAACAATAGCATGGGTGGTGGGAAAACCTTCGGACATCCACAGACAGCAGCCTGGATGTATAAGAGATGGGGGTGGTGTTCTTTCCATCTGGAGTCCTCCGGGAGCTGTCAAGCCTGGAATCTTTGCAATTTAGGCAGTCTGTTTGTAATGGTCTCAAGAAAACCCATTCTGCCTACAAACGCGGTGACCTTTAATTTTTTTTTCTCAGATTTTTCCAAGATGCACATTGACTCTTCCTGTCAACGTGGAAGGCTCTAATGCCGCCTGGGGCATTTAGATTGCATTTGCCAATCGCTGACTGCTGTAGCCAATTTGTTCCTGATCTCAAGGTCGATTTTGAATAACTTTAGCTGGGCTAAGTCTCTTGCATTGAATAACTGGGAAACAACCTATTAAGGTAGCAGGCGGGCGGGGGCAGGAGGGGGCAGGGGGCTGTTTCTATTTTGTAGAAGTTCTTTGATTTTGGATAAATGAGAAGGCTTCTAGCTCTGCCAGTCATGGACTATGTGGCCTTGAACAAGGGAGGGAAAGAAAGAAACACATGCCAAGTACCTAGCATATGCTAGACACAGTGCTGGGCACTTCACACATGCCAGCTGCTTAATCTACTCCGCGAGGTGAACATCGTGATCTCCATGTTACAGATAAAGAAACGGAGTCCCGGCAACTTGCAGGGTTGAGCTTGGATCTGTCTAAAGCCCCGCCCCTCCCCCTTTTTTTGTTTGTTTGAGACGGAGTCTTGCTATGTTGCCCAGGCTGGTGTGCAACAGTGCAATGATCTTGGCTCACTGCAACCTCCGCCTGCCAGGTTCAAGCAATTCTCCTGCCTCAGCCTCCCGAGCAGCTTGGGATTACAGGCACGTGCCACCATGCCCAGCTAATTTTTTATATTTTTTGTATAGACGAGGTTTCACCATGCTGGCCAGGTTGGTCTCCAACTCCTGACCTCTTGAGCCGCCCGCCTCGGCCTCCCAAAGTGCTGGGATTACAGGCGTGAGCCACCGCGCCCGGCCGATGATGCTCTTTTTAAACTATCCTTATGAGTGTATTTCAGCAACCTCCCCCGACCCGAATTACAGTACCACAGGCTGCGTCCTAATGCTGTGCCCTCTCCTGATATGGTCTGGCTGTATCCCCATCCAAACTCACCTTGAATTGTAATAATCCCCACGTGTCAAGGGCGGGGCCAGGTGGAGATAATTAAAACATGGGGGCAGTTTCCGCATACGGTTCTCATGGTAGTGAGTAAGTCTCACGAGATCTGATGGTTTTATAAATGGGAGTTCCGCTGCGCAAGCTCTCTTGCCTGCCCCTGTGTAGCATGTGACTTCGCTGTTCTTTGGCCTTCCACCATGATTGTGAGACCTCCTCAGCCATGTGGAACTGTGAGTCCATTCAACCTCTTTCCTTTGTAAATTACTCAGTCTCGGGTAGGTCTTTATTAGCAGCGTGAGAACAAATAAACCTCCTGTCATCTTCTCTCCTTGGATTCACTCCTCTAGTCTGAGATGTCTGGTTCGCCTTGTTTCCCCAGCGGTGGGCTCATGCCGGCAGGGGTTGGCATCAGCAACTGTTCTTTGATCCCATGACTCTGATTTTGAGATGAGCCTGGTGCAGCTTGGTGGTTTCACGTGGGGCCCTTTGGAAGGAGAAAACCTGGTCCGAATCCCTGCAAGTTGTGTGACGGGTTGGGTTCCTTGGAAGCCCGAGAATGAGATTTGGGTAGGTGCGGTTTATTCAAGGTGGGGGTTCTCAGGAGAAGGAAAGTGAGGGAAGGAGGATGATGGGGGAGGGGACAGAGCCAAGCAAGAATGGGCTCTCAGGCTGAGGCTAGCCTTGATCTCACGTGGGTCTCTGGAGTGTATTCTGCCTTGAAGCAGGAGGACTGGACTTTTGTGTGACTCCTCTCGCCTCATATCGCTTAGTCATTGGCCAGTTCAGCATGTGAGAGCATAACTCCCTGGGTGAAATGGCTTTTGCTAGCTAAGGAATTCTCCGGAGAAAGTATTGGTATAAGCCATTAGGCACAGATCAGCAAAGGCTGAATGATGAGTGGTTTACTGGCAATGAGGATCTGGGTGAAGCACCAGGAACAGCTGCGACGTTGTGCAACTGCTCTGCCTCAGTTTTCCTCATCTGTAAAATGGGGATGTTGATAAAACCCATCTCTGAGCGTTGATGCAAGGGTTAGATGAGATACTTGCATTTGTGTTACTGATAATGTGCCTGTCACTGGCCAGGTGCAAAGCAAGGGCTCAACGAAAGCATAAGCTATTATTATTATTATTATTATTGTTATTACTGGCAGTTTTGGATCCATAGCAACAAGCACATATAAACAATGCTCACTTCTTCTCTAGTTTAATTCTTATAACTCTTCTGAGATAAGTTCTACTTCTACCCTGTTTTACAGACATGGAAACTGAGGCACAGTGAGGTGAAGCACTTTGAGCTCACATGATGGGGCTGAGATTCCAATTTAGGGAGTCCAGTCCCAGAGCCCCCAAGTGAGTGCTGGTTTGGGACTGTCTCTTCTGATCATGACAAATCTTTTTTTTGAGATCACTCTCAGTTCCTTGAATGTATCCATCTTCTCTGTTGTTTCTGGGTCTTTGTATATTCTATTCTCTGTGCTGGCAACAGCTTTTCCGCTTTAACCTGATCTGCCCTGGTTCATCCCTTGAGACTGAGCTCTGAGCTCATATTTGGCCTTTTTTTTTTTTTTTTGAGACAAGGTCTCACCCTGTCACCCAGGCTGGAGTGCAGTGGTGCAATCGTGACTCACTGCAGCCTCAACCTCCCAGGCTCAAGTGATCCTCCCACCTCAGCCTCCCGAGTAGCTGGGACTACAATTGCATGCTACCATGCCCAGCTAACTTGTGTACTTTTTGTAGAGATGAGGTTTCGTCATATTACCCAGGCTGGCCTCGAACTCTCAGGATCAAGTGATCTGCCTGCCTCAACCTCCCAAAGTGCTGGGATTACAGGTATGAGCCACGGCGCTTGGCCCATGTTTGGCCTTTTCCAGGAAGCCCTCCAGGTTGCCTCCTTCCACAGCCCCTTGTCTGTTCCCCAAAGTGTCTGTTAGGATGTATTACACTTGCCTAGTCACTTGTCTGCCTCTCCCATTAGTCTATGGCTCCAAAGAATTGAATATTTTGCCTGTCTCTATCATTGTCACCCCTGCAAGTAGCATTTGTCTGGCACATAGTAGGTACTCAATAAATGTTTATTTTGTGGCTGAATGAGCATTCCAGATTCAGAACTGGAAACATTGGAGGCTTACAAAAGTTCAGAACCGCATACATTGGAGGCTTACAAAAGTTCCTGTTGAGTTGAATTAATTCATTTTGAAATGACATGGACTAAGTTCTTTCTGGGAAGGTTTCCTAACTAAATCCGTGGGCATGGTGGACTGGAGCGTTCCAGAACCAGTGCAAAGAGTCCCCTGTCCATAGGCATGAGATGAAGGCTCAGGGACTTAAAATACACTTCTATTGTGGAAAGTTCTTCAGAGACCCTTCTGGCATTTTATTTAATTGATGCTCGGCTCATTTATTTTATTATTTTATTTTTATTTTTTAATTTTTTTATTTTTTTTTTGAGACGGAGTCTTGCTCTGTCACTCAGGCTGGAGTGCAGTGGCGCAATCTCGGCTCACTGCAACCTCTGCCTCCCAGGTTCAAGCAATTCTCTGCCTCAGCCTCCCGAGTAGCTGGGATTATAGGCAAGTGCCACCATGCCCAGCTAATTTTTGTATTTTTAGTAGAGACGGGGTTTCACCATCTTGGCCAGGCTGGTCTTGAACTCCTGACCTCGTGATCTGCCTGCCTCGACCTGCCAAAGTGCTGGAATTACAGGCGTGAGCCACGGCGCCCAGCCATTTTTATTTTATTTTTTTTGAGATGGAATGTCACTCTGTCACCTAGGCTGGAGTACAGTGGCGCAATCTCGGCTCACTGCAGCCCCCACCTCCCCGGTTCAAACGATTCTCCTGCCTCAGCCTCCCAAATAGCTGGAACTACAGGCACACACCCACACACCACCACACCTGGCTAATTTTTGTATTTTTGGTAGAGACGGGGTTTCACCATGTTGCCCAGGCTAGTTTTGAACTCCTGACCTCAGGTGATCTGCCCACCTTGGCCTCTCGAAGTGCTGGGATTACAGGCATGAGCCACCACGCCTGGCCCAGTTAATTTATTTTATGTAATGAATGTATTTCTTTTCATTAGGAAAGTATGAGAATCACGTTGCTGAAAATGTGGGAAACCTAGAAAAGTAGAGAAACCCACCCACTATCATTTGGTAGTAAATTTCTTCAGATTTTTCTCCTCCCATATATGTTTTTCTCTTTCTTTATTAAACATACTTATGACCATACTATTAATATAGTTTAGTATCCTGCTACTTTTTTTCCGTTTAGCAAAATGAGATTTTTCCAGGTTTAATTACATAGTTTTAAAAATAACCATCATCATTTTGTTCTTATTTTTTTCCCTTTTGAATTTAAAAAAAAAAATCATAGTAATATGAGCACATCGTACAAAGTTAAAGTACAGAGGAGCTGCTAATGAAAGCAGCGGTTCCTGGCCCCTTCTCTCCTCTCTCCCCTCCTTAAGTCTTATTTCCCGGAGGTAAGTGCTTGAAATGTTGTTTCCATTTTTAGGTCTTCGGTTATTTATCTCTGTAACTCCAAATAAGATGCTTATGTGGCTGTTTCTTGATTTATCAATTTAAGACATTTTCTATTGACTCTGTGCCATAGAAGATGAGGATTCAGCTTATTGACATGGTTCCTCCCCACTTTTTGTCCTTCCCCAGTTTTTATTTGAAAAAAGTCAGACGTGCACATGGCAAATGATGACCGGAGGATGAAGGAGCCTCTCTTACTCTAATGCTTCAGTCTTCCACCCACCCCTCCTCCCAGTTTCTTGTGTATCTGTGGCAGGTCAAAGATGAGTGCAAACTGTTTGATACCCCATGCATTCAGAAATGGGGTCTATTTCCCTTTTCCTGAGCCTGGGCTGGCCTGTGACTGCTTTGACGAATAGATTGCCATAGAAGTGACACCATGATGGTTCTGGTCCTGGCATTTAAGGGATCATGCAGTTTCCGCCTTACACCTCTTGGAACTCTTGGTTTTAAACCCCTGAGCCACTGTGTGAGAAATCTGAGGGCTTTTGCTGGAGGGAAACCTGGAGAGACTCTGAGATGACATGGAAAGGGAGAGAAGTTGCTCTGAGCCCAGCTTCCATCCTGTCCCACTGATATGATTTGGCTGTGTCCCCATCCAAATCTCATCTTGAATTCTCACATGTTGTGAGAGGGACCCGGTGGGAGGTAATTGAATCATGGGGGTGGGTCTTTCTCATGCTATTCTCATGATAGTAAGTCTCATGAGATCTGATGGTTTTATAACAGGGAGTTTCCCTGCACAAGCTCTCTTTTTGCCTGCTGCCATCCATGTAAGACGTGACTTGCTCCTCCTTGCCTTCCACCATGATTGCGAGGCTCCCCAGCCATGTGGAACTCTGAGTCCATTAAACCTCTTTCCTGTAAAAATGACCCAGTCTCAGGTATGTCTTTATTAAGAGCATGAAAATGGACTAATACACCCACCAAGGTGCCTGGCACATCACTAAAACTGCACTAGACCCTTCAGAGCAGCCCCGAAGCCCTCTGAATACTACTGAGTGACCTCAGATGATACTGTGTGAGCAGAAGAACTGCCCAGCTGGGTCCTGCTTGAATTCCTGACCCTCAAAATCATGATCTATAATAAAAACAGTTGTGGCTTTAAGCCATAATGTTTGGGGATTAACTTGAATGGCATCCTTCAGGAGATACCCCATGTGTCATAGGTTTTGGGGATGGAGGTTATCTTAGCCTACCAACAGTGCCTGATACAAATATGTGAATGTTTCATTGGGTCACGCAATCTCAAGAAAGCAGGGATAAGGGAAAGAGAGAAAGAGGAAGAGCAAAACCAAAGAAGTGCATATTGCCTAGTGGAGTTGCAGTTTCCCAGAAACACAAGCATGGGATAACTCTGGAGTCAGTCATCTGCCAGCTCCTGCTGTTTCCTGTCTCTTATTGGTCAAAGCTTGCTCCACTCTGCACTTCTGAGTAATGGCCCTCAGCCCCTCCTAGCAGCTTCTGGGGGATCCAGGACCTCTGGGAGCTGATAGGTGTGATAGAGGCCAGCCCTTAACCCCACCCAGGGTAGGCTGAGTCACTTTTATTTTATTGTAAAATTGATATTTATTTACTTATTATTTTAAGGTAATTTTTTTTGAGACAGGATCGTGCTCTGTTGCCCAGGCTGGAGTACAGTGGCACAGTCATAGCTCACTGCAACCTCAAACTACTGGGCTCATGTGATCCTCCTGCCTCAGCCTCCTGAGTAGCTGGGACTACAGGTATGCACCACCATGCATGGCTAGTTTTTAAAAAGTTTTTTTGGAGGGATGGGGTTTTGCTTTGTTTCCCAGGCTAGTCTCAAACTCTTGACCTCAAGAGATCCTCCTGCTTCAGCCTCTCAAATTGCTGAGATTACAGGCATAAGCCACTATGCCTGGCCTCTATTATTATTATTTTGAGACAGAGTCTCACTCTGTTGCCCAGGCTGGAGTACATCGGTGCAGTCTTGGCTCACTGCAACCTCTGCCTCCTGGGTTCAAACAATTCTTGTGCCTCAGCCTCCGAGTAGCTGGGACTACAGGTGTGTGCCATCATGACTGGCTAATTTTTGTGTTTTTAGTAGAGATGGGGTTTCGCCATGTTGGCCAGGTTGGTCTTGAACTCCTGACCTCAAGTATCCACCTGCCTCGGCCTCCCGAAGTGCTAGGATAACAGGTGTCGGTCACAGCTCCTGGCCACTGGCTTCTATTTTTTTATTTTTTGAGAGGGAGTCTAGCTCTTGTTGCCCAGGCTGGGGTTCAGTGGCGCAATCTCGGCTCACTGCAACCTCTCAAGTTCAAGAGATTCTCCAGCCTCAGCCTCCCGAGTAGCTGGGATTACAGGCACGCGCCGCCACGCCCAGCTAATTTTTGTATTTTCAGTAGAGACAGGTTTCACCATGTTGGCAGGATGGTCTCGATCTCCTGACCTCATGATCCACCCACCTTGGCCTCCCAAAGTGCTGGGATTACAGGCGTGGGCCATGGCACCTGGCCCAGCCTCTATTTTTAAAGTAACTTTTATGGGATGTCAGACATTGTAAATTTTACCTTGGTGGGTGCTGGATGTTTTTGTGCCTGGCACAGTCCTAGGTGCTGAGGACCTAGCATTGAACAAAAACAAAGATCCCTGCTCTTGCTGAACTTCCATGCTACTGTGGGGAGACAATCAGTGAACAACAAGCATAATTTAGGTTTGCTCTTATTATACTGTTGCACACGTACCTTTTGTATATGTACTCTTAAACGGCCATTGTTTTTAGTGATTTGATTGAACAAATATATTTGATTGAACAGATATATCCTTGCTGAATGAGCCATTTCTCTATTGATGGGTAATTATATTACTTTCTCTAGTAAGAGTCATCAGAAGCTTAGAGGCTTAAGAATCTAAGCTCAACAAACAGAGGTTGGAGAGGTTATTATAAAGTCCATTGTGAGAGCAGCCACTCCTAACCTTGGGACCAAAGATTGGTATTGCGTGACCTGTGAGCCAGAATTACCCTGGATTGGACTGTCCTACCAGGTGGGCCCCTGGCCAGCAAAAGAGATGATGGGGGTTGTTAGAATGTCAGAGAGGGCCTTAGACACCCCTTTTCCATATAGTCTCCAGCTCTTTGACTAAAACCTGTACCCCAGTATATAATCAGTCACCCAGGCCTAGAGTCAAGGTCTTTTATATCATGTAAATTTATTTTTTATTTTTAAAATTTTTTATTTCCATAGGGTTTTGGGGAACAGGTGGTATTTGGTTATGTGAGTAAGTTCTTTAATAGTGATTTGTGAGATTTTGGTGCAGCCATTATCTGAGCAGTACACACTGAACCCAATTTGTAGTCTTTTATCCCTCACCCCCTCCCACCCTTTCCCCCGAGTCCCCAGAGTCCATTGTATCATTCTTATGCCTTTGCATCCTCATAGCTTAGCTCCCACTTGTGAGTGAGAACATACGACGTTTGGTTTTCCATTCCTGAGTTACTTCACCTAGAATAATAATCTCCAGTTCCATCCAGGTTGCTGTGAATGCCATTAATTCATTCCTTATTATGGCTGAGTAGTATAAATATACTGCTGGTATATGGCATATATATACCACAGTTTCTTTATCCACTCGTTGATTGATAGGCATTTGAGCTGGTTTCATATTTTTGCAGTTGTGAATTGTGCTGCTATAAACATGCATGTGCAAGTATCTTTCTCATATAATGATTTCTTTTCCTCAGGGTAGATACCCAGTAGTGGGATTGCCAGATCAAATGGTGGTGCTACTTTTCTTTAAGGAATCTCCACACTGTCTTCCAAGGTGGTTGTACTAGTTTACATTCCCGCCAGCAGTGTAGAAGTGTTCCCTTTTCACCACCTCCATGCCAACATCTATTATGTTTTGATTTTTTGATTCTGGTCATTCTTGCAGGAGTAAGGCGGTATCGCATTGTGGTTTTGATTTGCGTTTCCCTGATCATTAGTGATGTTGAGCATTTTTTCACATGTTTGTTGGCCATTTGTTTATCTTCTTTTGAAAATTGTCTATTCATGTGGATTTATACCTTCCCCGTATTCCCATGCCTTTGTCTTCAATGGGACTATTATTTTTTGTCTAATGGCTTTGAATTAAATCTTCTGTCTTCTATTCCACTGATCTCCAGTCTCCAGCAATAATTATGCTGTTTGCATTGGGGAAGGTGGCAGATGTAGTTGTTGCCTTGCCTATGTCCTCTGGCATAGGAACTCACCATTCCTACTGCAAGCATCTGCAATACTGCCTGGGGCTTTGTCTCACTGCCATAACCTAGGCTCTTGTGGGGCAGGCTGGAAGTGCAGAGAAACCAACACAGGCACATCTCCCCCAGCCAGCTGCTGAGGGCAGTTGCCCTGCCTTCCATACCTTAGGGTGAGGCAGGCGCTATGCTGTCTCCCAGATGTCCCCAGTGGGATTGAACCCCAGTTGCCCATAGTAGCAGCCTGCTTATAAACATGACCTGGATTAGCTCCTTTCCCTTCTCTGTCTCATTTCCCTATTGTCATCCCAGTGTTTCCTGGGCTCACTTTCCAAATCAACCCACTTATCTTCAAGTCCTTCTGTATTAGTCTGTTCTCATGCTGCTAATAAAGACATGCCTGAGACTGGGTCATTTATAAAGGAAAGAGGTTTAATGGACTCACAGTTCTGCATGGCTGGAAAGGCCTCACAATCATGGTGGAAGACAAGAAGGAGCAAAGCCACATCTTACACGGCAGCAGGCAAGAGGCTTGTGCAGGGGAACTCCCATTTATAAAACCATCAGATCTCATGAGACTTACTATCAGGAGAACAGTATGGGGGAAACCACCCCCATGATTCAATTATCTCCACCTGCCCCCGCCCTTGACACATGGAGATTGTTACAATTCAAGGTGAGATCTGGGTAGGGACGCAGCCAAACCATCTCACCTTCTCTTAGGATTTGTTTCTGGGGAAACCTAACCTATCTAAGATGATGAAAAATACAAAGAACCAGGAAAATCCATAAATAGATTTAACAAGAAAATTTTACCTAGTCTTGATGAGTGGCAAAGCTTGACTGCCCTGAGGAAGTGACTTTGCTGAGCTGAGACCTGAGGATGGGTAGGAGTTAGCTAAGCAAAGCAGCACTGGAAGAACAGCAGGGGAAGAACATTCCAAGCATAGGGAAGAGCATGTGCGAAGGTCCTGGGGCAGGAATGCTAGTGTGGATGGGGTGCAGAAAGAGAGGCAGAGAATGGTGGTTATCTTTGGAGGATATATGGCCTGAAAGTGAATTTGGGTCCCTGACTTTAAGTCTCTTTCCTCTGCAGTTTAATTATGTCTATACACTTTTTTTTGAACCCCATTATGGTCTGGCTTCATTTAAATGCATCTGAAATGAAATCTCTAATGTTAACAGTGTTGTCAGATGTGAAGGCTTCATTTCTCTTTGGTTCTTTTTCACCGAATGCTATCTGTGAGTTTCTGGGGAGGATATGAGGATTTTGATTGTTTTGATTTTTTTTTTTTTTTGTATGACCACATTATGTTAATTTCCCCATTGTCTTAGAGTATGAGAACATAAAAGCAATAACTCATTTATATGAAGACTGAATGTGCTGAGAGGTTGTCATGGAAACCTCTCATGTTGGCTTGAGTAAATTGAATAACCCCTGTTAAAAGACTGAACACAGATAACTGGCAGGCTTTGTTTCAGGGCAAGAGTTCACAAACTGGGGTCCACAGATGCTCAAACATTCTATCATGAATAGAATTCGGGGATCCCATGATCTTGGACAGTTAAAAATACATCTTATATTCTTTTATCTCTACCTGAAGTTTAGTCTTTCTTTCCATTGTGAATGAATAAAGCAATAAACAAACAAAAAAACAAAAGATTGAACACAGAACTTATTTACCCAATTGCATGGCATTCACAAGAGATGAGAAATTCAACATGATACATGAGATTTTTCCCCCCCGCAGGGGCAGGGAGGAGGATGAAGAGGGTGAATGAATGCTAGGAATGTATTATTTTTATTTAGACAGTGATTTCTATTTTTCTTTCAAAGATTATATTTTTGTTTCCAAATGGGAGAGGTGTTATGGGGCGATAGAGAAAGGATCCAGGGAAAATTGCATGGTAAAATTGCTCCTGGGAAAGACCAGCTTAGGGTATCCATGATTGTCGCTTCTGTAGCCCTGAGCATGTTTCTCCCCTTGGAGCATCCTCTGAAGTCTTGGTCAGAGTCGTTGAAGAGACATGAACCTTTTCAGCATTTTCTGCTTTGCTTTGGCAGGATTGTTTACTGCCTATCAAGCTGACTTACAAAAAATACTAGTTCTGTTGTTTTTCATTTTTAAAAGCAAATTGCTTCACCTCTTCGTAAATAACTCCTTAAAAGAAAAGCCGTGGATGACAGATGAGGAAGCATAGTTGGGAACAGAGCGCGGCACTCGCTCACGATCATAGTGTCAGGTCACAGGAAGCCCTCTGAGCCCCGGGGGTGGGGGCAGCCTCTTTAAAGTGATTATGGAGCAAGAGGAGCTTGAACAGTGGCACTCTGAGCGTTGTCTTGGGCCAGCTTGGAGATCAGGTCCTGGGCTCCAGAAGACATCGAGGCTGGTTCTACCTGGATGTTGCATCCGTAGGTATCAAAGTAGGAGATGCTTTCGAGGGGTGAGTTTTTCATCAGTGGCCTCCACCCCAAAGCACCATAGTCCTACCTCCTTGTTGTATGTCTTTCTTCTCACAGGCTGCTTGTCAGACTTCAGAATTTCATGGGCATGATGGGCAAATAAGCTTGATTAATGCTTCATGCTTGCTATCCACTAAATGTGTTCCCACCATGTGTTGAAACCTAATCCCCAGTGTGATGGATGGTATTAGGGGGTGGGGCCTTTGGGAGGTGATTAGGACATGATGGTGGGGACTCCACAAGTGGGATTCATGCCTATTTATTTATTTATTTGAGACAAGAGTCTCACCCTGTTCCCAGGCTAGAGTGCAGTAGTACCATCTAGGCTCACTGCAACCTCTGCCTCTGGGTTTAAGTGATTCTCCTGCCTCATCCTCTGAGTAGCTGAGACTACTGGATAATTATCTACCACACCTGGATAATTTTTTTTTTTTTTGTATTTTTAGAGAGATGAGGTTCCACCACGTTGGCCAGGCTGTCTTGAACTCCTGATCCAAGTGATCTGCCCATCTTGGCCTCCCAAAGTGCTAGGTTTACAGGCGTGAGCCACTGCGCCTGGCCAATGCCCTTTTAAAAGGGGTCCCAGAGAGCCCCTTTGCCCTTCCATGATGGGAAGACACAGTGAAAAGAGGGCTGTCTATGAACTAGGAAGAAGGCCTTCCCCAGACACTGAATCTGCCTGGGACTTCCCAGATCTTCTGGAGAGAACCGTGAGAAATAAATGTCTGCTGTTTGTAAGCCACACAACCTATGGCATTCTCTTATAGCAGTCTAAATAGACTAAGATAATACCATAAGGATCTACCTTTGGGACTGTGTGCTGTTATAATAAAGGCTCTGATAAGTCCTGCTAGCGCCGTTTAGACCAGGGGTTTCTAAACTTTTTGACCACACAAGTTATTTTTCCCTTTGCAAGCACCTTCCATGGAAATCTTTTGGGAGGCTGAGGCATGAGAATTGCTTGAACCCATGAAGTGAAGGTTGCAGTGAACTGAGATCATGCCACTGCACTCCAGCCTGGGTGATGGAGTGAGACTCTGTGTCAAAAAAAAAAAAAAAAAAAAAGAAAAGAAAGAAAAAAGAAAATATTTTCAAAATGATGCCATGGATTAAATCTGATAGTCACAAAGGATCCTTGTCTGGTGTTACCTCCATTTGATGGGTGAGGAAACAGGAGTCCTGAGAAACCAAGTAACTTGCTCAGGGTCATGCTGTTAGGATGTAGCAGAATCAGAACCAAAACCCTAAGTCCCAGACGACTAAAATCCACCACTCCAATGGAGAGGCCCTTACTGCAATGACCTGTTCTGAAGGAGCGAAACAAGGCATTTATTGCAGCATCATTTAATTAGGAAAAAAATCTGGAAAGACCCTGAATGTCCAACTAAAGGGAAATAGTTGATATTTATGATACTTCCATACAATAGAATGTTATGGGGCATCGATAATAGACATGAAGCACAGTAACATGAGGTGGCACATATTATAATGTAAAATGGAGAAATAAAGCAAAATGATAATCATGCAAATTAAATGCATGAAACTAAAAAAGAAATACAAAATAGTAGCTGTCTCTAGATGGTAGGTGAGTCAGTTCAGGTCCTCTGAGTAGCAGAAGGCAAAACAGAATTAATTGTACAAGGTCCCAGTCTCCACTGATTTCAAATCCACTTTTCAACTTCTGTATGAAGTTCTCATTCTCTTACTAATTTTTTTTTTTTTTTGAGGCGGAGTCTCACTCTGTTGCCAGGCTTGAGTGTAGTGGCGCGATCTCGGCTCACCGTAACCTGCGCCTCCCGGGTTCAAGTGATTTCCTGCCTCAGCCTCCCAGGTAGCTGGGATTACAGGCGCATGCCACCATGTCCAGCTAATTTTTGTATTTTTAGTAGAGACGGGGTTTCACCATGTTAGCCAGGATGGTCTCGATCTCTTGATCTTGTGATCCACCCACCTCGGCCTCCCAAAGTGCTGGGATTACAGGCATGAGCCACTGTGCCCGGCCCTCTTACTAATTTTAAATAACATGTCTCCTGCAGCTTCTGTATTGCAAATATAGGAAGTGATTTTGGCGAGCATTTGAATTATGGTAGCTGATCTGATCTGTTGTGTCTCCTTACTTTCTAATTCTTTCTTTACTTTCTGCTCTTTTCCTCCCTCTGCTTATTTGCTTCCTCTTGCTGTCTTCCTTTATCTCCTTTTCTTTTCCTACAAATTTCTAAAATGATAGCTGATGAGAAGGAAGATCACTCTTACATAATTTGATTCCTCAGTTTCCATTTTCTTCTTTTTACAAGTATAACATTCTATATTTCTTTTTTTTAAAAAAATTATTTTTTAATTGAAAAATAATGGTACCTATTGATGGAGTACGTAGTGATGTTTTGATATATATAATGTATAGTGATTTGATCAGGGTAATTAGCATATCCATCATCTCAAACGTTTCTCATTTCTTTGTGATGGTAACATTCAGTATCTTCCTTCTAGCTATTTGAAACTGCATTATTATTACCATTATCATTTTATTTTATTTAGACAGAATCTTGCTCTGTCACCCAGACTGATTTGTAGTAGCATGATCTCTGCTCAATGCAACCTCTGCCTCTCAGGTTCAAGCGATTCTTCTGCCTCAGCCTGCCGAGTAGCTGGGATTACACGCATGCTCCACCACGCCCGACTAATATTTTTTTAGTAGAGATGGGGTTTCACCATGTTTGCCAGGCTGGTTTCGAACTCCTGACCTCAAGTGGTCTGCTCACTTCAGAGTCCCAAAGTGCTGGGATCACAGGCACGAGCCACTGCGCCTGGCCAAAACTACATATTGTTAACTGTAGTCATCCTACAGTGGTTTACAACATGAAAGAAAACCAAGTATTAATTGTGCAGGAAATTCATTGAAGAAAATGCCTGTGAAGGGAAATGGGGAGGGAGCAGGGAGAGATTTCAGACCGTAATGCAGGTCTGACACCTCTGAAAGCAGAGTGGGAAGGAAGAGAGATAGTTAGAAAGAGAAAGGCTTCGGCACAACTCTGAGAATGTATCAGCCAGTGTAATAGTTCCTAAGGCAACTCTCTCTGTTGGACAACTCCCAGTTGGGTTAGAATCACCTAATTCCGTTACTTCCACTGTGCCCAGTCACTGGCTGGGAAAATCCCCAGGGAAGTGCAGCCTAGCATGAACACCTCGGTGGGTCAAAAGGTACAGCAGCTAGAGGTTGTCAGTTAGCTCTGCTTCCAGAGCAGTTCACCTTGAAGGAAGATTTGAGCACAGAACTTCCATGACTGAGAGCTTCTGGTGCACTTTACAGCAGAGGAATTTGTGAAGCAGGTTCACTGTTCACTGGCTACCAACTTGTCCAGTGAGACAGAACACTCCCACACAACAAGTTACCTGAGGTAGGTTTATTACTTACAGATAGGCAGCAAGAGATGGTAGAAGCCTAGGATTCATTGTGAGCTATTCCTCCAAGTCCCCGGAAACCTGCTGAGGGTAAGTAGAGTCATATCTGTGCATGCCTTACTTGCACAGAAGCTCAGATACCCCAGAAAGCAGCTGGTTCTGTGTTTTATACCCCAGGATGTGTGATTTGCTGGGCTAAAGTGTTTAAGACATTTTGTTTCTAGGGGTGGACTGAAACAGAGGTTGGGTCGTTCTGGCCAGTCCCTCTCTATCTCAAGATGTTGCATTTCTAGCACATTCTTCAGTTATTCTTAAGAACCATGAGTTGGGAAAAGAGGGAAGAACTGGGTAGGCCCAAGGCCACCCAGTGAACTGTCTAGCAGCATTTTGCATTTTGTAAAAGCACATTAACAATGGTTTTGAGAAGCTGAAGTCTGTGGACTGATTCTCCCTGTAAATACAGGCCTGCTTTACTAGCACCTGCACTTTCTGGTTCTTATGCCCCCTCAAAAGTGTACTGAGTCATTTGAACAGAAGGAGACTGCCCCTCCAGCTCCCCACAATGGGAAATTGTCATCACTGCCACAAAATGAATAGAAGGACTTGGCCAAGTTCATCTTCCTTTGTTTACTGCCTGCACTTCATCCCATTTGGAAGAGAGAAGCAATAGCATTGAATGGTCTGGCTTTTTTTTTTTTTTTTTTGTAATCATGGCTATACAGCAGGGTAATGAAGGTCAGAGATGGGGGCTTGAACCACCTGCCTGTGGTTTTGAGGTTTCCCCAAATACTCTATGGTTGTTAAGTTCCATAAGAAAGGGACTTGTTTTTCATTTTTATTTTCTTTCCAACTTTTATTTTAGGTTTGGGGGATACGTGCGCAGATTTGTTTCATGGGTAAATTGCATGTTATGGGGCTTGGTGTCCAGATTATTTCATCACCCAGGTAATGAATGTAGTACCTGGTAAGTAGTTTTTCAATCCTCACCCTCCTCCCATCCTCTACCTTCAAGTAGGACCCAGTGTCTATTGTTCCCTTCTTTGTGTTCATGTGAAGTCAGTGTTTACCTCCTAAGTGAGAATGTGCAATATTTGGTTTTCTTTTCCTGTGTTAATTTGCTTAAGATAATGGCATCCAGCTCCATCCATGTTGCTGCAAAGGTCATGATTTCATTCTTTTTTATGGCTGCATAGTATATTCCATGGTGTATATGTACCATACTTTCTTTATCTAGTCTGCAATTGATGGGCATCTAGGTTGATTCCCTGTCTTTGCTATTGTAAATAGTGCTGCAATGAACATATGTGTGCATGCATCTTTAAGGTAGAATGATTATTCTTTTGGGATTTATACCCATGAATGGGATTGCTGGATTCAACCTTAGTTCTATTTTAAGTTACTTGAGAAATCTCCAAACTGCTTTCCAGTGACTGGACTAATATACATTCCCATCAACAGTGTATAAGCGTTAAAGGGACTTAACTGCTGAATAGTCTTCACCCAACTCAAAGCCTGGCTCTCAGTAGATACTCAATATATTGCTTATACAATTAAAGGAATGGTTAAAAGGAAGGAAGATGTATGCAGAATCTGTGTACTGCTAAGTCAGCAAACATTTGCTGAGGGTCTGTTGAATTTGGTCCTGCTCAACATTGAACTTGCCCACTTCTCACCACCATTAAGGCTCCAGAAAATTTGTTTATCCACAGCCTTCTTCGTCTACCTTATTACCTTGTCATTTCTTTGAGACCTAATATCCATTCCTCCTGATCTCCAGCTCAACTCCCTAGAATCCATAGCTTCTAGAGTTTTGTTTATTTATTCCATTTTTATTTATTTGATTTATTCCACTTTCATTGAATATCAAGACCTCCAGGCATAGTTCCAGGCACCTGGTATGCAGCAACAAATATGATGTTCAGATAATCTCTTGCTGCATAAAAAAGAGCCTGATCCCACAGTGGCTGGAAACAAATATTTGGTATTATTGCTCATGACTCTGTGTTGATTGGGCTCACCTACGTGGTTCTCATTTCAAGTCCTATGCAGTTGTAGTCAGATAATGACTGGGGCTGGAGTCATCTGAAGGCTTGACTAGGCTGGCCATCCAAGATGGCTGAGACACATGGCTGGCATGATATTGGCTACTGGTTAGGAGCTCAGTTGGTGCTGTCGCCTGGAGCACTTTCATGTGGCCTTTCTATGTGGTTTGGGCTTCTCGTAGCATAGTGGTGTCTGAGTTCCAAAAGTGAGTATTCCAAGATATAGGAAGTAGCGCTTGATAGTCTTTTAAAACATGGACTGGAAAAGGGCACAGTATGATTTCCACCATATTCAATACGTCAAAGCAATCATGGAGGTCATTAAAGTCAAGGGAGAGGGTGTAGATCCCAAGAGATTGTTGTGTGTTTTTGTTTGTTTGTTTTTTGTATTTTTTTTGAGACGGAGTCTGCCTCTGTCACCCAGGCTGGAGTGCAGTGGTGTGACCTCGGCTGACTGCAACCTCCGCCTCCTGGATTCAAGTGATTCTCGTGCCTCAGCCTCCCGAGCAGCTGGGACTACAGGCGCCCACCACCACATCAGCTAATTTTTGTATTTTTAGTGGAGACGGGGTTTCACTGTGTTGGCCAGGTGGGTCTGGAACTCCTGACCTCAGGTGATCTGCCTGCCTTGGCCTCCCAAATTGCTGAGATTACTGATGTGAGCCACCGTGCCTGGCCCTAAGGGATTGCTTTGATGTAAAAATGTACAGCCATTTGAAAATGGCCACAGGTGGTCTCTGCTGTCAAGGACTTCAGAGTTGATAAAGAGATAGTGATGAAACCTATAGTAGGCTGAATCATGGCCACTCAAAGATAGCAGGTTCTAGTCCGCGGAACCTGTATATGTTAAATTATAAGGAAAAGGAGTCTTTGCAGGTATGATTAAATTAAGGATGTTGACATGGGGAGATTATTCTGGATTATCTAGGTGGGCCCTAAATTTGATTGCAAGTGTCTTATAAGAGAAAGGCGGAGAGATATTACACCCAGAAGACAAGAAGGTGATATATCCAGATGGAGGCAGAGATTGGGGTGATGCCACTCCAAGCAAGGTAATGCTGGCAGCCACCAGAAGCTGGAAGAGGCAAGGAACAGACTGTCCCCTAGCACTTCTATAGGGAACGAGCTCTACTGACACCTTGATTTCAGTTTATTGCAACCGATTTCAGTCTTCTGACCTCCAGACCTGGGAGAGAAGAAATTCCTGTTGTTTGAAGCCATTTAGTTTGAGATCATTGTTACAAAAGTCTCAGGAAATGAATACAAACCCAGACAATGACAAGCAAGGGTGGAGGTGATATGGAGGAAGCATATAGGAGGCACCTGAAGCCCAGCCCAGCTGGGAGAGAAGAAAGCAGGAATGCTTCTTTAAGCTCTGATGTTCAAATGAGAACACATGGACACACGGAGGGAAACAACACACACTGGGGACAGTTGGAGAGTGGGGGGTGAGGGGTGGGAGAGCATTAGGACAAATAGCTAATGCTTGTGGTGCTTAAAACCCAGATGATGGGTTGATAGGTGCAGCAAACCACCATGACACATGTATACCTACGTAAGAAACCTACACATTCTGCACTTGTATCCCAGAACTTAAAAAAAAAAAAAATTCTGACGTTGATTCATCCCTAGGAAGTGTGGCATCATGGTGATGTTCATTCATCCCTAAGAAGTGTGGCATATGACAACATGTGGAACTTGAATCCATTAAACTTCTTTTTCTTTACAAATTACCCAGTCTCAGGCATGTCTTTATTAGCAGTGTGAGAATGGACTAATACAAATATTATGATGAATGAGGACATTCTCATATCTTCCACAAAACCATCATGGAAGACATTATCCATCATTTGGTTACATTTCCCTTATGTAAGGATCCAAGGGGATCTGGAGTACTGCTTTTCTGTTTGCGTCTCAACTCTGCCACATACTAGCTGGGTTTATAGGCTGCTGTGAGGTTTCAATGAGTAAATCAAAACCTGTAAACACTTGGTGCATGCATAGTAAGTACTTAAAACTGGTATTGTTATAATTTTCGGGATATGGTAAAGGATATTGTTTTTCTGGGGAAAGACACTAGGCCCATCATGGGGGTAATACCCTCGTGACCTCGTCTAACCCAAATTACCTCCTCCAAATGCCATTGCACTGGGGGCTAGGGCTTCAACGTGTGGATTTGGTGGAGAAAGACAAAGACATTCAGTCCATAACAATTTTCCTTGGATTTTTATGTATATGATCAAGTCACCTAGGAATGATGACTGTTTCATTTCTTCCTTTCTGGACATTTCCCCCCTGTCTAACTGCACTAGCTAGGATATCCAGGACAATGTGGAATGGAAGTGAGGCTTATGGGTATCAGTGCTATGATACCATCCACAGGGAGAAACCTTTGGCTTTGTATGAAAAGCTGATGGGTAGGGATATTGATATGGTTTGTCTGTGTCCCCACCCAAATCTCAACTTGAATTGTAGCTCCCATAATTCCCATGTGTCATGGGAGGGACCCAGTGGGAGGTAATTGAATCAAGATGGGGGGTCTTTTCCATGCTATTCTTGGCCAGTTGTCAGCCTGCCCAACATATTGTGAAACCGTGTCTCTACTAAAAATAATAAGCCCTCTCTTGCCTGCTGCCATGTAAGATGTGACTTTGCTACTCCTTTGCCTTCTGCCGTGATTGTGAGGCCTCCCTAGACATGTGGAATTGTGAGTCCATTTGTGAGTCCACCTCTTTTTCTTTATAAATTACCCAGTTTCAGGTATGTCTTTATTAGCAGTGTGAGAATGGACTACTTCAGATGTCATGATGAATGAGGACATTCTCATATCTTCTGCAAAACCATCATGGGAGACATTATCCATCATTTAGTTACATTTGCCTTATGTAAGGATCCAAATGGAATTTTTTTTGAATTCTATTCTAAGAAAAATCATTTCCTTTCCTGTGAACAGCTATACTTCCCTTTGTTAAATGATGATATTCATGTGTCCTTTATGTTTTCTTTTTCTTTTGCTCTGGCTATTAGGGAGCTAAAACCCAAGAGCACACGCAATCAAAATAACCATATTAAATGAGTTTTCTTATGTATTTGATAAATAAATAATTTTTCTTTTGGTTTCCCTTTGGGTGTACCTTTTATTGCAAGCTGTCTCAAGAAGTTTTTTTCACAGTAAATGGGGATAAAATTATTTTAAAAGAATAATACCTGACCTGATTATTACCTGGGTTTATTTCATTGACTGAATGGTGAGACTAATGAATGGACAAGAGCTTTATGAACTGTAAAATGCCGTGTCTGTTATTAACTAGGGGAAGAACATGATTGTCCTTGACTTTAACCAATGTACCTTGTGTCTTCCTTAGTTGGCACTGATGGTTCTGAGTTAGGTAACCATGCTCCCTAAAGCCTCTGAGATTTCCCCTGAGCATCCTGGCCACTCAGTGCTTATTTTGCACCACTCTTGTGTGTCCAGGATGACTCCTTCAACTTTATCTTTCTTCTAGAAAGTTGCTATCCATTGTTTACATCCAGTGGCTCATGCATTCATAGACTGCAGCAGCATTTTCTAAGCACCAGCTGCTGGGTATGTATTGGTTACCTGCCCAGCAACCCTTTTCTCTTCTTCTTTGCTGAGACCATCCCATTTTCATTCATGCATCAGTTGGCAATATGCCCAGAGAAATGGAGCCCCTTCCTTCCTCATGCTCTTAGGCATGGAACTCAGTTGGCCCAAGCCAGGCATGCTCATCTTGTTTCTCTCACTGCTGACTGGTTTAGCCTTGGGCACATGACCTGGTTCTCAGTAGTGAGCTAGTAAGGATCAGAAAAACCACAAAGCCATGACATTATTGAATTAACCTGTCTGGACCACCTACGCCTGGATTTTGTGTGGGAGATACAATAAATCTGGATTATAGGTTGGTGCAAAATTAATATTTAAATCACCTGTAGTTCAACTCTGTGTTGCTTGCAGTCAAAAGTATCCTTATCAGGCTGGGCACAGTGGCTCACGCCTGTAATCCCAGCATTTTGGGAGGCTGATACAGGCGGATCACCTGAGGTCAGGAGTTTGAGACTAGCTTGGCCAACATATAGTGAAACCCTGTCTCTACTAAAAATAAAAAATTAGCTAGGCGTGGTGACACGTACCTGTAATCCCAGCTACTCAGGAGGCTGAGGCAGGAGAATCGCTTGAACCTGGGAAGCAGAGGTTGCAGTGAACTAAGATCCCGCCACTGCACTCTAGCCTGGGTGACAGGGCGAGACTCCATCTCTTGCAAAAAAACAAAAAAAGTCCTAATCAACTGTTTTAGTTTGGATGCTCACTGAAGTAGACTCTGAGGCAAGGATTTGAGTGCCAATAGTTTATTAAGCTTGAGGAGGTGGGGGAAAGGGGACAGGCAAGGGAGGGAAGTGGCAAGAAAGATGCATTATCATGTCAGTTACCAGTGTGGGGAATCACAGTTTAATCTCTCTGGGGAACTCTGGAAAATGACACAGAGCAGGGATTTGCAAACTATTGGCCCATGGCAAACCTGTTCTGCCACCTGTTATTTCAATAAAATGTTCCTGGAATACAGTCACACCCTTTCATTTATGTATAGCCCATGGCAGCTTTTATACAACAGCAGCAGAGTTGAGCATCTGTGAGAGACAATATGACCTGCAAAACATAAAATATTTACTATATGACCCTTTTTCAAGAAGTTTGCCAACCCTAGTGTTGAGCATGTAGCTCAGAATCACCCCCTGGAGGAGTGAAGGAGCTTGGATATTTATACATCCCTCCAGTTAGTCACTGGTGAAGACCTAATGCAGGAGGTATGTTAATTCTCCAGGACTTCCGACCTGTCCTGTGCACAGGCATTGTGGGCCCTGGCCAAGCAAAGAGATGTAAATACCGATTGTTGGGATTTGTGCAAGTATGGACCCTACTGGTCCATACCAGTACACTAACAGAGATGGCCACATCAGTGCATCCAGAGATGGCTGAGAAGTGCACCTGTCCTCCAGGAACCCATAGTCTGAAGGCAAGGTTGGAAATGGCCAAACATTTTTATTTTTATTTTTTTTGAGATGGAATCTCACTCTGTCACCCAGGCTGGAGTGCAATGGAATGATCTCGGCTCCCTGCAACCTCCGCCTCCCAGGTTCAAGTGATTTTCCCTCCTCAGCCTCCCAAGTAGCTGGGATTACAGGGACCTGCCATCATGCCGGCTAATTTTTTGCATTTTTATAGAGATGGGGTTTCACCATGTTGGCCAGGCTGGTTTTGAACTCCTGATCTCAAGTGATCCACCCACTTCAGCCTCCCAAAGTGCTGGGATTACAGGTGTGAGCAATCGCACCTGGCCTTTATTTTTATTTTGTGAGACAGGGTCTCACTCTGTTGCCCAGGCTGGAGTACAGTGGCACAGTCATAGCTCACTGCAGCCTCAAAATCCTGTGCTCAAGTGATCCTCCCACTTCAGCCTCCCATGTAGCTGGAACCACAGGCCTGTAGCATCCTACCTGGCTAATTTAAAAAACAAACAAAAAAAAAAACAAAAAAAATAAAGTGTGTAGAGACAGTCTCACTGTGTTGCCCAGGCTGGTCTCAAACTCTTGGGCTGAAGCATTCCTCCTGTCCCCGCCTCTCAAAGTGCTTGGGATTACAGGTGTGAGTCACTGTGCCCTGCTCAAACATTTTATAATTAAGTAGAAAAACCGACATGTCAGCTGGGGTCCCCTGAATCCTCAAAGATCTAGGTAAGATCTTCTATGCAGGCTACTTCCTGCTAATCTGGGGAGGGCGACCTTCTCAAGGTCGTATCTGCCTCTGGCCCTGGTGCCCCCAACCCACGCTGGCTCTGCTTTTTCCCCTACAGGAGCTTAAGTGCAGAACTTTGCGTCTCCCATTGCCTGCAGGAAACCTACTCAGCTAGTGAGTTCATAGGGCTTCACTGAAGACTGGGGGATTCTGGAGGGGATGATTTTCTGGCACATTCAGGCTTCTAGAACCCTCTATTCTTTCCCCAGCTCTGCTTCTCGTTTTTTTTTTTGTCTGGCTCCAAAACCTTACTCCTTTTATTGAGCACATTATTTCTCTCCAGTTCCCACCTCTGCATTTCCTTTCCTGAATGCTTCTAGGGCCTCAGCAGAACAAGGAACGCCTCATTGATGACGTTAAAAAACAACAACAACAAAACAACCTAAGACACAAGACACAGACAAAACTTTTTTTTTTTTTTTTTTTTTTTGGTATTCTCCAGACAAAACGTTTGCAGCATGAGATGAGGTCCCCTTTGGAAACATCTCCCCACATTCTGTGATTCTGCCAAGTCCTCTAAATTTTGTCTCCTCCTTCATCCACCAGGTGGATTTCAGGACTCCTACTGTCAGAGGCTTGGAATAAACCTCTGGCATGCTTTGCTTCTGTTTTGCTTTCTTTCTTTCTTTTTTTCTGAGATGGAGTTTTGTTCTTGTTGCCCAGGCTGGAGTGCAATGGCGTGATCTCGGCTCACCACAACCTCCATCTCCCAGGTTCAAGTGATTCTCCTGCTTCAGCCTCCAGAGTAGCTGGGAAGCTGGGATTACAGGCATGCGTCGCCACGCCCATCTAATTCTGTATTTTTAGTAGAGATGGGGTTTCTCCATGTTGGTCAGGCTGGTCTCAAACTCCTGACTTCAGGTAATCTACTCGCCTAGGCCTCCCAAAGTGCTGGGGATTACAGGCATGAGCTATCGCATCCGGCCCTGTTTGGCTTTCTAAAATAGACTGTGTGTCTCACCCAGCATGACGTTAGATCTGTTTAGCATGACAGCATTCCATTGAGTCAACTCCTTGGACATACTATATGTTTTGTTTCCCTGGTAGCTAATTAAATAAGACAACTAAGTGCAGTCTAGAAAGTTCCTCTCATAACAAAGTTCCCAAGAATTTACGTCTTTGCTTTACTTACTTACTTTTTCGTGGTAGTTGAAGTTCAAGTGGAAACTGATTATAAAGGAGAAACCTAAATCAAGTTAGGTGAATTCTGCAGTATGAACTGTGCTTGGAAAATCTAACTGGTAATGTATCCACATTGGGAACTTGGTCCTTCCTCTCACAAAGAAAATTCCAGGTCAATTTCATCCCCTATGCTAAGCATTTGAGTGTTCAGGAATGTGATTTTAGTTTTATAAAAATTGTTCTTTTTAAAATTCCTGTCAAATAATCAGATTTTTTTCTCAGCACATTTAGAAGTAAAAATGGAAAGTTTAGAGCATTTTGATATTTTAGTATTTCCATGAAGTCATTTAACCCTCCCAGACTAGTTTCAGAGTTTTGTCTTCCAGCCCATCTTTGTGTCTCACTGTACATTTTCTGCATGTACAATGAGAGGTGATTTTTAATTGGAATCCCTTAGATTTTTAGAGAGAAAGCTCTCCTCCTCTATTCTTCTTCCTCTCCTCTCACTGTCTCTCATTTTAATCCAGAGAATCAAAGTGTCTCTTACAGGCTTGGATATCAAGCTGAACTGTTAAAAACAGTGGGGTCCAGGAACCTGAGTTTAAAACAAGCACCTCTGATTGTCTAAGTGGACTTAGAGAAAGACAAATGCTGTGTGATCTCACTTATTTGTGGAATTTAAAAACGTTGAACTCATACAAAAAGAGTAGAATTAGCTAAGTGAACTAATTCAGACAGAGAAAGACAAATGCTGTGTGATCTCACTTATCTGTGGAATCTGAAAATGTTGAACTCAGAGGAAAAGAGAGTCGAATTAGAATGGTTGCCAGGGGCTAGGAGGAAATGTTGCTCAAAGGGTACAGACTTTCGGTGATAAGATGAATAAGTTCTGGGCATCTCATATTTGGCACGGTAACTATGGTTAACAATACCATATTGCTTACTTGAAATTTGTTAAGAGAGCAGCTCTTAAAATTTTTTTTTTACTTTTTGTGGGTATATAATAAATGTATATATTTACGGGTACATGAGATGTTCTGATACAGGTATGTGGTGTGTAATAATCACATCATGAAGAATGGGGTATCTATACCCTCAAATATTTATCCTTTGTGTTACAAGCAATCCAAATACACTCTTTCAGTTATTTTAAAATGTACAATTAGGCCAGGCGTGGTGGCTCACGCCTGTAATCCTCACACTTTGGGAGGCCGAAGCAGGTGGATCACGAGGTCTAGAGTTTGAGACCATCCTGGCCAACATGATGAAACCCCGTCTCTACTAAAAATACAAAAAATGAGCCAGGCATGGTGGCATATGCCTGTAGTCCCAGCTACTCGGGAGGCTGAGGCAGGAGAATTGCTTGAACCCAGGAGGCAGAGGTTGCAGTGAGCCCAGATCGCGCCACTGTACTCCAGCCTGGTGACAGACCAAGGCTCTGTCTCAAAAAAAAAAAAAAAAAAAAGTGCAATTAAATTATTGACTATAGTCACTCTGTTGTGCTATCAAGTAGTAGGTCTTTTTTTTTTTTTTGGAGTGAAGATCTCATTTCTGTTACCCAGGCTAGAGTGCAGTGGCATGATGACAGCTCACTGCAGCCTCGACTTCCTGGGCTCAAGTGATCCTCCCACTTCAGCCTCCTGAGTAGCTGGGACTACAGGTGTGCCCCACAATGCCTGGCTATTTTTTGTATTTTTAGTAGAGATGGGGTATTGCCATGTTGCCCGGCTAGTCTTGAAATCCTGGCCTTAAGCGATCTGTCCGCCTTGGCCTCCTAAAGAGCTGGGCTTACAGGTGTGAGCCACCACACCTGACCAAGTAGTAAGTGTTACTCATTCTTTGTAACTATTTTTCTTGTACCCATTAACCATCCCTACATTCCCCAGCCCACTACCCTTCCCAGGCTCTGGTAATCACCATCCTTTCACTAAGAGACCAGATCTTAGGTGTTCTCATCACATAAACATCCAAAGACAACTATGGGAGGTAATGAATAGGGTAATTAGCTGGTTCATGGTGATCATTTCACAATTTGTGTATACATATATCTCCAAAGATCACATTGTACACTGTAAATGTATTCCATTTTTATTTGTCAATTTTACCCCTCTAAAGCTGGGAAAATGAAATAAAATAAGCATCCTGGGCAGGACTGGCTGCATAGTTTTCAGGGCCCAGCACAAAACGAAAATGTGGGGATTCTTGTTATGAAAATTATAGGAATTCTGGCTGGGTGCAGGGGCTCACACCTGTAATCCCAATACTTTTGGAGGCTGAGGCTGGGGAGTTGCTTTGAGTCCAGGAGTTTGAGACCAGCCTGGGCAACATGGCAAAACTGCATCTCTACAAAAAAAAAAATGAATAAATTAAAAAATAAATAAATAAATAAATCAGCCGGGAATGGTGGTATACATCTGTGGTCCTAGTTACTCGGGAGGCTAAGGCAGGAGGACCGCTTGAGCCTAGGAGGTTGAGGCTGCAGTGAGCCATGTTCATGCCACTGCATTGTAGCCTGGGTGACAGAGAAAGACCTTGTCTCAAAAAAAAAAAAAAAAAAAAATTATAGGAATTTCAAAATGCCAGCATCACAGTGGGGTCGTCTAATTATGGGGCCTTGTGCAGTTACCCCAGGCAGCATAGCAGGAAGCCTGGAAGAGCTTTGCTGCAGGATTCAGATCCCAGACCATGGTGCCCATGAGTTTCAAGATCTTGTAACATGAAGGCGTGTCTTCAACAGACTCTCTCCAAAGAAATCCTCTCTTGCTCTTGGCCCTTCTTTGTGCCTGAAAAGCGTGAGAAGAGGGTGTAAGCAGGACAGAACCACTTTTATTTTTATTTATATATATTTTTTGAGATGGAGTCTCGCTCTGTCGCCCAGGCTGGAGTGCAGTGGCGCCATCTCGGCTCACTGCAAGCTCCGCCTCCCGGGGTCACGCCATTCTCCTGCCTCAGCCTCCCCCGAGTACCTGGGACTACAGGCGCCCACCACCACGCCCCGCTGATTTTTTTTTTTTTTTTTGTATTTTTACTAGAGACGGGGTTTCACCGTGTTAGCCAGGGTGGTCTCCGTCTCCTGACCTCGTGATCCGCCCGCTTTGGCCTCCGAAAGTGCTGGGATTATAGTCGTGAGCCACTGTGCCCGGCCAGAACCACTTTTCAAAGATTTTGTTTGAAAATCTGCCTTTTGATTTTGTACTTGATTTTGGAATTCTTTATTATTATTATTATTTTTTGAAACGAAGTCTGGCTCTGTCACCCAGGCTGGAGTGCAGTGGCGTGATCTCTGCTCACTGCAAGCTCCGCCTCCCGGGTTCACGCCATCCTCCTGCCTCAGCCTCCCAAGTAGCTGGGACTACAGGCGCCCGCTACCACGCCCGGCAAATTTTTTGTATATTTAGTAGAGACGGGGTTTCACCGTGTTAACCAGGATGGTCTCGACCTCTTGACCTCGTGATCCGCCCGCCTAGGCCTCCCAAAGTGCTGGGATTACAGTCGTGAGCCACCGCGCCGGGCCTGGAATTCTTGATGCTTTAAACAAAACTTAACATCTTGCCTGACATGTTTTTGTAGCCCAACAGGATAACTAAAACGCCAGCATTAAAACTCAGTCCCTGGCAAGATGTTGTCTGTGATCTCCTTCATCTTCACGACAAGATCATCTAGGGTTGTATGCTGAGGTTAGCAGCAGAGTCTCAGTGGAGTCGACCCTGCAGGTGGGAAGCCACACTTGGAATTCCTCCATCGTGCTTAGTTCACCTTGAGGACTAGGTAGCTATCTAATGGCAGAATGGTTTCAAAACCCAAGTATCTGTGAAGAGCTTTCTCTTTTGTGAATTCTTCGGTCCAGCTCAGTGACTTCCAACTGTTCGAGGGGCATAGTTATGACTTAAAATGATTACATACACAAGTACATGCACACTCTATAAATTATGGTTGATTTAAAGGAATCTCAGGAGTAATTTTGACCACAAATAATTTTTCCTCTTCTGTACTAACTATGGAAATGAAATGTTTGTGTAATATATGATTTCATTTTGCCAGAATATATGAATACTTCTGTGAAAGTGTCCTGAAATAAATGAAATGCTGTCTCTGCAAAAAAAAAAACCTAAAAAACAAAAACAGTTCTTTGGCTGTGACATGGACATGAATAAAAAGGTTATAACTAGCATCAAATTCAAGCATTTGGTTTTATTGCTTATGTGAACACAGCATGGAACATCTTTTGATTCACGTTTTCCCCATTCTTAGTCGTGTTATCTGTTCGTGACTATGCAAGTGGTTTTGTCTCTCAGGGACATTTGGTCATGTCTGGAGACATTTTCAGTTGTCACAACTGGGGATGAGGAAATGGTGCTACTGGCATCTGGTGCGTAGACTTCAGGGATGCCAGTAAACATCCTGCAGTGGGCGGAATAGCCCTGCATGGTAGAGAATGATCCACTCTAGATGGTGTCAGTGCCCTCTAAACATTACGTCCTGGGCTGTACCCACTCTCTGGATGTGAAAATGGAGGCCTAGGGAGGCTAAGCACTTATTTATTATTTCTTTGTAGTTAAAAAAAAGTCCATCTTGTTCCAGGAAGGAACAATTTACTTTCTAAACATGAGGCATAAAACAGAAATAACTAGGAAATCGGTGGAAATGTGTTTTCATGGGGACCGTGTAGACTGAGGACAAATTTTCAGGCTTCTATTTGTCCGGTGAGGTTAGTGCTTGTGCGCTGGGCCAAGTCAACATCCTCTTAGCGGTGTCTTGTCTCCTTCCTGATTTAGAAAAGGCAAACCCACCTGCTGTCATGAAAAATACCTTCTAGAAGCTACCGGGTAATTGGGTGATATTTCTGGATTTGTCTCCCTGTCTAATGTACATCAGTTAAACTTTTGACTCTTCAGTGCCTTCTGGAGAAAGTAATAATCGGAAACTAAATCGACTTGGTTTTTTCTCTCCCCCTTTGCCCCGTATTTGTAAAGATTAATCTTCAGTATCTATGAGTGCTGGGTGATTTGCGGAAACTGCAGCTGCTTTGTCAATATCAGCTTGGCCTCCATTGATCAAACCCTCATTTAGGCGTTCACTGCCGTCTGCTGGAAACAGCCCAGGGATGAGGAGGGAAGGGAAAAGGCCACTTCGGGAGGCCACCTTGCCTTGGAGTTTCCGTCGTTTTCCGAGGTGAGCTTGGATGTCACTGCTCAGCACAGTTGATTAAAGAGGTTGGTGCTGTGAGTGAGTCACTGTGTGGGAATCAATCCCGATGGTGGCAGATATGAATAAAGCGTCGGTGTAACTGTCCTGGCTGGATTGTTTTTCTCCGTCTCACCATACTGTTTTCCCTCTGCACGTGTCTGTGACCTCCGGCAGGCTTGCAGATAAAAGTGATGCATCTTCATTTTGTCGGAGGAGTTAATTTTGTGTGTATTCCAAGGTAAGATGATACTCACGGTGCTTATATCTTGGGCACCCACTGTGCATTGGACACTTTCCATAAATTAACTCAAATTTTTCTTAGCAGCTTGCTATGGCTCTTCACTGTTTCTCCAATTCGATTTACAAAACCTTGATTTCAGTGGGATCCCTGTTTGCTCTTGCAAACTCTTCACTCACCACCTGCTTTTTGCCCACTCCACTTCAGCTGCCCTGAACTTTGTGTTGCTGGAATTGACTTTGCTCACTCACACCTCTGGTCCTTTGCACATGCTGTGCCCTGGGCTTAGTACATTTCACTTTCATCCTCTTAACCTCGTTCATATCTTGCTTGGGACAACAGATACGGCTGTAAGTATCAGAAAACTCTATTATCATGGCTTGAAGGTGCAAGGGTTTATTTGGCTTACACAATAAGCTAAACAGTAGGCAAGCCATGTTGGTAGAGTGAATCAAAGAGACCATCAGAAACCCCCACTTTTTTCATTTTCTTGCTCTGCTGTGCAATTTCTATCCTCATGGTTACAAAATAGCTGCTTCATCTCCAGGCATCACGTCAGCAGGCATAGAAGCCAAGGGAGGGCAGCAAGCCAGAAAACTAAAGGTGCGCTCTCCCTTCTTTTCACTGGTCACAACTACGTCAGATGGCCAGCCCTAGCTGCAAGAGATGCTAGTGAAAGATGATTTTTAGCTGGATACATTGTCGCCCTCAGCAAAATAAAGATGCATTTTTCTTATTAGCAGAATCCTAACAATTAAGATTCAGTGCTCAGTTTTGATGCCACTCAGCTGAGTGGTCCTCCCTGAATCCCTGTGACAGAGTTGGGACACACAGGTATTAGGCAATCTCATAGATGGCATTGGAGTTACATGAAATTGTGGTCTTGTTTCCCTATCTGGATTGAAAGCTCCATGAGGAGGACTTGGTCTACCTTTCACACAGTTGTATCTCTACTACCTACATAGTTCCAGATATATAGTAGATGCTCAATAAGTAATAAATGAAGGAGTTACATGAAATTGTGGTCATGTTTCCCTATGTGGATTGAAAGCTCCATGAGAAGGAGGACTTGGTCTGTCTTTCACACAGTTGTATCTCTAGTACCTACATATATAGTAGTTCTAGATATATAGTAGATGCTCAATAAATACTTAATAAATGAAAAATAGCTACTATTTTGCCCCTTTGTAGTTGACACCTAGAGCTTTAGGGAGATAAGATAACTTGCCCTAAGTAACACATGTACTCCTTAATTCCTCCATTCAGTAATGTTTATAGTGCACCTTCTATGAGCCAGGTCTTGTTTCAGACACTTGGGATACATCAGTGAACAAAGCAGATAAAACGACTGCCTTTGAGACCATTATCCCTAATATTTTATTACAAAAAATTTCGCACATACAGCAGAGTTAAACCAATTTCATAGGGAACACGTGTTCAGTTACTACCTAGGTTCTACCAGTCACTGGGGCACATTGATACCAGTGGGGGAAGGCACACAGTAAACCGGAAACAAAACAAGTAAATTACATGGCATTGTAGAAGGTGGCAACTGCTATGAGAAATACAGAGAAGGTAACGGGGTGTAGGGCGTGCAGTTCGGGGTGGTGGTGGTGGCCAGGCTTGGCCTCATTGAGATGGCGACAGTTATGCAAAGACTTGAAGGACATGAGGGAGCAGTGTCGATATTGGAGGGCAAAGCAGTTCTAGGTGGAGGCAACAGCCAGTGCAAAGGTCCTGAGGTGGGAATCTCTGTTCCAGGAGGGGCAAGGTGGAATGTGTGGTTGGAGGAGGAGCGTTGATGGTGGCTGGGTTAGTAGAGGAGGAGGAGTTTGGGGAAAAAGATCAAGGGAACTCAGCTTTGGACAGGCTATGCTTGAACAACTCAGGGGCAGAGCTGGGATTTAGATCCCAGACCTCACAACCTTCCTGTATTAGGGTTCTCTAGAGAAATAGAACCAGTAGGATATATATGTCTATTTATTATATGGATTGTTGTATGCAGTTATGGAGGCTAGGTTCCATGCTCTGCCATCTGCAAGGTGGGGTATGAGGAAAGCCAATGACATTAAGTCCCAGGGTAAGTCTGAAGGCCCAAGAACCAGGAGCTCTGATCTCCAAGGTCAGGAGAAGGTGAATGTCCCAGCTCAAATAGAAAATGTACACTTCCTTTGCTTTTCGTTCTGTTTGGGCTCTCAACAGATGGGATGATGTCTGCCCACATGGGTGAGGGTGGTCTTCTTTTTTTCTTTTTTTGAGACGGAGTCTTGCAGTGTTGCCCAGGCCCGAGTGCGGTGGCATGATCTCGGCTCACTGCAAGCTCCGCCTCCCAGGTTCACGCCATTCTCCTGCCTCAGCCTCCCGAGTAGCTGGGACTACAGGTGCATGCCACCACGCCCGGCTAATTTTTTGTATTTTTAGTAGAGATGGGGTTTCGCCATGTTAGCCAGGATGGTCTCGATCTCCTGACCTCGTGATCGGCCCACCTTGGCCTCCCAAAGTGCTGGGATTACAGGCGTGAGCCACCGCACCTGGCTGAGGGTAGTCTTCTTTACTCAGTCTACAGATTCTAATGCTAATCTCTTCCAGAAATGCCCTCATAGACACACACACCCGGATGTAATGTTTTACCAGCTATCTGGGCATCCTTTAGCTCAGTCAAGTTGACACATGAAATTAACCGTCACACTTTACCATTTTGCCAACATCTGTCCCCCAGTCATTCAAAGACACTGTGACCAGCTGGCCAGGTGGCAAGAATTCCTAGGGCACAAGCCTGAAGCCTTCGGGAGAAACTTCAGCTTTACAGGGGGCAGAATGTTTGGTAACTATTTAGATTTAAAGCAGAAGCACTTTGGATTGAGCAATTTCATATGTGACAACTGTCTTTGCCACAAGCAACAGCAGAGACCTGCAGATGAGAACACCTTTATGAAGAACAAGACCATGCTTTGAAGTTGGGCAGAGATCTTGGTTCAAATCCTGGCTCTGCTGCTTGTTAGCTAAGTCACTTCAGGTAAGCGATTTAACTTCTTTGGGCCTTGCTTTCTTGATCTGTCAAGTGGAGGTTCATAATAGTATCACCCCTTGAGGGCAGATAAACTGATGTATGTTTATGCATACATAAACTGATGTATGTGATGTAATTTAGCACGGTGCTGGTCCACAGGTGAATGGAGATGATTTTTGACTTTCTGTCTCGCAGAAAGTCTGTACCTCCCCAAGGACATCTCATGCCCACAGCAGCCCAGCATTGAGTCCTCACCAACCCAGACTGACTTTCCAGCCTCATATCCTCAAAGGATCTGACATTTTCCAGCCACCAACCTTGGTTTGCACTATGCCCTTCATCAAAAATGTCTTTGCTTCTCTTTGATGCCTGGGTATCTATTCCTTTAGAACCCATTTCAAATTTCTCCTCCTTAAAGATGCCGTTGGTCACTGTTCCAATCTGTAGGATACTCTGTTTTGCCCAGATCCCTTTTGCACTGCCTTCTGGGACTCAGATACAGAGGGGGCAAAACATCCCGGAAGGGGTGGGGCCCATGGACTGCTCTTGGAGTGGGGACAGAGATCACCACGAGATGGCGCTATTGAGCCATCACTGTCAACTGGTTTTTCTCTGTTTTCATTTTCTTACTTGATGAGAAATGTGTGATTTCCAAATAGTCCCAGAAGGAATAGAACTGTGACTGTGTCCCACCACTAAAAAGGTGGTTTTGCATATCTCTGATCGTCCTATCACATCGCCCACTGTTAAAAATTCCATCCCCACATGCAGGGGATTTAGAAGGAGAATATCACACACTTGCTACCACCCCCAATCCATGCAAATACCTTGGTACTTGCTATAGACACTTGGTACACAAATACTGCCTCAGTCTTTTATTAAATTATATTTTATATATTGCATCAGAGTATTAAGCCCTTAAGGGTAGGACCTGGGGTCCATGCCAACTTACTAGAACGGTGTCGACTTCTCTAGGATATGGAATCCACACAGCTCCTTGGAAAGCTGGAAAATGCAGTTTTGAAGCAACCCTGCTTCATTTCCACACCAATGGAAAGGAAAGTGATAAATCCTTTATGGCCAAGAGTCCGTTCTGTTTATTTCTTCCTGGAAATGCTATTGATGGTGGCTGGGGAAGTTGTTTGTTTTTTAATCTTTCCCTTGGCAAGGTCTCCTTACTCATAGCCCTTCCTTATGTTCCCCAAATGGTGCAGGGGGCAGTGTTCAGAAGCCCAGTATGCAGGTCTTGCACAGAGGAGAATTATGGCTTAAAGAAACTTGGCTAAGTGTGGTGGCTCACACCTGTAATCCCAGCACTTTGGGTAGGTCAAGGCAGGCCAGATCGCTTGAGTCCAGGAGTTTGAGACCAGCCTGGGCAACCTGATGAGACCCCATCTCTACAAAAAATTAGCCAGGGATGGTGGTGCATGCCTGTAGTCCCAGCTACTCAGGAGGCTGAAATGGGAAAATTGCCTGAGTCCGAAAGGTGGATACTAAAGTGAGCCGAGATTGTGCCACTGTACTCCAGTCTAGGTGATAGGGTGAGACCCTGTCTCAAAAAAACAAAACAAAATAAAAACCAACAACAGAAAAAGAAACTTGGGTGGGATCATGTGTCCAGGCCTCAGCACTGTTGTCCCTTACTCTAACTCCTGCAGAGAGGTCCTTGAACAGACGTAAGCGGACACACCTTGAAGTCAAGGTGCTCTTTGCAAAGCAACACAATGTTATTGACATATTCCATTTGAATAACCAAATTTTGTAGTTGATTGTGCGCTAAGGTGGATACGCATTACATTATGTTCTTATGTAGGGAAGTAGAAGTTAGTGCCGAGATTTAAAGAAAAATCAGTGGGGAAAATAACAGTTGAATCTTATTTGTTTAAAAACTTAGGACTTATTTATTCTTCTGTCCACCCATTCATATATACATTTAACAAAAGTATTTGAAATTAGTTTTATATTGCTATTTATTTTAAAAATAGGTATTATACACGTATGGCTCAAAATTGGAAAGATACAAAAGAGTGTATAGTAAAAGGTAGTTTCCACTCCCATCCTTGTCCTAACCAGTTTGTTTCTTCACAGAAATGGCAACCACTATTGATAGTTTTCTATGTTCCCCTTGAGAAATATTCTATATTGTAAATGTATATTCATGTATTCATTTATTCACCCATCTATCCATTTATTCATCTACCCATCCATTTATTATCTAGCCACCTATCCATAGATGGATCCATTTATGCATCCATCAATTTATTCATCTATTTACCCATCCATCCATTCATCCATTTATCCATCCATCTATCTATTTACTTTCCATTAATCTATCCATTCTTTCATCCACTTATCCATCCATCTATCCATCCACTTTGCATTCATCTATCCATTCATTCATCCATCCATTTATCCATTCATTCATCCATTTATCCATCTATTCATTTACTTACCCATTTATCCATCCATCTATCCATCCACACACACATCCATTTATCCATCCATCCATCTATTCACTCATCCATCCATTTATCCATCTAATCCATTCATTAATCCATTTACCCATCTATGTCATTTTTTTCCAGGAAGAGGAAAAGGGCAGCCATTATTTGGTTTTAGATGGTAGACCAAATTTGTGCTACTGTTCCACTGGAAAAGAGATTTGGAACCACTCCTTGGCGTTAAGCCAGCCACTCCAAAGCTGTAGTGTTGCAATGTCATACATCTGTCAGGGAAGGCTGAACATTTTAAAAACAATTGGGTATGGCCATTCAGATTTTATTTTGGCCCAGCATAATGAGTTTGTGTTTGATTCTGAAGGAGAGGGAGATTTGTAATAAATCAGCAAGTGAAATTAAAAGTGAGCCAGTGAGGTGCCATAAAAGGGTGGTTGGAATCAGACATTCTCAAATCCATATCCTATCCCCACCCATGTTAAAAGCTATATAGGAGGTTATTTAACTTCTTGGGAGTCTCAATTTTCCTCTTATGTTCTGAGATGGGGATAATTGTATTTTTCTTTGCAGGTTAAAGGCTAACACAATGCTTGGATATAGTCAGTGCTCATGTGGTAACTGCCCTTAACATTATTAAGCCCACATAATTCTCTTCTTTTTTGTAAGCAGTTGAGATCTTTAGGTTGAAGATTCAATATACAATGTAACAGAGTCAGAGGGTGGGTGGCAAAAGGTACATACATACTGCAGGGCAGGGACTTGGAGTATGGAATGGAGAAATAGCAGAGGACATCTTCCAGCTGCAGTTGGGATGGGTGCTGAGCTACAAAGCTACTAGAGAAATAGGAAACTCAGGTCTCATCATTGCAGGGACCCTTGTTTCCTGCAAAGAATCCTTGGAGAAATCTCTCCCACTGTCTCTGGGCATTGTATTCAGAAATGTCTGGCCTGGATGATAGTCTTCCTGCTTTTGGCCTCACCCTCTATCCACTGTCCTCTGCTGAATCTTTCTAAAATGCTTGCTTAAAACTCCTTATCTCCTTCAGGAGAAAGTTAAATCCTTTACCACACAAGGCCATTACCTGGGGGCCCTTTCTAACTCCTCCCACCTCAATTTTGTCCTCTTTCTGCAGGTATCTAAGTGTCATGATTTAGATGTCCTGGCATGCACTGTGCTCTTTTTCTGGAAGCCTCCTTTCTTTCTTCATCCAACTACCTCCTCTTCTTCCTTCGAGATTCAGCTGAGACTCTCTTGAGCAAATTTTCCAAGACTCCTTAAGGGGAAGGACCTGGTCCAAGTTGACTTGGTGTCTCCGTCATCAAGCACAATGCCTGGTTCACAATGGATTCTTCATGCATCTCTTTCTACAAGATGAGAAGGATCAGAGGGTGAGGATTGGAGCTGGGTGTCTTAAAAATCTGTGAGAGTGGAAGCTAAGCCAGTGATGTTTGCTTTGTAAGCTATTCTTGTGATATTACAATCCTTCAGAGTGGTGAGGTTGGTGGGAGTGGTAAAAACAAACAAACAAACAAACAAAACCTAGTTTCTTTGTCTTGGATTTTCCTGTGTCAGTTTATAGAGAGAGACTATCCATCATATTTTATTTTAGCTTAACCAAAGTCCTACTTTTTGTTGTTTCTTTTTTTCTTTGCTGGGATCTTAAAAGAGATTGAATAAAAATTCAGTTGTAGGAATGGCTTTACCTTCCTCTCTGGTCTTGTTGTTTTGTTTTTAGACTATGATATCACATGTCAAGACTATGATATCATATCAGGACTAGGATATCAAGTTTATAATAGAACAATAATTATGTATTATTTAAACTTATTTTCATCAAACTATAACTAATACACAATGGATTTTTTAATGGTATATACAGATATTTAAAATTTGAAATAATTTTAGATTTATAGAAAAGTTACAATGATACTATAGCAAGTTCCAAGAAATCCCTTCTCAGTTTCAGTTTTTCTTAAATTTTGTTGTTGTTGTTGAGACGGAATCTCGTTCGATCACCAGGCTGGAGTGTGGTGGCACGATCTCGGCTCACTGCAACCTCCACCTCCTTGGTTCTAGCAATTCTCCTGCCTCAGCCCCCTAAGTAGCTGGCACTACAGGCACACGTCACCTCACAGCTAATTTTTTTATTTTTAGTAGAGACGAGGTTTCACCATGTTGGTGGTCAAGACCACCAGGCTGGTCTTGAACTTCTGACCTCGTGATCTGCCCACCTCGGCCTCCCAAAGTGCTGGGATTACAGGTGTCAGCCATTGTGCCCGGCTTCTTTAATGTTAAAAAAATGTTAATGTCTTTGTCACAACTTTGGAAACTATTAATTGCATTCCAAATTTTATTTGAATTTCACCAGTTTTTCTACTAATGTCTTTTTCCTGTCCAGGATTCAATCCAGAGTTTCATGTTGCATTTATTCTCACGTCTCTGTAGTCTCTTCTGGTATGGAACAATTTCTCCATCTTTCCTTATTTTTCATGATCTTGATAGTTTTGAGGGGTACTGGGTTAGGGATTTTGTAGAATTGGACTTGGTGATTAGAACCTAGGTCTGGCCGCCTACCCATCACAGTATCAGTAAAAGCCTCCCTTGAAATTGACCAATGGCATGAACATTTCAGATGAGTCTGCCATCTTTGGTGCTCCTGGGACACGAGAGAGACCTGTCTTGGAGACAGAGACCTCACAGACTCAGAGATTCAGGTGCTTTTTCTGGTAATGATTTTGTCTGCGGGCTGATCACAAAGGTGGATGAGACTTTGGCCAAAGCTAAGGCTGCAGGGTCTGGGCTAAAAAATTCCAGAAAAACTACCTTGCCATGGGAGGCTGAGTTCCAAATCGCAGCCCGCGTGCAGCCTGCTTTACCAAATAATGAGGCACTGGGTGCTTTTTAAGGCAGCTGACCTTTGGAGCAAATTATCCAAGGAAATCTGATTAGCTAGTTCACTGGGTTCCTGCAAAATGGAGCTTGGTGTGTTTCTGCAGCAGAAATGTCAGCATAATTGGAGTTTCTGGAGCTCAAAGAGCTTCTTTCTTATTGTTTCCATCCTTTGGAGGAAAAAAAAACACCCCAAACAAACAAAACCCAAACCCCCAAAGAATTGTTCTTTGACTTACATTCTTTGCTTTTGCACATGGTTCAGAAGCTGCTCCTGACTGTGTTTACGACTTTATTAATCAGGGGAACAGCCCGAACATCATTTAAACAAACAAGGCCAAAAAAAAAAAAAAATCCATCCCTAAACAGATGATGTGAGCTTAATAGAGATGGCCAAGCCAAAGACCTTAAATAAATAAACTGACTTTAATTTGTAGGAAGGAGCATGGGGTGGTCATTACTTGAGGCTGTGTGCCATGCGATGTAACCAAATTTGAAACTCGCTAATTTCATTATTTTAATGGAAGTCTGCCTCCCATTCATTAGGCTGACATATGACTAGCCATTAGTAACAGTCCATTTCCAAAGCTATGGTGGATAAAGGGTGATTGGAAATGAGCGAGGGCCAGGCCTGGTGGAGGCTGGCAATTTCAGAAGGGAACTGGTGGGTGGGATTTATGCAAGAGGCAGGGAACACAACTAGGAAAATTGTCAATGTGGATGGAGGCAGCAAACCATTGAGTCCAAATACAGGCTTGAGAGACCTGGGTTTGAATTCTGGTTCTGCCACATACTGGCTGTGTGACCTTGGGCAAGTTACACCCCCGCACTGAGCTTCAGTTTGCTCATCTGTGAGATGGGAGTAATCATAGTTCCTATCTCGTAGGGTTGCTTGCAATGACTCAATGAGGCAAATTCTTAGGAGGCTCTAGTATAGGGCTTGGCAAAAGTAACCACTTAATAAATGGTAGCTATGATGATGATAACGTTGGCCAAAGTCCCCAGTATTTAGGGACTTGGAGATTTTGCTAATGAAGAAATGAAGGCTGACAGAAATAAAGTAAGGTATCCAAGTTTGCCCCGAACTTGGACTCAAATTTCTGATTCTTAATCCTATACTCTTAAAAAAAATCCTATACTCTTAATCCTATACTCTTAAGACCCGTATTTTTAAAATTGTTTCATTTCTTGAACAGGCCAGTAATTCATATGATTGAAAAATTTAAAAACAAGAGTATGCTAGAATAGTCAGTGAAAATTGTCCCTTCTGCCTGGAACATTTCCTTTTCACAGACAGCCATTGTTACGTGTTTCTTCTTTATCTTTGCAGAATTTCAGGTACGTACAAGCAAATACAAATGTATATGCACTTCTTTTTTTTTTATTACACAGACAGTTCTGTATCCTGCCTTTTAAAACTTATATCCTGCTTATCTTTCTGTATCAGGGTATAGTGAGTTCTTTCATTCTTACTTATAATTATATGTTTTTCTATTATAATGGCTATATTATGTCTTATTTAATTATTTCTCTCTTGATGAACAGTTGGGAAAGTTCTCATCTTTTGCTATTACAAACCACAATGCGATGAATAACATTGCATGTATGTCATTGTGTACAGGTGTACGTATATTCTAGGATAAATTTCCAAAAGTAGAATTGCTGAGTTACAGAGTGAATGCATTTCTGATTTTGATAGTGCTCAAAGGTCTGGGGGCACATAGAGATGGTGCTTTAGCAGTGAGCTTAGGCTGACAGCGGTTAAGAGAGACATGCCTCAGGTTGCCAGTTAAAAAAAAATCTGCATAATGTGTTGCTTAAAGAATGTGGTAAGGTGAAAGCTTGGAAATACTGGTGTCATTGGAAAGACAGAAATAAGACAGAGATTGTGTTGGGAAGAGAACACGGAATTTCGAGTAATTTCTGCCTGGGTTTGCATCTTGACCCTGCCACTCCTGGCTGCATGACCTTGGGCAGGTTGCTTCACATCTCTGAGCTCAGTATCCTCACCTGTAAAATAAAGACCATGATAACTTCCATTATAGGCTGCTGGAGGAAGTAAAAAAGAAAATATAAACAGCAGTTAGCATGATGCCTGGCACATGGTGTGCATTCAGGATATAACTGGGGCCTTTGGGTGAGTAACCAAGTTCATAATGACTCATAGCTAGCTAACATTATTATATTATATATACTATACTGTATTAGTGGGAAATAGCTAACATTTATTGAGTGTTTACTGTGTGGCACGCACTGTGCTTACTGCCTCCCATGAAACATTCCACTTACCTCTCATAACAACTCTGTGAAGTATTCTTGCTCACCTCAGCTTACAGATGGGGAAACGGAGGCAGGACACTCAAGTACTTTGTCTGTTGAAACACTGTGAACAAACGACAGAGCTTATATTTGAACTGAAGCCACTTGTCTTGGAGGGCTCCTCTGATCCCACATCCTGTTCTTTTTTTTTTTTTTTTTTTGGGAGATGGAGTTTTGCTCTTGTTGCCCAGTCTGGAGTACAGTGGCGCAATCTCGGCTCACTGCAACCTCCCTCTCCCAGGTTCAAGCAGTTCTCCTGCCTCAGCCTCCGGAGTGGCCGGGATTACAGGCACCCACCACCACGCCTGGCTAATTCTTTGTATTTTTAGTAGAGATGGGGTTTCACCATGTTGGCCAGGTTGGTCTCAAATTCCTGACCACAGGTCATCCACCCACCTCAGCCTCCCACAGTGCTGGGATTACAGGCATGAGCCACTGCACCCAGCCCATCCTGTTCTTTTGATCCACGTATTATAACATAAGAGGCTGACTTATTCTGAGACAAGGACATCATGGGTGGAGCCCCCTTCTCATCTCGGTGTGACCTAGTTCAGCTTCCCCATCTCTTAGGCAGATACCATTGGGTTCAGAAAGGTTCAAGGACACTTTTTCTCCTCTTAGCTTAGTGCTTCCTCAAGTGATCCATGACTTATGACCTTATGACGATGCCGTGTGGTGAGTCTGAAATCAGATGAAGATTTTTATCCCGACATGATGAACACAAGCATTGCATAACCTGACTCGGGTTACCCAGGATCTTTCCTCTGCTTGTGGTCACCACTGCTAGGATTTTGGAAGAACCCTTTAAAAACTAAGCTCTCTGAGGACAGGCATTTTTGTTTGGTTCACTATTGTGATGCCAATGATTAGAAAAATGCCTGGGCCCATAGGAGGGACTCATGTTCAATGCAGAGGTGGATAAATGAGAAAGAGACTGTTTGCCGCAGAATACTAAGAGATTTTATTGTTCTTGTCATAGGAACCAGGCAATATTCCAGACACACATGACATCAGTAACATCCATATGTCTGTGATGGGGTAGGAGAGAAGACTACTTTTCAGGTGGGACATTTTGATTGGAGAGGGTCTCTGATTCAGAGAGTGAGGTGAGCTATTTTCTTCTTGGGAGTTCTTGGCATTTGATAATCCTTGGTGTTTATTTCAAAATATGGAAGAATTTGAGATTTACTTAGACATCTTGGCATGCAGTGCTAAACCTCAGACTTCCTGAATTTATTTACCAGCTAGGGGAAGCATATTCCCAACTTTAATTGTATTTACAAAGGGCTCTAATCTGGTGTGAAGTCTGAAGGCATATTTGTTGTAGGAGTTACTCAATTAGCCAGTGAGAAAAGAACAAAGGAAAAGTCATTATGCAGATGTATGCCCATTCAAATCTATTCCGCCTCTAGATGCTTTCTTCGTAGTGAAGGGAAGAACTCCAGTCTGCAAGTCTCTCGTCTCTGCTGTGTTTTCTGCTAATTCTCTTCTAATATTAGGCCATGAATGATTAATAATATTGCATTTTGACACTGTTAGATTTTGTCAATTTTTTTCAATATAAAAGCAGATAATTACAGATTACTTTAACATCCAGGAAGTGAAATCAACCATGAATTACACTCAGACTCATCCACGACCCCTTGAATATCTGTCTTTTTTTTTTCAATAGGAGATTGAAGTTTCTTTAGTCAATTACACAAGTCATGTCTGACAATTGAGAAAATGCTGTTCACATAAAACATCATAAATTAAAAATATACAGTGTTTATATTTTAATACAGTAGGGTCCCAGGATTCAAACAAAGAATTTTGATCTCAGAGGTTGCATTATGTAGTTATGTGTTCTGCTTTAAAGAACTATACTGGAGGTAAACTTGAAACTGCCTTTGCAGAAATTATAACTGAGGAAATTATGACAGTGAAAGAGATCAGACCTAACCAACTACACCTTTTATCTAATCTTAAAGCTATCCTTATTCATTCCTGGGCATAGGCCGAAATAACCTTGGGAAGGAATTTAGTTTACAGTTTGACTCTGAAACAAAATTGATAATAGCCGTTTCCTGAAAAGACCTCCTTCTTGCCTGGTGACCAGTCTGCCTTTGTAGGACTAACAAATTGGCTACAAGATTGGAAATTATGGTTTAGGGGTCATGCAGCCCCTGACTCCAAGAGTCTGAACCTCCCCAGATTGCTCCTAGGGATAGCGTCATTATTGTAAAACTTAAGATCAGTGCTTGAGATATTTTGCAAACCCTGCACTCAGTGGATCAGCTGACACCACCCAGACTGGTAACTTGGCTCCCAGTTCTGCCATCCCACCCAGGAACAGAAGACCACAAAAAAACCTCACTTCGACCCCCTATGATACCATCTCCAACCTGACCAATCAGCACCACTTCCTGAGCCGCTACCCACCAAATTATCTCTAAAAACTCTGATCCCCAAATGCTCCAGGAAGGCTGATTTGAATAATAATAAAACTCAGGTCTCCCGCACACGTGGCTCCGTGTGAATTACTGTTTTTCCACTGCAGTTCCCCCATCTTGCTAAATTGGCTCTGTCTAGGCAGGGGGCCAGGTGAACCCATTGGATGGTATATTTCTCAAGAGTCAAATATTAATAGGTTTAACATGTAAGACTTACATATGTGTGTGTGTGTGTGTGTGTGTTTACATATACATATATTTCAATAGCTTTTGGGGTTCAAGTGGTTTTTGGTTACATGGATGAATTATAAATTATATAGTGGTAAAGTCTAAGATTTTAGTACCTGTCACCTGAGTAGTGTACACTGTACCCAATATGTAGTTTTTGTATCCTTCATTCCCTTTTCATCCTCTCCTCTTCTGAGTCTCCAGTGTCCATTATATCACTCTGTATGCCTTTATGTACCTATGGCTTAGTTCCCACTTATAAGTGAGCATATATGGTATTTGGTTTTCCATCCCTGAGTTATTTCACTTAGAATAATGGCCTCCAGCTCCATCCAAGTTGCTGCAATGACATTATTATATCATTATTTTTTCATGGCTGAGTAGTATTCCATGGTGTATATGTACCACACATTTTCTTTATCCACTCATTGGTCGATGGGCACTTAGGTTGGTTTCATATCTTGACAGTTGTGAATCCTAAATTTTACGTGCAAGGTTTTGCATCTGTAGAGGAAGACAGGATTCTCAGTGCATGTGCCAATTTTTGGGTTTTCCACTTGAGAATCTTCACCAGTTTTCTCTTCAGAATCAAATTCCTGACTATCTGGTGCTTCAGAGTTATCCAGAGGTTCATCATTCAGTCTCTGGGTTGCCTCTGTCATATACTGTACTCTGCCGCTTTTGCCAATTGTTTACTCTCCTTTTCCAAGTGGTCAATTTCATTGTTCTTTCTTCAATTTCTCTGTGAAGCCTCTCATTTTCCTTAAGTGTTTCATAGAGGGTGTTCCTTTGTTCTGCTACTTCTCTCCAATATTGAGGGGATAAATTTCATTTAATCCTAAAATCAAATGCTTCTTGGGTGACTCCTCCAAGATTTTAATTGTCACTCTATTCTGGGACAATGACAACTCTAGAGTGGGAAGTCCTGGCTGTCAACTGGTCATTCCAATGCTTCCTCTTGGATATGCTTTGGGCCAGTCACTTTTTTTTTTTTTTTTTTTTCCGACAAGAGATCTGGCTGTGGAAGGATGAATCATCTTCAGAGTTCTTCTTGGGGAGAAACTGTTCTTTACATCTTTGATTCCTCCTTGTTTCTACTTTATCCTAGGATTCATTATACAGCTGGTAAAGCACAAAAGATGGGAGGAGAGGATTAATGATCATAGTGAATTCAGGTGACTGTGGCACAGCCAACCTACATTGATCCCCACTGTCGCTGGAGTGGCTGGGGCACACTGCTGAAAAGACTTACTCCTCTTGAACATACTCCTTTGAGTAGTTTTTATATATGTAATTTTGCATATTTTTTTCATTTTTTTTATTATTATACTTTAAGTTTTAGGGTACACGTGCACAACGTGCAGGTTAGTTACGTATGTATACATGTGCCATGTTGGTGTGCTGCACCCATTAACTCGTCATTTAGCATTAGGTATACTTTTAATCGTAGTGCCATACAATTGTATTGCATTTTCCATTTATAGCATATTATAATTATTTTGACTTTTATTATGAAACTTTCAAACAGAAAAGTAGATAGTATAATAAAATAAAATAAAAAGTATATATATAACAAGTATGTCGGCTGGGTGTGGTGGCTCATGCCTTTAATCCCAGCACTTTGGGAGGCTGAGGCAGGCAGATCACTTGAGGTCAGGAGTTCGAGACCAGCCTGGCCAACATGGTGAAATGCTATCTCTACTAAAAATAAAAAAAAATTAGCTGGGTTTGGTGGTGGGTGCCTGTAATCCCACCTACTCAAGAGGCTGAGGCAGGGGAATCACTTGAACCTGGGAGGTGGAGGTTGCAGTGAGCCAAGATCATGCCACTGCACTCCAGCCTGGGCAACAGAGCAAGACTCCATCTAAGAAAAAAATTATATATATAACAAGTATGTAAACAAAATACATAAGTAAAAGGTAGAATAAAAAAAGATAGCATAATACACACCCATGTATTTATTGCTTAGAATTAACACTAATATTATATTTTCTTTGTGCATTTTTTTTCTTAAGTGGTTCAAAAGAAAGTACAGACATCATGATATTAAACCCTAAATCAGTGGCTCTCAACTGAGGTTGACTTTGACCCTTGTCCTCCGCAAGAGGACTTTTGGCACTGTCTGGAGACAATGTTGGTTGTCACAAAAGGAAGCATGCCTGCATCCCTGGTAGAGATCAGGGATGTTACTAAACATGCTACAATGCACAGGACTGCCCCCTCCAAAACAAAGAATTATCTGGTTCTAAATGCCGGTAGTGCTGAGGTTGAAAACCTTTGGTCTAAATGATTAAGAATGCGTTTCTTAAAATGCAAAATTTCACATAACCACATAGCACCATCACTTCTAACAAAGAGAAAAATAACTCTTTAAAATTGTCTAATAACCAGTCCATGTTTCCCCACCATTCCACTAAAATGTTTTTTACAGCTGGTTTTAGCAAACACTTTCCATTTTATTAGCACTGTTAATAGAATCTCACTCTAAATGACTACAGAATAGTCTGTTAAATGGATTCCCTGAAATTTATTCAAAGGATCTATTTTTGGATATTAGTTTTGCTTCCAGGTTTTAGACAAATTATATTTTTGTAAATAATGAGAGTTTACTTCTTTTCTAACTTTGTGCCTTTTCTTTCTTTTATTTGCCTTATGTTCTGGCTAAAAACTTCAGTAAATACTGAACACAGCATATGAGAGTGGGCATCCTTTTGTTGTTCCAGATTTTAGGAGAAAAAGATTTAATATTTTATTAAGTATGATATTAACTGTAGGTTTTTAAAGATGAACGTTATCATATTGGAGATGGTCCCATCTATTCCTAGTTTCACTGAGCGTTTTTATCATAAAGAACTAATGATTTCTGTCAAATTTTTTTTCTGTGTATTTTGAAACGATCAAATGGTTTTCAAACTCTTACTCTGTTATAGTATGATGAATTATATTGATTGATTTTCATTAAACCAACCTTGCTTTCTTGGAATAAACCTTGCTTGGTCATGATGTATTATTCTTTATATGTATGTATAAATATATATCTATAGATACATATACATATATACATATATCTATCTATATATATAGATATGTATACATATATATATAGAGAGAGCTGGATTCTGTTTGCAAATATTTGGTTTAGAATTTTTGTGCCTATGGGCTGGGCGCGGTGGCTCACACCTGTAATCCCAGCACTTTGGGAGGCCAAAGAGGGCAGATCACGAAGTCAGGAGTTTGAAACCAACCTCACCAACATGGTGAAACCCCGTTTATACTAAAAATACAAAATTTAGCTGGGCGTGTTGGTGGGTGCCTGTAATCCCAGCTACTTGGGAGGCTGAGTCAGGAGAGTCGCTTGAAACCGGAAGGGGGAGGTTACAGTGAGTCGAGATTGTGCCACTGTGCTCCTGCCTGGGCAACAAGAGTGAAATTCCGTGTCAAAAAAAAAAAAGAATTTTTGTGCCTATGTTCGTGAGGGATTAGGCTGTTATTTTTTTTACTTGTAATAGCTTTGTTATATTTTGGGGTCAGGGTGATGCTGGCCTTCTATATTAAATTGGGAAGTGATACCTCTTCCTCTATGTTCCGAATTTGTGCATTATTGATATTTCTCCCTTACATGTTTTGTAGAATTTACTAATGAACCATATATGTGGAAAATTTTCTTTTTAGAAAGGTTTTACAAATTTAATTTCTTTAATAGCCATGGGGTTATTTATTTTCTGTGTCTTCAGTTGTTAGTAATTTGTGATTTGGATTAATTAATATAAGTTGTTGAATTGTTAGAATGTTTTAATATTTATCCTTTTTAACATTTTTAGAATATGTAGTGCTGTTTCATTTTTATTTATGTGGGCAATTTGTGCTTTCCCTCTTTTTTTTGTCCATTGTTGTTAAGACTTTGTATTGCCACTTTACTATTAGTATTTCCTTTCTTTTACTTGCTTTAGATTTACCTTATTCTTCTTTTTCTAGCTTCTTAAGATGGAAGGTTGTATATACCTTTCTTCTCCAGTGTAAGTATTTAAAGTCATAAATTTTCTTCTAAGCACTGCGTTAGCTTTATTTCACAAATTTTGATATATTTTCATATTATTCAGTTCAAAATATTTTACAGTTTCCTTTATGATTTCTTTTTTGATCTATGGGTTATTTAGGAGAGGGTTGTTTTATTGCCCAATACATAGGGGATTTGCTAGATATCTTATTGTGAATGATTTTATTCTATCGTGTTACTCTGTATGATTTCATTCTTTGATATTCATTAATACTTTTATATGATCCAGAATATGGTCTATTTTACTGAATGTTCCATGACAACTTTAAAAGAATGAGTTTTCTGCAGCTGTTGGATGTAGTAGTTTAAAATATTATGTCAGTTTGGTTTACAGAGTTGTTCAAATAGTGTTTACTGAATCTTTGATCTGCTTGTTCTATCAGTTATAAGTTGAGCATCCCTAATTTGAAAATCTGAAATCTGGAATGCTCCAAAATCTAAAACTTTTTGAGTGCTCAGAGTAAATGCTCATTGGATTTGGAGCTTCATATTAGGAATGCTCAACCAGTAAGTATAATGCAAATATTCCAAAATCTGGAAAAATCCAAAATCCTTCTGGTCTCAAGCATTCTGGATAAGGGATGTTCAACCTGCACCAAGAGGGTTTACATTCTCCAACTATGATTGTGAATTTTTTTTTATTTCTCCTTTCAGTTCTGTCAGTTTTTCCTTTGTGAGTTTTGGAAATGTGTTGTTAGGTACATCTATATTCATGATTGTTTTCTTCTCAATTATCCTTTTTTTATTATTTTGAGGTATTCTTCTTAATATCCAGTCATACTCTTTGTTTAAATGCTACATTGTCTGATATTAACATAGTCATACCAGATTTCTTATTTTTGGTGTTTTCATACTGTATCTTTTTCTTTCCTTTTACTTTCTATTGGCCTGTATCTTTATAATAAAATTGTGTTTCTCAAAAACAACCTATAGTTGGGTGTTGCCTTTCATATCCAATTTACTAAGCTCTGACTTTTTCTTAGAGGAGTTAGTCCATTTACATTTAAGGTAATTATTGATATGATTCGACTTATGTCTCCCATCTTGGTATTTGTTTTATATTTATGGTATTTATTCTTTATTCCTTTGTTCATTTTTGTCTTTTCAGGGGAAAATTAAGTATTCTTAATATTACTTTTATATCCTCTGTGGATAGTTAGATTATATTTCCTTTTTAAAAAATTTAGTGGTTACTATAGAAACTACATGTAAATGTTCACAGTATACCTTCAAACAATGTTTAACCTAATTCACAGTATAAAAATCATGCTGCAGTATAATTCCACTTATGTCCAATCCTGCCTTTTGTGCTCTTGTTATATTCTGTGTTACAGTGACACATATGGTATTAATCCTATCATACGTTGTTATTATTTCCAGTCTACACTGTAAATAGTCACTTAAATATTTGAGAAATTATAAATGTAAAAATAAAAGTCAAAAAAGGTCTTTTCCATTTATACAAATATTTACCTTTTCTGGTGTTTTTAATTCCTTTCTGCACATCTGGGGTTCCATCTGATATAATTTCCCTCAGCCTGAAGTATCAGCAAGTATCTCAGATTTTGTCTCTCTAAGGATATCTTTATTTCATCTTCATTTTGAAGGATATTTTTTGCTAGACATAGAATTCTCTGCTTCCATTTCTTTTTTCTTGTCATACTCAATGATGTCATTTAATTGTTTTCTGGCTTTATTCTAGATTCTGATGAAAAGTTAGCCATCATAAATTTTTTTCTAATGTATTTAATGTGTCATTTTATTCCTATTGCTTTTTAGATTTGCTGTTTATTGTTTTATGTGATTTTTGGTTGTTAAATAGCTAGGTAAGGTTTTCTTTATATTTATCTTGCTTAGGGTTCACTGAGCTTCTTGGCTCTACAGGTTTATGTCTTTCATCCATTTTGGAATGTTCTCAGATGGTTATTATTATATCAAATATATTATCTATCCAGTTTTTCTCTTCTCTTTCTGGAACTTCTATTACATCACTTGATATCATGTTAGATTCATTTATACTGTCCAACAGATCTTGAATATTCTGTTGTATTTTTTCCACTATTTTTGCCTTTTGTGTTTCAGTTTGGATACTTTCTATTGATCTGCCTTTTGTCCCTGATGCTTTCATCTGTTTTTTTTCCAGTGTGCTGTTAAGCACATCTGATGTTATTGATTTCTAATATTGTATTTTTCATTGCTACTTATCCCATTTGATTTTCTTCTAACATTTCCTGGTGAACATGTCTTTAGGAAATTTTCCATTTCTTCATGCATGTTATCTATATTTTTCGTTAGGCTTTTGGCATTTTTATTATAGTTATTTTAAATTCCCTGTCTAATAATTCCAACATCTGAGTCATCTGTGGATCTGTTTTTCTTGATTGTTTCTACTCTTAACTATAGGCCACTTTTTTGTTGTTCTTTAAAAAAATATTAATACGTCTTCTAATGTTTGATTGTATACTGAAAATTCTGTATAAAAGAACAGTAGAGACTAAAGTAAAAAATATTTACATCCAAAAGAGCATGCTTTTGATAAGACCTGTAGTAAATCTCTCCTCTCCTCTAAAATGATCTTCACTTTGTGGAATTTAGTTCATTTGGATTTTTCTGTGTCCTTAGTTCACTGAAGGTTTTCTTTTTTCCAAATAGCTTTGTAGCTCATCTAATTTGTTTTGATTATTTGCATGAGAATGGCATTTTCTGTTGACTTTCTATTTCTGAATTCAAAGTAGTATGCAACCAAATATGCTTCAACAAAGATGTGCATTCACCAAATATTTTTTTAAAAATTTACAATAATTTCCTTAACATAAATTCTAGAAGGTAGACATTGATCAAAATATCTAAAGATTTTTTATGGTTCTTAATAAAATATGGTCATATTACATCTCAAAAAAACAAGGAAGTTATACCTATTTTTAATGAGTGCAAATAACCATTTTGCTTCATAAGCTTTAAGTGTTATAATTAATTTGACTTTGCTAACTTATTCAAAAAATATTATTTCATATTACATACCTTTAACTTCAAGCACTGTACAGGATCAAAATCTTATGTTCATTTTTTAGCAGGACTGACTTTACCTGGAGAATAAGTGAACCCATTAAACATCAGAATTGTTTGAGTAGATAGATGGTAATGACTGATATTTATTGAGTGCTTTTTATGAAAAAAGTGGTGTTTTAATTCTCACAGTGACCTGTGAAGAAGGTTATCATTTCATCACTCCAGAAGGAGGGTTTATTCCCTACAGAGGAGAAAAGAGAGGCTCTGATATAATGGGACAGGATTAAATTCAGGAGAATCTGAGCCCCAAACCTCAGTCTTCCAACTTTGATGTGATTTAAATCATATCTGAATGCAACCAATATTGCTATCTGTATTAGTCAGCTGTTGCTACAATAATGCCATATAACAAACACCCCCTAAACTCACACTTAAAACAATAGTTTTGTATTCTCATTGAGCTGCAGTTTGGCAGTAGAAGTTTTGCTTTAAAACTCCCCTCTTAGTCATTTATTGAAGAAAAACATAATGAATACCTCTTATTTTCCAAGCACTCTTCTGGGCTCTGGAGAAACAACAATGAATAAAATACACATAAATGCTGCCCTTAGGAAACTTACTTTCTTGAGGGAAGAGACATACAGTAAATAAGTAGACTATATAGTAAGTAAGATGCTGATAATTTCTTTATTTTGTTTATTTTTCTTTTTCTAAATTGGTTTCCTCAGATTGAAGATAATTTCTTTCTTTTTTTTTTTTTGAGACGGAGTCTCGCTCTGTCGCCCAGGCCGGACTGCGGACTGCAGTGGGCAATCTCGGCTCACTGCAAGCTCCGCTTCCCGGGTTCACGCCATTCTCCTGCCTCAGCCTCCCGAGTAGCTGGGACTACAGGCGCCCGCCACCGCGCCCGGCTAATTTTTTGTATTTTTAGTAGAGACGGGGTTTCACCTTGTTAGCCAGGATGGTCTCGATCTCCTGACCTCATGATCCACCCGCCTCGGCCTCCCAAAGTGCTGGGATTACAGGCGTGAGCCACCGCGCCCGGCCGATAATTTATTTCTTTTGTTTTTTTTTTTGAGACGGAGTCTCGCTCGGTCGCTAGACTGGAGTGCAGTAGCGCAATCTCGGCTCACTGTGACCTCTGCCTCTTGGGTTCAAGCGATTCTCCTGCCTCAGCCTCCTGAGTAGCTGGGACTACAGGTGCACACACCACTACACCCAGCTAATTTTTCTATTTTTAGTAGAGACAAGGTTTCATCATGTTGGCCAGGATGGTCTTGATCTCTTGACCTTGTCATCTGCCCGCCTTGGCCTCCCAAAGTGCTGGGACTACAGGTGAGAGCCACAGTGCTCGGCCAGATTAATTTCTAATGACAGCTATAAAGCAGTGGAAGAGGAGAGGACGGGCTGTCAGGTGAAGAACAGCAACAGGGATTGCTGTTGCAATGTGCTTTCTCTTATCACTGCGCTTCCTAGCATACCGCCAAACCCTGGCATCTCTGTTCATTTTTACAATGCAGAGCTATTTCACTACTTCTTTGTTTCACTGTCTTCTTCTAAACTGTGCCCTGGGGGGCCTCACATTTCATAACCAAAGCTGCCTATCAAAGTGTTTTGCTAAAGAAAATATATTTAGTCTGGAGAGAAATAATGTCTCTCCCTTAGGGACAGAAGCAGCTGCAGTCAGTAGTAGTTTTAGATAGCATTTTTCTCCTCTGTCACGCAGCATTGCAATCTCTTCTTTATTTAAAAGTTGAAGGTCAGAGGTGAAGATGTGTGGAAACTTACTGAGGAAAGGAGACATTTGCAGAGCACCCACTATGTGCTAGATCTGGTGCAAGCAGATGTCTTCAAATAATCCTTGAATTAGACATTATGATTCCCATTTTCCTAATGCAAAAACTGAGCTGTATGCAGGCAAAATAATCCACTCTCGGACACAAAACCAGCAGTTGCAGATCTAAGTTTTAATTCTTGAGTGTGTCCTTCCAGCCTCCTCCCAACCACCTTCTTGTTGCTTTGGATTGGATGTAGAGAGCTGCTTATTTTATAATCTTTGTGGCTAGACCTGGAATGCTGGCTTTGTGTTTCTGGGCCTCTCTCCCGCTTCATGGCTAGTCTGTGTGGTATAGCCCAACTGCTGCCCCAGTAATAGGAGGAGGCAGTCAGGTCTGGGGGGAAATGAAAGAATTCCCAGGGCACCCGGCAAATGAATGAATTCCACTGATCTTGTTTGGTTCCTTATGGGATCATCCATCATGATTTAACAACTTGCAGCCCAGGGTAACTACAGGCATGCTTCTTGCCCAAAGCCACAGACACAGTGTAATTCATGGCTGAAAAACAGATTTGTTTTTCTGTTATTATTACCTGTATCATGCCCATTATACTATATTATATGCTGTGTTATCATGTAATTTAGTCCTCTGTCTGCCGCATTGACGTTTGCTTTTGAGAAGACTCGGCTTTTCTCATTCTTTTGTAATGCACTAAAGTAAACAAATTCCCTGGCTGTAATGTAAGCAGATATTTGTTGAGGGCCCACTGTGTGTACAGTAGATGGGATACAGAAAAGCTCTGGTTTTGCTCAGGAAACTTACCCTCCTATTGTTTTCTGCATTTAATTTTATTTTTAATTTTTTTCTGAGGCAGAGTCTCACTCTGTTGCCCAGGCTGGAGTGCCCTGGCATGATCTCGGCTCACTGCAACCTCTGCTGCCTGGGTTCAGGCCATTCTCCTGCCTCAGCCTCCTGAGGAGCTGGGATTACGGGCACCGGCCATCACACCTGGCTAATTTTTTTTTTTTTTTTTTGTATTTTTAGTAAAGACGGAGTTTCGCCATGTTGGCCAGCCTGGTCTTGAACTCCTGACCTCATGCCATCTACCTGCCTTGGCCTCCCAAAGTACTGGGATTACAGGCGTGAGCCACCATGCCTGGCCTATTTTTAAATTTTTTAATGCAATATTTGAAACACAGAAATAATATATATATATAACATGTAAGTTATCAAACATATCAACAAAATGAAGACCCATAAAATCATTGCTGTCTTAGTCCATTTGTGTTGCTATAAAGGAATACTTGAGACTGGGCACTTTATTTTAAAAAGCAGTTTATTTGGTGTATGGTTCTGCAGTCTGTACAAGAAGCCTGACACTGCATCTGCTTCTGGTGGGGCCTCAAGCTGTTTCCACTTAGGGCAGAAGGGGAAGTGGAGGGACTGTGCACAGATGACGTGGTGAGAGAGGAAGCGAGAGAGAGAGGAGGAGATGCCAGGCTCTTTTCAGCAACTAGTTCTCCTGGGACTAAGAATGAGAACTTTTTTTTTTTTGAGACAGGATATCCCTTTGTTGCCCAGGCTGGAGGGCAGTGGCATGATCTTGGCTCACTGCAGCCTCCACCTCCCAGGTTCAAGTGATTCTTGTGCCTCAGTCTCCTGAGTAGCTGGGACTATAGGCGCCTACCACCACGCCCTGCTAATTTTTGTATTTTTAGTGGAGGCAGAGGTTCTTCATGTTGGCCAGGCTGGTCTGGAACTCCTGGTCTCATGTGATCCTCCCGCCTCTGCCTGCCAAAGTGCTGGGATTACAGGCATGATCCACTGCACCCAGCCCAAAATGAGAACTCACTTCTTTGAGAATGGCAACAAGTCATTCATGAGCAATCAACTCCCATGCCCCAAACACCTCCCAATAGGTCCCACCTCCAACATGGGGAGAGATTTCAACACGATGTTTGGAGGATCAAATATCCAAACTACATTAAGTGCCTAACTGATTGACTAAAATGACCAGTTCTACTGGATCCATCTGGGTGGAAAGTGCCTCTTGCATCCCCCATCCTATCCCCATGTGGAAATCTACAATCCTGTTTTGTGTTTATCATCCCCTTTCTTTGCTTTGTTAGCTTTACCACAAAGCTTTATCAGTTTTGCTTGCTTTTGAGCTTTATAAAGATGGTCTCATACCTTAAATAATTTTTTTTTTTTTTTGAGACAGAGTCTTGTTCTGTTGCCCAGGCTGGAGTGCAGTGGCACGATCTTGGCTCACCGCAACCTCCACCTCCCAGGTCCAAGTGATTCTCCTGCCTCAGCCTCCTGAGTAGCTGGGATTATAGGCATGTGCCACCATGCCTGGCTGATTTTTGTATTTTTAGTAGAGACGAGGTTTCACCATGTTGGTCAGGCTGGTCTCGAACTCCTGACCTTGTGATCTGCCTGCCTTGGCCACCCAAAGTGCTGGGATTATAGGTGCGAGTCACTGTGCCTGGCCTTAAATAATATTTTAAGACTTGCTTTGTTCACACTATATGGTTTCTAAGATTTATTCCATTTTTCTTCATGCTTCTTTTCTTTCTTTTCTTTAAATTGAGGTTTTTTGTTTGTTTTTGTTTTGTTTTCAAACTCTGCTTTTCCCTTTACTTGTTGGAATTTTAAAATTCCAAATTCAAATATTAAGATTCTAAAAATTCTAAAATTCCAAAAATTTAAAACCTCTTTTCTATCATCTCTCCCTTGAAATTTTATTGTGTGTATCAAGGAAAATTGAAAGCCCATAAATATCTTAACTTCCCCTTCCAAATACTGTAAGGACTTTATGATACTTTAATGTCAATGACTTCCCCATTACTTAAATGTCAATGTTGTCAGTAGTTTCAATCTCATCTTAAATTCTCACAAATCAGATTGTTACTATTAATATTTTATATAGATAATGTTTTAGATTTATCTCCTAGTTTGTAAGCTTACTTGCTAACTATTCTTCTTACACTCGAAATTTTTTTTTCTGGGCTATTTTTTTTTTTTTTTTTTTAGTATTCTTTTAGTGGGAATTTATCGGTGGTAAAAATCTCTCAGTTTTTGTTTATATGGAAGTGTCATCATTTCACACTCATTCTTAAAAGACACATTTGCCTGAAGCGCAATTCTAGAATGATGGTTGTTTTCTTTTAGAATTTTGGAGATGTTATTCCAGAGTCTTTTGGCTTCTGTTGCTTTGCCTGAAAACTCAGGTGATGATCTAAATGTAGTGTTTTTGAAGGTTATCTGCCCCTTTCCCCTGTGAGCTTTTAAGTCTTCTCTGTCTTTGATGTTCTGTGGTTTCACTGCAATATGTCTAGCTATGAATTTCTTTGCATTCATCTTGCTTATATATGCTGTGCTTGGACCTGAAGATTTTATGTGTGTGTTTGTGTATATGATTATCTATCTATCTATCTATCTATCTATCTATCTATCTATCTCATCATGCCTCACTTAACAATCGGGATATGTTCTGAGAAATGAGTCATTAGGTGATTTCATCATTGTGTGCATATCATAGTGTCCTTATACAAACCTAGATAGTGTAGCCTCCTACACACCTAGGCTATATGGTATAGCCTATGGCTCCTAGGCTACATGACTGTACAGCATGTTACTCTACTGAATACTATAGGCAGTTGGAACACAATGGTAAACCTTTGTCTGCCTAAACATATCTAAACATAGAAAAGGTCCAGTAAAAATACAGTATTACAATTTTGTGGAGCCACTGATGTATGCAGTCTGTTGACCAAAATGTTATGTGGTACGTGACTGTATTTTACCATTTTTACAACATTTCTTTCCCCCTCCCCTCCCTTCCCCTCCCCTCCTCTCCTTTCTCTCTCGGACAGAGTCTTACTCTGTCATCCAGGCTGGAGTGCAATGACGCAGTCTTGGCTCACTGCAACCTCCGCCTCCTGGGTTCAAGCGATTCTCCTGCCTCAGCCTCCTGAGTAGCTGGGACTACAGGCATGTGCCACCGTGGCCGGCTAATTTTTGTATTTTTAGTAGAGACAGGGTTTCACCATGTTGGCCAGGCTGGTCTCAAACTTCTGACCTCAGGTGATCTACCCACTTCTGCCTCCCAAAGTGCTGGGATTACAGGCATGAGCCACCCTGCCCAGCCTTTGCAAAATTTCTATCTATTATCACTTTTAATATTGCCTCTTATCCAGTCTCTCTATTCTCTCCTAATATTATGTCTAATATATTAGACATACATTAGTCTGTTTCTTTCTGTCCTCTGTATCTCCTAACTTCTCTTTAATAGTTTTAATCACCTAATCTATTTGTGTTGTTGCACCCTAGATAATTTCTTTAGACATATCTTCAATTTCTAATTCTCTTTCCTGCTATTTTTAATCTGAATTGAGTTTTTATTTTATTTTTCTTTTTTGTTATATATATATTTTTGAGACAGATTCTCACTCTGTCACCCAAGCTAGAGTGCAGTGGCACGATCCTGGCTCACTGCAACCTCCACCTCCTGGGTTCAAGCGATTCTTGTGCCTCAGCCTCCTCAGTAGCTGGGATTATAGACCTGCGTCACCAGGCCCAGCTAATTGAATTGAGTTTTTTACTTCGACAGTTATATATTTGATTTCCAAAATTTTTATTTGACCATTTTTCAACTATACCTCATAATTTTTTTATAAACGTTGATTATTTTCCCATTTTTCTAATTCCATCTTTTATTTGTTTAAATATTTTAATCAGAATTATTTTATATTATGTATCTGATTATTTCAATGGTTCCAATATCTGAAGTTTGTGGGAGTAAAAATTTGTTGTTTATTAATTCTGCTGATTCTCACTCATGGTGGCTTATTTCCTAATGAGTTTGGTGGCTTTTGATTATAAGCTCACAGAGGCTTGATCTTAATCTATGGAAATTCTTATGACCCAAGTAGAAAATGCTTTCACACAGGGAGAATTTTCATTTGCCTCCATTAGGAGCCTGGGACACCACCAGCATTGTCTTCCTTCAAAATAACTAGCCTTACATGGGAGTCTCAGATTCCCCAACCTTGTCACAGTCAGTGACTAGTTGTTAATTTAATCATAATCACTTGATGTATTTTTTTAATGTCACACACTGTCCGGTGTGTTCCACAAACATTATTTCTAACTTGCAAAATAATCTTGTAAACCACTTCACTGTTGAGGAGATAAAAGCTGGGGGAGGCCTTCCACACAATCTGCTTCTCACAATTCTCCTACACTTCTACACCATCTCTGCCCATCAAAATCCCTCCCCTCCTTCTACACCGTCCTCAAATGCTGCCTCCTCAGGGACACTATTCTTGAGCCACAAAGCTGAGCTTAGGCTTTTGCTCCTGTTTATTTGTTTGTTTTTTGAGACAGAGTCTCACTCTGTCACCCAGGCTGGAGTGCATTGGTGTGATCTCACGTCACTGCAACCTCCGCCTCCCAGGTTCAAGTGATTCTCCTGCCTCAACCTCCCTCCCAAGTAGCTGGGATTACAGGTGCCTGCCACCACACCTGGCTAACTTTTTTTGTATTTTCAGTAGAGATGGGGTTTCACTATGTTGGCCAGGCTGGTCTCAAACCCCTGACCTCAGGTGATCCGTCTGCCTTGGCCTCCCAAAGTGCTGGGATTACAGGCGTGAGCCACCGTTTGTTCCTAGAACACATAATTTATATCGGTGATTCAAGTAATCATCCCATTTCACAGATGAAGCATTTGAGGCCCTGGAGTTTCATTTGTAGGCATTTGTGCGGATCTACCTAAAATGTCATCTGGCTGCAAGGCCATCGCTTCAGTGTTATTTTTGCATTTATCCTTCTCCATCCCTCCTAGGCAACCCCTAGTTCCTTACCTTCCTCATATACATACAGAATGCAAGACTAAGAGGAAGGATTCCAAAAAGTTGGATACATTAAATTTAGGTGGAGAGATGAGGAACATATGGAGAACAGGCCATCAGCTTAGTGATTGTCAGGCGATTCCTGTCATCAATATGTACCCCCGTGGCCCATGTTAAGTCCCTTACTCATTGGGACTGCCCTGGTCCTCCGTTGACCTCAGGTAAACAATCATTTAAGTGGGATTTTATTCAAAAATTGCACTTAGAGTGGTTTTAGTGGGTCACATTGGCTCTTCCATGAATTCTTTGCGTCTTTTTAAGCCAGATCTTTGGCATTTTATCAATCTTTGCTTTGGCATCACGTTTGAGGATATATTCAGGGGATTTTTTTTATTTTTAAAAAAACTCTTTTGTTTATTGACAGAAATAGCATTTCTACTAATACCTCAAGAGCAAGTACTATCATGAATTTAAATTATTTTTCCCCAAATTTAATCAAGAGTACTTGAGTTACCAGCTTCCAGGTTGGCCAGAAGTCCTGAATTACCTTATTGAGACTTTCTGCTCCAGTTCCAGGGTTCTTGTATAATTAGGAGTCCTCACAACTTGTACTCCCAATTAGGGAAAAGCGCTGGTATTTGTCAGCCTGTTTGGGTTTCCTACTGAGAGAAGATGGCACTGTTGAACACGGAGCCAGTGCTGCTGGGCTACAATGTAGTGCGGGCTGGTAACTCTCACGGTAACCCCTCTTAGAGGTCCTGTTCTGGATGAGGTTTGTTTATCCACTCACCACGGTCCCCACAACTCCAATGCCTTTTCCAATGACAGCAGGTGAATGAGACCTACCCAGGATCAGGCCATTTTTACTTTCAGCCCCTGAGAGAGAAAAGAAATTAATTTGGTTCTCTTTTCTGAACAATAGAGATTTATTCGTTCTAAAAATTCTACAAACCATATCCAGCAGGCAAAGAATGCCTGGACTTTAGATAAACCAAAAGGGCAGTCATCCTTTGTGGCAGAGTGCTAATTTTTCTCCAGTATTTATTTTCTCCTTCATTTTGTTAGCAGTAGAACTTCTCAAGCTTTCACTCTGTATGTGACCATCTGGGTAGAGACTACCTTTCTTAGCTTCTCTTGCAACTGTGTGTGGACACGCAACTAAATTACTGCCTCCAGGGTGTGAGCAGAACGGATGCGTGCAGCTTCAAGTCACAGCACTGGAAAGGAAAATACTTGCCTTTCATTCTCTATTTCCTCTTTCTACACGTTGGAATTTGACGGAGTTCTGGCAAGTCTACTTCAACCATGTGGATGAGGACAATACTTCAGAGGAAAGAAGAACATTAAAATGCAAGGAACCAGATCCCTAGATGACTGATTGCAAGGGGCAAAGAAACTATGGCAGCCCTAGACTATGTACCTCTGGACCAATCTGTGAAAGAGAAGTAGATTCCTACTTGGCCTGAGTCACTGTGTTTTTGGATCTCTTGTACCAGCAACTCAGCCAGTGTCCTAAATAACATGCATCCTCCCTAGTGGGACTGGAGAGCTTATAGGTTCAGTCTCACTGATGATCCAACCTCTTTAGAGCAGGCAAGAGGAATTTCATGTACCTCTTGATAAAGCGGTAAGCAAAACACAAATTCAGTGGGACACTCCACTGCAGGTGATTTTGAGGTTCTGCAGTCTGTCTATCAAGTTAAATGAGAAAAAAGAAGATAGAGGATCCTGGCTGCATAATCACACATGCACGGAAGGCAAAATCATTTGGACGGGAGCCTTGAGTGGTGGAGAAAGCAAGGGCTCTGAGCCAGATATTTCAGAGTTCACATCAGTGTGTCTTTATAATTTAGTTGTTTAAGTCACTACTTTCTCATCTGCAAAATGGGAATTGCAATGCATATTTCATGTACTTGTTCCAGGAACTAAATGAGATAATCTATTTAAAGGTCCTGGCACAGGGTCTGGTAAAAATTAGGTGTTAAGTGAAAGTAAGTTCCCTTCCAATGTCTGGGCTTTTGATCATTGCACCAAGCTGCCTCTGCAAGGCACACAAGACTCTAGGTGATCTGATTCCTCCCTTTTTCACCCCTTCAGCTTCATCTGGGGCCACTTTTCCCTTGCCCATGACTCTCTGACTCCTAAGCCCATGACTAGTTTCCCTTCAGTACCAAAGCCATTCTAAATTCTCTCCTGCCTCTGGATCTTCATACTTCCTTTTCCTTCTGCTTGCAACCCTTTCTCATGATCACATTTCAGAGAAGCCCTCCTGAGGACCACGCTATCTAAAGTAGTTTCTTGTCCACTGTGTTCAGCAGAATAATGACACCCCGCAAAGATGTGGTTTTTATGAAGACAGAAACATCTGTCTTATTTACCAGCTCACCTGCTACAGTATGGATTATGTAGCACATACTCAATATTTATTGAATGCATATATGAATGAAAAATTGAATGGGAACTTTGAAATTCATCCTCATCCCTGGAACCCAAGAGTATGTTAAGTGACATGGCAAAGGGCAATTAAGGCAGCAGGCGAAATTAAGTTTACTAATCAGCTGACCTTAGGGAGCTATTCCTGGAATATCTGGTTGGACCCAAAGGAATCATAAAGATCTTTAAAAGTGGAAGAGAGGGGCAGAATCGAAGAGTCAAAGGTAGGAGTGTGATGACGGAAACAGGTATGTTACTGCCCTTGAAGATGGAGGAAGGGGCCACAAGCCAAAGAAAGCAGGCAGCCTTTAGAAGCTGGAAAAAGCAAGAAAATGGATGTTCTCTAGAGCTTCCAGAAGGAGCAGCCCTGCTGACATCTTGATCTTTGCCCAGTGCCTTGATTTCAGCTCAGTAATTTTAGCCCATGTTGGACTTCTGAAGTACAGAACTGTAAGATAATACGTTTGTATTGTTTTAAGCCACTAAATTTGTGGTAACTTGTTCCAGCAACAATAAGAAACTAATATACCTGTATGCCAGCCCAGTATCTAATATATATATATCGCCCTCTTTATTTGCTGCCTAACACTCAGCACGATCTGCAATTATCTTATCCATTTATGTGTCCTCTTGACTTAGTCAAATGGGGCTTTTATGAAGACACAAATGTCTATCTTATTTACCAGCTCACCTGCTAGAGTACGGGTTATGTAGCACATACTCCTTCTTTATTCATTTATTAATTATACTTTAAGTTCTGGGGTACGTGTGCAGAACGTGCAGGTTTGTTACGTAGGTATATACGTGCCATGGTGGTTTGCTGCACCTATCAACCACACTAAGTATTTCTCCTAATGCTCTCCCTCCCCTAGCCCCCCACCCCACCAACAGGCCCTGGTGTGTGATGTTCCCCTCCCTGTGTCCATGTGTTCTCATTGTTCAGTTCCCACTTGTGAGTGAGAACATGTGGTATTTGGTCTTCTGTGCTTGTGTTAGTTTGTTGAGAATGATGGTTTCCAGCTTCATCCATGTCCCTGCAAAGGACATGAATTCCTCCATTTTTATAGCTGCATAGTATTCCATAGTGTATATGTGTCACATTTCTTTATCCAGTCTATCACTGATGGGCATTTGGGTTGGTTCCAAGTCTTTACTGTTGTGACCAGTGCCGCAATAAACATACATGGGCGTGTGTCTTTATAGTAGAATGACTCCATATTTTTTTAATGCATGCATGAATGAAAAATTGAATGGAAACTTTGACATTCATTTTCTTCATCTGCAGGGCTTGTTTCTGAGAGTGTGCACGGAGATTGAAGGGCAGGGGCTCATGTGACAGTGTGAAGCAGGAATTCTGACCGTTGGCCAAACCAAGCCCTGAAACTCAAGTTCTGTTTGGGAGTGAGAGGCAGGTTAGAGGAGATAAACACCCAGCCTTTTAATTTTTTTTTTCCAGCCTGCTTTAAATCACCTGTAAATCTTTAGTGGCCACCAGGAGGTGAATGACTCATGCTACCTTTTCTCAGCAAAGGCTCTTCAGGATGGGACACTCCAAGTTTTTAACTCCCAGCAACAGTTCGGCTCACAGCGAGACCGGGCCCTCTGCTGTCACTGAAGTGTGTGTTTGTTTAATTAGGGCGCCGAGTAGAGCCTCATCCTGGTGGCAGATGTTGCCATGTGTAGTATAATAAATAAAAGTCTTTATAGGACCCAGCAGGCAGTAGAGCCTTCAGTTAGCAGATGGCGAAATATTAAACTGGCAGAGCAATAACTTAACTGCCTGAATCAGCTGGTCCCTGCCCGGATTTGCTCCAACATGAATCAACTTCATATAGGAGGTGTCGCTCAGCCTCAGATGTGTACCCTCACCTGCCCTCGCTCCTGGTCCCTGCTAGGACCATGTTTGCCTTGGCATACCACTATTAAAGTCAGATTACTGGGTTTAATACCATTATTAAAGTCAGATACATAAGTTTTTTTATAACCTTATTAGCTGGTCAAAGAGAGGTGCTTGCTGGGCTGGACCGTAGGGTTCTTTTACAGGGGAAGGAAATGCAGTAAGCCTGTGGATGTCCTCTGTGCCAGTTTCTGCTTGGCTCCAGATTAGCCAGACAGTATGTTACCTGGCCCCTGGGCCCTCGTGGTGCAGGAGAAGGATCCCACTTGGCTCCAGGAATCCTCCTGTTTAAGACCAGGAGGATGGTTCAGTTAGCCCAGGGAGACCCCACTGGAGGAGAGAACAGGGCTTTTTGTTCTGAAAAGACCCAAAAAAGGGATTGACTGACATCTATTACATTGCTGCAGGGGTGGAGTGAGGGGCATTGGACTTGTTTACTAAATTCCAGATTATACGACTGATATTTACAGAGGGCTTGCTATGTGTTGGGACTTTGGATAAGGGCTTTGCAGACGAACAGAAACCCACCCCATCTTTACCATAACCCTGTGAGGCAGTAACAACGAACCCTTCTAGCGCTGTGTGCCAGGCCCCGTTCCAAGAGCTTAATGTACATTGACTCACTCAACTCCCCAACATGAAACATTAAACCCATTTCTCACATGGGGAAGCTGAGGCTCTGAGAGGTGTGATGATTTGTTCAAAAACACACAGCTAGAAGATACCGGAGCTAAGATGCAACCCAATTGTGTCTAAACTCAGAGGCGGCAGTTGCCTTTGACTCCAGGAGGCATAAAAGTAAACTTGGACAGAAGATGGTGAACCCGTAGGCAAAATGCCACCTAGAAAATGAAGTGGGGAACTGATACTAGGAAAGAGGATATAAAATTTATATTTGTTGCCATTTATTGCCATAAATTCGGCTACTTTTTAACAGATATCTGAAATAATTTTCTCCTTTAATTCTTACAGAAAGCCTTGGAGGCAGCTTCAATTAGAAGCTAATTTTACTAATTAGAAAATTGGTATCAGAAGGACGATTGAACGTGTCCAAGGTCACACAGCCAGTAAGGAGAGGGGCCTGGACTGGAGCAGACCTGTCTGATTCACTCAGACAGGACTGGAGCAGACCCTTGCTTTGTTCACTCAATAGTTTTTTCCAAAGGCTTTTTAAGAAGAGGACTTTGGAGTTGTAAAGAATTTAGATACGTGGAAATGAGAGAAAGGCCTTCCAGGCAGAGGAAACAGGATGAACAAAGTCTTGGCAGGTATGGACAACTCTGTGTGTGTGTGTGTGTGTGTGTGTGTGTGTGTGTAGGTAGGTAGGTTGGTTGTTGGAGACAGACCCAGGGAAGCCTTGAATGGCATGCTGAAAGAATTGGTCTTTCTGCCCGGGCTTGGTGGCTCATGCCTGTAATCCCAGCACTTTGGGAGGCCGAGGCAGGCAGATCACTTGAGGTCAGGAGTTCGAGACCAGCCTGGCCAACATGGTGAAATCCTGTCTGTACTAAAATTACAAAAATATCAGCCCAGCATGGTGGTGCAGGGTTGCATTCTCAGCTACTCGTGAGGCTGAGGCAGGAGAATTGCTTGAACCCCGGAGGCAGAGGTTGCAGTGAGCAGAGATCATGCCACTGTACTCCAGCCTGGGCAATAGAGGGAGACTCCATTTCAAAAAAAAAAAAAAAAAAAAAAAAGGTGCTTCTTTCTCTGGCAAAGGAGGATGCTCAAGTTTTCTAAGTCAATAATTAAGCTCATGCAAACAAAGGGCCCTTTCTGATCACCATGGTGGGTTTCCACTGCCTGCTTCTCCGCTAACTTCTATAACGAAAATGATACTCAAGACTTTTCTTGCCATCATGGTCAATAATGTGAGGGTTTGAGCACATCCTCAGAGTTAGGCTTTGGAATTTCTTGAATTCCTGCTGTGTGGGGCGTGCTGGGGAGTCTTTGGTCTGAGGGCTGGCTGCTGCTCGCTTTGGCCCTTTGATCTCCCAGTGCCCGGGATCTTTCAGTCTAGCTTTTCCTGTGTCCTGCATTGCCAGTCCCCCCACCCTCTGGATCTGTCCCCTTTTTGTTGTCTCTGAGCTAATGGGACAGATTCCATGGATGCTGGCCTGGACCTCTCTTTCTTCAGCCTGTCTCATGACCTCTAAGGCCTGGCCTGAGGAGGAGGCATAACTCTAGGAGGTCGAGGTGAGCCTGGCGCTGCAAGTATGCCCCTAATTTGTGAAACCACAGTCATAGATATCACAGTTGGTTAATACACTCGTCCTTGGATTCTTTCAAATTCATTGCTCCTGTTCAAAAAACATTTCTCTTTTTTTCTTATTGCAGTAGTAATACATGCTTATTGTATGTTATGAAGAAGATGCAGAAAAATATAAGTGATGAAACGATAGCCCATAATAATCCCACAACCCCAAGACAATCATTATTAACCTTGGGTATATTTTCTTACAGTCATTCATACAGACGTATACAAAACACACGTCTGTCTATATGAAATACTTACGTGCTTAAACTCATACCAGATATATGATTTTGCATTCCATGTTTCCACTCTTATAAAATCAGTGCAATTTTTTTACATTGCTAAACTTCTTTGTAAAAATTTATATAGAAAAACACTGTAGGCCAGGCACGGTGGCTCATGCCTGTAATCCTAGCACTTTGGGAGGCTGAGGCGGGTGGATCACCTGAGGTCAGGAGATCGAGACCATCTTGGCCAACATGGTGAAACCCTGTCTCTACTAAAATATGAAAAATTAGCCGGGCATGGTGGCACTTGCCTGTAATTCTAGCTACTTGGGAGGCTGAGGCAGGGGAATTGCTTGAACCCGGGAGGTGAAGGTTGCAGTGAGCTGAGATCACACCACTGCACTCCAGTCTGGTGACAGAGCAAGACTCCATCTCAAAACAAACAAAACACCATAAAACAATATTAAAGGGAAAAAAGCAGAATTTGAATTCATATGTTTAATATAATTTCAATTATGTTAGCTAAAAACACATGGGTACACGATGCCTATGCACTACAAAAGTACCACACAGGATGGAAGCAGAGACTACAAAATATTAATAGAGGTTATCTCTAGGGGATGTGTTTTATTTTATTCTTGCATCTTTCCATGTTTTCCACGTTTTTCCCACATATTAATCATGAATTTTTCTAATGAGAAAATTTTGCATAGCTACATAATAGTCCAAGATATGAATATACCATTGTTTATTTAATTATTGGCCTACTAAAGGCCTTTGGGTAGTTTCAAAGCTTTTACATTTATAAATAATGTTGTGTTAAATGTTCCTTTATCTGTTCAACAGATATTTGAGAGTCTATGGCATGCCTTGTATCTTGGTGCCTATATCTGCATATGTTATATAAATAATATTTTATTTTTGTGGAAACTGAAGAGCAAAGAAATCACCGAGTTAGTTGGGGACACGGATGGGTCTGTGCTTTTAGGTCTTTCAATTCTGAGGATTTATCTTTGCCAGACTGCTTTCCTCAAACCTCTGGTCTCCCTTTGGCAGAATGGTGGCAAATTGGAGGTTCTCTTGGGTATATTGAGTCACAGATCTCCTTGAATAGTGTGTGACACTACTCAAGAAGTACCTACTTGGCCCCCAGCCTATTGCCTGGTGGCCTCCTTCTTGCAGATGCACCCATTTTGCAGATGGGTCAAAGCATGTAGTCTTACAGCACAAATACTTGTCTTTGTGGAAAGTCATCCTCCCTCTGCTTGGCTGCTAGACTTTCCTGTGTGTCCATCATAGGTGTGGCTTTGTGGCACCCAGTCAATCTGATTAAGATGGTTCTTGCTTATCAGCTTGGTGCTATTTGAGATGATACATTGGAAGTCCACCTCAAATATCACCTCCTCCCTGAAATTATCCAGATACTCTCAGACAAAGTTCACAGCTCTTTTTTGGATTTTTTTTTTTTTTTTGTGTATGGCCTTATTTTAAAAACATATCTCTCCAAACCATGGCTGTGTCTGTACATCTTTTTCTCATCAAGTAGGTTATTAGCTCTTTAAGGTCAGGGACCACATGTTATCCACTTTGGTACCCTGTCCATTTGCTTCTGTTTCTCAGTCTAGCGCTTGCCTTCATCTCCACTGCCACTATTCAAGTGCACACCTTCTATCACCACCCACCTAGAACACTGAACCAGTGTCCGACCTGCTGGGACTCCCTGCATCTGCTCTCGTGCCACTTACAATCCAGTTTTCCCATAGCAGTGAAAGGGATTATTTGAAATCACAAATCAAATGTGCCATTTCTTTCCGTAGCTCAGCAAGATCTGGCCCTCGCCTGCCTCTCTGACATCATCCCAGTGAACTCATCCCCATTCCTCACAGCACTTCTCTCTGATCCCTTTTATCACATCATTCTGCATAACAGTTTGGATTATTGCCCAGCAAGTGTTGATGGCCTCCCCGCTCCAATTGTGGATGGTATTTACTTCCCTACCACATGATTTTGGGCTTGGCCATATGACTCGTTTTGGCCAACAGGATATTAGTGGGTAGAAGTGAACAGAGATTTGAAATGTGATAGAGTGGTTGGGCTCACCTACTTTAGTTCTTCCATGGCCATGAGGGTAACATGCCCTGGGTAACCTGTTGGTCCCAGAAGAGTGAGAGATGCAAGGAACAGACATGAACTAAACATATGGCCTGGAGCCAAGCCCAGCCTAGATCAGCCAAACCCAGGACAAACCATAGTTGCATAAATGAGGTACACATGCTTGCTGTTGTGGAGTTACTGGCTGTATGCTACCCAGCACTGCTGTGGCATAGTTGACTAACACACCCTATTTTATGCACTTCATAATTATTATTTTGAACTTTCCATCTTTTCTAATCAGGACATAGTTTCTATGATAAAAGAGACATTGCCTATTTTGCTCTATAATTCCAGCTATATATATGAAATCACCAATAAATATGCATGTATGTGTGTATGTATGTATGTATTTTTGAGACGGAGTCTTGCTCTGTCGCCCAGTGACGCGATCTCGGCTCACTGCAACCTCTGCCTCCTGAGTTCAAGTGATTCTCCTGCTTCAGCCTCCCAAGTAGCTGGGACTATAGGCACGTGCACCTTTTTTTATTTTTGTATGCCTGGCTACTTTTTGTATTTTTAGTAGAAATGGGGTTTCCCCATGTTAGCCAGGTTGGTCTTGATCTCCTGACCACGTGATCTGCCAGCCTTGGCCTCCCAAAGTGCTGGGATTACAGGTGTGAGCCACTGTGCCTGGCCTGCCAATAAATATTTATTAAATGACTGAATACCCCCGGCATGCTTAGCACAATACCTGTGCCCGATCAATATTTGCTGAATGCAGTTGGTGAACCATCCAAAGCAGCCTGTATTGTGTCCTAACATGTATATCTTTAAACTCAACTTGGCACGTGGGTGACACCTCTATCCCCTCTCTTCCTCTCTCTGATCACATAAAAGATCCTCCTTGTAAGAATACACACACTGAAAACAGATGATGTGTCAATGCCGTAATTTAAACCATGAATCTGTACTTGCTTAAAGATGAACTTGTTTGGAAGAAAAATGAGGAAAATGCTTGTGCCCGTCCAACAGAGTCCCCGGATAAGTACATCAATTTTGCTTCTTAGCGGATCCAGCACATAATAAAAGAAAACTGCTGAGGTCAGCAGCAGCAGAGAAGCCACACTTCTTATTTTCACAAACACAGTTTTGGGGATGGTAATCATATCTATTAGCAAGGGTGACACCACTGTGGGCCTGGCAGAAAAATGAGCTCTCCCGCATTGCAAAATGAGCAAAGTGGAGATCGATAAATCATAAAATTAGTTGAGACATCATCTATCTTTCATGGCTTTCCCTTTATTCCTGCCACGGTCCCTCAGGACACTCATTCATTTACTGCATTTTATTGTTGGGAAAACACGTCAAGGTTTGGAGGCTGCATTCAGTTAGGGGAGCAGGGGCCATAATGTGTGTCATTAATTAGGCAGGTTTGGGAGGTTCAATCCAAAGTCTGGTCTCAACTGACTTCCATAAATTGAGTTTTAGGACTGCTTCTGCGTCTTGTGTGACTTCATCAAAAAGAGAACGTTATTGAAATATGCCCTGAGAGGGAGAGAGAGAGAAAGAGGGACATGTCTGCTCACTCTGTAGAAACGATAAATTTAGGGACAAACCAGGTGATAAGCCAGATGCAATCTGAGTTGTCTAAAGATTCTTGCTGTTATCTACATGTGATTGAAATAAATGTGAGACACAGAGCTTGGAGTGCATAGATACGTCATCTGGTACCTATATTCTTCATGTCAAGGCATATAGTAAACAGATTTTTTTTCAAAAAATTATTGTGATAACACTTAACATGAGACGTACCCTCTTAACAAATTTTAAGTGCACAATACCTTGTTGACTCTAGGTACATAATGTGCAGCAGAGCTCTAGAACGCATTCATCTTGCCTGACGGAAACTTCACGCCCATTGATGAGTAGCTCCTCATTTTCTCCTCCCCACAGCCCTGGCAACCACCATTACACTCTTTTGTTCTACGCATTTGACTATTTCACATGACCCCTGTAAGTGGAAATAAGAAATATTTGTCTTTGTTTGACAGATATTTAACTTACCATAAAGTCCTCAAGATTTAATTCTTGTTCTCACATCTTGCAGAATTTTCTCCTCCTGCTCCTCCTCCCCCTCCCACCTCCCCCCTCCCTCCCTTCCCCCCCACTTCTCCTCCTCCTCCTCCTCCTCCTTCTCCTTCTTCCTCTTGTTCTGATGGAGTTTCACTCTTGTTGCCCAGGCTGTAGGGCAACGGTGCGATCTCTGCTCACCGCAACCTCCGCCTCCTGCGTTCAAGCAATTCTCCTGCCTCAGCCTCCCGAGTAGCTGGGATTACAGGCATGTGCCACCATGCCTGGCTAATTTTGTATTTTTAGTAGAGATGGGATTTCTCCATGTTGGTCAGGCTGGTCTTGAACTCCTGACCTCAGGTGATCCACCCGCCTTGGCCTCCCAAAGTGCTGGGATTACAGGCGTGAGCCACTGTGCCCATCCCAAATTTTATTCTTTTTGAAGGCTGAATAATATTCCATTGCGTGTATATACCACATTTTCTTTACCCATTAATCTGTCATTTAGGTTTTTTCCCCATTTTGGCTGTTGTGAACAGTGCTGCAATGAACATGTTAGTGCTAATATTTCTTCCACATTCTGATTTTAATTTTTATGGGTATAAATCCAGAAGTAGGATTGCTGGATCATATGCTAGTTCTATTTTCAATTTTTTGAGAAACCTCCGTACTGTTTTTCTTAGTGGTTGTACCATTTTGCATTGCCAATAATAGTGTGCAAAGGTTTCAATTTTTCTACATCTTCACCAACATTTGTTGTCTTTTGTCTTTTTGACACTAGCCAATCTGACAGGTGTGAGGTGATTTCTCATTGTGGTTTTGATTTGCAATTAGTGATACTGATTATTTGTGGTATTGGACATTTTTTCATAAACTTGTTGGCTTAACTAAGGAGGTGAAAGACTTGTATACTAAAAATTATAAAACCTTGAAAGAAACGAAAGAAGGTGGCCCGGCATGGTGGCTCATGCCTGTAATCCCAGCACTTTGGGAGGCTGAGGTGGGTGGATCATGAGGTCAGGAGTTTGAGACCATTCTGGCTAACATGGTGAAAACCCATCTGTACTAAAATAAAAAAAATTAGCCAGGCATCATGGTGCGTGCATGTAGTCCTAGCTACTCGGGAGGCTGAGGCAGAGGAATCGCTTGAATCTGGGAGGCGGAGGTTGCAGTGAGCCAAGATCACACCACTGTATTCCAGCCTGGTGACAGAGCGAGCCTTTGTCTCAAAAGAAAAAAAAAAAAAAAAGAAATGAAAGAAGGTATAAACAAATGGAAAGACATTCCAAATTCATGGATTGGAAGACTTCATATTGTTCAAGTGTCCATACTATGCAAAGCAATATGCAGATTCAATGCAATCCCTATTAAAATCCAAAAGGCATTTTTCACAGAAATAGAAAAAATGAGTCTAAAATTTGTATAGAACCACAAAAGGCCACAAATAGCCAAATCAACCTTGAGAAAGAAGAACAGTGTTGGAAGCATCACACTTCCTGATTTCAAAATATATTACAAGGCCACAGTAATTAAAACTGGTATAAAATAAAATATGGTACTGGCATAAAGACAGACATATAGGCCAAAGGAATACAATAGCAAGTCCAGAAGTAAATCTACACATATGTGATCAAATGATCTTCAACAATGGTGCCAAGAATATGTAATAGGGGAATGATTGTCTCTTTAATAAGTGATGCTGGGAAAACTGGATAACCACATGCAAAAGAATGAAATAGGATCCTTATCTAACACCATACATGAAAATCAACTAAAAAAGGACTAAAGACTTACAAGTAAAACCTGAAACTGTAAAACTCCTAGAAGAAAACATAGGGGAAACACTTCATGATGTTGGTCTTGCCAATGATTTCGTGAATATGACACCAAAAGCACAGACAACAACAACAAAAATAAATGATGAGAACTATGTAAAACGAAAAAGTGTCTGCACAGCAAATGAAACAATCGAGTTAAAAGACAACCCACAAAATGGGAAAAATTATTTGTAGACCATCTATGTAATGAGTTAATTTCTAAAATATATAAGGAATTTCTACAACTCAATAGCAAAAAAAAAAAAAAACCTCTAACAATCTGATTAAAAAGTGGGCTAAGGACTTTAATAGACATTTCTCTAAAGAAGATATTAAGTAGGTTTCTAAAATCGTGATGTGTTTTTCATTTGATGTGTGCATTTAATTGACGCTCATTACTCCATCAAAAGCATCCTGAAATCAAGGAAACAGTACTTACTAGAATGTTTCAGTGATCGATTTCTGCCTATTAAACCACCCCAAAACTTAATGCATTAAGACTAATTTATTATTGCTGTGATTCTGGGACAAAACATAACTAACTTTTTATTCCCCTTTCAAGGTGTATTTTCTGCAGAACCCCCATCTCAGTAAATGCCACTATCATCCACTCCCTTGCTCAGCTCCTTAAACTTGGAGTCATCCTTGACATTTTTCTTTCTCTCATGCCCCTCATCTAGTTTATCCACAAATTACCAAGAAACACCCACAAGCCTCCTCTCTTCAGCACTACCCCCGTAATCCAAGCCACCATCCCATCTCCCTTGGGCTATTCTGGTAGCCTTTATAATCGGTCTCCTGCTTTACCTCTTGCCTTATTCAGTCTATTCTTCATATAGAAACCAGAATGATCTTTAAAATAAATATAATCAGAGGATGTCAACCTCCCCACCACCCGGACCCCACAGCTTATGACTATCCAGCAGCTACCTGTTGTATTCAGAATAAGACCCTTATAAAACCACTTGCTATAGTCTACAAAGGCCCTGCCCTCCTCTCCTCCCTTAGCTCATCTCTAGCCACACTGGCCACACTGGCCTTCCTTCTCCCCTTTAGCATGCATGGACGTTTACACCCCAGGGCCTTTGCACCTAATGTATGTGTGTGTGTATATATATATATATATATATATGTATATTTGTTGTTGAGAGGAAGTCTCGCTCTGTCACCCAGGCTGGTGTGCAGTGGCGGGATCTCGGCTCACTGCATGCTCCGCCACCCGGGTTCACACCATTCTCCTGCCTCAGCCTCCCGAGTAGCTGGGACTACGGGCTCCTGCCCCCATGCCCGGCTAATTTTTTTGTATTTTTTTAGTAGAGATGGGGTTTCACCGTGTTAGCCAAGATCGTCTCGATCTCCTGACTTCGTGATCCGCCCACCTCGGCCTCCCAAAGTGCTGGGATTACAGGCGTGAGCCACCCCCACATCCGCACCTAGGGTTCACACCGAAAAAAAATAGTAGGCTCTGGAGATGCAACAGACCCTGCTTTCATTGGAGCTTTCAGAGAGGGAAGACAAGTGAACACATGAATAAATGTTAAGAGGTAGTGAGCATTAAGGAGATAAAGTAGGTATAGAGAATGGAGAGAGATGGGAGGTGTGACCCCGTTTCAATAGGGTGGTGAGTGAAGGCCTCTCTGAAAAGGTGGCTTTGAGCAAACGCCCAAATAAATGGAGGGGCTGAGCCGTGCAGGTATCTGGAAGCAAATGGGGCAGGGGAAGGAGCTGTTTCAAAGGATCCAAGATGGGCAAATACCTGCAGGGCTTAGAAATGGTGGCTATAATCTGAAAGCATGTAGCAATAGAAGCCTTGCAGCTGAATACATGCATTTGAGGCAGCAATGACTTCTTTCTAGGGGGTTTATGTGAGGAGGGATTTTTCTTTTTGGGAAAAACCCTGAGGTACACGTATTCAAAGGAAATATTTGTTGACTTGGATGGAAAGGGCCTGTCTTCAGCTTTCGTTCTGCTCTGCCTGGCTGCCTCTCAGTGTTAGGTTCAATGCTTGAGGCTGTGCCAAGTTGATTTCCCTGTGAGAGCAGACGCCTGATAGTAGGGCACAGTGCCAGTCCCGTTGATAATGAAATCTTTGCATCCCCGTTGACACTTCTATAAAGGACAGAAGAGGAACTGTAAGTTCCCATTCTGATCTTTTATTTCTGTTTTGTCACCCTCAAGAATACCTGTCAGAAAGCTTTTGGGATCTGGACTCAGATGGACCTGAATTTGAAGCCCACTGTGAATTTTACTGCAGTGGGATTTTGGTGAGAGCTGCTCAAACCTGAACTTGAGGCCAGGCCTGGTGGTTCATGCCTGTAATCTCAGCACTTTGGGAGGCCGAGACAGGAGGATCATTTGAACTCAGGAGTTCAAGGCCAGGCTGGGCAACATAGGGAGATCCTGTCTGTAATAAAGAATAAAAAATTAAAACCCTGAATTTGAGAGGAGCACGTGGTGACAGTGCTCAGATTTGGGTTATTCATGCCCAATATTGTGGCTCTTTCTGTTTTTGTTTTCAAATTTTGTTTTATATTTGTCTTTACAGAACATTAACATTGTTCCAAACTAATAACTAAATAAAAAAGCCATCCTCAGAGTAGGTACAGAGTGGTTAGTTGCCCTGGTTGGAGGAGTGGGAGAGTTCTATCACCAATATTGTTTAGAATTGCCAGTAATAATAAAAATGGATGACCTTTAATTGCTTTTTGTTCATGTCATAATACTCGTGTATGAAATTCATATATTTTTAGAAATAACCACGTTGTTTTGGAATAATTTTAGATTTGCAGAAGTTGCAAAAATAGCACAGATAATTCCTATAGTTACCCTTCATCCAGTTCCCCCTAATGTTAGCATCTTACATCACCATGGTACATTTGTCAAAAGAAATTAATATTAATATAACACTATTAACTATAGACTTTACTCAAATTTCATCAGTTTTTCCACCAATGTCCTTTTTTCCTGGATCCAAAATTTGATTTAGATACCAAATTGCATTTAATAGTTGATTGTATTACTGTTTTTTAAATTCTCTACAGACAAGGCACCTATTGACTGCACCTGGCAGAACAAAGTGCTGGGATTACAGCCACGAGCCATTACACCTGGCCTATATTTCAGTATTTTCTATTAGTTTTTGATGAATTTGTTTTGCCTGGCTAGGATTATTCTGTAGATAGGATTTTAGATCTGGCTTTTGTCACTGACTGCTGTAATAAATACTTGCTAGGAATTTTTTTTTTTTTTTTTTTAAGACAAAGTCGCTCTGTCACACAGGCTGGAGTGCAGTGGCATGATCTTGGCTCACTGCACCTCCGCTTCCCAGATTCAAGTAGTTCTCGTGCCTCAGCCTCCTGAGTAGCTGGGATTACAGGTGTGTGCCACCATGTCTGGCTGATTTTTGTATTTTTAGTAGAGGTGGGGTTTCACCATGTTGGCCAGGCTGGTCTCGAACTCCTGATCTCAAGTGATCTGCCTGCCTTGGTCTCCCAAAGTGCTGGGATTACAGGTGTGACCACCACGCCCTGCCTTAAGAATTGTTCCAAGAGAATCTGGTGCCACTTGCAGGTGCCCATTGAAGTGCAATGGGCACTGTTGATCACTGAGGAGGTAGTGGGTGCTGACCCGGTGCTGGGGCCTGTCCCCTAGTCTCTGCTTTGCCCTTGGCTAGCTAGGTGGTGTGCCAAGTGGGGAGAGAAGCTACCTTATTAAGGGGCATGGATCAGCTTCCTGAAAGGAGGGCCTGCCTCTGTAAGATGTGGGAAGTCGCTGAGAATGTTACAGAACGGCCCTAGAGATGGGGCAGATAACGGCCCCCATTTGTGAGAAGTGAGTTGGGAGGCATGTTTGGGGCCTCTGATGTTTGGGAGGCTGTGGGTAATTAACATGAGTTTTGGGGTCCAGCAGCAGAATTCAGGTTTCCTCTTCCACTCAGTAACCTCAACATCCGTATCTGTAATGGGAATGATACAAAACCTATCCCCAAGTTGAGGGAAAAATGAGATTGTGTAAAGCGCACTTGGCACATGACAGTCACAAGCATGGGGACAGTGAGTCCAGAAGGATTTTCTTATGCCAGCATTGTAAGCCCTAGGATCACAGGGCTCTGGCTTGTTTAACCATCGTGTCTCTGGTCCCTAGCCTGCAAACCTGGCGTGTAGGGATGCCTCAGTCGCTTACATGTTGATTGAGTGAATCGTCGGTTTCTTTCTGGACACTGACTTCAAAAATAAAATAGGATATGAAAATGGCTCCATTTGTTGTCACCATTTTGTGGGGATCCTATGTCCTTTGAAGTGGTCAGGAGTGGGAGAAACGTGATAGGGGAAGAAGGAGTGGTGTGGCTGATGGATTTAACATGTGTTCTTTTATGTTGGCAAGGAAGCGGATGACCTTACCCCTTGTTCCTCAGATCCTGTAAATGGCTTTATAACATGACCCAGGGCTGCTTGGTGTGGGACTAGACCCCAGGGTTTGAGGGTCTGAAGACAATTTAGGTTCGTGCTGGCAGGATGTCTTGGCTCAGAGACAAGTATTTCTGTGGGGTGATCCCAGCATCCTCCCAGCATACTGCTGCTGTTGCTAGGCAGAGACCCCGGAGTGGGGAGAGGGTGATAGCATCTGGATCATCCATTCCTACCTAGGTGGTTTTGGCTCATAGTAAAAGGGACCTCAGCACCTATCCGCTGCTCAGCCTCGGAGCTGCAGGTGTCAGGGATATCATGCACTGTCCAAAAAGACATGCAAAACTTAACACCCGTGCATTTTCATGGAGAGACCCCGTGGAGCCTCTGACCAGAGGCTGAAAGAAATGTGTCATTCAAAAGACCAGGGAACCACTGCCAAGGACCCCTACATTCAGCAACACATCTATACTCGTGCCTGCCACGTGTCCGCACTTAGAGGCCATTGTCTCACCTCAGGGTCAGGAGTGCCAGGTGAAAGAGCACACAGGTCTCTGGGCAAGGCAGAGTTTGAAGCTAGGTCTGGACCAACGTCTGAGAGTATGACTTCACCCCAGGCGAGGAAGTTCACTTTGAGCTCCTGGCCAGGGAGAAAGCAAGCTCTGGGAGACCTAAACTCTGAATCTCACTTGGCTTTTCAGTCTAATCCGTTGTTGCCAAAGACATACTTGGCAATCCCGAATCCTCAGAGGGCTCCATACGTGCTGCGCTTCAGCCTTCGCTCACGGTTCATCCCACCTGGAATGCCTTTTTCTCTCCAAAGATGTTCCCAAGAGCCAAGTTAAATGTCACTTCCATTTATCTTCCTCCAAAAGGAACATGTGTTTTACTTCATCTTTCTCCTAAAAATGTGGATGCCTTAATGAGACTAATAATGGTTGTTAGTGCTTGCCAGGCGTGGAGCTAAGAGTGTTACATATATTATTTAATCTGAGCAATCCTGCATCATGGGTACTATTACCAGCTCCAGTTTTTTTGAGACGGAGTCCGTTTTGTCGCCCAGGCTGGAGTGCAGTGGCATGAGTTCAAGCGATTCTTATGCTCCAGCCTTCTGAGTGGCTGGGACTACCAGCACACATCACCACGCCCGGCTAATTTTTTTTGTATTTTAGTAGAGACAGGGTTTCGCCGTGTTGGCCAGGCTGGTCTTGAACTCCCGTCCTCAGGTGACCTGCCCGCCTCAGCCTCCCAAAGTCCTGGAATTACAGGCGTGAGCCACTGCGCCTGGCCCAGCTCCAGTTGTTCAGGTGAAAAAGATGAGGCACAGAATTGGAAAGCCATTTGTCCAAGAGGCTAAGAAGTGGTCACGTGAGCATTTAAATGTTTTTAAGCCTCAGCCTACTCCTCTCCAGGCCCTTAGCGTGTTTCGTCCTGCGTTTTCCTGGTCTTTCCCAGTGTTTATTAGATGTCTATAGTGTCCAGACAATGTTAGGCAGACGGGACACAAGGGTGCACAAACAAACAGTCTGTGCCCTTATTGGAACCTGTTAATCCCTAAAGGGCTAAGCCTCCCTACAGCAAGAACCCTGTTAGTCACCTGTGTATCCCCAGCATCTCGACTCTCCACGGGCATGGCACTATGCTGTAAAAAAAATAATCCCTGACCCTCATGGCTATGGGAAAGCATGCCTTTTAAAGCATAATCCGGCTGGGTGTGGTGGCTCACGCCTGTAACCCCAGCACTTTGGGAGGCCGAGGCAGGTGGATCACCTGAGGTCAGGAGTTTGAGACTAGCCTGGCCAACATGGTGAAACCCCGTCTTTACTAAAAATACAAAAATTTGCTGGGCGTGGTGGCAGGTGCCTGTAATCCCAGCTACTCAGGAGGCTGAGGCAAGAGAACCGCTTGAAGCCTGGAGGCAGAGGTTGCAGTGAGCTGAGATTGCGCCATTGCACTCCAGCCTGGGTGACGAGTGAAACTCCGTCTAAAAAAAAAAAAAAAAAAAGGATAATCCAATCTAGGTGCCTCTGCCTCAGTGTTGCATTCACAGAATTCCGTGGACCCAAAAATCAGTCTTGGAATAGGCTGGGATATGGACAGGACACCCAGGTTCTGCCCCTACACCTATCCCCCACCTGGCTTTTTTTTTTCTTTTCCTTGAGACAGTCTGGCCCTGTGAGCTGAGGTTGCACCACTGCACTCCAGCCTGGGCAGCAGAGCAAGACTCCATCTCTCAAAAAAACAAAAAACAAAAAAACAAAATGGGGTTAAGAGAATGGGCTTTGGAATCTAGTGGCTTCACTGGTTGCTTGCTGTGTGATCTCGGGCCACTTGCTGTGCCTCTGTGCGTCAGTTTCCTTGTCTTTAGTAGAGAGATGATAGTAACATTTCCTGTAGTGGTTGTGAAGATTATACATAATGTTTGTAACCTGCTGGAGTGGTCATTAGAGCTGTTCACCAAATATTCAGATTCTCCCCGGTTGGCACATGGTGGGAGTGCCTTGTCCATGTGACTAACTGGCCAGTCAGCTGGGAGCAGAAGTGCCTCCTTCAGGCGGGGGCCTTTAGTGGCTGGCAGGAGACCTCTATGGCTCCTCTTTCTTTTTTTTTTTTTTAATTAATTTTTTTTATTATACTTTAAGTTTTAGGGTACATGTGCACAACGTGCAGGTTCGTTACATATGTATACATGTGCCATGTTGGTGTGCTGCACCCAGTAACTCGTCATTTACATTAGGTATATCTCCAAATGCTATCCCTCCCCCCTCCCCCCACCCCACAACATTCCCCAGAGTGTGATGTTCCCCTTCCTGTGTCCATGTGTTCTCATTGTTCAGTTCCCACCTACAAGTGAGAACATGCGGTGTTTGGTTTTTTGTCTTTGCGATAGTTTACTGAGAATGATGGTTTCCAGCTTCATCCATGTCCCTACAAAGGACATGAACTCATCCTTTTTTATGGCTGCATAGAATTCCATGGTGTATATATGCCACATTTTCTTAATCCAGTCTATCATTGATGGACATTTGGCTTGGTTCCAAGTCTTTGCTATTGTGAGTGGTGCCACAATAAACATATGTGTGTATGTGTATTTATAGCAGCATGATTTATAATCCTTTGGGTATATACCCAGTAATGGGATGGCTGGGTCAAATGGTATTTCTAGTTCTAGATCCCTGAGGAATCGCCACACTGACTTCCACAATGGTTGAACTAGTTTACAGTCCCACCAACAGTGTAAAAGTGTTTCTATTTCTCCACATCCTCTCCAGCACCTGTTGTTTCCTGACTTTTTAATGATGGCCATTCTAACTGGTGTGAGATGGTATCTCATTGTGGTTTTGATTTGCATTTCTCTGATGGCCAGTGATGATGAGCATTTTTTTCGTGTATCTTTTGGCTGCATAAATGTCTTCTTTTGAGAAGTGTCTGTTCATATCCTTTGCCCACTTTTCGATGGGGTTGTTTGTTTTTTTCTTGTAAATTTGTTTGAGTTCATTGTAGATTCTGGATATTAGCCCTTTGTCAGATGAGTAGATTGCAAAAATTTTCTCCCATTCTGTAGGTTGCCTCAATGAAATAAAAGAGGATACAAACAAATGGAAGAACATTCCATGCTCATGGGTAGGAAGAATCAATATCGTGAAAATGGCCATACTGCCCAAGGTAATTTACAGATTCAATGCCATCCCCATCAAGCTACCAATGACTTTCTTCACAGAATTGGAAAAAACTACTTTAAAGTTCATATGGAACCAAAAAAGAGCCTGCATTACCAAGTCAATCCTAAGCCAAAAGAACAAAGCTGGAGGCATCATGCTGCCTGACTTCAAACTGTACTACAAGGCTACAGTCACCAAAACAGCATGGTACTGGGACCAAAACAGAGATACAGACCAATGGAACAGAACAGAGCCCTCAGAAATAATGCCGCATATCTACAACCATCTGATCTTTGACAAACCTGATGAAAACAAGAAATGGGGAAAGGATTCCCTATTTAATACATGGTGCTGGGAAAACTGGTTAGCCATGTGTAGAAAGCTGAAACTGGATCCCTTCTTTACACCTTACACAAAAATTAATTCAAGATGGATTAAAGACTTAAATGTTAGACCTGAAACCATAAAAACCCTAGAAGAAAACCTAGGCATTACCATTCAGGACATAGGGATGGGCAAGGATTTCATGTCTAAAACACCAAAAGCAATGGCAACAAAAGCCAAAATTGACAAATGGGATCTAATTAAACTAAAGAGCTTCTGCACAGCAAAAGAAACTACCATCAGAGTGGATATGGCTCCTCTTTCTTTCTGCCATGGTGATGGGCGATTATGCCCAGGAGCGGCTGCTTCATTTGCCTGGCACAGGAGTGAGGGTGACAATGCAGAGATCCAGCCACCCAGCAATGGGTGTGTAGCAGCAAGAAATGACCCTTTTGTGAATTAAGCAACTGCAATTTGGCGTTTTTATAACCTAACGTATCTTGACTGATACAAATGCTTAGAGCAACCTCTGATATTTAGTAAGGGCTTATTCAGTGGCAGAATAGAAAAGAATGGGATCTAGAGTAATAAAAGGGATTAGCCTTCTCTTTGTCAGTTAGGGATGTCAAGAGATTATCTGTAGCACCCTCTGCTGTCAACATGCCTGTCTTCCATGACCAGCCTGTACCCCCCTCCCTCCACATGTTTTTGTTTTTCCCAGACAGGGTCTCACTCTGTCACCCAGGCTGGAGTGCAAATCGACCTCCTGGGTTCAAGCGATCCTCCTGCCTCACTCTCCCTAGTAGCCGGGACTACAGGCATGTACCACCATGCCTAATTTTTTATTTTTTGTGGAGATGGGACCTCACTATTTTGCCTAGGCTGGTCTCAAACTCCTGGGCTCAAGCAATTCTCCTGCCTCTACCTTCCAAAGTGCTGGGATTATAGGTGTGAGCCATTGTGCCCAGCCACATGGTTCTTCAATACTCACCCCCACCCCAAACCCTCTGACACATGCGTTTAGTCCTGGGGTGGGGCACCTGACTCAACCCAGGTTGAAGATACTTTAGGATATTTTGAACCTGGGAGATGTGAGGGTTGTCTCTTTAAAATGGTGGAAATTATGAGATATTTGGGAACGGCACTACTGATCCTCCTAATTTATTTTTAATTTTTTTTTTAGGCCGAGGCGGGTGGATCACCTGAGGTCAAGAGTTCGAGACTAGCCTGGCCAATATGGTGAAACCTTGTCTGTACTAAAACTACAAAAATTAGCAGGGTGGGGTGGCAGGCGCCTGTAATCCGAGCTACTCAGGAGACTGGGACTACAGGTGCTCACCACCGCGCTTGGCTAATTTTTGTATTTTTACAAAGCTTTAAATAAAAATTGCTTAAAGCTGAAAATTGGGTGGGCGCAGTGGCTCACGCCTATAATCCTACCACTTTGGGAGGCTGAGGTGGACAGATCACTTGAGCCCAGGAGTTCGAGATCAGCTTGGGCAACGTGATGAAATACGATCTCTACAAAAAATACAAAAATTAGCCAAGCATAGAGGTACACACCTGTAGTCCCAGATACTCCACTGAGGTGGGAGGATCACCTGAGCCGGGGGAGGTTGAGGGTGCAGTGAGGTGCGATCGCGCCAATGCACTCCAGCCTGGGTGACAGAGTGAGATACTGTCTCAAAAAACATAAAAATAAAAAATAAAAGCTGAAAAATTTATATTTAATATTTTGAAAACTTAAATCTTATTGCATATTATTATTAAATAACTTTCCAGTTCTAGTGTTCAATGTCAGTCTAATTGCTCATCTAAAGGACTGATATTGCAACATACATTTTGTGTCTCGATCTTATATACAAATTAGAGAGTGATACAAATTGTTTAAATGGCTAAATGTTCCTCAGCTACAGTGAGTAGCCATATTGGTCTCTTTTAAAAATTTTTATTATTTTTATTTAAACAAAGTTTTAATTTTTTTTTGTAGAGACAGGGTCTCATTATGTTGCCCAGGCTGGTCAGCCACAAGTGATCCTTCTGCCTCAGTCTCCCAAAGTTCTGGGATTATAGGCATGAACTAACACGCCTGACCCAGATTACTCTCTAACTCATGAGTATGTCTGGAGGCGCAATTTGGAACATGAAGAGAAACAGAAAAATGGACTCTCAGTACTTCTGAGAAATGATACTTGTTATACAAGAATCTACTGCATTCAGCCTCCCTGAGAAGAGGAATTTAAGAATTAATTTCTGCTTCCTCTTACTTAAGTGTTTCAACACTCAAGTCCTTTGCATACTCTGAAGCAATGTGTGTCTCCAACATTGGGAGCAGCTGCAACCCACAAACCTTCTTGACATAAAATAGTTGCATTCATTCATTCATTTATTTGCTCTGCCGCACAGGCTGGAATGGCAGTGGTACGATCTTAGCTTACCGCAACCTCCACCTCCCTGGTTCAAGCCATTCTCCTGCCTCAGCTTCCCGAGTAGCTGGGATTACAGGTGCGCACCACCATGCCCGGCTAATTTTTGTATTTTTTAGTAGAGACGGGGTTTCACCATGTTGGCCAGGCTGGTCTCAAACTCCTGACCTCAACTGATCTGCCTGCCTCGGCCTCCCAAAGTGCTGGGATTACAGGCGTGAGCCACCACACCTGGCCATAGTTGCCTTTTGTTTTGAGATTTTAGGACAAGAGATGAATATGTTTTTTTTTTTTTTTTTTTGAGTCAGAGCTTTGCTCTTGTTGCCCAGGCTGCAGTGCAATGGCATGATCTCGACTCACTGCAACCTCTGCTTCCCGGGTTCAAGCAATTCTTCTGCCTCAGCCTCCCGAGTAGCTGGGATTACAGGCATGCGCCACCATGCCCGGTTAATTTTGTATTTTTAGTAAAGATAGGGTTTCTCCATGTTGGTCAGGCTGGTCTCGAACTCCCAACCTCAGGTGATCTCCCTGCCTCAGCCTCCGAAAGTGCTGGGATAACAGGCATGAGCCACCACGCCGGGCAGAAATGAGACATACTTTGGGGCCTGAACAGTGTTTGTTATGAAATGGATGTTTAGGGCTGCAGATTGTGCTGAGCCAGTACTGAACATAAGATCCTGAGTGGACAGGAACACCTTTGTGGTCATTAGTGAATCTGTTTTTAAGAGCTGGGAGTGGTGGCTAACACCTGTAATCCCAGCATTGTGGGAGGCTAGGGTGGGATGATCACTTGAGGCCGGAGTTTGAGAGCAGCCTGGGTAACAAAACAAGACTCTGTCTCTACAAAAAAGGAAAAAATTAGCTGGGTGTGGTGGCATGAGTCTATAGTCCCAGCTACTCAGGAGGCTGAGGTGGGAGGATCGCTTGAGCCTAGGAGGTCAAGGCTGTAGTGAGTTATGTTTGTGCCACTGCACTCCAGCCTATTTGAGACAGATAATGTGTCTCAAAAAAAAAAAAAAGAAAAAAAAAGAAAAAAAACTCTTGGCCGGGTGCGGTGGCTCACGACTGTAATCCCAGCGCTTTGGGAGGCCGAGGCAGCTGGATCACCTGAGGTCAGGAGTTTGAGACCAGCCTGGCCAACATTGGTGAAACCCCTTCTCTATTAAAAATACAAAAATTTGCTGGGCCTGGTGGCACGCGCCTGTAATCCCAGCTACTCTGGAGGCTGTGGGAGGAGAATCACTTGAAGCCGGGAGGCAGAGGTTGCAGTGAGCCGAGATGGCGCCACTGTACACACTCCAGCCTGAGCAATAAGAGCAAAACTCCATCTCAAAAAAAAAAAAAAAAAAAAGAAAAGAAAAGAATAAAAGAAAAATCCATTGAAAAAATCATACATTTGTGAGATGGAGAGCCAATCTTGCTAGGAACTGAGGGGGTTACTGGCTGCAAGGGAGATGGGGAAAACAAGTCCTGGCCTCCACCTAGGGGATCTATAGACTCACAGTGCAGGAATTTCCCCGGAGACAGAGGAGCGCTTTAAAGGTACTGTGCGGCCCAAAATGGTGGAGTAGGGAATTCCAGGGCTCCATCCCTCCCCCAACACAACTAATAAGGTGGCAAAAACTGTCAGAATCAACTTCTGAAGTACTCTGGGATCTAGCTTTTTGTTAGCTTTCATTTTTTTGAGATGGGGTCTCACTCTGTCCCCCAGACTGGAGTGCCACTGTGCAATCTCAGCCCACTGCAGCCTTGACCTCCCACCTCAGCCTCAGAGTAGGTGGGATCACGGGCGCAAGCCACCATGCCAGGCTAATTTTTGTATTTTTTGTAGAGACAGGGTTTTACAATGTTGCCCAGGCTGGTATTGAACTCCTGAGTTCAAGCAATTCACCAGCCTCAGCCTCCCAAAGTGCTGGGATTACAGGCTTGAGCCACCGCACCCAGCCTTCTAGTTTTTAAAAAGGGAAACAAACAAACTTATAACTAGCACGGGAAAATTTGGAGAAAGAAAGCTCTGAGGCTGGGCGCGGTGGCTCACGCCTGTAATCCCAGCACTTTGGGAGGCAAAGGCGGGTGGATCCCCTGAGGTTAGGAGTTCGAGACCAGCCTGGCCAACATGGTGAAACCCCGGCTCTACTAAAAATGCAAAAATTAGCTGGGCATGGTGGCACATGTGCCTGTAATCCCAGCTACTCGGGAGGCTGAAGCAGGAGAATCCCTTGATCCCAGGAGGAGGAGGTTGCAGTGAGCCGAGATAGTGCCACTGCCCTCCAGCCTGGGTGAAAGCAAAAGTCCGTCTCGAAAAAAAGGAAAGAAAGAAAGCTCTCCTGTGATAAGAGAGTGTGATTGATGGCGTTTTTGCTTGCTCATGTAACATCCCCCCAAACTCCAGATCAGCAGGGACCATGAGGATGTCAGCCTGCACTTCTGGGGCTGGTTGCTAGCGTAGGGGGAGTACACAGAATTTACTCTCAAAGAATTGTGGTTGTAGGCTGGGTGTGGTGTCTCACACCTGTAATCCCAGCATTTTGGGAGGCCAAGGCAGGTGAATCACGAGGTCAGGAGTTTGAGACCAGCCTGGCCAACATGGTGAAACCCCATCTCTACTAAAAATACAAAAAATTAGCTGGGCATGGTGGTGGGCACCTGTAATCACAGCTACTCAGGAGGCTGAAGCAGGAGAATCACTTGAACCTGGGAGGCAGAGGTTGCAGTGAGCCAAGATCGTGCCACTGAACTCCAGCCTGGGTGACAGGGCAACTCCGTCTTAAAAAAAAAAATAAATAAATTTGGGGTTATAGGTCTGACGACTTCCCCAAGGACTAGCAGAAAGGTTTCTGAGCTTTTTAACCAGGGCATTTTCAGGGCTGGCATGGCTTCCCAGGTGGCTTTAGACAAAAGCATTGAAAGACATAGGTATTGGCCTCAATACCCTGGGGCAGGGGACAACACTTGGGACAAGCAATAGACAGACCGAGCAGCCTGGGAAGGAAAAGTTTGGAAAAAGAGATGTGTGTCTGTAGAGGCTTTTAAAAGTGTCTACATAAACCAGGAAATCAAGAAAGCTGTGTGCAGGCCCATAGTCAGTTGCAAGCTCAGAAAAGGCCTAAGAAACTTTGTGAGGCCAAGGCGGTTGGATCACCTGAGGTCAGGAGTTTGAGACCAGCCTGGCCAACATGGTGAAATCTTGCCTTTACTAAAAATACAAAAATTAGCCAGGCATAGTGGCACACACCTGTAATCCCAGCTACCCGGGAGGCTGAGGCAGAAAATCACTTTACCTGGGAGGTGGAGGTTACAGTGAGCTGAGATTGTGCCACTGCACTCCAGCCTGGGTGACAGAGTGAGATTCTGTCTCAAAACAAAACAAAACAAAAACAAGCAAAAGAAAAGGCCTAAGAAGACCCTGGGCTTTCATCTCTTTCTGGCCTTCAGTCTCTGTGCAAGCAGGAAGTGAAGGCTAAGGCAGAGTATAAATGGCTTGGTTAAGGGTTGAGAGAGTGCCCCAAACAGATCCAATTTGCAAAGACTAGGATAGTGTTTTTCTTTTCTTCCTTCCTCCCTCCCTCCCTCCCTTCTTTCCTTTCTTCCTTCCTTCCCTCCTTCCTTCCTTTCTCTCCTTTCTGCCTGCCTGCTTTCTTTCTCTCTCTCTTTCTCTGTCTTTCTCTTTATTTCTCCTGTTTTCTTGTTTCTTTCCTTTTATTCTTCTTTATTTGTTGGCTTCAGCCATTTTAGGTAGCTCTCAAAATACCAGCTGACTGACAAGCAAAAAGAACAGAAACAAACAAAAAGAACAGAACAGAAAAAAAAAAAAAAAAACCAGAAACAGAAACACAAAGAATACAGACTTTACAATAATAGTTTGGAAAATTTACCAAACAAGCAAACCACAGCAACCCACGATATACAGCAACAATAGACCCTGGGGAGGGAGGAGAATCTGATTTTCAGTGTTGCCATAAATTGAAAATGTCAACAAAAACCCTCATGGCATGGAAAGAAATAATAAAGTTCCACTCATTTGTGGCAAGAAAGAAATGACTAGATACTGTCTTTGTGGCAACCCAGGTATTGGTCTTACTGGCAATGACTTTTTTTTTGAGACAGAGTCCCACTCTGTCGCCCAGGCTGGAGTGCAATGGCACGATCTTGGCTCACTACAACCTCTGCCTCTTGGATTGAAGCGATTCTCCTGCCTTACCCTCCTGAGTAGCTGGGATTACAGGTGTGCGCCACCACGCCCAGCTAATTTTTGCATTTTCAGTAGAGACGGGGTTTCATCATGTTGGTGAGGCTGGTCTCAAACTCCTGACCTCGTGATCCACCCACCTCAGCCTCCCAAAGTGCTGGATTAGAGGCGTGAGCCACTGTGCCCAGCCCAGCAATGACTTTTAAAAAAAATTATTTATTTAATTTTTTTTTAGAGACAGGGTCTCCCTCTGTCACTCAAGCTGGAGTGCAGTGATGTAATCAGAGCTCACTGCAATCTCTATCTCCTGGGCTCAGTGAGTCTCCTGCTTCAGCCTCCTGAGTAGGCTGGAACTACAAGTGTGCACCACAATGCCAGGCTAGACAATTACTTTTTTTTTTTTTTTTTTTGAGATGGAGTCACACTCTGTCACCCAGGCTGGAGTGCAGTGGCATAATCTCGGCTCACTGCAACCTCTGTCTCCCAGGTTCAGGTGATTCTCGTGCCTCAGTCTCCCAAGTAACTGGGATTACAGATGCCCGCCACCACGCCCAGCTAATTTTTGTATTTTTAGTGGAGACAGGTTTTCACCATGTTGGCCAGGCTGGTCTTGAACTTCTGACCTCAAGTGATCTGCCTGCCTCAGCCTCCCAAAGTGCTGGGATTACAGGCATGAGCCACCATGCCCAGCCGACAATGAGTGTAAATTGACTGTCTTAAATATACTCAAAGAGATGAAGGAAACCATGGACAAAGTCCTAAAGAGAGAGCACTTTGCAGAAGTTGTGGCGCCTTGAGAGCCAGCAGGGCAGTGGGCCAGTGAGATGTTGAGTTATTACTATTATTAATTCAAATCACATGAATAGCAAACCCTCAGAGAACAAGAAGTCTTTGTTGTATCACAAGGGCTCCATCAGCAGAGGTGGAGTCCTGAACTCGGCACAGTGTCTGGCATATACTAGGTCTTCAAGAAAGTTTTAGAGTAAACAAATGCATCCACAATGCTTTTATGTTGGGTAAGGTCTTTCTAGCAGTCAAAATTTTCTTTCTTTCTTTCTTTTTTTTTTTTTTTCCTCCTTGTGATGGGGTTTGCGGGAATGGGAACAATGGCATAGAGGAAGAGGAAACCAAAATTATCTTGAGTTAGCAGATGTCTTTCTCCTGTCTCCTTTCTTCACTAAGAAGAACAGTCTTTGCTGGGCATGGTGGCTCCCACCTGTAATCCCAGCACTTTGGGAGGCCAAGGCGAGTGGATCACCTGAGGTCAGGAGTTCGAGACCAGCCTGGCCAACATGGTGAAACCCTGTCTCTACTAAAAATACAAAAATTAGGTGGGGTGCTGTGTGGCTCACTCCTGTAATCCCAGCCTTTTGGGAGGCTGAGGCTGGTGGATCACCTGAGGTCAGAAGTTCAAGACTAGCCTGGTCAACATGGGGAAACCCCGTCTGTACTAAAAATACAAAAAAAAAAAAAAAATAGCTGGGCATGGTGGTGCATGCCTGTATTCCCAGCTACTTGGGAGGCTGAGGCAGGAGAATCGCTTGAACCTGGGAGGCAGAGGTTGCAGTGAGCTGAGATCATGCTATTGTACTCTGGCCTGGGGGACAGAGTGAGACTCTGTCTCAAGAAAAAAAAAAATAAAAAAATAAAAATAAAAAACCTAAAGAAACAAAAAAAAAAACAAAAATTAGCCAGGTGTGGTGGTGCACACCTATAATCCCAGCTACTCGAGAGGCTGAGGCAGGAGAATCGCTTCAGCCCAGGGATGCAGAGGCTGCAGCGAGCCGAGATGGCACCACTGCACTCCAGCCTGGGCGACAGAACGAGACTTTGTCTTTTTTTTGTTTGTTTAAAAAAAAAAAAAAGAAAGAAGAACGGTATTGTCTTTGGGTAAGCACAGGCACAGAGTTAAAAAAAAAAAAAAAAGAGTCGTGTCTTTGGGACTGAGTGGATGGGCATGTGTTCTGAGTTAGTGTGCCCAGGTGTGGTGAAAGACACGGAGAAACCACTGCTTGATGCGTTCTCTTTTGTTGTTCAAGTTGTGGGCTGCTGTGGGGTGGGGTTACATGTCTGCATCCCCTTCGAAAAGCACACAATATGGCAAGTGGAAGCTGGAGAGAGCTCCTAGGAGTGCCTCGTGCCAGGTGAAGAGGTTGCATTGCGGGTGGTGGGTAGGTGCCTAGGGAGAGGAGGTCCACGCCTGTTGTCCTTCCAGCACGATGGCTCCAAAAGCAGAGCGAAGAGGTGATGTTCCCACTTCCCAAGGCATCCAAGGGACGGGGCTTGAAGAATGCAGCCTAGCAACCATGTGCGTAAGACTGTGGGGAAGGAGGGCTTGAGGATGAGCCTGAGAGTCAACTGGACTGTGGGGAAATAGTGTAGCCTTCTTTCCTTTGAGCTTCAGTTATCTCGCCTGTGGTGATGATGACGATGATGATAAAGATGATACCATACTTCTATGGCACATACTATGTTCCAGATATTGTTCATATAACTCATCTAATTTTCATAGCAGTTTTACAAGATGAGTACTATTTGTTTTTGTTTTTTTGTTTTTTTTTTTTGAGATGGAGTCTCGCTCTGTTGCCAGGCTAGAGTGCAGTGGCGCAATCTGGGTTCACTGCAACCTCTGCCTCCTGGGTTCAAGCAATTCTCCTGCCTCAGCCTCCTGAGTAGCTGGGACTACAGGCACATACCAGCTAATTTTTGTATTTTCAGTAGCGACAGGGTTTCACCATGTTAGCCAAGATGGTCTTGATCTCTTGACCTCGTGATCCACCCGCCTCAGCCTCCCAAAGTGCTGGGATTATAGGCGTCAGCCACAGCTCCCAGCCAAGATGGGTACTATTTTTATACCTATTTTATAGAAGAGGAAACTGAGGCATAGAGAAGTCAAGTCACTTGATCATACAGCTAGTGTGTGGAGGAGGCAGATTCAAACCCTGGCTTCGGTCTTAGTCACTGCATTGGCTTCATGGGCTTATCATGAGGATTAAACGCGTGAACATGCTCAGTGTTTAGTTCAGTGTCTGGCACAGGATCAATGTTCAGAAAATCCTAACAGCTGCTGTCAGTATCAGAACCCAAACAAACAGGTGGGACTTTCGCCAACTCTCTAACATCACATGTGCTTGTATAATCAGCCACTGTTTTTTTCATGAAAAAAAATTTTTTTGAGACAGGTTCTCGCTTTGTCACCCAGGCAGGAAGGCAGTGGTGAGAACACAGCTCACTGTAGCCTCCACCTCCTGGGCTCAAGCGATCCTCCCACCTCAGCCTCTTGTGTAGCTGGAACCACAGCATGTGCCACCACGCCCAGCTATTTTTTAATATATTTTTTTATTTTTTGTAGAGATGAGGTCTCACCATCTTGCCCAAGCTGTTCTCAAACTCCTGGACTCAAGCAGTCCTCCTGCCTCAGCCTCCCAAAAGGCTGAGAATACAGGCATGAGCCACTGCGCCTGGCTAATCAGTCACTTGTTGTTGTTGTTTTTTGTTTTTTTGAGATGGAGTCTTGCTCTGTCACCCAAGTTGGAATGCAATGGCGCGATCTCGGCTCACTGCAAGCTCTGCCTCCTGGGTTCAAATGATTCTCCTGCCTCAGCCTCCCAAGTAGCTGGGACTACAGGTGCACGCCACCACACCCAGCTAATTTTTGTATTTTTAGTAGAGACGGGGTTTCACCATGTTGGCCAAGATGGTCTCGATCTCTTGACCTCATGATCCGCCTGCCTCAGCCTCCCAAAGTGCTGGGATTACAGGTGTGAGCCTTAATCCCAAAGTGCTGGGATTACGTGCCTGGCCTTAATCAATCACTTTTAAAGGAGAGTGGGGAACATCATGTTTTGCAACTATTTTTTGAACTCTTGGATATTTACTTGGAACAAATAAAAACACTTTTGTACCATGTGAAAGGTAAAATTTGCTCAAGCCGTCCCTCATCCTGCCCTGGCCTGCTTCCACATGCGGCTGGGTGAGCTGACCCCATTCTCTGTTTATTTATTGTTTTTGTTATTGTATTTTATTTTACTTTTTTGAGACAGAGTTTCACTCTTGTCACCCAGGCTGGAGTCCAATGGCATGATCGTGGCTCCCTGCAACCTCCGCCTCCCAGATTCAAGCGATTCTCTTGTGTCATTCTCCTGAGTAGCTGGGATTACAGGTGCCTGCCACCACGCCCAGCTAATTTTTGTATTTTTAGTAGAGATGGGGTTTCCCCATGTTGGCCAGGCTGGTTTTGAACTCCTGACCTCAGGTGATCTGCCCGCCTCGGCCTCCCAATGTGCTGGGATTAGAGGTGTGAGCCACCGCGCCCGGCCCATTCTCAGCTTCTTGATGGCTTCCCCCTACTGGGACATTGATCACTTATTCATGACATTGACTGGTCATGAGCCACTCCTCCGCCAGCCCTTGGAGGATCCAAGTGATTCACAAATGGACACAAGGAATATGATTAGTCCTCTGTGAGTGATTCTGAGGGGCCGTGGTATAGAGAGAGAGAGGGGAAGGAGGATGGGAAAATGCCGGCAGTTCCCTCCCCAACCCATTCTGACAGTTTGCTGGTTAGAGAAAAATCCCCATGTCAGAGAATTTTTTTCTTTGTTTATTTCCTGTGAAATAGAATGTGGGTCTGGCATTGGGGAGGACTCTAGTAATTCATATTTTCTGCTTATTTGGCTCCTGGCTGAACAGGAATTTACATTACTTAATGTCTGGGTTTTTCCTGGGGAATCAAAATAAGTTTTCTATTCAATTATTAAGCAAATTTCACAGCCAAATAATCCTCTTATTTTTACAAGTGGTATTTTCCCTGGCAGAGGGTTTTCTGGCTTCTCTGGGTACTTGATCCGTCTCCTCTCTTCTGTTTCCTCTGTCTTTGTCTGGCTATGAAGGAAGCTAAAGCCCCTCATTCATGGATTAGGGGCTTCTCAATGGCAGTTGGCAGACTTTGGCTTTGCAAGCTAGAGATGAATCTTTTTTTTCTTTCTTTTTTTTTTTTTTCGAGACGGAGTCTTGCTCTGTTGCGCAGGCTGGTGTGCAGTGGTGCGATCTCCACTCACTACAACCTCTGCCTTCCAGGTTCAAGCTATTCTCCTATCTCAGCCTTCCAAGAAGCTGGGACTACAGGCATGCACCACCACACCTAATTTAAAAAATACTTTAGTAAATGGCTAATTTAAAAAATATTTTTAGTAAATGGGAGGTTTTACCATGTCGGCCAGGCTGGTCTCGAACTCGTGACCTCAGGTGATCTGCCTGCCTTGTCCTCCCAAAGTGCTGGGATTACAGGTGTGAGCCACTGCGCCTGGCCTAGAGATAAATCTTAATGTCCGCCAGCCATGGGGTAAGAGTCCACTCCCTCTTTCTGCTCTTCAGTCTATTGACTTTGGGCACAGGCACAGCTGCAGCTCTAGTAGGGGTTGGGCCTGGAGTCAGTGGAGACAAAATGTGAAGGTAACAGGACAGTGCACGGGGCCCAGTGTGCTCTGCCTGGGCTGCTCAGGGAAGAAAAATCACACACACACACACAAATAACAACCCTTTTTTTGGCAGAAGTATAGTGAAAGATCTCTACGTCTTGGCCAGCATTTGTTATCTTTTTGCTTCTTTGAAAATAGCCATCCTGGGCCAGATGCAGTGGCTCACGCCTGTAATCCCAGCACTTTGGGAGGCTGAGGCGGGTGGATCACCTGAGGTTAGGAGTATGAGAGCAGCCTGGTGAACATGATGAAACCTCTTCTCTACTAAAAATACAAAAATTAGCTGGGCGTGGTGGCACGCGCCCATAATCCCAGCTACTCGGGAGGCTGAGGAACAAGAATAGCTTGAACCCTGGAGGTAGAGGTTGCAGTGAGCTGAGATTGTGCCATTGCACTCCAGTCTGGGTGACAGAGTGAGACTCTGTCTCAAAAAATAAATAAATAAATAAATTAAAAATAAATAAATAAATAAAGGAAACGGAGTCAGTGTGTTGAAGAGATATCTGCACTCCCATGTTCACTGCAATATTATTCACAATAGACAAGGTATAGAATCAACCTAAGTGTCCATCAGTGGATGAGTAGATAAAGAAAATGTGATACACATACACCAATGTGGTATATATACTCTTCAGCCTTAACCCATCTCCATAAAATTAAGGAAACAAAGAAGGAAGTCCTGTTATTGGTGACAACGTGGATGAACCTGGAAGACATTATGTTAAGTGAAATAAATCAGGCACAGAAAGACAAATACCACATGATCTCACTTATATGTGGAATCTAAAAAAGTTGAACTCACTGAAGTAGAGAGTAGAATGGTGGTTACCAGAAGCAAGGTGAGGGTGTCTGTGAGAGGGTTGGGGAGACATTGGTCAAAAGATAAAAAATTTCAATTAGCCAGGAGGAAAAAGTTCAAGAGGTCTATTGTGACTAGTTAATAAAAGTGTTCTAACCACAAAAATGATCCATATACAAGGTAACATATATGTTAATTAGCTTTATTTAGCCATTCCACACTGCGTATATCAAAAAATCATGTACACCATAAATATAATTATTATTATTTTTTGAGACAGAGTTTCACTCTTGTTGCCCAGGCTGGAGTGCAATGGCACGATCTCAGCCCACTGCAACCTCCGCCTCCTGGGTTCAAGCGATTCTCCTGCTTCAGCCTCCCTAGTAGCTGGGATTACAGGCATGCACCACCATGCCCAGCTAATTTTGTATTTTTAGTAGAGATGGGGTTTATCCATGCTGGTCAGGCTGGTCTCGAACTCCTGACCTCAGGTGATCCGCCCACCTCGGCCTCCCAAAGTGCTGGGATTATAGGCGTGAGCCACTGTGCCCGGCTCATAATTTTTATTTATAACAAAAAGTAAAGTGAACCTCCTGTAGACAGAGTACAGTTGGATCTTGTTTTTTCAACCTATTCACCTACTCTATGTCTTCTAATTGGGGAATTTAATTCATTTATACTTAAAGTAATTATTGATAGATAATTTACTTAGTAGAAGTATAACTTTGAGCCTGTTATTTACCTTTTCTAAATGAGTTTTCATTTCTGTGAAATGGGCACAATTAAAGAGGCCGCCTCCTGGGACTGGGGTCAGGATTAGTTGAGATAGTCTGTGTAAGGCTAGGATGGTGCTTGACAGCCAGTGTTAATTATTATTTTTTGATCCTGTGGGATAGGGCAACCCAGATACTCCGGTGGGAAACACTTGCAACCAGAGAACCTTGACTCAAAATCTTGGTCCTACTTGGTTTGAAGGATCCCATTGCATTTGCATTGCTGCCCCTTCTGAGAGGTTATTCACACTGATAAACCCCATTTTGCAACTTACACGTGCAGGATTCAGCTAATTGGACAGCAGTGGACACTGAACCTAAGGTGAAAAATCCAACAAATAGAGAGGACCAACTGAAAAATTCAGTTGCTTTCTTTTGAAGAATCTGAATACGAGACACAGAGAAAGGATTAGTAGTCAGTATTGAGGGCAGAAACAGAAACACAGAGAAGGAAAGTTATAAGAGGAAGCTTTGAGTCAGCAGAAGCTATGGGTGAATAGGAGCCATGAATTGACAGGAATTATGAGTCAGCAGAAACTTGAGTCGTGGCAAGAGCCACAAGTCAGCAGAAACTATGAGATAGAGAGTAGCATGGAGATAGCAGAGGAATAGGCCAAGACCCGGAGATGCTGCGTCACCATCTTGGTGGAGCCTAGAGGGCAGAGCTAGGATGGTCCCCTGAATTACAGAGCTGCTGTCAGTGATGAGTGTAACCTGAAGATGTTCCAGCCTCTGGCAGCCCTGACTGGGTGGTGAGACTTTGGCCTTCCAGCTTTCATAAAGTAAACTGAGAATATTTCTGTTTCTGGCCAACTTACAAGAATCTGACTGACACACTACCCATATCAAACTCCTCTGAGACTCAGTTTTCTTGCCTGTGAAATGGGGACAGCTAAATATACAAGTTGAATGGGTTGAGAAAACAAGATCCAATTATATTCTGTCTACAAGAGACTCATTTTACTTTTTAATTACAAATAAAAATTATATGTATATATGATATTTTGATATATGTATACAGCATGGAATGGCTAAATCAAGCTAATTAACATATATGTTACCTTGTATACTTGCTTTGGGCTGCTTAGCATCCCTTTTTTGGGGATACCAGCCTTTATTTGACATCTGCCAGTAACAGGATTCTACCTCTAAGGTGGCCACATAATCCAGGCCGGGCCCGTCAGAGCCTCATTGTAGAAATTTGCCTTCAGGTCAGGAGGTGGAAACCCTGAGAGAGTTCCTGGGTTCTGGGATATTCTAAGCTGTCCAGGCTCCTGTGTTTTCTTTGTTTTTAGAGACGGAGTCTAGCTCTGTCACCCAGGCTGGAGTGCAGGGGCACAATCTCGGTTCACTGCAACCTCCGCATCCTGGGTTCAAGTGATTCTCCTGCCTCAGCCTCCTGAGTAGCTGGGATTACAGGCATGCGCCACTATGCCCAGCTCATTTTTGTATTTTTAATAGAGATGGGGTTTTGCCATTTTTGGCTAGGCTGGTCTCAAACTCCTGACCTCAGGTGATCTGACCGCCTTGGCCTCCGAAAGTGCTAGGATTACAAGCGTGAGCCACCATGCCTGGCCGGCTCCTGTGTTTTCTAAGGCCAGTTTATTCAACTCTGTTTTCTTTCTGAGAGTTTCCGAATGGAGTCATCCCTTGGTATCCATGGGGGATTAGTTCCAGGACTTTCCATGGATACCAAACCCCACAGAAGCTCAAGTCCCTGATATAAAATGATGTAGTCTTTGCATTTAACTATGCACATCCTGCTGTATACTTTATTTTTATTTATTATTATTATTTTTGAGATGGAGTCTCCCTCTGTCACCCAGACTGGAGTGCAGTAGCGCAATCTTGGCTCACTGCAACCTCCGCCTCAGCTAGGTTCAAGCGATTCTCATGCCTCAGCCTCTTGAGTAGCTGGAACTACAGGTGTGTGCCACCACGCCCGGCTACTTTTTGTATTTTTAGTAGAGATGGGGTTTCACCATGTTGGTCAGGCTGGTCTTGAACTCCTGACCTCAAGTGTTCTGCCCATCGCGACCTCCCAAAGTGCTGGGATTACAGGCATGAGCCACCATGCCTGGCCCTCCTGTATACATTAGATTATCTCTAGATTACTCATAAAAATGAATACAATGTAAATGCCGTGTAAGTAGTTGCTATACTGCATTGTTTAGGGAATCATGACAAGAAAAGGAGTCTGTATGTGTTTAGTACAGATGGTTTTTGTTGTCGATTAAAAATATATATATATTTTATAGAGACGGGGCCTTGCTATGTTGCTCAGGCTGGTCTTGATCTTCTGGCCTCAAGTGATCCTCCTGCCTCAGCCTGCCAAAGTGCTGGGATTACAGGCATGAGCCACTGTGCCCAGCCTTCCTGAATATTTTTTTAATTCTCGGTTGGTTGAATCCATAGATGCGGAACTCACAGAGGCAGAGGGCCAACTGTAGCCTTCCTACAGATATTTTTATCTTGTTAAAGTAATAACCCTAACCTGACCCACACCTCACAGGTCTGTTGTGAAGTGACATAAGCCAGCACATAAGTGGAAAAGCTTGGTGAATGATTTAAAGGAATCTTCTGGCCTGGTGCGGGGGCTCACGCCTGTAATCCCAGCACTTTGGGAGGCCGGAGTGGGTGGATCACCTGAGGTCAGGAGTTTCAGACCAGCCTGGTCAACGTGGTGAAACCCCGTCTCTACTAAAAAAAATACAAAAATCAGCCCGGCATGGTGACGGGTGCCTGTAATCCCAGCTACTCGGGAGGCTGAGGCAGGAGAATCGCTTGAACCCAGGAGGCGGAGGTTGCAGTGAGCCAAGATCGTGCCACTGCACTCTAGCCTGGGGGACAAGAGTGAAACTCCGTCTCAAAAAATAAAAAAAGGAATCTTCTGGCCTCTGTTTCAGTTGAACAAAGTGAGGTCTAGAGAGGGGAGAAGTGAGCAGTTCCAGGTCGCATGGGCGGTCAGGGGTGAAAGGGGAGTGGGGACGTGAACTCCAGGCGGGTGCTCTTTCGCGCCTCCTGGTCGCTCCCTCCCCTTCCCTCCCCTTCCCTCCCCTTCCCTCCTCTTCCCTCCCCCGCTCTCCCTGATGTGCCTGCCTTCCCTACCTAACAGCTCTGAGTTCTGCCTACCTGAATTAGCCCAATGTTTTCACCCTTTGAAAGAAGATTCTAAGCCGAAACCAGCCCCCAGTTCCCCGTGGGCTTTGCCCACTCCTTGCCAAGCACTCTGAGTGCTACCCTTTCTCTTTCTGAATAGGGTGAGATACTTGACGCTGCCCTGAATCGAAGTCAAACGGGGGCTCCTCTCTGCAGTACCACAGAGCTCCCTGTAGGTGGCAGGGTAGGACTGCAAATGTCCTGGAATATTGGTCCCTGAGCGCAAGCCCAGACTGGAGCTGGGGTACAGCATTTACTTGCCGTGGGGAAGAGGAGGACGCCGGAGGGAGGAGGAAGGAAAGTAGAAGTGTTGCCAGTCTTGAGGCAAAAGAGAGTTGATTTGAGGGCCGAAGGACAGGAATAGTTGGTGTACCTCATCCGTCTATCTCTCCATCCACCTACCCACCTATATACCCAACTACCCTCCATCCATCCACCTACTCTCCATTCACCCACCCACTCACCCATCCACCCATCCACCCACCCACCCATCCATCTACCCATCCATCCATCCATCCATCCATCCACGCATTCATCCAAACACCCATCTATCCATCCACCCACCCATCCGTCCATGGGTTCATTCATCCATCCATCTACCAATCCACTCATCCATCCAATAAATATTTTTGAGCACCTGTGCTAAATGCATATACACACACACATATCTATGCACACACATACATACACACTGATATATATCACACACATGCATACACACACACGGAGAATAACCGGTACTGCCTTTTGTTGAGTGTCAAGGTTGCTTTTATCTCTCCAGCTGGAGATTTCTGCACCTGTCTGTAGCATCCATTACTAGCATCCCATTCCCAATATTATTATTCACTCCTTTACTTCCGAATATAAAGCAGATGTCATCTGGGGCCCTTTTTGCCCCTTCTGATTTCAATAAAATTTTCCCCAACGTCCTGTCTTCCTCCTCCTCCTCTATCCCATTCCTGAGGCATCTCAAGTCTTCCCTTGGATTTCTGTCAACTCCTGACTTTTCTGCCTCTAGAGCTTTGGCTCCTAGTAGGATATTTCTGACCTGCAGCATATCATATTCTTTGTTTTTAAAATTTATTATTGTTGGCCAGGTGCAGTGGCTCATGCCTGTAATCCCATCACTTTGGGAGACCGAGGCAGGTGGATCACCTGAGGTCAGGAGTTTGAGATTAACCTGGCCAACATGGTGAAATCCCGTTTCTACTAAAAATACAAAAATTAGCTGGATGTGGTGGCATGCTCCTGTAATCCCAGCTACTCGGGAGGCTGAGGCAGGAGAATTGCTTGAACCCGGAGGGAGAGGTTTCAGTGAGTCGAGATCTCGCCACTACTCCAGCGTGGACGACAGAGCAAGACTCCATCTCAAAAAAAACAAAAACAAAACCAAACAAGCAAACAAAAAAAAAAAAACAAGAAAAGGCAGCTCAGAGAGGTCAAGTGTCTAGCTTGAGGCCATACAGCTAACTGGGTCAGAACTGAGATTTGAACCCATGTATGTCTGACCTGGTGCTGGGCTCTTTTCTGTAGAGGATTCATCCAGCCCCACATACCTGGTCTAGAAGAAGGGAAGTGGTGGGAGAGGAGCACCCCAGAGAGAGGAGCCCGAATCATGGGGCTGCAAGCTGGTCCTGGGTCCCATGGAGCCATGGGGTGAGGAAGTGGCAGGGGCTACCACCAAACTCAGATGCGGGCCCAAGGCTGGTTGGGGGAGAGGACCCTGGCTGTGGGTGCCCATCTGCCAGCTTGTATGAAGGAGTAGGCGGGGTAGGTGGGAGAAGGGAAGTGGTGCTTCGGTGGGACCACAGGAAACGCTAGATTTTGGTTAGTAGTTGGAAAGTACCAGCAATTTCTCTTTCAACAGAAAACCAGAAGGAGGTCAGGTTTTTCTTATTAAAACAGAGACAAATGCAGACTTTGCAAAGGAAGCAGGGATTTGCAGAGTGAGGCTGGAAGTCACCGAAGCTGAGTGATATTCCCCAGAGAAAGGTTTTACATTCATGTGGAGTGGGTCAGAGGACCTTGAGTTGAGCTGATGAGCAGCCACAGGATGGCACCAGGTTTTCACGATATGGAGAGAAGGGGACCTGGTGGTGGTTTGGCCACCGTGTCCTGTTTCCTGAAGAACAGAGGGTGTACGTGACAGCTGGGGCCTCATAGCCAGTTACTGCCAGCAGGACTCCATCTCAATTCAGATCTTACTTCATGGGACTACACAGAAAGAAGGAAAGCCAGGCCGGGCATGGTGGCTCATGCCTGTAATCCCAGCACTTTGGGAGGCTGGGGTGGGCAGATCAATAGAGGCCAGGAGTTCGAGACCAACCTGACCAGCCTTCACCAATGGTGAAGCCCATCTCTACTAAAAGTACAAAAATTAGCTGGGCGTGGTGACGGGCGCTTGTAATCCCAGCTACTTGGGAGGCTGAGGCAGGAGAATGGCTTGAACCCGGGAGGCAGAGGTTGCAGTGAGGCGAGATTGCACCACTGCACTCCAGCCTGGGTGACAGAGCGAGACTCGGTCTCAAAAAAAGAAAAAAAAAAAAAAAAGCTGGGCTTCGTGAAGGGCTCACACCTGTAATCCCAGCACTTTGGGAGGATCACTTTGGGTGGATTGCTTGAGCCCAGGAGTTTGAGACCAGCCTGAGCAACATAGCGAGACTCCATCCTTACAAAAGATAAGAAAACAAAAGACAGAAGGAGTGGTTTGGAGCTATGCAAGTGTCCCTCTTGGCTCTGGCAATTTCTGGGTGGATAACCTTGGGTAGCACCCTTCTCTTTGAATCTAAGTTTCCTTATCTAAACTGGCGATGATAAGACCTCCCTTGCTATGTTGTTATAAAATTACTTGTGTGCCTAGCCCAGAGTAGGTGTGCAATGAATGAGTAAATGGATGAATGGCTAAATTCCACACATATTTATGGAGTGCTAAGTCTGTGTCAGGCATTACCTTGGGGACACAGCTGGAAGTGAACAAGCCCCAGTCTTCGGTTTTTAGGAGCCCACATTCTGGCAGAAGAGACAGGAAGTAGCTGGGCAGGGTGGCTCATGCCTATAATCCCAGCACTTCGGGAGGCTGAGGTGGGCTGATCACCTGAGGTCAAGAGTTTGAGAACAGCCTGGCCAACATGGTGAAACCCCATCTCTACTAAAAATACAAAAATTAGCCAGGCATGGTGGCATGCACCTGTAATCCTAGCTACTCGGGGGGCTGAGGCAGGGAAATCGCTTGAACCCGAGAGGTGGAGGTTGCAGTGAGCCGAGATCGAGCCACCACACTCCAGCTTGGGTGACAGACTGAAACTCCATCTCAAAAAAAAAAAAAAAGAGAGCCAGGAAGTAAGTGAGACAGATAAGATCAACACAGAGCATGCTAAACAGAAAAGTAGGAAAGACATACTATTCAGTGTTGGGGTGGGTGGGGAGATTAATATTTCAGAAAGGGTAGCCTGGGAAGGGCTCATTGAGAAGCTGACTGTTGAATAAAGATTGGCAGGAATTACGCAACCAGCCGTGTAGATCTCTGGGAGAGGAGAATTCCGGGGAGAAGGGACAGTCAGTGCAAAGGCCCTTAGGCCAGAGCATGCTTGGGGTTCAAGAAACAGAGTGAGTGCCAGTGTGCCTGAAGCCCAGTACAGAAGGGAGAAGGTTGTCGGAGATGAAGGCAAAGAGGTAATGACGGGTGGGTTAGAGTTTGCAGGGCCTTTGGAAGCTGTGAGAAGGATTTTGGCTTTTTTTCTGGGTCAGAGGGGAGCCAGTGCAGGAGTTTGAGCAGAGGAGTGGCATATTACGGTTCTCCAGAGAAAGGGAACCAACAGGATATACACATGTCTACATTAATCAATTAATTATTTTGAGGGGGTTCTCCAGAGAAAGGGAACCAACAGGATATACACATGTCTACATTAATCAATTAATTAATTTTGAGATTGAGTTTCGCTCTTTCACCCAGGCTGGAGTGCAGTGGCACGATCTCGGCCTACTGCAACCTCCATCTCCTGGGTTCAAGTGATTCTCATGCTTCAGCATCCCAAGTAGCTGGGATTACAGGTGCCCGCCACCACACCTGGCTAGTTTTTGTACTTGAGACAGGGTTTCACCATGTTGGCCAGCCTGGTCTCGAACTCCTGACCTCAGGTGTTCCACCCGCCTCATTCTTCCCAAGTGCTGGGATTACAGGCATGAGCCACCATGCCCGGCCTATATTAATTTCTTTACAGAGATTTATTATAATGAATTGGCTCGCATGATTATGGAGGCCGAGAAGTCCCAAGATCGGCAGCTGGCAAACAGGAGACCCAGGAGAACTGATGATTTAGCTCCAGTGTGAGGCCCAAAGACCCTGTGAGTTCCCAGGAGAGCCAATGACATAAGTTCTGGTCCTAACGCGAGCAGACTTGAGATGCAGGAAAAGCCAATGTTTCAGTTCAAGTCTCAGGGTGGAAAAGCACAGTGTCCCAGCCCAAGCAGGCAGGCAGCAGGAGTTCTCTTGTACTGTGCCTTTTTGTTCTATATGGGCCTTCAACGGATTGGATGGGGCCCACCCACATTAGGGAGGGCGACTTGCTCTATTCAGTCTGCAGTTCAAATGTGAATCTCACCCAGGAACACCCTTACAGACACACACTCACAATAATGTTTGAACAAAAATATCTGGGGGCCAGGCATGGTGGCTCACACCTGTAGTCCCAGCACTCTGGAAAGCCAAAATGCGTGGATCACTTGAGGCCAGGAGTTTGAGACCAGCCTGAGCAACATGACAAAACCCTGTATCTATAAAAAAAAATACAAAAATTAGCTGGTATGATGGCACCACATGTGGTACCAGCTACTCAGGAGGCTAAGGTGGAAGGATCGTCTGAGTTCAGGGAGGTTGAGGCTGCAGTGAGCCATGACTGACTGTGCCACCGCACTCCAGCCTGAGCGACAGAGCAAGACCTTGTCTCAAAAAAAAAAAAAAAAAAAAAAAATCTGGGCAGCCCGTGGCCCAGTCAAACTGACACATCAAATTGACCATCCCAAGTGGCTTCACTGGATGTAGCTTTCTACAGGCTCTCTCTGGCTGTGGTGTTGAGAATAGTATGAAGGTAGGGGTAGGGTTGGGGAGTCAGAAGCAGGAAGGTGAATTTGGTGGCTACCATATAGTCATCCAGGTAAGTGTGGTGGTGGCTTGGACTAAAGTGGTAGTAAGAGGTGTGACGAGGTTATTAGATTCTGGATGTATTTTGAAAGGAGTGCAGATGGGGTGAGAGAGAGAAGAAGAGAAATAATGGGTGACCTGTGGTTTTTGGCTTCAGCACCTTAAAGAATGAGGTTGCCACTGATTGAGAAGGGAGTATCAGGAGTATGGCGGACACGTTGAGTGTGAGAAATGTAAGCTTTGGAGGAGATGTGGGGTCAGCAGGTAGATGTCCATGCCTGGAGTCCAGCAGAGCAGCCTGGGCCAGACAGCTGGATTTGGGAGCTGTCATTAGCACCTGCCTGGCTGTCTTCATTATTGCATCAAGAGTGGCTCTTGGTTGCAAGTAACAGAAAACCTGGCTGCAGGCCAGACATGGTGGCTCACGCCTGTAATCCCAGCACTTTGGGAGGCCGAGGTGGGTGGATCACCTGAGGTCAGGAGTTTGAGACCAGCCCGGCCAACACGGTGAAACCCTGTCTCTACTAAAACTACAAAAATTAACCGGGTGTGGTGGCATGTGCCTGTAATCTCAGCTACTCAGGAGGCTGAGGCAGGAGAATCGCTTGAACCTGGGAGGCAGAGTTTGGGTAAGCTGAGATTGCACCATTGTACTCCAGCCTGGGTGACACAGCAAAACTCCATCTCAGAAAAAGAAAACTTAGTTGCCTTGAGCAAAAACAGAAATTATTGGAAAACTCTAGGGGTCCACAAACCCACCAGGAAGCTGGGGGATCCAGGCTGGGGAAGTGAGTGGGGGCCAAGGAGGCTGTGAAGATCTGAGCAGCGGCAGTCACAGAAAAGGCCCCGGCAGGAGCAATCCGGTCCTAAAACCCCCATGGCTACCATGTGGATAGGACCTCCTGCGGCCCCTTGCTGGGATCACCGCTCATGATGCAGAGTCTGAGGAGAGCAGCTCATTGGTTCAACCAAGCCACATGACCTTCAGGCTGGGGTGCAGGGAGGGAGGCCTGGCCACTTAGGGTTTCCATTTTCTTTTTTCTGAGACAGAGTCTCGCTCTGTCACGCAGGCTGGAGTGCAGTGGTGTGATCTCAGCTCACTGCAACCTCCGCCTCCCGGATTCAAGTGATTCTCCTGCCTCAGCCTCCCCAGTAGCTATGATTACAGGTGCGTGCTACCATGCTTGCCTAATTGTTGTATTTTTAGTAGAGACGGGGTTTCACCATGATGACCAGGCTGGTCTTGAACTCCTGACCTTAAGTGATCCACCCGTCTCGGCCTCTCAAAGTGTTGAGATTACAGGCGTGAGCCACTGCACCCAGCCCACTGAGGGTTTCCTAGTGGAGGAGGAGGCCACCATCCCCTCATTGTGGTGTTTATAATGGGGAACTCCCAGAGGAGCCACCAGGGTAAAAGAGGAAGAGATGAGATGTTGGACTGGCATAAAAAAAGAAAAGCAGACCAAAACTCCAGCGTGACAGCAGCAAAGCCCATCACAACTGCATCATAATTATCATCAGCAGCAATAGCAGCTGGAGTGATTTCTTTTCTTTTTTTGAGACAGGGTCTTGCTCTATCACACAGGCTGGAGTACAGTGGTGTGATCGTAGCTCACTGCAGCCTCGACCTCCCAGGCTCAAGCAGTCCTCCTGCCTCAGCCTCTTGAGCAGCTGGGACTACAGGCACAAGCCACTATACCAGGCTAAGTTAAAAAAAAAAAAAAAAGTGTAGAGATGGAGTCTCACTTAGGCTGGTCTTGAACTCCTGGCCTCAAGCAATCCTCCTACCTCGGCCTCCCAAAATGCTGGGATTACAGGCAGGAGCCACCTTGCCAGGCTGATCTTTTAAATTCTTTCAGCGTCAAAGCCAAAGTTTTCTCAATGTCCTAAAAGGCCCCAGGCCCTCTGCCCTCCCTCCCCTGCTACCCCGCCCTGTGGCCTCTCTGACCTCATCTCCTGTTGTTCCTGCCTTGCTCATTCTTCCCCAGCCTCACTGGTCCCCTGGCTGCGGCTCCAAAACGCTGGCCACTCCTGCCCCAGGACACTTGCCTTTGCTCTCTTCCGTGCCCTTCCCAGACATCCCCACGACTTGCTCCCTTACTGCCTTCAGGCTTCTCTCTCTCTCTCTCTCTCTTTTTTTTTTTTTTTTGGAGATGGAGTCTCACTCTGTTGCCCAGGCTGGAGTTCAGTGGTGTGATCTTGCCTCACTGCAACCTCCATCTCTTGGGTTCAAGTGATCCTTCTGCCTCAGCCTCCTGAGTAGCGGGGGTTACAGGCGCATGCCACCATGCCCGGCTAATATTTGTATTTTTAGTAGAGATGGGGTTTTGCCATGTTGGCCAGGCTAGTTTCAAATTCCTGGCCTCAAGTGATCTGCCTGCCTCAGCCTCCCAAAGTGCTGTGATTACAGGCATGCGCCACGGTGCCCCGCTGAGACTTTTCTCCAATGTGACCTTCTCAGCCAGACATCCTTGATGATGCCATTTACATTTGCAATGCTCCCTCTATCCCATCTCCTCCCAGGAATGCCTCTTCATGTCTTTGCTTTTTTTTTTTTTCCCCCACAGAACTTCTCATCATCTTCATGCTACATATCTCTGTTTCTTGTGTATCTCCCTCCTCCATGTGGATGGGGGTTTCCAGAACCGAGCCTGGTATGGAGCAGGCGGTCAGGATTTGCTCTTGAATGAAGGATGGGGGTTCACTCCCTGGAGCTATGTTGGGAGCCCTGTTCTGAGGAGCTCTGGCTTCGTGGGTCCCCAGGACCCAGGGTAAGACAGTCCACTCCTTGGGCAATGACTGGGACCAGTACCTGGGGAGGTTGGGGCCCTTCATCCCAACTCAGTCCCATCCTTGAGGGAATCAACTGTGACTCACAGCTAACAGGGTGAGCAGAGCTGCTTCTTCAGTCACGAATGAAAATAACCTTGTCTCTGTAAACAAACAGCTCTCAATTTATTCATTGGGAAGAAAGAAGTGTGTGTGGAAAGAAGGAGGCACTTTCCTGGGGGGCGGAGTGTCAGAGTGTTAGACTTGAGTTACTCAGAGTAATTGATTCACGATGCTGCGTGTCAGGGGTGTTACATCTAATCGGGAGCTGTCCATACAATTTCTCACTAATTGTCACTGGGCGCCATAACAGGATAATGACTGTTGGGGCACAAGAGACTTGGATGTGGTGAGCCAAGGGTATCATTTTGATTTTTGTTTTGAGATGTGCTGGAACTCAGATGACCCTCCTTACCGAAAGGCTCCATCCCTTTAAATTTTTTTTTTTTTTTTTTTAAGAGATGATGTTTTTCTGCGCTATGTTGCCCAGGCTGGTCTCAAACTCCTGGGCTTAAGTGATCCTTCCACTTCAGTCTCCCAAGTAGTGGGGAATGCAGGTGTGAGCCACTGCACCCGACTGAAAAGCTCATTCTTTTTTTGTTGAGACAGGGTCTCACGCTGTCACCCAGACTTGGAGTGCAGTGGCGTGCTCACGGCTCACTCTAGCCTTGACCTCTCAGGCTCAAGCTATCCTTCCATCTCATTCTCCCAGGTAGGTGGGACTACAGGCATGTGCCACCATGCCTGGCTAATTTTTTTATTTTTTGTAGAGACGGGGGTCTCACTATGTTGCCCAGGCTAGTCTCACACTCCTGAGCTCAAGCGATCCTCCCACCTTGGCCTCCCAACATGCTGGGATTACAGGCATGTGGAAGGTTCATTGTTTAGCCAGAGTTTTGTTCTGGACCGGAGACAATCTAGAGGGATGCAGACCTGGGCTTGGACCACCAGAGGTCTGGCTGGACCCCTGGGGGCCAGAAGTGCCTAGTTGAGGGGTATCTTCTTGGACTCGTTACTTACTCCTCACTTTGAACCTGTCACCAAGTGTGTCAGTTTTGCCTCTAAAGCATCTGTCAGCTCTGTCCACTTCTCTCCACTCCCACTGCCACCCCCTGCTTTCACCTGGTGACCACAGACGCTGCTTAGCTTCTGCTCTGTCTCTTATTCCCTTCCCTTTGCCTCTACCCGGGAGCATACATGTAATGGTGACAGTTCCCTGCATAACACACTGCAGCGGTCCCATTCCCTTGAGGATGAAGACCAAAATCCTTAACATGGCTCAAGAGATCCCACAACCATCTGGCCCCTGCCCACTTCTCAGCCTCACTGTTCACCATTTTCTCCAGGCAAAAGGAAGGACCAGTGACCTAAGAATGCCATGGGGCTGCTGCCCTCATTTTGCACTCTAGGATTTTGACCTTATTATTTCCTGTGCATGGGATGCTTTCTTCCCCTCCCTCCCTCCCTTTCTTCCTTCCTTCCTTCCATCCATCCTCTTTCTTTCTCTCTCCTCTCCCTCTCTCTCTCTCCCTCCCTCCCTCCCCTCCCCTGCCTCCCTTCCTCCTCCTCCTCCTTCTTTCCCCTCTCTCTCTCTTTCTTTTTGAGACAGGGTCTCATTCTGTCACCCAGGCTGGAGTGCAGTAGTGTGATCGTGGCTCACTGCAGCCTCAACCTCCTGGGCTCAAGTGATCCTCCCACCCTAGCCTCCTGAGGAGCTGGATACCACTGTGTGCAGTGAGTGCATGCCACTGTGCCCAGCTAATTTTTTGTATTTTTTGCAGAGATGGAGGTTTTGCCACGTTGCACAGTCTGGTCTCAAACTCCTGGGCTCAAGTGATCTGCCCACCTCGGCCTCCCAAAGTGCTGGGATTACAGGCATGAGCCACCGCACCTGGCCTAGGAGCTGCTTCTTAGATCTTCCGCAGCTCTTTCTCATCACCAGCTAAAATGCTGTATTCTGGTAGCATTGTCTTTATCCTCCTCTGGACTGTATCTCTCTTGAAGTCTTCCATTCCAGTTCATTTCTCCTGAGCCTAGTACAATAATACATAGAAAGCGCTGGGATATTTTTAAAAATACTAATGTTTAGAATCAATTTTAATTCCTTCTGTAAAAAATATACGTATTTTGCCTTTTTAAAAAAATGCAAAACTGGGCCAGGTTTAGTGGGGCATGCCTCTAGTCCCAGCTACTTGGGAGGCTGAGGTGGGAGGATGGCTGGAGCCCAGGAGTTCGAGGCTGCAGTGAGCCATGATTGCACCACTGCACTCCAACCTGGGCAATAGAGTGAGATCCTATCTCAAAAAAAAAAAAAAAAAAAAAAAAGGAAAACTCAAGTCCTTTTAGTGATCACACCAAGTTCCTGCACCTTGTCGCTTTTTTATTTTATTTTATTTTATTTTTTTGAGACAGAGTCTTGCTCTGTCTCCCAGGCTGAAGTGCAGTGGCATGATACCAACTTACTGCAACCTCCGCCTCCTGGGTTCAAGCGATTCTCCTGCCTCAGCCTCCTGAGTAGCTGGGATTACAGGCATGTGCCACCATGACTGGCTAAATTTTTTGTATTTTTAGTAGAGACAGGGTTTCACCATGATGGTCAGGCTGGTTTTGAACTCCTGGCCTCAAGTGATCCTTCTGCCTTGGCCTCCCAAAGTGCTGGGATTACAGGCGTGAGCCATCACGCTCGGCCAGCCCTTGTTTTTATGAACATCGTGTATCCTTAAGGACCTTCAAATACTTCTGCATCCATTTGTATGCATCTTTAGTTTTGTTCTGAAAACCTCAAGATATAGCACGCTATGTGTATAGTTTGCAACTTGAATTTTTTTCACTCAACACTGTGTTTCTGAGACCAATCCTCGCTGATACATAGAGAGCTAGTTAATTCCTCCTGCCTTCTGCATAGCATCTCACTATGTTATTAATTGCCTTTTGTTTTCTCAAGCTATTTCTGTGTTGATGGGCATTTGTGTTGTGTCTACTGCCTTGCTATTGAAAATAGCACTTCAGTGCGTGCACCGCGTAGGCCTCTGTGTACTACCGTGAAGTGTTTCCTGAGGCCAGTAGTTCTCAACTTGGCTGCAGACAGAATCACCTGAACGTTTTTTTTTTAACAATCACACCAACTCTCTGCCTTTCCCCAAATTCTTAATTGAATGGTTCAGGGTAGGCATCGGCAGTTTTAGAAGCTCCAGGGTGCTTCTAAATGTGCATTCAGGGTTGAGACCTGCTGTTCTGGGGTGTACATTGGGGATGTTGGTGTTGCAATGACTGGGCCAAAAGAAGAACCCAACCCCGTGTTTTACCAGGCTCTGCCCAATTGCCTTTCAAGGTGACTGAACTGATCTACATCCTGCTGGCAGTGTGTGAGCGAATAATGACTGTTTTGTGTGAACAAGTGACTACCAGTCACTGCAGGTCAGTGAACCAGAGCGTTCTCCACTGCACAAACTGCCTCCAAGTGGCTCATCACCATGGGCTACAGCCCACAAACGTCTGAGCTTGGAATGCTTTGTGTCCTTAGGTGGCAGCTTGGTGCAGCTGAAAAGGTGCCAGGCTGCTAATGGGACAATTCGGAGTCCAGTTCAGACCCAGGTTCTACCTTGCTATGTGTCCTCCCAGGTCACATCCCCACACTGAGCCTCAGCATCCCTGCCCTTGGAGGGAGGAGAGCTGGAAACTCACCTGCGGTCATTTTCATGTTTCTCTTCTGTCTGAGCCACACGTTACTTGCAGCCTGTGGTCTGAGCATGGGCGTTAGAGCCCAGTCCTGAATAGTTTCTGCACTGTGGGCCCTGTTGGTATCTGGGGAAGCCTATTACCCTTCTCAGAGCAATGTTTCTTTTTCTTCTCTTTTCTTTCTTTTCTTTTCTTTCATTTTTTGTTTGAGACAGAGTCTCGCTCTGTCACTGAGGCTGGAGTGCAGTGGCATGATCTTGGCTCACTGCAACCTCTACATCCTGGGTTCGAGTGATTATCCTGCCTTAGTCTCCTGAGTAGCTGGGATTACAGGTGCCTGCCACCACGCCCGGCTAATTTTTGTATTTTTAGTAGTGATGGGGTTTCACCATGCTGGCCAGGCTGGTCTCAGACAGCTGACCTCAGGTGATCCACCCGCCTTGGCCTCCCAAAGTGCTGGGATTACAGGCGTGAGCCACCTCGCCCGGCCTTTTTTTTTTTTTTTTTTTTTTAGAGACGGAGTGTCCCTGTGTCCCTCTGTCACCTAGGCTGGAGTGCAGTGGCTTCATCTCAGCTCACTGACCTCCGCCTCCCAGGTTCAAGTGCTTCTCCTGCCTCAGTCTCCCAAGTAGCTGGGACTATAGGCATGCACCACCACGCCCAGCTAATTTTTGTGTTTTTCAGTAGAGATAGGGTTTCACCATGTTGGCCAGGCTGGTCTTGAACTCCTGGCCTCAAGTGATCTGCCTGCCTTGGCCTCCCAGAGCACTGGGATTACAGGTGTGAGCCACTGCTCCCAGCCTCTGAGCAATGTTTCTAAATATGAAATCCAAAGGCTTGTGAAGACAACTGATTATATGGAAATACAGCTGATATAAATATTACAAAATTATTACAAAAATATTACAAAGCCAAACTGTGATATAGCAATACCCATGCCTCTTTATTAACACACCAAATAAGGCGATCTGATGGTGGGTTGGCAACATTATTACGATTGCAGTTTAAAGCAGTGATGAGTGTAAATGATATTCCAACATCTTTGCAACAAATGTAACAGGACATGAAAATATCTGTGATTCCTGTTGGTGACAAAGTTACAGGTTCTGTTGACACGACGGCAGTTTGCTGCCTACACTCATAATGGAAAGAATTGCTACATTGCAGTTTGATGTTAGTAAAATTAAGAGGTCTATTTTTTCTTCCGAGTTCATTGAGTTCATTGATTGCAGGTTACTGGCCCTTGCTAGAGTTATATAGACTTGAGTTTCTTTCTTTTTTGTGAGTTTTTTTTTTTTTTTTTGACGGAGTCTTGCTCGTCGTTCAGGCTGGAGTGCAGTGGCACGATCTCGGTTCACCGTAACCTCCACCTCCCGAGTTCAGGCGATTCTCCTGCTTCAGCCTCCTGAGTAGCTGGGATTACAGCATGTGCTACCACGCTCAGCTAATTTGTGCATTTTTAGTAGAGACAGGGTTTCACCATGTTGGTCAGGCTGGTCTCGAACTCCTGACCTCAGGTGATATGCCCCCTCCCCTCCTTGGCCTCCCAAACTGCTAGGATTACAGGTGTGAGCCATTGTGCCCTGCTTTTTTGTGGCTTTTTAAAAATTTTTATTTTGTAGAGACGAAGTCTCACTGTGTTGTCCAGGCTGGTCTTGAGCTCCTGAGCTCAGGTGATCTTTCTGCCTCAGACTCCCAAAATGCTGGGATTACAGGCATAAACCACCATCCCAGGCTAGACATGGGTTTCAATCTCTGCTCTATAGCTTCCTGTGTGGGTGCATTTGGGTAAATTCCTTTTCTTTCCTGAGTCTCAGTTTCCTCAACTGTAAAATGCATGTAAGACAGTGAGCTCCTAGGGTGCTGGGAAGAGTAAATGTGACAAATCAAATTCAACACACATTTGTAGAGAACTTTTGATGTGCTCAGGGCCATTTTCGGTGCCAGGATGCTGGACCGAATGAGAAGGGCAAAATCCTTGCCCCTCTGGAGTTTACAGTTCGGGGGCAGAGACAATGAATAATGAGGCAGATAAGTAAATAACGGTTTCAGATAATACTAAGGGCAATGAAGAAAATAGTACAGGTGATATGAAAGGGAACAAATGCCTGGTGCAGGTGACATTAAATAGGGCAATTAGGTAATAATACAGACAGAAATGAACAATATTGATGCATAAGACGAGAGAATGTATTTGAAGTATCAGCTCGGCACCTGGTACGTGGTGTATGTTCCATTTGTGCTGGCCACGGTGATGATGATGATGATGCCATCTCTCCGGCTACACTGCGAGCACAGATCACAGCTCTCTGTAGCTGATGCTGGCTCTACCCACTGTATTCGGGGCTGGATGAAGGTGGGGCCATGGAAGCGTTCTACACAAGAACTCAGCAGTCCTGTTGGAGCCAGATTGGAAGGAAGCAGGTCTGATTAAAGGAAGATAAAGTCTTCTCTCTGCTAAGTCTCGCAGGGAGAGCTAGGCAATCAATAGGTCTCGCAGATCAGTGGAGGGTGCTTGGAATCTGGCAGCATGGGGCTTTTTAATTAAACCTATAACTGTGAGAAAAGGTAACTGCCTTATTTCTGCAGCTTGTGTTTCTGTCTGCCTGCCAGAAACTGAACAAATCAATGCACTTCCAGAGGTTCTGAGGATCTTGACAAGGGGGCCTCTGGTTTTGGGATGGCCAGACCCTGCAGGGATAAACTCTCGAGTGGCCAGGGTGTCAGGTACCAATTCTGGAGGGTCAGGTGTTGCCTTTTACATTTAAATACCCATAGCAGGTGTGATTAGCAACTGCAATTCAGGGGAAGGCGAGGCCCCTTCCCAGCCAGCAGCAGCTTGCCTTCCAGGATTTTATACCAAGCTGGCCCCCTACCACCACAAGATGTCAACATTCCTTTTTTTAATAGAAGATTTTCTTTTATTGTGGGCCAGGCATGGCGGCTTGCTCCTATAATCCCAGCACTTTGGGAGGCCGAGGCTGGCAGATCACTTGAGGTCAGGAGTTCCAGACTATCCTGGTCAACATGGAGAAACCCCTGTCTCTACTAAAAATACAAAATTAGCTTGGCATGGTGGTGTATGCCTGTAATCCCAGCTACTCAGAAGGCTGAGGCACGATCATCATTTGAATCCGGGAGGCAGAGGTTGCAGTGAGCTGAGATCACACCATTGCACTCCAGCCTGGGCAACAGAGTGAGTCTCCATCTCAAAAAAAAAAAAAAAAAAAAAAAAAGATTTTCGTTTATCATGAAGTAGAATTATGCTGTTTAGGGTATGGTCCATGCACCAGCATCACAGCATCATCTGCTGGGAATGTGTCAGAGATACAGAACTCCAGCCCCACCCCAGACCTACTCAGTTAGAATCTGCATTTTAACCAGATCATCAGGAATTCATATGCATATTGATGTGTGAGAGGCACTGAAATTGAACATACATATGAGACTTAGAAGACAAAGAAGCCAAATGCCAATATGCAGACCTTATTTAAATCCTGAGAGAGTTAAGAAGTTATCTATGAGATAATTTGAGATTTGAACATTTGCAGATATTAAGGAATTATTCATTTCCTAGGTGATAGGGAGGTTTTATTTCAAAAAAAAAAAAAAAGAGCCCTTTTGGCCATGCGCGATGGCTCATGCCTGTAATCCCAGCACTTTGGGAGGCTGATGTGGGTGGATCACCTGAAGTCAGGAGTTCAAGCCCAGCCTGGCCAACATGGTGAAATCCCGTCTCTACTAAAAATACAAAATTAGCTAGGCGTGGTAGTAGGTGCCTGTAATCCCAGCTACTCAGGAGGCTGAGGCAGGAGAATTGCTTGAACCTGGGAGGCAGAGGTTGCAGTGAGCCGAGGTCTTGCCACTGCACTCCAGTCTGGGCAACAAGAATGAAACTCTGTTTCAGAGAAAAAAAAAAACCCTTTTCTTTTAGAGTTACACATGAAAATACTTAGAGATAAAATGATTTCATGCTCGCATTTGTTTTAAAATACTGGTGGAGCTAGACAAAGTCTTGACGTTTGGACACAGCACGAATGACTGTGAGTTGATGGTATGGGGAACTGTGTCACGACCCAGGCAGACACAGTACACAGTATACTGTTTACTTAGTATATGTTTCAAATTCCCCACGGTAAAAACCTAAGATGATGATATAGAATATTCACATAGAAAATGCATGAAACAGGCTGGGCACAGTGGCTCACGCCTGTAATCCCAGCACTTTGGGAGGACAAGGTGGGCAGATCACCTAAGGTCAGGAGTTTGAGACCAGCCTGGCCAACATGGCGAAACCCCGTCTCTACTAAAAAATACAAAAGTTAGCTGGGCATGGTGGTGGGCGCCTGTAATCCCCGCTACTCAGGAGGCTGAGGCAGGGAGAATTGCTTGAACCTGGAAGGCAGAGGTTATAGTGAACTGAGATCACGCCACTGCACTCCAGCCTGGGCGACAGAGCAAGATTCTGTCTCAAATTAAAAAAAAAAAAAAAAAAAAGAAAAAGAAATGCATGAAACAGGAAGGTGTTGTGATGAGCATTAGTTCAAGTGGACATCCATAAATCTGTTACCAGGTCATTACCGGCTCCTGCCCTCTGTCAGAACCTCTGCCCCAGAGTAATTTCTTCCCTCCCATTCTCTGGGGCGCTCTCACCCCTAGCTGCCTATGGAATCGCCTGGGAAAACTTTACAAAACAATGCAGTTGAGCCTCCTCCAGTCCAATGAAAACATACTCCCTGGGAGTGCGCACAGGTGATTCTAATGTGCGACCTTAGCTGCCCTAGCTTTTCAGGTGAATGCCATATTTGTGCTTGAATTTCTCAACGAGCTTACTGCTGCTTACATCCAACAGGCAATTTCACTTTCTCATCAAGGGACTGAGTTGCTGGACTGTTGTATAAGCACAGGTTACATTGCAACCCATTTTTTTCCTTTTTTTTTTTTTTTTGTTTGAGACTATGTTTCGCCGTGTTGCCTAGGCTGGACTCAAACTTCTGGGCTCAAGTGATCCTCTCTCTTCAGCCTCTTGAGGAGATGGGGCTTTAGCTACCGTGCCTGGCTTGCAACCCATTTTTGAAACTAATGGGTTTTTGTGTATTTGTGATAAATGTGTATCTACCACATATTGAGTGCTTTCCATTTCTCTGGAACTGTGCTAAGTACTTTATTTTATTTAATCCCCAAAACGATTGTGGGGTCAGCATCCCTGTCCCTATTATACTGATGAAGAAACAGGCTCAGAGAGACTATGTGGCTTGCTTCAGGTCACCCAGTTTAAAAAGTGCTGAGTGTGGATTGGGTTCATAGCTCTCTGACTTAATGCTCTTAAGCATCATTTTGTGCCGTTCATTCAGGGTCTTGATTGAAGAGTTGAGGGCCAGTTAGCCACCCACAATGAACTGGAAGTAAACATGGAGAGGTCGTCACAGTGTCACTCGAGGCACACTTAAGTGGTGTGCCTTGGAGCTGAGTTTCCGTCTTTGTCAAATGGGGACAGCACTGTTTTGTCTTCTCTGGCTGACAACCTCTTACTCATCTCTCAAAAGTGCGTCAGTTGTCACAGAATGGGGAAGCCGGAAAGCTCCTCTGAATTTCAAGGGACCTCCTGGCTAAAGCAGAATTAGTCATGTCCTCCTCTAGCCTCACAGACCACTTGTCCAGGTCTCTGAGAGCAGTCGACAGGAGCCCTACACTTGTCATGTGAGACACTGGCGCGTCTAAGAACAGGTGCTGTTTTGTAGCTATTTCTCTGTCTGCAGAGTCCAGCCCAGGGGCTGGAGCATGGCAGGGGCCCCTGCATGTCTGCAATTTGAATGAAAGACGAGGGTACTGCTCAAACACCAAAGCTTTGGTCAGAGCCTAGGATGTACTGACACAGGACCCTTTGGGCAGAGATATATCACACACAGCCACAGGAGAGTGGTTAGGAACCTGGACTCTGAATGAAGACTGCCTGGGTTCAAGTCCAAGCTCTGCCACTTACAAGCTGAATGACCTTGGGCAAGTTATCTCACTTCCCTGGGCCTCCCTTTCCTCATCTGAAAAAATGGCTACATTGCAGCCTTGTTATAAGGATTGAATGGGTGGGTGCAGTGGCTCATGCCTGTAATCCCAGCACTTTGGGAGGCCGAGGAAGGTGGATCACAAGGTCAGGAGTTTGAGACCAGCCAGGCCAACATAGTGAAACCCGTCTCTACTAAAAATACAAAAATTAGCCGAAAAATTAACCGGGTGTGGTGGCACGTGCCTGTAGTCCCAGCTACTCAGGAGGCTGAGGCAGGAGAATCGCTTGAACCTGGGAGGCAGAGGTTGCAGTGAGCCGAGACCATGCCATTGCACTGTAGCCTGGGTGACAGAGTGAGAGACTCCATCTCAAAAAAAAAAAAAAAAAAAGAAACTTAACTGGGCATGGTGGAATCCACCTGTAGTCCCAGCTCCTCAGGAGGCCGAGGTGGGAGGATCACTTAGCCCAGGAGTTTGAGGCTGCAGTGAGCCACTGCACTCCAACCTGGGTGATGTAGTGAGACCCTGTCTTAAAAGAAGAAGAAGAAAAAAGAATGAGTTTGTATTTTAAAAGCACTTCAATGATGCCTGGCACTCTGGTGCCAGGGGCCAAAGGAAAAGTTAGTAATACCAATCATTTCCTGAAGACTGTGATATTTGTTTATCATGGGTATTTTTGCATTAATTTTGCATTAATTTTTTCATTCTTTTTCGTTTTTAAACATATTGCATCCAAGTGTTATTTATCTTGATGACTGGGTGTTTGGTGCCTCCTTAAATTTTGCTCCCGGGGAGAATGTCTCACTTGCCTCTCCCTCATCCCGGTCCTGGCACCTAAGAAGCAACACATCAGTTCTCATTTGTCTGGAGGGAGCTCAGCATCATTATATGTATTTAAAGAAAAAGATGAATGTGTATATATTACCAATACTTATTCAGAATCTACAAAACTCTGAGCACTGGGGATGGGACTGTGTGATGGTTAATACCGAGTGTCAACTTGATTGGATTGAAGGATGCAAAGTATTGTTCCTGGGTGTCTGTGAGGGTGTTGCCAAAGGAGATGAACATTTGAGTCAATGGACTGGGAAAGGCAGACCCACCCTCAATCTGGGTGGATACCATCTAATCAGCTACCAGCATGGCCAGAATAAAAGCAGGAAGATGGACATGGAAGGACTTGACTTGCTGAGTCTTCTGGCCTTCATCTTTCTCCCATGCTGGATGCTTCCTGCCCAACATAAGACTCAAAGTCTTCAGTTTTTGGACTCTTAGACCTACACCAGTGTTTGCCAGGGGCTCTCGGACCTTAGGCCACAGACGGAAGGCTGCACCGTCTGCTTCCCCACTTTTGAGGTGTTGGGACTTGGACTGATCCACTACTGGCTTCCTTGCTCCTCAACTTGCAGACGGCCTATCGTGGGACTTTACCTTGTGATTGTGTGAGTCAATTCTCCTTAATACACTCCCTTTCATATACACATATATCCTATTAGTTCTGTCCTTCTAGAGAACCCTGACTAATACAGGCTGGGAATGAGACATTCTCAGCCACGGTCTTTGACCTCAAGGAGTTGACAGATCACTGATTATTGTTACCACTTATTGAGCATTTACTGTATGCAAGACATGGTGCTAGTGATGTTTTTATTAATCCTTGTGGTGACCTTTCCAGAAAGAATCATTACATTCATTTTACAGATGAAGAAATTGGACTCAGAGCAATTAAGCCACTTGCCTGAAGTCATGAAGTTATGAGCTGGGGTCAGGATGTGAACCCAGTCTCCCTATCTATCTATCTATCTATCTATCTATCTATCTATCTATCTACCTATCTATCTATCTATCTATCTATCTATCTATATCAGGGTCTTGCTCTGTCACCCAGGCTGGGATGCAGTGGTGTGATCATAGCTCACTGCAGCCTCAACACCCTAGGCTCAAGCGATTCTCCTGCCTCAGCCTCCTGAGGAGCTGGGACTACAGGTGCACACAACCATGCCTGGCTAATTTTTAGATTTTTATTGTAGAGATGGGGGTCTCACTATATTGCCTAGCTGGCCTCAAACTCCTGTGGCAAAGTGATCCTCCCACCTCTGTCTCCCAAAATGTTGGGATTACAGTTGTGAGCCACCATGCCTAGCCCTGTGAACCCAGTCTTTTAGACTTTCTACCACGGTATTTGGGTAAGTCCAGAGCTCTGTCCCCATCTTCTGCAAGAACATCTTGAAAGCTGAAGTTATCAGATGGATTTTTCTGGGAGTTCCATTGCTGAGTTCCTCTGATTCATGTCTCAGGAAGCTGGAGTCTAGACGTGGCGGGGCCTGTGGGAGGTGGCCCTCCCCTTTTCAGAGTGGATCTGTGCAGCCATCTGCCATCACCCATTCCTGTGGGGGAAAACACAGATTTTCCTGTGTTAAAAAATCTCTGAGACAAGACTTTGGCAGGATCTGAACAGACTGGCGAAGTGGCTCCAGGATTTCCTGGAAAAGGATGAGAAGGGGGAAAGAGAGGGCAAAGGAGAGGAGGAGAGAGTGGGAGGGAAAGAAGGAGGTCAGGGAGAAGAAAAATGAGCAGGAAGAGCCAGCAGACAGCCTCCCAGGTGGATGTCTTTGAAGGTAACTGAAATGCATGGTGGGGTTTTCCCAAAGGGTTTCTGTTAGACATTTCCCACTCCCAGTAGGGAAACTGGCTTCCCTAATCAGGGAAGGGCAGTTCAGGGCAGTGGAGCAGTGGGTGTCGATAATGCCCATCTTGCAGACTAGTTGCGAAGTTCCAGTGAGATTGAATATCTGAAGTGTAGTGTTGGCACACAATAGGTATTCAACAATGTCAGTTCAGTTCTCTCCTTTTTTATTTTTTATTTTTATTTATTTATTTATTTTTTGAGATGGGGAGTCTAGCTCTTGTCGCCCAGGCTGGAGTGCAATTGCCCAATCTCGGCTCACTGCAATCTTTGCTTCCCAGGTTCAAGGGATTCTCCTGCCTCAGCCTCCCGAGTAGCTGGGATTACAGGCACCCGCCACCATGCTCAGCTAATTTTTGTATTTTTAGTAGAGACGGGGTTTCACCATGTTGGCCAGGCTAGTCTCGAACTCCTGACCTCAGGTGATCTTCCCACTTCAGCCTCCCAAAGTGCTGGGGTAACAGGCATGAGCCACTGCGCCCAGCTAGTTCTCTCCTTTTTTAAAGACAGGCTCTTACTCTCTTGCCCAGGCTGGAGTACAGTGGCACAATCATAGTTCACCACAGCCTCAACCTCGTGGGCTCAAGTGGCCCTCCTGCCTCGGCCTCCTGAGTAGCTGGGACTACAGGCATGCACCACCACACCCCACTAATTAACAAATTAGTGGAACGTAGTGGCAGGCACCTGTAATCCCAGCTACTCCGGAGGCTGAGGCAGGAGAATCGCTTGAACCCAAGAGGTGGAGGTTGTAGTGAGCTGAGATTACGCCACTGCACTCCAGCCTGGGTGACAGATCAAGACTCCATCTCGAAATAAAAAGAAAGCAAAAGGTTCCTTCATTCTCCTGCCTTTATCCATTCACTCAGCACAGTGAGCACCTAAGTGTGCCAAGCACTGTCCAAGGTACTGGAGATATAACAGTGAACAAAACAGACAAAAGCCCCTGCCCTCGTGGAGCTGAGATTCTACTGCGGTAGGAAAAAGTAAAAAAGAAATAGATAATATTATAGGAACTTAGAGAGCTGTGAAAGCTAAGGATAAACAAAGCAGAGAAGGAGGATGAGGGGATGTTAGGGATATTGGTTTCCTAGTTTTTTCTGCTATAACAAATTACAGCATGAATCTAGGGGCTTTAAACAACCCATATGTGTTATCTTATAGTTCTGGAGGTCAGAACTCTAAAATGGATCAGCAGGGCTGTATTTCTTCGGGAAGCTCTAGGGGAGAAACCATTTCCTTGCCTTTTCTGGTTTCTAGAGGCTTCCTGCATTCCTTGGATCATGGCCCTACGTCATTCTGATCTACATCACTCCTCAGTCTCTGACCCTCTTGCTTCCCTTTTATAAGAGCCTTTGCAATTAGATTGAGCCATACAGATAATCTAGGATAATCTCCTCATCTCAAAATCCTTACTTTAATCACATCTGCAACCTCCTTTTTACCATGTAAAGTAACATTCACAGGTTCTGGGTATCAGCATGTGGACATATTTGGGGAGGGGGTAGTTGTGAATTATTCTGTCTACCACAGGAACAGAGATTTTAGATAAGGTGGCCAGGAAATAGCTTATTTATTTATTTGTTTTTAGAGACAGGGTCTCACTCTGTCACCCAGGCTGGAGGGCAGTGGTACAATCATAGCTCACTGCATCCTTGAACTGTGGGCTCAAGTGAACTTCCCACTTCAGCCTCCTGAGTAGCTGGGACTACAGGTGTGTGCCATCACACCCGGCTATTTTCTTTTTTTGTAGAGACAGGGTCTTGCTATGTTGCTCAGGCTGGTCTCAACCTCCTAGGCCCAAGTGATACTCCCGCCTCAGCATCCCAAAGTGTTGGGATTACAGGCACAAGCCACCACGCCTTCCCAGAAGAACTTATTGATGTGACTTTTGAGTAGGGACCTGAAGGAAGTGACGGATAGACACCTGGGGAGAGAACCTTCCAGGGAGAGGAAATGTTAGTGCAAAGGCTCTGAGGAGAGAGTACAATGAGTGTCTGTGTTTGAGGACCAGCGGGGAGGCCAGAAAGGTCACAGCAGGGAGATCCAGGGGCAGAAAGACAGGAACTGAGGTCAAAGAGGTCCTATGGGTGGGGGTAAGGGAGAGGTCATGAAAGGCCTTATAGATGATTGTGAGAAAAATGTCTTCCTCTGAATGAGACGGAAAACCATAAGACAGTTTCTCTAAGCACCTGTTCAATAACTGACTATGAAAGAAAATCTGGGCCAGGCACAGTGGCTCATGCTTGTAATCCCAGCACTTTTTGAGGCTGAGGCGGGTGGATCACTTGAGGCCAGGAGTTTGAGACCACCATGGGCAACATAGGGAGACCCTGTTTCTGCAAAAATAAAAACAAAAAATTAGCCTGATGTGGTGGCGCACACCTGCAGTTCCAGCTATTTGGGAGGCTGAGGTGGGAGGATTGCTTATGCCCAGCAGTTTGAAGTTTGAGGCTGCAGTGAGCTTTGATGGTGCCACTCCAGCTTGGGTGACAGAACAAGACCTTGTGTTTCTAAAAAAAACCCAAAAAAACCCAAAAAAAACTAAAAGAGATAAGTGAAAAGAGAAGTGCAAAATGAGGTGTAAACATGTAAAAAGGTGTAAGGAAATATGGAAGGGACACAATTGACAAGAGACCAGAAAATTCATAGAATGAAGTCTTCAATGTGTGAAGGGAAAGGGCTAACATAATTATGTTTCAAAGAATTCAAACAAATCACTAAGACAAGTCCCTGAATCTGGGTAGAAAAACAAGCAAAGGGGTGCGAACCGTCAACTCACTAAAGAGAAAATGCAATTAGCTAAGCACATGGGAAAAGTCAGCCTAACTAGTAATCAAAGAAATGCAAATTAAAACAACAAACCGTTATATTTTCACCTCATAAAGATTCTGAAAATGAGAATCCTGGCTTTGGCCTTGGTGGAATGAAATAGGTGCAAGAACCCTGGCAGTGGGAATTGGAAATCTGATTATTTTGGGAAACAGTTTGACACTGGGTAGCAAAACCTTAAACATGGGCATCCTCATTGGCCCAATAAGTCAATTTTTGGCAATCTAGCCCAAGGAAATAATTTTAAATCTGGAGAGAGCCTTATGCATTGCTGCCAAACAGGAGAAACAACTAAACTGTGAGCAATAGGTTAAATAGGCCACGGTGCTCATTCTTTTGATATTTTTGTCAATCATATGAATTAGGTGCCAGTTATGTGCCAGGCACTGTTCTAGGTGCCAGGAATACAGCAGTGAACAGAACATCTTGAACTCCTTGCCCTTCATGGGGTTCTGATTCTAGTGAGGGAGCAGGAGAGCAAATAAGAACAGATATGAAGATGCTACATGATGGGGGACAAAGTAGGGCAATGTCACAGAGAGTGGAGGGGACTGCAGGGTGGACAACCACCAGTTTGCTGGGGACATTCAGTTTTAAGGCTGGGGCAGCCCTGGACAAACTGGGATGAGCTAGTCACACTAAGAGGGTCATCCTTGTGATGGGAGTGGTCAGGGTCTTGTCCTCTGAGGAGGTAGGATTTGGTTAGGGACTCAATGCAATGAGGGAGTGAATGATGGGAGTGCTGGCTGAGTAGGTTTCCAGGCTGACAGAACAATACCTGCAAAGGCCCGGAGGAAGGAGTGTTCCTGGGGCAATGTGAGGGACTTGCACAAGGCTGGAGTGTCTGGGGCATAGCATGAAGGAGGATGGTGGTAAGATATAGATTTCAGAGAGGGAAACTCTTGACTCTTGCAGGGAAAGGAAGAAGTTTGGATTTTATTTTAAATCCAGTGAAAGCCTATGGAGGTTAAGCAGGGAAGCAACATGGTAAAATTTATGCTTTTAGAAAGACGACTCTGGCTGCTGTGTGGAGAAGGTGATGCAGGACAAGTAAGCCCCAAAGTTGGGGCTTAGCTTGGGAGGGTTCTTGGCTTCACCCAGGAAAGAATTCCAGGGTGAGCGGTGGTGGTGGACACTTTTATTTTTTTGAGACAGTTTTCACTCTTGTCACCTGTGCTGGAGTGCAATGGCAAGATCTCTGCTCATTCCAACCTCTGCCTCCTGGGTTCAAGTGATTGTCCTGCCTCAGCCTCCAGAGTAGCTGGGATTACAGGCACCCACCACCATGTCTGGCTAATATTTTTTTGTATTTTTAGTAAAGACAGGGTTTCACCATGTTGGCCAGGTTGGTTTTGAACTCCTGACCTTAGGTGATCCACCCCCTCCCAAAGTGCTGGGATTACAGATGTGAGCCACCATGCCTGGCCTAGACACTTTTATTGAAGCAGCAGTGCACAGCAGCAGCAGAGGGACTGCTCCTCACAGAGCAGGGCTACCCCATAGGCAGTGTGCCCAGAGTAGCAGCTCAGAGGCAGTTCTGCAGTCATATTTATACCCACTTTTAATGATATGCAAATTAAGGGGGGATTTATGCAGACATTTCTAGAAAAAAGTTGGTAACTTCCGGGTTGTTGGGTCATTGCCATGGAAAGGGGCAGTAACTCCTGGGTGTTGCCATGGCAATGGTAAACTGACATGCCACGCTGGTGAGAGTGTCTGTTGGAAAGCTGCTTCCACTTTGGCCCTGTTTTTTTTTTTTTTTTTTTTTTTTTTTTTTTTTTTTTTTTTTTTTTTTGGTATTTATTGATCATTCTTGGGTGTTTCTCGCAGAGGGGGATTTGGCAGGGTCATAGGACAATAGTGGAGGGAAGGTCAGCAGATAAACATGTGAACAAGGGTCTCTGGTTTTCCTAGGCAGAGGGCCCTGTGGCTTTCTGCAGTGTTTGTGTCCCTGGGTACTTGAGATTAGGGAGTGGTGATGACTCTTAAGGAGCATGCTGCCTTCAAGCATCTGTTTAACAAAGCACATCTTGCACCGCCCTTAATCCATTTAACCCTGAGTGGACACAGCACATGTTTCAGAGAGCACGGGGTTGGGGATAAGGTTACAGATTAACAGCGTCCCAAGGCAGAAGAATTTTTCTTAGTACAGAACGAAGTGGAGTCTCCTATGTCTACTTCTTTCTACACAGACACAGCAACAATCTGATCTCTCTTTCTTTTCCCCACATTTCTCCCTTTTCTACTTGACAAAACCGCCGTCGTCACCATGGCCCGTTCCCAATGAGCTGCTGGGTACACCTCCCAGATGGGGTGGCGGCCGGGCAGAGGGGCTCCTCACTTCCCAGACGGGGCGGGGGGCAGAGGCGCCCCCCACCTCCCGGATGGGGCAGCTGGCCGGGCGGGGGCTGCCCCCACCTCCCTCCCGGACAGGGCGGCTGGCCGAGCGGGGGCTGCCCCCCACCTCCTGGACGGGGCGGCTGCCAGGCGGAGACGCTCCTCACTTCCCAGACGGGGCGGCCGGGCAGAGACACTCCTCACCTCCCAGACGGGGTGGCAGTCAGGCAGAGACACTCCTCAGATCCCAGACGGGGTCGCGGCTGGGCAGAAGCGCTCCTCACATCCCAGATGGGGCAGCGGGGCAGAGGCACTCCCCCCATCTCAGATGATGGGTGGCCGGGCAGAGACGCTCCTCACTTCCTAGACAGGACGGCGGCCGGGAAGAGGCGCTCCTCACTTCCCAGACTGGGCGGCCGGGCAGAGGGGCTCCTCACATCCCAGACGATGGGTGGCCAGGCAGAGACACTCTTCACTTTCCAGACGGGGTGGCGGCTGGGCAGAGGCTGCAATCTCGGCACTTTGGGAGGCCAAGGCAGGCGGCTGGGAGGTGGAGGTTGTAGTGAGCCGAGATCACGCCACTGCACTCCAGCCTGGGCAACACTGAGCACTGAGTGAGCGAGACTCCATCTGCAGTGCCAGCACCTTGGGAGGCCCAGGCGGGCAGATCACTCGCGGTCAGGAGCTGGAGACCAGCCTGGCCAACATGGCGAAACCCCGTCTCCACCAAAAAATACAAAAACCAGTCAGGTGTGGCAGTGTGCGCCTGCAATCCCAGGCACTCAGCAGGCTGAGGCAGGAGAATCAGGCAGGGAGGTTGCAGTGAGCCGAGATGGTGGCAGTACAGTCCAGCCTTGGCTTGGCATCAGAGGGAGACCGTGGAAAGTGGGAGACGGAGACGGGAGAGGGAGACGGGAGGGGGAGGGGGAGGGGGAGGGCAGGGGGAGGGGGAGGGAGAGGGGCCCTGTTTTATAGCTAGTCTTCAATTTGGTCTGGTGTCTGAGCCCCACCTCTGGAGTTGAGTCCTGCCTCCTACCTCTAAGGCATGTTGGTGGATGCAGGGTAGTGGGCAGAATAGAATCATGTAGACCCCTTAGAAGGTTGTTGTAATCTAGGGCAGTGGTTCTCAATTTTAACCATGCATGAGCATTTCATGCAGGGGTTGTTAAAACTCAGCCTCCTGCCCCTGGAGTCTACGTCTGGAGTCTGCATCTCTGACTAGCTCCCAGGTGATGCCAGTGCTGCTGGTCCTGGACCACATTTTGAGTAGCTAAAAGCTAGGAGAGAGATAATGGGGACTTGCAGTAAGGTGGTACCCCTGCTGAGGTTAGGAAGAGCTCTGGTCTGGGATGCATTTTGAAGTGAAACTATCAATCTCATTTCAGTTCCCTTTTAATCTGCTTACACCAAGGAGAATAGCTCAATTTGATACTAGTATGTTTCTAAGACTTTTCTGTATTTTAGCTAACAGAAAGCAGGCCTCAAAGTGTAGAGCAGGCTGGGCGCAGTGGCTCATGCCTGTAATCCCAGCACTTTGAGAGGCCGAGACAGGTGGATCACTTGAAGTCACGAGTTCAAGACCAGCCTGGCCAATATGGAGAAACCCCGTCTCTGCTAAAAATACAAAAATTAGTTGAGTGTGGTGGCACATGCCTGTAATCCCAGCTACTTGGGAGGCTGAGGCAGGAGAATTGCTTGAACCCGGGAGGCAGAGGTTTCAGTGAGCCGAGATCAGGCCACTGCATTCCAGCCTGGGCGACAGAGCAAGACTCCATCTCAGAAAAAAAAAAAAAAAAGAATCCAATAGTGTGATAGTGGACAAAAGAATCCAATAGTGTGATAGTGGACATGAAAATACTTCATGGACTACAAAGCTCTTCACCCTGCTATCTGCTTCATCTTTGTGGGGCAGGCTGGGTGCATCACCAGACTCCTAGTCAAGTGCTCTCTCTTATTGTTCATGGCCTTGTGTTGCCCCAGTCCTGGGGGAGGGGCTGACTTTTCTGCAGGACTATAGGAAAGGAGAATCATAGACATATGTCCACTTGTCAGTTACCTGTGTTTCCTTCTTGTGCTCTGGGCAGCCGATGCACTTTCCTGATTGCTGTGGAGCCTACTAGGATCTAGGAATGAATATTGTGCCTGGCTTTGGGGGTTCAAAACTCTCCCTCTTGGCTCTTGAGCTGCTTACTTGAGCCCATTCCCACTCTGTGGAGTGTACTTTTGCTTCAATAACTCTGTGCTTTCTTTTTGTTTGTTTGTTTTTTGAGATGGAGTCTCGCTCTGTTGCCCAGGCTGGAGTGCAGTGGCGCGATCTCGGCTCACTGCAAGCTCCACCTCCAGGGTTCATGCCATTCTCCTGCCTCAGCCTCCCGAGTAGTTGGGACTACAGGCGCTCACCACCATGCCCGGCTAATTTTTTGTATTTTAGTAGAGACGGGGTTTCACCGTGTTAGCCAGGATGGTCTTGATCTCCTGACCTCGTGATCCACCTGCCTCAGCCTCCCAAAGTGCTAGAATTACAGACGTGAGCCACTGCATCCGGCAAATCTGTGCTTTCATTGATTTACTCTTTCATTGCTTTGTATGTTTTGTCTGAGTCTTTGTTCAAACTGCCAAGAACCTGGACACCCTCCACTGGTAACATATTTTGGCGTTCCAGCCAGGGGACAATAACGGGAAAGACTCCATCTATGCTACCTGATCCCCCGCTTGGCTGCATCCTCAACCACTGGTATCAATTTGACCCCAATAATCTAAGGAGGAAATGCTTGATATTCTTTTGCAATAGTTTGTCCCCAATATTGCTTGGAATCTGGAGTTTGTTGTTGAATGGGAAAGTGGGATGGTGTTGTATGTATCCAAGCTTTTGTGCTGCTGTTCTAAGCAGGGTCAGGCCTGGTTAGCATGTGGTGCTCTCTTTTGGTGCTGTTTGGCCCCGGTGTTCTTTGGAATTTAAAAATCAAACTGGCATGGAAACTGCTTTACCCCAAAATTTTGGTTCACAGCCTTCACTGGATTACCTACTGGGGCAAACAGAGTGTAACCATGTAAAACCGGCGAGCTTGTATTGCTATCTCATGGCTAGAGTTCCAAGGTAAAAGCCATTTGGATCTTCATTTGTGTGCGTGTATACATGTCTAAATGTGTTTATTTGTATGTAGACTTACTGTTATATGTTGTGCCTACCACATTGGCTTATAAGTAAGAGAGTGCCCATAACTTAATAAGTCCAAGCAATTTTCAAGTTCACGTGACTTAAGTAAATCTTTACGAAACTAGCTAGCTTTAAAATTATTGGTAAATACAAATAGAAATGTCTTCAGAATTGGCAACATACATTTTTATCTGGGTTTTATGTTTTTGTCTTTGCTAGATATTTTGAGGTGTCAAGGCTATCAGGCTGGGCGTGGTGGCTCACATTTGTAATGCCAGCACTTTGGGAGGCCGAGGTGGGCGGATCACCTGAGGTCAGGAGTTGGAGACCAGCCTGGTCAACATGGTGAAGCCCCGTTTCTACTAAAAATACAAAAATTAGCCAGGTGTGGTGGCATGTGCCTGTAATCCCAGCTACTTGGGAGGCTGAGGGAGGAGGATCACTTGAACCAGGGAGGTGGAAGTTGCAGCAAGCCAAGATAGTACCACTGCACTCCAGCCTGGGTGACAGAGGGAGACTCACTGTCTAAAAAAAAAAAAGTTATAAAGCTATTAACCCAGCCAAAACAACAAAAACAAAAAACTGTCCCTTTTGCCTTTGGTTCACTCTTGGATCCAGATGGAAATCTCCAGCTGTTCTGGTGTTCTGGACCAAGAAGTTTGAGAAAATAAGAATCCATGGACAAGAAAATTTTGAGGTAGTGGTTCAGAGTTCTGGCTCGTGGCCTCAGTTCCAATCCTGGTTCTATCCTTGCTTGGTGTGAGGCCTTAGGAAATCTCCTTGTGTCAGTCTGGGTCCTCCGAGAAGCAGAGCTTGCTTTGAGACTCAACATGCAAGGATTTTTTTTTTTTGAGACGGAGTCTCACTCTGTCGCCCAGGCTGGAGTGCAGTGGCACGATCTCAGCTCACTGCAAGCTCCACCTCCCGGGTTCACGCCATTCTCCTGCCTCAGCCTCCTGAGTAGCTGGGACTACAGGCGCCTGCCACCATGCCCGGCTAATTTTTTTGTATTTTTAGTAGAGACGGGGTTTCACCGTGTTAGCCAGGATGGTCTCGATCTCCTGACCTCATGATTCACCCGCCTTGGCCTCCCAAAGTGCTGGGATTACAGGCGTGAGCCACCGCACCTGGCCTAACATGCAAGGGTTTTGTTAGGGGAAACCCTTGTGTGAAAGGAGTTAGACAGTGATGAAGCCTGACTCCAAGGGAGGAGAAGAGAGAATGTTGGTGGAACTGTCCGTGCTGTGCGGTCTAAAGAAAATTGGGGTTTCCAAAGTCAGTTGTCAAGGGCCCCTGTGTTTTCTAGGAATGAGCTGCCTTAGTTTCTGTGCTGCCATACACTATTGATGGGTGAGATGGATTTTAAATCTAGCTGGGCCCTTGCTCTCTTATGCTCCCCATAGCTGGAGGTCAGTGGCAGGTGCATTCTTGTGGCCACGCATCACTTAACCTCTCATGGGATTGTTACTACAATCAAATGAGACAAGGTGTGTAAAACACTTGGTACAAGATCTGGCATAAATACTCAACATATTTTAACTATTATGATTACCCAGTTATTCTTTCGAAGCCAACAAGAAAGTTTTCTTCTCCTTTTGTTATCAACCATTCCCTGCATCAGAGGCTGCTAATTCAGTCAGATTCCCTGTAAATGAGTGATGTGGGCCAAGTGTAAGACATTAGAGAGTGGGAGGGACTATGGTAAACTAGAAAGCACATGAAACATCTAAAATGGTTTGAAAAATAGCTGGGCGTGGTGGCTCATGCCTGTAATCCTAGCACTCCGTCTCAAAAAAAAAAAAAAAAAAAAAAACCCAACCCAAAACCACCCCAAAAACCCCAGTGAGGTTGATTTTCCCACCCCCCCAAACCCATTAATAAATTTGTTGTGTATTTGACGACATGGAGAGACCTGGCTGGTTGATTTCTGGTTTTGTGCACAGCTTCAGTGTTGTCTTTTCTGAGAGGTTTTGAATGTGGACATCGGGATTGGATGGCATGGGTTGGGATCTTGGCTCTCCCACTTGCCAGCCATGAGATATTGGGCAAATTATGAAATCTCGGGCAAATTATGAAATTTCCTGGTAACTCAGTTTTTCCATCTGTAAAATGGGGATAATAATGATTCTCCCCTCATGAAATTTCAATGAGGATTTAATATACAGAAGGAGTTTAGGACAGTGTCTGGAACATAGTAAGGCTGAGTAAGTGTTGATGTTATTCTGGGGTTGAGAGAAGGAGCAAGAACAACCTTGGGTTGCTGGAGGCTCTCATGGTTTTTCCTCATCATTTCATTCCACTTAAGCCTAAAACAATATGATCGGTATAACACCCAGACAGGAATGAGTTTCTCTTATACCGGTGATATAATCATATATAATAATGCCACTTACATAAGCTTCCTTAGCTCCTTGTTAAGGCCACCCACACTCCGTTCCACTTCACACTGTTAAGGAATGTTTCTCCCACAGGGAAAAAGACACCCAGCTCTATGCTAATTACCACTTTAAAGCAGGGACCAAGGGGTGTGAGGGGGGGAAACCAGCAAAGGTGTCTTTGGCAGTGCTCTTGATTTGGGAGAGTAAAGTCTTTAGTTTGGAAGCAGTGAGTCAGGCCTGGGGACCTCAGAGGAGCCAGAGGCAACCCATGGTGTCCCCCAGATTAGGCAGGCCCAACCTACGCCTTAGGTGAAAAGTGTCTGTGAGCCAGCCCTCTGCAGACAAATGCTAATCTGCCATTTCTTTTATTGCTTAAAAAAAGAGAGTCTGAGACATATTCTACGTGTGATACAAGCTCATTGTGGAAAATATGGAAAATAGATGGGAACAAAATGAAAGTGTAAAAGTCAGAAGTCATGAGCGATGAATATAGTCAAGCTAACAGAAAAAATATAAAAAGTCAGAACTCATTCAGCTGAAAGTGTCAGAAATCAATTGCAAACTGGTTTAGATGATTCAAGAGAATATATTGGCCCACAGAACAAGGCTGTCACAGAGGTGGATCAGGCATGGCTGTATCCAGGGCTCAAACGTTATTAGCGGAATGCCATCTTGCTTGCTCTGTCTCTATTTCATGAATAGGCCTTCTCCAGATGGTGGAAAAGGTAGACATTATCAATTCCAGATTAATCTCCACCAACTGAACAATGCTACTAGAAAGGAAGAGGCTCTTCCCAGTGCTCAGATAGGAAAGTCTCAGGGAGGGACTTGATTGGCTGAAGATGTACCACGTGTGCATCCTTGAACCAGTCCCTGTGGTTGGGGATGTACCACCTGTGCATCCTTGAACCAATCCCTGTGGTTGGGGATGAGGTGCTCTGATTGGCCAGATCAGTGAGTCAATGGCCAGGGGAGATGAAATCAAGGAATGGTCCACTTAAATAGGTCCTCCACAGGGAGTGGTGATTCTGTTCCAAAAGAAAGAGAAGGAAATGAATTGATGAAAACAATGGATATTGCTATATAAGAAGCATATAACATCTGTAATCCCAGCACTTTGGGAGGCTGAGGTGGGCGGATCACCTGAGGTCGGGAGTTCGAGACCAGCCTGACCAACATGGAGAAACCCTGTCTCTACTAAATATAAATATATATATATTTAGCTGGGTGTGGTGGCACGTCCCAGCTACTCGGGAGACTGAGGCAGGAGAATTGCTTGAACCTGGGAGGCAGAGGTTGCTGTGAGCCAAGATGACACCATTGCACTCCAGCCTGGGTAACAAGAACAAAACTTCATCTCAAAAAAAAAAAAAAAAAAAAAAAAGAGGTCAGGTGCAGTGGTCACGCCTGTAATCCCAGCACTTTGGGAGGCTGAGGTGGTCGGATCACGAGGTCAGGAGATCGAGACCATCCTGGCTAACATGGTGAAACCCTGTCTCTACTAAAAATACAAAAAAATTAGCTGGGTGTGGTAGCGGGCGCCTGTAGTCCCAGCTACTCGGGAGGCTGAGGCAGGAGAATGGCGTGAACCCGGGAGGCGGAGCTTGCAGTGAGCCGAGATCGCGCCACTGCACTCCAGCCTGGGCGACAGAGCAAGACTCTGCCTCAAAAAACAAAACAAAACAAAAAAAAGAGAAGCAAATGACAAGTTTCCAATACTTGCACCATCTAGAAATAATGACTGTTGACTTCTTAATGTAAATCCTCCCAGAATTCACTTCCCCTTATTTAGCTATACTTATAAGCATATACTAGATACATAGAACATTGAGATATCCTATGCAAACTTTTGTAAGCTGATTTTGATTGCCTTGTTTAAAAATATCATTTAGATATTTTGAAATATAAGTGGCATATCTTCTGGGTAGAAAAATTAGAGAATATGGACAAACAAAAATAAAATAACTTTTTTTAAATAATTTTTTTTTTTGAAACAGAGTCACTCTATCACCCAGGCTGGAGTACAGTAGCATGATCTTGGCTCACTGCACCTCCACCTCCTGGGTTCAAGCGATTTTCATGCCTCAGTCTCCTGAGTAGCTGGGATTACAAGTGCATGCAACCACGCCCAGCTAATTTCTGTATTTTTAGTAGAGACGGGGTTTCTCCATGTTGTCCAGGCTGGGATTGAACTCCTGGTCTCAAGCAATCTGCCTGCCTCGGCCTCCCAAAGTGCTGGGATTACAGGTGTGAGCCACCACACCTGATCTAAAATAACTTATAATTGGCTGGGGTTAATAGTAAGACTTTTAAGAAGCCAGATTAAGGGCAGGGTTGAGATAGAGGAAGAATAATTTGTCAGAGCTCCTCTTATGATACCCTGTAGTCCCTCTTTGCAGTGCTTTGCACATTTGTAATTTTACATTAATTACTCAAAGTGGCTTATTTAAAATAATTTTATTCTCTAAGTGTTGCTTTCCTTAAAAGAAATAAGAAAAAAAACCCAGAAAAAAAGTGACCTAAAATAATTTTATTCTGAACTATTTCAGGCACACAAAAAACTATAAAGACCAGTACAGTGAACAACCATTTACCCGTCACTCAGTTTAAAAAATATAACAAAGACAATCAAGTCCTTCTGTGGACCCCTCTTAATCTCGTGCTCCTTTCTCTCTTCCTTCCTTCCCAATGGGATCTCTATCCTGCAGTTGTGTCTTATATTTCATGCCTATTTTGTATTCTTATTGAATATATGTTATCCATTATCAACATATAACATTATGTTGCATATTTAAACACTTTAAGTAGACTACCACTGTATGTATTGTTCTCATGGCTTGCTTTTTGGTTCATTGTTATGATTTTGCAATTTATTTTTATTTTTATTTATTTATTTATTTTTGAGACAGAGTTTCATTCACTCTTGTTGCCCAGGCTGGAGTGCAATGGTGTGATTTCAGCTCACTGCAACCTCCGCCTCCCAGGTTCAAGTGATTCTCCTGCCTCAACCTCCTGAGTAGCTGGGATTACAGGCAGGCGCCACCATGCCCAGCTAATTTTGTATTTTTGGTAGAGATGGGGTTTCTCCACGTTGGTTAGGCTGGTCTCGAACTCCCGACCTCAGGTGACCCGCCCGCCTTGGCCTCCCAAAGTGCTGGGATTACAGGCGTGAGCCACTGGGCCTGGCCGATTTTGCAAAGTGTTAATGTTGATACAGGTTATGTTTCATTTATTTTCTACTATTGTTAGTGTTAATCTGTTAGTACTAGCATCCATGGTAGAACTCAATCATAATTAATCTATCTATTCTGCAGATGGACATTTAGGTTCCTTTTTTTTTTTTTTTTCTTGAGACAGAGTCTCGCTCTTTTGCCCGGCTGGAGTGCAATGGCGCCATCTCGGCTCACTGCAAACTCCACCTCCTGGGTTCAGGTGATTCTCGTGCCTCAGCCTCCTGAGTAGCTGTGACTACAGCACCCACCACCACACTTGGCTAATTTTTGTATATTTAGTAGAGATGGGGTTTTGCCATGCTGGCCAGGGTGGTCTTGAACTTCTGACCTCTGGTGATCCGCCCACCTTGGCCTCCCAAAGTGCTGGGATTACAGTCGTGAGCCACTGAGCCTGGCCGTCTCCCTTCCCTTCCTTTCCCTTCCCTTCCCTTCCCTTCCCTTCCCTCTCCTCCCCTTCCTTCTTTCCTTCCTTCCTTCCTTCCTCTTTCTCTTTCTTTTTCTCTCTTTCTTTCTCTCCCTCTTTTTCTTTTTTTCTTCTTTCTTTTTTTTGGAGACAGGGTCTTACTTTGTCACCCAGGCTGAAGTGCAGTGGTATGATCATGGCTCACTGCAGCCTCGACCCCCCAGGCTCAAGCGATCTTCCCACGCCAGCCTTCCTGAGTAGCTGGGATTATAACAGGCTTGCACCGCTATGCCTGGCTAATATTTGTATTTTTTGTAGAGATGGGGTTTCACCATATTGTCCAGGCTGGGCTTCAACTCCTGAGCTCAAGCAATCCACCCACCTTGGCCTCCCAAACTGCTGGGATTATAGGCCTGAGCCACCGCACCTGACCTGTTTCTATTTTTCTATTACAAACAGTGCTGTAGTAAATATTCCTGTACAGGCCAGGCACGGTGGCTCATACCTGTAATCCCAGCACTTTGGGAGGCCGAGGTGGGCAGATCACCTGAGGTTGGGAGTTTGAGACAGCCTAATCAACATGGAGAAACCCCATCTCTACTAAAAATACAAAATTAGCCAGGTGTGGTGGCGCATGCCTGTAATCCCAGCTACTTGGGAGACTGAGGCAGGAGAATCTCTTGAACCTGGGAGGTGGAGGTTGCGATAAGCTAAGATCACACCACTGCACTCCAGCCTGGGCAACAAGAGCAAAACGCCATCTCAGATATATATATATTCCTGTACATTTCTCCTTGTGCAAACTGATAGAGCTTCTCCTGGTCTAGGGTATGTACCTAGGAGTGGAATTGCTGGGCTGTGGGGGTTATACTTCTTCAACTTTACTCAATTTCACCAAGTTGCTCTGCACAACAGTTGTACCAATTTACACTCTTACCTGCAGTACATGAGAATTCCAGTTTCTCCGACATTTGGTTTTGTCAGACTTTTTATCTTTGCCAGTTTGATGTGTGTGAAATGCAGTCTGCTGGCACCCAGTGTTCAATCCTGAAGAGCTGGATGCATAGGTCTTGTTCACCATGGTTCCCCCAGCACTTTGCGCAGCACCTGAAATATAGTAGGTATTCCATATTTTTTGGCTGACTAATTGAGCAGCAGTTTTCTGGCTCCTCTCATGTAAAATTCCATTACAATTTGTTGGAGAAGCCATTTGTTCTGCAGGGAGTCCTGTTTTCATCTCACTCTTCCCAATTCAAAACCAGGAAACCGGGCCAGGCGCAGTGGCTCACTCCTGTAATCTCAGCACTTTGGGAGGCCAAGGCAGGTGGATCACGAGGTCAGGAGTTCAAGACCAGCCTGGCCAATATGGTGAAAACCCATCTCTACTAAAAATACAAAAATTAGCCGGGTGTGGTGGCATGCGCCTGTAGTCCCAGCTACTTGGGAGGCAGAGACAGGAGAATCACTTGAACCTGGGAGGCAGAGGTTGCTGTGAGCTGAGATCGCCCCACTACATTCCAGCCTGGGTGACAGAGCAAGACTCCAGCTCAAATCAACCAACCAACCAGGAAACCACTCAGGGACTAAGCAGAGAAAACAGCTTTTGATTGCCCTGTTTGCCTTTTTGTTAGAACTGCAGTTCTCAAAACTTTCCCATACCTCAGAACCACGTGGAGGGCGTGTTAAAATGCAAATCGCTGGGATCCATCCCCCCAGAATTTCTTGTTCAGGAGGTCGAGGGTAAGGTCTAGGGATCTGCTTTTTTTTTTTTTTTTTTTTTTTTTTTTTTTTTGAGACAGGGTCTTGCTCTGTCACCCAGGCTGGAGTGCAGTGGTGCAATCTCGGCTCACTGCATCCTCGACCTCTTGGGCTCAAGCCATCCTCCCCACTCAGCCTCCCTAGTAGCTGGGACTACAGGCATGTGCCACCACGCCTAGCTAATTTTTGTATTTTTTGTAGAGATGAGTCTCTCTATGTTGCCCAGGCTGGTCTCAAACTCCTGGGCTCAAGCAATCCACCTGCCTTGGCCTCTCAAAGTGTTGGGATTACAGGCATGAGCCACCATGTCCAAAATAAGATTTGCGTGTGTAATAAGTACCTGGGTGATTCTGATGCTGGTGCTGCTGGTCTGGGAACTACACTTTGAGAACCACCGGATCTGAGGAACATTCAATCCAGACATTTTGGATATGATCAATGTGGAGTGTCCTTAAAGAGATTGAATGCAAAACTTGAAAAGCCACTCCCAAAGTGTAGAGTGGAGGGAAGAATATAACATCTAACTCCACTTAGCCGGAGTAGGAAAAGGAGAAGTCTGGAATGTTTAAGACAGTTGGCAGCATTTATAGAGACTGATATAATTCAGTAAGAATATATTGGGCACCAACTGGGTTGTTTCCTTCCTTCTTCTCTTCTCTTCTCTTCTCTTCTCTTCTCTCTCTCTTTCTTTCTCTCTCTTTCTCCCTTCCCTTCCCTGCCCTTCCCTCCCCTCCCCTCCCCTTCCTTTCCTTTCCTTCCTTCCTTTCCTTCTCTCCTCCCCTCCCCTCCCCTCCCCTTCCCTTCCTTTTTTTTTTGACAGAGTCTCTCTCTTGTCACCCAGGCCGGAGTGCAGTAGTGCAATCTTGGCTCATTGCAACCTCTGCCTCCCGGGTTCAAGCGATTCTCGTGCCTCAGCCTCCTGAGTAGCTGAGACTACAGGTGTGTGCCACCACACCCAGTTAATTTTAATTTTTATTTTTTGTATTTTTAGTATAGATGGGGTTTTGTTATGTTGGCCAGGCTGGTCTCAAACTCCTGGCCTCAAGCAATCCACCTGCCTCGGCCTCCCAAAGTGCTGGGACTACAGGTGTGAGCCATCATGTCCGGCCCTGACTGGGTTGTTTCCATCTGCTCGCAAGTCTTCTACGTGCTTTCAAGCCAGGATCTTTTTTTCCATTGATACTTACTCCTGAGATCACCGCAATCTTCTCTTCTTCCTCTACCTCCTCCCCTTCTCCCCCCCCCCCTCTCCTCTCCTCCTCCTCCTCCTTCTTCTTCTTTTTCCTCTTCTTCCATGAATTAAATTCAGATGTGGACTTGGCTATGTGTTGAAACTATAATAAAGATAGCTAGCATTTATTGAGGTCTTGGTTGCCAAATGCTTTTGTTAGTGTTATCTCACTTCATCCTCCCTCAGACTTCAGGAGATAGGTACCATAGTTACATCCACTTTGTGGATGAAGTTTAGAGGTTACACAGCAGGTAAATAACAAAGCTGGGGCTGCAACCCAGGTCACCCCAATTCCAATGTCTTGTTCTTTACTGAAACTATGTACCATACATCTGTGATTCTTAGCTTCCTTATTAATTAATTCACCAAATGTTTTCTGAGCACCTCCTAGGTGCTAGGCCCTTTGCTGCTGATATGGGCAAATGAGACAGACAAAATTCCTGGTAGCACGACAATATGTTTTGGCCCTGTGTCCCCACCCGAGTCTTATCTCAAATTGGAATCCCCATAATCCCTAAGTATGGAGGGAGGGACCAAGTGGAGGTCATTGAATCATGGGGGCAGTTTCCCTCATGCTGTTCTCGTGATACTGATTGAGTGCTCATGAAATGTGATGATATTATAGGGCAGTTTCCCTGCTCCTGCTCATTCTCTCTGGCCTGCCACCATGTAAGATGTGCCTACTTCCCCTTCCCCCATGATTGTAAGTTTCCTGAGGCCTCCCCAGCCATGCAGAACTGTGAGTCAATTAAACTTCTTTCCTTTATAAATTACACAGTCTTGAGGCTTTCTTTCCTTTTTTCTATTTTGTGAGACAGAGTCTTGCTCTGTTGCCCAGACTGGAGTGCAGCGGCATGGTCTCAGCTCACTGCAGCCTCTGCCTCCCAGGTTCAAGCAATTCTCCTGCCTCAGCCTCCCGAATAGCTGGTATTACAGGCATGTGCCACCACACCTGGGTAATTTTTCTGTATCTTTAGTAGAGAGGGGTTTTTGCTATGTTGGCCAGTCTGGTGTCGTACTCCTGTAATCCCAGCACTTTGGGAGGCTTGAGGAAAGTGGATCACTTGAGTATTTCTTTATAGCAGTGTGAGTCATCTCCTATTACTGTTTTTTTTTTTTTTTTTTTTTCAAAAAGATGGGATCTTGCTGTCACCCAGGTTGGAGTGCAGTGGCTTGATCATAGCTCACTGCAGTCTTGACCTTCCAGGCTCAAGCATTCTCCCACCTCAACCTCCCAAGTATCTGGGACAACAAGTGTGTGCAATCATACCCGCCTAATTATTTGTTTATTTTTTGTAGAGATGAAGTCTTGCTATGTTGCCCAGGCTGTTGTAGAACTCCTGGACTCAAGCAATTCTCTCACCTCAGCCTCCCAAAGTGCTGGGATTATAGGCATGAGCCACTGCGCTGGCCACAATCTCCTATTACTCTCATCTATAGAAGGAAATGAGACTATCCCTCTTTGAGGGTTGCTGTGAGGTTTAGGGAAATGTGCTCTTGGTACCCAGTAGATGCTCAATAAGCATTACGCTAGGTATATAGTAGGTGCTCAATAAGTGTTGTGCTTGGTATATAGTTAGTAGGTGCTCAATAAGTGTTGGCTCCTGATTTCCTTCACTCCCAGGAGCTGGTAACTCTCTATTTGTGTACGTGGGGGAGAATGAAGCCAATTCCAAGAGACTACGATGTTCTCCTAGAAAAAGGCATTGCACCATCTTTAACATTTGTGCAGCCCACCCTCTATTAGCTCATCTGAGCAAATGCTTATTTTCCTGGTCTCTGGGGACAAGACTTAGGCTCTTTTCATTTGCCTCCTCACCCTCTCCCCATCTCCCTATTCTAGCCAGTATCACAGAATATGCAACATCTTGACAAACCAAAGGCACTGGGCAATGCTTTAGGAAACTGTGCAATTTAGAGAGATGAACAATGAAGAAATATCAGCTCTAGGCAGCTTGTGTGATGGAAAATAGGAGAAGATAAGATAAATGTGCAGCTTAGAAGGGAGAGTTCTCACAGGTAATGAGAGAAAATCAGGAGCCAACATCTATTTAGAGGTATTTTCCTTCAAGCATCTGGAGCTTTTGAAGAACCTGGATAGGAGAAATCTACATTTTAGGAGTGTAGGCTATTTTGTAATTTCCATCTTTGAAGGCTTCAACTCCATCTTTGCTGTCTGTGTGCTAGTTATTTCTTTTTCAGGCTCAATTTTAATAATTTCCTTTTTTTTCTTTTCTCCCAGGAAGAGGGTTTAACTCTGCAACATAATCAGTGCACAGAAACCTAAATTGGAAATCTCTTTCACTACAGACAAGACAGTTCAGAAGTGAAAAGTCACAGTAAAATTGGGCATTTCTTTCCATAGACTTAACAGAAGCAACACCTGGATTCCAGCAGCTGTACTGGTGTAACTGGCACTTGAACGTCTCCATCCAAGTGCCCCTTTGTGGCAGATGAAGAGTTCAGGTTTTGTTCCTCATCAGCCTTGTGACCTTGGGCAAAGTCCTTGACCTATCAGAGCCTCAATTTCCCTATCTGTGGAAAGACGACCATGAAAAAATATGCACTATGGGGTGGTTCTGGTGGGGAGAGTTAAATTAGATATAATTTAGAAATTCTTAGCATAATATTTGTATCATATATATGTTTATATATGTTAATATGTAACACATAATAGTATATAAGAAAGTCATCTATATGAACTTCACACAGCATATTATATTATATATACACACTACATGGTGTATATGACATATACTATCTAATATATGATATGGTTTGGCTGTGTCCCCACCCAAATCTTATCTTGAATTGTAAATCCCACAATTCCCACATGTTGTGGGAGGAACCTAGTGGGAGATAATTGAATCATGGGAGTGGGTCTTTCCTGTGCTGTTTTTGTGATAGTGAATAAGTCTCATGAGATCTGATGGTTATATACACGGGAATTTCCCTGTACAAGCTCTCTTCTCTTGTCTGCTGCCATGTGAGACATGCCTTTCATCTTCTGCCATGCTTGTGAGGCCTTCCCAGCCACAGTTCCACGTGGCTGGGGAGTAATAAACCTCTTTCTTTTGTAAATTGCCCAGTCTCAGGTATGTCTTTATCAGCAGCATGAAAACAGATTAATACAATATGTTATATATATATTATATAGTATGTATCTAATATAGTATAGTATACTAAGTATTAAATATTTTATAATAAATATAATACTATAGCATATAAACATGAGTACAATGATATATGCTCTAACATATGTACTATGTAACATAATGGCACATACACATATTATACCATGTTTGTATTTTATAGTGTACATAACATATACTATATATCATATAGTATTCTATAGTATATATGATATACATACCATATAACACAAACTATAATATATGTACTATATACACTATATATAATATAGTATACTATGTAATATATGCTATATATACAAGCAACTGTCCTCTAAACTATATCTTATATTATATATTATGTAATATACCAATATAATATAGTAGAGATGAAAGTTTCTTGTGAATTGAAAAGCCATGATTAATAAAAGATGTTATTATTCATATAGAGATATAGATGACTGATAAGGTTTGTGGTATGACCCTGAGTCTCTTTTTTTCTATCATCTGCTTGATTCACTACCTGACTCTTAATTTTTCTTTCTTTCTTTTTTTTTTTTTTTGAGACGGAGTCTTGCTCTGTCACCCAGGCTGGACTGCAGTGGCGTGATCTTGGCTCACTGCAAGTTCCGCCTCCTGGGTTCACGCCATTCTCCGTCCTCAGCCTCCTGAGTAGCTGGAACTACAGGCACCTGCCACCATGCCCGGCTAATTTTTTGTATTTTTAGTAGAGACAGAGTTTCACCATGTTAGCCAGGATGGTCTTCACCTCCTGACCTTGTGATCCACCCGCCTTGGCCTCCCAAAGTGCTGGGATTTGAGATGGAGTCTCACTTTGTCACCCAGGCTGGAGTGCAGTGGCGTGATCTTGGCTTGTTGCAACCTCCACTTTCCATATTCAAGCAATTCTCCTGCCTCAGCCTCCCAAGTAGCTGGGATTACAGGCATGTGCCACCATGCTCGGCTAATTTTTGTATTTTTGGTAGAGACTGGTGTTCGCCATGTTGGCCAGGCTGGTCTCGAACTCCTGACCTCAGGTGATCCACCCACCTCAGCCTCCCAAAGTACTGGGATTACAAGCGTGAGTTACCATGCCTGGCCCTGACTCTTAATATTTTATTTTACTGTTTTTTCCTCAACTACTTCTTGTTGCCTTTGTCATTCGGTTAACGGGCCATCCTCCTCTCAGGAGGGCCACCAAAGGGCTGGGAGTCACCACTGACACATTGAAACTCTTTTCCTCCCTCCTGCTCTACACTCACCCTACATCTAACACTCTGGCTGCCTCTACTGATCCTGGCTCTAAAGCATGGCCTGGATACATCCACTCTTTTCTGAGCCCCATCACCCCATGCCAGCTCCCCCCACCTGTCTAGACAACTACAATAGTCTCTTAACTACTCTCCCTGCTTCCTCCTTCACCTCTTTATAATCCACTCTTCACGTAGTAGCCTGCGTGATCTTTTTTTTTTATTTTTATTTTTTTTGAGACAGGATCTCACTGTCATCCAGGCTGGAGTGCAGTGGCACAATCGCGGCTCACTGCAGCCTCAACATTTCTGGGCTCAGATGACTCTTTTTTTTTTTTTGAGACAGAGTCTTGCTCTGTCCCCAGGCTGGAGTGCAGTGGAACGATCTCAGCTCACTGCAAGCTCCGCCTCCTGGGTTCACGCCATTCTCCTGCCTCAGCCTCCTGAGTAGCTGGGACTACAGGCACCCGCCACCACGCCCGGCTAATTTTTTATTTTTAGTAGAGACGGGGTTTCACCATGTTAGCCAGGATGGTCTCGATCTCCTGACCTCGTGATTCACCCGCCTTGGCCTCCCAAAGTGCTGGGATTACAGGTGTGAGCCACTGCGCCCAGCCTTGGGCTCAGATGATTCTCCCACCTCAGCCTCCTGAGTAGCTGGGACCACAACTAATTTTTGTATTTTTTTTTTACTTTATTATTATTATTATTATTGTGGAGACAGGGTTTTGCCATGTTGGTCAGGCTGATCTTGAACTCCTGAGCTCAAACAATCCTCTTGCCTTGGCCTCCCAAAGTGCTGGGATTACAGGTATGTGCCACTGTGCCCGGCCAATCTTTAAAGGGAGTAAATCGGATCATGTTACCTAGCTGAAAACCCTTCATTGGTTTTTCCAACACATGTAGCATAAATTCCGAACTCCTTACTGTCAATTTTTCCTGAAATGTACCTTTGCCTGGATCACTCCCCTGCTCTGCCTTGCCCACTCTGCTCCTGCACTGGTGACAGTTCAGCTTTCAAACACACCACACTCAATCCCACCTTGTGGCCTTTGCACTTGCTGTTTCCTTGCCCGGGAATGTCTTTCCTCCAAGATATCTGCATGGCCCTCTTGTTCACTCCATTCAGGACTCTCTGCAATTGTTGCTTTATCTGGGGGGACATTCCTGATCATCCTAACAAAAATAACACCTCCCATCACTTGTGTCTTCTTAACGTATCTTGCCATACATACATACTTAGCATTTACCATATACTCTCTGGATATATATATATATATATATATATATATATATATATATATATTTAGCATTTTTACATTCTCTGAAAGGCCCCAGAGCGCTTAGTGTATGGCACAAATAGGTAAATAATGGTAATAATTATTACTATTCATTTTGTTATTATAGACAGTGCTGTGTGAGTTTTAAATCCTTTCATGAGAAAAGGTTTTTTTAAGGCTGGGCAAGGTGGCTCATGCCTCTAATCCAGCACTTTGGGAGGCTGAGGCAGGTGGATCACCTGAGGTCAGGGGTTTGAAACCAACCTGGCCAACATGGTGAAACTCCATCTCTACTAAAAATACAAAAATTAGCCAGGTGTGGTGGCGCGAGCCTGTAGTCCCAGCTACTCGGGAGGCTGAGGTGGGAGGATTGCTTGAATCCAGGAGTCAAAAGTTTCAGTGAGCTGAGATCACACCATTGCACTCCAGCCTGGGTGAGAGAACAAGACTTTGCCCCGCCGACCCCCGCCAGAAAAAAAAGTTTTTTTTTTTTTTGAGACAGAGTCTCTCTCTGTCACCAAGGCTGGAGTGCAATGGCATGATCTTGTTTCACTGCAACCTCCGCCTCCTGGGTTTAAGCAATTCCTCTGTCTCAGCCTCCTGAGTAGCTGGGATTACAGGCATGTGCCACCACACCTGGCTAATTTTTGTATTTTTAGTAGAGACGGGGTTTCACCATGTTGGTCAGGCTGGTCTCAAACTCCTGACCTCATGATCTGTTCCCCTTGGCCTCCCAAAGTGCTGGGATTACAGGCGTGAGCCACCGAGCCTGGCCCTGTTTTTTTTGTTTGTTTGTTTTTTGTTTTTTTTGTTTTTGTTTTTTGTAGAGCTGTAGTTTTGCTATATTGCCTAGGCTGGTCTCAAACTCCTGGCTTCAAGCAATCCTCCTCCCTCGGCCTCTCAAAGTCCTGGGATTACAGGATTGAGCTGCCATGCAAGACCAAGAAACCGTTTTGATAGTCAGAAATTATATAGCTACCATTTATGGAGCTTAACTATGTGCCCCGCAGGTGCTAAGTTGTTTTTTTTTTTTTTCAACTCTGTCTCATTTAACTCTCACTATCACAGAATGCCTTGAAGTTTGTATTACTGCAGGAGAGGAGGTGAACTCAGGATCAGCTTTATTAATATTGATAATAATAGTAGTGTTATTAAATGAATGAATGAAAGCACAACATGAGACCTATTCTAAGGTGATTAGAAGACTAAGCACTCAGCTCTGGGATTGAATGGTGGAGGGGCAGGCAGTTTGGAAGGGGAGGCATCCCTTGTGTACTCCCAGGAGTGTCCTTATCCAGGGTCAACCTTGGAGGCACCAAGATTTATTTTATTAGAGAAGGCAGCCATTCCTCACCCCGCACTACCCACAGATCCAAGGCCTGAGGAATCTGAGAAATGGCCCCCCTAGTCCATAGGCTCAATCTATTTTCACTGGGAGAGAAGCAGCCCAGGCATATGGGGTCTGCACCTTTCACTGCGTAGGTGATAAACCTTGAGCCAAATCAGAATTATCGGTCTTGTGTTCTGTCGTATGGGGCCTCCCAACACTGTGAAGTGCACTCACACCCACGTGCCCTTTTATTTATGACTTTTATTGAGCCTTCTATGAAGTCGTAAATTGACCAACCCTGCAACTGGTTCCGGCCCTCATCAGGAAGCTATCATCAAAGTGAATCACCTTCTCACTGGCCACTTGTTCCCTGAAGGTTCATTGCAAAGGCTGAGATGTTTTCTGGGACTTCTTATAGAATCTGTCAGCCCTAGCTTAGAACTGCCAAGCCAAGGTTTTTTTGTTTCTGTTTCTGTTTTTTTTTTTTTTTTTTTTTTTTGTTGTTGTTAAGAAAGAGAAGTAAAATACAAAGTGGAAAGGTAATGTGTTTGTTTGGCCAGGGCCTCTCATCTCTGTACAGTATTCTGGAAATGCCTCAATTTCTGGAGCTGTGGATTGGACGAGGTTGACCTACTCTTATTCTGGCCTAGAAAAAGTCTGAGTAATTCTTGCATCAGGGAGGCCAGGCATGTTGGCTCATATCTGTAATCCAGCACTCTGGGATGCTGAGGCGGGTGGATCACCTGAGGTCAGGAGCTCAAGACCAGCCTGGCCAACATGGTGAAACCCCATCTCTACTAAAAATAGAAAATATTAGCTGCGTGTGGTGGCAGAAGCCTGTAATCCCAGCTACTTGGGAGTCTGAGGCAGGAGAATCCCTTGAACCTGGGAGGTAGAGGTTGCAGTGAGCCAAGATTGTGCCACTGCACTCCAGCCTGGGTGAAAGAGCGAGACTCCATCTCAAAAAAAAAAATATGTGTATATATATATATATATTCTTGCACTAGGGATTTGGGGACAAGGCAGAGAACAACATATTCCTAAGGGAATATGGGAACCAGCAACTTAAATAAAAACAAGGGTTGGATCTTGGACGTAGGAGGGACTTGGGTGGAAATGATTTCCCTAAAAGCACAGGGTGCTAGAGAGTCCCTAAGAACTCCTCAGACACCTCTCAAGCCCTGTGCTGGGGAAACAACCTGCATTATCTCATCTACTCTTCAGCAGGCCTCTGTTTCATCTCCATTTCGCAGATGGAGAAATTGAGGCTCACAGAGGTTATGTCACTGTATAAGTTGCTCTAGATCACATGGATACTAAATGGTAGAGCCAAGTTCTGAACACAGATTCTTCTTTAATTTATTAAAATTCACCCATTTGGATGTGCATGTCAATAATTTTTAGTAAATTTATTTCGTTTCATTTTATTTCATTTATTTATTTATTTGAGATGGAGTCTCATTCTGTGGCCCAGGCTTGACTGCAGTGGTGCAGTCTCGGCTCCCTGCAACCTCTGCCTCCCAGGTTCAAGCGATTCTCCTGCTTCAGCCTCCTGAGTAGCTGGGACTATAGGCACATGCCACCTTGCCTGGCTAATGTTTGTATTTTTAGTAGAGATGGGGTTTCACCATGTTGGCCAGGCTGGTCTTGAGCTCCTGACCTCAGGTGACCCACCCACCTTGGCCTCCCAAAGTGCTGGGATAACAGGCATGAGCCACTTATTTTATTTTATTTTATTCTTTTGAGATGGAGTTTCACTTTTGTTGCCCAGGCTGGAGTGCAATGGCATGATCTTGGCTCACTGCAACCTCCGCCTCCCGGGTTCAAGTGATTCTCCTGCCTCAGCCTCCTGAGTAGCTGGATTACAGGCATGCACCACCACGCCTGGCTAATTTTTGTATTTTTAGTAGAGACGGGGTTTCTCCATGTTGGTCAGGCTGGACTCGAACTCCCTACCTCAGGTGATCCGCCAGCCTCAGCTTCTCAAAGTGCCAAGATTACAGGCTTGAGCCACCATGCCTGGCCCACTTATTATTTTGTAAAGAGACAGGGTCTTGCTCTGTTGGCCAGGCTGGAGGACAGTGGCATAACCGTAGCTCACTGTAGTCTTGAACTCCTGGGCTTAAGCCATCCTCCTACCTCAGCGTCCTGAGTAGTTAAGACTACAGGCATGGGCTACCATGCCCAGCTAATATTTTTAGTAAATTTTAAAAGTTGTGTAATTATCATGACAATACAGTCTTAGAACCTTTCCATGGTGTCCAGAATGACCCCTGGTGCTGATTTGCCGTCAATCCTCATTCCCATCTGTAGCTTCAGTTGACAACTGTGCCTGGGCCTGTGTGTCTCTATAAATTTACCTATTCCGGACATTTCATATAAATAGAATCACACAATATGTAGTCTTTTCATTTGACTTCTTTTGCTTATGGTGAGATAACTATGTTGTTTTGTATATTAACAGTTCATTCCTGGCTGGGCGTGGCGGTTCACGCCTGTAATCTCAGCCCTTTGGGAGGCTGAGGTGAGTGGATCACTTGAGGTCAGGAGTTCAAGACCAGCCTGGACAACATGGGAAAACCCTGTCTCTACTAAAAATTCAAAAAGTAGCCAGGTGTGGGGAACGCACCTGTAATCCCAGCTACTCAGGGGGCTGAGGCAGGAGAATCACTTGAACCCAGGAGGCAGAGGTTACATTAAGCCAAGATTATGCCACTGCACTCCAGCCTGGGTGACAGAGTAAGACTCTGCCTCAATAAAAACAACAACGACAACAACATAGTTCATTCCTTTTTATTCCTGAATATTATTCCAATGTTTGGGTATACCCCATTTTATTTATTCATTTTACCAGTTGATGAGCATTTGGATTATTTCTATTTCTTGGCTGCTATAAAGAGTTCTGCTATGCACATTCATGTGTAGGTTTCTGTATGGTCGGATGTTTTCATTTCATCTGGGTAGTTTCCTAGAAGTGGAATTGCTGGGTTTTATGGTAAGCTCATGTTAAACTTTGTAAGAAACTGCGAAACTTTTCAAAGAGCCTTTGTCATTTTACATTGAACTCAGGTCTTTGTGACTCTGACGTCCAAGTTCTTAACCACTGCATTATGTGTATGTCTCATGTTACTCCATGCCATGAATAATCAATTCATTTTGACAATTATTGCTTGATGTTTATTCTATGCTGGTCGTGGTACTAAATGGTAGGAATAGAGAAATGAAAGGATATGGCTTGTTTTCTGCCTTTTATGGTAGATTGGGTTATTATTATTATTATTATTGTTATTATTTTTGAGACAGAGTCTCACTCTGTTGCCCAGGCTGGAGTGCAGTGGTGCGATCATGGCTCACTGCAGCCTCAACATTCTGGGCTCAAGTGATCCTCCTATCTCAGCCTCCTGAGTAGCTGGGATCATGGCATGTGCCACCATGCCTGGCTAACTTACACTTTTTTTTTTCTTTGTAGAGACAAGGTCTCACTGTGTTGCAAAGACTGGTCTCAAACTGCTGGGCTCAAGCAATCTTCCTGCCTCAGGCTACCAAAGTGCTGGGGTTACAGGCTTGAGCCACCTAGCCTGGTTAGATTGGTTAGTGATCACAATTTTTCTACCATATGACCTTTCAGTGTACCAGATGGACAGAGCATATTTCCCCACCCATATTAGGCTGTTCTTGCATTGCTATAAAGAAATACCAGAGGCCACGCATGGTGGCTCACACCTGTAATCTCGGCACTTTGGGAGGCTGAGGCAGGCGGATCACGAGGTCAGGAGATCGAGACCATCCTGGCTAACAGGGTGAAACCCTGTCTCTACTAAAAATACAAAAAATTAGCCAGGCATGGTTGCAGGCGCCTGTAGTCCCAGCTACTTGGGAGGCTGAGGCAGGAGAATGGCGTGAACCCGGGAGGCAGAGCTTGCAGTGAACCGAGACTGCGCCACTGCACTCTAGCCTGGGTGACAGAGCAAGACTCCATCTCAAAAAAAAAGAAATACTAGAGACTGGATAATTTATAAAGAAAAGAGGTTTAATTGGCTCACAGTTGTGCAGGCTGTACAAGCATGGAGCTGGCATCTGCTTGGCTTCTGGGGAAGCCGCAGGGAGCTTTTACTCATGGCAGAAGTGAAGAGGGAGCAGGCACGTCACATGGCAAAAGCAGGAGCGAGAGAGAGAGTGTGGGTTAGATTCTACACCCTTTTTTTTTTTTTTTTTTTTTTTTTTTTTGAGACAGAGTCTCGCTCCAGCACCAGGCTGGAGTGCAGTGGTGCGATCTTGGCTCACTGCAACCTCCGCTTTCTGGGTTCAAGCCATTCTCCTGCCTCAGCCTCCCGAGTAGCTGGGATTACAGGTGCGCACTGCCACGCCCAGCTAATTTTGTATTTTTAGTAGAGACAGGGTTTCACCATGTTGGTCAGGCTGGTCTCGATCTCCTGACCTTGTGATCTGCCCGCCTCGGCCTCCCAAAGTGCTGGGATTACAGGCGTGAGCCACCGTGCGTAGCCCACACACTTTTAAATGACCAGATCTCATGAAAACTCACTCACTATCGTGAAGACAGCACCAAATCATGAGGGATCTGTCCCCGTGACCCAAACTAACTCCACCAGGCTCCACCTTCAGCACTGGGGATTGCAATTCAACATGAGATTTGGCTGGGGACAAATATCCAAACTATAGCACCACCCCATGGTGTTGGGTTTGCCCATGTGACTTGTGGCCAAGGAACATGAATCAGATATGATGCAAACAGATGCCTCACATGTGCTTTTTGTGCTGTAGTTCATGTTCTTGTGTTCTCCTGATCCATTATGAGAAGAACACACTCTGCATAGCGGTTTCTTCTTTAGTCTGAGAGTCACAGCAAAAATATGTGAGGCAGACCTGAATTTAACACACAGCCTAAAGCTAAGTGCAGGTTTCCCACAGCATGAAGTAGACCTGCCCATCTGATCCCTGCCTAGATCAGTTAAATTGTAGTCATCCTACTGATCACTGAGAGTTTTCAGAAGTGTTTGTCATTGTAAACAACTGAAATATTAGTTGTTTGTTATGCGGCAATAGCTGACTAATGCATCTTTAAAGAGCCTATATAAAGAGATACACAGAAATATAAAGCAATCTATAATAGAGAGTACAGTGAATGTCTGGAGAGAGACACAAAATGAGTACTGTGGGAAACCACTCTGGTGGTAAGGGTAAAATTCAGCTTCATGAAAAAGGTGGTCTTAAAGGATAAGGAGGATTTTGACAGGTGGAAATGAGTGCAGTGGGATGTCATCTAAGCAAAGAAAACAGCATAAGCGAAGGCCTGAAAGTTTTATACCTCCAGGTTTTATGCCTATCTATGGCTCATGTCCTGTGATCTAAGTTTCTCAGAAGACAGAGATGCATCCACTTTCAGGGTGAGGACCTTTAGCTTGTCACTTCTGGTCATCCCTCCAGAATGAGCCGTTTGCAATCTTTATGTTAGATCTAAAATCCACAGGAGCTTAGTGACAGACATTGATGGCTGTTGCTACTGTCTAGATCTGGTCATGGACGTGTTCCACCACCCACAGACTCACCACCACCACCACCATATCGAATTTAAAAATGAGTCTCTTAAATACTTAACTGACTTATCTTGCCAACTCCCATTAACCAGTTTTATGCCTACTTCTCTGGAGTGACAACCAGATAATGATTATAGGGAAATTTGTTTTTACTTTTCTTTTGCGTCTGCTGCTTTCTTTTTGTTAGAATTTTTGTGATATACATTTTTGTTTTCAATGTTTCTATGTTGTCTTGTTTTATTTGTTGTTTATTGTATTGCATAGTCTTGTCTACAGTATTTAACTGGATTTTTTTTAAAAGAAGCACTCCAAACTGAAAGGCATTGTCTTTTATTAGAGAAATTTAACCCATTTATGTTTATTGTGCCTATTGATAAGTTTGAATTTACTCCTGATATTTCAAATTCCAATTTACCATGTTTTAAAAATTGATGCATAATAATTATATATTATTATGCATCAATTATGCAAAATATCACATGTATGAGGTACATGTGATATTTTGATACGTACATACAATGTGTACTTTTCAAATCAGGGCAATTAGGATATTCATCACCTCAGACATTTATCATTTCTTTGTGTTGGGAGCATTTCAAATATTCTCTTCTGGCTATTTGGGTATGTACAATAAATTATTGTTAACTATAGTCACCCTACTGTGCTGTTGAACTCTAGAACTTTTCCTTCTAACTGTATTTTTGTACCCGTTAACCAACCTCTCTTCACCCCTCACTCACCCCCCCACCCTCTGGTAACCATACTTCTACTCTACTTTTATGAGATGAACTTTTTAAGGTCCTACATATTAGTGAGAACATGCAATATTTATCTTTTTATGCCTGGCTTATTTCCCTTAACGTCCTCCAGTTTCATTGGTGTTACTGCAAATGACAGAATTTCATTCCTTTTTATGGCTAACTGGATATTCCATTGTGTATATATATTATATTTTGTTTTCTTTTCTTTTTTTTTTTTTTGAGACAGAGTTTCACTCTTGCTGCCCAGGCTGGAGTGCAATGGCACAATCTCGGCTTACTGCAACCTCCGCCTCCCGGGTTGAAGTGATTCTCTTGTCCCAGCCTCCTGAGTAGCTGGGATTACAGGCATGCGCCATCATGCCCAGCTAATTTTGTATTTTTAGTACAGACGGGGTTTCTCCATGTTGTTCAGGCTGATCTCGAACTCCTGACCTCAGGTGATCTGCACACTTCGGCCTCCCAAAGTGCTGGGATTACAGGCATGAGCCACCACGCCCGGCATATACTACATTTTCTTTCTTCATCCATTGACGAACACTTAGTTTGATTCCATATGCTGGCTATTATGATTAGTGCTACAATAAACATGGGTGTGCAGGTATCTTTTCTACATATTGATTTCCTTTTTTTGGATATATACCCAGCATGGAATTGCTGGATTATATGGTAGATCTATTTTTAGTTTTCTGAGAAATCTCTGTACTGTTTTCCATAATGGCTGTACTAATTGTCATTCCCACCAGCAATGCACTAGTGTTGCCCTTTCTCCACATTCTCACCAGCATGTTATTTTTTGTCTCATTGATACTAGCCATTTTAACTGGGGTGAAATATCTCGTAATGGTTTTGCTTTGCATTTCCCTTGTGATTAGTGACATTGAATATTTTTTTCATATCCCTGTTGTCCATTTGTATGTTTTCTTTTGAGAAATGTTCATTTACCCTGTTTTAAAGTTTGTTCTTTTTCTTTCCTGCTTTTTTTTCCCCCTGTTACATTGGTTATGTTTTCCTTGATGCATTTTTTTTCTTCAGTGGTTTGGAAGAAATGCACGCTAGTTCTGTCTCTTTGGCAATTATCTTTGACATTTTAAACACATTATGAAACATACTATTCTTTCAAAGTATAGAGTTAATTAGGATTTCATCCGGAGCAAAAGAACAAGCAGCATGTTTTCACTTCTCTACCTTAGCCATCTGCTGCTATTTCCTACGTTGAAATGATCTGGAACTTTAGTTTCAGAATGTTATTTATGTACTTATTTATTTTTATTGTGGATTCAGGGGGTACATGTGCAGGTTTATTATGTGGGCATATTACATAATGCTGGAGTTTTAGCTTCTATTGAACCCATCACCCAAACAATGAATATAGTACACAACAGGTAATTTCAACCCTTTCCCACCTTCCCTACTCCCCTCGCAGAATATTACTGAAAACAATTTTAGATTTTGTCTGTTTTTCCAAAGTATACTCTTTCTGGCCAGGTGCGGTGACTCACGTCTGTAATCCCAGCACTTTGGGAGGCTGAGGCTGGCAGATCACCCGAGGTCAGGAGTTTGAGATCAGCCTGGCCAACATGGCAAAACCCCGTCTCTACTAAAAATACAAAAAATAGCCGGGCATGGTGGTGCACGCCTGTACTCCCAGCTCTTCGGGAGGCTGAGGCAGGAAAATCGCTTGAACCTGGGAGGCGGATGCTGCAGTGAGCTGAGATCACACCACTGCACTCCAGCCTGGATGACAGGGCGATACTCCATCTCAAAACCAAAACCAAAACCACAACCACAACAACAACAACAACAACGTACGCTCTTTCAGAAAGTCTCCGAGTTGAAAACGCCTGTGTGGCCTTCTAGCATCCAGTGTTACCAACGAGGAATATGCTACCGATCTGCTACTTCATCCCTTAGTGAGGTTTTTTTTTTTTTTTCTCTTAGGAACTTTTTAGGATACTCTGTTCTCACTGAAATTGCACCCTGTTGCAACTAGGTGTGGTTCTTTTCCATGTCAGATTGGTCTTATTTATAGAATACATGATCTGCTCTTAGCTCTTTGAAGCTATCAGTTATACTTACATTAAAATCTTTTGTTTGTTTGTCCTATTGTAGTGATTAAGCATGTGAGTTCTAGAATCACAATACTGGGCTTGAATCCCAGCCGTGATCCTTTCTGGATATTTGAGGGAAATTTCTGTAGTTACAGCAGGAACAGAGGTGGGGTGATTCCAGATTCCAGTATTCTAGGCAGAGGCGGCACTTAGCAGAACTAGCCCTGGTGGAGGTGGCCCTCTGATAAATTCAGAGCTGATTTATCAGCAGTGTCTTCAATGGCACAATGTTAGATGGAGGCTGATGGGTTCCAGCCTAGGAGCATTAGCAGCTTCTAAAAATTTATTATTTTTATTTTTTTAAACAAATTATTATTATTATTTTTATAGAAATGGGGTTGCCCCATGTTGCCCAGGCTGGTCTTGAACTCCTGGGCTTAAGCGATCCTGCCTCGGCCCCCCAAAGTGCTGGGATTATAGGCATGAGCCACAGCACCCAGCCCATTAGCAGTTTTTGATCTACGGTTATCACGTCTTCTTTTTGCTCCTCAGACCCACCCACTTTTCCAATTGCTCTTCCATCCATCTCCAAACCTTATACCTAACTCCTTGGTTTGAAATATCTAGAGTGGTTTCTGCTTTGCTGATACCACTGGTTTCTGAAACATGAGCATAGGACATAATTGATATTGGGGTGAATGGGAGGAACAGAATGATGCAAAATTGTCTGCTTCTGTGTATGAGAAAGACACTGGCCAATCTTAATTCTGCAAGCCCAGGAGGGCTCTTAAATTATATTTATTATTATTATTATTTTTGAGACAGAGTTTCACTCTTGTTGACCAGGCTGGAGTGCAATGGCACAATTTTGGTTCACTGCAAACTCCACCTCCCAGGTTCAAGTGATTCTCCTGCCTCAACCTCCTGAGTAGCTGGGATTACAGGCATGTGCCACCACGTCCGGCTAATTTTGTATTTTTAGTAGAAACAGGGTTTCGCCATGTTGGCCAGGCTGGTTTCGAACCCCTGACCTCAGGTGATCCACCCACCTCGGCCTCCCAAAGTGCTGGGATTACAGGCATGAGCCACTGTGCCTGGCCTGTTATTATTAGTAGTAGTAGCATAATGCATTGAACATAGCTTGTCAATGCTTGGGTGTCAGGTAATCAACACCAAGACGTCCCTTGAGACTTTTGCTTTCTAATTTGCCCTGAGGATAGGCCAAAATAAGCTAGTGACATATTGAGTTAATTGGGCATCAACCCAGGAATTCTGCTTCTTGCTGTCCTACCCTGGACTTCCCCATGAAGTTAGTGGCCCCAGGAGGAAGGTGAGAAAAGGGTGAAGCTGCATTACACTTGCAGTCAGTGTTCAAGTCACCACAAAACGGTGACCTACCTACACAGTGCCCTGAATCCTCCAGTCTTGCCCCAGATGACAGAATCCACATGGACCCTTTTACTGAAGCCCGTCAGGCTCCGCGGTTTTATAGATGATGTCAGGAGGAGTGATTAGGACCAAAGGAAAAAGGTTCCTAGGCACAGTTGCTAAAACTGTGCTCCTGAGGTCTGTAGGAGCCCCCAAGGTCTCTGTTGATTACTTTAAGCAAAGCTCTTCAGTTTCTCTGTGGGGAACTTCTCCCTAAGTGACCACAATCAGGTTAGCAGGTGGCTGAGTAAACAAGGCTGAACAATGGGTTTTCCGTCAAGTTGGTTTATATCAGCAAGAAGCCCTAAATCTGTTTTTTTTTTTTTTTTCCAGTCCCTCCTGGAGATGAAGAAAGAGTTCAGTCACCCTGCTGAGGAGAGAAAAGGCCATTATTGTCAAAAGAAGGCACCTGTCCTAGATTTAAGGGAGGTGCGTTATCCTGGATGGTTTCTAGGCCTCAGTGGGATGGTCTGATGACTTCGTCTCACCCCCCAGGTACCTAGGAAGGTGATGAATGTGAAGGTGGATTCTTCATGGAGCTCCACACTCAGGATCTGGTATCTGAAGCTTCCTGCATTATGTCAGCTTATCTACTTTGTCCAGCTCCCCATTAGAGAAATCCTGCTTTCTTACCAGCATAGGTCACTGCGCTACTAAGAACATTTCTTTTCCTTTTTTTTCCCCTCCAGAGATGTGGTCTTGCCCTGTTGTCCAGGCCGGAGCACAGTGGTGCAATCCTACCTCACTGCACCCTCTAACTCCTGGACTCAAGTAATCCTCCTACCTCAACCTGCACGTAGCTGAGACTCCAGGCGTGAGCCATCGTGCCTGGCTATTTTTTGTATTTTAATTTTCTGTAGAGATGGGGTCTCGTCATATTGCCCAGATTGGTCTTGAACTCCTGGCCTCAAGTGATCCTCCCACCTCATCCTCCCAACCCCGTTTCTTTTCAGTCAGACAACCAGCCTGGTCTTTATTACACTGGTTCAGAGTCAGCTGGAAAAGAATTCTCTTTTCCTGGGCCAGGCAATCAGTGTTCAAGTCCCAGTGGGATCTCATTCGAGTCATGTGACTTTGGGCCGGTTCTTCACCTCTGAGAACCTCAGTTTCTCCACCTGTAAAATGGATGTGGCACTAGAGCCTGTACCACTTGCCTTGTAGGGATGTGGCAAGTCTCAAAGGTGGTGATATAAGGGGAGCGTTGGGTAAACTGTAACTCTCAGCTATCTGAATGTGCGCCTGTTCTCTCTCACGTTAGGAACCGTAGCAAGGCACTAGAAGAGGTTATATTTTATATATATATTATTTTTTATATTATTATATATTAATGTTATACAAAATACATTATAAATGTAAATTATATTATTATATATTAATGTAATACAAATATTACATTTTATCTACAAATCATTTGGCTGAGCCTTGGATGTCAATTGGGCTGTTTAATGCCCTGACGAAGATCTCTTATACATCCATATGAGAAAGGGTTTCTATACTGGAAGATACTGCCTCTCTTTTTACATGCAAGGACCTTGCTAAAGTGCAGTTTCTGATTCACTGGGTCTGATGCAGGACTGGAGATTGATTCTGCATTTTCCTCAAACTCCCAGGTCATACCCATGCTGCAGGTATCACATTTAGTAGCAAGAATGTAGGAAACATGGTCTTTTCTGGTGGCTCTCTTGATGTTTTGCTACACTTGTATTTACTTGTCTCAACTAGACTCCACCTCCTGCAGTCTCACATGACCCATGCAACTCAACGGAAGTCATACAACAATCACTAGCAGTAAGTACCCGCAGCTGTAGAAACAAACAAACAAATGAAAAAACCCAAACAATAACATTTGCACAAGGACCCAAACTTGGCAGTGCACCTAGAAGAGTTTGTAGCGTACCATTGGTTATAAACATTGTACAACACAAACCTAAACTATTACATTTGTGAGGGGATAGGTTGCCATTTCCCTTGCTTGTTTATGAGCAAAAACTTGAGAGCTGCATTATTTTTGCCTTCCCAGATAGCACTGACCCTCAGTAAATGTTTGATGAGCTAAAAGTGCCTTTAGTGAGTGGGAAATTAAGCAAGGCCCTTGATTGTACATCTATTGCTCCAAACTTCAGAAAAACCAATCATAACTTTTACAGAACATCTCCTCCCTATGCTGCTTTATTTCTTTCCATACATAGCTGAACTCATCACCTGAGACTCAACTTCCACCCATCTTGTCCTATAAGTTCAGATTTATAAGGGCAGGGCAGGCAAAGAAGCCCTTAGACTTTGCTTGTTGGTCTCTCCTGTAACCCTGAAATAACCACGTTTACCACGTTTATTCCCAAAGCTCATATTGAGTTCAAATCCCCTGTTACTCATTTAGAGAGACAAGTGGCATTCATCATTTTTGCCTCTCTGTGTCTTCCTCTCCCCCAGAACAATGGCATTACATGACGATTAACTCCTTTTGATATAAACAAGTCCAATGGCAGAGTGTTGGATGACTCAGAAAACCCAGGCATTGAAAGATGCAAAATATTTTATTGTGTTCTTGCATTATGAAGCATTGGGGAGTGTTAAGCATTTTTCTTTGATTTTTCTCTCCCTCCCTCCCTCCCTCCCTTTCTCCTGCCCTCCTCCCCTTTCTCCTTTCCTTCATCCTTTCCTTCCTTCCTTTCCCTCCCTTTCTCCTGCCCTCCTCCCCTTTCTCCTTTCCTTCATCCTTCCCTTCCCTTGCCTCCCCTCCTCTTCCCTCCCTTCCCTTCCCCTCCTTTCCTTTCCCCTTCCCTTCCCTTCCCTTCCCTTCCCTTCCCTTCCCTTCCCTTCTCTTCCCTCTCTTCCATCTTTTCATCTATATCTGCCATTTTGCCTAACACCCATGTGCTGGAGAAGAAAGAAAACAAGGACTTAAAGAGGGAAAAAATTCAAAGAAAGAAAAATGAAAGGTAGACAGAGCTTATGCATTTTGAAGGTGTGAAAATTAGGATTTCAGCCTTTTTTTTTTTCTCCCCACTAAACCAGCAAGCAGGCAAATAAAGAAACCCTGCAGGGATTGACACAAGATGAGCAAAGTTTTAGAAGATTTTCCTCAGAAAAAAAACCCTCGCAGATTTACAAGCAGCATATCTGTTGTGAGGATTTCGAAGGAGATGAAAATATATTGCTAGCTATCTAGACATTTGTCAAAACAACTGAATTCTATGAATTGGAAAGGATGAACGAAACAACCAATCCTGGGGAAAGAAATTCAAGATGGGCTCTGTTGTGTTAGAATTTTTCTACAAAGACAGGGAAGTTTTAGCTGTGTGAGATAAAGCCTTGCACCAAATGAGAAGCCAACAGACCTTGGAAAGGGGCGTTCAGTTTCACCTTGAAGGGCACTTGGCTTTGTCAATTCTGGATATGTGGTCAAACCCCCTTATCCTCATACCTGTCTCACTCCATCCCTAAATCAGGGACCTGTCTGATTTAGAAAAATAGTGCCTCCCTTTTGGATATGGGGAGAGGGTCAGGATACCTTAATTTACAGTTCGCCATGTCTCTTCACAGAAGGGAGAGGTAATTCTCCAAAAGGAAAAAAGGGGTGCTGTTACCAGAAGAATGATTCGATGCTGGGCAACTAAAACCAACAAATGTCTTCTCCACTTGGAGAATAAGACTTAATTTCAATATTGAATCCTGTTGATGTCACAGTTGCCTGGACCTGACTTCCCAGGCCCTGTTTGTTATGAGTGCATTTGTTTCCTTGGTGCATGGCATACCAGTAGGAATGGGCACACCTAATGCTCAGATCTTGGCTCTTTTTTTGTTTTTTTGAGGTGGAGTTTCACTCTGTTGCCAGGCTGGAGTGCAGTGGTGTGATCTCGGCTCACTGCAACCTCTGCCTTCTGGTTTCAAGTGATTCTCTTGCCTCAGCCTCCCAAATAGCTGGGACTACAGGTGCCCACCACCATGCCCAGCTAATTTTTGTATTTTTAGTAGAGACGGGGTTTCGCCATGTTGGCCAGGATGATCTTGATCTCTTGACCTCGTGATCTGCCTGCCTTGGCCTCCCAAAGTGCTGGGGTTACAGGTGTGACAAATCTTGGTTCTTAAATACCATTGTGCATTAAAAGTTAGCCATTGGAGAAATGGCTGATTCCAGGGCTGGGGCAGGAAAACTACAAGGTACACCTAAATTTTTTTTTCTCATCAGAATGTATGGAGTGGTAAGAAAAAATGACAGGGGCATGTCGCAATGATATAGGAGCCAGCTTGAAGGGAGTCCAACTTCAAAATCAGGGTCAAAATATTCAGATTGGGCTTTCCAAATCTGGGATAATCTAAGCATGGAAATTAATAATGACAGAAATGGAAAACAACACATGGAATCCCTGAATTTATACTGATATTAAAAAAAAGACAAGGGAGAGAGAAGGGAATGAGCTTATTTACTGAAGAATGTCAACTAATAAATGTAGAAGGAATTAGACTTAGAAACTCAAACTCTTGTTGGGTGCAGTGGCTTATGCCTGTAATCCCAGTGCTTTGGGAGGCTGAGGCAGGAGGATCATTGGAGGCCAGGAGTTCGAGACCAGCCTGAGCTTGTCTCTACAAAAAATTTAAAAAAAAGAATTAGCTGGGCACGATGGTGTGTACCTATAGTCCCATGTCCTTGGGGGCTGAGGCAAAAGAATCTCTTAAGCCCAGGAGTTTGAGGCTGCAGTGAGCTATGATTATGCCACTGCACCCCAGCCTGGGTGACAGAGTAAGATGGAATATGGAATATTGCTGGGAAGGGTATGGTACCAGTCTTGAAATATTTCCCCACAGATAACTTATTATTTCATAGTAAGGCACCTTCAGAGTGGAGAAATATGTGGGCACCATCTTAGCTGAGTAATCAAGCTGATCATCATATGCTTCCTCATACAATGCCTGTACAATATTCTTGCCAAAAATGTAACCACAAGGAGACAATCCAATAAACTCAACTGGTGATACATGCAACAAAAAAAGAGAATAATGGGTTAAAGAGTGATGGATGGAGACCACACTGAACAAGACAGGGAACTCTCTGAGGATGGTGACTCCTGAGCAGAGACCAGAATGATGGGAAGGAGCCAAGTATGAGAAGATCTTGGTGGAAGGTGTTCTGGGAAGAGGGAATAGCAAGTGCAAAGGCCCTGGGGCAGGAGTGAATGAGGAGTAGAAAGACCAGTATGGCTAGAGCATTGTGGAAGAAAAGGAGAGTGATATGATGTGAGATTAGAGAGCGAGGTGAGGGCAGATGTTGTAGGGTTTTGAGGCCATATGAGGAATTTAGTTTTGTTTTTGGTGTATATAGTAGAGATTAATTTTTAAATGGATACATAATATTTTTACATATTTATGGGACACATGAGATATTTTGTTACATGTCTCACATGTGTAATGACCAAATCAGGGTATTTAGGATATCCATTATCTTGAGCATTTATCATTCCTTTGTTTTGGGAACATCTCAAATCCTCTCTTCCAGCCATTTTGAAGTATAGAACACATCGTTGTTAACTGCAGTCACCCTGCCATGCTGTTGAACTGCAGTACTGATTTTTTCCATCTAACTGTATGTCTGTCCCCATTAACCAGCCTCTCTTCATTACCCCCACCCACACACTCTTCCCAGCCTTCGGTATCTATCATTCTACCCTCTACCTCCATGAGATCAACTTTTCAGCTCCCAGATATGAGTAAGAACATGTGATATTTGTCTTTCTGTGCCTGGCTTATTTCACTTAACGTAATGACCTCCATTTTCACAGTAGGAGTTAAATTTTAACATACCATACTCTGAGTATGTATCTGTGCTGAATAACTATATTTACCCATTTATATCTACAGCTATATCTAGAAACTACCTCACTAACACTACTCAATTCAGCTGTTGGAAGACTTTAAAATATTTTTGGAACAACTTGTGCGTATGAATTTACTCTTTCAATGGTAAATTTTATGAAATCTAACTATATAGTAAGTATTTCCAATGAAAATTTAGCATCTGTATGGAGATGTGTTGCAAATGTAAAATGCACACTAGATTTTAAGAAAAGAATGTAACTATCTCAAAAATAATTTTAAATTCTTGATACTATGTCGAAATAACGTTTTGAATACATTGACTTAAAATATTATAAATTAATGCTGTATGTATCTTTTTGCTTTTTAAAATTACAGCTCCATTGAGATATTCACGTAACATTGAAAATGTACAATTTGATCATTTTTAGTATATTCAAAGAGTTGTGTGATTATCTCTGCAATCAATTTTAGAACATTTTTATCATCTCCCAAAAAAGCCCCATACTCTTCTCAGTTCTAATTATTCTCCAACCCTTCCAGCCTTAAGCAAACACTAATCTTTGTCTTCTTGGATTTGCCTATTCTGAACACTTCACAGAAATGGAATCATATACTGTAATATTTGTTTTTTTACATTTGTCTTCTCTCACTTAGCATAATGCGTTCAAGGTTCATCTCTGTTGTAGCATATATAGGTACTTTATTCTTTTTGACTGCTGAATAATGTTCTATTATATGCTACATTTTGTTGATGAACATTTGGTTTGTTTTCTCTTTTTGGCTCTGGGGAATAATCCTGATGTAAACATGCATGTACAAGTTTTAGTGTGGACATGTGTTTTGATTTCTCTTGGGTATATATCTAGGAGTGGGATTGCTGGGTCCTATAGTTTTTGCTATTTAATTAATTAATTAATTTATTAATTTATTTATTTTGAGACGGGTCTCACTCTGTCGCCCAGGCTGGAGTGCAATGGCACAATCTCAACTCAATGCAACCTCCGCCTCCCGGGTTTAAGTGATTCTCCTGCCTCAGCCTCCCGAGTAGCTGGGATTACAGGTGTGCACCACCATGCCTAGCTAATTTTTGTATTTTTAGTAGAGACAGGGTTTCACCATGTTGGCCAGGCTGTTCTCGAACTTCTGACCTCAAGTGATCCACCTACCTTGGCCTCCCAAAGTGCTGGAATTACAGACGAGCCACTGGCCAGCTTTTGGTTTTTTAAATGTGGCAACTAGAAAATTTGAAAGTATATGTGTGGCTTGCATTATAATTCTATTGCAAAGTCCCAATCTAACCAAATCAAATTTCCTGAGAGGTCCCTGTCCTGCCAAGGAACAAGGAAAACAGCTAAACTTGCCAATTAGAGATGTCTCGGTCTCTTAAAGTTTTGAGTGGTCCCATTTTACCCTCCCATAAAACAATCTTTTTTTCAGGTAAATATTCAGCTGGTTTAAACATTCAACTCTCTTTTGGGGCTATTCCTTCCTTTTCTGTCTTGCTTCTACAGATGGTGCCTAGGTTCAAGGGACAGCTTGGGAGGAAGTCTGTGGTTCACACTTTCTCCTTGGCATCTTTATTTTTATTTTATTTTATTTATTGATTGATTGAGACAAGGTCTCGCTGTGCTGCCCAGGCTGGAGTGCAGTGGCAAAACCTCGGCTCATGGCAACATCCACCTCCCAGGTTCAAGCAATTCTCGTGCCTCAGGCTCCTGAGTAGCTGGGACTACAGGTGTGCACCATCATGCCTGGCTAATTTTAGTATTTTTAGTAGAGATAGGGTTTCGCTATGTTGGCCAGGCTAGTCTCGAACTCCTGACCTCAAGTGATCTACCTGCCTTGACCTCCCAGAGTGCTGGGATTACAGGCATGAACCACCATGCCCAGCCCCCTCCTTGGCATCTTTAAAAGTAAATCCTGGGCAGTGTAGCACTTTTGTCTTGTTTCTGGGTATCTAGCAGGCTTGCCCATGGAGCAGTGGTAGAGGGAGCCTCCAGAAGGTGATGTCTGTGGCCTCTGCTTAACTCAGCAGGCCCCGCTGCCATTCCTCCTCAGCTCTGGGTGCCTGTCTGTTGGTGCAGGGCCCCCCAGTGATTTCCCCAGCTGAGTCTCTGCCTAAATGCCTCCCTCAGACCTTTCCAAAGTCACATGGCTCCAGCACTATGCCAAGCATGGAGAATTTTCCCGGGGAATCAGAATTTTCTTGGAATATGCACCTGGGATGTGAGGAGCGAAGTCTTGCAATGGTCATTCTCCAACATTATCCAGTTATTTCTACCTTCCCTGGCTTCCTACCCCAAAGAAAGAAGAGCCAGGAAATTTCACTAGATTTGGCAAGATGATTGATGACTTTGATTTTAAAAATAATAAGTTATGTGCTGGTGGTTATCTAGGTCTACACATCTGTGCATACATAATAAGTGTATGCTTCAAATGGGTGCATTTTATTCTGTATAAATTTTATCCCAGCAAAGTTGATTTAAAGAAAGAGCAGGTTCAATTTATATACATTGTGCTGGGAAGATATTTATGATACAGTGTTAAAATATATTTTTGCATGAAAGAAGCCAGTTGCAGAGCAATGAGTAGTAAGATAATACTTTTGTAGTTAAAACGTGAAAAAAGAGGAAAAGCTCCTATATATATTCTGTGTTTCTCACGTAAACACAAAGAGATTGTAGAAAACAACACAAACTGCTTATCTAGAAGAGGACTGGCTGGAGAATAATGGTGGGCAGGGGAAGGGTTAAGTTTGTCTCTGTATCTTCCTGTATTGTTTAACTGGTCCTTTTTTGTCGTGAGACAGTCTTGCTCTGTTACCCAGGCTGCAGTGCACCACCACCACCATGCCACCATGCCACCATGCCACCACGCCACCACGCCCAGCTAATTTTTGTATTTTTAGTAGAGACAGGGTTTTGTCATGTTGTCCAGGCTGATCTTGAGCTCCTGATCTCAAGTGATCTGCGTGCCTTGGCCTCCCAAAGTGCTGGGATTACAGGTGTGAGCCACTGCGCCCAGCCTTAATGTGCATATAGTACAAAGCTCATTTTTTGATTAAAAACACAATAAATATAAAATAATAATAAAAGTCAATTAACTTTTATTATTTGAATTTTTAGCAGACACATTGCACCTTGTACTTTTTAAAAATAGCATCTACTCAACTTTATTTTTTATGTGTTTTTTTTAATACAAAACTCCGGACCTTATTTTTCTAGTTTTTCCACGAATGCTCCTTTTCTGTTCTGGGACCCTGTGCAAGAGATTCTGTTGCATTTAGTCTCAGGCCTCCTTAGCCTCCTCTGGTCTGTGACAGCTTTTCAGTCTTTCCTTGTTTTTCATGAACTTGACCATTCTGAGGAGGACTGGTCAGGTATTTTGTTGAATGTTGCTCAGTTTGGGTTGTATAAAGTTTTTCCTAGTGATTTAGACTGGAATAATGGATTTTTAGGAGGAATTGCACAGAGGTACATGCTATCAACATGGCCTATCACTGATGCTGACCTTGATTGTGGAATTAAAGCAGTGTCTGCCAGGCCTCTCCACTGTCCCTTTCCTTCCTTCCTTCCTTCCTTCCTTCCTTCCTTCCTTCCTTCCTTCCTTCCTTCCTTCTTTCCTTCTTTCCTTCTTTCTTTCCTTCCTTTCTTCCCTCCCTCCCTCCTTCCCACTTTCTTTCCTTTCTTTTTCTTTCTTTCTCTTTCTTTCTCTTTTCTTTCTTTCTTTCTTTCTTCCTTTCTTTCCTTCTTCCTTCCTTCCTTTCTCTTTCTTTCTTTTCTTCTTTCCTTCTCTCTCTCCCTCTTTCTTTCTTTCTTTCTCTTTCTTTCCTTCTTCCTTCCTTACTTTCTTTCTTTCTTTTCTTTCTTTCTTTCTTTCTTTCTTTCTTTCTTTCTTTTTCTTTCTTTCCTCTTTCTTTCTTTCCTTTTCTTCCTTTTTCTGTCTTCTTTCCTTCTCTCTCTCCCTCTGTCTCTCCCTCTCTCTTTCTTTCTTTCTTCCTTTCTGTCTCTCTTTCTCTCTCTCTCTCTCCTTCTCTCTTTCTTTTCCTTTTCTTTTCTTTGACATGGTCTCACTCTGTCACCCAGGCTGGAGTGCAGTGGTGTGATTCTAGCAACATTATCCAGTTATTTTTACCTTCCCTGGCCTCCCATCCCAAGGAAAAAAGAGCCAGGAAGGCCTTGGCTGGAAGCCCTTCTGGGCTGCAGCCTTGACCTTTGGGCTCAAGCAATCCTCTCTCCTCAGCCTCCTCAGTAGTTAGGACTATAGGTGTGCACTAGGATGCCCAGCTAATTTTTTTATTTTTACTTTTTGTAGAGACAAGGTCTTGCTATGTTGCCCAAGCTGGTCTGAAACTCCTGGCCTCAAGCTGTCCTCTGCCTCAGCCTCCCAAAATGCTGGGATTACAGGCATGAGCCACCGCACCTGGTCCTATTTCCCTTTTCTAGACTCAAGCTATACTCCATATTTATTGGAAGCCAGTTACTAAGACCCGCTTACACTCAAAAGGAGTGGAATCGGTAAGTGTGGGGTGTCTACAGATATTATTTAAAGTTCTTTGTTAGGAAGACTTGCCTCTTTTACCCCAGTACATTAATTTATTCAATCAATCATTTATTTTATACTTTGGGTTTTAACCTTACACTGTGTTATTTATTTTGTTGCTCAAATTGTTCCAGCTTTAATCATAGTGAGTTTTGGGCCTTGCATTCCTGTGATAAGCTGTCCCTTCCTTTTTTTTTTTTTTTTTTTGTTTGTTTGTTTGTTTGTTTGTTGGAGACAGACTCTTGCTCTGTCACCCAGGCTGGAGTGCAGTGGTGCGATCTCGGCTCACTGCAAACTCTGCCTCCCAGGTTCAAGCAATTCTCCTGCCTCAGTTTCCCGGGTAGCTGGGTTACAGGTGTCTGCCACCACACCCAGCTAATTTTTGTATTTTTAGTAGAGACAGGGTTTCACCATCTCTACTAAAGAGACTAGGCTGGTCTTGAACTCCTGACCTCAAGTGATCCACCTGCCTTGGCCTCCTAAAGTGCTGGGATGATGGGCGTGAGCCACTGTGCCTGGCCCGTCCCCTTGTTTTTTTAAAGCACGTCTTTACTTTTCGTCACTACAAGATGCTGCAGGCTCATCTTGTATTTTCTCTGTCCCAGACCACAAACAGCCATTTCTCCAAGGAGCCATGGTTCCTGGAGAATAATAGTGAGAAATGAAGACTGGGATGTGGTGACAAACTTTAATTTTATTGCTCTGTAAGCTTTCCCAAGCTCCCCATTGGGCTATAAACCTCATTCTGCGTGGTGGTTTTGCTGTCTCTCTCACCATGTTGCCTCTTGTACATACAATATCTAGTATTTATTGAATGAATGAAGTTCATTGAAACAAGTTTTAGCTTTTTTCTTGATTCTTTTAATATTACACTAATTTTACTTTTGTGTAACGCCGTAATCTAGCTAGACCAAGAAAATGAGTCATGCCTTATTATTATTATTATTATTATTATTATTATTATTATTATTATTGTTTGATGTGGGGTCTCACTCTGTCACCCAGGCTGGAGTGCAGTGGCGCAATCTTGGCTCACTACAACCTCCACCTCCCGAGCTCAAGCGATTCTCCCACCACAGCCTCCAGAGTAGTTGAGACTACAGGCGTGTGCCACCACGCCTGACTAATTTTTGTGTTTTTGTAGAGACAGGGTTTCGCCATGTTGCTAAGGCTGGTCTTGAACTCTCGGACTCAAGTGATCCTCCTGCCTCAGCCTCCCAAAGTGCTGGGATTACAGGTATGAGCCACCACACCCAGCAGAGTCATGCCTTATTTTATCTCCCTGTCATTATGAAATGACTGATATCTCAGAAAATGAAGACATGAATGCATTTGTAATGTATTCATGGAGTATGTCCTACCCTGCATGCATTTCAACAGTAGTCACCCATAATCAATGAATATTTGTAATTCTTGGTTATTTGATTTTATTCCTGGCCAGAAATTTAAAAAGGAAAGTGTGTAGTAGGAAAAAAAAAAAAAAGCAAATTGACTGTTTTTTCCTACTACACTTACTCAACTCCATGCACTTCTGTGACCATATGGGTGGGGTTTTCCTTACATGTCAGTACTCCCATGGGTACCAACTGGGTATCCTCTAATTCAGTTCAATTCTGACATTATATACTTGGAGTCAGATCCCACAAGATAAGGACTCAGTCCCACAAGTCTGCTTCCACCTCAGATGCCAATAGCAAGTCTGGGCCTCTGGAACTGACCAACTGGCTATAAATTAGGGGTTCCCACCACCCTCTCCCTAATGATTTGCTAGAGTGGCTCACAGAACTCAGGAAATCACCATACTTAATGTTTACCCATTTATTATAAGGGATATTACAAAGGATACAGATGAACAGCCAGATGAAAAAGATGAGGCACAGGGCAAGGTATGGGGAGAGGGGCTGTGGAGATTCCATGTCTTCTGATATAGTGTGGTTGTGTCCCCACCCAAATCTCATCATGAATTGTAGCTCCCGTAATCCCCACGTGTTGTGGGAAGGACCTGGTGGGAGGTAATTGAACCATGGGGGCAGGTTTTTCCCATGCTGTTTTTGTGATAGGGAATAAGTCTCATGAGATCTGATGGTTTTATAAAAGAGAGTTCCCCCGCACCTGCTTTCTTGCCTGCCACCATGTAAGAATGTGCCTTTGCTCTTCCTTTGCCTTCCGCCATGAGTGTGATGCCTCCCCAGCCATGTGGAATTGTGAATCAACTAAGCCTCTTTCCTTTATAAATTACCCAGTTTTGGGTATGTCTTTATTAGCAGTGTAAAAATGAACTAATACATCCTGTATGGGTAAGACACCCTCCATGTGTTCAGAAACCTAGAAGCTCCTCAAACCCCTTGATTTTTATGGAGGCTTTATCACATAGGTATGATTGATTATTAAGTCAATTTCCAGCCTCTCTCCCCTTCTCAGAGGATGGGAATGGGGATGGAAGTTCCAAGCTTCTATTCTTGGCTTGGTCTTTCTGGTGACCAGCCCCCACCCAGAAGCCCCATTGAGAGTTCCCATATTAGAACAAGAGATGCTCCCATCACTCAGAAAATTGCAAGGGATTAGGAACTCTGTGGCAGGAACCAGGGTTAAAGACCAAATATTGGAACAAAAGATGCTCCTAACATCTCTATTGCCCAGGAAATTGCAAGGGATTTAGGCACTATCTGCCAGGAACTGGAGATAAAGATATATATATTTCTTATTATAAATCATAATGTCACATAAAGATACATTGTTGCTCTGTTCTTTTCTAATTCTTTTCCTTCCATCTATTTCCATATGTCAAAATTGGACCAGTGTCCCAAGGCCTAACTAACTCCAAAGCCAAGTCTTTCCAGTTGCCTTTATATCTCTCTGTCTAAAATGAGATCTCCCTTATCTCTGAATCCCATGAGTTTGTATTTACACTGTGATATTTACCTTTTTAAAATTGTACTCATTTATATATGTCATAATCCTTCTCTAACACTGTAAATTAATTTCTGGCAGGGCTCATATCAGATTCAACTTCTTGCCTACAAATAGCAACAAGAAATCAATTGTTTAAAGAGAATTTGAAATTTAAAAAATTATATTATGGCTCTGTAATAGCTAATTTCAGAATGGAGGAAAAAGAACAACTAAATCAGTTGATCAGAAGGAGGGGAAACTATACAAATTATGTTCTGGCTATAAAATTACAAGTGATTGTTATGTAGAGGATAGATAGGGAAGCTAGTACTACAGTGAAGTTCCCCCTTTCATTCTCAACCCCTTAAATTTGGTCCAAAGAAACTCAACCAACCAACCAACCAACTAAAAAAAAGTCGATACATTTGGTATCGAAGAAGGTATGGTGAAAAGGTTAAATATATATAGTTGAAGGGGGAAGAATCTGGTCTAGAATGATAAAAGATGCACATACAAGAAAATATATTACCACGCTGTTTGCAAAAATGAAAACCAGAGCATTTTGGAAGCGACCTGACTGTCTGTCAACAGCAAATGACTGGATAAAATTTGATATAGCTATACTATGTGATGTTATGTGGCTATTAAAAACAAATTAGATCTCTGGCTATTTTTCCAAAGACATGTCTGTGGTGGGCTGTAAAGTGAGAAAAGGAAGGAGCAGAGACAGGAGTTGAGCTTGATTCTAGTTTTGTCAAAATGTCAACTTACAGGTCAGGGTAAGGACCTGTAAGGGAGGGAAGAGAAAACGGGAGGGTAGGAGACCAGCCAGGCTAGATAGGGACAAGGTTGCATGTTCTCCCACAATGCGTCCAGGTAGCCTCTTATTCTGAAAAAGACACAGTCACCTTGCCAACGGCCATGACCTGCTAGTCTCATTGATTCTCATAGGAAAGAAACATTTGTGCCCAGAGTTTTAGGGGATTTGAGGTTCCAGTTGGGGATTTCCCTGAGGAGAGCGCATGTCATCATGCATTTTGACGTCATGGCATCTTGAACTTTAGATAAAAGAGAACCAATTCATGTTGATTTTTTGTTGTTGTGGCATTTAAAAACTCTGAGCTTTATCTTTTAGAGGGGTAAGATGAAAAGGAGTGAAGATCAGCCTTCCCCTTTTTACTTAATGGGAAAGGGTTTGTAGATGATTTAAAATGTCACTTATTTCATTGAAATGAATGATACATTTATTAAAGATGTTCAAACTCACCAGTGTCAGAGATATGTAAATTAAAGTAACAGTGAGATATCCCTCTCAGGCTGGGAAAAAAAATGGAAAAGACCAATCTCACCTATATTGTTGATGGGAATGAGAATTATTTCAGCTGTGTTTTGGCCACATTTATTAACATAAAATATATAGATTTTTGGAAATTATATAGGACTGGATATATAGGAAATAATATAGGTAATAAGACACATAAATTATATAGAATAATGATAAAATGAACCCATTTCCAACCTAAGAATGCGGTCGTCACCAATACTGTTGAAGCCACCTGCAAGCTTCTCTCTAGTCCACTTTCTCTGCCTTCTCCGCCTTTCTCTAGAGGTATCTACTACCCTGTTCTCTTGCTTTGCTCTTTTAAAAATAGTTAAAGAGAAATACATATACTCTTTGACCCCGTAATCCCCATCCTGGGACTCTATCTCGTAGACATAAAGGCCATGGTACATAAGGATGTTTGTAGAAAGGATGTTTATTGCAGCACTGTTTGTAGTAGCCAAAGAGGGAGAAACGAGTGAATGCCCATTAATGATTGAACAAATTACAGGACATCCACACCATGGAATTTTCTGCAGCTATTAAAAAACGATGAATTAGAGCAATACCAGATGCCTTGGAGGGATTTCCATGGCATATTGTAGCATGAGGAAATGGGAGCTGCGGAAGCGTGCATAAAATGACAAATGCCTATGTATTATATACTGTGTGTGAATACATATATTTGTGTGTGATTTATGAGTATAGAGACAAATTTGGAAGGATGTATTCTAAATTGTCAATGAGGATTAACAGAAAGAGGAAGGGTGGTCTGATGTGGAGGGAGAATGGATTAAGCCAAAAGAGAAGAAGAAAAAAACCCAAATTACCTGGGCTTCATCAGATAAATGGAGATCAAAATTCCATCTTATTGTTGTTCCAGGGCTTGTAATATGGTTAGGCTTTGTGTCCCCACCTAAATCAAATCTCATCTTGAATTGTAATCCCCATAATCCCCACAGATCAAGGGAGAGACCAGGTGGAGGTTATTGAATCATGGGGGTGGTTTCCTCCTTGCTGTTCTCATGATAGTGAGTGAGTTCTCACGAGATCTGATGGCTTTATAAGGGGCTCTTTTCCCCTCTTCGCTCAGGACTTCTTCCTGCCACCTTGTGAAGAAGGTGCTTTGCTTCCTTTTTGCTTTCCGTCATGATTGTAAGTTTCCTGAGGCCTCCCCAGCCATGCTGAACTGTGAGTCAATTAAACCTCTTTCCTTTATAAATTACCCAGTCTCGGGCCGTTCTTTATAGCAGTATGAAAATGGACTAATACAGCTTGTGTGATAATTTCACTGGATGATGTGAAGGCTTTTTTGAAAATGTTCAAGGCTCTGCCCAAATATGTGATGGTGGAATTTATTATGATATGCAAATGATACTTATAATAGTGATGTGATTTTATTTATTTATTTATTTTTTTTGAGACAGGGTCTCACTCTGTCTCTCAGGATGGAGTGCAGTGGTGCGATCACAGCTCACTGCAGTCTCAACCTCCTGGGCTCAATTGATCCTCCCACCTCAGCCTCTTGAGCAACTGGGACTACAGGCATGCACCAACACACCCGGCTATTTTTTTTTTTTTTTTTGTATTTTTTGTAGTGACTGGGTCCATGTTGACCAGGCTGGTCTTGAATTCATGGGCTCAGGTGATCCTCCTGTCTTAGCCTCCCAAAGTGCTGGGATTACAGATGTGAGCCACTGCACGTGGCCAGTGATGTGACTTTGAGCAAATAATTTTTTATTCTTCTAGGTCTAATAAGGTTTTATCCATTAGACAGATAATAATAACCAACCTCATTAATAGCTGATATCCTTTCAGATGAACTATTGAAATCACTCTGCCTGGATTAAATGTAGTCCTCAACCATGGCAAAATTCAAAGTATGACCTGCTTAACCTGACTGCTAAATCCTCCCCTGACCCCCACCACAGTTTCCCCTCTGCTAACACCTTACATCGCCATGGTACTTTTGTCTAAACTCAGAGATGGGAACTGGCGCATTGCTTGTAACTAACCTCCAGAGTTTATATGGCTTTCACTTTTCCAATCATGTTCTGTTTCTGTTTTACGATCCAATCCAGGGTGCCACACTGCATTTTGTTGGCATGAATCCTCAGTCATTTCTTGTCTGTGACAGTTTTTCATTATTTTTTATAGCTTTTTTTTTTTTTGAGATGGTGTCTTGTTCTGTCACCCAGGCTGGAGTGCAGTGGTGTGATCTCGGCTCGCTGCAACCTCCGCCTCCCGGGTTCAAGCAATTCTCCTGCCTTGGCCTCCTGAGTAGCTGGGATTACAGGCATGCATCACCATGCATGGCTAATTTTTATATATTTTTTTAGTAGAGACAGGGTTTTGCCATGTTGGCCAGGCTAGTCTTGAACTCCTGACCTCAGGTGATCTGCCTGCTTTGGCCTCCCAAAGTGCTGGGATTACAGGCATGAGCCACCGCGCCCGGCCTACGTTTTATGGCTTTGATGGTCGAGATGTGCTGGCCAGGTATCCTGTAGAAAGTTCCCCGATCTGGGTTTGCTGGATGCCTTCTCCAGATTATGCTGGAGCAGTTTGTTTTTGTGTGTGTTATCCAGACTAATCTCCTCTTGGAATAATTTTGCCTATATAAATGTGACCCGCCGGGCGTGGTGGATCACACCTGTATCCCAGCACTTTGGGAGGCTGAGGCAGGTTAATTGCCTGGACTCAGGAGTTCGAGACCAGCCTGGGCAACATGGCAAAACCCCGTCTCTAAGAAAATACAAAAAATTAGCTGGGCGCGGTGGCGCACACCTGTAGTCCCAGCTACTTGGGGGGCTGAGGTGGAGGATGGCTTGACTCTGGGAGTTTGAGGCTGCAGTGAGCTGAGATCATGCCACTGCACTTCAGCCTGAGTGACAGAGTAAGACCCTGTCTCTAAAAAAATAAGATAAAATAAAAGAAATGTGACCCTAGAGTTGTGTGTGAGTGAGAGAGAGAGAGAGAGAGTGTGTGTGTGTGTGTGTGTGTGTGTGTGTGTGTGTATAAGAGGCAGGGTCTGTCTCTGTCCCCAGGCTGGAGTACAGTGGTGCAATCATAGCTCACTGCAACCTTGATCTCGTGGTATCAAGCAATCCTCCTGCCTCAGCCTCCCGAGTAGCTAGGACTACAGGTGTGCACCACCACTGCTAGATAATTCTTTTTTTTTCTAGACGTGTGGTTTCACTATGTTGTGCAGGCTGAAACTCCTGGCTTCGAGTGATCCTCCTGCCTCAGCCTTCCAAAGTGCTGGGATTACAGGCATGATATACCAGGCCTAGCCCCTAGAGGTATTAAATGGGGGTATTAACTTGTCTTTTTATTCTTCATTTAAATGATTGCAAATGCTATCCAATCTACTCCCGAGAGGCCCCTCAGGGAGTTAGTTTCCATTTTACAGATGAGGCAGCCGGACCCTTCTGCATGGCAGAGAGGACATTCCAACCCAGATGCCAGTGCCAGAGGCTGCCCATAGCTCCGCTACTGTTGAGCTGCTAACAAATTGGTTTGTCCAAGGGCATGTTCAACTGTAACCCTCCGTTCCCCTTTGGAGAAACTTCACTATCACCTAATTAGGTAACATGGTAACTGGGCAACCATTACTTATAATAGACGTGGAGTTGTAAATTATTCTATTTAATTAAGAACTGCACATTTCCTATTAAAGGAAAGCTTATCATAGGTTAGTAAATTTATTGGGAACACTTAACTTTAGCTAATTAAGCTGTTTGAACTCAAGGCGAGGGCATTCATTAATAACCAAGCCCAAGCAGTTAAGGGCAATTAGTGAAACAGCTGGTCTTTATCTCACTGTTAAAGGATGGTTAATAGAGATCTTTGCAGCTCTTATAAACCTCCCCAAAGCAATATCTTCTTCAAAAGTTTGCATTGGTAAAGAAAATAGAAGAGGAAACTAAACATAAAAGAATGGAGTGTCGGAAGCAGTCTGGATCTCTAGGCTCATGATGATGCCAGAAAAAAATGAAATCCAGAGGCATTTCCTAGTGGTCCTCATCTTTCCTAGTGGTCTGCATTTACCTGGGAGAGTTTGACCTCGAAGTCAGCAGTAGATGTGTTTTAGCTCCCCCCTGGAATCTTGGCTGCCCCAGGAGCATGGGGCCAGGGATGGGTCCTTTATATATGCAGAGATTATATGTCCTGAAAGAAAAATGCAGGAATGGTAACCTCTCATTCAGAAATGCAGCCAGGTAGCCTTAGACAAAATGCTTTTTTTGGATCTGCAAACGTCTCTATGTAGAAAGTCTCACAGAGTCCTCATATGTCTTATTCAGTAATTTGTCAGATTTTTTTTTTTTTTTTTTTTTTTGGAGATAGGGTCTAACTCCGTCACCCAGGCTGGAGTGCGGTGGCGCAATCTCAACTCATCACAACCTCAGCCTCCCAGGCTGAAGCGATCCTCCCACCTCAGCCTCCTGAGTAGCTGGTACTACGGGCATGTGCCACCATATCCTGCTAAGTTTTTTGTATTTTTAATAAAGACGAAGCTTCACCATGTTGTCCAGGCTGGTCTTGAACTCCTGAGCTCAAGCGATCAGCCTCCCAAAATGCTAGGATTACAGGCATGAGCCGCCCTACCCAGCCAGCTTGAACTTTTATTTAGAAATGTTAAAATGTGCATAGTTATTAGGATTATCTTGTGTTTCAGGAATCAACTGTCATTATGTATCCTGTGATTGGAGGGAAATGAGTAATTCTTACCCTACCTGCAAATAGTTGTTTCTTGGTCAGATGGTAGGGATTCTGGTTGGGGATGGTACTTTCATCACTCTGCCTTCAGACATGTATTGATTGCCTGTTGTATGCTGGGCACTATGCTGGTATGTGACATCACATGAGAGCATCAAGGAGCCTGTTTAGCTTGCAATCCAATGAGAGAAGAATGGACAGTAAACAGGTGTTGTTTTTGTTTATTAAAACAAGGTAATCTTTGGCTGGGTGCGATGGCTCGTGCTTGTAATCCCAGCACTTTGGGAGGTGGAGGTGGGAGGATGGCTCAAGGCCAGGAGTTTGAGACCAGCCTGGGAAACATAGAGAGACCCCGTCTCTACCTAACAGAAAAAATTAGCCAGGCATGGTGGTGGCATATCCCTGAAGTCCCAGCTATTTGGGAGGCTGGGGTGGGAAAATAGCTTGAGCCCAGGAGGTTGAGGCTGCAGTGAACTATGATTACGCCACTGCACTCCAGCCTGGGTGACAGAGTGAGATCCTGTATCTAAGAAACAAAAAAACAAAAAACAAAGTAATCATGGACTATGATCAATGCTTTGAAGGCAAAGTGGTTATCCAAATTCAGCCTTTCTTGGTTGTTGCCTTGCCTTATAATAGTGTCTGCTTCATATTTCCTTTTTAGTTGGCTCATATTGCTTTAAACTTAAATATATTTATTTGAAATGAAGACCTTATATTCCTACAATAAGTGGGAAGCCAGTATCACTTATCAGAAATGGAAACTAATCAGAAGAATAAATACATAACTATTAAAATGAAAGCTGTCACATGTTCTCATTTATACGTGGGAGCTAAATGATGAGAACACATGGACACATAGAAGGGAACAACACACCCTTTCAGAGGGTGGAGGGTGGGAGGAGGGAGAGGATCAGGAGAAATAACTAATGAGTACTAGGTACTGGGTGATGAAATAGTCAAACACCCGTGACACAAGTTTACCTATGTAACAAACCTGCACTTATACCCCTGAATTTAAAGTAAAAGTTAAAAAAATTCATTACCTCACATACTTAGTTTTGGAGGGTTGAAGACATTTAAAATCTACTCTTTTAGCAATTAATAATAAAGGTTTTTTTTTTGTTTTTGTTTTTGTTTTTTTTTTTTTTTTTGAGAGGGAGTCTCACACTGTTGCCTGGGCTGAAGTGCAATAGTGTGATCTTGGCTCGCTACAACCTCTGCCTTCTGGGTTCACGCGATTCTCCTGCCTCAGCCTCCCGAGTAGCTGGGATTACAGTCCCACACCACCACACCTGGCTAATTTTTTGTATTTTTAGTAGAGATGGGGTTTCACTATGTTGGCCAGACTGGTCTTGAACTCCTGACCTCATGATCCGCCTGCCTCGGCCTCCTAAAGTGCTGGGATTACAGGTGTGTGCCACCATGCCTGGCTATTTTTTTCGTGTTTTTAGTAGAGACGGGGTTTCACCATGTTGGCCAGGCTAGTCTCGAACACCTGACCTCAAATGATCTGCCTGCTTTGGCCTCTCAAAGTACTGGGATTACAGGTGTGAGCCATCGTGCCCAGCCTAATATTAAAGTTTTCTTTGGTTTTAGTAAATGAAAAAAATAAAAATAAAATAAAACCTGTCTTCTGCCACCTAAAAACAGCCCAGGAAGTACCAGCAGTGTGCATGTCATATTTTGGAAATATTGGCATGAGTTGAGGGGTAACTGAGGATGCCACCTGCCATGTGTGCATGCATGTGTATGTATATAACCACCTGAAAGTAGATTACATGGTACTTCACTCTTAAATAATAGTGTGCGTTGTCTAAGAACAGGAACTTCTACTACATAATCATAATACCATTTCACACCTGAGAAAATGAACAATAGAGCCTGATATTATTTAATATATAGTCCATATTCATGCTTTCCTCATTGGCCCAAAAATATTTTTATAGCTTTCTTCTTGAACCCAGATATAATCAAGGCTTACACACTGCATTTGGTCACTAGGTGTTTTTAGTCTAAATCTATAACAAAGTTTGGTAATCATTTTCTAGAAAGGGCCGGGTAGCAAATATTTTTGGCTTTGCAGGCCATATCATCTCTGTTGCAGTCACTTAACTCTGCTCTTTTCATACAAAAGCAGCCATGGACAGTAAGTAAACAAGTGAACATGGCTGTATTCCAATAAAACATTATTTACAAAAACAGGTAGTGGGCCAGATTTGGTCCACAGGATAACACCAAACTCACTTCCCCTTTTAAATGAAATTGGCTTAAAATCCTTCCTTTTAAAGTTGCAGCATGTGGCATTGACTTTTGAAAAATCTCAGCCAGATGTCTTGTAGAATGTCCCACATTTGGATTTGTCCGAAGTTTCCTCTGGGTGTTATTGAACTTGTTCCTCTCTCCCCTATATTTCTTCTGTCCTGAAGATTAGTTTCAGAGGCTTGATTTGATTGGGGTGAAACATTTCTGGCAAGAATCCTTCAAGGTGATGCCATATCTTTCACATTGCATCATGCCAGGAAACATGTATTTCTTTGCTCCCCACTTGGTGATGCCAAGTTTGAGCCCTTGGCTAGGGACATAACACCAGACCTCTCCATTGCAAAGGTACATTTCCCCTCTGGAATTAGTGCATAATATGCAGGCTTCTCCCTCTGTCTGGAACACGCCTCTCTGTGGTCTTCCTTTGGGTGGCTCTTTCTCATCATTTGAGCCCCCACTCAAGCATCAGCTGCCCTGAGAGCAGGACATTATGCAACTGCTCTTAGGTGCTCTCAAGGCCCTGCATGCTGTGGCCCTGGCCACCTCCCTGGAGTCATCTTGGACATTCTCCTCTTTCCTGTTGCAGGTCAGCCATGCTGGCCATCTTTCACTGCATGGAGTGCACCGTGCTCCCTCTGTCCTATCCTTGCCTGGAGCACATCACTCTCTGCCTCACCCGGCTAACCCCTTCTCACACTTCTGGTATTCACTAGGGGGTCCTATCCTGAAGGGTGTCTTCCTAGACTGTCCTCCCCATCCCAGTTTGGGCAAAATACTGCTGTCAAATGTTCTCAAAGTACCACATAAGTTTCTTTTTGTAAGGGCTCATCACAACGGAAATTTTTCATTTTTAATGTGGTTATTATATTAGTCTCCCCTACCCTCCCTAGAAGCTGAGCTCCATAAGGGCAAGAAGCCTGCCTAATTTTGTTCATCCCTGTAAATATCCAAAACACCTAGCACAGTGCCCAGCACATAGTAGGTGCTCAATAAATATCTGTTGAATAAATGTATGAATAATGACTTGTTGAATGGCTCCAATGGGACCCTATGCTAATAGGATCCTGAAGGGTCAGCCCTATTTAGCACTCGGAATGATCTAGACCAGGAATTGGCAAGCTTTTTCTGGAAATGGCCAGATAGTAAATATTTTTAGCTTTGTGGGCCATACATTCTCTCACGGAATTATTCAAGTTGGTTGTGGTAGTGAAAGCAGCCAGGGGAAATACCTAAGTGAATGGACAGAGCTTTGTTCCAATAAAAATTTATTTACAACAGGCCAGGTGCAGTGGCTCATGCCTGTAATCCCAGCACTTTGGGAGGCTGAGGAGGGCAGATCAGTTGAGGTCAGGAGTTCAAGACCAGCCTGGCCAACATGGTGAAACCCCATCTCTACTAACAATACAAAAATTAGCCGGGCATGGTAGCATGCACCTGTAATCCCAACTATTCAGAAGGCGGAGGCAGGAGAATCGCTTGAATCCAGGAGATGGAGGTTGCAGTGAACTTAGGTCACACCACTGCATCCCAGTCTGGATGACAGAGCGAGACTTCATCTCAAAAAAAAAAAAAAAAATTACAATAGGAGGCGAGCCAGATTGGGGCTGTGGGATGGAGTTGGCCAGTCCCTGATCTAGGGGCATTATTCCTGGTTTCATCTTAATTTTGCTTCATATTTATTGAATTCCTGCTCTGTAACAGGCATGATTCTGGATTCTGGGAATATCACAGTGAGTGAGACTGACAATATCTTTGGCCACATGAAGCTTACTATAAATGAATGAATATTTGACTAGAGACAGACAATAAAGAAGTAAATGAATAATATCATTTCACACATGATGATGTGTTCCATGAAAAATAATTAAACTGGGTGCTGGAATGCTGAATGACTGAGTTGAAGCCTAGGGGCTGCTCTTTTAAATAGAATGGTCAGGTTAAATTAGGGGCAATTTGAGCATTGGTAAAAAGGATGTAACTGAATGTCGCACACTGGAGAAATAAAAACCCATGAGTCAATAGTGTGTCTAAAGAGAAAGGGAGAAGTGAAGGAGGAAAGCTCTTAGTTAGGGAGCTAACTAATCCTTGTAAAAGGATCGGTAGAATTAAAAATCATGGCCAGGAGTGGTGGCTCGTGCCTGTAATCCCAGCACTTTGGGAGACTGAAGTGGATGGATCACTTGATCCTAGAAGTTCAAGACCAGCCTAGGAAACATAGTGAGACCCTCATTACTACTACTAATAAAAAATATTATCCAGGCATAGTAGCACACACCTATAGTCCCAGCTATTTGGGAGGCTGAGGAGGGAGGATCGCTTGAACCTGGGGAGGCTGAGGCTGCAGTGAGCTGTGATCGTGCTACTGCATTCTGGCTTGGGCAACAGAGAGAGACCCTGTCTCTAAAAAAAAATAATAAAATAAAAATCATGTTTCAAGCCCCATTGTAATAATTGATTCATGACCAGCCTGGGCAACATGGTGAAACCCGTCTTTACTAAAAATAAAAAAAATTAGGTAGGCATGGTGGTGCACACCTGTGGTTCCAGCTACTCAGGAGGCTGAGGCAGAAGGATCGCTCAAGCCCAGGTGGTGGAGGTTGCAGTGATCCAAGATCGTGCTGCTGTACTCCAGCCTGGGTGACAGGGTAAGACTTTGTTTCAAATGATACTAATACTAATAATAATTGATTCATGTAAGAATCATCTTCCCCAAGAAAGTACAATTGAGCAAGAGAAGAATGATGAGATGAAGCCACCAGGAAGAAAGCGTGGGGAAGGGTGTTGCAGGCAGAGGGAGGGGACAGTGCAGTCCCTGTGGCTTGCTTCAGAGACAGCAAGAAGATCTCGGTTGCTGGACAGAGGAGGAGAATGGTCAGAGATGACAGACCCAGGGCATGTTGGGCTTTGTAGGTCCTAAGGAGGAGCTAGGATTTTATCCTAAGTGTGGGGGGAAACCATGACAGTCTTTGGAATGGAAAGGAGGTAAGATGGTTTCTATTTTAACATGATTCTGCCTGCTACTGTGGCAGGAGTAGGTTGGCAATGGGGTGGTCACAGTGGAAGAGGGAGACCAGCAAGGGGACTTCCAAAGTCATCTGATGCAAGAAATGATGTGGTGTCAGCAGAAGGGGTGAGGAGTGGTTGCAGCTGGCATATACATTTGAAGGTAGAACTCCCAGGGTTTGAATTATATGTGGATGGGAAGGAAAGAGAGGAGTTGAGGATGACTCCAAGGTCTCGAGGCTGAATAATCTGTGGGTGGGAGCCATGTTGGGGGAAGACCCTCAGAGGCCTCGGTTTATGAAAGAAGCCTCAACAACTGTATTATGATGGATACATGCCCTGTGTGAGATGCCTGTTAGACATCTCAGTGACATGGAGTAGGCAGGTGTAGGAGGTACGAGCCTGGAGATAGTTGAGAGTTATTGGTCTATAGCTGATTAAATCACAAGAGGGGATAAGATCCCTTAGATAGAGGAGACCTAGGATTGGGAAAGGCATTAGGGGACACAGAAGGGGCAGCTGGTTAGGTAGGAAAACCAGGAGGATGGGAACCCTAGCACCAGTTCAGAAAGAATTTCAAGAACTTAGTTCCCTTATTTCCCCTTATTGTATTTTTTCACCCCTTTAAAACTCATTTTGGCCTGTAGCAGTGGTAAACAATAGCTCTGACAGTAGTAACAGTAAAGGCAGCCAGCATTTATACCTGTTCTGTGCCACACAGATGCTAAACACCTTACCTGCTCTATCTCATTGAATCCTCACTCCAGCTCCTTGATGTGGGCTTTATTATTATCCCTGGTCTAAACTGAGCAAAGTGAGGCCCAGAGAGGTTGAGTGACTTGCCCAAAGTCACACAGCTCATAAGTGACAGAGCCAGAATTAGAACCCTACATGCCTCAAATCTTTTCCCAAAATAGGTTAGCTATAAATAAATGTCCTGAGAAGCTCCTGGGAAAAGGGTAGTGGTTGATGGGAGGACATTCACTCTGGTATTTAAGGAACTGCTATTCATCAGTCCAGAAACAGAATAGAGGCAGACAATACAAAATTCCTGCTCTTCTGGGGGAGCCTCAGTATCCTCATCTGTGAAATGGGGATAATAAATATATCTACCTCATCAACTTTTTGAGAGGATTCAATGTGTTAATGCAACAAATCTCTCAGAACAGGGCCTAACATGTAGTTGACATACGAGACATAGTCATTATTGAGAGACTCTATGGCTTCATGGTTAAGGATTGGGCCTCCTAGTGCCAGGATGTCTGGGTTCAAATCCCAACTTTGCTACTCCCTAGCTGTGTGGCACTGGGCAAATTCCTTACCCTCTCTGTGGCTTAATTTCCCCATCTGTAAAATGGGATAATGATAGTTTGTAGCTCATATCATTATGATGAAGGTTTACTAAGCTAATATTTTGAAAGGGCTTGAAGTAGCTGGTACATAGTTCTCGTGTTTTAGCTGTTATCATGGGGTTGGGATACAGTGGGGACACAGGCAACAAGCACGCCTGTCAGTAAAGAAACATGTTATCATCTGTGAGAAGAAAGCATGGTAAATAAAAACCCTGCTGGATTTCCACGTGCGTTTCCGTGACAGGCGGCCTGGATTAAAGAGTCGAGAAGTCACAGCGGGAAGAGCTGTCCTGTTCCCAGAGGCAAATGACAGCCCACGGAAAGAAATAGCACAAAGCTTCAGGACGGGGAGACGGTGTCCCGAGGAAAGAGAGGAGGAGCAGAGGATGCTGCGAATCACTGTAATATTTTCCCTAGGAAAGTCCCAGGGGTTCTTGTAGAGGCCTTAATCTCCTATTCTGGGCTTCGGATGCCGGTAGCTCCTTGCTCTTTGAGAGCTGCGTTCCCTCTGGCCTCTGTCTGTCTCTGTTAGAGCCTAATCATATTTGAAAGTAGTTTTTATCTGTGATTATTCATCTGTATATGAGGAGCTTATGTGTCTAAGCTGCCACTTCCATCAAATCCAAGCGCACGGCCCCGTTAATACGCACAGGCCTGACGTTGGCAGGGAAAGTGGTCCCCACCCCTAGTCCAAGGAGGGAGATTTTAGAGAGTTACAGGGGGCCAGCTTTGGGAGTGGGGAGGTGGAGGTAGACAGTGCTGGCATCAAGACAGGGAGCAAAACAAATATGAGAGACCTAATAGCAGGAATTCCAGCCAGGCCCGTAAATCGATAGGTGGGCTTACCCTCAAGGCATGGCTTCTCAAACTTTAATAAGATGGTGTCTATGAAGATTACATATTAGCTTAGAGAACAATATTTCATTTTCGCTGGCTCTTTTTAATCTGCGGGAGATGATGTGCTGGGCTAGGTTTAATGCTCACACACATATTTCAGTTTAATTTTCTGTTAAATTGTGGTGAGGTTAGAGTGGAGTTTTTTCCCCTCTTCCCAGGGTGGGGAGTTCTGACATCAGGAGGCAGACAGCCAGCGGGGAATCAGGCCAAGGACAAAGTTGGGCGGCCCCCCGACCTACAACAAAGACAAAATCATTTGATTATCCTTGCTTCTCCTGCGGATGTTTGTTTCTTTCTCTCTCTCTCTTTTTTCCTACAGCATTGCGATGTAATTCACATACCATGCAATTTACTCATTTAAAGTGTACAATCTGTCCAGGCACGGTGTCTCATGCCCGTAATCCCAGCACTTTGGGAGGTTGAGGTGGGAGGATTGCTTGAGCCCAGGAGTTCAAGACCAGCCTGGGCAACAAAGTGAGACCTTGGCTCTACAAAAAATAAACAAAATTAGCTGGGCGTTGTGGCACATGCCCGTGGTCCCAGCTACTTGGGAGGTTGAGGTGGGAAGATCTCTTGAGCCTGGGAGGTTGAGGCTACACTGAGCCGAATTGCACCACTGCACTCCAGCCTATACGACAGAGCGGGACCCTATCTCAAACAAACAAACAAAGAAACAAACAACAACAACAACAAAAAAAATGGAGGCTTGTGTACTGTATGTTTACACATTTAAGCATAAACCAATATATGTCATATCCTCTTACCTTGGCAAAACTCCATAATGATAAGATTAAAACATACAATAGAGCTAAGGTTTAGCTCTAATGTTACTGGAAGTTGACACAATATCAAACATCACTCAATTAAACCCCTGTTATTTTTGGATATTCTGTTGGTGGACTGGCTGGCAATGTTTGGATGAATAAAAGAAAAAAGACACATATAATTCACAAATTAGATATTTCATAAAATTTCTTTCTCTGGCTTTAATTTTATCAAAGTCACTAATAATGTTGCTTTTGAGACCGAGTCTCACTCTGTCGCCCAGGCTGGCATGATCTCGGCTCACTGCAACCTCTGCCTCTTGCGTTCAAGTGATTCTCCTGCCTCAGCCTTCAGAGTAGCTGGAATTACAGGTGCAAGCCACCATGCCTGGCTAGTTTTTGTATTTTGAGTAGATACGGCATTTCGCCATGTTGGCCAGGCTGGTCTCAAACTCCTGACCTCCAGTGATCCACCCGCCTTGGCCTCCCAAGTTGCTGGGACTACAGGCATGAGCCACTGTGCCCAGCCAATAATGTTTTTATAATCAAGAGTTCTACCAATTTGCTTCTATTGACAGCAATGATTTAGTCATTACAAAATAAAATATTATTGGATTAAAACTATTTGGATATATTTTCACCAAGAAAGTATATCATAGTAAAGATAAAATGGAAAAATTAAAGTTATTTTTCGTATATGTTTTCAAAACATTATTTTTTCTTTAGGTATTTGAAATTATTTATTACAATTAAAAGGTACAATGAAAATTATGTTAGTATTAACAATTAAATATTAAACAATTAAAAAAATGAAAGTTGAAATTTAATTTTTGAAATTTGATTTAGATCTTATTACATATTTTTATTTAAAAACTATTCATAATTCTAGTTTTCTATGTCTGTTCAGTTGTCAGTTTCAAGAGTCATTCAGTATTATGGCCAGATTTATGAATATACATAATTAAGAGTACATTTTTTTTGAAACAGGGCATCATTCTGTTGCCAAGGCTGAAGTGCAGTGGCACAATCATGGCTCGTTGCAGCCTTGACCCTCTGAGCTCTATCAATCCTTCTGCCTTAGCCTCCTGAGTAGCTGAGACTACAGGTGTGCACCACCACGCCTGGTTAATTTTTGCATTTTTGTAGAGATGGAATTTCATCATGTTGCCCAAACTGTTCTTGAACTCCTGGGCTCAAACAATCCTCCAGCCTCGGCCTCCCAAATTGCTGGGATTACAGGTGTGAGCCACCGCACCTGGCCATGAATTCTTTCTACTGCAACATTTTCCGTGGCCGTAATATGCAACTGTCAAAAATGCCATACTGATTCTAGAACCACAAATTAGAACACAAAGAGAAGCAAGAAACAGGCAGTCAGCACTATGGGGAAATGATGTTCTGCTCTGCAAGAATCTATTACCCACTCTATTTGAGAGGAAATATTTGACAAGTTAATTTGTCCTTTTCTTTCCTAAGTGCTTTTGTGACCCCTGCACACCAGAGCAGTACCCATCTCTCCTTTAGGCTGTAGTACTGCACATGAACCTTCAAGGTGTTTGGGCACAGTTGCCTTTTGTTTTGAGGACAGAGATCAAGATCTGGGAGGCAGTGCTTCTCTGGGGCCTGAATGGTGTTATGTATTAGGGTGGGTGTTTGGAGTAATCAATGCGTTTTGTCAGGGCTAGGTCCAGGTCCCAGGTGACTGAGTGGCCCAGGACAGGAGCCCCTGTTGCTCAGGTCTAAGGGTGGCCTTGCAGATGTATGTGGGGAGACAGAGGTTCAGAGAAGAACTTCAGGACTGAAACACCTGGATAGCATCTCGGAATGCATAAACCATCCCTTTGGATGCCTGTGGAAACTTCTCTCCATATTTCTTATCTAAATGGTGTTTTCTCAACTTCTGATTTGACCATTCTGTGAATAATCCTAAGGGTTGAAACTTTTATGAGTTAAGTGGTGATAGGCTTTTCCATTTTATTTGAGGATGCAAGCATTATTTTCCTAACAGACAGTTTTCATCTGTGGGCCAAAAGCATTGTCACAGGTACATATTCTGAAATATTCTTATCTACAGATAAAGAACTCAGCACACACGGTGGTGTTTGAATAGGAAAAGTGAAAAACAAACCATTCACCTCACGTGATCAATTTTATTTGGGCCATTAGCAGAGAATATTTTGCACTAGAGACTTCTTACATCAAGTAATAACTGAATGTTAAGCAAACAGATCATCAATTATTAAGATGCAGCTGCTATTAACATAATCATTTACATTTCAGTAATATCAGCATTTGGAGGGGGTTGTAAAGCTACTTAAAAGCATCTGATGTACAAAATAGGAATTTAACCATGTTCCCTTTGCTAAAATTTTTTAGAGGATCTAGCTCTAATTTTCCACTTAAGAATGGGTGTTGTGATTGGGAGAGGTGTAAAATCTGATGTAGAAATATCTGATCTCTGGATACCTTTTTTTAATTGGTGAAACTCAGGATGACTTCCTTTTGTGAACACATTTTCATTCATTCATTCATTCATTCATTCATTTAAAAGAGCCAGGGTCTTGCTCGTGATCCAGGCAGGAGTTTAGTGGTGCAATTATCACTTACTGCAGCCTCGAACTCTTGAGCTCAAGCAATTCTCCCACCTCAGCCTCCTGAGTAGCTAGGACGACAGACACATACCACCATGACTGGCTAGTTTTTAATTTTTTTTGTAGAGATGGGGTCTTGCTCTATTGCCCAGGCTGGTCTCAAACTCCTGGCCTGAAGCAACCCTCCTGCCTTGGCCTCCTAAAGTGTTGGGATTACAAGGCATGAGCCACTGCACCTGGTCTATATTTTTGGAATATAGATAATACATTCATATGGCTCAAAAAGTAAAAAGTAAAAAAAAAAAAATACAGCGAAAACCCTTCCTTCTTTCTCTGTCTTTTTTGGCCTACAGTGCTCCGTCCCCAGAAGTAATCACTGACGTCATGATCATTTTTATGTACCTGTTCAGGGTTTCTTTGTATATATCAGCAAATACTAATTTTGACTCATTTCACACAGTTTTGAGCCGTGGGTCTTTTGCTTTTGTTTCTTATTTTCCAATATATCCTGGAGATTATTCCAAATCAGCACATAGAGAGCTCCCTCATTCTTTATTTCCAGCCCCATACTACCTGTTGTAGGTTGTACCATACTTTATTTAACCAATCTGCTATAGAGGGACATTGGATTTTTTCCAACTATTTCTTAGGCCAAACACATTGTAAGGAATAAACTTGTACTTGCATGAGGCACGTGCATATACTTTTACATATATTTAGGATAAATTTCTAGAAATGGAATTTCTGGGTCAACTTTTCATGCATATGTAATTCTGATAGATGTTGCCAAATTATCCTCCATGGTGATAGTAGCCTTTTGCGATTCCACTAGCAATAAACGAGAGTGCCTGTTTCCCCAAGGCTGGCTCATGTTTTGAAGACCTGCTCAAGTAGAGGCTATCTGCTCAGCACCGACTTGCAGGGGAGAATAGCATTGTTTTATTCGTATTCTCCAATTACTCTGCTACTTTTCACTCCTTGCCTTTTGCTTGCTGTATGACTGTGCCTTAGTTTCCTCACCTGTAAGATGGGGCTCTAAGAATACCTACAGCCTACAGTAGTTGGGAGAGTTCCAGGTGCTAATGCCAACAAAGCACTAAGCACAGTTCAGACACAGTAACTGCTTAAAAATGCTGTTATTAAGAGGGTCAACTACATGACACCACCCAGAGATTATTGCAACTCTGCTTCTCTTAGGCCACAGCAGACATGAATGTCCATGTTGTAAAATAACAAAGGCACTGAACATTTTCTTGGAAGAAGAGGAATTTTGGTTCTAGGTAAATGTGAGCCCCCTCTGTTGGGTGTAATTGGAGAAGAGGAAATTGGAGGTTTTGAGTGGAAAAGAGTGGTAAGGAGGATAGTGAAGCAGAAGCAGATATTTCTGCAATGAGCCTTGGAGGCGGAAAACAAACTGATGCCTGAGAGAGCTTTGGCACTGAAACCCCTGTCTATAGGAGGAGGTTCCTGAACTCTGTGTGTCACAGGTGCTGAGTGCCCCAGGTATTAACCGGCCTGAAGTTATCACCTGGACAGCTAAGGCTCTAGAATCTGAGTATTGAGGAGACTGGAGACAGAGCTACTCACCCGGGCCAAGTGGAATTGGCAGCATAGCTTTATGGTTGGAGGCTTTTTGTCTGGAATCAGGCAGCCCTGAGTTCAAATGCTGCCTCCATCACTTGCTAGTGGGCTGGCCTAGGATAAGTTCATGTTTCTGATCCTCACTTTCCTCATCGGTCATCTGAAGGTAAATGCCAGAGTAGGGGGCATTCTTAAGATGCTTGTATTTTCACAGGGAGGCTCGGGGATTACAGGCTGGAAGAGTTCTAAGACACTTAGCACTATGCCTGGCACATCTTAAACACTTAATAAATGTCAGCAGCTATTAAGGATATCACATGAATAAGGTTTTACAAGCGTGCTGTTTCTGGGATACAAGGGGGACCCTGAGGGGTGCATGTTAACATATTCAAGTTGTAAAACCAGAAAAGACCCATTTAGATGGCTGTACAGTTATAGAGAGGAAAAATGCCTCTCAGCATACATGTTATTTGCAACAAAGCAAAACAAATTTGTGAGCTTCTTATTGCAGATGAAGCAGAGGGAGAGCCTGAAAAATTTCCTGCCGTCTTGAGGCAGTAAATAGAAAATGGGTTGTATAGTACTGATTGCTGCTAATTTAAGACATATAAAAATCACTGATGGCCTCTTTTTGTTCTCCACTTTTTTCTCTGTTATTTACTAAAGGTAAAATAGTCACACATTTACATACATTATCTTTGTCCTTGTAACTCATTTTTATGTTAAGGATATATATTCCTTATTCTATCTCTTTCACTTATTTTTGTTCCAACCTACCATTCCCTGTAAGAATTTAATCCTTGTGCTTGGGAATGAAGTGTACAATTCTCCTTGCCTAGAATGCTCTAATCTGCCTGCTGCTATGCTTGGCAAGCTCTTAGTCCTCAACCAGCTATTACCTTTGCGAAGTATTTCTCAAGATCACCAGCCTCGATGGCCCTTTCTTCTTTGATTCTGTGAGGCTCTTTTTAATGTTTCTTTTATAGCATTTTTCATACTGGGCTCTCATTCTTTGTGTACATATCCGTCTTTCCCTTTATACTGGGAAAACTTTGAGTCAAGAGTAGCATCTCTCCCTCTCTTCCTTCATCAAACATGTATTAAGCGTCAGACCCTGTGATAGGATCTGTGGATACAGAAATGAATTAGACACAGCCCCTGGTCTGGAAGGGAGATCTCAAGACAATGTGGGAGCAATTAAAGAACGAGGCACTGAGGTAAAACCTTACATAATGCTTTCGTTTAGTCTTCCAAATGACCTTAGATGCATCTGTGAGGATTCCCATTTTACCATTGAAAAGCCTGAGCTAAGGAGAAACTATAACTCATGAAAGAACATAAGGCTACCAAGTGTTCACAATTCCAGCCTCAACGTGGCCCCCCTGGAGGAGGCAAGGCCCAGCAATGTCATGACTGTGAGGATTTGGCCAGATGAAGGAGTCAGGGGAAGGAACTCCAGGAAGAGAGACAAGGCTATGCAAAGGCTTAGGGGTGAGGGAGCATTGCTATTTAGGGAATTATAAAAGTATTAGTCATCTCAGGATTTCCGGTGTTCACACAGTGCTCAGTACACAGTAGATGCTCACTGAATATTGTAAGAATGCATTCCTGCCGCTAAAGTCCCCAAAACTTGTAATTCAACTCAGGACCCGAGTTTCTTGTGTTCCTCAGTATTCTTCAGTAAATTCTCATTTTTGCTGAGGTTCTGGCTTGCATAGACCCGTGGCCCAACTTGGAAGAGTGTGCCCTCAAACTGTCTCCATTCAGCCTTTCAGAAATACAGTTCAGAGGCTTCCTCCCCCACTTCTACCCTTTAAATGTCCAGGGACTGTTTCTACATTTGGTTCAGACAGACTGAGCAAAATTTTGGACATAGATGGACAATTGCTGGATAGACAGCTGATGGAGTGTCTTGACTGAGACCGTCTGTAGGCTACACAGCTCTGGGGTATGTGAAAACTGCCCCCAGCAGATGGAAGTCTGAGCTCAAGAAACAAAAATCTAAGGGAAGTTGCTTTTAGTTCAGCCATAATTCCTAACTCTTGGATCTCTTTCTCATCTGCTCTCCTGCCCATAGACCTGGGGAATACTGTTTTAGACTGGAAGGGGTGGGGCAGATGGAGAAACTGTTCTCTTTCTTTTGCTTTTGCTGAAGACATGTTGTCAAGGCTAGGAATGTTCTTTCTTTTATATGGGATGTCAGTTAATAGAAAGGACTCTGGAGCCAGACTGCATGGGGTTTGAATCCCGGCTCTGCTACTTACCAGCTTCTTGACCTTGGATAAGTTACTTAACATCTCTGTACCTCAGCTTCCCTATCTGTAAAATGGGATTAATAATAGTACCTATTTCATAAGGTTTTTGTGAGAGTATAAAGGAATTAAAATATTTAAAGCACTTAGAACAGTACCTGGAACATCTTACGTGCAATATATGTGACGATGATGATTGTGATAATTAAAGTTACTCTACACAAACTCCCTCCTTTCTTCTGGTTCATTTGTACTAAATGGTAATGTCCCATTTAGTCTCAAAGCCCAATCAAATAGGAATTAGTTCTTATTTTCTTTGAAGACATGGTGAATTTAGACTCTAAGTTGGTAATATCATGTTTAAGCTGTCTAGCACGGTAAACCAAGAAAAGAAAAACAAAATAATAAGATTTCAGATGAAAATAGTTGGGCTATTCACATGAACAAAATACCCCAGGTTGTTTGAGTTGATATATTACTCAAAACCAGAAGAAACTTGATCTAGTCCACTTACTGAAATTTTGATGGGTAAACGGAAGCACAGAGAACTGACTAATGCAGGGTTATATAGGGCTAGACCTAGAATATACTTCTCCTGATCCCTGTTCATGTTCCTTGCAATGCCCTGTAGCCAAAGGATGTTCACTCTCTGAAGCTTCTCAAATTTTTTTTTAATGATAAGGGTCAGCAAATGCTTTCTGCAAAAGGCCTGATAGTAAATTATTCTGGGTTTTGTTGGCCATCTGTCTGTTACCACCACTCAACTCTCCCATTACAGTCTGAAAGCAGCCATAGACAGCGTGCAAATGAATGGATGTGACTGTGTTTTAATAAAATTTTATTTATAAAATATGTGGTGGGCCAGATTTGGCCCATGGGTTGTGGTTGCAAATCTCTGCTCTATGATATCCCCAGCTGAAGTGTTAAAGGGAAATACCAGAGCAATAAATGCTCTTCTACATGAAACAGAAGCCATTAGCCAAATGCTTAATGTGAAGAAGTAGCCAGAGGAAAGAGCTGTGGTGTGTGAAGTAATGAGGATGATTAGGCAAAAACCAGCTTTACTTTTCCATCCCAGCTAACTCAGTTTCTTTTTATTTATAATTTTCTAAAAGAGGGAAAATAGAGATGGAAATTTTTCTACCTAAACAGTGGGATTAAGAGAAAAAATTCTGTAATGTAGTTTTGGTTACCATGGCATTCCTGGTACAACTTGCCAGAACATCCAAATAAAAGGACAAGCTTTTATCTCTCCCTGCAACTCAATTAATTTTAATCTATAAGATGAGAATTATCCACTTAGCTTCCAAGATTAGCTTGCTTTATTAGGGTATCAAAAAATAAGCAGAAAGAAAAGAAAATGTGCTTGAAGATGACTTGCTTTCATTTGAGAAAATCAGTCCACAGTTAATTAGGGCAAAACTTAGAGGCTGCAGGGAGGTTAGCAGAGTGAGATTTAATCATTGTCAGATAAGTGTACAGTCAAGAAAACACCATGAAACATTCTCTCTGTGAGGTGCATAGTTACCTACATCTTTTGGAATTGTTTATGATGGGGATGTGTATTAGTTATCTGTTGCTACACGATAATCACACCCAAACTTATCAGCTTAACACAAAACACATTTGTTGTCTCACAATTTCCATGATCAAAAATGTAGGCACAATTTAGTTAGGTGTTCTGTGTCAAGAGTCTTTGGATAAGGCTGCAATTAAGGTTGTCAACCTGGCTGAGGTTTAATTTGAAGGTTCTACTGGGGATGAACTCCCTTCCAAGTTCCCATGGCTGTTAGTAGGGTTCAGTTCCTCAAGGGTTGTTGTACTGAGGCCCTCAGTTCTTAGCTGGCTGTTGTCTGGAGGCTACCCTCAGTTCCTTGGCATGGAGGCCTCTCTAGTATGTCAGCTTGCTTCATCAAACCATGCAAGCCAAGAAGACAATAGAGTCTGCTAGCAAGATGGAAGTTACAATCTTTTTTTTTTTTTTTTTTTTTTTCCTCTGGAGACGGAGTCTTGCTCTGTCGCCCAGGCTGGAGTGCAGTGGCCCAATCTCGGCAAGTGGAGTGCAAGCTCCACTTCCTGGGTTCACGCCATTCTCCTGCCTCAGCCTCCCGAGTAGCTGGGAATACAGGGGCCCGCCACCACGCCCAGCTAATTTTATTTTTGTATTTTTAGTAGAGACAGGGTTTCATCGTGTTAGCCAGGATGGTCTCCATCTCCTGACCTCATGATCCACCCGCCCTGGCCTCCCAAAGTGCTGGGATTACAAGCGTGAGGCACTGTGCCCGGCTGGAAGTTACAATCTTACATAACTTAATTATAGAAGTGACAGCCCATCATTGTTGACATATTCTATTGATTAGAAGTAGGTCACAGGTCCTGTCCATACCAAAAAAAAAAGGAACCATGCAAAGATACGAAGGTGAAGAGGAGAGGATGATCGGGGGACATCTTAGAGTCTACCTGCTACAGGAAGAGAGAAGTAATGATTTCAGTGAAGTAGTAATGAGAGAAAGTACACTGTCTTGATAAGAAGATCTCTGAAGCTGAATTTACTCTGAAGGATGTTGTGATCATTGAGTATCATGGGCCAAAGAGGAGGGATAACGTGTGCATATATCATACCGTTGCTATTCCTAACTACAAACTCTGGTTTCTGAGAAGTTTAAACTGTAGGGAGACCATTTATCCTCATTAAATCTAGATGCTGGGCTATAACATTGGGTAAACCGAGCCCGTGTAACAGTTGGGTCTCTTTTAGTGACAAGCAACAGAAAATCCAACTCAAGTGGTTAAGGAAAGAGAGAATGTATTAGCTTATACAGCTGAAAACTCCAAGAGTAAATTTCACTTCAGGTGTAGCTGGGTTCAGGGCTTCAGCAAAATATTTTATTTGTTTACTTTTTTGGTTAAGGTTATTGAGACGTAACTTGGGTATGGTACCCTTTTCGTACACAGTTTAGTGAGTTTTGATAAACGTGCAGTTGTGTACTCACCAACATAATCGGGATATAGAACATTTCCACAATCCCCCCTCCCTAATTTTTTTCTTGTCCCTTTGTAGTCAACTTCTCCTGCTACCCTCAGCCCCTGACAACCACTCATCTCTTTTCAGTACCTATAGTTTTGCCTTTTTCAGAATATCTTTTAAATGGAATTAAGTAGTCTAGATGTACTCATAAGATTATGTGTCTGGCCTCTGTTACTCACTATCCTGCCTTTGTGTAGGAGTCATCTGTGTAATCACACCTCTGATTTCTTTTTATCACTGAGTAGCCCATTGTACAGATGTACAGTGATTTTTAAAACCTATTAACCAATTGCAGGACATTTGATTTGTTACCATTTTTGGCAACTGTGAATAAAACTACTAGAAACGTTTGTGCATATGTTTTTTATTTGTGTGTGTGTGAATGTAAGTTTTCATTGTTCTGGTAAACACCTAGTAGGGAAGTTGCTTAGTGATACAGTAAATCTGTATTTAATTTTATAAGAAACTACCAATTTGTTTTCCAAAATGGGTTGTACCAGTGCTGGGCACAGTGGCTCACCCCTGTAATCCCAGCACTTTGGGAGGTAGAGGTGGGTGGATCACCTGTGGCCAGGAGTTTGAGACTAGCCTGGTCAAAACAGTGAAACCCCATCTCTACTAAAAATAATAAAATAAAATAAAATAAAATAAAAGTTACTTCCTATTCTCACCAGTACTTGTTCTCACTCACCTTTTAAGGTTTATTTTAGCTATTCTAATAGGTGTGCGGTGCTATCTCAAGGTACTTTTAAGTTACATTTTCCTGATAACTAATGATGTCAGTCATCCTTATGTGTTTATGTGCTATCTGTATGTCCTCCTTGGGGAAGTGTCCATGCAAATCTTTTCCCATTTTAATAATTGTGTACTTACCTATTTTGAGGATAAATGTTATTCTTTTTTAAAATTATTATTATACTTTAAGTTCTAGGGTACATGTGCACAATGTGCAGGTTTGATACATAGGTATATATGTGCCATGTTGGTTTGCTGCACCCATGAACTCATCATTTACATTAGGTATTTCTCCTAATGCTATCCCTCCCCCAGTCCCCCACCCCCCGACAGGTCCCGGTGTGTGATGTTCCTCGCCCTGTGTCCAAGTGTTCTCATTGTCTGGTTCCCACCTATGAGTGAGAACATGCAGTGTTTGGTTTTCTGTCTTTGTGATAGTTTGCTGAGAATGATGGTTTCCAGCTTCATCCATGTCCCTGCAAAGGACATGAACTCATCCTTTTTTATGGCTGCAAAGTGTTCCATGGTGTATATGTGCCACATTTTCTTAATCCAGTCAAGACTGATGGACATTTGGGTTGGTTCCAAGTCTTTGCTATTGTGAGTAGTGCCGCAATAAACATACGTGTGCATGTGTCTTTATAGCAGCATGATTTATAGTCCTTTGGGTATATACCCTGTAATGGGATTGCTGGGTCAAATGGTATTTCTAGTTCTAGATCCTTGAGGAATCGCCACACTGTCTTCCACAATGGTTGAACTAGTTTGCACTCCCACCAACAGTGTAAAAGCATTCCTATTTTTCCACATCCTCTCCAGCATCTGTTGTTTCCTGACTTTTTAATGATCACCATTTTAACTGGCATGAGATGGTATTTCATTGTGGTTTTGATTTACATTTCTCTGATGGCCAGTGAAGATGAGCATTTTTTCATGTGTCTGTTGGCTGCATAAATGTTTTCCTTTGAGAAGTGTCTGTTCATATCCTTTGCCTACTTTTTGATAGGGTTGTTTGTTTTTTTCTTGTAAATTTGTGTGAGTTCTTTGTAGATTCTGGATATTAGCCCTTTGTCAGATGGGTAGATTGCAAAAATTTTCTCCCATTCTGTAGGTTGTCTGTTCACTCTGATGGTAGTTTCTTTTGCTGTGCAGAAGCTCTTTAATTAGATCCCATTTGTCTATTTTGGCTTTTGTTGCCACTGCTTTTGGTGTTTTAGTCATAAAGTCCTTGCCCATGCCTATGTCCTGAATGGTATTGTCTAGGTTTTCTTCTAGGGTTTTCATGGTTTTAGGTCTAACATTTAAGTCTTTAATCCATCTTGAATTAATTTTTGTATAAGGCGTAAGGAAGGGATCCAGTTTCAGCTTTCCGAACATGGCTAGCCAGTTTTCCCAGAACCATGTATTAAATAGGGAATCCTTTCCCCATTTCTTGTTTTTGTCAGGTTTGTCAAAGATCAGATGGTTATAGATGTGTGGTGTTATTTCTGAGGACTCTGTTCTGTTCCATTGGTCTATATCTCTGTTTTGGTACCAGTACCATGTTTTGGTTACTATAACCTTGTAGTGTAAAGTCAGGTGTGTGATGCCTTCAGCTTTGTTCTTTTTGCTTAGGATTGTCTTGGCTCTAAAGGCTCTTTTTTGGTTCCATATGAACTTTAAAGTAGTTTTTTCCACTTCTATGAAGAAAGTCATTTGTAGCTTGATGGGGATGGCATTGAATCTATAAATTACCTTGGGCAGTATGGCCATTTTCACGATATTGATTCTTCCTATCCATGAGCATGGAATGTTCTTTCATTTGTTTGTGTCCTCTTTTATTTCGTTGAGCAGTGGTTTGTAGTTCTCCTTGAAGAGGTCCTTCACATCCCTTGTAAGTTGGATTCCTAGGTATTTTATTCTCTTTGAAGCAATTGTGAATGGGAGTTCACTCATGATTTGGCTCTCTTTCTGTTCTTGGTGTACAGGAATGCTTGTGATTTTTGCACATTGACTTTGTATCCTGAGATTTTGCTGAAGTTGCTTATCAGCTTAAGGAGATTTTGGGCTGAGACGATGGGGTTTTTTAAATATACAATCATGTCATCTGCAAACAGGGTCAATTTGACTTCCTCTTTTCCTAATTGAATACCCTTTATTTCTTTCTCTTGCCTGATTGCCCTGGCCAGAACTTCCAATACTGTGTTGAATAGGAGTGGTGAGAGAGGGCATCCCTGTCTTGTGCCAGTTTTCAAAGGGAATGCTTCCAGTTTTTGCCCATTCATTATGATATTGGCTGTGGGTTTGTCATAAATAGCTCTTATTATTTTGAGATATGTCCCATCAACACCTAGTTTATTGAGAGGTTTTAGCATGAAGGGCTGTTGAATTTTGTCAAAGGCCTTTTCTGCATCTATTGAGATAATCATGTGGTTTTTGTCATTGGTTCTGTTTATGTGATGGATTACGTTTATTGATTTGCGTATGTTGAACCAGCCTTGCGTCCCAGGGTTGAAGCCGACTTGATCATGGTGGATAAGCTTTTTGATGTGCTGCTGGATTCGGTTTGCCAGTATTTTATTGAGGATTTTCGCATCAATGTTCATCAGGGATATTGGTCTAAAATTCTCTTTTTTTTGTTGTGTCTCTGCCAGGCTTTGGTATCAGGTTGATGCTGGCTTCATAAAATGAGTTAGGGAGGATTCCCTCTTTTTCTATTGATTGGAATAGTTTCAGAAGGAATGGTACCAGTTCCTCTTTGTACCTCTGGTAGAAATTGGCTGTGAATCTGTCTGGTCCTGGACTGTTTTTGGTTGGTAAGCTATTAATTATTGCCTCAATTTCAGAACCTGTTATTGGTCTATTCAGATATTCAGCTTCTTCCTGGTTTAGCCTTGGAAGGGTGTATGTGTCCAGGAATTTATCCATTTCTTCTAGATTTTCTAGTTTATTTGCGTGGGGGTGTTTATAGTATTCTCTGATGGTAATTTGTATTTCTGTGGGATCGGTGGTGATATCCCCTTTATCATTTTTTATTGTGTCTATTTGATTCTTCTCTCTTTTCTTCTTTATTAGTCTTGCTAGTGGTCTATCAATTTTGTTGATCTTTTCAAAAAACCAGCTCCTGGAATCATTGATTTTTTTGAAGGGTTTTTTTGTGTCTCTATCTCTTTCAGTTCTGCTCTGATCTTAGTTATTTCTTGCCTTCTGCTAGCTTTTGAATTTGTTTGCTCTTGCTTCTCTAGTTCTTTTAGTTGTGATGTTAGGGTGTCATGGGAGACTTTAACACCCCGCTGTCACTATTAGACACATCAACGAGACAGAAGGTTAACAAGGATATCCAGGACTTTAACTCAGCTCTGCACCAAGCAGACCTAATAGACATCTCCAGAACTCTCCACCCCAAATCAACAGAATATACATCCTTCTCAGTATCACATCCCACTTATTCTAAAATTGACCACATAATTGGAAGTAAAGCACTCCTCAGCAAATGTAAAAGAACAGAAATCACCACAAACTATCTCTCAGACACAGTGCAATCAAATTAGAACTTAGGATTAAGAAACTCACTCAGAACCGCACAACTACCTGGAAACTGAACAACCTGCTCCTGAATGACTACTGGGTAAATAACTAAATGAAGGCAGAAATAAAGATGTTCTTTGAAACCAATGAGAACAAAGACACAATGTACCAGAATCTCTGGGACACATTAAAAGCAGCGTGTAGAGGGAAATTTATACCACTAAATGCCCGCAAGAGAAAGCAGGAAAAATCTAACAGGGGATAAATGTTATTCTTAGATAGAACCCTCATAAGTTGTTTGAGCAAGTAGAAACAACAATAACTAGAAACTGAGGCTTATTTTAAAAAAACCTACACAGCCATAAAAAAGAATGAAATCATGTCCTTTGCAACAACATGGATGTGGCTGAAGGCCATTACTCTAAGCAAATTAATGCAGGAACAGAAGACCAAATACCACATGTTCTCACTCATATGTAAGAACTAAACATTGGGTAGTCATGGACATAAAGATGGCAACAATAAACACTGGGGACTACTGGGTGGGGGAGGGAGGAAGGTGAGTGTTGAAAAACTATTGGGTACTATGCTTACTACCTTGGTGACGGGATCAGCTGTACCCTAAACCTCAGCATTAAACAAGATACCCATGTAACAAACTTGCACATATACCCCCTGAATCTAAAATAAAAGTCGAACTTGTTAAAAAAAATCTAAAACATGTAAATGAACATAGAGCTGCAGAGACATAAAATAACATAACATTAGATAAAAATTGTATTATTGTTTCATTATTGGGCTTTGAGAGTTTTAAAAATATATTCCAGATGTAAATCCTTTATCAGATATGTATTTTGCAAATACTTTTATCCCAGTGGCTTGCATTTTTGAAACGTGGCTTGCCTTTTAATATGTTAACAGTGTCTTTTGAGGAGCAGAAGTGTAAAATGTTGATGAAGTCCAACTTATCCATTCTCTCTTTTATGGATGATGCTTTTCATGTTCTAACTAATAAATCTTTGCCTAAATCATGGTCATAAAAATTTTATTCTATGTTTTCTTCTAGAAATTTTATAGATTTAGATTTTACATTTAGCTTTTTAATCCACTTAGAGTTTAATTTTTATATAAGGTGTTTGTTGAGGTTTAGTTCTTTATTTTTTTTTTGCAAATAGTTATCCAATTCATCACCATTTTTGAAAAGACAATCCTTTCTCTACTAAATTGCCTCACACATTTGTTTTTGTTTTGAGACAGAGTCTTGCTCTGTCACCCAGGCTGGAGTGCAGTGGCATTGTTTCAGTTCACTGCAACCTCCGCCTCCCAGGTTCAAGCAATCCTCCCACCTCAGCCTCCCAAATAGCTGGGACTACAGGTGCCTACCACCACATCTGGCTGATTTTTGTATTTTTAGTAGAGATGGGGTTTTGCCTTGTTGGTCAGGCTGGTATCGAACTCCTGGCCTCAAGTGATCTGCCTGCCTTGGCCTCCCAAAGTGCTGGGATTACAGGTGTGAACCACTGCGTCTGGCCACCTCACACATTTCTGAAACACGGTTGACCAAACAAGCATGGGTTTCCTTCGGGGCTTTCTATCCTGACTTTTCCTCAGTGTTGGCTCCATTTTCAGGAAGACTCTTTCTCATGGTTTCAAGGTGTCTGACAGTAGCTCCTGAAACCTCATTTTTCAGTTTCATGCTCAGTAAAAGATGAGCATCTGTGGCTTGGTATTTTCCACAAAAATCCTGAAATTGATTCTAATCCAGAATGAATTTCAGTCTGATTAGATCAGTTTAGGTCATGTGATATGGTTTGGATCTGTGCGCCACCCAAATCTCATGTTCAATTGTAATCCCAATGTTGGAGGTGGGGCCAAGTGTAAGGGGATGGGATCATGGGGATGGTCCTTCATAATCATTTAGTACCATCTCCTTGGTGCTTCTCTCATGAGAGTGAGTGAGTTATTATGAGATCTGGTCATTTAAAATTGTGTGGCACCTTCCCATCTTTTCTCTATATCTAGCCACATAAGACATACCAGCTTCCCCTTCCCCTTCCGCCATGATTGAATGTTTCCTGAGGTTTCCCAAGAAGCAGAAGCTGCTATGCTTCCTGTACAGCCTGCAGAACTGTGAGCCAATTAAACTTCTTTTCTTTATAAATTAGCTAGTCTCAGGTATTCATTTGTAGCAGTGTGAGAATAGACTAATATATCATGTGATACACAGTGATTGTCTTGGACCTGGGTCACCTCCTCTACCTGTGTGACTAGGAATGGAGCCTCACTCAAATCACACAGACCTTATATGTAGAAGAATGAATTCTCAAAGAAAAACTAGGGCTCTGTTAGAATGGGAAAACATATGATGCTGTGGGCAAAAAACAATGCAAACAAACAATGGCAACCAAACATCCCAATAAATATCCATATTGCTCTTAACTCAAGAATTTCATGTGTAACAGGGAAGAACTGCATGGAAGAACACAAATTATAATAGACTGTTCGAAGTATAACAACCTAAATAAGTCCAAGATATCAATGAGGGAGTAATTAAATCTATCTGCATGTTCTGGGAAGGCTTCCCAGATATGGCCTTTGAAATGGGTTTAAAAATCTTTTTAAAAAATACTTAAGTAAAATATAATCTATTTAAAGAAAAGTGCACAAGCTATAAGGATATGGCTCAATATATTATCACAATGTGAACATGCTTGCATAACCAGCATCTCAAAAATGCCAGTGTCCTCTTTTCTCAAAAAGTAACTTCTATGCTGAGTTTTAACACAGATACTAGTTTTTACCACTTTAAAAACAATATAAATGGAATCAAGAAATATGAATCAACTTGTCTTTGCTTATTTTGTACGTGGTTATGAGATTCATCCAGGTATTTGCATGTAGCCATAGTCAGTTTTCATTGCTGTGTACTATTCCATCATGTGACTATACTACCATTTATTTATTCATTTTATTGTTGTATATTTATGTTATTTCCAGTGTTTTGACTATTATTTAAAGTGTTGCTATGAAAAAATTTATATTTAATTTTTGGCTATATGTAAATATAGTTGGACATACATCTAGAATATAAATTTCTGAGTCATAGAATTAGCATATGTTCGAATGTAGTAGATGCTGCTAAACAGTTTTCTAAAGTGCTTGTGTTAATTTAAACTCCCACTAGAAGCATAATGGGAGTTCTAGTTCCTCTACATTGCTCTCAGTGCTTGATAGTGTTAGTCTTTTTAAAATTTTAGCCATTCTAGTGGGTATGTAGTGGCATCTGATAATGATTTTATCTTGCATTTGCCAAAGACTAATGAGGTTGAACACCTTTTTATCTGCCTATTGGCAATTTAGGTATCCTTGTTTTGTGAAGTATCTGTTGTTTGTTCAAGTCTTTTTTTCATTTTTCTGTAGTTTTTTGTTTTGATTTAGAAATTATTTTGTAATCTGGTATGAATCCCTTTTCATTTACATGTTGCAATTATCTCTTCCCACTATAAGGCTTACCTTTTCACTTTTTTTTTTTTTTTAAATAAGAGAAGGGGGTCTTGCTTTGTCATCTAGGCCAGAATGCAGTGGTGTGATTATAGCTTACTGCAACCTTGAACTCCTGGGCTCAAGCAATCCTCCCAACTCAGCCTCCTGAGTAGCTGGGACTACAGGCATGTGCCACCGCACCTGGCTAGTTTTTAATTTTTATTTTTGTAGAGATGGGGGTCTTGCTATGTTTCCTAGGCTGGCCTTAAACTCCTGGCCTCAAACAATACTCTTGCTTCAGCCTCCCAAGTAGCTGGGATTACAGGCGTGAGTCACCATGCCCGGCCCTTTTCACTTTTGTAATAGTGTGGTTTTTTTTTTTAATACACAAGTGTTCTTAATTTCAAAAGTTTAATTTTAAAATTAAAAGTTTATCAGTTGTTTGCTTTATGATTAGTACTCTGTGTGGCTTGTCCAAGAAATCTTTTCCTCCTTAAAGTAATGAAGATAGATACACTCCGATGTTATCATCTGGAAGCTTGTTTTACCTTCTGCATCTAAACCTACATACCATTTGGGATTTGGTTTTAGGTATGATGTGAAGAAGGGCTCAAGTTTTGTTTTTTTACCATGTTTTATCCAGTTGACCCAGCACCATTTTATTGAAAAGACTTATTTCTTCACTGTTCTGCCATTTTATCATAAATCACATGTTAATAGATGCAAAGGTCTATTTCTGGACTCAATTATCTTCCATTGTTTGTTTTCAAGCCAACACCACTTTCTTTTTCTTTTCTTTCTTTCTTTTTTTTGAGTCGGAATCTCGCCCTGTTGCCCAGGTTAGAGTGCAGTGGCACGATCTCCGCTCACTGCAACCTCCGCCTTTTGGGTTCAAGTGATTCCCCTGCTTCAGCCTCCCGAGTAGCTGGGATTACAGGCGCACGCCACCACGCCCAGCTAATTTTTGCATTTTTAGTAGAGACAGGGTCTCACCATGTTGGCCAGGCTGGTCTCGAACTCCTGGCCTCAGGTGATCTGCCTGCCTCGGCTTCCCAAAGTGCTGGGATTACAGGCATGAGCCACCATGCCCAGCCACCAGTACCACTTTCTTAATGTCTATCATTGTAATAAGTCTTAATACCTGGTAGAGCGTTTCCTTCTACTTTGTCATTCTCTAAGATTGTCTTGGCTAGTCTTGACTCTGCCTTTACATATAAATTTAAAAATCGGCTTCTAATTTCCAAAACAAACAAACAGCACAGGCTGGGAATTTGACTGGAGTTGTATTAAATCTGTAGATCAGTTTGCAGACAATTAATATTACTACAGTGCTACTACAGCATGGAGTCGGAGTCCCCCAGTCCAGGACCTTCGTTTATCCCTTCATTTACTTAGGTGTTTAAACATTTTTATCAAAAATATCTTAGAGTTTTCCATGAAGCAGTCTTGCACATATTTTGCTAGATTTACTCCTGGATATTTGATTTAAAAATATGATTATAGATGGACTTTTTGTTTGCTAAACATTTATTGATATATCAAAATACATTTGATGATTTTGTATTTATTTTGATCAACTGGGTTTTGAAATCTTGCTTTCTCTTGGGAAGTAGGTTCATCCATGTACCCTAATATACTCTGTAGGCCTCCCCCGATGCACTGCCTATGGGACTCAAGGTTGCCATATTGCACAACTCCGGGGGCAGCAATGACATTGTAATCCATGTAGTCAGGAGAGGCATTATTTATATACAGTAGAATATGATTTGTGCTCTATGCATTGTGTAACCTTGACTGCCATGTAAGAAGTATATGAGCTGGGCACGGTGGCTCATGCCTTCAATCCCAGGACTTTGGGAGGCTGAGGCAGGCGGATCACCCAAGGTCAGAAGTTTGAGACCAACCTGGCTAACATGGTGAAACCCCGTCTCTACTAAAAATACAAAAATTAGCCGGGTATGGTGGTGCACGCCTGTAATCCCAGCTACTTGGGAGGCTGAGGCAGGAGAATCACTTGAACTCAGGAGGCAGAGGTTGCAGTGAGCCAAGATTGTGCCAGTGCACTCCAGCCTGGGAAACAGAGCGAGACTCCATGTATATTAAAAAAAAAGAAGTATATGAAAGGTGGCAGATATTGATAGAATTATCATTCCCATGCTTGGAAAATTGTATTTCTTTAGTGACTAGTCTATACCTCACTAGAAGGAAAGACTTTTTCCTCTTCTAGCCTGTTGTCTTTGAGAAACAAAATAGCATTGCCATATGTGAGAGCTCCTCCTCCTTCTCCATAGTCTAACTCCTCCTATGAATCCAATTACACTTAAATCACCTTTGGGGTCCAAAGCCAATGTAGTTGATTCCTGACTTAGCAGGGAAGAATGGAAAACCAATATTATCCAAGAAACAGGGAAGTGGGAATTGATCTGGATAGCGATGTTACACACAGCTGTTCAGTTTGCACGCTGCACGAAGGCTGCTGGCCATAAGAATAAATTTGGAGGAAGAAGGCTGAAATCCAGTAGCACTCTGCCCACCAAGCTGTGTGCCTTGGCGTGGGGCTGCATCTATACTCAGGGAGCACTTTCTCCTAATTCAGCTACCCAGATGGGGTATCGTTTCCCATTTTACACAAAGGCACCCTTTAGGCCAGTGGATGCCCTGGCCCAGGCCTCGAAGTTTGACTCATCTCCAAGTCGATCATCAGTAGCTGCATTTATCAGTTTCTCTTGGCACAGATTTGCAGCATTGCCAGGATGCTGACAAAATGTTTCTAGAGAACTCCACGCCCTCTTCTACCCTTTCTGTTAGTCTTTTATTGATTCTTCTCTCTTGTGTTTCTAAGCCTGAGCCAGGAACCCTCCTGTTATTAAAAGCAGTCCCAGTTGCCCACACCTTTCATTTCCTTTGAATTACATTAATTGCCTGACAGCTAAAAAGTGAGCTGGTATTTTCAGATTTCAGCGGCTGGTCGGCAAGAAATATTTACCAGCTCCTGCAGATTTATAAAGATGCCATGGAGATGCCTGGAGACTAACAATCAGAAAATACAGCAGCAAAACAACACTATTTTTCAAGGTTAAATGCTCAGAATGCTAAAAAGAAATTGTCCATAAAGCAAAATAGGGATTCAGAAGCAGGCAGCCTCTACTCTGGACAAAGAAAGGAGCCAGAGGTTTAAAATAAGATTTCACAGCTTCACAATAATTATGAATTTAATAAGGGGAGCTTTATTTTTAATTTAGTTTCAGTCTGGCAGCCAGTCTCCTCCCTCCAACCCCCTCTCTGCGGCATGGTAGTGCTCTTTAATGTGGTCCTAAGGCTAGGTCACAGTGAGAGCTGGGAAGCGCCCCCAGCCATAAGACTTTCTGATGAAGAAGAATTTAGACAGATAATGTTTCTGACTCTCTGCAGGCAGATGGGACTAACTCCCACTGGCTTTACTCCCTCCTGGCAGCCAGAAATGTCTTTTGCTATGTAGGAAGACACTAGGTTCTGAAAATTCCAAGACAGGAAGATTTTTTTCCTCCTGGATAGAACCCTAGGCTCTGATTCCTGTTCTCCATGAACAGAATAATAAAACCGAGCCAAGGCCACTAAGAATCATTTTAGACTCTGCTGGTCAACACCATCTCCACTTACAAAGTCTCGTTTCATAGACCACCTTTCAGTATGAGCCGTTTGCCAAGACCACATACATTCCTTTGTTTATTGTTCATTCATTCTACAAACATTTATTGAAGGTCTATTTTTTGAAGTACCCTGTGTTATAGAGGTTAAATTCACATGACAAAATTGATCATTTTAAGGTGAACAAATTAGTGGCATTTAGTACCTTCACAGTGTTATATGACCACCTCTGCCTTTTTCCAAAATAGCTTCATCACCCCCAAATAAAAACCTGTACCCATTAAACAGTTACTCTTCATTTTTCTCTTTCCCCAGAAAGGGGTACTACCAACCTGCTTTCTGCATTTGTGGATATACCTATTCTGGATATTTCATATACATGGAATTATACACCTTTTATGTCTTCTTACACTTATAATACTTTTGAGGTTCATCCCCATTGTAGCATATATTAGTTTCTTATGGCTAAGTAATAGTTAATTGTATGTATGTATTATACCACAATGTATTTATCCAGTCTTCCATTTATGGACATTTGAGCTCTTTCCATCTTTTGGCTATTGTGAATAGAGCTACCAGGATCATTCATGTACAAGTATTTGTTTGAGTACTTTTTAAAAAATTTCTCTGGGATATATGCTTAGGTCATATAGTAAGATCAAAAATATTTCCTGATCTTATTCCCTTTGTTAATGGAAATAGTCTCTTCATACATCTATGGTTTCTTCAAGACTGTTTCTCCAAGGCAGGGAGCTAGCTTCTTCCTTGAATAACTTTGTCTTCAGCTAGATAGGAGGAGCTCAAAAGCAAAATGATAGTTCCTAGTGGTATATATGCTAGACCAAAAGAGGAGAAATTCAGTCACTGAGGGTTGCCACAGAATGGTAACAATGAGATTAATAATAATGGTTTGCAGGAAAGACACCATCTTGAAAGGATGCTGTGAGGAATTCATTAGATAACACCTGATAGAAATACACAAGATGCACTTTCCTCTATCTCCCTTTCCATTCTTCTGTCTGCATAAATGACTGCCCTGAATTCCTTTGTAGAGCTATGATTTAATTATTCAGAGTTTGGTATCCACCTAATCTGTAAACCCTACTCGAGATATTTATTTTCAGCACCTGGGACAGAGCCCAGCATATGACAGTCACTCAGGAAGCAATTGTTGAAAGAATGAACAAATGTTCATCTGCTTATGTTCATTGCCAGACAAAAGAATCTGCATTTTACATCATGTCTATTGTTTACTGGGGAGGGGCCTATGTGACATTGCCTGTGTGAATTTGGGAAATGCTAAGACATTTTATTTTTGGTGTTTAATCTTATACTCCCACATGGGCCACAGGACTGGTCCATCTTATGGAATATGAAAAAAAATGTTCACATTTCAGGTTGTTCATAAATCTGCCTCCTGCATTACCATTTCTTATCTGCCTACTTCTGCTTCCCCTGAGTTCAGAGGAAGTGCTTTACCTTAGAAATGATTCACTACTCCTGGGCCATCGTGGGCTTTGAAAGCCACACAATAGAAGTTCCATTTCAAATCCCCCCATTTATAATCATGGGAGAAAGCTGGGTGTTGTCTTGGGGGTTATCAATGATTTCAGAAAACTCAACCTTTGTTCCTCATGTGTCCATTTTTCAAAAACTTACGACTCCAAATCTCTGGAAGTCATTGCATCTGAGGAAACATTTATCTTGGGTTTGACATCTTTTGCACTGTATCCCTTTTCAACTCTCCTTTCTCATGTAGGACAAACGGCACTGTGGGGTTTGAAATGAAGAGTTATGTCTTGCAGCAAGTGCGTGTGTGGAGATCCTGGGCTCCTCCCTGCCCCCTCCCCTGTGCCCCTGGGTTGGAAGATGAAGGAATAATCAGCAGAGACAAATGCTTATGAGTGAGGTTATGGGTTGAATTATATCTACCCAAATTTGTATGTGGAAATTCTATCCCCCAGTACCTCAGAATGTGACCTTCTTTGAAAATAGGTTTCTTGGGGATATAATTAGTGAAGATGAGGTTGTACTGGAGTAGGCTGGGGCCCTAATTCAATATGATTGTTGTCTTCATTAAAAGAGGGAATTTGGAGACAGACGCACACAAAAGAACTCCACATGGAGATTAAGGCAGAGGTCTAGAAGCCAAGAAATGCCCCAAATTGCCAACAAACCACCAAAGCTATGAGAGAGGCACGGGACGGATTCTTTCTCACAGCCCACAGAAGGAAACTATCCGGCCGGGCGCTGTGGCTCGCGCCTGTAATCTCAGCACTTTGCGAGGCCAAGGCGGGCGGATCACCTGAGGTCAGCTCAAGACCAGCCTGGCCAACATGGTGAAACCATGTCTCTACTAAAAATACAAAATTAGCCGGGCATGGTGGCACGCACCTGTAATCCCAGCTACTTGGGAGGCTGAGGCAGGAGAATCGCTTGAACCTGGGAGGTGGAGGTTGCAGTGAGATCACACCATTGCACTCCAGCCTGGGTGACAGAATGAGACTCCGTCTCAAAAAAAAAAAAAAAAAAAAAAAAAAAAGGAACCTACCCTGCCAGTACTTTGATCTCAGACTCCTAGCCTCTAGAACTGTGAAACAATACATTTCTGTTGTTCAAGTCACCTAATTTGTGGTCTTTGTTTTTATAGAAGTCCTAGGAAACTAATATAGGTGATACTCTCACGATGTTTGTCTAAAGGTCTCTATTTACTTGAGAGGTGATATAGCATAGTGGTTAAATACTTGGGTTTTTAGAACCAGACACCCAGGCGGATAATCTGGGAAAATTACTCATCATCTCTAGGCTTCCAATTTCCTTAAAATAAGATAGAGAATATAATAAATCTAGACCTGATAGTACTGTCATGACGATTAAATGAGATAATGTATTTAAAGCACTAAGCCAAAGAAATACCTGGCACATAGTAAACACGTGATGGGTGGTGGTTATTATAATGGTTATTATTAGTAATGAATGGCAACATTTACTGTTGCCCTAAAGCCCCAAAGAATCCTTTACTATCTATATTTTAAACTTTCTTCCCAGAGCACACTTAAGAAATGATTGACATTTTCCCTTCCCTCTGACCCCTGCTCTCTAGGTTAATGGTCTGAGGCTCTGTTCCATCTTTGTCCCTTTCCAGAGATTTAATCTCTCTCTCTCTCTCCCTCTCTCTCTCTCTCTCTCTCTGTGACATGGGACTTATATGATTGACACACAGGACCACCCACTTATCATTTACACTAGTGGAAGTAAGATGGTTCCAAAAGCTGGGTGAGGATTTGAAGTGACCAGAATAGTTGCCAGGATCATGTATTCTTTCATATACAAAAAACACATTTGTTGAAAGCCAGTGGTCTAGGTGTAGGATCTGATTTAGTGTGGGTTATTTGTCAATGTGGGCAGGGGAAGGGATGCAGCATAATAATTCCATAATAACTACCACTTACTGAAATGTATGTCAAGTGCCAGGCTAAATTGTCTCAGCACAATTATCCTTTAAAATTCTACAAGGTTAGATAGTCCTGTCATACCCATTTTATAGATGAGGAAATGGAAGCATGGAGCGATTAAGGCCATAGCTGGTTAAAGAGCAGAATCAGAAGTTGAACACATTCCACAGACTCTAGAGCTCACACTTTTAACTCCTGTGAGTCACTGCCTCAGCGGCACCAGGAATCCGCTGCTCTCAGGTGTATATTTGAAAAAGATTGTGAACAAGACAGAGGAAACCTGGTTACAGAATTAAATGCCAGCATGTAAAGCAAACATACAATCAAAACCAAGCTAATGAAAAAACAAAACAAAACCGAATCCCCAAAACCCAGAATACAAAAACCTGCCATGTGTTGGTTACTGGAGGAAAATAAGTGTTTTCCTAATGTTTAAACTCAGCAACTGACCCTAAGACTTGTTTTAATTTTGCGATTGTTTTGAAGCTGCTAGTCTGCCAGGCATATGGTGCAGGTAAGCTTTGCCAAGTCGTTCCTCCGAAGCATTTTATTACGATAATAATCACAAATGTGACCTCAGTCCTTTTATCCTGTTTATTCTCTACCGTTTCCTGTGATAAGTGCTACTTCTGTACTTTGCCAACCTCCTCCACCCGCATTTGTTTAGGGAAAGAATATTAATTAGTGATATTAAGGAGGCTATGGGCTGAAAATGAAATTTTCATAATGGAATTCCTTAGACTATCTTTGCCCTCCGAGGCATCCTCTGTTTAAGCAGTTCAATTGAATATCATTATTAACATACATAATAATAATAATTAGCATTATTGCCTGCATCAGTTGTTGTTCATGGAAAACTGCAAGCTCTTTTCTATCTATTGGCCTCAGTTAAAAGTGCGAAATAGATTCTCATTTTATGTTTTATTTCCCTGTCATTTTTGCTCTGCTCAACTCCTATGCTTGGCAGCTGGACCCCTTATGAGGTCCTTATTGGATTTTTTTTTTTTTTGGAAAAATAAAGAAGTTTCTTTATTCTCCTGTTTGAAAGAGGAGTCTGTCAGAGGTGGAAAACCTTCAATAGGCCAACTTTTTTAATTTTTAATTTTTAAAGTTTTTTTAGAGGCAGCGTCTTGCTCTGACATCCAGGCTGGAGTGCATTGGTACTATCATGGCTCACTGCTGCCTCAGACTTCTGGGTTCAAGCGAGCCTCCTGCCTTAGGCCAACTTTCCTGAGTTGTCTTGAAGCTTTATTTGTGCACCGTAAGCCACTCAAGATTTTCTGCAAAACCTCTCCTGGTTTCTAGCATCTCTCTCTCCCAATCCATTATCTGGATACACTGAGAATCATGTTTCTAAAAAGCAAGTCTGGCTTTCCACCTCCTTTGCTGAAAAACCTTGATAGGCTTCCCATTGCGCTCAGGATAAAATCCAGATTTCTTATCATGTCTTAATGCCATGACCCTTATTTCCTCATCTGGCTTTATCTCTCCTCACTCCATCTCCTTCTGCAGTCTGATCGTATTAAACTTGTTTTGGTTTTGCAGAGAGACTGTGCCACCTCACCTCAAGCTATAGCATGTGCTGTAAATGAAATGCCCTCTCCTCCCTGATTCAGGCTTCAGTGTGGGCACCGAGTCCTAGGAGCTTTCCTATCTTCTCAGGTCCAAGGGTGGTGCCTAATGTTAATTTCAGGGAGGTATAAGACTGCATACGATACGCGCTTCTTCCCCAAGCACTGGTAAATGAATGGCTTTGAATATTTTACATATAGGTCATAGTATGCTTCTGTTTCTCCCCTTCTTGGCTGTTTGGCTTAGAATAGGGGGCAACAAACTTTGGTCTGTGTGCCAAAAGCAATCAGCCACCTGTTTTTTTAAAACATTTTTTAAAATTGAGAGAAAATTCACACAACGTAAAGTTAACCATTTAAAAACATACAATTCAGTGGCATTTAGGACATTCACTTTTTTTTTTTTGAGACAATTCGACTCTGTCGCCCAGATTGGAATGCAGTAATGTGATCTCGGCTCACTACAGCCTCGACATCCTGGGCTCAAGCGATCCTCCCACCTTAGCCTCCTGAGTAGCTGGGCCTATAGGCATGTGTCACCACTCCCAACTAATTTTTGTATTATTAATTTATATTTTATTTTATTTTATTTTATTTTGAACAAAGGTGGATTGTCTCCACCTTTTAGTAGAGTATTTTGTAGAGTCAGGGTTTTACCATGTGGCCCAGGCTGGTCTTGAACTCCTGGGCTCAAGCAATCCACCTGCTTCGGCCTCCCAAAATGCTGGGATTGTAGGTGTGCGCCACCATGCCTGGCCACATTTCCAATATTCTGTAACCATCACATCTGCTTAGTTCCAGAACATTTTCATCACTCCAAAAAGAAAGCCCATAACTGTTGAGCAGGTGTTCTCAATTTTCTTCTCCTCAGTCCTCGGCAACCACCAAGCTACCTTCTGTGTCTGTGGATTTGCCTATTCTGGACAATTTATATCAATGGAGAGTCATGCATTGCATGGTCTTTTATTCATTTATTTATTTTTTGAGACGGAGTCTCGCTCCGTCGCCCAGGCTGGAGTGCAGTGGTGCGATCTCGGCTCACTGCAACCTCTGCCTCCTGGGTTAAGTGATTCTCCTGCCTTAGCCTCCCCAGTAGTGGGGATTACAGGCATGCGCCACCACACCTAGCTAATTTTTGTATTTTTAGTAGAGGCAGGGTTTTGCCATGTTGGTCAGGCTGGTCTTGAACTCCTGACCTCAGGTGATCCACCCGACTCAACCTCCCAAAGGGCTGGGATCACAGGCGTGAGCCACCATGCCCGGCCTACGTTGCCTTTTGTGTCTGCTTCTTTCATTTAGCATATTGTTCTCCAGGTTTATCCACCTGGCAGTATGCGTCCATACTTCCTATTCATGGCTGATTACTATTCCATTGGATGCATATGCCACATTTTGTGCATCCATTTTTCAGTTGATTGATCTTTGGATTGTCTGCACCTTTTAGCTACTATAAATAGGGCTGCTGTGAACATTTGTGTACAAGTTTTTGTTTGAACTCCTATTTGTAATTATTTTCGGCCCATGCCTAAGAGGGGAGTTGCCGGGTCATATGGCAATTCTGTGTTTAACCCTTTTAGGAGCCACCAAACCCAGTGCCTGTTGTTGTAAATAAAGTTTTATTGGCACACGGTCAAGGCCATTCATTTACTTCTCGTCTATGACTGCTTCTGTGCGACAACGGCAGAGTCAAGTAGTTGCAACATACGCCATCTGCCCCTAAAGCCTCAAAGATTAATTTTTATGGAGTTTTACAGAAGTTTGCTGAACTTTAACTTAGTACACCTGTGTTAAGCAATGTAGCCTGCAGGCCTTGAAGCCAGTAACAGCACTTTTTCAACAAAGATGGGGTGAATACAGAAAAAAAAGTTTATTCTCCTTAACCTGACTTATACATTCCTGATACTTTAGAATATTTTATGTAGATCTGAGGAGCCTATTTTGAATATCAAAGGGTGAGGTCAAGTCTTGTGGGAAAAGTGGTCTGGAAAATTGCCTAGACTCTGGAGTCAGACTTTGTAGGTTAAGTCACGAAACCTCTCTGGGCCTCTGTTTTCTCATCCTTTAAATGGAGATGATTAGGCTCCCCATCTTGTAGGACGGTAGAGAGGATTAAATGAAGGAAACACTGGCGAACTGCTTATAATGGTGCCTGGCATAAATATTAACTCTTACTAGGTGAGGCTCAGAGATCGCCCAGGACAAAGAAAGAAAATGGATCAATGAGCTAGTTTATCTCATGCCTTTGGATAAAATACTCTACACCCCTCCTCTTAAAATTGTTTTTGTACTGCGATTTTTATTTTTGAGGTAGGATCTCACTCTGTCGCCCAGGCTGGAGTGCAGAGGTACTTGGCTCACTGCCACCTCTGCCTCCCATGCTCCAGCAATCCTCTCACTTCAAACTCCTGAGTAGCTGAGAGTAGCATACATTTAGCGAATTGTTTTATTTTTCTGTAGAGACAGGTCTCACTGTGTTGCCTGGGCTGGGTAGCATGATTAAAAAAATTTTTTTTTGAGACAGAGTCTCTCGCTGTGTTGTCCCGGTTGGAGTGCAGTGGTACAATCTCAGCTCACTGTAACCTCTGCCTCCTAGGTTCAAGCAATTCTCGTGCTTCATCCTCCTGAATAGCTGGGACTACAGGTGTGCACCACCACATCTGACTAGCTTTTTAAAAGATTTTTAGTAGAGATGGGGTTTTGTTATGTTGGTCAGGCTGGTCTTGAACTCCTGGCCTTAAATGACCCATCTGTCTTGACCTCCCAAACCTCCCAAAGTGCTGGGATTACAGGCATGAGCCACTGTGTCCAGCCTGGGATAGTGTGATTTTTTTTTTTAATCGTGATAAAAATATAGGGTAATATAAAACTTACCATTTTAACCTTTTTTTTTTTTTTTTTTTTTGAGATGGAGTCTCACTCTGTTGCCAGGCTGGAGTGCAGTGGTGCCATCTTGACTCACTGCAAACTCCACCTCCCGGTTTCAAGCGATTCTCCTGCCTCAGCCTCCTGAGTAGCTTGGATTACAGGCATGCGCCACCATGCCCAGCTAATTTTTGTATTTTTAGTAGAGACGGGGTTTCAGCATGTTGGCCAGGATGGTCACAATCTCCTGACCTCATGATCCGTCCACCTCGGCCTCCCAAAGTGCTGGCATTACAGGCGTGAGCCACTGCGCCAGGCCCATTTTAACCATTTTGAAGTGTACAATTTTAAGTGTACAATTAAGTGGCATTAAGTACATTCACATTGTTGGGCAACCATCACCACCATCCATCTTCAGACGCTTCTCATCATCTCAAACTGAAACTCTGTCCTTATTAAACACCAATTCCCTATGCCTCCATTTCCCCATCCCTGGGCAACCACTGTTCTATTCTCTTTCTCTATGAATTCAGCTGCTCTAGATACCTCATATAAGTGGAATCATATGATATTTGTCTTTTTGTAACTGGCTTATTTCACTCAGCATAATATCTTTAAGTTTCATCCATGTTGTAACATGTTTCAGAATTTCTTCCTTTTTTAAAACACATTTTTATTGTGGTAAAACACAAATAATATAATATTTACCATTGGAACCACTTTTAAGCGTACAGTTCAGTGGTATTAAGTGCATTCATATTGTTGGGCAACCATCACCACCATCCATCTCCAGAATATTTTTGTCTTAGAAAAATGAAATGCAGGCTGGGCATGGCGGCTCATGCCTATAATCTCAGCATTTTGGGAGGCCGAGGTGGGCAGATCACCTGAGATTGGAAGTTTGAGACCAGCCTGACCAACATGGAGAAACCCTGTCTCTATTAAAAATAAAAAATTAGCCGGCTGTGGTGGCGCATGCCTGTAATCCCAGCTACTCAGGAGGCTGAGGCAGGAGAATCACTTGAACTCGGGAGGTGGAGGTTGTGGTGAGCCGAGATTGTACCACAGCATGGGCAACAAGAGTGAAACTCCATCTCAAAAATAATAATAATAATAAAATCAAATAAAATAAAATGCAGCTGGGCACAGTGGCTCATGCCTTTAATCCTTGCACTTTGGGAGGCTGAGGCAGGAGGATCACTTGAGACCAGGAATTTGAGATCAGCCTGAGCAGCATGTTGAGAATCTGTTTCCACCAAGAAAAAAAAAAAAAAATTAGCCAGGTGTGGTGGCACGTGCCTGGGAACACAGAGATGAATGCAGTTGGAGTGGAGCAAGACAGGAGAATGGTCTGAGATGGTGAAGAGACACGTGAGGCCAGGCTGTGCTGACCTGGTGAGATCCTGGGAGAAGAGTTTGCACTTCATTCCTAGTGCGATCAGAAGCCAGGGGAGGGTTGGCCACAGGAGAGTGACATGATCATCTTCACTGATTGCTGTTGAAAAAGACGGTTCTACTCTTTGACCACTGGCTTTGTAAAGAGGTTTTCAAGGCTCAGAGATGGCTTGTATTGTTATATTAGGAGAGGTTTGATGGTAGCCGACCTGGTAGTGGATGTTCTGTTTCAGGTGCCATAAATGGGGCCATACATCAAACCCATTGATTTTCTACTTCAGAGACCCCAAGAGCCATACAACCCTAACCCTCAGTGCCCCTGCGTAAAGTTAGACAGACATCGTTTATTGGGGTTACAGAGCAGCTGTCTAAATCCTGCCTGGACTCATTTAAAGCAGTGTGCCTCGGGGGCACCTTGCTCCTGCAAACATTTCAGAGCCAGGAAAGACTGACTGGGGATGAAGGATGCACCTGACTTCTTGGCACCTGCTGCTGCATTTTTGTTTTGATTGTTTGCATGATGCTTGGAGGAGAAGCAGGGAAAAAAGAGGCCGATAGGCGTTTTTCTCTCACTTATTGTTCTTTTTTCTGGCCTTGGAAGGATGGAAGGAAGGAAGGAAGGAGGGAAGGAAGGAAGCTAATATCTATTGAACAGCAATGCAGGGACTGGATAGTTATGGTCCCAAGTTACCTAATTTCATTCATTCATTCATTCATTCATTCATTCCACAAGAAATATTCATTGAGTGTCTTTATATGCCAGACATTGTTCTGGGCCCCAGGAATAAGCATTGAACACAATGGACAAAGCCTCTTCTCTCTTGGGGCTGACTTTCTGACAAGGAAGACAAGACAGACATTAAACAGGTAAGTACAAATCAGGCGGATATGTCCTAGGAGGAAAAACCAAGCTGAGTAATGAGATGGAGAGAGTGTGGACTATTTTATGTGGGAGGGGGACACTGGTCAGGGAAGCTCTCTTTGCAAAAGTGGTATCTGAGCAGAGAACTAAAGAAAATAAGGGAGAGAAGCACCAGACTTTCTGTGGATCTAGGACATTGTTATTTCTTCTTAGAGAAGAGTCTACTGAGAATTGGAGGAATTAAGTGACTCTTCCAAGATCAGAAGATAGTGGTAGCAGTAGCAGCAGCAGTAGTAGTAATAGATAAATTTTATTACATTTGCTCTATGCCAGGCACTAGATGAAATATTTATTTCTATCATCTCATTTAATTTTCACAACAAATCTACAAGGTAGATATCATTATTGTTATTCCCATTATATAAATGCCACCGAGGATCATAGAAGTGATATCACTTAGCTAAGGTCACACAGCTAATAAAGGAGAAGCAGAGATTCAAATCCACGTTCATTAGTCTCCAGGACACTATAACCATTTTCCAGCCCATAGCTGATGAAGCTGAAATACAGAGTGAAGCCTCTATCTGAAAACCCTTCTTTTCCAATAGACCAGTCCAAATCCCAACTTTCAATGCAGTACCCGGTTCTTTGATTAGACCCTGGCATAGGGTTTGTTAGGTGGGTATTGAGGGCCTCCTAAATAATGGAGTAGTGCATTTGGATCTGTGACCACAGACATTTTGAGTCCCACCATCTCTGATTTGCACAGAGACCTTCTTGTGACCAATTATTGTGAGTCAAGAGCTCAGGTGTCCAATGAAAGTTCGCAGGGAGCTACTCTTCTCTTGAAAGAAATGGGCTATAGAGCTCTATTGGCCTGGGATGTGCAGCTCCATTGGTCCATGATTTGATGAGAAAGACTGCAAACGTGTGATCCAGATATATGGATGTGTATATGCCTCTTAGCAAGAATGCAGTTGATTTTCTAGGTCTATGGAGCTATGCACACAGCTATAGCATTCATTTACTCACTCATTCTGTGCTGTGCCTGCTAGTGTGTTACATTCTGAGTCTGCAGCAATGAACAGGCAAGGTCCCTGTCTTCCTGTTGAATACATTATAAGGGGAGAATGAGGGAGTGTTGTGTGAAGAAGGAGAAAATAAAGCGGATGAATAAATGAACAAGATCATCTCAGATGCTGAGAGTGCCCTGAGGCATTGCCACAGAGAGACACTGGGATGTCTGCTTATATTGAGTGGTCAGTGGAGGCCCCTCTGAGCAGGGCCAATTGAACAGAAGGGGAGGGAGGAGCTGCCATGAGCAGTTCTGCAGAAAAGCATTTCAGGTGCCAGAAACATCCCGGTAACAGACAGAAGACTGGGTCAAGGGGTACGTGCCTTAAGGACTGTGATAATTAGGTGGGTACACAAAGTATTTTGCTGAGACTTGCAAAAAGGAAACCAGAGGGAATGCCAGCATGAAAAACATGAGATTTCAAGTCTGTAACTGCTAAAAGTCACAGACTCTTTATAACTTATGAGCTCTTTATAACTTATGGGCCGCAGGAGAACCTTTGAAGAATGTGGTTCAAGAGAAGGATTAGCTAGCAGAGAAGATTTTAAGAAATATGTCTTAAAAATAATTTTATGATGGGAAATTCCAAAGGTATATGAAAGTAGAAGAATAGCACAATGAATTCTCAGGACTCACTACCTGGCTTCAACAATGGACAACTCATGCCCAGTTTTGCTTATACCTCTACCTGTTTTCCCCACATACATTATTTTGAAGCCAATTCCAGTCACTACCATTTCATCTGTAAATATTACAATGTGTATCTTGAAAAGATAAACTCTTAAAAACATAGGCACAATACCATCAGTGCACCCAAAACATTAACAATGATTCCTTAGAACATCAACTATCCAGTCACCGTTCAGGTTACTTACTGCCTAATACAATTTTTTCTTTCTTTTTTATTTTTATTTTACTTTAAGTTCTTGGGTACATGTGCAGAATGTGCGGGTTTGTTACGTAGGTATGCAAGTGTCGTGGTGGTTTGCTGCACCTATCAACCCGTCATCTAGGTTTTAAGCCCAGCATGCATTAGATATTTGTCCTAATGCTCTCCCTCCCCTTGACCCCCACCCCCCAACAGGCCCCGGTATGTGATGTTCCCCTCCCTGCGTCCATGTGTTTTCATTGTTCAACTCCCACTTATGAGTGAGAATATGTGGTGTTTGGTTTTCTGTTCCTGTGTTAGTTTGCTGAGAATGATGGTTTCCAGCTTCATCCATGTCCCTGCAAAGGACACGAACTCATTCTTTTTTATGTCTGCATAGTATTTCATAGTGTATATGTGCCACATTTTCTTTAACTAGTCTATCATTGATGGGCATTTAGGTTGGTTCCAAGTCTTTGCTATTGTAAATAGTGCTGCAGTAAGCTCTCTCACCCAGGCTGAAGTGCAGTGGCACAATCTCGGCTCACTGCAACCTCTTTCCCCTGGGTTCAAGTCATTCTCGTGCCTCAGCCTCCCCAGTAGCTGGGATTACAGGTGCATGCCGCCACACCTGGCTAGTCTAGTTTTTGTATTTTTAGTAAAGACAAGGTTTTGCCATATGGTCAGGATGGTCTTGAACTCTTGGCCTCAAGTGATCTGCCGCCCGCCTTGGCCTCCCAAAGTGCTGGGATTACAGGCATAAGCCACCACTCCCGGCTCTGCCTAATACATTTTAATAATAATTTCTTTGAATCAGAATCCAACTAAAGTCCTACACATAGTGATTGGCTCATGTGTCTTTTAATCTATAGGTTTCCCCTTCAGTTCTTTTATTGCTGGAAAAATAGGTTATTCATCTTGTGTAATTCAAAATGTGGTCAGTGAACCAGGATCATCAGCATCACCTGGGAACTCGGTAGAAATGCAGCATCTCAGATCCCATCCCAGACCTCCTGGGTTAGAAACTACATTTTCACAAGGTCCCTGGGTGTTTTGTATGCACAATTAAGTTTGAGAAGCACTGCTGTAGAGTCCCCCGCAGTCTAGACATTGCCAGTTGCATCTCTGTGGTGTCCTTTAGTGCATTCCTTCATCTTCCACTTTTCTTTCTTTTCTTTCTTTCTTTTTCTTTCTTTCTTTCTTTTTCTCTTCCTTCCTTTCTGTCTTTCTTTCTTTCATTCCTCCCTCCCTCCCTCCCTTCCTTCCTTCCCTCCTTCCTTCTTTCTTTTCCTTCCTTCCTTCCTTCCCTCCCTCCCTCCCCTACCCTCCCTCCCTCCCTCCCTCCCTCCCTCCCTTCCTTCCTTCCTTCCTTCCTTCCTTCCTTCCTTCCTTCCTTCCTTCCTTCCTTTTTTCCTCTCTCTTTCTTTCTTTTTTGTTTGAGTTGGAGTCTCACTCTGTCACCCATGCTGGAGTGCAATGGTGTGATCTTCGGCTCACTGCAACCGCTGCCTCCCGGGTTCAAGCAATTCTCCTGCCTCAGCCTCCCAAGTAGCTGGGATTACAGGCACCCACCACCACGCCCCGCTAATTTTTGTATTTTTAGTAGAGACGGGGTTTCACCTTATTGGCCAGGCTGGTCTCTTAGCCAAGCTGGTTTCAAACTCCTGACCTTGTGATCCACCCACCTCAGCCTCCCGAAGTGCTGGGATTACAGGTGGGAGCCACCGTGCCTGGCCCATTGTCCACATTTCTGTAAGTTGATAAGTTGTATCTATACATTTTTATCAGATTTAGGTCTGATTTTTTCTTTTTTTTTTTTTTTTTTTTTTAGCAAGACCACTTTTTAGATTGTTATGTTTTTCCATGAGGAGGTAACTGATGTCTGGTTATCTCCCATTGTGTTTTTATTTTTTAAAATTATTTTTATTATTTATTTATTTAATTTTTGAGATGGTGTCTTGCTCAGTTGCCCAGGCTGGAGTGCAGTGGCATGATCATGGCTCACTGCAGCTTTGACCTTGCAGGCTCAAGTAGTCATCTTACCTCAGCCTCCTGAGTAGCTGGCACCACAGGCATGCACTAACATACCCGGTTAGTTTTTTACAAAACTAATTTGTAGTGATGGGGTCTCACTGTGTTGCCTAGGCTGGTCTGGAACTCCTGGGCTCAAGTGATCCTCCCACTTTGGCCTCCTAATTTGCTGGGACTACAGGCATGAGCTACCATGCCCAGCCTCATTTGTGATGTTATCTATCTGCTGTATGATAATGCCTAGATCCATGAATTCATTAAGGGTTGCAAAACAGAGCAAGGCTTTGACTTGAGTGGATCCAGTTTATTTTGGAAGTGATTAATTCTCTAATTTTTATTCACCATTTCTATAAAATTAATGGTATATTGCACCAATTATGTGCCAGGAACTGTTCTAAGGGCTTTACATAAATGAATGCATTTATTGATCCTCACAAAAATCTTTAAAACTGTGTATTCATTTCCTATTGCTGCTGTAACAAATTGCCACAAACTTAGTGGCTTGGAACAATCCAAATTATTATCTTACAGTGTTGGAGGTCAGAAGTCCCAAAGAGGTCTCACTTGGTTAATATCAAGGCATTGACAGGGCTGCATTATTTCTGGAGGCTCTGGGGAGAACCTTTGCCTCTTCCAAATTCTAGAGACCACCTGCAGTCCTTGGCTTGTGGCCTCTTTCTCCATATTCAGAGCTACTAGCATAACATCTTTAAATCTCTCTCTGATTCTCTTCTTCCTCCCTCTTCCACACTTAAGGACCCTTTTGATTACATCGGTTCTACCTGCACAACCTCCTGGTTTTAAGGTCAACATTGATTCCATCTGCAACTTTGATTCCCTTTTGCTGTAGAATCTAACATATTCATAGGTTCCAGGAATTAGGACACAGACATCTCTGAAGGGACATTATTCTGCCAGCCACCACTAGGCTCTTTGGTTCCTGTTTTACAGACAAGGAAACTGAGATACATCGAGGGGAAATAACTCATCCAAATTCACACAGGTCCTAACTGGTGGAGCTTGGATACAAACAGAGAGAGTCTGGCTCCAGAGTCCATGCTTTGAACCCAGCAGATGTGAGATCACTTAGTGCTCAACACTGAATTTCCTCTGAGACCTCGATCTTGCCAATGAACATATGTTTTTAGGAACATTGAATCCTGCGGTTGTCAGGGGATTTCTGCACACAAATGTTAGCCGGTGAATTCACCGTTCTTTCCGATGGTAAGTTAGTGTTTCCCTCCTAAAAGGTGGTAACAGTGGGCTTGTCCTTGGTTCAGTCTGTTTCTTCTTAGGCCCAGTCAGTTACCCACTGAATTAACCCCACGCTGGACCCTGACCTCTTTTTGGTACCATGTACCCTTTTGGCATCTGGCGGAGTCTATGACCTCCTTCTGAGAACAATATCCTTTTTTTTTTTTTTTTTTTTTGGAGAAGATATGTTTATTAATGGATGATTACATTAGCTTTCTGGGCAACAAACCTAAATATGCCTACTAATATTGATCTTCTATTCAACTCAAACTGAATAACATAACTTGTTCTCAATATAACTTACTTTTTTTAAAGTATTATTGCATGCCCTTATTTTATTTAAACTGAGATCTTCTTGGTGTCAGACGTTTATCTCAACCTATAGGTAAATATGTTTACAATTATAAATCTGCTAGTAAACATATTATATAACTTCTTCTACTTAGTAATCTTCATATTAGACAACTATAGCTTAAGTATCATCATACTAGTTATACTCAAATTTTCCCTATTGCCTTAAAGATTCCCTTTGGCAGTTTGTTTGTTTAAATTAAGGCCCAAAATTCACATATTTCCTTTTTTATATATATAAATCTTTCTAACTCCAAAACAATATTTAACCATTAGCACTTTTTATTTTTGGTCCATTCAGTTTTGGGAAAATGTTATTTAGGCTATGAAATATTCTATACTAGATTTGATTGATTGTTCTTTGTAATATTGTTTAAATTATTTATCTATGCAAAAAATAAAGTGCATGGAATTACAAAGGAAACCAATTATACTAAAATATGGTTATCAAAATATAAAAAAACTCACCAAATTTGTGTCATAGTAATATGTGAATCTTTACTAATGCATCAAATAACAAGATTTAGTGGTGAGTCTAATAACTATGTAATTCCAATTAGTGATGCACACGTACAATATAATGAGATGTCTGCTATGATTGTAATGAGATATGAAAATATCGTGATTTATATCGGTGACAAAAATCACAGATATTGCAAATACTACTGTGGTTTGTTGCTTCCATTTATAATAGAAGGAAATGCTAAATTTTAGTTAGCAATCAGAGAAAATGAGGCAGGTTTATGGACCCTCTGAATTCTACCCACAAACCTCAAGTTGGGAGCCCTGGCCTAGTACCCCATTGGTTTGTGCTGCTTATTTAGTATTTCTCTCTCTCTCTCTCTCTCTTTTTTTTTTTTTTTTTTGGAGACAAAGTCTCACTCTGTCACCCAGGCTGAAGTGCAGTGGCACGATCAGAGCTGGCTGCAACCTCTGCTTCCCGGGCTCAAGCAATCCTCCCACCTCAGCCCACTAAGTGGCAGGGACTACAGGCATGAGTCACCACGCCCAACTAATTTTTGTAATTTTTTGTAGAGATGGGGTTTCACCATGTTGCCCAGGCTAGTCTCAAACTCCTGAGCTCAAGCAGTCCACCCGCCTCGGCCTCTCAAAGTGCTAGGATTCCAGGTGTGAGCCACTGCACCGGGCCTGTTTCGTGTTTCTCTTAATTTGATAGACTCTAGCAAATACCTGTTGAGACCCCACTGTGGGCAAGGCATGTGCTAGGGACTTGGGACAGAGCACTGAACACACAGAGCTGGCCTTCAAGGAACAGATAGATTTCTTTTACGATTTTCCCGCCTTCCTTCTGGGGGGAGAGTGTCTTCACCCTTCAGTGTAATTGCAAACTCCTTGAAGGCTGGGAGTGGTTCTAAGTCCCTTCTCTTGTCAGGCCTCAGATGATAGGCATTGAAGAAACAGGAGGTTCAAAGATCAATGTTTACACAAAACGATTTTCGGTCGTTCATGGAAAAAAACATTTTATTATTTAACAGTTAAACATTTATGTTAATGCAGATAAGAAAATATATAGAACTCAGCTGGGTGTGATGGCTCACACCTGTAATCTTAGCACTTTGGGAGGCCGAGGTGGGAGAATTGCTTGAGTCCAGGTGTTCCGGACCAGCCTGGGCAATATAGCAAGACCCTATCTCTTAAAAAAATAAAAGAAAACATATAGAACTAGCCATCTTAATACATAATATGGGTTATTATTGCCTAGGATGAGGACTTTTCTTCTTTTTATAACTGTGCTGAAAAGGACATGACATTGTACTTACCATCTTCACCATTTTATAATGTACAGTTCAGTTGTGTTAAGTGTATTCACGTTGTGCAATAGATCTGTAGAAGTATTTCATCTTGCAAAACGGAAACTCTAGACCCATTAAACACTAAATACCTCCAGCCCTTGGCAACCATGATTCTACTTTCTGTTTCTAGGAGTTTGACTACTTGAGATACCTCATTGGAGTGGAATTGTTCGGTATTTGTCCTTTTGTGACTGGCTTATCACATAAAGTCGTCGAGGTTTGTCTATGGTGCAGCACCCCACAAGATTTCCCTCTCTCTCTCTTTTTTTTTTTTTTTTTTTAAAGACAGGGTCTCACGCTGTCACCCAGGCTGGAGTGCAGTGGCATCATCTCGGTTCACTGCAACTTCTGCTCCCTCGACTCAAGTGATACTCCCACCTCAGCCTCCTGAGTAGCTGGTACTATAGGCACACACCACCATGCCTGGCTTTTTTTTTTTTTTTGGCATTTGGCAGTTTGTTTGTACATTGAAATACAAGATCTCTGAAGCTTTTGTAGCTATAAATGTTTCTAAATGATGCAACACATGGTCTCGCCATGTTGCCCAGGCTGGTCTCAAACTCCTGAGCTCCAGCAATTGGCCCGCCTCAGCCTCCCAAAGTGCTGGGATTACAGGCGTGAGCCACTGTGCCTGGCCAAATATCCCTCTTTTTAAAGGCTGAATAACATTCCATCGTACGTAGATATCAGATTTTCGTTATCCCTTCATTTGCCAATGGGCATTTGGGTTGCTTTCACCTCTTGATTATTGTGAATAACCCTGCAATGAACATGGGTGTGCAAATATTTCTTTGAAATCCTGCTTTCAAATTTTTGGGATATATACCCAGAAATGGAATTTCTGGATCATATGGTATTTCTATTTTTAACTTTTTGAGGAGTTTCCATACCGTTTTCCTGTAGCAACTGCACCATTTTCATTCCCACCAACTGTGCACAGAAGTTCCAATTCTTCACGTCCTCGCCAACACTTGTTATTTTCTGTTTTTTTTTAATTGTGGCCATCATAATGGGTGTGAGGTGATATGAGATGAGGATATTTCAAGATAATATTAAGTAAATAATAGTAGAGGTGTTCAATAGAAATGGCAAAAATGAAGATGTACCAATGCATGAAGTTTGGAAACCTCTTTTTTTTTTTTTTTTTGGACAGTCTCTGTCACTCAGGCTGGAGTGCAGTGGCACGATCTTGGCTCACTGCAACCTCTGCCTCCCAGGTTCAAGCGATTCTCCAGCCTCCCAAGTAGCTGGGATTACGGACACCTGCCACCATGTCCAGCTAATTTTTGCATTTTTAGTAGAGATGTGGTTTCACATTGTTGGCCAGGCTGGTCTCGAACTCCTGACCTCAAGTGATCTGCCCGCCTCGGCCTCCCAAAAGTGATGGGATTAGAGGTGTGAGCTATCATGCCCAACCTGGAAAACTCTTGATCAGACAACTTCTAAAGCTGCCCAAAGTGTGGTCTGTGGTCAGTAATGGCCTGAGAACTGTTCCTTGTCTGAGACCAGATAAGACAGAACTTGAGGGTACCTGTTTAGAAGGATAGCAATTTAACATTCCTAAAACATCTGAATGCATGATCGTTATTCTAGTAATTTGCTTTTATTGTATTTTATGAACGTATTGGCCCACGATGGATTGGCAAACAAAAGAAGACAAAGCAAAGCTGGCCCTGCAGCCCTGACAGTCTGAGAAGCTCTACAGTTCCGCCCAGGCTTGGCAACATAACTACTGAACTTATTTTGGCCTCAGATTTTCCATCTATAAAATGAGGATAAGAAAAGGAAAGCTCAGTCTTCATTTTATTTTATTTTTGAGACAGAGTCTGGCTCTGTTGCTCAGGGTGGATCATGCAGTGGCGCGATCTTGGCTCACTACCACCTCCACCTCCTGGGTTCAAGCGATTCTCGTGCCTCAGCCTCCTGAGTAGCTGGGATTACAGTCTTGTGCCACCATGCCCGGCTAATTTTTGCACTTTTAGTAGAGATGTGGTTTCACCATGTTGGCCAGGCTGGTCTTGAACTCCTGACCTCAAGTGATCCGCCCACCTGGAGCTCCCAAAGTGCTGGGATTACAGGCGTGAGCCACTGTGCCCGGCCGGGAGCCCAGTCTTGATTGTTGTCAGCTAGTAGCTGGCCTGGTACTACTGCTAGGCTGTGGTGTTCCCTACTTAAGCAATTTCATAGGATGGTCACACTGGAAGATGTCATGCTGACCATGATGAAACAAGACAAAAACAAGACAGTCTGTAATGAATCCTATCTGAGCATGAAAGTATGAGCAGTGGGCAAACCACAAAAAAATGGCCAAACGCATCCTCTCCTTCTGACTGACACATGCAGTTACTGCTGGTTTTCCAATGACAGCTTTAGCCCCACTCTATTCCTCCTGCCTCCTACATAAAAATTATGATGATGCCCAGCCATGGAATTAACACTGCTTTCTGCCAGCTAACCAGAAGCGCCCCAACACACTCTTACTGGGACACAGCTCCCACTCCCCATGGTGTGTGGTCTTCCTTGTTGCAACAGGTTACTAAACCCATTTCTGTTCAACTACAGGTGTGTTTCTGGTGGCTTCTGGCTGATGAGCATGACAGGAATAATAATAGATGGCTATAGGTTTAAATGAGTTCATGCATGCAATATGCTTAGAATGATGCCTGGCTCCAAGTAAGGTCTATTAAAATGTTAGATATTATTATTATTGTTATTATTATTCGGAATAGCGTCTTGCTGTGTTGCCCAGGCTGGAGTGCAGTGGTGTGATCATGGCTCACTGTAGCCTCAACCTCCTGGGGTCAAGCAATCCTCCCACTTTAGCCTCCTGAGTAGGTGGGAGTACAGGTGTGAGGCACCATTACAGGCCTATTATTATTAATAATATTATCTTTGTCCCTCACAGTGATGGGCACCACATCTTGCCATAGAAAGACCCCATACTTGCTGGGCACATTGGCTCATGCCTGTAATTCCAGCGTGTTTAGAGGCCTAGGCGGGAGTATTACTTGAGCCCAGGAGGTTGAGACCAACCTGGGCAACACAATGAGATCTAGTCTCTACAAAAATTAAAAAATCAGCCAGCTGCGGTGGTGCAAATCTGTGGTCCCAGCTACTGGGGAGGGTGAGGTGGGAAGATTGCTTGAGCCCAGGAAGTTGAGGTTTCAGTGAGCTGTAACTGTGCCACTACACTCCAGTCTGTGTGACAGAGCGAGACCCTGTCTCAAAAAATTGAAAGACACACCCCACACTTGTGGGGACACCAAATTTGTGGATTGATTTGGGATAGTGTATTCATCATCTATTGTTGTGTAAAAAGTTACCCCAAATGCAGTAGCTGAAAACAATAAATACCTATTATCTCACAGCTTCTACGGGTCAGGAACCCAGGAGCAGCTTAGCTGGGTGGTTCTGACTCAGGATCTCTCATGAGGCTGCAAGTCAGGCTGTTGGCTAGAGCTGCTGTCACACTGGGACTCAACCAGAGGAGACTCTGCTCCGAAGTTCCTTCACATGGGGGCTGTGCCTCCCCATGCGAACCTCGCCATTGATGGCCTGAATGTCTCTGCAACATGGCAGCTGGTTCCCGAGAGAGAGAGAGAGAGAGAGAGAGAGAGAGGGAGAGAGCAAGCACAACCCTATTCTATTCATGATGCAGACTAGCCCTGGTCTGTGCATGGTGGGGGATGCCACACAAGGGGATGAATACCTGGAGGCAAGAATAATTGGGACCATCTTGCAGGTTGGGCCATAGAGGGCCTCCCTGTTCCTCCAAGTGCCCTCCAACTTTTCCCTCTTGGCTTCAACTTTTTTTTTTGTTTGTTTGTTTGTTTTTGAGACAGAGTCTCACTCTGTCACCCAGGCTGCAGTGCAGTGGTGTGATCTCGGCTCACTGCAACTTCCACCTCCCGAGATCAAGGGATTCTCCTGCCTCAGCCTCCCGAGTAGCTGGGACTACAGGCGCCCGCCACACCATGTTGGGCTAATTTTTTGTATTTTTAATAGAGATGGGGTTTCACCGTGTTAGCCAGGATGGTCTCGATCTCCTGACCTTGTGATCTGCCCACCTCAGCCTCCCAAAGTTTTGAGATTACAGGCATGAGCCACCGCACCCAGCCAGGCTTCAACTTTAATTTAGACCAAGAAGACATCTCCATTCTCTCTGAATGGAGCTTGAAGACAAACAAACAAGAAATGAGTGTGAGTATAGCTGGGGTGGGATGGGGCCTACAGGTATTGGAGAGGCAGAAATCTCGTCCTGTCTGTTGACATTTGTCAAGGCCTCTGCAGGGACAGGCTCCTGGGAGACTCTGCAGTCAGCTGCACTTCCAGAGGGAGAAGAGGCATACGCTTTCTCTCTCTCTCTCTCCTCTTTTCTTCCTCTCTCCCTCCTCCCTGCAGCAAGAGTCTTGAATCCCTCTGACTGACAGTGTCAGATTGTCTTATCAAAACACGGGTCCGGGACTACACTGTGATTGGCTGTGCAGAACCATTGTGGGGCTGGAGAATTCTTCTCCGAGGGAAATGATTATAAGGCATTTTAAGAACAGCAAGCTGAATGCTACGCACAGCTGGCAGTTCTTGTTTTTGACAAGTAATAATTGCCTCAGGTGCAATGGAAAGTGGGGGTGGGGGGCTCTGTGAGTTTATTTTGAGAGGAGGCTCAGTGCACAGGGGTTGGGCATTGGACAAGGAGGGGTGAGTGGGAGCAACTTGGCTCAGGGGGTCTCAGACTGACTCGATCTGAGGCTGAGGGAGCATCTGGGGTGGCCCTGAGTGACAGTATGTTTCCTTCTGTGCCCCTGGGAACACCTCTTGCCATCTGAGTGGGGAGACAGGGGGTGACTTGTGATTGTAGGAAGGCCCAGATGTTCTGAGCAAACTGACCCAAAGCAGCATCTGTCCTGCATGGGGGCCTGGCCCTGTGAGGGTGATGCACGAGCGGCTTTTGTGCTTAGAGAGCCCTGGAACCACTGTATGCCTTGCTAGACACTTGCTACTCAAAGTGTAGTGCCTGGGCCAGCAGCATCAGCACCAGCCTGGGAGCTCATAAGAAAAGCAGAGGCTCAGGTCCCCCTCAGGGACCTACAGAATCCAAATCTGCATTTTGATTTTTGTTTTTGTCTTTTGTTTTGAATTTTTTTTTTTTTGAGGCAGGGTTTCACTCTGTCATCCAGGCTGGAATTCTGGGGTGCAATCATGGCGCACTGCAACCTCGAACTCCTGGGCTCAAGCAATCCTCCCACGTCAGCCTCCCGAGCTGACATGCCCAGCTAATTTTTTTTTTTTGAGACGAAGTTTCACTCTTGTTGGCCGGGCTGGAGTGCAATGGCATGATCTTGGCTCACTGCAACCTCTGCCTCCCAGGTTCAAGCTATTCTCATGCCTCAGCCTCCAGAGTAGCTGGGATTACAGGCCTGTGCCACTGTGCCCGGCGAATTGTTGTATTTTTAGTAGAGAGGGGGTTTCACCATGTTGGCCAGGCTGGTCTCGAACTCCTACCTCACGTGATCCACTCGCCTCTGCCTCCCAAAGTGTTGGGATTACAGGCATGAGCCACTGCACCCATTATATATTTTTTTAAGCTTCAAAAAAGAAAATGGGCACTGCCATGGAAAGGAGAAGCTGGATTGTATGCCAGGCAGTCAAAAAGCCAACTGTTTTTGATGATTGGAGTGCTGGTTACAGAGGGAGCTCATTTTCTTTTTTAAAAATATATTTAAAAATGTTTTATAAGGCCGAGATGGGCAGATCACCTGAGGTCAGGAGTTTTAGACCATTCTGGCCAACATAGTGAAACCCTGTCTCTGCCAAAAATACAAAAATTAGCTGGGCGTGGTGGCAGGTGCCTGTAATCCCAGCTACTCGGGAGGCTGAGCCAGGAGAATCGCTGGAACCCGGGAGGCAGAGGTTGCAGTGAGCCGAGGTCGTACCACTGCACTCCAGCCTGGGCAACAGAGTGAGACTGTCTCAAAAAAAAAAAAATTATAGATTTAGGGGGTACAAGCGAAGATTTCTTACATACCTATTCTGGGATTTTAGGGTAAACATCACCCGAATAGTGAACATTGTATCCAATAGGTAATTTTTCACTTCTCATTCCCCTCCCGCTCTCCTACCTTTTGGAGTCTCCAGTGTCTAGTCTCTTATTCCGCTCTATATGTCCATGTGTACCCTTTGTTTGGGGCTCATTTTCTTTTCTTTTTAAATAACCTTCATTTAAAAAAAGTTAATATGTGCATTATCGGAAACTGAAAAACACAAGAAGCAAAGAACAAAATCATCTACAATCACAAGCAGTGGAACTCATCTTTTTTTTTGTTTTTTTTTTTTTGTTTTTTTTTTTTTGAGATGGAGTCTCACTCTGTTGCCCAGGCTGGAGTGCAGTGGTGTGATCTTGGCTCACTGCAACCTCTGCCTCCCTGGTTCATGCCATTCTCCTGGCTCAGCCTCCCGAGTAGCTGGGATTACAAGTGCCCACCACTATGCCCAACTAATTTTTGTATTTTTAGTAGACACTGGGTTTCACCATGTTGGCCAGGCTGGTCTCAAACTCCTGACCTCAAGTGATCCGCCTGCCTCGGCCTTCCAAAGTGCCAGATTACAGGCGCAAGCCACCGTGCCTGGCACAGAACACATTCTCTTTATGTGATTTTGTGTCAATGTGGAGAGATATTCAACAAGGACATGGAGTCTGTCAGACTTTGCATTGCCCCATTTCCTGTATACTAGTTTGATGCTTGCTCTATGCAGATGTCTTGGCTCATGAAGGCCCATGTACATTCTGGAAGACGGTCATGGAGCCGGGGACCAAGTCCTGTGGCTGAGAGGATAAAGGACTCTGTCCCAGTCTGGAACTGATCACCTCAGAGTAACATGATGGGGTAGTCCATGGACTTTCACGTCAGACCAAGCTGGGTGTAAAGCCAGGAGCTGCCACTCAGCAGCTGTGTCACCTCAGGGAGGATGCTGTGCCCTCCCCTTCCCCCAGAGAATGGCCTCTGCCCGGCCTGCCTTGGTGAGCACAGGAGCTCATGGATTAAGATGTGTAACATGCTCAGCATGGGGCTTGGCACATTACAGTCAGTGCTGAATAAAGGCTAGGCATTAATATGATGTTGATAAATTGTTTTATTTTATATGATTTAAAGATAAGCTTTGAGGTGATGCCGGGGGAGAGCGTGGATGGGAAATTTGATAGTTTCAGGAGTTTGAAGAAGGCACTTCTAGAAGAGATTGGTGATGAAAACAGCAAGGTCTACAGAGCTCTTATGGAGGTTTCTTTTTCTTTCTTTCTTCTTTTTTTTTAACTGAGATGGAGTCTCGCTGTGTCGCCCAGGCTGGAGTGCAGTGGCGTGATCTCGGCTCACTGCAACCTTTGCCACCCAGGTTCAAGCGATTCTCGTGCCACTGCCTCCCAAGTAGCTGGGACTACAGGCGCACGCCATCATGCCGGCTAATTTTTTTGTATTTTTAGTAGAGACGGGGTTTCGCCATGTTGGCCAGGCTAGTCTCGAGCTCCTGACCTCATGTGATCCACCTGCCTCAGCCTCCTAAAGTGCTGGGATTACAGGCGTGAGCCACCACGCCCCACCTCCTTATGAGGTTTCTATGTGGTTCTTCACTGAGTTCCAGGACACTCTTCCCTGGCCAGCAGTAAATCAGGAAGACAGCAGTCCTTAGAGCTGAGGTGGTAACACAGGATGTTTGCAAAAGGGTTGAATATTTCAGGAGAAAATAGCTAATCTTGTCTTTAAAAAAATCAGCCAATTAACCAACAAACCATGTGACCTCAGATAAATATTGTTTCCTATCCAGCTCAATTTCCTCATCTCTAAAATGAGAGAGTGTATCCTTTATTCCCTCCATGCCAGGAACTAACTGAGAAGTAGAGCTAGCTATTTGATAATCATCAAACTAAGAGCTTTCTTCTGGTGCACCTGCGCTGGAGAACACCCACATAAAACGATAGTAACTGTGACGTGCCGTGAAGAAAATGTGCTGTGACAACCAGAGCAGATCTGAGTGGGACAGGGAGCTCAAGATATAACATTTAAGCTCTGATCTGAAGAAGTAGCTGGAGGTGAGTGCATTCAGCATATGCAAAGATCCTGTGGCAGGCTGGAGGAACTGAAAGAAAGTCAATGTGGCTGGAGGGAGAGCAGGTGCAAACCCTCCTACATCAAACCTTGTGAGCCCTATGAAAGATTGCACATGTTGTCCAAAGATTGAAGGGTTTTAAACAGGATGTTAATATTAGCATATTAGCAGGAGCTCACTCTGGCAGCAGGGTGGAGAGGGGATGGATCTCTCCTTTTTTGGAAAGGATCACATTGTAACCCTTCTCTTGCCAAATTCTCTTTCCCTCATATGGGCTGCTTTTGTTTGTGAGATGAAGAGCAAGAACAGAGTAGTGGTAGATGAGGGCTGCTAGCAGCTCTACCAGAATGGCAGGACATTTGAGAGCTGAATGGAGAATGGGTGTAATTAAAAGAAAAAAGGTGGAAAGACCTGGCTTGATTTCTCTTGCCAGGAATGATTGTACTACACATTCCCGCTTTAACACCGATTTTCTGTGAAAGGTATATTAGTCCCTAGGCTGAGTTCTCCGCCCAGGGGCGGTACAAGAATGTGAGAAGCAAATACTCTCTCCAGGAGATAAAATTCTAGGGGACTTTTTATGTTATGTCTCAGGTCCCTTGACATGAATTGGCTTTGTCCAGCCGTCAGACAAAAACCCAATGCAACTGTTAATTTGTGGTGGCCTTGGATGATGGGTGAAAGTATTAGTCTGTAGCTTAAAACCTCAACAGCGTGTCCTTCCTCCTCCAAAGTGGTAATTAAACACGGTCAGATGTGACTCTTGCCAGGCTGTTTAGTTGTGCTGGGCAAGGTCTCTGAATTAGAGATGATGACTGTAAAATGTTTGTGGGTTGAAAGTCCTCTCTTGGGTATACAGAAAAGATATAGAGAGAGTAGAGAATTGTGTTCTAGTTATGAGTCATTCATCCAACAAATATTTATTGAGCATTGTCCCGGATACGATTGGTTTCCCACCTGGATCCCACTTAGGAGTCTAAGGCAGCTGCCAGGGAATTGTGCTCAGCTGATGGTGCTGAGGAATGCCTGGGAGGTTACATTTTGCACCCTCCCCAGGGGCAGCCCCCTGCCAATGGAGAGGCCATATGTAAAGCTGGCCCCTTGATACAGGCTGGATAATTCTGTGATGGCTTCATGCCCCAGAGCTCCTTGTGGAGTTGGTCTGAGAATAGGCTCCTGCTGAATCTATATACTTTCCTTTTCTATCTCACTTCCCTCACTCCCTTTCTCCTGAGGGTGTCAGAAGTATTCAAACGAGAGTGACTCCATCTTAATATGAGCTGGGTGAAATGAAGCTGAGATTTGCTGGGCCGCATTCCCAGGAAGTTAGGTATCCTTAGTCACAGGAAGAGGTTGGAGGTCAGCAGGACAAGATACAAGTCATAAAGACCCTGCCGATGGCCGGGCGCTGCGGCTTCCACCTGTAATCCCAGCACTTTGGGAGGCTGAGGTGGGTGTATCACCTGAGGTCAGCAGGTCAAGACCAGCTAGTTCAATACTAGCGTGACCAACATGGTGAAACCCCATCTCTACTAAAAATACAAAAATCAGCTGGGCGTGGTGGCGAGCGCCTGTAATCCCAGCTCTTTGGGAGGCTGAGGCAAGAGAATCACTTGAACGAGGGAGGCGGAGGTTGCAGTGAGCAGAGATCATGCCACTGCACTCCAGCCCGGGCGACAGAGTGAGACTCTGTCTCAAAAATAAATAAATAAAAGACCCTGCTGATAAAACGGGATTCAATAAAGAAGCCAGTCAAAACCCACCCAAACCAACATGGTGACGATAGTGACCTCTTGTTATCCTTGCTGCTAATTATATGCTAATTATAATGCATTAGCATGCTAAAAGACACTCCCACTAGTGCCATGACAGTTTACAAATGCCATGGCAACGTCCAGAAATTACCCTATATGCTCTAAGAGGAAGAGGAACCCTCAGTTCCAGGAATTCCTGGCCCCTTTCCTAGCAAACTCATGAATAATCCATCCCTGGTTTAGCATATGATTAAGAAATAACCATAAAAATAGCCAACTAGCAGCCCTTGGGGCTGCTCTGCCCATGGAGCAGCCATTCTTTTATTCCTTTTCTTTTTAAATAAACTTGCTTTTACTTTACTCTGTGGACTCGCCCTGAATTCTTTCTTGCATGAGATCCAAGAATGCTCTCTTGGGGTCTAGATTGGGACCCCTTTCCGGTAACAAGAACACTCCCTCAATAAAGCAGGGCATAAGTCCCTGTTTCAGGCTTTGCTCCTGCAGAACCTGCCTAAGACCTGCTGTGTGTTGGGCACTGTGTCTATGCCTTGGAGATAGAGTGTTAAACCCTTCGAGCAAAGTCTCTGCCCCAAGGCAGCTCAGTGCCTTCTAGGGGGTCTGATTTTCCATATCCTAGTCTTGTAATTTGTTTTTTCTTTTTTCTTTTTCTGAGACGGAGTCTTGCTCTGCCACCCAGGCTGGAGTGCAGTGGCGTGATCTCAACTCACTGCAACCTCTGCCTCCCGGGTTCAAGCGATTCTCCTGCCTCAGCCTCCCGAGTAGCTGGGACTACAGCTGCATGCCACCATGCCCGGCTAATTTTTTGTATTTTTTTTAGCAGAGACGGGGTTTCACTGTGTTAGCCAGGATGGTCTCGATCTCCTGACCTTGTGATCCACCTGCCTTGGCCTCCTAAAGTGCTGGGATTACAAGCATGAGCCACCACACCCGGCCCCTAGTCTTGTAATTTTGAGAAGTCGCTGGAGCTATGCGAGCCTCAAATTTCTTATCAATCGAATGGTGGTAACAGTGCTTGTCTTTACTTTTTTCCTTCTATTTTTTAGTCTTGCACTGTCACCCAGGCTGGAGTGCACTGGCATGATTCCACCATACTGCAGCCTTGAACTCCTAGGCTCAAGTGATCCTCTGACCTCAGCCTCTGGAGTAGCTGGGACTATAGGTACATTCTACCATACCTGGCTAATTTAAGAAAAAAAAAATTTTTTTTTAGACCCAAGGTTTTACTATTTTGCTCAGGCTGATCTCGAACTCTGGCCTCAGTGGATCCTCCTGCCTCGGCCTCTTGAAGTGTTGGGATTACAAATGTAAGCCAGGGCACCCAACCAATGCTTTCCTTTTCTGAAAAGACCAAGCAACAGCAGCAGCAGGATGGTTTAAGCCTTCTTAAGCATCTGTCAGCTGCCCTTCCCCATCACCACTTCCAGATGACAGCCTTGTCTTCTATTTCTAGCTAGGTTGCTGCTGCTATACATGGAAATTCTGGATCCTCCATTTTAGGACCATGAATTGATAGAAAACTGGCTCTCATGCTGCTACCTAGGTGTTTGTTGAATGAATGAATGTTGAATATGATTAACAACAGTGCTATCATTCAAGCAGCCCAGGTACTGGAATAAGCACTTTATTGCTTCTTTTTTAAAATTTTTTTATAGAGAAGGAAATGGAGGCATTGAAATACCAAGACATACTGAATATGAGAGCAATTCAACAACTATGTAAAGCACATATACAGATGTAAAATGTTAGAAGACAGGACTTTGGATGGAAGGATTAATTTGCAGCACTGATGTTTCCTAAGAAAATGGTCAGAAGAAATTTCTTTTGGAATGTTCTTTGTTTTTTCTTTTTTGTTGTTTGTTTTTGTTTTTTTCTGAGACAGAGTTTCCCTCTTGTCACCCAGGCCGGAGGGCAATGGTGCGATCTCAGCTCACTGCAACCTCCGCCTCCCGGGTTCAAGTGATTCCCCTGTCTCAGCCCTCCTAGTAGCTAGGATTACAGGCACCCACCACCATGTCCAGCTAATTTTTTGTATTTTTAGTAGAGGCGGGGGTTTCACCACGTTGGCCAGGCTGGTCTCGAACTCCTGACCTCGGGTGATCCACCCGCCTCAGCCTCCCAAAGTGCTGGGATTACAGGCGTGAGCCACCATGCCCGGCCTGGAATGTTTTTCTATAACTTGTTCCTTTTTCAGTTCACATGTGGACAACCCTTTTAACCCATTGTTCAAGGTCATGGAGATTGTTTTTGAAACTTGAAACCAAACACTTACAGATGGCTCCCCCAAAGGATAGAGAAAAGGAAACGAGAAACAAGAAAATCACAACCACCTGCTATTATAAAAGGAGCCCGCATGATGAAGTTTTTAGAATTGTGGATCTGTACTTCTGCTACTGCTTAGGTTTTAGTGGAGGCAAAATAATGCCAATAGCTAATTTGTTTGGTCATTAAGCTTTGATAGAACTTCAGTCTAAGGGACATACAATTATATTAATGTACATGCTCCAGAGTCCCTGGTTTTATGATCTGTGGATTATTTATCATTGTTTCAGGATAGCAGTAGTTTACTTTGGTTTCATGATTTTTTTAACATTGGTTCTGGAATCCAAGAGACTTGGTAGGATTCTTTGTTTTTGTCTTTCCTTAATATTATTATCATCATTTTTTTTCTTTTTTTTTCTTCATTTGAGACAGTGTCCCGCTCTGTTGCCCAGGCTGGAGTGCAAGTGGCATAATCATAGCTCATTGCAACCTTGACCTCCCAGGCTCAAGCGATCCTCCCACTTCAGCCTCCCAAGTAGCCGGGACTACAGGTGCATGCCACCATGCCTTGCTAATTTTTAAAATTTTTTGTAGACATGGAGATCTCCCTATGTTGCCCAGGTTGGTCTCGAACTTTTGGGCACAAGAGATCCTCCTTCCTTGGCCTCCCGAAGTACTGGAGCTACAGGCGAGAGCCAACATGCCTGACCTGTTATCATTTTTTTATTTTATTTTTCTTGGCTCTGCCATTTACTGTGTGAATTTGGGCGAATTACTCACTTTTTAAAATTTTTTCTCCCCTTCCCTTCCCTTCCCTTCCCTTCCCTTCCCTTCCCTCCCCTCCCCTCCCCTCCCTTTGTGCCTCCCTGCCTACCTTTCCTCTCTCTTTCTTTTCAATAGAGATGGGGTCTCACTTTGCTGTCCAGGCTTACCCTGAACTCCTGGACTCAAGTGATTCTCCTTCCTCAGCTTCCCAAATAGCTGGGACTACAGGTGCATGCCACCATGTCTAGCTAATGTATTTGTTTTTGATTATGGCATAACAAAGCACCCAAAAACTTAGTAGCTTAAAACAACACGCAGTTTCTAGGGGTCAGGCATCCAGGTACAGCTTAACTGGGACCTCTACTCAGAGGCTCTCACAGGCTGCAATCACGGTGCCCACAAGGCTGCAGTTATCTCAAGATTCAACTTGGAGAGGCTCTGCTTCCAGGCTCATGTGGTCATTGGCAGAATTCAGTTCCTTGAGAGTTGTTGGGCTGAGGGCCTCCTTTCATTGCTGGCTGCTGGCCAGAAGCTGCCCTGTTTCCTGCTAGATGGTTCTCCCTGACAACAGGGAAGCTTGTTCCATCAAAGCAAGCTTGTGAGAAAATATCTCTATCTCTGCCTTTATCTATCTATATGTCTATATCTACATAGAGAAAGAAGACAGAACTCACAGGTTTTTTTTTTTTTTTTTTTTTTTTTTTAACGGTTATGGACAGAATTGCAGCCCTCTCCCAATCTCCCAAATCCACATGTTGAAGTTCTCACTCCCAATGTGCCTGTATTTGGAGACAGGGCCCTTTCAGAGATACTTAAAATAAGCCAGGTTATAAGGGTGGGGCCCTAATCTGATAGGACCTGTGTCCTTACAAGAAGAGGAAGAAACATGATAGGAAAGACCATGTGAGAACACAGTGAGAAGGTGGCCGTCTGCAAGGCAGGAAGAGAGCCCTCACCAGAAACCAACCCTGCTGTCCTACCTTGATCTTGGACTTCTACCCTCCAGAACTGTGAGAAAATAAGTGCCTGTTGTTTAATCTCCCAGTCTGTGATATTTTGTTTTGGCAGCCTGAGCTGCCTAATATGATAACCTGATCTTGGAAGTGACATCTCACCACTTTTGCCAGTTCTATTCCTTAGAAGCAAGTCATCAGGTTCAGCCCACACTCTAGGGAGGAGGTTCCACAAGGGCATAAATACGAGAATGAGAGGGTTGGAAGCCACTTAGAGGCTGCCTATCACGGGCACTGCTGTCTCTTCCTAAGATGGCTAAAATATAATAATATTTAACATTTATCTAGCATTTGCAGTTAGTATATACTAAACACGGATGATTCATTAATTCTCTCAACAAATGTGTGTGTGAGGTATTATAATTATTCCAATTTTACAGACGGGGAGACCGAGTCTCAGAAAGGTCAAGTAATGTGCCCAGGGTCACATAACAAGTAAAGGACAGGACTGCTATCTGAACATAAGTAACTCGCTCAGAGGTCTCACCCTCCCACTCTTGTTTTCCTCCAATCTGCTACCAACACAATAGCCAGAGCATTTGCTCTGTCACCCAGGCTGGAGTGCAGTGGTGTGATCTCAGCCCACTGCAACCTCCGCCTCCCAGGTTCAAACTATTCTCATGCCCCAGCCTCCTTAGTAGCTGGGATTACAGGTGTGTGCCACCACACCCAGCTAATTTTTGTATATTTAGTGGAGACAGGGTTTCACCATGTTGGTTAGGCTGGTCTCGAACTCCTGGCCTCAAGTGATCCACCCACCTTGGCCTCCCAAAGTGCTGGGGTTACAGGCATGAGCCACTGCACCTGGCCCAGAGCATTCATTTAAATCAGACATGCCATCTCATTTAAAACCCTCCAATCCTATTCCACTTTAAATAAGTTCCAAATCCCCCTACTATGATGCTGTGGGCTGAATTATGTATCCCTCACCCTAACCCCCTCCAAATTCTAAGTCCTAACCCTCATTGTTTCCTTCCAAATCCTACCTTCTTTAGAGTTAGGGCCTCTGTGGAGGTACTTATGTTAAAATGATTTCATTTGACTGGGCCTTAATCCGATATGACTGGCATCCTTATAAGAAAGGCATACACCGACACAAGCAGAAGGCAGACCACGTGAAGACATAGGGAAAAGTCAGCATTCTACAAACCAAAGAGAGCAGCCCAGAACAGATCCTTGTCTCACAGCCCTCAGAAGGAACCAACCCTGCTGACACCTTGATCTTCAACTTCTAGCCTTTGAACTGCAAGAAAATACATTTCAGTCACTTTAAGCCACCCTGCCAGCGGCACTTTGTGTGGCAGCTCGAGGAAGCAGATGCCTGCCACTTGCTCCTGGCTCACCTAAGCCATGGCAGCCTCCTTTCACTTCTTTGCAAATACTCTTCCATCTTAGGGCCTTTGCATGTGTGTTTTTTTTCTGCCTAGAACATTTTTTTCTTCTTGTTTTGAGACAGAGTCTTACTCTGTCACTCACGCTGGAGTGCAGTGACGTGATCATAGCTCACTGCAGCCTCAACCTCCCTGGGCTCAAGTGATTCTCCTACCTCAGCCTCCTGACGAGCTAGGACTACAGGCATGTGCCACCACTCCCAGCTAATTTTTTTTTTTTTTTTTTTGAGACGGAGTCTTGCTTTGTTGCCCAGGCTGGAGTGCAGTGGCGTGATCTCTGCTCACTGTAACCTCTGCCTCCTGGGTTCAAGCTATTCTCCTGCGTCAGCCTCCTGAGTAGCTGGGACTACAGGCATGTGCCACTACGCCTGGCTAATTTTTTGTATTTTTAGTAGAGATGGGTTTCACCATATTAGCCAGGATGGTATCCATCTCCTGACCTCGTGATCCACCTGCCTCGGCCTCCCAGCTAACTTTTTTTGTAGAGACAGGGTCTTGCTATGTTGCTCGGGCTGGTCTCAAATTCCTGGGCTCAGGAGATCCTCCTACCTTGGCTTCCCAAAGTGCTGGGATTACAGGCATGAGCCACCACAACCAGCCTCTAGAACAGTCTTACTTCCCTTCCTCAATGCTCATTCCCTCTTATTCCTCCACTCTCAGCCTCATTTCACCCCTTTAGTGAAGCTTTTAATTCCTTTCTTACCTAAAGAGTTCTGCCTGTTGTTCTCTACCCTAACACACTGTAAATTTTCTTTATTGCACTTACCACAATGTATAATTAGACGTTTCTTTGTTTATTTGTTGCTTTTCTCTCCCCCTAGAGTGTAGAGTCTCAAGGACAGGAATTGCATCTGTGTTATTTGCCAGAGCGTCTCCAGCATACAACACAGTTCATGGAACCCAGTGCGTGCCCAGCAACGATCAGTTGAATGACTAGAGTAGTGATTCTCAACCCTGGCTGCACAGGAGAGTCACTCGGGGGTGCTTTAAGAAACACTGATCCTTGATTTTCACCCCCGTGAGATGCTGAGTCAGTCCCATGCAACTAGATTGAGGACAAGAGGATAAGGGAAACCATTTCCTTTTCAATCTGTGAAGGTTTGTTACATTTATGGAAAACTTGAACTTCACCACAGTCTTACAGGAAGCATGAAATTGAGCCTTGAGTTTTTTTCTCAGCTGTCCAACTGTTATGGGCCTACAATTGTATAGCTCAGAGTGACAGAGAAGAACTTTGGGGTTGGGAAAGAATTGGAGCAACTTCAAGCAGGAACGCGGTGTGGCACCTTGGGTGCATCTCACTGGGTTCCATCCATTCTATGGTGTTGGGGTCACTCTGCTGTAGAGCAAGATGCAGAAATGGCCCTCTCTACTTTCCTTATGTGTGTATGTGTGGAGGGGAGGTTTAGTGGATGTCTCTGGTTACTGGAATTCTGTTTGCATTGCGCTGCCTTCTAGGACCAAGGACTGGTTTTCAAGCTCTTTGGTCAAGGGAGAGAGAGCAGTCTTGAGTCTGTCAGAACAGGCCCCTGACAAGTGAACAGTATTGATGCCCTCCAGCCAAAGACCTCCAGGAACACACCCATATTGAACAAGTTGTGTTTCATGTTCATTGCAGCAAGAGAGGACACACACATGGGGAACCATGGAAGGTGTTGGAAAGGACTCATTATGGAATTGGACTTTGGTTGTGTGATTTTGGGGAGAGTCCAAGCAAGCTGGGATGTGCACTGGCATGGGTGCAGCCTGAAAGAGGCAATGTTACCATTGACTCTCTCAATAAATTTTATCTATAAGGAAGGGAGGGAAAGCAGACTAGAGCGAGGCTAAAACTATGATTGGTGAAGAACACTAGTTACTCGCATTCACCAGGAGAAGGTCATGTTTGGCATTTTGTGGCTTGAACAATGTTCCTGTTTTGTCTGTGTTCACGTGTGATTACGGAGTCTTCTTTCTGTCCTGATTCATCATGACTACAGAGTGGCTTTGTCTAACATTGATGCTCTGTGAAATTGTTTATGTTTAGGAAAACACCGAGATTGACCTGTCAGTACCAGGCCAGTTCCCTGCTGTCAGGGGCTGCTTTCCTCTTTATCACTAGCTTTGGATTTGCTCCTTCCAGTACTTTTCTCATGTAAAGTAAGGTAGTCCAGTGTGTTCACACAATTGAGAGCATTTATTACATTAGCCTCCTATCTTTTGCGGGGATAATCACAGCACCATGGTGTGGTAAGTGGCAGTAGAGTATGGTGGTTAAGAACAAATGATCTTGAGGTCAGGCGTGGTGGCTCACGCCAGTAAACCCAGCACTTTGGGAAGCCGAGGCAGGAGTATTGCTTGAGTCCGAGAGTTCGAGACCAGCCTGGGCAACATAGCGAGACCCTGTCTCTTAAAAAAAAGAACAAGTGCTCTTTATTCAGAAAATCATTTTAGTTGTGTGACCTTGAGCAAGTTCACTTGACCACCCTAGCCTCGACTCCCTCATCTGTAAAATGGGGGTAATAATAGTGCCTAACTTATAGGGCAATTATGATGCACCAATGAAATAATGCATGAGGCCGGGTGCGGTGGCTCACACCTGTAATCCCAGCACTTTGGGAGGCCGAGGTGGGTGGATTATCTGAGGTCAGGAGTTTGAGACCAGCCTGACCAACATGGTTAAACCCCATCTCTACTAAAAATAAAAAAATTAGCCAGGTGTGGTGGTGCATGCCTGTAATCCCAGCTACTCAGGAGGCTGAGGCAGGAGAATCGCTTGAACCTGGGAGGCGGAGATTGCAGTGAGCCGAGATCGCGCCACTGCACTCTAGCCTGAGCGACAGAGCAAGACTCTGTCTCAAAAAAAAAAAAAAAAAAAAAAAAGCATGAAAAAACTTTTAGCCTGGTATCTGGCCAGCAGTTGGTATGCTATTGACTACCAATGATTCAATAGAACTATATGTTTCTCTGCTTAGTTTATCAGAGTTTGCCTTTGTACCTGTGATGAAAAAAACGGTGGACCGTAAGACCTTGGGACCTTGGTTCCCTGAACCAAGCCAGGACAATTGTATTATTTCTCCTGGAATTTTGAAATTGGACACCAATATTTGTCATTCAGGGTTGGATATGTAGACTGGGAAGTGATGTCAAGCGTCCTTGAGTGACCACTTTCTGCTCTGTTGACTTAGAACCTTGAGGTTAAAAAAATGTTATAGGAAACCATATTTGTTTGAATGTTTGTTGGAAAGAAAAGCAGAAAGGTAGAGAAAGGTGATCTTTTTTAATTCTTAATTTTTTATTATTAAATTTTTTTTTATTTTAGGTTTGAGGATACATGTGAAAGTTTGTTACATAAAGATTTGTCACAGAGGTTTGTTGTACATATCATTACATCACCCAGGTATTAAGCTCAGTCCCCAATAGTTATCTTTTCTGCTCCTCTTCCTCCTCCCACCCTCCCCACTCAAGTAGACTCCAGTGTCTGTTATTTCCTTCTTTCTGTTCGTAAGCTCTTATCATTTAGCTCCCACTTATATGTAAGAACATGTGGTGTTTGGTTTTCTGTTCCTGCGTTAGTTTGCTGAGGATGATAGGCTCCAGCTCCATCCATGTTCCCACAAAAGCCATGATCTTGTTCTTTTTTATGGCTGCATAATATTCCATGGTGTATATGTACCACATTTTCTTTATCCAGTCTGTCATTGACAGGCATTTAGGTTGATTCCATGTCTTTGCTATCGTGAACAGTGCTGCAGTGACCATTCACGTGTATGTGTCTTTATGGTAAAATGCTTTATATTCGTCTGGGTATACACCCAGTAATGGGATTGCTGGGTTGATGGTAGTTCTTCTTTTAGCTCAGAAAGGCAATATTCAAAGACAGGAGAATAAACTGGGGTGAGAGAGAGAAGGAGTGAAGAAAGGAGAAAAGAAGAGAGAAGAGAGAGGAAGAGAAGGTTCTATGGAGCTCTAAGTGTTCTATCTGGTCTGCCCGAGTTAGTAGAGGGATAAGAATAAAGAAAAAAAATGTTACTATTCCTCTACGGCCCATCACACACATGGGTGAATCAAATGGGCAAAGCAAGAGTAGAATTTTACACCACCATGCCGTAAACCTGGATTGTTTTGACTGTTGAGCATCTCCTCTCTCTTTTCTATTCTTTTTCTTTCTCTTTCTTTCTTTCTTTCCTTCTTTCTTTCTTTCTTTCTTTCTTTCTTTCTTTCTTTCTTTCTCTCTCTCTCTCTCTCTTTCTTTCTCGCTTTCTCTTTCTTTCTCTCTTTCTTTCTCTCTCTCTCTCTCTCTCCCTCTCTCTCTTCTTTTCTTTTCTTTTGAGACGGAGTTTCACTCTTGTTGCCCAGGCTGGAGTGCAGTGGCGCAATCTCGGCTTACTGAAACCTCCACCTCCCGGGTTCAAGCGATTATCCTGCCTTAGCCTCCCAAGTAGCTGGGACTACAGGTGTGTGCTACCACACCCAGCTAATTTTGTATTTTTAGCAGAGATGGGGTTTCACCATGTTGGTCAGGCTGGTCTCGAACCCCTGACCTCAGATAATCCACCCACCTCAGCCTTCCAAAATGCTGGGATTACAGACGTAAGCCACTGCACCCGGCCTCACTTTCTTTTACCCACATCAGTCCTGATAATTTCCAGTCCCAGCATCCTGCCTTCTCCCTCACTCCCGTAGAAGGACTGGGCAAGTGACCAGGCCAATCAGAGTTCCCCAATATCCTGGCCATGTGGATTGGTCCAGCTATGGGCACGTGACCTTAGCTAAGCCAATCACCTATTCAGAATGTTTTTTGTTCTTTAATACAGAGCTGTGAGAGACAGGGTCTTGGCTTTTGAATAATGGGGCTGAAAGAAGTGAGTCAGGGACTGCCAGGGGCTGTCTCCTATACCATGAGGAGAAATCTCGTCTATAGGGAGAACGAGCCAAAAGATGGAAAGTCATTGAGAGGGAGAGGGAGAGGGACATTGAAGTGGGGGAGAGAAAGAGAGAGACATAATATAATGTTGAGCTTTAAATCAGCTCTATCTAGACTTAGAAAAGCCAATAACTTCCCACTTTTCTTGGACTGATTTGAGTTGGTTTTTTGCTACTTTAGCCAAGTGGTCCCCGTGATGGCTCCCCATTTCTTTAGATGAAAATCCCAAGCCCTCACGTTGGCATGCCAGGACACACCTGCCCTAGCCTCAATGGCCTCATCTCCCGTCCCTCTCGCCATTGCTTACTCCGCTGCAGCCATTCCTGCCTCCTTGCTTGTTCGTCAAACGTGCCAGGCCCTACTTCATACGGATTAAATCAGACTTTTTGAGTGGGATCAGGACATTAGTATTTTATTTGTTTTTAATTTAATTTTATGTTTTGAGACAGGGTCACTCTGTTGCCCAGGCTGGAGTGCAGTGGCACGAACACGGCTCGCTGCAGCCTCGACCTCCCAGGCTCATGCGATCCTTCTAATACTCACCGTTAGCTGGGACCTCAGCCAGCCAGTTAACCAAAATGTATGCGTGTGGCCTCCCCAGGTGTTCTCTTCACATGGGCTAGTTGGACTTCCTCACTACATGGTGGCTGGTGTGCAAGAGTGAGTGGCTCCAGAAAGCAAGGAGGACATGCCTATGATTTTTTATGCTCTAGCCCTGGAAGTCAAATAGCATCTTTTCTGCTGTAATCTTAATCTTAATGATTGAGGCAGTTGCTAAGGTTCAAGTGGAAGGGATCATAGACTTCATCACTCAACATGAGAAATAGAAGCTTACAACCACCTGTCCTCAGCCTCCCAAGTAGCTGGGACTACAAGCATGTGCCACCATGCCTGGCTAATTTTTTGAATTTTTTGGAGAGACAGAGTCTCACTATGTTGCCCAGGTTGGTCTTGAATTCCTGGGCTCAAGTGATCCACCCGCCTTGGCCTCCCAAAGTGCTGGGATTGCAGATGTGAGCCACTGGGCCCGGCCGGTGACATTGGTATTTTTAAAAAGGTACTCAGTGATTTCAATGTGTAGCTAGAGCTGAGAATCACTCCTTCAGACTAATAAAGAAGGTCAATGGCTATTAAGGCAACTACCCTAAAGAATTAACTTAAAGTCTATGTGTAAGTTTGTCTCTTGTCAACATAGAGTCTAGTTTCCTTCTAATTTTGATTATAAAATAGGAAAGCATTTTCCTATACTATAAAAAAGTTTGCTTTAAGAGTCCCAGGACTGATTTATTATGACCTTGAGATTTAAAAACATTTATTATTGGAAACCAAGTTTGTTTGAACCATGTTTGTTTGAATGTTTATTGTAGAAAAGTCCATTTTTCCTTTTAAAGTCATAAACTAAATTTGTTACAGGAGGTTGATTTTGTGTTCCAAGCCTGTGATCATTAACTGTTTTCCAGCTCTACCAGGTAGGGTATTGAACCTTTTCTTATTTGAGATTCAAATAAATTCTCCTTTACCAAAATGTTATTTTGCAAATAACTAAGTGACTCTAATGGATTAACTTTAAAATGCAATGCCAAATCTTGATTTTCCACGAATGAATAATTTGAAAGAAATTTCTCTGTTCACTACATATACGCCAGAAAGAATATCAACCTTGGCTTTTGATATATTTTAAATTCCTGGTTCAAGTTTCTTATGTGGCCAAATTGTTCTTAGTGACCTGGGCTTCTGTAAAATGTCCCTGATTCCTTTCATAAAATGCTTATTTTGGCTTATGCTGCTCGAGTGAGTTTCTGTTACCATCTTTGATAAAGACAATCATTAATCCTGACAGCAGCCTTGCAAAGTGAGTCTTACTATTCCCATTTCACAGATGGATAATCTGAGCCCTTGGGTACTGAGAAACTTGCTCAAGTCCATACAATTAGGCACTGGTAGTCCCTGGACAACAACCCAGATCTACTTGACCCCAAAGCTGATGAGTTTCCACCCTCACAGAAGGTCCTAATATGGCACATTGCTTTTTTTTACATTGGGATATAATTCATGTCTTATAAAACTCACCATTTAAAAGTGTATAATTTAGTGGTCTTAGTGTATTCTCAAGATTTTTCAACTATCACCACTGTCTAATTCTAGGATGTTTTCATCACCCTCCAACCCCAGACCTCTACCATTAAGCAGCCACTCTTTCACTCCTGTCCCCCAGCCTCTGGCAACCACTAATTTACTTTCTGTCTCTATGGATTTGCCCATTCTGGGTATTTGATACACATGGAGTCATACAATATGTGGCCTTTTGTGTCTTGGTTCTTTCACGAAACACAGTGTTTTCTAATTTCTAATTTCTACATTTCTGTCGTAGAATATATCAGTACTTCATTTCTTTTTATGGCTAAATAACATTCCATTGTATGGATAGACCCCATTTTGTTTATTTATCTGTTTACAGACATTTGGATTATTTCCACCTTTTGGCTATTATAAGATACATTTTGTAAATAACATTGTTATAGAAGTCTTGTTTTCCAAATTAAACAGAAGGGCAGGTCCTGTTTCACACACTTTTTTTTTGTATTAAAAATATATGAGGGCTCTTCCAGTTGCTATTACTGGGTAACAAATCACACCAATTTTTAGTGCTATAAGCCACAATTTTATTACACTCACAGATCCTGTAGGTCAAGAATCAGACCAGAGAGGGTGGCTTGCTCTGCCTCATGATGTCTGGGGACTCAGCTGGGAAAACTCAAAAGTTGAGGGTGACTTGATGGCTGGGGACTAAAGGCATCTAGAGGAATCTTCTGTCACATGCCTGTATTTCATACTCACTGTTAGCTGAGACCTCAGCTAGCCAGTTAGCCAAAACGTCTGCATGTGGCCTCCCTAGGTGGTCTCTTCAGGTGGGCTAATTGGACTTCCTCACAACATAGTAGCTGGGGTCCAACAGTGAGTAGCTCAAGAAAAAAAGGAGGAAGTGCATATGCTTTTTATGTTCTAGCCCTGGAAATCAAATAGCATATTTTCTGCTGTAATCTTAATGATTGAGGCAGTTTCTAAGGTTAAAAGGGGAGGGATCATGGACTTCATCACTCAACACGAGAAATAAAAGGTCACATTATGACAGCATGTGGTATGGGAGATATCACTATGGCCACCTTTGGAAAAAAACCATCTGCCACAAGGACCTTGCACTGGGCTTGTGACAGGTATCCAGTAGATCCTTATTTAATTAAATATATTCATGCTTATCAACAAATTACATATTGGCCTGCCTGCTTGTTTGTTCATGAATCCATCTCCTCCTTCAGAAATGACCCCTTCTTGGGTATTATTCTAATGCTTTCATTTCTTAACTTCTGCATTTTCCTAGCTTAGGCAAATCACTTTACTTCTCAGAGCCTCAGTTGTCTTACCCATAAAATGGGTAAACACATTTGTTCCCACTCTACAAAATTAGTTTGGGAATTCAGTGGGCTAAGGTATAAATAGTGCTTACTTTAGATGCTGTTTGGAGGTAAAGGTTCAATAAATGATAACTATTATTATTGCTGTTGTGATTACCTGAATGTAATCCCCATTCTCTTATACTTTTCAGCATCCTGTCCAAGCCTTTAAGATGAGGAACAAATTCTATGTGAGGAGAAATGGCAAAAATTGGTATGCCTCTGCTTTTCTGATTTCCCATTCCCTTCCATTTCTCTTATTAACAAGTAAAAGTAAGGAAATCCTGTCCTGTGGATAACTTCCCATTGACTTGCAGAGAGCTCAGACATGCTATGGTAGATATGGATACTATTTTGTTTTTGTTTTTTGAGATGGAGTCTTGCTCAGTCACCCAGGCTGGAGTGCAGTGGCATGATCTCAGCCCACTGCAAACTCCGCCTCCCAGGTTCAAGTGATTCTCCTGACTCAGCCTCCCGAGTAGCTGGGATTACAAGCAGATGCCACCACACCCAGCTAATTTTTGTATTTTTAGTAGAGACAAGGTTTAACCATCTTTACTAAACAGACTAGGCCCGTCTTGAACTCCTGACTTCAAGTGATCTGCCCGCCTCAGCCTCCCAACGTGCTGGGATTATAGGTGTGAGACACTGCACCTTGCCAATGGTGAATATTGTTGATTTAAAATAATAGATATAATAAATCTCCAATCTCAGGGAAGTTTCCAAGTCCTAAAGTCAAAACTTCCGATCTTGCCGTGTGCTTGAATTATCCTCAATTAGAGTCCCTGCTGCTGTTGCATGTCGCTGTAATTATTCTGTCATCGTTAATTCAATGAAGCCTATTAACCCACATCAGATAGTGTATTTATCTACAATGCATGTTACCTGCTCCTCTAGATAAGACAGCTGTCATACTTCAAGTCTGCTGTCTCTTTGTTGAGGTCCAGTAGTGTCAGTCTGCAAGTGTTTCATGTTTCATATACATTACAGAATCCCCATTAATGGTTGATATGATTAGGCTTTGTGTCCCCACCCAAATCTCATCTTGAATTACATTCCCTATAATCCCCACATGTCAAGGGAGAGACCAGGTGGAGATAATTAAATAATGGGGGCAGTTTCCCCCACGCTGTTTTCATGACAGTGAGTTCTCACGAGATCTGATGGTTTTATAAGGAACGCTTCCCTCTTTGCTCGGCATTTCTCCTTCCTGCTGCCTTGTGAAGAAGATGCATTGTTTTCCTCTTCACTTTCTGCCACAATTGTAAGTTTCCTGAGGCCTCCCCAGCCATGCTGAACTGTAAGTCAATTAAACCTCTTTCCTTTATAAATTACACAGTCTCAGGCAGTTCTTTACAGCAGTATGAAAATGGAGTAATACAATGATGTTCTTATAACTTCCCAGACTGGAAGGCTTGCTGGTCTTGTGAGATACTGAACTGGAGACAGCAGAAAAATGCATCCTCCTGATATTGTGAGCAACCTCCTCTCTTCTTCCCTCTCTCCTCTTCTTCCCTTTCTTCTGTTTTCCCTTCTAGGAGCCAAGAGCATAGGCTCTGGAACCAGCCTGCCTGGTTTGAATCATGCCTCTGCCTGGGGATCTTGGGCAGGTTGCTTGGTCTCTCTGAGCCTGTTTTTTTCATCTGTGCAAGAATCACAACTCTCTTGTGAGAATTTAATGTGCTAATCTGCATAAAGCACATAGACAACTGTCTGGCTCATGATGGGAGTGTAACTGTGGTTATTTCTTCCTATTTTCTTCCCTCCCTTCCAACAGAAGAAAGTCTCTGAGATGCGTGTCTTATGTGGCATATGCTGGACTTGGTGCCTGGGGTTCATTGGCAGACTAGTCCCTCTGGTACCTCCAGCAAGGAAGATAGATGTTAATTATTAATTGATACCCATTGTGATAAATCTCACAAGGTACCATGAATGGGTATAACAGCTCCCTTTCTGTGGAGGAGGTGGAGGTGATAGGTAAGACTTCCTGGAGGAAGTAACATTTGAACAGAGATCTGAAAGATAAAATACTTCCAGGAGGAGTGTGTGTGTGTGTAAGTCAGTCAACATCAGAACACCTCCAGCAGTGGAAACAGTGTATAGGAAGCTCTGAAGTAGGAAGGATCCTCTGTTAATGGTTTTTTTGTTGTTGTTTTCCCTCTTCGAGACAGAGTCTCAGTCTGTTGCCCAGGCTGGAATGCAGTGGCACAGTCTCAGCTCACTGCAACCTCTGCCTCCCAGGTTCAAGCGATTCTCGTACTTCAGCCTCCTGAGTAGCTGGGATTACAGGTATGCACCACCATGCCCCAATCATTTTGTATTCTTAATAGAGATAGGGTTTCTCAAACTCCTGGCCTCAAGTGATCCGCCTGCCTCAGCCTCCCAAAGTGCTGGGATTACAAGTGTGAGCCACCATGCCTGACCCATTAATGTTTTGAATAGGTAATACTTTCGCATGGTCCAAATTCCAAAAAATACAAAAGGATAAACAGTGAAATGTCTCCCTTTTTCCATTTACCACCTTCCCCCTACCTCTATCCCTGAAGCAACAAATGAACCAATTTCTTTGGTATTCTTCTAGAAATATCCTGTGCATACATAAGCAAAATGTATGTGTGTATGGTGTATATACATATATACACACACTATATATAGTGTGTATATGTGTATATATATACTATATATAGTGTGTATATATATACACTATAGTGTGTATATGTATATATACTATATATAGTGTGTATATGTGTATATATATACTACATATAGTGTGTATATGTATATGTGTATATATACACATATATATACTATATATAGTGTGTATATGTATATGTGTATATATAGTGTGTATAGTTTATGTATATACATATCCACACTATATATAGTATATATATGATATTCACATATCATCTTTTATTTTTTAATATGAAAAATGCTTCTCCGTTATTTGCTTTTTTCACCTTTCTCTTAAATACGTATCTTGGAGATCCTTCCTTATGAGTACACAGTTAACTTTCTTATTTTCTTTTCTGAGTGGCAGAGTACACCATGTAGTACCCTATAATTTGTTTAAGCAACCTCCTACTGATGGATGTTTGGGTTATTTCTACTCTTCTGCTATTATTTAAAAAAACTATAATCGATAATCTGATACCGGTGCAATTTGCTCCTGTGCAACTGTCTGTGGGATAAATTTCTAAAAGTGTAATAGTTGGGTCAAATGACACACTTTTCTCCACAGAGGTTGTAAAAAATTTACACCCACCCCTCAAGGAATGTTTGAGTTCCCATAGTGGCATCAAGCACCATGTATTATTGAGTTCTTTTTAATTTTGCCAATCTGATAGGTGAAAATTCATATCTCAGCATAGTTTTAATTTGCATTTATCTTACTCTGAATAACACAGAGCGTGTTTTCATTTGCCCAAGAATCACTTGTGTTTCTTTTCTTACGAACTGTTCTTATCTTTTGTCCATTTTTCTGTGATGAATCTGCTCTTTTGCTTATTGATTTTATACATTAGGGGAATTAGCCATTTTCCACGCCATGCTTCACAAACATTATTTCCTGGGTTTTCTTTTGTATTTAGACTTTGCTTAGGGTGGTTTTGGTTCTGCAGCTCTGTTTTTTAAAAAACTTTTATGTAGTCAAATTTTTTTTTTTGGGGGGGGGGTCTCCTGGATTTGTGACATACTTGGTCTCCTGCATTTGTGACATGCTAAGAAAAACCTTTGTCATTTCAAGATCATAAGATAATTCTATTCTTTAAAAAAACACCTTCAGAAAAGGGGATTCCAGATGCGACTTTAATGATCCTTTCCTGTGTTTGCCAAGCATCATGGTAGAAATACCTTCCTTATAGCCACATGAAACCCCTGATGCTGGAGTGTTGTGTTCACCTTATCGGCAAATATTTCCCCAGCACCTCCTATGTGTCAGTGTAGAACTGAACAGCACAGAAGCTACAAAGACTAAGAAGCCAGCAAAAGTTCAAATTCCACCACCCAGAAGTAACCACCATAAACACTTGGTATTATCATGAATTTTTTTTATAAAAAACTCCATAAGCACATATTTTTAAGATAAAAATAAGATTATTGTACACATAATTTTTCTGACCTGATTTCAAAATATATCCAAGACTTCTTTCTCTGTTACTAACTGTAAATGTAGATTTAACATTTAACATTTAACTACGGCAATGATTTACATGTAGCAGGGTTTGTGAAATGACTCCTTGTGGATGGACAGTGAGACTATCCTCCCTCTTCCACCATTCTAAGCAATGCTACCAAGAACATCTTTACATGTCTATCTTTGCCCTCTTGTCTTAGACCTAGAATTTCTGGGTCACATTGTTAAACTGTTTTTAGGAAGATTGTGCTGACTTATATTCCCACGAGCAATGTAAGGTATGCCAGAAAGAGGGCAGGAGGTTGGGAGTGGGAGGAGAAGGGGGCGGAGGAGGAAACTGGGTAAATGCTATTGGTGATAAAAAGGAGACAGTCTCACTGTCTATCAATAGGGAGGTCATTCAGCAAATCCTGCTACATGCAAATCGTTGCCTAGTCATGAAATATTAAATGTTAAATCTACATTTACAGTTGGTGACAGAGAAAGCAGTCTTGGATTTATTTTGAAATTAGGTCATAAAAATTATGTATGCAATCATCTTATTTTTGTCTTGAAAATATATGTTCATAGAGTTTAAAAAAATCATTCATGATAAATACCAAATGTTTATAGTGGTTATTTCTGGGTGGTGGCATTTGAACTGTTTTATTTTTATTGGCTTTTTTTTTTTTTTAATTGAGATGGAGTCTTGCTCTGTCACCCCGGCTGGAGTGCAGTGGTGTGATCTAGGCTCACTGCAACTTCTGTCTCCTGGGTTCAAGCGATTCTCCTGCCTCAGCCTCCTGAGTAGCTGGGATTACAGGCACCCGCCACCATGCCTGGCTGATTTTTGTAATTTTAGTAGAGATGGGGTTTCACTGCATTGGACAGGCTGGTCTCGAACTCCTGACCTCAGGTGATCCACTGCCTTGGTCTCCCAAAGTGCTGGGATTACAGGAGTGAGCCACTGCACCTGGAATTTTATTGGCTTCTTTATTCATCTTTGTAGTTTCTGGGCTGTTCAGTTGTATATTGACATATAGTAGGTGCTTGGGAAATATTTGCTGATGAAGGCTATTTTGGGAATTAAAAAAATGTATTTCAGGGGGCAGCAAACTATAGCTCTAGGGCCAAATCTGGTCTCTGCCTATTTTTGTAAATAAAGTTTTATTGGAACAGCCTCATACACCTGTTCATTTACATAGCATCAGTGATTGCTTTGGCCCTACAAGGGCAGAGTTAAGTGATTGCAACAGAGCCCACATGGTCAAAAGAGCCTCAAATATTTACTAACTGATGGTTTACAGAAAACGTTTGCTGCCTCCTGGTTTATTTCATTAAAGAAGTTATATTACACCTCTTTGGTGTCTCCATTCCCTTTACCACTTATGTTAACGTGGGAATGATGACACCAACCTGGAAGAGTCACATACGTAAGGCATACAGCCCAGTGTTTGTCTTTTGGTGCATGTATAATCAATACTAATTCACCTTCCCTTCCTAAAGACTTTTACTCCCAGGAAGTGGAAGCAGAAAATGGGCAGGTATGAGGCACCGGGTTGGTGATAGTTTTTCTCTGGTTTTACTTCCCATTTTCTGTCCCAAAGTTTGAGGAGTTCATTTTTTCCCTTCTGAGTAAAAAAAATTTTTTTTTTTTTTGAGACAGAGTCTTGCTCTGTTGCCCAGGCTGGAGTGCAGTGGCATGGTCTAGGCTCACTGCAAGCTCCGCCTCCCAGGTTCAAGCTAGTCTCCTGCCTCAGCCTCCCTAGCAGCTGGGACTACAGGCGTGCACCACCACTCCCAGCTGATTTTTGTATTTTTTGAGTAGAGACAGGGTTTCAACATGTTGGTCAGGCTGGTATCGAACTCCTGACCTCAAGTGATCCGCCCACCTTGGCCTCCCAAAGTGCTGGGATTACAGGTGTGAGCCACCGTGCCTGGCTTCTGAGTAACTTTCAAACACCTGAAGCCCCAAACTTAGAAGTCACAAGAATCATGTCAAGCCTAATAAATGACTGTTTTTTCCTGTTATCAAACTTTTTAGGGAAACAGGATTTCTGTCACTTACTTGGACTCAATAACACTCACACATATTTAAAAAACATTGTAGGGAGTGTTTTGGATGGATGGTATCAAGGAATAGGGGGTCTGCAGTTGTCATGCACATTAAGCAGTGGCATTGAATTAGGGTCTGTGGGAAATCTGGTAGTATCAGAGCATGCAGGCTTCTCAACCTCTGTACTCCTGACATTTTAAGCTGGATGATCCTTTGTTGTGCGGGCTGCAGGATGTCTACCTGGTGTGGTAGACAGAACAATGCCCCCTCTCCTCAAAGATGTTCATATCTCAACTCCTAGAATCTGTGAATATATTACATTAAGATGGCAAAATCCAAACGAAAACAAAGCAAGAGAAAACTCTCGCAGATGTGATTGGAATGAAAGATCTTGAGATGAGGAGATTATTCTGAGTTATTCAGGTGAGACTCAGGTAATTGCAAGGGTCCTTAGAAGATGATGTGACATGATGATAGAATAAGAGTGGGAAGAGAAGATGTTACCCTGTTGCTTTGAAGATGGAGGAAGGAGCCATGAGCCAAGGAATGCAGGCAACCTCTAGAAGCTGGGAAAGGTGGGGAATAGATTCTCCCCTAGAGCCTCCAGAAGACATGCAGCCCTGTGGACTCATTTTTGTCTTCTGACCTCTAGAATTATAAGAATAAATTTGAGTTGTTTAAAACCACTTAATTGGCTGGGTGTGGTGGCTCATGCCTGTGATCCCAGTGCTTTGGGAGGCTGAGGCAGGAGTATTGCATGAGCCTAGGAGTTAGAGACTAGCCTGGGCCCCATCTCTCCAAAAAATAACAATTAGCTGGGTATGGTGGCATGCCCTGTAGTTGTAGCAACTCAGGAGGCTAAGATGGGAGGATGGCTTGAGCCTAGGAGGTCATGGCTACAGTGAGCTATGATGGTGCCACTGCACTACAGCCTGGGTGACAGGGCAAGACCCTGTCTCAAAATAAAAAAATAAAAATGAAACCACTAAATTCATGGCAAGTTTTTACAGTTACAATAAGAAATGGTTACACCTGGTCTCTACCTACTGGATGCCAGTAACACCGCATTCCCCTCACCCCACTCTTTTTTTCTTTTCTTTTCTTTTTTTTTTTTTGAGATGGAGTCTCCCTCTGTCACCCAGGCTGGAGTGCAGTGGCGTGGTCTCGGCCCATTGCAACTTCTGCTTCCCGAGTTCAAGCAATTCTCCTGCCTCAATCTCCCAAGTAGCTGGGATTACAGGTGCCCGCCACCACGCCTGGCTAATTTTTGTATTTTTTTAATTTTTATTTTTTATTTTATTATTATTATACTTTAAGTTTTAGGGTACATGTGCACAATGTGCAGGTTAGTTACATATGTATACATGTGCCATGCTGGTGTGCTGCACCCATTAACTCGTCATTTAGCATTAGGTATATCTCCTAATGCTATCCCTCCCCCCTCCCCCCACCCCACAACAGTCCCCAGAGTGTGATGTTCCCTTTCCTGTGTCCATGTGTTCTTATTGTTCAATTCCCACCTATAAGTGAGAATATGTGGTGTTTGGTTTTTTGTTCTTGCGATAGTTTACTGAGAATGATGATTTCCAATTTCATCCATGTCCCTACAAAGGATATGAACTCATCATTTTTTATGGCTGCATAGTATTCCATGGTGTATATGTGCCACATTTTCTTAATCCAGTCTATCATTATTGGACATTTGGGTTGGTTCCAAGTCTTTGCTATTGTGAATAGTGCCGCAATAAACATACGTGTGCATGTGTCTTTATAACAGCATGATTTATAGTCCTTTGGGTATATACCCAGTAATGGGATGGCTGGGTCAAATGGTATTTCTAGTTCTAGATCCCTGAGGAATCGCCACACTGACTTCCACAATGGTTGAACTAGTTTACAGTCCCACCAACAGTGTAAAAGTGTTCCTATTTCTCCACATCCTCTCCAGCACCTGTTGTTTCCTGACTTTTCAATGATTGCCATTCTAACTGGTGTGAGATGGTATCTCATTGTGGTTTTGATTTGCATTTCTCTGATGGCCAGTGATGGTGAGCATTTTTTCATGTGTTTTTTGGCTGCATAAATGTCTTCTTTTGAGAAGTGTCTGTTCATGTCCTTCGCCCACTTTTTGATGGGGTTGTTTGTTTTTTTCTTGTAAATTTGTTTGAGTTCATTGTAGATTCTAGATATTAGCCCTTTGTCAGATGAGTAGGTTGCAAAAATTTTCTCCCATGTTGTAGGTTGCCTGTTCATTCTGATGGTAGTTTCTTTTGCTGTGCAGAAGCTCTTTAGTTTAATTAGATCCCATTTGTCAATTTTGGCTTTTGTTGCCATTGCTTTTGGTGTTTTAGACATGAAGTCCTTTCCCATGCCTATGTCCTGAATGGTAATGCCTAGGTTTCCTTCTAGGGTTTTTATGGTTTTAGGTCTAACGTTGAAGTCTTTAATCCATCTTGAATTAATTTTTGTAGAAGGTGTAAGGAAGGGATCCAGTTTCAGCTTTCTACATATGGCTAGCCAGTTTTCCCAGCACCATGTATTAAATAGGGAATCCTTTCCCCATTGCTTGTTTTTCTCAGGTTTGTCAAAGATCAGATGGTTGTAGATATGCGGCATTATTTCTGAGGGCTCTGTTCTGTTCCATTGATCTATATCTCTGTTTTGGTACCAGTACCATGCTGTTTTGGTTACTGTAGCCTTGTAGTATAGTTTGAAGTCAGGTAGCATGATGCCTCCAGCTTTGTTTTGGCTTAGGATTGACTTGGTAATGCAGGCTCTTTTTTGGTTCCATATGAACTTTAAAGTAGTTTTTTCCAATTCTTTGAAGAAAGTCATTTGTAGCTTGATGGGTATGGCATTGAATCTACAAATTACCTTGGGCAGTATGGCCATTTTCACGATATTGATTCTTCCTACCCATGAGCATGGAATGTTCTTCCATTTCTTTGTATCCTCTTTTATTTCATTGAGCAGTGGTTTGTAGTTCTCCTTGAAGAGGTCCTTCACGTCCCTTGTAAGTTGGATTCCTAGGTATTTTATTCTCTTTGAAGCAATTGTGAATGGGAGTTCACTCATGATTTGGCTCTCTGTTTGTCTGTTATTGGTGTATAAGAATGCTTGTGATTTTTGTACATTGATTTTGTATCCCGAGACTTTGCTGAAGTTGCTTATCAGCTTAAGGAGATTTTGGGCTGAGACAATGGGGTTTTCTAGATACACAATCATGTCGTCTGCAAACAGGGACAATTTGACTTCCTCTTTTCCTAATTGAATACCCTTTATTTCCTTCTCCTGCCTAATTGCCCTGGCCAGAACTTCCAACACTATGTTGAATAGGAGTGGTGAGAGAGGGCATCCCTGTCTTGTGCCCGTTTTCAAAGGGAATGCTTCCAGTTTTTGACCATTCAGTATGATACTGGCTGTGGGTTTGTCATAGATAGCTCTTATTATTTTGAGATACGTCCCATCAATACCTAATTTATTGAGAGTTTTTAGCATGAAGGGTTGTTGAATTTTGTCAAAGGCTTTTTCTGCATCTGTTGAGATAATCATGTGGTTTTTGTCTTTGGTTCTGTTTATATGCTGGATTCCATTTATTGATTTGCGTATATTGAACCAGCCTTGCATCCCAGGGATGAAGCCCACTTGATCATGGTGGATAAGCTTTTTGATGTGCTGCTGGATTCTGTTTGCCAGTATTTTATTGAGAATTTTTGCATCAATGTTCATCAAGGATATTGGTCTAAAATTCTCTTTTTTGGTTGTGTCTCTGCCAGGTTTTGGTATCAGGATGATGCTGGCCTCATAAAATGAGTTAGGGAGGATTCCTTCTTTTTCTATTGATTGGAATAGTTTCAGAAGGAATGGTACCAGTTCCTCCTTGTACCTCTGGTAGAATTTGGCTGTGAATCCATCTGGTCCTGGACTCTTTTTGGTTGGTAAGGTATTGATTATTGCCACAATTTCAGAGCCTGTTATTGGTCTATTCAGATATTCAACTTCTTCCTGGTTTAGTCTTTGGAGGGTGTATGTGTCGAGGAATTTATCCATTTCTTCTAGATTTTCTAGTTTATTTGTGTAGAGGTGTTTGTAGTGTTCTCTGATGGTAGTTTGTATTTCTGTGGGATCGGTGGTGATATTCCCTTTATCATTTTTTATTGCATCTATTTGATTCTTCTCTCTTTTCTTCTTTATTAGTCTTGCTAGTGGTCTATCAATTTTGTTGATCCTTTCAAAAAACCAGCTCCTGGATTCATTAATTTTTTGAAGGGTTTTTTGTGTCTCTATTTCCTTCAGTTCTGCTCTGATTTTAGTTATTTCTTGCCTTCTGCTAGCTTTTGAATGTGTTTGCTCTTGCTTTTCTAGTTCTTTTAATTGTGATGTTAGGATGTCAATTTTGGATCTTTCCTGCTTTCTCTTGTGGGCATTTAGTGCTATAAATTTCCCTCTACACACTGCTTTGAATGTGTCCCAGAGATTCTGGTATGTTGTGTCTTTGTTCTCATTGGTTTCAAAGAACATCTTTATTTCTGCCTTCATTTTGTTATGTACCCAGTAGTCATTCAGGAGCAGGTTGTTCAGTTTCCATGTAGTTGAGCGGTTTTGAGTGAGTTTCTTAATCTTCAGTTCTAGTTTGATCGCACTGTGGTCTGAGAGACAGTTTGTTATAATTTCTGTTCTTTTACATTTGCTGAGGAGAGCTTTACTTCCAACTATGTGGTCAATTTTGGACTAGGTGTGGTGTGGTGCTGAAAAAAATGTATATTCTGTTGATTTGGGGTGGAGAGTTCTGTAGATGTCTATTAGGTCCGCTTGGTGCAGAGCTGAGTTCAATTCCTGGGTATCCTTGTTAACTTTCTGTCTCGTTGATCTGTCTAATGTTGACAGTGGGGTGTTAAAGTCTCCCATTATTATTGTGTGGGAGTCTAAGTCTCTTTGTAGATCACTCAGGACTTGCTTTATGAATCTGGGTGCTCCTGTATTGGGTGCATATATATTTAGGATAGTTGGCTGTTCTTGTTGAATTGATCCCTTGACCATTATGTAATGGCCTTCTTTGTCTCTTTTGATCTTTGTTGGTTTAAAGTCTGTTTTATCAGAGACTAGGATTGCAACCCCTGCCTTTTTTTGTTTTCCATTTGCTTGTTAGATCTTCCTCCATCCTTTTATTTTGAGCCTATGTGTGTCTCTGCATGTGAGATGGTTTCCTGAATACAGCACACTGATGGGTCTTGACTCTTTATCCAATTTGCCAGTCTGTGTCTTTTACTTGGAGCATTTAGTCCATTTACATTTAAAGTTAATATTGTTATGTGTGAATTTAATCCTATCATTATGATGTTAGCTGGTTATTTTGCTCATTAGTTGATGCAGTTTCTTCCTAGCCTCGATGGTCTTTACAGTTTGGCATGATTTTGCAGTGGCTGGTACCGGTTATTCCTTTCCATGTTTAGTGCTTCAGGAGCTCTTTTAGGGCAGGCCTGGTGGTGACAAAATCTCTCAGCATTTGCTTGTCTGTAAAGTATTTTATTTCTCCTTCACTTATGAAGCGTAGTTTGGCTGGATATGAAATTCTGGGTTGAAAGTTCTTTTCTTTAAGAATGTTGAATATTGGCCCCCACTCTCTTCTGGCTTGTAGAGTTTCTGCCAAGAGATCGGCTGTTAGTCTGATGGGCTTCCCTTTGTGGGTAACTCGACCTTTCTCTCTGGCTGCCCTTAACATTTTTTCCTTCATTTCAACTTTGGTGTATCTGACAATTATGTGTCTTGGAGTTGCTCTTCTCGAGGAGTATCTTTGTGGCATTCTCTGTATTTCCTGAATCTGAATGTTGGCCTGCCTTGCTAGATTGGGGAAGTTCTCCTGGATAATATCCTGCAGAGTGTTTTCCAACTTGGTTCCATTCTCCCTATCACTTTCAGGTACACCAATCAGATGTAGATTTGGTCTTTTCACATAGTCCCATATTTCTTGGAGGCTTTGTTCGTTTCTTTTTATTCCTTTTTCTCTAAACTTCCCTTCTCGCTTCATTTCATTCATTTCATCTTCCATCACTGATACCCTTTCTTCCAGTCGATCGCATTGGCTCCTGAGGCTTCTGCATTCTTCACGTAGTTCTCGAGCCTTGGCTTTCAGCTCCGTCAGCTCCTTTAAGCACTTCTCTCTATTGGTGATTCTAGTTATACATTTGTCTAAATTTTTTTCAAAGTTTTTAACTTCTTTGCCTTTGCTTTGAATTTCCTCGTGTAGCTCGGAGTAGTTTGATTGTCTGAAGCCTTCTCTCAACTCGTCAAAGTCATTCTCCGTCAAGCTTTGTTCTGTTGCTGGTGAGGAACTGCATTCCTTTGGAGGAGGAGAGGTGCTCTGTATTTAGAGTTTCCAGTTTTTCTGCTCTGTTTTTTCCCCATCTTTGTGATTTTATCTACTTTTGGTCTTTGATGATGGTGATGTACAGATGGGTTTTTGGTGTGGATGTCCTTTCTGTTTGTTAGCTTTCCTTCTAACAGACAGGACCCTCAGCTGCAGGTCTGTTGGAGTTTGCTAGAGGTCCACTCCAGACCCTGTTTGCCTGGGTATCAGCAGCGGTGGCTGCAGAACAGCGGATTTTCGTGAACTGCGAATGCTGCTGTCTGATTGTTCCTCTGGAAGTTTTGTCTCAGAGGAGTACCTGGCTGTGTGAGGTGTCAGTCTGGCCCTATTGGGGGGTGCCTCCCAGTTAGGGTGCTTGGGGGTCAGGGGTCAGGGACCTACTTGAGGAGGCAGTCTGCCCATTCTCAGATCTCCAGCTGCGTGCTGGAAGAACCACTGCTCTCTTCAAAGCTGTCAGACAGGGACATTTAAGTCTGCAGAGGTTACTGCTGTCTTTTTGTTTGTCTGTGCCCTGCCCCCAGAGGTGGAGCCTAGAGAGGCAGGCAGGCCTCCTTGAGCTGTGGTGGGCTCCACCCAGTTGGAGCTTCCCAGCTGCTTTGTTTACCTAAGCAAGCCTGGGCAATGGTGGGTGCCCCTCCCCCAGCCTCACTGCCGCCTTGCAGTTTGATCTCAGACTGCTGTGCTAGCAATCAGCAAGAGTCCGTGGGCGTAGGACCCTCCGAGCCATGTGTGGGATATAATCTCCTGGTGCGCCGTTTTTTAAGCCCGTTGGAAAAGCGCAGTATTAGGGTGGGAGTGACCCGATTTTCCAGGTGCCGTGTGTCACCCCTTTCTTTGACTAGGAAAGGGAACTCCATGATCCCTTGCACTTCCCGTGTGAGGCAATGCCTCACCCCGCTTTGGGTCACACACGGTGTGCTGCATCCACTGTCGTGCATCCACTGTCTGGCACTCCCTAGTGAGATGAACCCAGTACCTCAGATGGAAATGCAGAAATCACCTATCTTCTGCATCACTCATGCTGGGAGCTGTAGACCAGAGCTGTTCCTATTTGGCCATCTTGGCTGCCAAACTAATTTTTGTATTTTTTGTAGAGATGCAATTTCGCCATGTTGGCCAGGCTGGTCTCAAACTCCTGACCTCAAGTGATCCACCTGCCTTGGCCTCCCAAAGTGCTGGGATTACAGGCATGAACCACCCTGTCCAGCCCCCATTCCCAATTTGTGATCACCAAAAATGTCCACAGACATTGTCAGATGCTCCTTGGGGAGCAAAATGGTTCCCAGTTGAGAAGCTCTGTGTTAGAGAGATTCCAACAGCAGCTGCAAAAACTCAGATGCAAGAAGTTGGTGCCTGCACTCAGCTGAGTGCAGTCAGTGGGCTGTGGGGAGCTGGGAGAATAGATAACCCATCATGCTCACTGTTGCTCCTCTCTGCTGCCTTGCCCTGTGGGGATTCATGCCTGGATGCTTGGAGAGCATGGTTGGGCTGACCAAGAATCCTTATTGAATGTGACAAGTTGCCCCATTGGGCCCCTGCTTCTTAGCCCAAGGATGAAAGTCACTCTTTGTGGCAGCTTTTCCCTTTGGGTCAGACTCCTTTGCCTGACTGACCAATTCCTTTCATGCTGGCAGGAAGGACTTCCTTGTATCTAAGCCACAGTAGCTAAGTGTTGCCTGGTTCCATGCAATAGAAACTGACTCTGATTAAGTAAGGAAAATAAATTCGTGATTGTTAGGATAACAGGTGCTCTCACTGAATGAGAGAGGAGTTTGCATAGGAAGGAAAATACTAATAGAGTTTTGGAAGCTTAGCAGCAGATGGAATTCATGATCTACCTCTCTTCAAAAAATTTTTTTTAGAGACACGGTTTTACTCCATCACCCAGACCAGAATCTAGTGGCACCATCATAGCTCTCTGTATCCTTGACCTCCTGGGCTCAAGCAATCCTGCTGCCTCAGCCTTCCAAGTAGCTAATGCCACCATGCCACCATGCCTGGCTAATTTTTAATTTGCTTTTTGTAGAGACAGGGTCTCGCTCTGTTGCCCAAGCTGGTCTTGAACTCTTGGCCTCAAGCAATCCTCCTACCTCGGCCTCCCGAAGTTCTGGGATTAGAGGCGTGAGCCACGGCCCCCAGCCCCTACCTTTCTTGAGTTCTACCATTAATGTGTCTCACTTTCCAATCTCGGATTCCAAGTTTCAAATTCCTGGGGGAGAGAATCCTATTGCTTGGGCTCCATAGATCAACCCACTGAGACCATGGGGAGAGACTTGCCCAAGGTCACACAGCCTGAATAGCAGAGCTGGGCTGCCTCTCTCGACTTTCAGGACTGTTCTTTTTCCATGATAGTTTTTGGGGAGATGGAATTGTCTAGTTAGAGAGTTACCTGAGAGCCAATATAGTAAGAAAAGTTCCTCGCCAGGCAACTGAAATGACACAGGAACTGAAAACTGTGGACAAACTCGGGCTGTTTTTTCTAGTAGGTATCAGGCATCAAGATGTTTTTAGATAACTAGAGATGACATTTACTTTGACATATTGAAAAATAGTTATGACAGAGTTTTGAGAGGCATTATTGTGAACCATAGTAGTGTGAGGTCTTAAAAAGCCCCTTCTTCATTTTTTAGCTGTTTCTAATTTCCACCTAAATTGTCTCAGATCCTTTGCTAATTGCCAAGCCTGATTGAATTTCCAGTTCCTTATTCCTTTCCTGGGACCACTTTAGGCCCTGACTGACTTCTCCTTAGGTCTCTGTTTAAACACCACCATTACAACAGGTTTTATTTAGTTTTTTTTTTTTTTCTTTTTAAGACGGAGTCTCACTCTTTCGCCAGGTTGGAGTGCAGTGGTGCGATCTCCACTCACTGCAACCTCTGCCTCCTGGGTTCCAGCGATTATCCTGCCTCAGCCTTCCAAGAAGCTGGGACTACGTGTGCACGCCACCACGCCTGGCTAATTTTTGTATTTTTAGTAGAGATGGGTTTTCACCATGTTGGCCAGGATGGTCTTGATCTCTTGACCTTGTAGATCCATCCACCTCGGCCTCCCAAAGTGCTAGAATTACAGGCATGAGCCACTGTGCCCGGCCCTTATTTAGTTTAAATTCAGCAATCAATTCACATTTACTATATAAAAATTCAAAACACAGATATGCCAATTAAAATTTAAAAAATCACCCATAAGCTGACCATCTAGAAAAAACTGTACATTTCTCTATTCCGCATCCTTCTAGATTATTTTTCTTATCAGTTTATACTTATGCAAAGTGGTATTATACTTCATCTTCTGTTTTGTTACTGACTTTATTCATTTAGTTATTAAAACTCCTTAAATATGTGTTGATTACATTGTTTACTTAATTTTTTTCTTTTTATTTTTTTTAGACAAGGTCTTGCTCTGTTGCCCAGGCTGGAGTGCGGTGGTGCAATCTCGCTGACTGCAACCTCCGCCTCTCAGGTTCAAGTGATCTTCCTGTTTCAGCCTCCTGAGTAGCTGAGACCATAGGCATGTACCACCATGCCCGCTAACTTTTTGTATTTTTAGTAGAGACAGAGTTTTGCCATGTTGGCCAGGCTGGTCTCGAACTCCTAGGCACAAGTGATCCACGTGCCTCAGCCTCCCATGTTGCTGGGATTATAGGCGTGAGCCATTGCGCCTGGCCAATTACACTTTTTAATAGCTTCAAAGCATTCCATTCCCTGGTTATGCCATGATTGATTGAACATATCCATTATTCATTTTTGAGAGAACTTTTTTGTTTCTGTGTTGTTGATGGAGTGATGTTATATAGCTGCAGAATAAATCAAACCATGACTAATATTTCATAATTTCATGAATTTATTTCATTTTGGATAGTTACCCAATTTTTTTTGGTCCTTTCTGATTTTAGAATATTTTGTTATGACATTCCTTTGTGACACTGGGGAGAAAATGTACTTTTTTCCCAGGTCAGAGGTGTCCAGTCTTTTGGCTTTCCTGGGCCACATTGGAAGAAGAAGAATTGTCTTGGGCCACACATAGAATACGCTAACACCGACGACAGCTGATGAGCTAAGAAAGTTGATGAATTTATGTTGAGCCCCATTCAAAGCTGTCTTGGGCCACAGGTTGGATAACCTTGCCCTAGTTTCTCTCTATGCCTTTGAGCTGCCATTCAGACTCCTTTGAAAGATGGATTATCTTATATATACCTATGTATTTTCTGATGCCCACTCTCCCCATTTGACTACCTGTGGAGTTGAAAACAAGTCCGCCTACTCTAATCAAATCATGATGCTCTGTCCGGGGTCACATTTTGTAACCGACAAAACAGTGCATGAGGAGTTCCGGTTTTCTCGTATCACAAGATTTTATTGAGCAGCTACTATGTGCCAGGCAGTGTGCTAGGCTTTGGAGACTTGTACAAATTATCCTGGGGTATCTCAGCAGGGAAGTCCTTATTTGTTTATTAATTTTTCCTGACGGTCAGGTCCAGTTAGTCTCACTCTAAACCTGGGGCTTGGAATAGAGGGACCTGAGACACCACATTAGCTGCATGACATTGGGTGACTAGATTACATTCTTTGTATCCATTTTCATATTGATAAAGTTAAATCGGCTCAGAGTGAGGGTTATAACTCTAGCATATATAGAGGCCACAGCATATAGTGTTATATGCTGTACAAAAGACACAACACACAGTAAATGATTCAATAAGCAATGGCCATCTTTATTATTTACGTTGTTATCATATTCTGCTGAAAGGCTTATGTATCAAGTACAAGAAAATGTATAACCCAGTCATTTGTTTTTTATCCAAGGCAGCTGATGAAGAAGACACTTATTAGCCCAAAGAGTGAACAGGGTGAGAGGAGGAGGTTATTGGCTGCTTCTCTGCGGTTAATTTAGCCATCATTTCAGAATGGAGCTGGTATGCTTTGAGTGTGAAAGAAACCTGCTGCTTGTTGATGATTAGTCTGGTTTTAATGAGTTATCAGGTGTCAATAACAGCAGAAGTGCACTAACTTTTCACAGCCATCAGAGGATGTTCAGGATGTTCACTGGGTTCTCACTTTTCAGGGTTTTCTGTGGGTGTTAGAGGTTGGGCTGAGGAGGGCCTGATAGGACATATCTATCTCTGCAAGTCTTAGGCAAAGAAGCTTTCGTGATGATGTATTAGGCTGTTCTTGCATTGCTGTAATGAAATAGCTGAGACTGGGTAATTTATAAGAGAAGAGGTTTATTTGGCTTACGGTTCTGCAGGCTGTACTGGAAGCATAGCTCCAGCATCAGCTTCTAGGGAGGCCTCAAGCTTGTAATCATGGTGGAAGGCAAGGGGGAGGAGGCATATCAGTAGGTGGGGAGGTGCCACATACTTGTAAATGATCATGTGTCGTGTAAACTCACTCACTATCACAAGAACAGCACCAAAGGGATAGTGCTAAACCATTCATGAGAGATCCGCCCCCATGATCCCAATACCTCCCAGGAGGCCCCACCTCCAACAGTGGGGATTAAGTGAGAGTTGGGTGGGGCTCCTTGCTCCTCTTCCCAGTTAATCCTTAATCTCCACCCCAACTCCAGGCAACCACTGAACTTAACCTCCCCTTCCCCTTCCTCTCCTTCTTCCCCTTCCCCTTCCCCTCCCTGAGGTGTCTGTCAGTTACCCAGACTAGAGTGCAGTGGCATGGTCTTTGCTCACTGCAGCCTCTGCCTCCTGGGCTCGAGCAATTCTCCCACCTCAGCCTCCTGAGCAGCTGGGACTACAGGCACATACCACCATGCCTGGCTAATTTGTTGTATTTTTCAAAGAGATGGGGTTTCTCCATGTTGTCCAGGCTGGTCTCGAACTCCTGGGGTCAAGCAATCCACCCGGCTCAACCTCCCAAAGTTCTGGGATTACAGGCATGAGTCACCAGGCCTGGCCCACTGAACTACTTTCTATCCCAATACATTAGATTTTTCTTTCTAGGAGTTTCATATGAATGAAATCATACAGTATGTGCTCCTGGCTTCTTTTGCTTAGAATAATGCTTTGGTTATTCATCTGTGCTATTTATTGTGTGTATCAGTCATGTTTTTCTATTTTCTCACCTTGAGAAGTATTCTGTTTTATAGTACAAAACAATGAGTATGTCCATTCACCTTGAGGAAGATTTTATTTGAAGAAATCTTTGTCATCAAAAAGCTTGAAAACCAGGGCTCTACCTTGATTTCATAGTCTTGAGAATGATGGAGAACTCAATTTATACCATGATTTTCATTGAGAAAGCAGGTTGCATGTTAAGAGATTAGGTGATAGGATGACTGAAAGGTATTTGTGATCTTATGAAAGGTACAATGTGGCAGGCAGCCTCTATGAGGGACCCCAGTGATCCCTGTCTCCTGGTATTCATGCCTTTGTGTAATACCCTCCCCTTAGCATGGGCTGGACTTACTGACTCACTTGTAGTGAATGCAATATGGCTGTCCTGATGGGCTGTCACTTCTGAAATTAGCTTATGAAAAAACCGATTACAGGTATATCTCATTTTATTGCACTTAGCTTTATTGTGCTTTGCAGTTATTACATTTTTTACAAATAAAAGGTTTGTGTCCCTCAGTCAAACAAAAATGCAATGGGTTTCTTTCTAGTCCCCCACCTCAATTTTAGAAATTAAAAAATTTTCCAAACACAGTGAGTAGTAGTCTATATCTGAAGGGTGAATGAAGCAATGAGTGACCAAGTTGCCCACTTAAGGAGGCACTTCACAACAATAAACAAAGAGCCTGCTCTTTGGTCTCAGACCTGGGTTTGAGTTCTAACTCTGCTACTCCTTGACTGTGAGATCCTGGCCATGTGACTTACCTTCTCTGAGCTTCTATTTTCTCATCTGTGAAATGGGGACAATAATTCTTACATCAGTGCATTAAGTGAGAGAATCTAGACAGCACAGTACCTAACACAACACAATGACTCAATTTATTATTGTTGTTGTTGCTTCATTCTTATTTGTAAACACTCAACTGTCTTCACAAACTTCAGGAGCTCTTCAATGAGACACTGTGTCCATTAACAGTCTCATCCAATGGGTAATCTTGAAGATAGATGATTCTATGGTAGGTTCTGAAACATCTCCTCTTTTACTCTATCATGGTGTCAAAGACCAGGATGGTACAGAGGTCCAGGAGTCTGGCCTATGCAGTCAGAGAAACTGATTTGAACTCTACCTCTTCCACTTATTAACCAAGGGGCTTTGGGAAAATTGTGAGCATCACCAGGCTCATGGTGAAGATGGGGTTAATAATAGCTCCAACCTTATGGCCTTAATTGAGATAATTAATGCATATAAAAATGAAACCATGTCTTTTGCAGCAACATGGATAGAACTGAAGGCCATTATCCTATGTGAAATAACTCAGAAACAGGAAGTCAAATACTGCATGTGGTCATTTATAAGTGGGAGCTAAACAATGGGTACACACAGACATACAGAGTAAAATAACAGACACTGGAGACTACAAAAGGTGGGAAGGTAGGAGGGGAGTGAGGGTTGAAAAATTATCTCTTGGGTACAATGTTCGCTGTTTGGGTGATGGGTACAGTAGAAACCTAGATTTCATCATAATGAAATGTATGCGGTTAAGAAATCTGCACCTATATCCCCTAAATATATACAACTTTTAAAAAATTAAAAAAATGATTAATGTGGGCCAGCACACAGTGATCACTCAACAAATGCAAACTCTTATTCTTGTAGGAGTTGAGGGAAGATGCCAAGACCACCCCTTCTCCAACTTTTAATGTCCTGGTATTTTGTCTTAAACATTTGGAAGCATCTGCAGGCAGGGATTTTGTCCTCCTGCCTCCCTTCCGATGGCACTGGCCTGTTTGGATCAGTGGAAGGCTCTCCTGCCCCTCCTCCTTTCTTCCCAGAGGTTTTCTTTTGCACTTTGGACTTCTATTCATGGATCCTTCTGCCAGGGACGTGGACCAAGAATTCTTCCTCTTTTGCAGATTTCTTCCCCTAATGGTCCTGTTTTGTGCTGTCACCCCTGTGCTCTCCCTCCTCCCCAGTTATCAGCAGCTGGCAGGAAATGTTTATAGAAGAAGCCTTTCTTTCTGTTTTTAATAGCCTCCTAGGCTGCAACCTCCCAAATGAGAACCTTGTTAACCAGAAGGACTGTAGGCTACTGATTTATATTTCAGTCATACCGAGAGGAGGAAAAATTACAAAGGGAGAAAGAAAAATGCCAATGTACACATGGACTAGTTCCGACATCTTCTCTGATAAAGAATGTATATATCTATTCAGGCTCTGGATGCTAAGGGATTCCTTCCAGATCTCAGTATTTGACCTCTTACTTTTGGGTCACGTGGATTCTTCGTGCCTCTTGTGGGCTTGCTGAAAGCAAAAGTAACAATTTCATACTCTTGCCATTGAAACAAGGGGTCTATTACTTTTAAATCATAAGGGCACTTGTTTCAACAGAAATGTTAGTATCTTGGTGAAGATGGGGTCTAAGTTCTTGGTGGCTTCTGAGGATGGCGAAGGGCTCACCTTCTGTCATCCCGAACCATCACTGATGGGACAGTGTCTCTCCATGTGTAGCTATGCAAAGGCCACAGAACAAATGGGTAAAAATATTTGGTGGTCAGAATTCTAGCTCAATAGTCAAGGAAGGCTTCCTGGAGGAGAAAGTTCATTTTGAACTGGGCTTTAAAAGTTGGTGTCACAGAAAATGCAAGCTGTCCCTCAGAATTAAGACTAGAGTTCTGTGAAATAGTGATTGCAAAAATGGCCACAATTATTCTCCTCTCTATAGGCACACCCCTTTGCAATGTGACATTGTAGCTTCTCCTATTAGAGTCTATTTCCCCACCCTTGAATCCAGGCCAGTCTTGTGACTTGCTTTGGCTAATACAGTGTGATGGAGGTGACAGTGTGCCAGTTCTGAGCCTAAATCTCAAGATAACTTGCACACTTCCACTCAATCTCTTGGAATCCTGCCCAACCACCATGTGAACCAGCCCCAGCTAGCCTTTGGGAGGATGGGATGCCACATGGAGAGGAGACAGCCCAGGTAAGGACCAGTCAGCACCCGACCAACCAGGCAGCTAACTGCTGGTACCTGAGATGGGCCCAATCAAGAGCACTACATTTGCCCAGATAGACCCAGCGCACATTGCCAGCCTGCAGAATCATGTGCTAAATGAATGCTTATTGTTTAAAGCTGCCAAATAGTGGTTTGTGATTTAGCAAAACTAACTAGTACAGTTTCCTATGCAGCTGAGTGTATCCATGTGACTAAGTTTCTACATACAAAAACGGTGTGTGTAATTTCTGGGGAATTTCCTTCCAGGGAGAAGGTATGCTCTTCTTCCACTTTTTTTCCTTTATATTGCCTGGAATGGGTATGTAATAGCTGGAGCTCCAGCAGCCATCTTGGATCATGAAGTAAGTTTAGGAATGGAAGACACTCCTGGCAGAGCAATAAGCTGGGAGGGTCTTGTTCCTGTAAAACCACTGATTACCTTTCCAGTTCTATTCTGGTACTTCTAAATTTACTAAACAGAAGTTAATAAACTTTTGTTTAGGTCATTGTTTTGAGTTTTGCAGTTACTCATAGCTGAACCTATTGCAAAAGAATACAGATGGTCAGGATTTAAACAAGCAGGGATGGCAGAGAAGGGCATCCATGACATAGGGAATATAACACTAATGTTGCAGAGAAAGAAAAAGTGTGGGTAATGGGTGGGCAATGGTGAATAACTACATATGCCTAAGGGGAGCAGTGGGTGATCAAATTGGGAACCATTTGGGACCAGCTTTTGAAAGGCAGACTGAGAAGTTTGGAGAGGGTGGTAGACAAAAATGTGTGAGTACTTATGCAAATCAGAGTAAGAAAGTCATATATTCATTTTTCCCCCACTCATTGATTCATTTCTTCTAGGAAGTTTACACTGTGTATGAGGGAAACATAGCAAAATAGAAAGATGATTATTGATTGTTATGCATGGTCTGAACTAAATAAACTCTGTGATGTGGCAGAGATTAACTGTTGGGCGGAGATGGCTACTTTAGGCACAGTAGTCAGAATTTTTTGTTTTCTAGAAATTCTGTTAGGCCCTGTGCAGAAGTCTAGGAACACAGGGATGAATAACACACACTTCCTGTCATTGAAGAGATCACAATCTGGTGTGGAATGAGGTTAATCAGGAATATTTTCCTAGTGGAGGTGGAATAGAGCCAAAGGAAATAATGTAGTTTTCCCATATGTATCTGTCAGATATTGCTACAACAAGGTTGCATAACAAGCATCCCCCCAAATCTTGCTTACAACAAAAAAATATTTTTTCCTTCACAGGTCTGTGCATAGGCTGTGGTTCTGCTGGGCTCTGTTGGCTCGGCTTGACTCCACGCTGTGGGTTGGTCTGGGTCTGCTCTATATATCTTTTTATTCTGGGACCAATGGATCCCAAAGATTTGTACTTCTCAGGGTGGATGGCAGAAGTGCAAGGGGCCAAACCAGACCACAGAGGCACATATAATGCTTTGACTTGCATCACATGTACTAACACAATTGGCATTAGCAAGACTGATATCAGTGGGTCAGGATGTATGTTCCACTCACAGTGGGAAGATTGCAAAGGTGCAAAGATGTATAATTCTGTTAAGAGAGGGAATGAAGAGTCGGGAACAATATCCAGCTTACCATACCACCCAGCTTACTTACCATTCCTTACCATACAAGGAAATAATGTATTTCTCCATTTTTCAAGAACGCTCATGTCTGAATAGTTTTATTATTTTCTTCAACAAATCTTTTATCTTGTTAGATTTATTGCAACGAGCCATATTTCTCTTTTTTACAAAATTTATTTAGAAAGTTACATATGCACATATGGTAAAAAGTTCAAAAAGTGGTACCAAAAGATATAACAGTGAAAATAAGGCTGGTTCTTGTTTTTATCCACTGAGGCAAATACTGAGTTTATTTTCAAAGGTATTCTGTGTGGGCACAATCACGCTTGCATATGTTAAAAAATACAAAATGGTATCATACTTGTTCCTCTGCACTTTCTTTTTTTTCTATTTAACAACATATCTTAGAGGTAGTCCTATTTCAATTTAGCTAGACCCATTTCATTCTGTTTAATGGCTACATTTGTTTTTCATTGTGAGACTGTGCCGTAATTTATTTAATCAGTGCCATATTGAAAGACATTTGGATCGTTTCCCAGCATTTGCAACTATAATCAAGGTTACATTAAATATCCTGTTACATGCAGGAAGATACTTTATTCACATGCATGGGTATATCAGTAGGTTAAAACTCAAATACAGAAACTGCCAGGTCAAGAGATACACATCTTAAAGTTTAATAGATATTGACCCTGTTTCTAAAAAGAAAGATTCCTTCCAGCGTGTCTACACACATTTGTCTGCTCCTCTGTCTTCTGATTCTTGTCCCATGGTGTTATTTTAGGCTGAAATAATGGAATATGGTGGCTCAAAAAACTTATTCCCATAGGATCTCTGGGAAAGCTTTGGGTCTTGCCACATGGTCCCCAGTTGAACACAGGAAGTACTTGGCACTGTTGTTGCAACCCAAATCATCACTTTAATGAGCGTGCTGGAGGAGCGTGGAATGTTTCCACAAGCATGTGTACTGAAGAATTCCATGCTGCAGGCGAAATGATTTATATCCCTGGGAGTTCCCAGTAAAAAAATGTGCACAGTACCCTTTAATTTGATCTGCTTTCCCTGTAGCACCTAAATATTTAGGGCAAATAGAAAATAGTTCTGATTTACATCTCTATAAAAATTTTAAACAACCTAACAAGACATTTGATCATGAAATTGCCTGAAATAATGTTGGCACTAGTCAGCCATATTTCTTCAAAATGGCCTGTAACTTCAGTGCAAACTCCCAAACATGGATTTTTTTTTCCTGCTAATAACAGTCTTATTAATAAAAGAATGATTTTCTTTACTGATCCTCAGCAGCTGTGTTCCGGGTGTCTTTGTTCAATAAAGGTAGAGATAATAACTGTCAGTGGAAAGAAAATGTGCTGAGGTTCCCAGGAGAAGTGGTGGAAACAAATCTTTTATTAAATCATATCAAATTGTGTTTCTCGTTTACTTTTTCCATTTTGTAAGTCACAGTCATATCTGCTAGTTTTTCGGAAACCTTGGCTCACATTTGTCAAAAAAACTTGGCTTGGCATTCTTGAGGTTAATGCTGCGTGATCAATCGGTGATAAATTTGACATAATTAACTGTTGTAATGGCATTTCTGAGTCTGTTTCTCTTCTTTACTCCTGCTGAAATCATCTGAGATTAGTTAACTTCTGAATATTTCTTCAGATGTGCTGTGGATGCCTAGAAAAAGAGTGGTAAGGAAGTGTCGTTGATATCTGGAGTTCTTATCTGTCCACAGGTTAATGATCTCTCTGAATAATAACACCCCTATTTCCCTAGGAGGATCCCTTCCCCTACTCTCAAGGCAGGTGGCTCAGATGGGCCTGATTTATTCCTGGTGCTAGGGGTGGGCAAAAGACCCAGACCTGACCAATCAAAAACATCAAATTGGGCCAACCAGAACCAATTAGAATTCTGGGACCTTTGCTACAACTATTGGAAAAGATAATTTTTTTTTTGATTGGAATTCCTGAAAGAACAAGACATAAACCTGCTTCTGGTTATCTTTGCTTTCCGGGGAAAGGTTTTTTTTAATGTTTATTTTTATTTTTTCTGAGACAGGGTCTCACTCTGTCACCCAGGCTGGAGTGCTGTAGTGCAATCATGGCTCACGGCAACCTCGGACTCCTGGGCTGCAGAGATCCTCCTGCCTTAGCCCCCTGAGTGCTGGAGCTACAGGTATGTGCTACCATGCCTGGCTAACTAAATTTTTTTTTCCTTTTTTGAGACAGGGTCTTGCTCTGTCACCTAGGCTGGAGTACAGGGGTATGATCGTAGCTCACTGCTCCCTCAACCTCCCATACTCAAGCTATCCTCCCTCGTCAGCCTCTCAAGCAGTTGGGACCACAGGCATGTGACACCATGCCCAGCTATTTTTTTTTTTAATTTTCTCTAGAGATGGGGTCTCACTATGTTAGCCAGTCTAATCTCAAACTTTTGGGCTCAACTGATCCTCCCACTTAAGCCTCCCAAAGTGTTGGCATTACAGGCGTGAGCCACCATGCCTGGCCAAAAAAGGGCATTCTTGAAGTCAAACAAGGGAAAACACTGAGAAATGAAGGGAGGTTCCTGATCATGTCACTTGGATACCAGTGTTTAGCCATGCCTGAAGTCTTACCCTTCAATTAGGCAGGCTAATACATTTTCATTTTTTGCCTGAGTCCGTTTAACTTGGGTTTCTGGCACTTACCTCGAAGAAAGTCCTAAATACTTATGTTTTCCAAGTTTCAGTAAAGTCTCATGTATGGGAGAGTGTGGTCAGCGCCAGCAATACCCATGTCCATAATAAAATATCAGTCCTCTCCCCGTCTGTTATTGCTGGTCACCACTGTATAATAGACTGTGTTCAGGCTGGAGTGACAGCTCCAGTCCACAGTTCATCAGAGGGTCTCAGCCCAGTCTCGTCAAGGATTCTCATTTCTAGCATTCATCATGGTTGCCCTATATCCATGCTCTGAGGATATGGCATTTACCTCTGCTGTGCCTTGTCCTCCCCCTACCTTGTACCAGTAGATCAGTAGATCCTTATGAATGCACAAATACCTCTCTCTGCACCAGAGAGAGTCCAGCCTGAGGTTTGTAGGCAGCTAGCTACTGGAATTTTCTCCCAGCTTTGTATCTCTAAGATCTCAGGTCCATTTCTTTTTCTTTTCTTTTCTTTTCTTTTTCTTTTTTTTTCCTTTTTCTTTTCTTTTCTTTCTTTCTTCTTTTTTTTTTTTTTTTGAGACAGAGTTTCGCTCTTGTTGCCCAGACTGGAGTGAGTGCAATGGTGCGATTGTGGCTCACCGCAACCTCTGCCTCCCTGGTTCAAGCAATTCTCCTTCCGCAGCCTCCCGAGTAGCTGGGATTACAGGCATGCGCCACCACGCCTGGCTAACTGTATATTTTTAGTGGAGACGGGGTTACTCCATGTTGGTCAGGCTGGTCTTAAACTCCCAACCTCAGGTGATCCCCCCACCTCGGTCTCCCAAAGTGTTGGGATTACAGGTGTGAGCCACCGTTCCCGGCATCTCAGGTCCATTTCTAGGTCTTGCCTTGCCTTACTTGAATTAGGTAATGACCTTATATGTGGGGGAAGAGATGATGTGGACAGGGATATATGGTCTAACATTCACAGTGCTCCTACTGCTTATCAGATACTGTGCTTGGTTCATTTGTGTCATATTATCTTGTGTTTTCCATAACACGTAAGACATTCCATGTGCAAGACACTGTGTTAAGTGCCTTATCAAGCAACATCTAATTTAATCCTTATAAAAACAATAGAAAGGCATTATTATCTCCATATAGAAGCTGAGGCTCTAGGTTATTTTCTTTGTATCATACAATGAGGAAATGGCAAAAGCAAGATTTCAACTAGGGTCTCAATGACTCTGAACCCAGTTTTCTTACCTCCGACATTAGCACTTACTGTATTTTTTTTTTCCAACTTTTATTTTACATTCAAAGGGTACATGTGCAGGTTTGTTACATGGGTAAATTGCATGTTGCAGAGGTTTGGTGCACAGATAATTGTGCCACACAGATAATTGGCATAATACCCGATAGGTAGTTTTTCAAGCTTCACCCTTTTCCCACCCTCCTCCCTCAAGCAGGTCCCAGTGTCTATTGTTCGTTTCTTTATGTTCACGTGTACTCAATGTCTGGCTCTCACTTATTAGTTAGAATATGCGATATTAAGGCCAGGTGCGGTGGCTCATGCCTGTAATCCCGGCACTTTGGGAGGCCGAGGCAGGCAGATAACCTGAGGTCGGGAGTTCGAGACCAGCCTGGCCAACATGGTGAAACCCTGTCTCTACAAAATATAAAAATTAGCTGGGCGTGGTGGCAGGTGCCTGTAATCCCAGCTACTCCAGAGGCTGAGGCAGGAGAATTGCTTAAACCCAGGAGGTGGAGGTTGCAGTGAGCCGAGATCGTGCCACTGCACTCCAGCCTGGGCATCAGAGCGAGACTCTGTCTCAAAAAAAAAAAAAAAAAAAAAAAAAACCAAGCATGTAGTATTTCATTTTTTGTTCCTGTGTTAATTGGCTTAGGAGAATGGCCTCCAGCTCCATCTATGTTGCTGCAAAGGATACGATTTTATTCTTTTTTTATTGCTGTGTAGTATTCCATGGTGTATATGTGCCACATTTTCTTTATCCAGTCCACTGTTGATGGGCATCTAGGCTGATTCTATGTCTCTGCTATTGTGACTAGTTCACTTACTGTATTGTCTCATTGATGAGCATCTACGTGTCTCTGCTATTGTGAGCAGCGCACTTGCTGGATTGTCCTGTTGATAGGTATCTAGGTTGAGTCTGTGTCTCTGCTATGGTGAGTAGTGTACTTACAGTATTGTCTTGTTGGTCTGTGCATCCCTCTCACCTGTGAGCTTCCTGATCTCGTGCACTCTGTGTTATGTCTGGATCCCGATCTTCACTTTAGAACCTTGCATAGAGCAGGTTCTCAAAAACTGTTTACAGAATTAAAGAATCTTTATAGCAATGTCAGAAGGTGAGTATTTTCTTTCCGTTTTACACATGAGCAAATTTAGGCTTAAGAAAGTTAAGCAAATTACCCAAGGCCAGGAAGTAGAATTCATGAAATATAATCCAGAAATTTCCAAGAGAATTGAGAAAGATATTCTCTAAGCTAAAGAGGAGGGTTTTTGTTATTTTTCAGCATTCTAATATAGGTAGTTTATGTGGAAACATGGAAGTAATTTACCACCTTTCTTAATGAAGGCCCTACTAGGCTGGGCTATCATGAAGAAAACAGCACAGACATTTTTATGAAAGAAAACTACATCTATGTTACTGCATCTGTATTTGAGCTCCTTATAACATGTAAGCAGGCAGAACATTGTTTAATGTTGCTGGACAAAGCTCAAGTGAAAATGATCCAGTGGGGAAATCTTTTATGGAAATTAAACTGATTGTTTTGGAATGTAAGTTGCAATTTTTCACTTCTTAGTTTCTGCTCTCTTGAGTCCTTGTCTATGTCATGAACACATTTGATACGGAATCCTGGGGACTTTGCCCATTGTAAGGAGCACTGTAGTGGAAGGCAGTCGAGCTCAATGTATAGAGAGAGGCAGCAAGGTGGGTAAGTAGAGGCAGCACCTGGGACCCAGCTAGATGGACTGGTATCTCTAAAGAGTGCCTCAAGGAAACACATTTCCTGGAGCACTTCAGAACATGAGAGCTGAGGCCAGGATCTGGTGCAGCTCACTCTATCTGAAAGCACTGAGATTCTGTTAAGCTAATGATGAGTTTTCTCTTCATCTTTCCTCCCAACACCAAGACCAAGCAAAAATGCAAGGGAACAAAGAACAAGAAGCAGTGTCCAAAGTCTTCAGAGTCTCTAGGATAGTTGTTGACCTAAGTCACACTGCTGTCATCCTCTGGGCTGCTTGTACTTTTGGAGTAGTCACTGGCAGATTAATAAGTTTCCTGAAAGTTAACAGAAAATACCAGCTTAAAGTAGTACTAAAGTTTTCAAAAAATTTTTTTGGGGGGAGGATGAGAGGGTGAAATATGATAGTCACCCTGATGTACTCATGGAAGCATCTAGGTTGTGTTATTAGTTAAAATTCCCAGCCATGAAGACAAGAATACATGGAATTCACCCATGTGTTCACCCAACCTCCCATCCATCCACCTATCCATCCATTTGTCATCCATCCATTCATCCATTCTTCCATCCATCTATCCATTAATACATCTGTCCATCTACCTACTCATCTGTCCATCCGTCCATCCATCCACCTACTCATCTATCTATTGTCCATCCATTCATCCATCCACTTACCCATCTATCCACCATCCATACACCCACCTATCCATCCACCCATCCATCTACTCACCAATCTATCTACCATCCATCTATCAATTATCCATCCACCCACCCATCCATCTACTTAGCAATCTATCCACCATCCATACACTTCACCCATCCATCAATTCACCCATCAATCCATTTACCCATTCACCCACCCACCATCCATCCATCTATCCATCTATCCACCATCCATTCATCAATTTACCCTATATCCACCATTCATATACCTACTCTTTGATCCATCCACCTACCAATCTATCCATTCATCCATCCACACACCCACCTATTCATCTATCCATCCATCTACCCATCTGCTTAACATTAACCAAGCATACATAATGTGCCAGGCATTGTCTAGGGCTACCAACACTTGGTTCTTAGGAAATTCCAAGACTGCATTTTTTTGCTATAAAATAATTTTGGAAGTCAAATTTGCCTGAGGAGTTTTGTTAAAGTGAAGCAAAATGTAATATGAGTTTATATAGATTTTGGCTCTTACATAACTATACTTGGCATTGAAAACTACGCAACTTATTCAGGAATAGGTGGTGTATGGTACAAGTTGCTGTATCATGCAAAAAGATGGGCTGCAAGAAACAGTTTTTGTTTAGGCTTTGTTTTTCATTAAAATCTGTGAAATTGTTGAGCTCAAGTTGTTGTTTTGCTTGGTCAGGTGTTGCTAGTCAGCTAAAAATAAGTCTGTATCAGTGATCGTCTTAGATTCTAAGAAAACTCAGATGTGAGGGAAATTAATGTGCTTGCACTTTTTGTTACATGACACCATGTTGAACATGCGTAGAGTTTTGTGAACAGAGGTGGTAGAGCGTGTTGGTAAGAGTTGCATAGTTGGTAAAAGAGTTTTAAAATGTGTTTCTGATTAATTTACATAAATAATTTGGGGCCAAAAACCTTCTTTCCCTCCACTCAACACCATATTTTTGAAATCCCTTCATGTTGCTCTATATAAATCTAGTTAATTTCTGATTGTGTCCTAAAGTCAACGTATGCATAAAACACAATTTGCTTATCCATTCCTTGAGTGGTTATTGTATAGGAACATCAAAGTCTGTGTCGTCACAAGCAAAACTATGGTGGACATCCTAATGCATGTGTTGTTATGGCCTTGTGCAAATTTCTCTAGTGCACGTATATATCCAGATATGGGATTGTTGGGTAGATGAATAGTTAATTGCACTGAGTACTGAGAAATTGTTACTTAGAATGGCTGCTTGGTTTACACTTTTTACTAGCACTTGATGTTCTCTGGCGTTGTAATTTTTACCAATCTGATGGCTGTAAAGTGGCATATCATTGTTGTTTTGATTTGCTTTTCTCTGATTATTACTGATGTTGAGTATCTCTTCATATACTTATTAGCCATTAGTGTTTCCTCTTCTATTAATTTTATTTTCATAGGCTTTGCCCATTTTTTTCTATTGGGTTTCCTGAAATTTTCTTGCTATTTTCAGGAGTTTCTCTCAATATTAATGCCAGTTTCATTTTACACACTGAAAATATCTTCTCACAGTCTACCAACGTGTTAAACGTGTAGATGATGTCCTTTTCTGAGTAGAAACCTCAATTGTAATCTTGTCAAACACTTCATCTTTTCCCGTTATGGCTTGTTCTTTTAAGTCTTGCTCAAGAACCTGCTCAATTCTAAAGTCACAAAGATATTTCCCACATTTTGTTTGATTACTTTTATGATTTACCTTTCACATTCAGATGTAAAGGAAAAAATCCAATTTAATCCTTGTCATACAGTAAACCATCCTCCCCCAAACCTACCAAGTTATTTATTCTTTCCCAACTGGGTTAAGACACCATGTCTCCTATGTATGTGGGGATGTTTCTGGAATCTCTATACTGCTTCAATGATCTATTTAGCTGTTCCTAAGACTGTAGCACAGTTTTTTATTATTATACTTTAAGTTCTGGGGTATATGCGCAGAATGTGCAGGTTTGTTACATAGGTATACACGTGTCATGGTGGTTTGCTGCACCCATCAGCCTGTCGTCTAAATTAGGTATTTCTCCTAATGCTATCCCTCCCCTAGCCCCACTGACAGGCCCTGGTGTGTGATGTTCCCCTCCCTGTGTCCATGTGTTCTCATTGTTCAACTCCCACTTATGAGCGAGAACATGCGGTGTTTGGCTTTCTGTTCTTGTGTTAGTTTGCAGAGAATGATGGTTTCCAGCTTCATCCATGTCCCTGCAAAGGACATGAACTCATCTTTTTTTATGGCCACATAGTATTCCATGGTGTACATGTGCCAAATTTTCTTTATCCAGTTTATCATTGATGGCATTTGGGTTGGTTCCAAGTCTTTGCTATTGTGAACAGTGCTGCAATAAACATATGTGTGCGTGTGTCTTTATAGTAGAATGACTTATAATTCTTTGGGTATATCCCCAGTAATAGGATTGCTGGGTCAAATGGTATTTCTAGTTCTAGATCCTTGAGGAGTTGCCACACTGTCTTCCACAATGGTTGAACTAATTTACACTCCCACCAACAGTGTAAAAGTGTTGCTATTTCTCCACATCCTCTCTAGCATCTGTTGTTTGCTGACTTTTTAATCGCCATTCTAACTGGCATGAGATGGTATCTCATTGTGGTTTTGATTTGCATTTCTCTGATGACCAGTGATGATGAGCATTTTTTCATATGTTTCTTGGCCACATACATGCCTTCTTTTGAGAAGAGTCTGTTCATATCCTTCGCCTACTTTTTGATGGGGTTGTTTGTGTTTTTCTTGTAAATTTGTTTAAGTTCTTCCTAGATTCTGGATATTAGCCCTTCATCAGATGGATAGATTGCAAAATTGTCTCCCATTCTGTAGGTTGCCTGTTCACTCTGATGATAGTTTCTTTTGCTGTGCATAAACTCTTTAGTTTAATTAGATCCCATTTGTCAATTTTGGCTTTTTTTTGCCATTGCTTTTGGTGTTTTAGTCATGAAGTCTTTGCCCATGCCTATGTCCTGAATGGTATTGCTTAGGTTTTCTTCTAGGGTTTTTATGGTTTTAGGTCTTATGTTAAAGTCTCTAATCTATCTTGAGTTAATTTTTGTATAAGGTGTAAGGAAGGGATCCAGTTTCAGCCTTCTGCGTACAGTAGCCAGTTATCTCAACGCCATTTATAAAATAGGGAATCCTTTCCCCATTGCTTTTGTCAGATTTGTCAAAGATCAGATGGTTGTAGATGTGTGGTGTTATTTCTGAGGCCTCTGTTCTGTTCCATTGGTCTATATATCTGTTTTGGTACCAGTACCATGCTGTTTTGGTTACTGTAGCGTTGTAGTATAATTTGAAGTCAGGTAGCATGATGCCTCCAGCTTTGTACTTTTGCTTAGGATTGTCTTGGCTCTGCAGGCTCTTTTTTGGTTCCATATGAAATTTAAAGTAGTTTTTTTCCAATTCCGTGAAGAAAGTCAATGGTAGCTTGATGGGGATAGCAATGAATCTATCCATTACTTTGGGCAGTATGGCCATTTCCACAATACTGTTTCTTTCTATCCATGAGCATGGAATGTTTTTCCATTTGTTTGTGTCCTGTCTTATTTCGTTGAGCAGTGGTTAGTAGTTCTCCTTGAAGAGGTCCTTCATATCCCTTGTAAGTTGGATTCCTAGGTATTTTATTCTCTTTGTAGCAATTGTGAATGGGAGTTCACTCATGATTTGGCTCTCTGTTTGTCTGTACTTGGTGTATAGGAATGCTTGTGATTTTTGCACATTGGTTTTGTATCCTAAGACTTTGTTGAAGTTGCTTATCAGCTTAAGGAGATTTTGGGCTGAGATGATGGATGGGGTTTTCTAAATATACAATCATGTCATTTGCAAACAGACAATTTGACTTCCTCTTTTCCTAATTGAATACCCTTTATTTCTTTCTCTTGCCTGATTGCCCTGGCCAGAACTTTCAACACTATGTTGAATAGGAGTGGTGAGAGAGGACATCCTTGTCTTGTGCCGGTTTTCAAAGGGAATGCTTCCAGTTTTTGCCCATTCAGTATGATAGTGGCTGTGGGCTTGTCATAAATAGCTCTTATGATTCTGAGATACGTTCCATTAGTACCTAGTTTATTGACAGTTTTTAGCATGAAGGGGTGTTGAATTTTGTCAAAGGCCTTTTCTGCATCTATTGAGATAATCATGGGATTTTTGTCACTGGTTCTGCTTATGTGATGGATTATGTTTATCAATTTGCCTGTGTTGAACCAGCTTTGCATCCCCGGGATGAAGCCAGCTTGATCATGGTGGATAAGCTTTTTGATGTGCTGCTGGATTTGGTTTCCCAGTATTTTATTGAGGATCTTTGCATCGATGTTCATCAGGGATATTGACGTGAAATTTTCTTTCCTTGTTGTCTCTGTCAGGTTTTTATATCAGGATGATGCTGGCCTCATAAACGAGATGGGAGGATTCCCTCTTTTTCTATTGTTTGCAATAGTTTCAGAAGGAATGGTACCAGCTCCTCTTTGTACCTCTGGTAGAATTTGGCTGTGAATCCATCTGGTCCTGGACTTTTTTTTGGTTGGTAGGCTAGAAATTACTGTCTCAATTTTGGAACCTGTGATTGGTCTATTCAGAGATTCAACTTCTTCCTGGTTTAGTCTTTGGAGGGTATATGTATCCAGGAATTTATCCATTTTGTTCTAGATTTTCTAGTTTATTTGCGTAGAGGTGTTTATAGTATTATCTGATGGTAGTTTGTATTTCTGTTGGAGCGGTGGTGCTATCCCCTTTATCATTTTTTATTGTGTCTATTTGATTTTTCTCTCTTTTCTGTATTAGTCTGGCTAATGGTCTAGTTTGTTGATCTTTTAAAAAATCCCGCTCCTGGATTCATTGATTTTTTTTTTTTTTGAAGGGTTTTTCGTGTCTCTCTCTCCTTCAGGTCTGCTCTGATCTTAGTTATTTATTGTCTTCTGCTAGCTTTTGAATGTGTTTGCCCTTGCTTCTCTAGTTCTTTTAATAGTGACATTAGGGTGTTGATTTTAGATCTTTCCTGCTTTCTCTTGTGGGCATTTAGTGCTATAAATTTCGCTTTAAACACTGCTTTAAATGTGTCCCAGAGATTCTGGTACGTTATGTGTTTGTTCTCATTGGTTTCAAAGAACATCTTTATTTCTGCCTTAATTTCGTTATTTACCCAGTAGTCATTTAGGAGCAGGTTGTTCAGTTTCCATGTAGTTGCGTGGTTTTGACTGAGTTTCTTAATCCTGAGATCTAATTTGATTACACTGTGATCTGAGAGACTGTTTGTTTTCTGTTCTTTTGCATTTGCTGAGGAATGTTTTACTTCCAATTATGTGGTCAATTTGAGAATAAATGTGATGTGGTGCTGAGAATAATTTATATTCTGTTGATTTGTGGTGGAGAGTTCTCTAGATGTCTATTAGGTCTGCTTGGTCCAGAGCTGAGCTCAAGTCCTGGATATCCTTGTTAATCTTCTGTCTCATTGATCTGTCTAATATTGACAGTGGGGTGATAAAGTCTCCTACTATTATTTTGTGGGAGTCTAAGTCTCTTTATAGATCTGTAAGAACTTGCTTTATGAATCTGGGTGCTCCTGTATTGGGTGCATATATATTTAGGATAGTTAGCTTTTCTTGTTGCGTTGATCCCTTTACCATTATGTAATGGCCTTCTTTGTCTCTTTTGATCTCTGTTGGTTTAAAGTCTGTTTTATCAGAGACAAGGATTGTAACTCCTGCTTTTTATTTTTGCTTTCCATTTGATTGGTAAGTATTCCTCCATCCCTTTATTTTGAGCCTATGTGTGTCTTTGCACATGAGATGGGTCTCCTGAATACAGCACACCAATGGGTTTTGACTCTTTATCCAATTTGCCAGTCTGTGTCTTTTAATTGGGGCATTTTGCCCGTTCACATTTAAGGTTAATGTTGTTATATGTGAATTTGATCCCGCCTTTATGATGCTAGCTGGTTATTTTGCCCATTAGGTGATGGAGTTTCTTCATAGTGGCAATGGTCTTTACAATTTGGTATGTTTTTGCAGTGGCTGGTACCGGTTGTTCCTTTCCATGTTTACTGCTTCTTTCGGGAGGTGTTGTAAGGCAGGCCTGGTGGTGACAAAATCTCTCAGCATTTGCTTGTCTGTAAAGGATTTTATTTCTCCTTTGCTTACGAAACTCAGTTTAACTGGATATGAAATTCTGGGTTGAAAATTCTTTTCTTTAAGAATGTTGCATATTGGCCCCCACTCTCTTCTGGCTTGTAGGGTTTCTGCCAAGAGATCTGCTGTTTGTCTGATGGGCTTCCCTTTGTGGGTAACTCGACCTTTCTGTCTGGCTGCCCTTAACATTTTTTCCTTCTTTTCAACCTTGGCGAATCTGACAATTATGTGTCTTGGGGTTGCTCTTCTCGAGGAGTATCTTTGTGGTGTTCTTTGTATTTCCTGAATTGAATGTTGGCCTGTCCTGCTAGGTTGGGGAAGTTCTCCTGGATAATATCCTGAAGAATGTTTTCCAAGTTGGTTCCATTCTCCCCATCACTTTTAGGTACACCAATCAAATGTAGATTTGGTCTTTTCACATAGTCTCATATTTCTCGGAGGCTTTCTTCATTTCTTTTCATTCCTTTTTCTCTAATCTTGCCTTCTCGCTTTATCTCATTAAGTTGATCTTCAATATCTGATATCCTTTCTTCCACTTGATCAACTCAGCTATTGATCCTTTGAGGAGAAGAGATGTTCTGGTTTTTGGAATTTTCGGTCTTTTTATGCTGGTTTCTCCCCATTCATGGATTTATTTACCTTTGGTCTTTGATGTTGGTGACTTTCAGATGGGGTCTCTGAGTAGACATCCTTTTTGTTGATGTTGATACTATTCCTTTCTGTTTGTTAGTTTTCCTTCTAACAGTCAGGACCCTCTGCTGCAGGTATACTGGAGTTTGCTGGAGGTCCACTCCAAACCCTGTTTGCCTGGGTATCAGCAGCAGAGGCTGCAGAACAGCAAAGATTGTTGCCTATTCCTTCCTCTGGAAACTTCCTACTAGAGGGGCACCCACCAGGTGGCAGCCAGAGCTCTCCTGCATGAGGTGTCTTTTGGCTCCTACTGGGAGGTGTCTCCCAGTCAGGATATGTGGGTGTCAGGGAACAACTTGAGGGGGCAGTCTGACCCTTATCAGAGCCCAGATGCTGTGCTGGGAGATCCACTGCTCTCTTCAGAGCCATCAGGCCAGGACGTTTAAGTCTGCTGAAGCTGTACCCATAGCTGCCCCTTCTCCCAGGTGCTCTGTCCCAGGGAGATGGGGGTTTTATCTGTAAGTCCTTGACTGGGGCTGCTGCCTTTTTTTTCAGAGATGCCCTTCCCAGAGAGGAGGAATCTAGAGAGAGAGTCTGGCCACAGTGGCCTTGCTTAGCTGCGGTGGGTTCTGCCCAGTTCAAGCTTCCCAGCAGCTTTGTTTACACTGTGAGGGTAAAACCGCCTACTCAATCCTCAGCAATGGTGGACGCCCCTTCCCCCACCAAGCTCGAGCATTGCACCTTGAGCTCAGACTGCTGTGCTGGCAGTGAGAATTTCAAGCCAGTGGACCTTAGCTTCCTGGGCTCCGTGTACCAGTTTTTGAAATTATTATGGCTTAGTAATAGGTCATGGTATTTAGTATAATGAATCCTTCTCCAATTTTTCAAAACTACCTTAGATATTCATGCTTTTTATATTTTTACATACATTTTAATATTTGTCAAAGTCCTCAAATTGTGCTGGAATCTTCATTTTTTATTTTTTATTATACTTTAAGTTCTAGGGTACATGTGCACAACCTCCTGGTGTGCCGTTTGCTAAGGCCGTTAGAAAAGCGCAGTATTAGGGTGGGAGTGTCCCAAATTTCCAGGTACCATCTGTCACAACTTCCCTTTGCTAGGAAAGGGAGTTCCCCGACCCCTTGTGCTTCCCGGGTGAGGCGATGCCCCACCCTGCTCCATGGGCTGCACCCACTGTCTGACAAGCCCCAGTGAGATGAACCCGGTACCCCAGTTGGAAATGCAGAAATCACCTGTCTTCTGCATCACTCACGCGGGGAGCTGCAGACTGGAGCTGTTCGTATACGGCCATCTTGGAACCTCCCCCACTGGAATCTCGATTGGAACTGCATTAAATCCATGGATTAATGTTGGGAGAAATTAATATTCTTACAATGTTAAGTTATCCTATTCATGAGTACGGTGTTTGTCTTAACTTATTGAGGTTTTTTAAAATGTTCTTTATAAGAGCTTTACTTTTCTCCATGAAGTTCTAGTGCATTCATTTTTAGGTTAATTTCTTGATATGTTATATATATAACAGAGTGTTTAAAAAATGATCTAACTATATATATGTAAACATGATAGCAACTACATATAGTTATATAACTATAACTATATATAGTTACATGACTATAACTATATATAGTTATATGACTTTAACTAGTTACATAACTATAACTATATAACTGTATATAGTTATATAACTAACTATATGTCTGACTATATGAATATGTAAAAATAGGTGTATATATATATAATCCTAACAATATAGTTATATCTATATATCTATAACTACATATCTATATATCTGTAACTACATATCTATCTATAGATATATAACTACATCTAACTATATATAGTTATGTAATTATATATCTAAGTATAAAATCATATATAGTTATATAACTACATGTAACTATATAGTTTTATATATATATAGATATAGCAACTATATCTATATATAACTACATATATAGATATAGTTGTTATCATGTTTTAAGCACTCTGTTCCATGCCTGGTATGTAGTGAGTACTTAATAAATGGTACTTACTCTTATTTTTGTAACTATTATAAGTGGGGGAAAAGCAAAGAGGGATACTCTCCAAATGTCTTTAGGAGTCGTCATGATATGCTGGAAATAACATGGTTGTGGAATCATTCTCATGTGGGTTCTGGTCTGTCTCCACCATTAACTGTGTCACTTTGAACACATTTCTCAAACTTATACAATGGGAATGATGCTTATCCTACTGGTGTTCTAGGTATGGTGAGAAGATAAAATGAGATCACAAACTAGTAATGAATACTATGATTGGCACACAAAAGCACTCAGAATGCAGGTCCTTTTCTTCTCTAGTGAAGATCTGATAAGTTTGTCAAACAGCAACACCATTCCCCCACAAAATACTCTTTTCTTCATTTGAAGTCCATTTCCAAAATTTGTCCTTTCAGATGGATACAGAGAGCAGGTACACAGATTAAGAAAAATTGAAAAATTTATCCTTCCAAGCATCCCCTTTTCAAAGACACCTTTGGTTTTTCATCTTTAGAATGTAAACTCCTTGAGGACAGGAAGTGCCAGGAACTCCACACATCCATTCCTGTCCTGTGGTTTACCCATGCCAGTCATGGTAAGCCCATCACCCTTGTCAGTGATTGGCTCAGGGATGGGTTAAGCCCATGCCAGTCTGGGCCAGTGAGATTCTAGGAGGAACTTGATGACCGCTTCTGGAGAAGGACATCCAGTTTTCCTCTTTGACATCCAGTTTTCCTCTTTGACTGTATGTGAGTTAAAGAGGCCCATGCCCCAGTTTCTGCTGGCAGTCACCTTATATCAGTGAGGGAAGCCAGCCTTAAGATGAAGCCCACATTGTGGAAATAGAGACAGGGTGCCATGAGCAGAGAAATTCTGGGTTTCTGATGTCAGCATTGAGCTGCTGAATCAATCAATGAAGACACCTTCCCCTTTCAATGCTCTATTATCATAAATAATGCTCTTTTTGATTTAGTCAGTTGTTTTTTTTTGTTGTTGTTGTTTTTTGAGACAGAGTCTTGCTCTGTCACCCAGGCTTGAGTGCAGTGGTGTCATCATAGCTGACTGCAACTTTCAACTCTTGGGCTCAAGCGATCCTCCTGCCTCAGCCTCCTGAGTGACTGGGACTACAGGCATGAGTCACCATGCCTGGGCAATTTTTAATTTTTATTTTGTAGAGACAGGAGTCTCATTCTGTTGCCCAGGCTGGTCTGGCATTACTGATCTTAAGCAATCCTCCTGCCTCAGCCTCCTGAAGCATTGGGATTCCTAGCATGAACCACTGTGCCTAGCCAGTTTAGTTAGTTCGAGTAAGAATGTCTTTTATTTGCACTCTAAAACATCATAGTGGATTCAGACCTAAAGTCTTTGTCCTGAGCCTGCAAATAATTGAGGCTTAAGAAATGTATGATAGTGAACACGAACGTGGGAATTATACTGGCTTTGTAGAGTGTAGTGCATTGCATAATACTGTGTTCTGTAGATTCTTTGAGCTTCCTAATGGCCTTTTAATACAGAATGCAATTCCTTTTCCTCTTTAGTGAAGATACGGATTTACTCTCATCTGTCTCTTTCAGGTGAGGTAACTGAGGATCAAAGAGGGTTTGTGATATGCTGAAATTTGAATAGATAGCTAAGCAGTCCAGTTGTGATAAGAACCTAAGTCTTTTCACTCCTTCTTTGGTACATTTTCTCATATGCTCAATCCCCACTAGGCTGTGAGAGCCTTAAGGGTGAAAGCTACAATCTTACATATTTTTGTCACCAGAATGCCTAGCAGACAGCCTGTTTCTTTTGGGTCACAAGTAATAGAAGAATAAACACATAAATGACTTGTTATATCTTGAAAGCAGCTTTCATGTAAAGGCAGAGGGAATGATACCTCCTTCCAAAGTGTTTTAACAATGTCCAGTGGTGACAATGTCCCATTTCAAAGGCAATAGTCCTGGGTGTGTTTTGTCCTTGGTATATCTGTAGATCCAGCCTTTTAGCACAGGTATAACAGGCAATGATGCCATTGCAAAGGCTGTACTGACTAGTGAATTCTTTCAGACACAGAGGAGGAAGGAGTCAAACAGCAAAGTCAGAAGAGGTAGTTTAGAGCTGTCATCCCGGGTGCTCCTGGGAGGAATTTGCACTTAACACGTAAATCAGGTTCAGGGTCTGTCTAATTAATACAACGACTTTAGTGCCATTTGCTTCCCCGTCAGAATTCATACTGAATTCTGACACATGGTCATTGGGTTTATCAATAATGTGCCCCATAAATCCAGTTAGCATTTTCTTCTGGGTGCCGCACCTTGGGAAGCTGCTTAAATACCTTGAAGGTCCTTATCTAGCTCTGGCCTTGAATCTCAAGAAGGGTCAGAGGCCCTTCAAGCTCTTCACTGAGTATGACATTACTGCTGTGATTTGAGTCCTTTGTGCCTGGCTGGAAGATGTTCTGGTGAAAGATCTTAAAGCTTAGATGAGGAGGTTACCTCCCACCAGGCTTTGGCATTCTTAGAAGGAGTCCTGGTGCTGGGGGGAGTGTCTAGATTTGTCACTGGTTGTTTCTGTTTGCTCAGCATCACTTCCTTTGGTGAACTGCCCCTCACCTGTGCAACATGACTCTATAGGCCTGCCATCTATGAAACTCTACCCCAGGCTGCAGAGCTGGGTCTGTAACTCAATGTGGTCAATCCAAGCGCTCTCTCTCCTGGGAATCTGATTCTTGAGCTGAGACACACAAGGGTGGAGGTGATTTATGCAAAGCCACTTACTTCTGAGGCTGTTCATGAGTCTCTACTTTCAAACTCCCCTTCATTTCTATGACCTTCCAAATATCCCTTCAATAAATATTTAGTTCTTGTTTGCATGTGTTAGGGTAGGTTTCTGTTACTTGCTTTTAAATACCTTTAAGTTATACAGATGTAGATAGTACATGATAGTTTATTATTTTTGTTTCCCAAAATGAAAATACATTTGTTGAATGTTCTAGTAATGGTGGTGCTATTATCTTCTTCTTATTAATATCTTATTAATATATATCATATATTATTATATAATATATATTATATATAATAATATAATATTAATATATAATATATAATGTATAATAATATATAATATATAATGTATAATAATATATAATATATAATGTATAATAATATATAATATATAATATATAATAATATATAATATATAATAATATATAATATATAATATATAATAATATATAATATATAATATATAATAATATATAATATATAATAATATATAATATATAATATATAATATATATAGTATAATATATAATATATAATAATATATAATATATAATATATAATAATATATATAGTATATATAATATATAATAATATATAATATATAATATATAATATATAATATATAACAATATATAATATAATATATAATATATAATAATATATAATATATAATAATATATAATATATAATATAATACCATACCAAATGTGTATGGTAATACATACACCATACACTAAATGTGTATTTACCATACACCATAATATATAATATATAATATATATAATATATAATATATATTATATAATATATATAATTTATATATTATATATTATATAATATATAAATTATATATATTATATAATATATAATATATGTTATATAATATATGTTATATAATATATAATATATGTTATATAACATATATATTATATATTATATATATTATATATTATATTAATAAGATATATATTGTGGTTATATATAATATATATTATATATAACCACATTTGGTGTATGGTAAATACTCAATACATGTCAGGCCCTGATTGTTACATGTTTTGGCTAAAAAAGAAATGTGGTTTCATTGAGCTGATATAACTTGCTTAAGAGAAAACAGCTGGCCAGGTGTGATGGCTCACGCCTGTAATCCCAGCACTTTGGGAGGCCAAGGTGGGTGGATCACTTGAGGTGAGGATTTTGAGACCAGCCTGGCCAACATGGTGAAACCCTGCCTCTACTAAAAACACAAAAATTAGCCAGGCGTGGTGGTGTGCACCTATAATCCCAGCTACTCCTGAGGCTACGGCAGGAGAATTGCTTGAACCCAGGAAGCGGAGGTTGCAGAGAGCTGAGATCACGTCACTGTATTCCAGTCTGGGTGACAGAGCGAGATTGTCTCAAAAAACAACAACAAAAAAAGCAAACAGCTATGATACAATGGGAGCTGGTATTAAATAAAATAATGCTTGTGAAGTGCCCAGCACTGAGCCTGGCACATATAGCATTCTATTCTTTATTTATTTTATTGTATTTTATTTTATTTTTTGAGACCGAGTCTTGCTCTGTCACCCAGGCTGGAGTGCAGTGGCGCGATCTCGGCTCACTGCAACCTCTGCCTCCCGGAGCCATTCTCCTGCCTCAGCTTCCTGAGTGGCTGGGATTACAGGTGCCCGCCACCACGCCCGGCTAATTTTTTGTATTTTTAGTAGAGACGGGGTTTCACTATGTTGGCCAGGCTGGTCTCGAACTCCTGACCTCGTGATCTGCCCACCTCAGCCTCCCAAAGTGTTGGGAGTACAGGTGTGAGCCACCGTGCCTGGTCTAGAATGATCTTTAAATTGCAGCTGCTGTTATTCTTTTAAGCGGCTCATTAGCCCACATTTGGGAGGGAGGTGTGTAGAAACAATGCCGCAGGAAAAACTCAGATCAGTTAGTCAGTCTCCCCTTCCTCTGCTATCGCCTCATATGTCTTCCTTTTCCTCCCCCTTCCAGAGTCCCTATCAGGCCCCATTCCAGATAATCCCTGCTGCTCTGCTAAGTGATAACTGAGCTATTAGCTGGTGTTTAAGATAAAGCCTTTCCTAAACCATTTGCATTTCAGTGGGGAAATTCCTGAGAACCTAGTGGCTCCCTCATTCAAAGCATTTAGGGGGCATTGCTTTCTCCTCTAGGGAGACCGTGAAGATGTCTCTTTGGAAGAGTTACTCATCCGTGCTGAGGTCTCACTAATTAACATCTTGCCTCAGGAGGGCCAGTGTGCCTGAACAATGCTTTCTACTGATCAGTTCTATAGTGGGTTACCACAGGCACTGTATGATTGCCACAGTAGGGGGAACCATCGTCAAGGGCAGATCCTTATGGAATTGGAATATTGCAATATAGGGGTATTTGTGTATGTGTGTGTGTGTAATAAATAATTTAGTCCCAGGTAGTGCCATTCAGTATATTAACACATATTATTTATTTCTGTTTTCACAGCAGTCCTAAAAGTTCCGTATTATTTCCCCACTTTGCAGATGAAGAAATTGAGGCCCTTTAGTGGGTATTGGGGCTCTGCTGTTTTCCCTCATCCAACATTCTCCTTCCCCCTTCTTTTGTTATTAGCATATAGCTCACAGTATAGTTGGGATTTGTGTTCCTGCCCAAATCTCATATTGAAACGTAATCCCCGATGTTGGAGGTGGGACCTGGTGGGAGGTGATTGGAACATGAGGGCAGGTGTCACATGATGGTTTAGCACCATCGCGTTGGTGCTGTCCTCACAATAGTGAGTTCTTGTGAGATTTAGTTGTTTAAGTGTGTAGTACCTCCCCCTTCTTCTCTTGCTCCTCCTTTCCCCATGTGACCTTCAAGATCCCTCTCTGCCCTCCGCCATGATTGGAAGTTTCCTGAGGCCTCTCCAGAAGTAGATGCTGGTGTTATGCTTCCTGTACTACCTGGAGAACTGTGAGCCAATTAAACTTCTATTCTTATAAATTACACAGTCTCAGGTATTTTTTTTTAAATATAGCAATGTGAGGATGGACTAATACAGCTGATGTGGGACCGATCCTCCCTGCTCTTGTGTCTGAGAACTGACTAATCTAAATAATCTACACCACTGGCCACTGGGATTGGTTCAGGAGTAGACATATGAGGCCACTGAGAGCCAGACTTGGGACTTTTGTAGGAGATGTAGGAATGTGCCTTTTCTGACTTAGTGGGGCTAAGAAAGCAGAATGAGCCTAGAGGAGACAGGGGCAGTCTTTGCCTACGTGAGAATAAAACCAACACCAAGGAAACAGAGGTGGAAAAAGAAAGCGTGGTTTCAGTTGTTACAACATGAACATCTGAATCCAGACGTGCCCAACGCTAGAATATTCCTGGGCTTTTCGGTTTGTTGATCCACACATCCTGTTTCATGCTTAATCCAATCTTTGATCTGGGTATTCTGTCACTTGTAACTGAAAGAATCTTCATGAAGACAGACTCGGAGTGTTAAGGAATCAATGTTAGTGTCCCTGAAAAACTCATACGTTGAAGCCCTAGCCCCCAGTGTGATGGTTTTTGGAGGTGGGGCTTTTCAGCAGTAATTAGGTTAAGATGATATCATGAGGGTAAGGCCCAAACAATGAGATTAGTGTCCTTATAGGAAGAGGAAGAGACCAGAGCTTTCTCTCTACACCACGTGAGGACACAGTGATAAGGCAGCTGTCTGTAAGACAGGAAGAGAGCCCTCACTAGGCTCACTTTGGCACCTTGATCTCAGATTGTCAGCCTCCATAACTGAGAAATCAGTGTCTAATGTTTAAGCCATACAGTTTATGGTATTTTGTTATGGCATCTTGAATTGACTAAGAGAGGATAAGTGCCTCGTGTAATGTCACACAACTAATAAGCAGCAGAGCTGGGATTTGAACTCAGGTGTTGCTGACTTCCAAGTCCATGAAGTCTCCACGGAAATATGAGCTCTGGTGGCAAAAGAACGGATGGAGCAGATGCCAACATTAGTTTCAGCCTGGAGAAGAAAACCTGGTGATATGGTTTGGCTGTGCCCCCACCCAAATCTCAACTTGAACTGTATCTCCCAGAATTCCTATGTGTTGTGGGAGGGACCCAGGGAAAGGTAATTGAATCATGGGGACCCATCTTTCCCTTGCTATTCTCATGATAGGGAATAAGTCTCACAAGATCTGATGGTTTTATCAGGGGTTTCTGCTTTTGCATCTTCCCCATTTTCTCTTGCCACCATCATATAAGAAGTACCTTTCATCTCCTGCCATGATTCTGAGGCCTTCCCAGCCAGGTGCCACTGTAAGTCCAGTTAAACCTTTTTTTCTTACCAGTCTTGGGTATGTCTTTATCAGCCGCATGAAAATGGACTAATACACCTGGGCTTGCAAGGGGTTTGGTAGTGGGCTCGGGGCAGCTAGGTTACCTGGAAAGGAAAGAGACGGCCTTTGAAATACAACCTAATTCACTTCACCACTTTACTTAGTTGAGTGTTGCTTGAACTTCTGTTGCTAAACTAACTAAAAATTGCTGTTTTTTAGTGCTTACCAGATGGGAAGCACTGTACTAATATCTTTGCAAACATCATCTCGTTCAGTCATCCAAATCACCCTAGGAAAGAGATACCATTATCTCTTTTTGAATGACTTTGCCAGAGTTACACAGACAGTCAGTGGCGGAGCTGGGATGAAACTGTTTAGGACTGAGTCGTGTTCCCCCAAAATTCATATGTTAAAACCCTAACCCCCAATGTAACTGTATTTGAAGAGATTACCTTCATAGACTTAATCAACGTTAAATGATGCCATTATGGTGGGGCCCTAATCCAGTAGGACTGGTGACTTTCCAAGAAGAGGAGGAGACACCCGAGTTCTCTCTCTTTCCTTGCACACACAAAGAAAAGGTCATACACTCAGCAAGAAGGCAGACATCCGCAAGGGAGGAAGAGAGATCACATTAGAAACTTAATTTTCCAGCACCTTGATCTTGCACTTCTTGCCTCTAGAACTGTGAAAAAATTAATTTCTGTTGTTTAAGCCACTCAAGTTGTGGAATTTTATTATGGCATTCCAAGTAGACTAACACAGAACCCAAGCCTACCTGGGTTCAAATCTCATCTTCTTAACCACCACATGGGATTGCTAACATCCACCTACCCATGCACAAAAATTTAACATATGAAAAGATCTTTACAGAGCGTGGCCTGGGGGTGGGGCTGCTTCTTCAAAAGGGCTAGAATTGGTCCTGGAGTCCTAAAGCTAGAAGGATAAGTGCAAAGTCATATCTACTTGGCAGAATGAATCCAAATCTTTCAGCAGGTGCAAACTAATGTTTTCAGCTCTGCCATCCTTTCTGTCGTATGGGCTAGAATATAAAACAGCTCAGCCTCATCAAGAGAGTACAATGAAACTCTTTGCTGGGAAAAGGATAGCTTTATTTCTGTTAAAGGGCCACATTGAGAGCCTCAGAAGCAACTCTCTTTGCAGGACAAAGGAAAAATATTAGAGTGATGAATTAGTTCCTTACAACCCAATGACAGACTGGTGGATAAATGCAGTGACAGACCCCAAATTTTATCTTTCTGCAAGTCTGCCCCAAATAAAAAGCCCTTATCCTTATAGACACTCTCTGAAAATGGGATTAAAACATAGCAGAATGCCCCACTGTCTGGGTGACATTTGTTATTATTATTGCTGTTAAGTAAGAGCCAGGGTTTAGGTGTTAAAACCCAAGTGTGCGGTAATTACGGTACCACTGAGGCTCAGCACAATATGCTTCCTGTGTCTCTCTTGTTTTGATAGCTGGCTATATTGGCAAGAGGCATATACCACTGGGGCTCAATAAGGTTTAGGGCTGTCCTGTTCTGACTAACTCCCTTTGTGGCCCAAATAACACTATAAAAATCAACATGGGAAACCTTCCTTTTTTTTCTCCTAAGAAACGCCTGCACAAAAGCCTTATTTTTCTGCCTTGAAAGTGTTTTTAACTTAAACGCCAATTTAATTCTGGAAATTGTCTGTGGAGGGCCAAGTGCATTATTATACTCTCTGTTATGATGAGGATAGGAGGATGCAGGAGGTGCCATCAGTGGTTATGACATCTACATCTTTGAATCAGGGGTTGTCAACACTGGTCATACATCGGAATCAACTTGGGAGCATTAGAAAAGTACTGATGCTTGGGTCCTAACTGAGATATTTTGATTTTCTTGGTCCTGGGGTGCAGGCTGACCAATGGGATTTTATTTAAAGTGTCCTGGGTTATTCTGATGTGCAGCCGTACTGGAGATCCACTTCTTTAAACCAGTTTTAGAGTTCAGCATTTTCCCCATAAACAGCTTAAAGTATAGGAAGTAAATGGTATATGCTATGGTTTGGATGTGTTTGTTGTTGTTGTTTGTTTGTTTTTTGAGACGGGGTCTCCATCTGTCACCTAGGCTGGAGTGCAATGGCGCGATCTCGGCTCACTGCAACTTCGGCCTGCCGGGTTCAAGTGATTCTCCAGCCTCAGCCTCCTGAGTAGCTGGGATTACAGGCATGCAACACACACCTGGACAATTTTTGTAATTTTAGTAGAGACAGAGTTTCACCATGTTGGCCAGGCTAGTCTCGAACTCCTGACCTCATGTGATCCATCTTCCTTGGCCTCCTAAAGTGCTGGGATTACAGCGGTAAGCCACTGCACCTAGCCTGGGTGTATTTTTTTTCCCCCTGAAACTCATGTTGAAATTTGATTCCCAGTGTAGAGGTATTGGGAGGTGGGGCCTAGTGGAAAGCATTTGGGTCATGGAGTGGATCCTTCATGCATGGCTTGGTGCTGGTACTGCGATAGTGGGTGGGGGCTGGCTTTGGTGAGACTGGATTAGTTCCCTTGAGTGTGGATTGTTATAAAACAAGGACACCCCTCATGTTTTCCCTCTTTGCACGTGTCTGTTTCCTTTTTCACCTTCTGCCATATTGTGTTGTGGTGCAAAAGCCCTCACCAGAAACAGATGCCGGCACCATGCTTCTTTAACTTCCCAGCCTGCAGAGCTGTGAGCCAAAACAACCTTTTTACTTTATAAATTCCCCAGCTTCAGGTATTCTGTTACAGCAACAAAACATGAATTAAGACAGTGTCTGTGCTGTGTAGATAAATGTACTGTGTGACTTTTGACAAATTACTTGACCTCTTTATGTTTCCTCAATTTTCTCGCCTATACAATTTTGGTAAAAGAAATGCCTAATTCATAAGTTTGTGGTGAGGGTTATTAAATGAAGTAATTAATGTGCCTGGCAGAGAATACACATTTGATAAATGTTGGCTATTATTATTACTGCTATTGTTACTATCACCTGTTAGATGATAAACCAGAAACTAGTAAACTAGAAACTAGTTTTATTTAAAAAAAGGAGGGGGCTATTTACTGATTCATGTAAACAAATCTACGAAGGGGTAAGGGTAGATCTGGTCTCAGGACAACTGGGTCCATGGACTCAAAACCATCCATTGTTTCTTGCTGTTTCTCATTTTGCTTCCTTCTCTCATGTTAGCTTCAGGCTTGGGGACCAGCTTTTCTGCATAGGAAGAAGAGGCATTATATCAGACTGACCTGGCACACATTTTATGTCCAGAAAGGAAAAAGGGATTTTCTCACCAGGTTCTGCTGGGGAAAAAGACCTGAGGAAAGATTGTCCAGAATTGAGTCATATACTCATTAGTGATCTGTCCACTGTGGCTATGGAGGTGGGATCTTCTCCCAGAGGGAGGAAAAGTGAGGTGCCTAGAAGACAAAAATAACAACCGCTACAATGATGAAAAACCAGTTCTAATAAGAATGACTATCCCTTCCACAAATATTTATTAAGCATCTAACAGGAGCCAGACATGGTTCTATATACTACTTTATAAGATGAGAAATGGACATTCCATTAAAAAAATACCGAAGTATAGTTTCGTACAGTAAACTTCACCCATTTTTTGAGATATAATTCACATACAGTAAAATTCGACCTTTTAAAGACATGTAATATTTTATCCTTTTTGGTGCTATAGTAGAGGTAGTAAATTTTGGAATTAGGAAGTGTTAGGCCTTCAACTTTCTTTTTTTTTTTTTTTTGTAAAATTTGACAAATAATCATGTTTCACTACCACAATTAAGATATAGAATATTTCAATTATCCCTTAAATTGTCTTGTGTGTCTTTGAAGTCCACCCCTTTGTCTTCTCCCTGCCTATGGCAACCATTGATCTGTTTTTTTGCCACTCTAGTTTGCCTTTTGCAGAATGTCATTTAAAAGGAATCATACAGCATGTGGCCTCCTTTCACTTAGCATTTGAGATTCATACAAATCGTTGTGTATATGGATAGCTTCTTCCTTTTTATTACTGAGTAGTAGTCCATGGTATAGGTATGCTGCTGTTTGTTTATCCATTCACCAGCTAAAGGATATTTAGGTTGTTTCCAAGTTTGGAGTGATTGTGAAAAAGCTGCCAGAAGACTTGCATACAAAATTTTGTGTAAACATACATTTTAATGTCATTTGGTAAATGTCTGGGAGTGAGGATGCTGAATCATATGGTAAGTGTATGCTAGGCTCTATAAGAAATTGCCAAAATGTTAAAGTGGCTGTGACATTTTGCATTCCCATTCACATGCATGAGAGTTATGGTTACTTTACCTTCTTAACAACATACGATATTGTCAGTTTTTAAGGAGGGCATTCTGATAGGTGAGTAGTGGTGTTTCATTCTGGTTTTATTAATAACTAATGGTGCTGAGCTTCTTTTTGGGTGCTAATTTGCAATTCATCTGCTTTCTTCGGTAATGTGTGTGTTCAAATTGTGTGTCCATTTTTTGAGTTGCTTGTTTCTTATTATTGAAATTTAAGTGTCCTTTGTATATTCTGTATATAAGTCCAGATATCAGGTATGTATTTTGAATACATTTTTTCCCAGTCTGTGGCTTGCCTTTTCATTCTGTTAACAATGTCTTTTGAAGAGCAGAAATTTTACATTTTGGCCTAGTCAAATTGATCAATTTTTAAAAATTCATGAATTATGTGTCGTATCTAAAACACCTTTGCTTAATCCAAGATTAGAGAGATTTTCTCCACTTTTTTCTAGAAATGTTATAATTTTAGGTCTATATTTGGGTCTATGATCCCTTTTGATGTAATTATTGCAGATTATGTGATGTATAGGTTGAAGCTCATTATTTTGCTTATGGATGCTGCTGTGATTTGAATGTGTCCCCCAGAGTTCATGTGTTGAAAGCTAAATCCCTAATGCAACAGTGTTGAGAGATGGGAACTTAAAAGATCATTAAGAGGCTAGGTGTAGTGGCTCACACCTGTAATCCCAGTGCTTTGAGAAGCCCAGGTGGTGAATAGCTTGAGGCTGGAAGTTCAAGATCCCATCTCGACAAAGCAAAGCAAAACAAAACAAAACAAAAATTGCCAGGCAGGGTGGTATACTCCTGCAGTCTTAGCTATTCAGGAAGCTGAAGTAAGAGGATCTCTTGAGCCCAGGAATTTTAGGCTGCAGGGAGCTGCAATTGCATCACCACACTCCAAACTGGGTGACAGAGTGAGACCCTGTCTCTAAAGAAAAAAAAAAAAACAAAAAACGTGATCAGGTCATGTGGGCTCTGCTCTCATGAATGGACTAATGCTGTCATTGTGAGAGTGGGTTTGTTATTGTGGGAGTGGGTTCCTGATAAAAGGGTGGGTTTAGCCCCCTTTCCTCCCCTTTTTGTGCCTGCTCTTTTGTCCTTCTGCCTTCGGCCACAGGATGATGCAGCAGGAAGGCACTGCCAGATGTAGGCCCCTTCATCTTAGACTTCCCAGCTTCCAGAACTGTGAGAAATAAGCCTTGTTTTTAAATAAACTACTCAGTCTCAGGTATTCTGTTACAGCAGCATAAAACAGACTACGAAAGATGTTCAATAATTATTTCAGTATAATTGAATTGCTTTTGCACCTTTGTGAAAAATAAGCTGACCATATTTGTGTGGGTCTATTTCTGAACTCTATTCTGTTCCATTGATCTATGGGTTTTTTTCTTCATCTATACTATGTAGTCCTAATTACGGTAGCTTTATAGCCAATCCTGAAATCATGTAGTATGAGTTCTTCAACGTTGTTCATCTTTTTCAGAATTATTTTTGAATTCTATTTCTGTTGCCTTTCTATTTAAAATTTAGAATCAGATTGTTGGTTTCTACAAAAAAAAACTTACTGAGGGTTTGATGGAATTGCATTGAATTAGGGAGAATTGGCAACTTAACAATATTGAATATTTCAGTCCATGAACACATAATAGGTTTCTATTTAGGTCATCTTTAATTTCTTTTATCAGTCTTTGTAGTTTTCACCACACAGATCTTGCACATATTTTTTTCTAAACGTTTCATGTCTTTTGATGCTATGGTAAATGTAAATTCAAAATTAGAAATATAGGTCCTCCAGCTTTCTTTTTTTCAAAGCCGTTTTGTCTGTTTCTGGATTCTTTGCTTTTTTACATACATTTTAGTATTAGCTTTCTGGAAAAAGCCTGCTGAGATTTTTATAGGAGTGGTCTTGAATCTATAGATCAACTTGAGAAGAATTGCTAAAAATAATATTGAGTCTTTCAATCCATGAACATGGGATATCTATCAATTTATTTAGGTCCTTTTACATTTTTGTCAGTAATTTTTGTAGTTTTCAGTGTACAAGTCTTGCACTTCTTTTGTTAAATTTATTCCTATTTTATTCCTTTTGATGCTGTTGTGAACAGAATTGTCTTCTTAATTTCATTTTCAGATTGTTCATTACTGATATATAGAATACAATTGATTTTTGTGTATTGATTTTCTATTTCTTCTTGAGTGTGCTTTGGAAGCTTATGTTTTTCAAGTGATTTGTCTAAGTGGTTGAATTTATTGGCATAAAGTCGTTCATAATATTCTCTTGTTCTATCTTAATGTCTGCATTATCTATAGTGGTGTCATCTCTTAAATTCTTGCTTTTGATAATCTGTTTCCTCTCATTAATCAGTCTGGCTAACGGCTTATTAAAATTATTGATTTTTTAAATTATACTTTAAGTTCTGGGATACAAGTGCAGAATGTGCAGGTTTGTTACAAAGGTATACACATGCCATGGTGGTTTGCTGCACCCATCAACCCATCATCTACATTAGGTATTTCTCCTAATGCTATCCCTCCCCCAGCCCCCCAACCCCTGACAGGCCCCATTGTGTGATGTTCCCCTCCCTGTGTCCATGTGTTCCCCTTGTTCAACTCCCACTTACAAGTGAGAACATGCAGTGTTTGGTTTTCTGTTCCTGTGTTAGTTTACTGACAATGATGGTTTCCATTACTGGGTATATACCCAAAGGATTATAAATCATTCTGTAAAGACACATGCACACATATGTTTATTGCAGCACAATTCACAATAGCAAAGACTTGGAACCAACCCAAATGCCCATCAATGATAAACTAGATAAAGAAAATGTGGCACATATACACCATGGAATACTATGTAGCTGTAAAAAAGGATGAGTTCATGTCCTTTGCAGGGACATGGATGAAGCTGGAAAATTGATCTTTTAATGCACCATTTTTTTTCTCAAGTGTTTTTCTCTTTTCAACTTTATTGTTCTACTCTTATCTTTATTATTTACTTTCTTTCGCCTGACTTGGATTTTATTTCTTTTACTTTTTTTTTCTAGTTTTTTAAGGTGGAGGCTTAGGCTACGATTTGAGACCTTTCTTATTTTCAGACATAAGTATTTAATGATACAGAGTTCCCTGTAAACATTGTTTATCTGTGTTCCACAAACCTTGATATGTCAAAATTTCTTTTTTATTAAATTCAAAATATTTCCTAATTTTCATTGTACCTCCCTATTTAATCCACGGGTTGTTTAGAACTATGTTACTTAATTTGCAAGTATTTTGATATTTTCTAGATATGTTTATATTATTGGTTTGTAATTTAATCTCACATGGTTGCAGAATATACTTTGTATTATTTCAGTATTTTAAATTTGTTAAAGTTGTTTTATGGCCCAGAATATCTTGCTGAATGGTTCATGTGAACTTGAATAGAATGTGTATTCTGTTGTTGTTGAGTGGAACATTCTGTAAATGTCAATTAGATAAAGTTGGTTCATAGTGTTGTATATCCTTGCTGATTTTCTATTTCTTCTGTCAATTACTAAAAGACAAACTGTGAAGTCTCCAAGTGCAAATGTCTATTTTTTTAGTTCCATAACTTTTTTGCCTCATGTGTCTTGAAGCTCTTGTATTAAGTACATATGTATTTTCAATGGTTATGTCTTTTTGGTGAATTGATTCCTTTATCATTATATAAAGTCCCTTTGGTAATATTTCTTGTTCTGATGTCTACTTTGATACTAATATAACCACTCCAGATTTCATTTTGTTGTGTTTTAAAACTATTATTTTAAATAAATACATGGTTTTGGATAGCATTTCCATGGTATTTGTAGTTTCATTCTTTTACTTTTAATGTATTTATATCTTTATATTTAAAGTAGGTTCCGTGTAGGCAGCCTATAGTTGGGTCTTGCTTTTTAAAATTCAATCTGTCAATCTCTGTCTTTTAATGTGTATTTAGGCCATTTACATTTATTATCATTATTAATGTTGGGTTAAAATACAACATCTTATTAGTTGGGAATTATTATTGATGTGCTTTCTTTTTGTTACATCTGAATCTTCTGTGATTCTCCAAATGGTCTCTGCTGAGCTGTGGCAAACAGAGGGGAAGAGGTTATTCCATTCTGAAGAGTGCCAGTGCCAGTGGGGTCTCTAGTAGAGGTCAGCTATGCCCAGCCTATGGCACTGCCACCTAGATCTCAAGCAGCAGAAACAGCAATGTGGCAGACTGACAAAATGGCCAGTTATTCAACAAATCCCTTGATGAGTACTGTCTCATTAACATGGTAGATACAATCATTATACCACCAGTGTACAGATGAGAAAATTGAAGCTCAGAGAGACTAAGTGATCTGACCAAGATTATGCAGTGGCAGAGCTAAGATTTGAGCCCAGGTCCATCTGAATTTGAAGTTTAACATCTTATTCACTATGTGGACAGGCTATAGATACATAATTTGAAGGCATACGTTAATGATCTTAATCCAAATTGTTATCAATATGTAAGTTGAAGGATGTAATTACATTTTCAACCTCGTGAGGGGTTTGTGCCTTCAAGGTAAGATAACACAAACCTGTTACCTGTTGGATATTATCTATTTAAAGTGGCTATTTTTAAAAAGATGAAAGATAACACATGCTAGTGAGGATGTGGAGACATTGAGACCCTTGTATGCTGTTGGTGGGAATATAAATTAGTACAGCCATTATAGAAACCAGAATGGAGTTTCCACAGAAAAATTAAAAATGGAACTACCATATGATCTAGCAATCTCCCTACTGGGTATATACCCAAAGGAAATGAAATCAGTATGTTGAAGAGATATCTGCACTCTCATGTTCATTGCAGCATTATTCACAACAGCCAAGATACAGAATCAACCTAAGTATCCATTAACAGATAAATAGATAAAGGAAATGTGGTTATGTATACACAATGGAATACTACTCAACCTTAAAGAAGAAAATGCTGCCATTTGGAACAACATAGGTGAATCTGGAGGACATTATGTTAAGTGATAGAAGCCAGGCACAGAAAGTCAAATAAAACATGATCTTACTTATATATGGAATCTTAAAAAGTAGAATTTATAGAAGCAGAAAGTAGAATGGTAGTTACACGGGGATGACTGTTGGGGAGATGTTGGCCAAAGGAAACAAAGTCTCAAGAGGAATGAGTTAAAGAGATATATTATACAATATGGTGACTGTAGTTAATAACAATATATTCTATTCTTAAAAATTGCTAAGAGATTAGATTTTAAGTGTTCTCACTACAGAAAATAATAAGTATGTGAGGTAATGCATATGATAATTAGCTCAATTTAGCCATTCCAGTGTGTACATATTTCAGAACATCATCTTGTACATCATAAATGTATACAGTTTTATTTGTCAATGAAAAGTTAACTAATTAAAATTAAAAAAACTGGTATTATTTGCCTTTATTAGAAATCCAGTAATTACTGGGAGACAAGGAAACATAATCGAGTTGAAGACTCAATCAATTTGTACTGATGAATTGGCCAAGGGACATTTCTGCTAATTTGCCCATTTCTTGGGTTTGTAGAAAAGCAGGGTACAGACGATCGCTTCAGTGGAGAAAGAAGCTCTCTAAATGAAGATAGCAAGTGGTGAAGCAGAGTGATTCTGACATCTGCTAACTAGATAAGTACACCGACTCCACCAGCTCATTGCTGTGCTTTCATTCTACCCTGTGGAATCCCTTTTAGCCAATCCTTGATCAAATAATGAACCTATTGCAGAAATAAAGGGGAAGCACGTCCATCACTACCTCCCTAACTCAGAAAAATCAAGCTTTTTTCTGTTCTACACTGTTTCCTGTCATGCGTAATATAGCAAATTAATTAGTGGATCTGGCGGCATTTGCTAATACAATTTCTCTCCCTTGCTTGAGGTGAATTATGTTCATGCTTCAGTCACTTGAATATTACTCTTCCATGTTTGACGGAATTTTGTTATCAGGTGACTATATTGCACACTATCTGATTCTAATTAAACCAGAAAATAGTGACATTGTACAAGAGGAGAATGTTTCACAGTGTGCACCACCCACCCCCTTGTCGCTACATCCCAGTTTTTAGAGCTTTTTGAGCTGTGCTTGGGCTATTTTCTTATGTTTACATCGTCTTACGCTTCTCCAGACACAATGGCTTCTTGGGCATTGCCTTCATCTACTAGGTAATTTGTATAAATTGAGTCCTGGAAGACATAATGTTTACACTTGTCTTTTTTTTTAATCAGAAGCATAATGCACAGTAGCAAACTGTGAGTATTTCAGATGATATGAAAGAAGAAAATGTGCTGTTTTGCCAAAATCATTCATGTAACTTGGAAAGAAAAGTTTCTGAGAGAAGAAAAACTAACATTTTAGAGGGGAAAGGGAGAAATGGGCTATAAAGATGAATTGGGGAAGCAATGTAATGTAGAGGTTAAGATCACAGGCTTGTAGTGCAGGGCTTGACTTCTGGTTCTGTCTTTATCTGACACTATTTCTTTCTCCTTACACAATAATAAGTGCTCAGGAGTTGATTTGCCGAAGGTCTAATGATGAGGTAGTAAAAGAACCAGGGCTGGGGCTCCCATTCCAGTTTTCCTTTTTTTCTATACCCTGTTAAATGCCAAGCCCTGATTCTGCCAGGGTGGAGAGTGAAGGGGAGTCTCTGGAGTCATCAATTACAGCAGGTCACTGGGTATCAGAGTCTCTTTTCTCATGAGGATAAAGATGTCCTTTTGAGTTAGACTATATTCACCCTTCATGAACCTTGGGGACATTGATGGCAGGGAGAGTTTTCTAAAGCTTTAGACAACTCAGAGGTGAAATAGGCACCATGCTGCAAATGAAAGGCACTTTTATGGTTGTCTGAAAAAAATACAGCACACTGCTTTAAACTTAGAAAGCCCAAGTGCAAGCTACAGTCAGGTGTGGTCTGCAGGCTTTGGTCTTTTGTCCCTGTTCAACAGCTGGTAAAGCTGGGAGAGGTAATCGCTGATGGAGACTTGCTCCTGTTGGGATAATATTTCTCAGACCATAGTCCTGCCATTTTGCAGACTTTTTCTTTTGGAGAAATGGGCTCCTACCTTGGAAGAGCCAATTATGTAATTCAGGTTGAACCTGGCTCTTTTTTTTCCCACTGATCTCTATCTTCCTTGGTGAAGACCACTTGGCCTCCGCCTCCCTGTTAGATATTATTCTTGGCCTATGTAAGCAGTGGAAAGCCTGAATTTTGCCCAGGCTTTGGGCAAGATGAAATGACACCTTCTGGGTTGGTGGAAGGAAAGGGCTATTTCTTTGGGCTACTTGAAGGACCCAGAAAGCAAAAGAAAAATCATGTCTTTCTTTGCAGAATTTCTGCTGTGGAAAGAGGCAAAGTCAATCAAGAGACAGAGATCCTTGACACATATGTATTGAATATCTACTATATTGCAGGTCATATTCTGGGTGCTGGGGAGATATCTGAACAAAACAGACAAAAATCCCTGCCATGAGGAACAAGGAATAGGTGTTTAATATGGTCTGTAGAAAAAGTACGGGAATAAAAGTCCCAAACCTGGCCTTTTTACTAGTTTATAGTCTAGTGGGGAGAAATAGACTTAAGAAACAACAAAAAGAGGAACGTATATAGTATATTGGAAGGTGATAAGTTTAATGAAGTAAATTAAGCAAAGGAAATAGATAGCAAAAGCAGAGAAGAAATGGAGGAGGTTTCTATTTAAAACAGGGAGGTCAGAGAAGGCTTTCTGCAACAGAAGAATTTTGAGCAAAGACTTGAAGAGGCAAGAGAGTGAACCATGTAGATATCTGTGGGAAGAACATTACGGGAAGCAAACTCAGCAAGTGGAGAATTCCCAGTATGTTTTAGGAAGAGCAACAAGGCCAAGTGTGGTGGGACTAGAGAGAGAGAGCGAGTACGGGAGAGTGGTGAGAAATGAGGTCGTCTTCAATGATTGTAGTTTGCTTAACTTGTGGCTGCTGGCTAGACAGGATGAAGTAGTTTGAGTTGTTTAAGAAGGACTTACTAGGTATGTGGGATCAGACTAGTGCTAGGCTAGACCCCAGGACAGGAAAGATGACTGCATTCAAGGACCAAGTAGTTCAGTTCAAGATTGAATATTGGCCTGTATGGAAACTTAGAAAACAGTGAGGCTCAGGTGTGTTATATATAGATATCTGAAAGAAGAGAGAAGGTTGTAGAGGACTGGATTGGATATAAGGCTCTGGAGGCAGACTGCCTGGGTATGAATCGTAGCTCCATTACTTATTACTGGTGTGATCTTGGGAAAACCACTTCACCGTCTGAGGATCAGTGTTTACATCTATAAAATGGAGTTCACAATGGAAGGTACATTGCAGGGGTGTGTGAGGATTTAAGACAGCACATGTTTAGCAAGTGCCATGTACATAGTAAGCCCTCAGTAAATATGAGCTGACATTCTTATTATTCATTGAGGTGGTTAGAGAAGGATTCTGTAAAGCTTGAAACCATGGAGTTAGTGATGTGCCATGGACTGAACTCAAGGGAATTTCTACTAGACTGCCCTTAACTTCTCTTAGATGGTGCTTGGATAGATTGCATGTGACTGAAATAGTTTTTTGGTGCTGGAAGCATCATAAGGAGATAGGACCAGCGGATTAGAAATAAAGGGGTGATGGTTGTGCCTTTACCAACAGTGTGTTGCTATGGAGAAGAAGGCCCTCAAGGAAAAAGAGGAAAATGTGATCAAATACATCAGCATGGGGTTGAACAAGAGCAGTGAGGACAATGTTCATAGTTGACTGACTAGAGTAGTGTCAATAAGAATGGCAATTTATTGAGCATTTGCACATGTCATCTCACGTAGGGCTTACCGTAGTCCTATAAGGTGGGTACTCATATTATCTTTGTTTTGCCACAGAGGAAGTGAAGGCTTACAGAAGTGAAGTGATATGCTAAAGGTCACACAGCTAGTAAGAGGCATATCTGGGACTCAGCTCAAGGGAGTTTCCATTAGACTGCCCTTAACTTCTCTTAGATGGTGCTTATATGGCTTGCATGTGACTGAAGTAGATTTTTGGTGCTAGGGGCATCATAAAGAGAGAGGTCTAGCAGATTGGAAACAAAGGGATAATGGTTGTGCCTTTACTAAGTGCATTGAGCTATGCTCATTTATGTTCTTATGATCTCTTAGAAACAGAGACTTGGTTCTTTCCTGTCTTAAGAAGGAAAATCTGACTGCGGGGTATGGCCATCCCCTAAAATATCAAAAAGACATCTATTTCCATTTTCTTCCTCCTAATACCTAGGAGACAACAAAGTGGATTTCCAGTGGTACTTCCCACATGAGTAGAATGAACTTTCCTTGGTAAAAGTTGACTTTCTTACTAAAGGACAAAATATATAGGCTCCTCAATTTGAGCCATGGGATTTGGTGGGCAGCTGGACTGAGCCCAAAGACATCCCCACAGGGAGGCAAAGCTGGCTGGTATATGTGGAAAGAGTGAGTGGCTCAGGGAATAGATGCTGTGAGCCAGGTTGTGAATTTCCAGAGCCCAGGGATTAGAGCCACTTGACATTCACTTTAGGTGAACTGTGTTGTCTTACATCCTATTTTTCATGAATACTTTTAAAATTTTTATTTTTTTCTTTTAATTTTTTTGACACAGAGTCTCTTTCTGTCACTCAGGCTGGAGTGTGGTGGTGCTGTCTCCACTCACTACAACCTCTGCCTCCTGGGCTCAAGGGATTCTTGTGCCTCAGTCTGCTGAGCATCTGGGACTACAGGCATGCACCACCATGGCCAGCTATTTTTTTTTTTTTTTTTGTATTTTTAGTACAGACTGGGTTTTACTGTGTTGGCCAGGCTGGTCTCGAACTCCTGGCCTCAAGTGATCTGCCCACCTTGGCCTCCCAAAGTGCTGAGATTACAGGTGTGAGCCACCATGCCCAGTCTTTCGTGAATACTTTTGATGTATGGAGTAACTCATAAATTTTTAAAAAATATTTCAAATTCCTAACTCTTCTTGAAACAATAGGTATTATGGGTGGCTAGTTTATTTCTTTTCAGTTAATGATTGAATTCATTGAGCCCTTACTAGGTGGTGAGCACTGTCCGAGGTGCTGAAGGAAGAGACAAAGATAGGATTACTGTATCTCAGAAGCTTATATTTTAGAGAACAACAAAGTACCATGTACATTTTACCATGTAAGTTTAGCCTGTTATATATGAAAATGACTTTTTACCTAAAAGTAATGAGCACAAGTCATGGGTTTTAAAGGTAACTTGTTCAATTCTGACATTATACTCTTGGTCAACCCAATTGGTGAATCAGTATTTCCTTCAATAGTCCTGGGATAATGAAGAGTTGGCAAACATGTTACATAAAAATTTAGGAATTAAGAATATTGGACTCTTCCTGAAGATAGGATATTTTAAATGCAGGACTAGAGCTCCTGAACCATATATTATAGGGAAAATCTAGAGAAAAAATAAAAGGTATTTATCAATGTTTGGTTGTGTGATCTTGGGTAGCTTCTTGTGCCTCATTGTTTTTGTCATTTAGAAAATGATAGAATTAATCTGTACATTGATAATGAAGTCCCTTTAGGTTCTAGAATTCTGTAATTTTGGTCTTGAACTGAAATTACCATGACAAGGGATTTTGATAGATGTTGCCTAATTGCTAACCAATGAAATGTTTTCTACAACTCCACCCCTGCTCTTTTGGCATTTTATCTTTGTTAAGTGAAAAATGATATGTGTTGCTTTGAACTTTATTGCTTTAATTTGTTGCAGAAGTTGAGTGGCTTTTCATATATATTAAATTTGATTGGTTACTTTATTTAAAAAATTGTAAATTGTATGATTTTGGTATCCAGGTAAGATACTGTGAAAGTTACCTTGTAATTAAGTTCTTGGGTGATTTATTGGAGGCCTTAATATTATTATAATAGATAATAGGGCTGTCTAAATGCCACTGTACTTGGTTATCAAGCTCAATGCCATTTAAATTTTTTTCAAAAAATTTTCAATGACATTCTTGTTATTGTTAACAGTTTACTTTTTTCCCGTGATTGAAAAGACTAACACTCAAGTTTGAAAGAGAAATGTTAATTTTCAGGGCTGCTGCAAACCTTGAATTTGAATCCTAATCTTGCCACTTACTGCTTGTGTGACCTTCAGCAAAGTGCTCAATTTATAGAACCTCAGTTTAATCATCTGTATATTGGGAATAATAGCAAAATCTGCCTCAGAGATTATTGATAGGATTAGCTGAAATAATGCATGCAAAATGCTTAGTTTATTGCCTGAAAACTTATTAAGTATAATAAATATTTATTATTGTAATCAACAGTTGTACTAGAGAGCTATTGCACAATAATTATGATTATAATGAAAATGATAATTAATAAGACCCCCACAGTTTCTGATTTAGAATGTGTCTGGGGAAGAGCCTGAGGATGTGTCTTTCTAACACATTTTGGGGTGATGCTGATGCTGGTGGTCCAGGCACCATGCTTGGAGAACTACTGTTCTAAGCATCTGAACAATGTGATCTCATTTGGTCCTTACCAGATCACTCTAGGAGGCAGGTTCTTTTATGATGGTGCTTTAATAAGTGAGGGATTAGGGAGGTTTAGTAGCTTTCCCAAAGCCCCGCAGCTTGGAAGTGGTGGAACCAAGAGTTAAAGATTTATGCTCTTCTTTCCACCTGTGATTATTTATGTGGAGTTCTAAACCATTGATCTCCTGTATCCACCCCCTTGATGTCTTCTCTCACCACCTTTCCCGACTCTAAGCCATTGCCAATTACTATCACCATCCCCTTGTCCACACTCGTGATTCCTGTGTCCCTCTCTTGCGTTGTTTGCTTGGCATGGTCACAATCCCGGTTAAATTCATCTCTCTGCCTACTCTGTACCTGCCCTTGAGAAACTGAACACGGCTGGAGAAACATACAAAACTACTCCGACCTTGCCAGGAACCTCGAATGACCCGTTAACACTGCCAGGAGATCACACTGCACTTTCCTAGCCCATTCATTCTGCATCTTGCTTTTTCGTTTCTTTAAAAATTTATTTTATTGTGGTGAGAATGTTTAACCCAAGATCTACCCTCTTAGGAACTGTCTAGGTGTACAATACAGCATTGTTAATGATTGGCACAAAGTTCAGCAGATCTCTAGAACGTATTTGTCCTGCATGATTGAGACTTTATTGGTTAGCAGCTTCCTCTTTCCCCCTTCCTCCAGCCCCTGGCAACTACCATTCTACTTAATGTCTCTATGCATTTGACTACTCTAATTTCCTGCCATAAACAATATGATATATCTGCACCTACACTCATGCAATATTTGTCTTTTTGTGACTGGCTTATTTCACTAAGCAAAATATCCTTATGATTCATCCATATTGGATATTGCAGAATTTCCTTGTTTTTATTTATTTATTTATTTTTCGAGATGGAGTCTCACTCTGTCGCCCAGGCTGGAGTGCAGTGGCGCGATCTCAGCTCACTGCAACCTCCGCCTCCCGGGTTCACGCCATTCTCCTGCCTCAGCCTCCTGAGTAGCTGGGACTACAGGTGCCCACCACTATGCCCAGCTAATTTTTTTTTTTTGAGACGGAGTCTCGCTCTGTCGCCCAGGCTGGAGTGCAGTGGCGCGATCTCGGCTCACTGCAAGCTCCGCCTCCCGGGTTCACGCCATTCTCCTGCCTCAGCCTCCCGAGTAGCTGGGACTACAGGCGCCAGCTACCACGCCCGGCTAATTTTTTGTATTTTTAGTAGAGACGGGGTTTCACCGTGTTAGCCAGGATGGTCTCGATCTCCTGACCTCGTGATCCGCCCGCCTCGGCCTCCCAAAGTTAATTTTTTATATTTTTAGTAGAGATGGGGTTTCACTGTGCTAGCCAGGATGGTCTCGATCTCCTGACCTTGTGATCCATCCACCTCGGCCTCCCAAAGTGCGGGGATTACAAGCTTGAGCCACTGCACCTGGCCATTTGTTTTTAAGTGTATGTATATACCACATTTTCTTTATCCATTCATACATCAGGGGACATTTAGGTTGTCTCCACATCTTGGCTATTGCGAGTAGGGCTGCAGTATACATTGGAGTGTTAATATCTCTTTGAGATCCTGATTTCAATTCTTTTGGATAAATACTCAATAGTGGGATTACTGGATTGTATGGTAGCTCAAATTTTTTGAGGGAGAAGGAATCTCCATAATGTTTTCTATAGCATCTCTCACTTTCTTCAACACCTATTTTACATGTCTCTTTTCTTCTCAAACCCCATCTCCTTCCCATTCTTACTCTCAGCTGATGACCATGTTTCTTTGCTCTTTCAGAGAAATAAAGGAACCAGAAGGGAATTCACACTGACTCCCATAATCTCATCTCCCCACATTCTGGCATCTGTACTCACCCACTCCAACCTCTCACCTGTGCCCATAGGTGGAAGGAGGGAAGGAGGTTCACAGTGAGTGTCTGGAGAGCTGGCGATGTTCTGTTTCTTGAGTTGGGTTCTGGTAGTATAAGAATATCCAGATTACAATTCCTTGAGCTGAGTACTTATAATTCATGCACTTTTCTGTGTGCATGTTATTTGTCAATAAGTCCAAAGGCAAAAAAAAAAACAGATAAACTCATTAAAGTTTAGGATGAAGCAGGGATAAGACTTATTTGCCTTTGAAATACTAGTTCTCAACCAAAGGAGATCCTCATCCCTGTCCCTCCCCACCAAGGGGGCATGTGGCAATTTCTGGAGACATTTTTGGTTGTCGCAACTAGGGAGAAGGTACTCCTGGCATCTAGTTTGTAGAGGTCAGTGATGCTGCTAAACATCCTACAGTGCACAGAATAGTCCCTACAATAAAGAATTATGCAGCCCCAAATGCCAATAGTACTGAGATTGAGAAACTTGGCCGCAAAAGAACCTGTCTGAGAAACTCCAGGATCACTTGAACATTAATTTCATCCACCATAGTCTTTGCTGATATTGAGCTCCTTATTTACTAGATTCAGAGAATGTATCCTTTCCCAGGGGAGCATCTGAGAGCAGGAGCGAATTTCATTTGCTACCTCGTAAATCTCTGAAATGGAAAACAGGTCTGAATATTCCTCTGTCTCTCTCTCTCCCCTAGTCTTTGAAGCCCTCCAAAGTGGGCCATGGCAGTTAGCTCACAACAAATTCCCCAGACACAATTTAAATGTCATTTTGGGGGCTGGGACTAGGGCATGAATATTTAAGATGTAAATTGTTTGGGCTGTGCCTAAATCTTTTATGGGTTTTACTGGATGAGAAAAATGAGTTACTACTTTTTGATGAAGTTCACTTTCCTTTCATATTATTAGCAAACCCAGCCAAGTGAACCAGACTGCATCTGCCAGAGAAAATAGGGATGCTTGTTTGCGGGATGATATTAGATTATGTTCCCAGCATGCCGTATTTATGGTTCAAAAATCAAAGAACAGGTAGGAGAGTTGTCTTAGGTCAGCGTGTCCTTGCCAGTGAAAGTAGCTTACCAAATACACTTGGGAGGACAGTTTGGAGGAGTGGTGGAGAGTAGAAGTGAATTTAAATAGTCGAACTCTACCTGAAGAGTTAGGTACCCTGAGGGTTGATTTTAGAGAAATATTGAAATCACGAGATACTAACTCCAGAGATTAGTCCTTTCTTATTCTTCAGTTTAAATCCCAGGGGATGGGTACAGAGCAGAGGCAAAGGAAAGGACACACAACAAGGAAAAACAGAGAGAGAGAGAGAGAGAGAGAGAGAGAGAAAAAGAGAGATTGATTGATTTAACAAGTTCCATGGACTTCAGAAAGAATATATATTTTAATCTTTTTGGAAGAAATTATGCCTCCTACGTCTCATTTCCAACCCCTACCCAGAAATTAATTTTGAATGTTAATATGAAAGCAACCTCTCTCTTCTCTGAATGCTGCTTTTGATTCTGACAGGGTATCTAAAAGGCTGCTATTAGACACATTTTCATTAACTAATAAGCTGGTTCTTGGGCAAAACATGAATTTTTTGTCATCTCATGTGAAAATTGTAAAAAGCTATAATTATGAAGAAAATCACTAATTGTAAGGCACAAAATTTGTTTGCTAAGAATAGTCATTAAGGATCGACAAAAGCATTAGTAACTTCAATATCAGAAAACAACTATTGAAATGCAAGTGGAATCAAGGCATTTGCCCAGACATAATAATGGCTTTACGTTTAAAGGTCTATAATTGTGGTTTGATCTGAGACATTGTTGGGAATTTTCAAGAAACAATACAGAGTAGGGCTAAATACTTAAAGTACCGTGGCTTTTGGATTCCAAATTACAGACTCGAGTTTTAATTTCTAGAGAATATTACTGTAGGGAGAGTTACTCAATGATATTGTCAATGCTGTTATTGCTTTAGGATTGTGATGAAGTGGTCAAAACCAGGACAAAGAATAATATTTCTGTGGCCCAGACGTTTTATGATACTGGCTTTGCATGCAAAGTACCTGGCAGCTGGCAGCAAGTGAAGTTTGCACATCACTTCATGATGTATGTCCCTTCTAAAGAGTAACTTTTATTGTTTCTGCTTTCTGACAAATATCCTCTTTGCAGAAAATTAGGAAAATGCAGAAAATTGCAATGAAGAAATTTTAAGTTCTCCTTAATTCCATCAACAAGAGATAGCCAGTTAACATTTTGGTGTATTTTCTTCTTTTTATTTCGTTTTAAACTTCTGAAGTATAATAATGTGATAAAGTACACAAAATTTAAGTATCCAACTTAAAATGAATTTCTATCTATATCTCCATGTAACCACCACCTAGATGAAGATAACGAACATTTCCAGTAAATTTCCTTCCTTCATGCTGTTTTCTAGTCAGTACTCACCTCTCTGCCTCCCTCGTAGTACAAGGTACTATTATTCTGGTTCTTCTCACAATAGATTTGATGATTTTTAAACTTAATATAAATGGACTCCTACAGAATATCCTCTGTAGGTCTGGCTTCTCTCACTCAATATTATATTTGCAAGATTCACCTAGCTTGCTTCATATAGCTATAGTCTTTTTCATTGATGTATAGTATTTCATTATCTTTTATACTATTACTTATCCATTGATGACTGTTGAGTTGTTTTCAGTTTTTAGCTATTATGAATAAAAAACAAACATTCTTAAAAATGTCTTTTGTGGATTTTCAGTAATTTCTTTTGGATTCCTGTACTTTTTCGTATGTGTGCATGTAAATGTGAATTATACAGAAGGTTGAATTTACATTATGTCTCTCCATCTCCATCTCTATCCCTATCTGCATCTCAATCTCTATATTCTTATTAATCACAGTAATTAAATGTCTTCTAGGAAACCAGTCTGTCTTGGGATCCCTGCCGTGCTTGGACATTGACTGGGGGCGATCTTGGGGAAACAACATGGTCCTGCACATGCTACATAACTATTTACATTCTTTAGATGTATAGACTCTTTTCTCTTTTACCAGGCCAGCATGTCTCCAGCTGGGTTTTCCTGGGATTTAGCCATGGTTATCGGCCTGGTATCCAGGAGAGAAGTTAAGGGAGGCTTTTGAAGGGGTTAGCTGTTGCCTTGCCAGGTAGAGGCTTCTAAAGCATCTTTCAGCACAGTGGAGCTCCTACTAGGGAAGAGCCAGCTACCTGTACAAACCCAGAGAGTATGGAGGCAGAGCAGGCAGGGCAGTGTTGCAGAATCTGTATTCTCAGCAGCATCCATCCAGCTGTCTCTGTCTCATATTTTAAAATCTCAAGTTTTTCCCACTAGAACCCTGACCTTTAAATAACAGGCCTACCTTGGTTGAGCACTCAAACATCTCTGAAGTGCTGCAACTATAACAATCAGGTCATCAGTCTGCCTTTCAGCTCACTCTGCCCTTCCATTAGAGAACACAGTTTGTTTTTTTTTCTTTTTCTTTCTTTCTTTCTTTTTTTTTTTTTTTTGCTAGCTACCACAGAGGCTCTCTGGGCCTCGCTTTACCATTAATTGTTTGATAATAGCCTTCAGTCTGTCAGTATTTTTCTGCAGGGCATCAATACCACTAGGTAGTAACCAGCCAACTCTCCTGACTTTGAAGCATGGTTGGCTCCATATTTTCCAATTGCTTATATCACTACATTTGATACAGCATTTCCTCCCACTGGGATATTCTTCTATGTCCCAGCAAAATTTTTAGCAACCGAGCCACCACCTTTGGTCAAGGACTAACCATGTTCCATCTACCAGTCAGGACACCATCTTCACCTGCTGGGCAGTGGGTGAGCCAGTCTTAAATTCCCATGTTACCGCTTGTTTTCTTGCACCACTGCTGGCCTCGCTTGTATTAGTCCCAGTCCTCTGAGAAGCAGACAGCAAGACAAGGTCAAATATGCATGGATTTCATTATGGAAAATGCCTTTGAAAGAAAATGGTGAGGGAGCTAGAGAAGGTTGGAGGAGACATCAGACCACAGTGCAAGTCTGACCCCCAAGTGAAGGAGAGAGGGACAAATGTTGGGTGGAAGTGTCCTAGACTGTCATGCTGTGTAAGGAAGGTTCACAAGACCACCAGGGAGTTCTTGAACCAAACTTGGCTGTTAGAGGAGTCTCTCACTTCCCAGGAAAGGGGCTTGTCTTGGTATTCCTGCTGTTCTCAGACGTTAGTTGGATGCAGTCCATGGGAAGCATGGCCTCTGTGCAAATGCAATAATAGATTTTCAGGAAGCTCTTGGGATTTTGGTCAATTATACTCTCTGTAGCTGGAAGTCTATGAGACGCATTTTTCTGGTCATCACAAATAGGATCAGCACAATACCTGTAAGTCTCCATGTTAGCGACAGTTATGATTTCCTTACATACTTCTACATTTAGGGTGTTGCTGATTTGTAGTTTGATAAATAATGCTGCTTTGAGCATTGACATAATTCATTGTTTCCTTAGGACAGATGTTTGGAATTAGAATGGTGGGGCAAGAGGATGTGAACATTAACATTCTTGATACAAGGTTGCAAACTGCCTTCCTGAAAGGCAAGACCAATTCACCATGCCCCCCATTCCTTATGGAATACAAAGTGCTTGCTTTCCTTACTCATATGAGGTGCTTCTGTGTTCCGGATATATAAGAGGTCATGCTGTGCAATGCAGAGGACAGGTGGAATTCATGACACAAGCTGGTGGGAAAGGGAAGACAGAATGATTATGGGTACAATGTGGAATGATTTCTATATGAGCTTAGTTTGACTGAGATGGTTAGTTTGGGAGAGAGAGGGTCATGGATGACGTGGACATAGCAGAGGGAAGGCTCCACCTTATAACCTCCTCATGCCATCCATATGTTGGAGAGGTCTTGTGTGTTTCCTATAAGAGGCTTCCTGGCCAAAATGTCACACTGTGAGTTCTATGGGGAAGCCTATGAATACCTTGCCTACTGCTGTGTTTCTGCCACTTGGCATATATAATAAAACAGATGTCCTGTATTTACATTTGAGTTTTAGAGAAAGAGAGAGCGCAACGGTTTTCTAGGAGCATATCGTATGAGTGTCAGTGCGGAGTAGTGGGAAGTGCTCTGTATTTACCTGGGGTTGAATTCTGGTTCTGCAGGAGACCTGCTGAACCTCTGAGTCTCCATTTCATCAGACTCAGTGTAAAATGTAGTAGCAGATAGAAGTAGAGGCATTTATCTTCCCTTCCTGCTTCCCCCTTCTCCCTTCCCCTTCCCCCTTCTCCTTCCCCTTCCCCTTCCCCCTTCCTCTCCCCCTTCCCCTTCCCCTTCCCCTTCCCCTTCCCCTCCCTCTCACTCTCAGCTGCCTGTTTTCTATTCCCCCTTCCTAAGAAACCCAATCTGCCTTTTGGGGGAATTATCTCTCCCTAAAATGCAGTCTTAGTGGATTAATAATCCATGGTTCCTATCAACCTTCTGGACTAGACCAGGGACAGGCATGCGATCTAGGATATGGAATTTTGCATAGAAGGATACAGTTACAAGATTCCATGGCTGATGATTCAATCCAGTTGTTGAGGGATGGGGGAGAACTTAGGTGATAATAATGAACAATTTCTTCTACCAGGAGCATCTGTCTGTTTAAATCCTAGTTCTTCAGTCTCCCCACTAATGAGCTCCTTTTAATAAATTCCTTTTCTGTTTTAGTCAGTTGCTGTTGATTGCAACCAAAGACCCCTAACTGATAAACATTTATGCTCAAGGTTTTTGACTTTGTGCTTTTTTTTTTTTTTTTTTTTTTTTTTTTAAAAAAAGAATTCAATGAAAATGTCTACTAGCTTAATCAGAGTCTAAAAAAACTGGGATTGGCAACGGGGAGAATCTTGATTTCCAGTTTTCATCTTTTTCTTCCATTTTACAACTTCTGCCTTCGTATCTTTTCTAGCAACTGTCCTGTTCCTCCAACCGCAATTTTTAACTTCCAAAATGCTTCATAAGCATGGTGAAATTATCCATACTTATATGCTGTGCTGTAGAATTCCTTTGGAGAACACACAATATGAATTGAAAGGAGCTGGGAATTAACTTATCATCTGTTTTGAAGAGATGTGTGGGATGTGGGGCGGAGTTTTTTGATTGTGGCTTGAAAATTGATTCTAATTGCTGTTTTTATTGCTGGTTTAGCTGATGCTACTTTCAGTTATTTACATTTTCTGTCTTTTTTTATTTTTATTTTTTAGACAGGGTCTCGCAGTGTTGCCCCAGCTGGAATGCAGTGGTGTGATCACAGCTCACTGCAGCCTTGACCTCCTGGGCTCAAGAGATCCTCCCACCTCAGCCTCCTGAGTAACTGGGACTACAGGTGCGTGCCACCACACCCGGCTAATTTTTGCATTTTTTATAGAGACGGGGACCTACTGAGTTGCCCAGACTGGTTTCAAACTGTTGGGCTCAAGCGATTAGCCTGCCTTATCCTCCCAAAGTGCTGGGATTAAAGGTGTGAGCTACCACAACTGGCTCTATGTCTTTTTAAAATGACTTAGGCAATGGCATATTTGACTCCACCCCAAATATATTTATTCAAACATTGAAAATATATCTACATACTCATGTGGCTGGGCAATTTAGAAGACAACTCAAACCCAACAATTCCAGATATACTTAAAATACTGAGACTAAAGTATCCTCTGATGAGGGTAGTGCTTGAATATCTGAATAATTATCTTAAATACTGAACAATTCAGTTACCTCTGAGTACAAAGATACATCTATAGTACAGTGGTTTAGGGAATTGACTTTGGATTTAGATAGACCTTGGTTTAAACCCTAGCTCTGCTTGTTATAGACTGCATTGTAGGGAAATTAGTTTTCTCAACAGTAAAGGGAATAACAATGCTATTAGCCTAGGCTTATCCTACTTCATTCTTCAGACCTTTATTCTGGGATGCTTTCCTTAATATGTCACCCTCAACCTCAGCCCAGGTTGGACTCTTGTTATGCATGCTCACAGGACTGTGTTTATTCTCCCAGAGACCCGGTTACAGCTTGCATGGGTACACTTTTTTATTAGATTATTTGATTACGTCTTCCCCAGCTCCCTGTATCACACTGCGCTGTAAGCACCGTGAGGTTAGGGACAACCATATCTATCTCCTTCCCCATTTATTCTCAGTGCCTAGCTCCTGGTTGGCACTCAATAAATATTTATGGAATGACTGAATAAATGGAAAAATTCTTTCCCATAGGGGATTCACTGAGACAATGAATATAAAGTACAGTGGCTGGTACATAGTAACAACTGAGTAAATGTAGTCTCCCCCAAAGAAAAACTGCAAAAAAAAAAAAAAAAAAAATCCAAACAACAAAATCCCAAACACCCTCAACAATCAAACCACATGTCATATAAGAAATAAAATATTTATAGGTTGTTGTCTTCATTAAGATGCTGACTTTTCAGAGTAAGTTATGCTCTTGAATCAAACCACAGCTGATTTTAGTAATTTAAAATAAGTTTATTTCTTGCTCATGTGGCAATCTGATGAAAGTCAGGTTCATGGTGGCCCTATGACTCTCCTAATAAGCTAAGTGGGCCTGAAGGGTCTCCCATCAGCAATTAAGTGCTTGAATTTGGAAGTGATACAGGTCATTTCTACTCAAAGCCCATTGGTCAGAATTAGTCATATGACCTCTTCTAGATACAAGTCAGGCTAGTCTCCTGTGTGTCTAAAAGGAGAGGGGCCAGGCACAGTATCTTATGCCTGTAATCCCAGTGCTTTGGGAGGCCAAGGTGGGAAATCACTTGAGCCCAGGAGTTCAAGACCAGCCTGAGTGACAAAGCAAGACCCTGTCTCTACAAAAAAAAAAAAAAAAAGAAAAAAAAAAAAGAAGCTGGGCACAGTGACATGTACTTGTAGTTCCAGCTACTCTGGAGGTTGAGGTGGGAGGACTGCTTGAGCCCAGAAGTTTGAGGCTGCAATGAGCTATGATCATATCATATCCCTGTATTCCAGCCTGGATGACAGAGTAAGACACTGTCTCAAAAAAAAAAGAAAAAAAAAGAAAAAGAAAAGAATTGGATATCAGTCAACATTAGTAATGTCTACTGTAGGCTGTTAAATGAAGCTAAGCATACACTTTTCTTTAAAATGCAGTGCCTGGGCCAGGGTAGAGGTTCTATAAATACTTGTTGATGAAATACAGGCTTGAGTATTCTACATACTAAATGCTAACAGACTTAAACGAAGTGGCTACGGGTGGAAGTAATATTCATGGTCAAAATTTACAATGCTAGACTGTGCCAGGAGGTCTTTCTGCTTGGATGGTTTACGGGCTAAGGTGAAGGGTCTCAGTGCCAAACTGAAGAGGCCAAAGAGCATACCAGGGGTTGGTCCCTTAGAGAAAGAAGACAAAGGTTCTTTCTTCTTTCCTCCTGTTCCTTGGAGATGGATGAGATGTGCTTTTGGCTGGCATGTTAGTATCCTAGTACCACAACCTTGGGTAAGCCAAATAAAGTTATTTCTTCACAATTTTGGAGGCCAGAAGTCCAAGGTCAAGGCGTCAGCAGGGTTGGTTCCTTCTGAGGGCCATGAGGGAAAGGTCTGTTCCCAGCTTCCCTCTTTGACTTGTAGGTGGCCGTCTTCCCCCATGCCCTCACGTCATCATCTCTCTGTTTGTTTGTGTCCAAATTTCCTCTTGTTATCAAGACACCAGTCGGCCGGGTGTGGTGGCTCATGCCTGTAATCCCAGCACTTTGGGAGGCTGAGGCAGGTGGATCACTTGAGGTCAGGAATTTGAGGCCACCTGGCCAACACGGTGAAACCCTGTCTCTACTAAGAAACAAAAAACAACAACAACAAAAAAACACCAGGTATAGTGCTGTGTGCCTATAATCCCAGCTACTTGGGAGGCTGAGGCAGGAGAATTGCTCGAGCCTGGGATGCAGAGGTTGCAGTGAGCTGAGATTGTGACACTGAACTCCAGCCTGGGCAACAGGGCAAGACTCTGTCTCAAAAACAACAACAACAACAACAAAAACAAACAAAAAAACACTAGTCATATCAGATTAGGGCCCATCCTAATGACATCATAAAAATAACCCTGTAAAGAGCCTATCTCTAAATATGGTTACATTCTGAGGTACTAAGGATTAAGAATTCAACATATGAATCTTTTGAGGGTTAGACACAAGTCATTCCATAACAACTAGTCAAATTCCAGGATGTTGCATTGACCTATAGTGTTTAGGGTCACAGTCTGCTTCTCTTCTGGGGTCTCATCTCTTCAGAATTGTTCTCTTGCTTTTGAGTAAAATAGGCATAATAATAGTATCTACTTCAAGGTTTGATATGAAGATTAAAAGAGTTACTACATTTGAAGTACTTAAAATAGCACCTGGCACAGAGCAAGTACCCACTAAGTATTAGCATTACTGGAAGTACTTGTTGTCATTACTTTTTCAAATCATGATCACTTCTATTAGGCTGGACAATCTTTCTTTATTTGTCTCCTAATAATATTAGCTGCTGCTTACTCAGTACTTGCTGTGTGCCCAGCACTGTGCTAAAGGCTTTATATGTATCACTTCATTTAATATGACAGCAATGCTAAGAGATCAAATCTGTTGTTATCCTGAAGGTATAGAGTGGTAGAAACAGGGATGATACTAAAAAAAAAAATTTTTTTTAGACCAGGCATGGTGGGTCATGCCTGTAGTAATCCCAGCACTTTGGGAGGCTGAGGCAGGTGGATCTCTTGAGGCAAGGAGTTCGAGACCAGTCTGGCCAACGTGGTGAAACCCCATCTCTACAAAAATACAAAAATTCGATGGACATGGTGGTGCATGCCTGTGATTCCAGCTACTTGGGAGGCTGAGGCAGGAGAATTGCTTGAACCCAGGAGGTGGAGGTTGCAGTGAGCCGAGATTGCACCACTGCACTCCAGTCTGGGTAACAGAGTGAAACTCGGTCTTATTTTATTTTATTTTTTTAACAAACTGAGAAGCAATGGCAATGAAAGGTCTAGGACACCCTTGGCCCTGCCAGATATTAAGAGTTAGTTCCTAATCCGTAGGGATTAGAAGGAGGGCCCAGAGTGATGGGAGTGACTCTGGGAGTTCAGGGAAATAACTCTAACCAGTAGAATTATTTCAACATGTTAATAGCTGACGAGACTGTACAGAGGCATCCTGGTTCATTGTCTGCCCTGGAGGGACCTGGGGGTGACTGTCCCAGATCCATGTTCTTAAATATTTGCTAGCGATAAGGCTAGAGAGCCTCATTTTACAGACAAGAGATTGAGAACCAGAGAAGGCAAGAGACTTTCATGAGGTCACGCAGCGAGCAGGTTGGTGAAGTAGCCTGACTCCTGATTCCTAGGTCTCTGTGTAAATTAAGTTCCTTTTTCCTGCACCTCTCACTGCTAGTCAAGAAGCAGCAGCCCAGCTCATGGAGAACGGCAAACTGGGATCCCAGTAGGATCCCAATGCTGCAGGGCTCTGTCTCCCTCTTTTGCTCACCTGGCTGGGGTGGGTAGACTGAGGGCTTGGCCACCTCTCAAACTCTTATGCTGTCTATTCTGACAATGATGGCAGAGGGAAGTGGCCACTGTCTGGGACAGACTGGCCTGGGGGTTGAGCCCACTCAGCAGGCAGATCTTCAGGTGCCTTTTCCCTCACTGAGCACTCCAGCAGGCCCAGATGCCAGGTAGCTGAGTCGGCCCTGGATGTGGTGAAAGACTCAGAGGCACATGGGGATGTACCAGACCAGAGCACTCACCTGTCCTCTTTCCTGACCTGAAAGAGAGACACACAGAGGCAAATGAGAGAAAGACCAAGAGGTAAAGCCAAAGAGACAAAGAGCTACATAGAGAACTGAGCAACAGAGCCAGAGGCAGAAAGACCCAGAGATGCAGAGTTAAGACAGATAGTCAGATGGAGCTCAAGAGAGATGAAGAAGGAACAACAGAAAAACACCAGCGAGGATGACAGGGAAAAGCAAAGAAAGGCAGAGTGAAAGAAACAGGAACAGTAAGAGAGGGAGGGGTGTTGGCGGGGTGCTGTGGCTCACACCTGTAATCCCAGCACTTTGGGAGGATGAGACGGGTGGATCACGAGGTCAGGAGTTCGAGATCAGCCTGGCCAACATAGGGAAACCCCATCTCTATTAAAAATACAAAAATTAGCTGGGCATGGTGGCAGATGCCTGTAGTCTCAGCTACTCGGGAGGCTGAGGCAGGAGAATCGCTTGAACCCAGGAGGTGGAGGTTGTGGTGAGCCGAGATCACGCCACTGCACTCCAGCCTGGGCAACAGAGTGAGACTCTGTCTCAAAAAAAAAAAAAAAAAGATGGAGGGGTGGAGGGAGAGAAAGAGAGGAAGAGAGAGAGGAGGAGGGGAGAGAGGGGGTAGAGGGGGAGAAAGAGAGGGAGGAAGAGAAGCAGAGAGAGGGGGAGAGAGGGGTAGAGAGACGGAGAGGGAGAGGAGGAGGATAGAGGAAGAGAAGGAGAGAAAGAAGAGAGAGAGATGAAGAGAGAAGCAAGAGAAGATAAAGGGAGAGGGAGGAGGTAGAGAAGAGGGGAGAGAGAGGAAGAGGGGAGAGAGAAAGAGGAAAGGAGAGACAGAATGACTGATACAGGGGTATAGGGGTACAGGAGAGGCTGGCAGGTGATGTAGCCAGTGATATGGGGAGTAGAACCGCAAAGGGCTTGTGAAGAAGAAAGAAAAATTAGGAGAAAGGCCATTGGGGCAGGTGGAAGGGAGGAGGACTAGGACACAGAGAAGACTTTTCGTGGCATTCGTGGCTCTGTTTGTTATGACAGGGGCAGAAATACAGACTCAGACACCCACGGCGGCCCATTAGTCCCCACTGCCCCGCCGCTCTGCCAGACGGCCGCCCCTTCTAGGTCTGTTGCCTCTGAGCCTTATTTATTGCTCCAAAATCTGGGACCATGGGGAGTCCCTGCTGGGAAGCTCAGGCGGAAGCTTCCATCTAAATCCTGGACTCGGCTTCCAGCCACTGCAGCTGAACAGGAGGGACAGTGGGAGGACAGAGCTTGATTTGTACCATGGCTTTTTCACACATGGAGGGTGGTGTCTTTTTTCTGGAAGCGGTAAGAAGATTCTGTGCTGTCCCTAGGGATGTAAGTCTTGACCTTATTCCTTTCCACTAAAGAAACAATTTAAAAATCCAAAGCCAATTTCCTAATACCACTCTGGGCATTTTAACCAGAGTTGAAGCTACTGAAAATACAGTAGCTACCATGCTAGGAATGTTGTAAGGATGATCTCATTTATCCCTGTATAATGCTATGAGGAAGGTTCTATTATCTTCCACTTTTGCAGGTGATCTAACAGGCTCAGGGAGGTGAAGAAACTTGCCCAGGATTCTGTTTCTGTATATACCAGAGTCTGACCTGTCTGGCTGTGTTTCTTAGTCACTGTGCCATCCTGCCCCCGCCTCCCACCACCATTATACAGATGAAGACATCGGGGCTTGTCAATTTTTTTTAATACAATAATTTTATTATTTTTTAAAATTAGATATGGAGTCTTACTGTGTTTGCCAGGTTGGTCTTGAGCTCTTGGCCTCACGCAATCCTCCCGCCTCAGCCTCCCAAAGGGCTATGTTTACAGGTGTGAGCTACCATACCTGGCTGGTTCTTTTTGTTTGTCTTTTAACTTTTATGTTTAAGTTTGGGAGTACAAGTGCAGGTTTGTTACATAGGTGAACTTGTGTCATGGGTGTTTCTTGTACTGGTTATTCACCACCCAGGTATTATGTCTGGTACCCATTAGCTATTTTTCCTGATCCTCTCCCTCCTCCCATTCCTCATCCTCCCCCTCCTCCCATTCCTCATCCTCCAAAAGGCCCCAGTGTGTGTGATTTCCCTCTATGTGTTATGTGTTCTCATAATTGAGCTGCCATTTGATAAGTAAGAATATGCAGGATTTGGCTTTCTGTTCCTGTGTTAGTTTGCTAAGGATAATGGCCTCCAGCTGCATCTGTGTCCCTGCAAAGGACATGATACCGTTCCTTTTTATGGCTGCATAGTATTCCATGGTGTATGGGTACCACATTTTCTTTATCCAGTCTGTCATTGATGGGCACTTAGGTCAATTCCATGTCTTTGCTATTGTGAATAGTGAGGCTTGTCAGTTCTAATCATTTGCCCAAAGTCACGTGGGTAGAAAGGTGCAGAATGAGGATTTAAACCCAGTAGGGAATTAGACCTCAGTAGGTCTGCTTAATTTCAGTGCGTCTGCTCTTATCCCCTATGCATTGGCTTGGGGATTTTCAGAAATAGGTACTCCCTCCAGGTGCTTCAGGCACTGGTTTGTTGTGCCTCATGAAGTAAAGAGAGCAAAAGCTCCAACAGAACTACACACTTAAAAATTGTTGCAGTAGTGAATTTTATGTTACAGGTATCTTACCATAATTGGAGGTTAAAAAAATTGTGTGTGTGGGTCTGCTGAGGTTTGAAAAATTTTTGTAAACCTCCAATTGTCGCTGTCTGTGGAGTATGGTTAATCCATTCTCATCTAGTCGTCATGCTATTTTCATGATGCAGCTTTGCCTACTTGCTGCACTGACCTCCCTTTACCTCCAGATCTTCGTTCCTGCAGATTCACAGCTTCTCTTTCCTTGGGTCTTCTGTTGTATTGTGGCCTTCTGTTTCCTGCTTTCTCTGAGTGCCTCACTACTTCCAACATTCTCTCTCTCTCTCTCTCTCTTAGATGGTGCAAAATTAATCACGGTTTCTGCCATTACTTTTAATGGCAGAAACCGCGATTAATTTTGCACCAACCTAATGGCAGAAACCACGATTAATTTTGCACCAACCGAATATCTTCATCAAGTCAACCGTCCTAGGAGAAAAGATCAGATTGAATGGCATCTTAGGTTGGGTTTCCTGGAAACAGGCTCTCAGGTGTAGATTTGCCTGCAGGGACTTTTTTGAGGGAGAGCTTTTGGGATCAGCATTATGGGTGGAGTGCAGACAATGGTACTGGGCGGAAGAGATGTTGGACTTTGACGCAGTCTCAACAGAGGCCTCAGCCAATACCATGGGGATGCTTTGGAGCTGGAATTGTGTTCAGATTTATCCCCTTCAAGCAAGAGGTTCAGGTCTTAATATTTCTGACACTGGTCTGTTATTGGATATGAGCTGCCCTTAGTGGGGGGTATGACTGCAGGTGAGGTGGCTTTCTTTCACTGAGGGTGATTTTCAGAGATGGACTGAGCTGACATCTGTTGGCTACCAGTACTCCCACCAGCTAGGGGAATGTGAGCCTCAGTCCTGAGGGGAGGTCTGGGTGGTACCCCACAACATCCTCTGCTGATGGAATAATCCCTTTTCAGAATACAGCAGCCCATGGGAGCACCTCCATGGCTCTTGGTCTTCCCTGCTCCATCCAATGGATGTCTGTATTTGCCTCTGTTGCTAATTCCTGGTGCAATCAGATGCAACACTGGTTTCAGGTCCTATGACATGGAACATGGAAACCATGTGCAGGAATGGCCTGAGGCTTTGCTCAGATGGGGTGGCAGCACAGCAGAGCCTTTGAGCACCCTGGATTCTTGACCATAGCCATGATGCCTTGCCAGCTTCCCGGAGTCCAGAAGAGAATTCCTGTACTCCAAATTTTTCTTACTTAAGGCCTGCTAGCCCAGTTGTTAGGAGCACAGATCTGAAAATGTTCTGAAGCTGATCTCCAAATAGCAGAACCATTTCCTCTCTGCTCTACAAGGAATTCCTCTTGTTATGTCACCCGATCTCAAAGTATTAGACACCAAGGAAGTGTCCCAAGAGTGTAGGTGGATCAATACATAGTCACAGCCCCTCCTGAACAAGAGCAATCCTTCTGCTGTTGGCCAGACTGCCATTCATGCTTCTCAAACCCTCTGAAGTTTCCTTGTGAACAGTTAGTTTTTTTTCTGCTTAGTCTAGGACTTTCTTTCCTCTCTAGCAATTTTCCTCCATGAAGTGAAAACAGACATGGAGACACATATGCTACGGGGGCTCAATATAGCACCGTCAGTCAAACCCTGCTCTCTCCCTGCTGCAGCAAGGATATGGCTGGGCTCCCATCCTTTCCTTCCCCTTAATTGATTTCCAAATTCAGCCTCCTAGGATGGTGCCTTGGCTGGCATTCCAAGTTCAGCCTCTCAACCTTAATTTAATGCTTCTAGGGTGGTGAGAACTTATGTTTCCCACCTACTAGTTGGCATCTGGCTGATTTTCTTATCCTGAAGAATTTAGTTTCATTAATGTCAAACCTTTGTACATTGCATTTGGGCTGTCAACAGTGATGCATACTCCTGCTGTTCCCAGTCCTCCTGAAACAGAGTCCTTCACCTACTCCAGGACAGTGTTGGCATTCAGGGACCCAGTTGTGGCCCATAGCAAGACTGTCAGCCATAGGACTTGCTTCATTAAACCCAGGAGTCCCAGGGCCCGGGCTGGGATAGCTGGAGGATGCTAAAAGCAGGTTGGATAATTCAGAGTCTGCTTAATTTTGCCCAGGCAGCCTGATATGAGGTCTTGAAGTCAAGTTTTCCAGCCTTCTTCTTCCAAGATTGTGCCAGAAATTCTATACTTGGAGCAGGTTAACTTTTCAGCACTGAGTTGGCAAATGTTTATGATTGGATTTTCACACTCCTTTCTGGACAGAGGACAATTTTTGTTGTAAAATAGAAACATAGGGATAGGAGGACCCAAGGCACCTTAGTAGGGCTGGATCTTGGAAGAATAGTGATATGATGAAACAGGTTTTGTCTTCTGTATTTTCTTACCCCTATTCTTTGTAACAAATATTGATTATTTATTGGGAGTAACCCAAATCCCTTTAGGTATGCCAAATATCCCAGATCTCACCAGCTTCTTGGTATAAATGGGGTCATTTTGAGACAAATGTTTAGACCATACAGGCTCATAGCTTTTGCCTCTTCCTGGTGGACCCCAGTGTTTTCAGGAGTCCTGCAGAGATGTCTCACGTGTGCTAGAATATGTGCTAACTCTTAGGTTTTTTTCACTCAAGACTTTTTTGTTTGTTTGTTTTTGAAATGTGTCTCCTGCAAACCACTTAAGGATGACAACTCTCTGCTGTACTTCTGCTGCAGTCTTCCACAACATCCCTGATTCCCTGCCACTCTGATGGGCGCATGGGCTCTTTTACAAATGTGCCGTGGTCCGTGCATTGTGCTGCTGTTGTGCCCCTCTGCTGCAATGGCAAGGAAGTCCCTTTGCCTTGCGTACATGGAACTTGGGTGCCAGGCTCCCAAAGCAGTTCTTCTTGTGCCCAGAACCTCTCAGCCAAGTGCCAGTTTCTCTTCTCCCGTGAAGACTCAAGCCAACATAGACCAGTATAGCTTCTCATGTCTCAAAGCTCATGAGAAATTTACAAAAAGGATCAGTGGACCTCTGGATTTTTCTGCCTTGTGCTCAAAGCTCAGAAGGCCCTGCGTTACATTTAGGAAGGGGAGGCACAAGGAGAGGATGTGCCATGAAGCCACTGCTGAAAAGCAGACTTAGTGGTTCACACTCAGGCATGTCCATCAGTCAAGCTCTCCAAGCTGTGTTTTTTAGTGTGTTGCATAAGCCACACGTGGTGTGGAGGGAATGGTGTTAGTTTATGCCAAATCAACAGCAGCAAAAATAATGACATCATGGACAATAATAAAATAGTCAACCAGCAACAGATGGAAGGGAAGAATTCCAGTTATGCTAAGAAACTGTTAGTGACACAAACTGTTTGGAGTCTTAGCTGGTCAAACCAAACCCAATTCCACTAGCCAAAAAATAACAAGAATATTATCATTCAGCCAGAAACATGAGCCACTCAAATCCCCTGTCCAGAAAAACAGTCCTTTTGGGATCTGATGGGGTGGAGGGGCAAAGCAATTTCAAAGTATCACCCTCTGCTCACCATCAAAGAGCCTTGTTTGTTCACTGATGCCCAGTAAATCAGAACCAGGGAATCAGATACAAATTTCCTTTGCCTTTTGATTTCCTTTATTAATGGAACCTTTTTAGAGGTCTGTTTATACTTTTCACTTGTACAAAATCACAATACTTCACACAAAGGCAGCAGATGATACCGAAAGCTGGAGATTGGGCCGAATTGCCTCTCTCGTAACCAGTGCTAACAGAGCCTTCTCTTGGATGTAAGGAAACTTGAATCTAATTGCAGGGTTGGTTGTTCCAATTCTGTGTAACTATAGGTTTCTTTGTCTGGGGTTTTTTCCTCCTCAAATTTAATGTTTCTCCTTGAGCTCCTGTCAGATAGCTCCTTTAGGAATCTGAGTAGAGTAACCGTTGATTATTTTAAACTGAGACTGAATTTTAAGATTACAATGTTCCAGGAGTGGCGTCTCCAAGACTTGAAGTGCCTCTGTGTCCACATATCCCCCTGGATCCTCCTGTTGAGGTTTCATGTGAACCTCATATTTGTTTCATATTTGGTGTTATGTGAGCCTTCCACCTGGCCATAGGTGATTGGACAGGGACTGGCACTTGAGCTGAAAGTAGCCAATGAGTTAGCCTCATGTAAGAGTCCATCTCTACATAGGACTATGATTAATTAGACCCATTACGTTCTCCTTCTGAAAGTTTTGAATGAGACGTTGCTCAGAGTGAGTGGGATATATGTTCATTCTAGTAGGAATCTTGTCTGTTTTCTTTCCTAATTTATCACCATTATTGATAATAGTACCCAGCACTTGGCTGGGCATGGTGGCGCATGCCTGTAATCCCAGGACTTTGGGAGGCTGAGGCAGGCAGATCACAAGGTCAGGAGTTCATGACTAGCCTGGCAACATGGCGAAACCCTGTCTCTACTAAAAATACAAAAATTAGCCAGGCACGGTGGCACGTGCCTATAATCCCAGCTACTTGGGAGGCTGAGGCAGGAGAATCACTTGAACCTGGGAGGTGGAGGTTGCAGTGAGCCAAGATCGCACCACTGTACTCCAGCCTGGGCAACAGAGCGAGACTCTGTCTCAAAAAAAAAAATAATAATAATAATAATAAAGTAGTACCCAGCATGGCACACAATAAATATTTGATAAATAAATGCATGCACCCTTATGTAGAAAGATTTTTAAAAAATGAATCAACATCTCTCTCCCCATATTTTACCTTTTTCTCCTGCCACCAGGCAGCCAGGTTCTTCCTTATCTCCTCTTTTAAATTGTTATTATTCTTTTAAACACACTTTATTTTTTAAGGCACCTTTAGGTTTGCAGCAGAACTGAGTGGAAGATAATAGAGACTTCTCACATACCCCCTGCTGCCTCACATGCATAGCCTCCCTTATTATCAACATCCCCACAGAATGGTACATTTGTTATAATTGATAAATCTACATTGACACATCATTATCATCCAAAGACCAAGTTTACATTAGGGTTCACTCTTGCTGTTGTTCATTCAATGGGTTTTGACAAATGCTTAATGACATGTATCTACCATTATAACAACATACAGAGTAGTTTCACTGGCCTAAAAATCCTCTGGGATCCAACTGTTCCTCTCTCCCTCCCTCCCCTCAACCTCTGGCAATCCCTGATCCTTTCACTGTCTCCATCATTTTGATTTTTCCAGAATGTCATAGAGCTGGAGTCATATAGAACACAGCCTTTTCAGGTTGGCTTGTTTTGCTTAGTAATATGCATTTAACATTCCTCCATGCTTTTTATGACTTGATAGCTCATTTCTTTTTAATACTGAATAACATTGAATTCTCTGGATGTACATAGATTATCCATTCACCTACTGAAGGGCGTCTTGGTTGCTTCCAAGTTTTGGCAATTATGAAGGAAGAGGCTATAAACATCTCTGTGTGGGTTTTTGTGTGGATGTTAAGTTTTCAATCCATTTGAGTAAATATACCAAAGAGTGCAATTTCTGGATCATATTGTAAGGGTATGTGTAGTTTTGTAAGAAACCTCCAAAGTGTCTTCCAAAGTGCCTGTACCATTTTGCATTCCTGTTAGCAATGAATGAAAATTCCTGTTGCTCCGCATCCTCACCAGCATTTGGTGTTTTCAGTGTTTTGGATTTTGGCCATTCTAATAGGTGTGTAGTGATGTGTCATGATTGTCTGAATTTGCAGCTTCCTAATAACATATGATGGTGAGCATCTTTTCTTATGCTTATTTGCTATCTGTATATCTTTGTGAGGTGCCTGTTCAGGTCTTTTGCTCATTTTAAATTGGGTTGTTTGTTGTCTTATTTTTGAGTTTTAAGGATTTTTTGCATATTTTAGATGCTAGACCTTTATGAGATATGTCTTTTGCAAATCTTTTCTCTCATTCTGTGGCTTATCTTCTCACTCTTGATTCTCTCTGTATTTTTCTGACTTTTTGCCTGGGCAAAAAAGATGGGCAGTATGGTACAGTATTTAAGTGTTCAGATTCTGGAGCCATCTGCCTGAGTGTGAGTCCTGATTTTGCCACTTGTTAAGCAATTGATCATACCATCTGATTCTCAATTTTCTCATCTGTGAAATGGAGAGAATATTACTGCCACCCTATAGAGTTGTTATGAGAAGTTAGAATGGTCCCAACGTGTAGTTAGTAAGCACTGTATAAATGGTAGTCATTATTTTTGGGATTATCTCTTTTTTGCGTTGTTTGGACTCAGTCACTAATTGGTTCTTGTCTTCTACCAATCCTTTCTTTACTCACACCATTGAAGGCACACTGGCCTCTACCCCCACCTCAGGGTGTCTGTCCTTCTGTTTCCTCCTTTTGAAGTGCTTTCCTCCCAATATACTTGTGTCTTGCTCTTTCATCTCGTTGTTCAGTATTTTTAGCTGTCATAAACAGAAGCAGTCTAAAGGTGATGGGGTTTCCTATCTTTGGTAGAAATCTCTGTCCATTGATGCTAGCTATCTCAGAGGGAAGAGGAGCTTTGTAGGAGCAGAGAGGGAGGAGGAGAGGTTCCTTGAGACTGAGAGGGAAAGGAGTCTGTATGTTCAGAGAGTGATGGAGACTGAGCCTTGCTCTCTGGGAATGTTCCTGGAAGGTGGCAAGATCTCAAGGGAAAGCTGCCCCCAGGAAGACTGGGGGACCTGGGTCCGCCAAGGATCTCCAGGCCCCAAGCATGACCTATACACTGCAGAACCACTTGGATTGAAGTCACCATGTAGACTGAAGCAGAGTGTACACTGGTGACAGCCAAGTGGACTGAGGTTTGGGTAGACACTTTCTATTGCCTACTGTGACATGAAACTCTATTTACTCTGCATCTGACAGGGTAACTGAGGCTAAACTTCATGCAAGTTCATAGGGATGGTGGCTCAAAGCCAGAGGGACTTTGACTAATGCAATCTGAGTCATAGCACCAGAATTATGTTATCAAACACCAGATGTTTGCCCAAGATCCAGTTGTTTGCTGCACAGAAAGCCAATCATAGAGACAATAAGCATTACAAGGGAAGATTTTTTAACATGGGTGATGTCACCCAGGAGACAGGAGAGAAATCCCAAATCCATCACCCCATCTGACTAAAATTTGGGGTTTATACAGCAGGGAATAAATGTAACTACATGTGGGAAAATAGGAACTAGGGAGGGGGTAAGGAAGAGTCATAGTCAACAGGAACTAGTGTAGGAAAATATGAATTAGGGAGGAATTGATAGCAGTTGGTTGGTTAGGCAATCATGACAGATGAGTGGTCTGGTGTCTCATTGCAGTGACCTGGTAAGTTTCAGTTTCTTGATACTACCTCATGGTCAGTTTCCTGAGAAAGGAACTCAGATAAGGTAAATGGAAGTTTCTCAAGTTTTAAGACTGGGAATGTCAATTTCTACATTTATTTAAAGAACCATAAATATCAGTTCTATGGGATAATTGGGCTGGTTTTATAAAGAAAGTGATATTTCTTTCACCTTGAGTTTGGACTTTAGAATTATACACAAAATAAATATTTCCAAGTTCATCCTTGCTCACTGTAATTTGAGAGACTCTAGTTACTGGTAAGGTTACCATTTAGACACGTTCCAGTCGTTCTTGTCCCTGTGTCTTTCCCCCCTCACCCTGCCCTTTCTAACCTTTCAGGTATTGGAAGTGAGTTCCCTTCTGAGACCACACTTTTGAATTGCTCATATACCTGCTTGTTTACTGTGACATCCAGTTGTATGTGTTGATTACTTCAGCCTCCCCGACCAAACTATAGGATGAACCTTGAGCAAGAAATAAACTTTTGTTTTATTTTTTTTTTAATCTCACAAGAATGGCTGAAATTTGTTGTTTTAAATGAGTGACATTAGGTGTGTTTGTTGTCCTACCCTCAACAACCTTATCCTGAGCGATACCTACATTAAATCCTTAAAAACACTGTCGCCAAACTGTTGAAACCAAAGGAAGTGTTCAAAACATTGGAAATGGCATATCTTTACAGACAAAATATTTTGCCTTAGCAAACATGTGGAGAAGGAAGTGGATGTTGCTATATTTAGAGCACAAAGCAAATGTGTTGTTTTGGAGTATTCAGGCAGATAAACATGTTCAAAATGTTCCACCTATTGCCTGGTTAGAAATACCAATACAGCATAAAAGTTCACAGTATTTCCTTCTACATGTTGTATACACACACCTATACACCGATACCATATACTGTAGAGCTAAGGGCTGTTTGGTTGCTAGAAACAATAAGTATTTAATTAAATTCACAGAAGTTAGAGATCAAACTATGGCAGGATGAAGGCAAGACACACACCTAGCTCTTGTGACTCCGTATCATCTCCTGTTCATTTGAGTCTCGCATGGTTTTGCAAAATTATAAAGTGTTTTCAGATTCTCTTCCTTCATCACATTTGATAGAATGTTCACAGATTTCGTGTATCAATTCCTTGTTGAATTTTCACTGTTTTACTATCATCTGTTTTATTCCCTCATTCTCTTTGGTTATATATTTTACCCTTCTGAACAGTTTCTCCTAATTATGATACAATTTTTAGCTTTTGTATTTTTGTTACCTAATTTCAGAATCTCTAAAAAGGATGAACTTAGGAGTTGAGTTGGAAGGGAGGTTTGGGCTAAAGGGACATTTCCTTACCTAAGAATGAGAAAACATCAGTTGTCCATATCAAGGGATGGGAGATTTGCTAATGGAGATTATGGGGGAACAAACTATTCCCCACTCCAGAACCAACCTTGGCACCACAACTGCCATAAACTTTTTTTTTTTTTTTTTTTTTGAGACAAGTCTTGCTCTGCTGCTCAGACTGGAGTGCAGTGGGATGATCTTGGCTCACTGCAACTTCCACCTCCCTCCTCCCAGGTTCAAGGGATTCTACTGCCTCAGCCTCCTGAGTAGCTGGGATTACAGGTGCCTGCCAGCACACCCAGCTAGTTTTTGTATTTTTAATAGAGATGGGTTTTCACCATGTAGGCCAGGCTGTCTCAAACACCTGACCTCAAGTGATCTGCCCACCTTGGCTTCCCAAAGTGCTGGGATTACAGGCCTGAGCCATTGTGCTGGGCCCTTTGTGTGGAATGTTTATTCTTCTTCTTTTTCTTCTTCTTCTTTTTTTTTTTTTTTGAGATAGTTTCGCTTTGTTGCCAGGCTGGTGTGCAGTGGCGTGATCTCAGCTTACTGCAACTTCTGCCTCCCGGGTTCAAGCAATTCTCCTGCCTCAGCCTCCCAAGTAGCTGGGACTATAGGTGCACTCGACCACACCCAGCTAATTTTTGTATTTTTAGTAGAGACAGGGTTTCACCATGTTGGCCAGGATGGTCTTGATCTCGACCTCGTGATCTGCCTGCCTTGGCTTCCCAAAGAGCTTGGATTACAGGCGTGAGCCACTGCGCCCGGCCAGAATGTTTATTCTAAAGGCAATGATTTCCTCAACTTTCTACTTTGTCTTCTTTTAAACAAGACTCTCATACAATCTCTTTTGAAATCACTACAATCAGGGAGAAAAATTGTTTGATGTCTGACCAGTTAATAATGAGACTCTGGACAAATTGTTCAGCTCCTTAGATGGACAATAATCATATGACTTCATTGAATTACTATGAAGATTATATAAAATCATATCTGGGAATGGCTTATGGGGTGAGGGCATATGGGGTGAGAACCCTTACGTCTGTTCTTTCCTTGCAGCTAATGGGGAGGTAGTGTCACTGAACTAAAGTAGGTCCCTTTGCCTATGCAACTGAAAGCCAAACACCAAAGCACCAGATTTTTGTAGCAAGAAAGGTTTATTGCCAGGTGGCCAAGCAGAGAGACAAAGTCATGCTCAAGTCTGTCTCCCTGTACTGGCCTTACAGCTGCAGATTTAGGGGAGCGATGTTAGGGGTGGGGTTTTAGGGCTGGGCAGTGATTGGCTGAAAGGGAGGGATGTTTAGAAAGTCCCTTGGACATGCCATCGTCTCTTGACACTTCTTCATGAGTTGCATGTGCAAATTCGGAGGGAGTTGGTATGAAACATGTGAAAATTCGGGCTGTGACATCGAAAGATTACTCATTGGGTGAGCAAGTTTGTTCTGTGCAGGCTCCAGTCAGCCATATTGGTTCCAATCTGTTTCGGTCAGTTTTGTAAGCTAGGGGGGACTGTAGCAAACTGTATCTTTTTTTTTTTTTTTTTTTTTTGAGACGGAGTTTTGCTCTGTCGCCTGCCCAGGCTGGAGTGCAGTGGCGCCATCTTGGCTCACTGCAAGCTCCACCTCCCGGGTTCAGGCCATTCTCCTGCCTCAGCCTCCCGAGTAGCTGGAACTACAGGTGCCTGCCACCACGCCTGGCTAATTTTTTGTATTTTTAGTAGAGACGGGGTTTCACCGTGTTAGCCAGGATGGTCTCGATCTGACTTCCTGATCCTCCTGCCTTGGCCTCCCACAGTACTGGGATTACAGGTGTGAGCCACCACGCCCGGCCAGCAAACTGTATCTTATTCCTGCAAGATAAGCTCAAGATTTCTGTTAGTCACCGGTTTCTTTAACCCTGTGGGGCATGGTTTCAGCAGCATGACCTAGTAGGTGTTCATGCTCTAAAGTCACATAGCTGGGTTCAAATCCTAAACTCTGCCTCTTGCCAGCTTTGTATAAACAGGATGTGGGGGTGCAAATTACTTCAATTTTCAAACCTCACTTGCAGTGTCTACAAAATAAATAAATAAATAAATAAAATGAAATCTGATACAGTGTGAGGATTAAATGAAATATTGAGTCTATAGCACTTGGTATTGTAAGTGCTATATACTCAAGAAATGGCACGTTTTGTTAACTTCATTAGAAACAAGTATCTCTTTTCAGTCCAGTCCTGTGTCATCATTGTCTTCATCATCATCATCATCATTGTCATCTTTGTTTTTTAGAGATCGGATCTCTTTCTCTGTCTCCCAGGCTGAAGTGCAGTGCTGTGATCATAACTCATTGCAGCCTCGAACTCCTGGGCTCAAGCGAATCCTCCTGCATCAGCCCTTGAGGGTTCAGGACTCTCAGCCCTTGAGGTGCTGGGACTGCAGATGTGCACCTTCATGCCTAGCTAAGTTTTTATTTTGTAGAGATGAGGTCTTAGTTGTGCAGGCTGGTCTTGAAAGTCTGACCTCAGGCAATCCTCCAGTCTCCTGAAGAGCTGGGATTACGAAGATGAGCCACTGTACCCAGCTTTGTATCTTCTAATAGAAGCTCGCAATCCTTGATTGGAAACCCTTGGGGACACATGTTTTAAAATTCAGAATGTTATGGAAATTAGAAAGGTAATGTGGAGCATAAACTATACATTCCACAACATCCCACTTTCAGTGGGGTCTGCAGTAGCACTTCCTGGTCAGCTCATTACTGCCGTTAAATATGTGGATGTTCATGCTAGGTGGGATGTGAGATAAATAAAGGACATAAATAGCCTCATTTCAGTTCTGGTCAAGTTTTGTTGCCAAATGAATTTGTGCCAACCTTAATTTTAAAAAATTTGGTTTCCAGAGCTTTTGGGAATTCAGAAACCCATGCAGTCATTAAAAATTCTCCTGTTCTGTGTATTTAAGCTATTTCTAGTGCTTGTTTCTGCTTTAAGCTGTGCTTCTCCTACATCTCTGTGTTTCAGTCAACCTTTCAAAGCTTTCTTTGGACTCAACTCTCCTCCTTTGACTTCCTGTGTTTTACTTTCCCCTCTCATCTCTGTCTCTATTCTTTACCCCCTTCTGGACTTCTTCTCTTTCGGGAGTTCACACACTACTGGCATGAAGACTGTTTTCATTTTCTTTGTTTTTTCCCTCTGCTACATTGTCTCTAGATTCTCATGCCTCTCTCTCTCCTCCTCTGTGGATTTCAGAGTCTTGCTTGTGCAGTGAGGGCTCCCTGCCTCTGTTCTTGTCTAAGTATCATCTCCCATTTGATATACCCTTTTATTTCTGGTGAAGATATTTTATTTTTCATGAAAACATCATTGTACAATGCTCTATAGAGGAAGAAAATTTCCTTTAATGTCCCCCAAATGCTATGTGGTTTAATAGTCATCTTCCTTTAAAAAACTGAATATGTAATTGATAATAACAACTGATTTCTTGTGAAATATAGCATTTATGTTTTAAAAATTTATTTGCCTTTATTTTAACTAAAGGCAAGTCCAGTTTAAACCTGTACTTTTTGCAGTTAGCCAAATCAAAGCTATCATAATTCAAAGACAATAAAATAAAGTGCTAAATGGTGGTGCTGATTCTTTGTTTCTGCCCTTTCATTCATTGGTGGTGGCGCTTGGCTCCCACCCTAACGACCTTACCACCCTCTTTCTCCTTTTAATTTCTTCATCTCTTCCAGATATACCTCTTTGTTCATGCTTTCTTTTACAATGCCAATATCATTATGATAATTTATTGAGCTCTTACTGTGTACTAAGCACTTTACATGGATCATTTAGTTTCATCCTTTCAGTACTCCATGAGGCAGGGTAAGGACTCTCTTAATCCTCATATTTCAGATGAGAAAATTCAGGCTGAGAGATAAAGTGACTTGCTCAAGATTACACAGCTAGTCAGTAGCAGAAATGGAATTCAAACACTATTGCATTAAATTTTTGCATTAATCCTTGTTGCATTAAACTGATTCCAAAGCTTATGATTTCAGTCACTATGCCTTTATTTCCTCCATTGCAGCAGATACTGCCATTCCTGTTATTGAATTCATCTTCTCTTTCTCGATTTTTACAGCGTCTTAAATCTGACTCATCTCTGCTGCCCTCTTTTCAGCATGCCATTATCTTAGGTGGTTTGTCCACATTTACCCATTTCCATGGTTGCATTGTTGGTCCTTATCTTTTCCCAATGGCACATTGAGATTATTTTATAATCACCACATACTCATGGTGGACTATAGGACCAATCCCAATTTCAAATATTCTTGTTCTCACAAACCACTGAAGCATCCTGGAAATAAGATGCTGGTCAGCAGAAAGAGCATCTGCTTCCTCTGTTGCTAGACACCTGCCCATTCAAAGTCATGTCTTGGCAGAAGGCACCATTCAAAGTCATGTCTTGACAAAATGGCTTCATGTCATAAAGCCATGGTATCTGTGTTACCTTTCGGGTATCCGTGAATAATTGAACCTATGTTTGTTATATTAGTTAGACTTGCTGTGCAGCAGTAAACCAAATTGCCACATTTCTAATTTAATGTAACAAAGACATATGTCTCTTTCACCTCAAAGTCAGAGGTGGTTTAGGAGTCTCCTTGGCTTTTCTCCTTGAACAGTGACTCAGGGATCTGGGATGTTTCCATTGTGTAACTCCGTCTTTTTTTTTTTTTTTTTTTTTTTGAGATAGAGTCTCGCTCCATTGCCCAGGCTGGAGTGCAGTGGCGTGATCTCGGCTCACTGCAAGCTCTGCCTCTTGGGTTCAAGAAATTCTCCTGCCTCAGCCTCCCAAGTAGCTGGGATTACAGGCGCCCACCACCACGCCCAGCTAGGTGTTTTTTTATTTTTTTTTTATTTTTAGTAGAGACAGGGTTTTGCCATGTTGGCCAGCCTGGTCTCGAACTTCTGACCTCAGGTGATCCACTCACCTTGGCCTTCCAGTGTGCTGGGATTACAGGTGTGACCCACCACACCCAGCAGCAACTCCATCATCTTAAAGTTCCTTGCTTCCAGCCACCTGGATAGGAGAGTGGGTGGGACCTATTCACAGACGCTTACCCACAAAGAACAGTCATTATCATGACTACAAAGACATATTCATTGAGATGATTTGTCCAAGGTCTTCCAAGTTAGTAAGTGGTAGATTCAGAAGTAACTACCTTGACTCTTTTTTCCATGATAAGTTTTAGTAACTAGGGATATTTTATCTGTGTTAATCCTTCCTGGCTTGATTTATTTAATTCACAATGAGTTATTGGATTTTTTTTCTTTTTTTCTTTTCTAATAATTCTGCCAAAAGTTCCAGGGAGGGTTCCCTTGGGTAGGCTTGGGCCATATGTCCATCTATCCTCAAACCAATCACTCTGGCCATGACAATATGGCATTCTGTTTGGTCAGGTCAGTGTTGTGCATCTGATTCTAGAGAGGAGGAAATGGATTATGGGGCACCTTCACCTCTACCATATGTGGTGGGAACAGTGGAGAGCTGTCTCCCAAAATAAAGCCAGGATGCTGTTATTAAAAGAAAAAGTAGCAGATGTCAGGCAGTCAAATCAAGAGAAGGACTATCAAGTTGAACAACTGAATGAAGAAGGAAATATAAAGGAGAATTAGTGACTAAGGAAATTAATCAATGAGAAAATAAATGAACAAATGATGCTTCTTTGATGGCAGATGAGGGAATCCTCCCAAATGGGGAAAAGTGAATTAAAGGCAAGCTGATGCCACACTGAACATAGGTTTTGAATGTTGCATTGTTTTGTGGTAGGTTCATCTTGGTTAAGGTGAATCTTGGAGGGTCCAGAAACTTTTTGGTACAAAAATGATTATGTGTTCCCTGTGCACCTTTGACTTTTCTCAATCTCACTGGAGTGGGAGCAGCTTTCAGCTGTTGACCTGCTACCCTCTGTCTTAGTCCACCTTGTGTTGCTATAATGGAATATCTGAGATTGGGCAATTTATAAAGAAAAGATGATTATTTGGCTTATGATCCTGGTGGCTGGAAAGTCTAAAATTAGGCATCTGCATCTGGTGAGGGCTTCAGACTGCTTCAACTCATGGTGGAAAGTGGAGGGGGAGTGGGTGTATGCAAAGAGATTACATGGTGAGAGAGAGAGCAAGAGAGAGAAACCAAGGAGGCCAGGCTCTTTTTAACAACCCACTCTCAGATGAGCTAATCCATTCCTGAGAGAGTAGGAGCTTACTCATTCTTGAGAGAGACATTAATCTATTCACAGGAGATCCATCCCCGTGAACAAACACCTCCCATTAGGCCCCACTTCCTGATACTGCCCCACGGGGGATCAAATTTCAATGTGAGTTGAGGGAGACTAACCACATCCAAACCACAGCAGCCCCACAAAAGAAACTCCATAAAGGGAAGGTAGTTTCTTCCTCCCCATCCCCAAGCCTTAACCTCTCTCCTACAATTTCTGTAGGCCTCCCCCTCCTCCTTGGAGAATGTGTTCCTATCAGCCGAGCTGAAAAACAGCCAGGAGGCTCATCTGCGTTCGCCTCCGTAGGCAAAGTGACTTCTGCAACACCAAGCCTAGAGTGAGTTTATCTCTCCCTGAGTCAAAGAGATTTTGTCTATAGGCCTTTCTGCTGTGTTCCTCCAGAGAGAGGTAAACTGCCCTTAAGTAATTGCTGAAGAAGGCATAAACCAGGGAAATTTGATTTGAGCATGCAATTTGAATCGGGAAATGCTCATATAAATAACCGGAGCAGCTGAATGCGGCGCGTTTGTGCTTTATAGATTTTTTTTTTTTTTTTTAATCTCAGGGTCTTCAGAATACAAGTTCTGCTGCAGCAGCTTAAACCACCTCAGGTCTTTGCACTTTGGCCTTGTCCTAGTTTGGTACTGTTAACTGCCAGGCTAGAGTCTGGCTAAGTTGAAGTTGTCTTATTTATCTGTATCTTTGGAAAGAAAAAAAAATTGCTTGAACACCCAAACAACATTATATCATAGAACAGCAACACAGTCTTTAAAAAAACAAACACTTTTGAACCAAGAAGGAGTTTGGAGTCATTTAGTTCAACTTCCCCAATGATGGAATAAGGAATTCAGAGATGGTAAGTCACTTTCTGGGTTAACTAAGATTTTGGAAGTATCATAATCAGCTTTTGCTGCAGCAAAAAACAATTCCTAAATCCAAGAGCTGTAGGTTTCTAGCTTATATTATATCTGTGCCAAAGGTCACCCATGGCTCTCCTGGGCTGGGCTGAGCTCTCTCCTCTTGTATTCTCAAGGAGCAGCCACTCTTGGCGGCATGCTACTCTCATGATAGATGACAGAGGCTGAAGAGCACAGAACCAAATTTCAGGAGTTCATTTATAGCTACTGATTGGATATGGTGATTGTCATATCTGTTCACATTCCATCAGTCAAAACACGTCCCTTGGCTGCCAAGCCCAATGGCAATAGGGCAGGGATGGGAAGCATGGCTAGAGTGGATAGGGTGCAAGTCATTGTGAGCAAGTGATACAGTCCACCACTGGAGAGTGGAGAAACTCTTGCAGTGATGAACGTCCAAGAAGAAATGTGAAAACTGAGAAAGTCTTTGATGTTTCCTGAATCCACTTATTCTTTTAGTGTTACTGATGTTAATGAATAACCACATTCACCCAGTGATGTAAGCTTAATATGTGGGTGTCATTCCAGATCCTCCCTCATCTCTGCTTGTTACATCCAATAATCAACCAAACTCTTTCCTTATCAGTACTTACCAAACATGCCTCAAATTTCCCCCTTCTTTTCACACTTCATTTCCCAGGTATTTTGCCTACAGGCTCTTTCCCTCCAATCCATGCACTGCACCATGGCCAGAGCCACTTCCTCTCATCCTATCTAGGCCACTTTCTTGGGTAAAGTCCTTCCACACTTATAAGGATAAAATGCCATTCTTCTAATGTCGCCTTAAACATTCAGTTCCTGCTACTCCCTCCCCGCCTACAGCTGGCCCTGGGTTCAATATTTACTCATCTAAGAGCAGCCAGTTTGAATATTAACCAGGTCAGTATGGAAGCAGGACTTGGGACATGCTCCAGTCTCTGCTGGGATTTGCTAAGTAGGTGAGAACTAAATAAGAATTGATTATAAGTCTCAGAAGGATGGGAGGAGGAAAGCCAAGCTTCTATAATCAATTCTTTGTTTATAGAGGAGGTGATCCTTCATTTTCTCTGAGGGCTCAGCAGAATAATGGACTTCTTTTTTCCCAACACTAGGGTCCAGAAAATATTACTCGTCACCTCCTACAATGTAAGCCCCATTGAGTATCCCAGGATTCTGTGATGATTTAACTATGAATCACCCACTCCCAGGTATTGGAGAGTTGACTCTTGCTTTGATTTCACTGAGATTTGGGATCATCCTGGCCGTCTTTCCTCCATCCTCTATTAATGAGTCACTGGACTATGCTGGAATTAGCTGGATATTCCACATTGTTTATCAGTGGCTGTGTGCTTTTGTGGCATGTTCAACCATTCTTTGTGGCTATAATGCATTTTATGCTCCAATCCATAAGTCCTTTACCCCTCATCCTGATTTTGATTTACTCCTCTTGTTAATCTAGAAAACTGCTATTCAATATCATGAGCCTGGCTCACAGCATCTCTTCATTGAAAGCTCTCTTTCTGGAGTTTACACACTACTGGCATGAAGACTGTTTTCATTTTCTTTGGTTTTTCCCTCTGCTACATTTTCTCTAGGTTCTCAAGCCTCTCTCTCTCCTCCTCTTTGGGTTTCAGAGTCTTGCTTCTGCAGTGAGGGCTCCCTGCCTCTGTTCTTGTGTGAGTATCATCTCCTATCTGATATGTGCGTTTCTGGTGAAGCTATTTTATTTTTCCTAAAAACACCATTGTACAATGTTCTTTAGAGGAAGGAAGTTGGAGTTTTTTACATTATCTTTTTTAAAAAATTTATTTTTATTTTTATTTTAAGTTCTGGGGTATGTGTGCAGGTTGTGCAGGTTTGTTACATAGATAAACATGTGCCATGGTGGTTTGTTGCACCTATCAATCCATCACCTAGGTATTAAGCCCAGCATGCATTAGCTCTTTTTCCTAATGCTCTCCCTCCCCCCACCCCACCCCCCCAACAGGCCCCAGTGTGTGTTGTTACCCTCCCTGTGTCCATGTGTTCTCATTGTTCAGCTCCCACTTATAAGTGAGAACATGCAGTGTTTGGTTTTCTGTTCCTGAGTTAGCTTGCTGAGGATAAAGCCTTCCAGTTCCATCCATATCCCTGCAAAGGACATGATCTCATTCTTTTTTATGGCTGCATAGTATTCCATGGTGTATATGTACCACGTTTTCTTGATCCAGTCTATCATTGACGGGCATTTGGGTTGATTCCATGTCTTTGCTACTGTGAATAGTGCTGCAATGAACATACGTGCACATGTATCTTTTTTTACATTTTTTTTTTTAGCTCCTATGCTGTCCTGCACATTATCCCCTTCATTCACTTAGTTAATTAATATTGGTTGACAGTTTACTATGTGCCAGGCACCATGCAAGGCACTGGGAATGCAACTGTGAACAAGAGTGACAAAGCCCCTGCCGTCATGATACCAATTGACTAGGGGGGATTATGGCATCCAACAAACTCACATGAGTCAGGCGGTTACCAATGGGGTGAGTGCTGTGGAAGAAATAAATAAGGTGATGGGCTGGAGAGTAACTGGGAGAGGTCACTTGGATCGTGAGGTCAGGACCACCTCTTTGAAGAAGTGATGTTTCAATTGAGGCCTGAAAGATGAGAAAGAACTAGGCTTGGGAATGGATGAGGGAAAGAGTAAGTGCAATGAGAACAAGGGCACAGGCTTGGAGGCAAGAAAGTGCTTGAGGGGCCTAAGTCTTAGCCAACAATCAGGAGTGTGGTCTGAGATGAGGTTATAGGAGTGGGTGTGGATAGAACATGTGAAAACTTGTAGGCTATTTTAGTAACTCTAGGCTGTATCTAAGAAAATGAAAATATATTAAAGGATTTTAAGCAGAGGAATAGCACAACATGATTTACCATTTCAAAAGACAACCCTAGATGTTGTGTGTATTAAAATGGGAAGCAGGGATAGACACAAAAAGTTCACTTTTTTTTTTTTTTTTTTTTTTTGTAAGGAGGCTTTTGCAGTAACCCAGACAAAAGCAGGTGCCTTAGACTAGGGTAATGGCCATGTGCTTACAGAAGAGTGGAAGTCAAGACCTACTTTGGTGATAAAACAAACGGGACTTGTTGATCTATCGAAGATGAGTTCTAGCAGAGATAAATCAAGGATGACTTTGAAAGCAAGGATGGTTTTTGCCATGAGCAACTGGGCAGATGCAGAGGCCTTTTACTGAAATATGAAAACTGGCAGAGGAGCATGAGGTTGGATAAAATGAGAGCTCTTTGAAGACATAACAAATCTGAGATGCCCATAAGGGGGCGTGATGACTAATTTTATATGTCAACTTGACGGGGCTAAGTGGTGCCGAGATAGCTGGTAAAACATTATTTCTGGGTGTGTCTGTGAGAGTGTTTCTGGAAGAGGTTACTATTTGAGTCAGTAGACTGAGTAAAGATGATCACTCTACTGAATGTGGGTTGGTATCATTCAGTCCACTGAGAACCTGAATAAAAACCAAAGGCAGAGAAAGGGTGAGTTTGTTTTCTCTGCTTGAGCTGAGACATCCATCCTCTCCTGCCCTTGAGACATCAGAGTTCCAGGTTCTTGAGCCTTCAGACTCAAACTGGGATGCACATCATTGTTCTCCTGGTTCTCAGGACTTTGGACTTGCACTGGAATTACACCCCAGCTTTCCTGATTCTACAGTTTGAAGATGGTAGATTGTGGGACTTCTCAGACTCCATAATGAGGTAAACCAATGTCTCATATCTTTCTTTTTTTAACTTTTATTTTAAGCTCAGGAATACAAGTGCGGGTTTGTTACATCGGTACATGTGTGTCATGGGGGTTTGCTATACAAATCATTTCATCACCCAGGAATGAAGCCTAGTACCCATTAATTATTTTTCATGATCCTCTCCCTCCTCCCACCCTCCGCCCTCCAAAAGGCCCCAGTGTGTGTTGTTCCCTTCTATGTACCTATGTGTTCTCATTATTTAGCTCCCACTTATAAGTGAGAGCATGCGGTATTTAATTTTCTGTTCCTGAGTTAGTTTGCTAAGGGTAATGGCACTCACTGATCATTAGAGAAATGCAAATCAAAACTGCAATGAGATACCATCTAAACCAGTCAGAATGGCTATTATTAAAAGGTAAGAAAATAATAAATGCTGGCAAGGTTGTGGAGAAAAAGGAATGGTCTGGCGCAATGGCTCATGCCTGTAATCCCAGCACTTTGGGAGGCCGAGGTGGTAGGATCATGAGGTCAGGAGATCGAGACCATCCTGGCTAACACAGTGAAACTCCGTCTCTACTAAAAATACAAAAAATTAGCCAGGCATGGTGGCGGGAGCCTGTAGTCCCAGCTACTTGGGAGGCTGAGGCAGGAGAATGGCATGAACCTGGGAGGCGGAGCTTGCAGTGAGCCAAGATCACGCCACTGCACTCCAGCCTGGGTGACAGTGTGAGACTCCATCTCAAAAAAAAAAAAAAAAAAAGAAAAAGAAAAAAAAAAAGGAACACTTATACACTGTTGGTGGGAGCATAAATTAGTCTAGCCATTGTGGAAGACAGTATGGTGATTCCTCCAAGACCTAAAGACAGAAATACTATTTGAACCAGCAATCCCATTACTGGGTATGTACCCAAAGGAATATAAACCATTCTATTATAAAAACACTTCCTTAACCTGCACAATGCACATGTACCCTAAAACTTAAAGTATAAAAAAAAAAACAAAAAAACACTTCCACACACGTGTTTATTGCAGCACTATTTACAATAGCAAAGACATGAAATCAACCTAAATGCCCATCAATGATAGACTGGATAAAGAAAATGTGGTATATATATACCATGGAATACTATGCAGCCATAAAAAAGAATGAGATCATGTCCTTTGCAGGGACATGGATGGAGCTGGAGGCCATAATAAATCTTCCTGTGTATCTCTATATATCCTATTTGTTTTGTTTTTCTAAAAAACCCTGACTAATGCAGAGGCTCAAGCCATCTGTCTTCCACTAGACTTTGCTGTATCACTAATGTTGAGCACAGTGCTTGACATGTAACAGGTACTAAGAAAGTGTTGAATGAGAGAATTGAAATGAGATGCTTAAAAGCTACAGATGACTAATGGCTTCTATGACAACGGACAATCAGAGTCCCTAGCAATGGCTAATTAAACCATTCCAATCTGATGTCCAAAATATTGTGTGCTAGAGACCCCCTTTCTTTTCCCATTAATTGAACAGGCCCTGTCTTTTTTGCTCTTGTAGTCAATTGTTCTTCAAGTGTAATTAGCCCTTGCATTTTGACAGTAAATGAGACTCCAATACTTCGATAAATGGCTTGTTTCTGGAAAAGGAGTATTTGTGAATAGAAAACTCAGTCGTCTTCCCCCTTTCTCCCACCTCTTCCTCTTCCCCCTAATTTGGGTGGCCCTTGGCCTATGTTATTACCTTCAGAAAGGAACAGTGTTTCTTCGAAAAGGATAGCAACACAGAAAGAATAGTTATCATTCATTGAACACCTGTTACATGGCAGGTGGGTACATTCTATGCAATGCAACAATCCTGAAAAGTCATTTTAAAATATCTTTATGTTCCAGCCGAGTAAACTGAATGAAGCTCATTGAGACTGAAGAACTTGTTAAAATTCCACAGTTACTAGGAGGCTGAATCAAGATTCAAACACACCCAAGTTTGTCTGATGCCAACATCTGTCCCTTTTCTGTGATTCGGTGTCTCCCTTAGACCGTAAGGAGTTGGCCCTTGTTGAGAAACTCCTATGGCCTCACTTGTTAGTGGAAAAAATAGCAGTGGCTTTGCCTGTTAGCAAGGAACAAACACCCTTCCACTTGGTTCAGATTTCTTAACTCATGTGATCTGTTTTGGTCTTCTCATTAACCCTCTGGGGGTGGGGGGAGTGAGTGATAATTATCACCCGCATTAGGTAAGAAAATGGATGGTGTCTCACATAGCTTGCAGTGGGCGGGTATGAGCATCAAATCTAGGCAGCCTGACCAACCAAGTCCCCTCCTTTAGCCTTTACATGATGTGCTCTTTTTCAGCTGTCTCGCCCTTCCCAATTGACGAAGATTCTTTGTTCACATTCGTGATCTTATTTGGTGTGGGGACACAGAGACTGATTTGCTGAATTTTTTTAAGAGCTGGAAACACTATGGAAGGTTGTCTAAACTAATTCAAATGATTTCCCTTGTCTTGACCCAAGAGGGATGTGTGAATTTCTCAAAATTGTCCACATGACATCATGCTCATTAGGATAGTCACCATCAAAAGAAAAGAAAATAACAAGTGTTGGTGAGGAGGCCAAGAAGTTAGAATCTTCGTGTACTATAAATGGGACTGTAAAATGGCATAGGCATTATGGAAAATTGTATGGAATTTTCTCAAAAAAAATGGAATTACAATATTATCTCACAACCCCACTTTTGGATATACATGCAAAAAAAAAAAATAAGCAGGATCTCAAAGAAATCTTAGCACTCCAGTGTACATTACCCAACTATTTTTTTTTTTTTTTTTTTTTTTTTTTTTTTTTGAGACGGAGTCTCGCTCTGTCGCCCAGGCTGGACTGCGGACTGCAGTGGCGCAATCTCGGCTCACTGCAAGCTCCGCTTCCCGGGTTCACGCCATTCTCCTGCCTCAGCCTCCCGAGTAGCTGGGACTACAGGCGCCCGCCACCGCGCCCGGCTAATTTTTTGTATTTTTAGTAGAGACGGGGTTTCACCTTGTTAGCCAGGATGGTCTCGATCTCCTGACCTCATGATCCACCCGCCTCGGCCTCCCAAAGTGCTGGGATTACAGGCGTGAGCCACCGCGCCCGGCCATTACCCAACTATTTGTAATAGCCAAGATGTGAAGTCAAATGTCCACTGATGGATGAATGGATGCAGAAAATGTGGTCTATACATACAATGAATATCACTCAGCCTTAAAAAAGAAGGAAATCTTGCTATATGCTGCAACTTGGGTGAAACTCAAGGACACTCCACTAAGTGAAATAAACCAGTCACAAAAGGACAAATACTCTATGATTCTGATCAAAGAAGTATCTCAAGTAGTCAAAATCATAGGAAGTAGAAAGATGGTTGGTAAGGGCTGGGGGAAAGGAGAGGGGAGGGGGAATTAGTGTTTAATGGGTATAGAGTTTCTGTTTTATAAGATGCAAGTCTGTGGTGTTCTTTTTTGTTTGTTTTTTGAGACGGAGTCTTGCTTTGTAACCCAAGCTGGAATGCAGTGGAACAATCTCACCTCATTGCAACCTCCACCTCCTGGGTTCAAGGGATTCTCCTGCCTCAGCCTCCTGAGTAGCTGGGATTACAGATGTATGCCCCCAGGCCCGTCTAGTTTTTGTGATTTTAGCAGAGATGAGGTTTTGCCATGTTGGCCAGACTGGTCTCGAACTTCTGACCTCAAGTGATCCGCCGGCCTCCCAAAGTGCTGGGGTTACAGGCATGAGCCACTGTGCCTGGCCAGATGAAAAAGTTTTATAGATCTGTTGCATGACAAAGCGACTTACACTTAACACTACTGAACGGTACATTAAAAAATGGTGGAAGATGGCAAATTTAATGTTATTTGTTTTTTACTACAAAGAATTTTGAAAACACTGCGGTGGATTTAGCACTTGACCCCATGTCACCAGGATCCAGTGAAGTTTGAGCTGCCTAAAAATGAATGTTGCCTTCTTTTTTTTTTTCTTTTTGGTCCAGGGCTATGCTTCTCTCTTAGGTTGTGTGTTATTTTCTTTGCCATAGCAACTTTGAGAAGTAAATGGGTGCTTTTGCTACACCTCAGGGGGAATCAGGTAAGTCAGGTAAACCTACCAGAGAGTCCACCTCTTCCAAGGTGCATTCATTCATCTCCCTTAGAATGGAGATGGAGTTATGAAGTAACCAGGGGTGGCATTATCAGTCCTACATGGGGAAACCAAGACTCAGCATGACCACTGGAGTGTTCAGGGTCACCTGAGGGTATTGGTGATGGAGGGTGGGGTGAGACAATATCCCAGGAATTCCGATGCTGGGTCCAGAGTTAGTGAAGTGGGAGGAGTGGCACATTTTTAAGACTTGGAACTGAAGAAAATGTTGAGAAACTTGGATGCTTTTCTTATTTTTATTATTCTATGTAAGGAACTTTCTACAGCACTAAAGTGAATAGTTCCATTGAGTTGTCCAGCCCTGACCCTTGATCTCAATGCCCATCAGTGGCCTCAGACTTGGGCTTTCTTTCAGGCTTTCTTTCATCCTCCAGGCTGTGGGGCCCTGTGAGCCTTCTTCTTCCCCAGCGGTAGATTTTTCTTTTTAATGTTTGAACTCCAGAGGCCCCCAAGGGCTTCTGCCTTAATTAAAATTTAAATTCACAAATCATGTCTTAAACCGTCTCACAGGCAGCCAAATAATCGCAATCATTAGCAAGTGGTTGGAGTTGCTTTTGCTTTAATGCTTTTCAAGGGTGATGGATACATGGGCTTAGTCCCATCATTACTGCTGTCTTCTACCACCCCTCTCTCCACAAACCTTGCTCAGAAAACTTTTCTACAACACCTTTGTTTTCTCTTGTAATAGAGAAGCCTGTGTTCTTGGTTCAGAATGTATTAATGTGTCTTGGTCTGTCCCTACCCCTGCCTTCTGCAGCTTGCCCATGTCCTGGAGGCCGTCCTCATTTGGGGACCAGTCAATTACCAGGTAATGGCTTAGAGCACAGACAGAGTGAAGACCCAACACAAGGCTGGACGGGCTTCCCTAGGAGCCACTTCTGGACTTTGGCATTGGGATAGGTCCTTTAGTCTGGTTATTTGCTCCTGGGAATTTGCAGAGTGTCCCACAGCTGTGCTTCCCCTGGTCCAGGGTGGCTCAACCTTGGCACTGCCAACATTTTGGGTTTGACAGTTTGTTGTAGGGAGAATGTCCGGTGCATTTTAGAATGTTTGGCAGCCTGCCTGTTCTCTACATACTATATGTCAGTAGCAGTCCCCAGTTGTGACAAACAAGTGTCCTGAGACACGGCCAAATGTCCCCTGGGGCAAAATCTCCCAGTTGAGAAAGGCTCTAGTCCAACGGCCTCTCTAAGACCAACACCCTTCTCTCAGTTCATTTTGTGTTGCAGGAATACCTGAAACTGGGCAATTTATGAAGAAAAGAGGTTTATTTGGCTCTTGGTTCTGTAGGCAGCACAGGAAGCATGGTGCTGGCATCTGCTTGTAGTGAGGGCTTTAGGGAGCTTCCAGTCATGGTGGAAGAAGAAGGGGAGCAGGTGTGTCCCATAGTGAGAGAGGAGGAGGTGCCACTCTCTTTTTAAACAGCCAGCTCTTGTGTGAACTAATAGAGTGAGAACTCATTCATTACTGTGGGGAGGGTACCAAGCCATTTGTGAGGGATCCTGCCCCTCCATGACCTTGACTTTTTATGACTTACCCTTAGAAGTCACATAGCACTCCTTCTGCCAAACTTTATAAATTGAGGCAGTCATAAATCCACCCATATTCGAGGGGAGGAGACACAGACCCCACCTTTTGATGGCAGGAGCATCAAAGAATTTGCAGCCATATTTGAAAACTGCACCTCATTTCTATTCCCACGTTCAGAGATGTGAATTTTTCCAAGCCTTTAGCAGATAATTCAATCCCGCCTTGAAAAATTTCACCAGGTGTATTTACACCAAAAGCCTACTTCAATTAATCAATTCTAATGCTCCAATTACTCAGCTTATATTTTCAGACACTCTAATAAGCACCACAAATGAATAGGAACTAAGCTGATGGTGCATCACCCTCCACTATTAAAAAGACCACACTTGATTTCTCAAGCAGCCTTTACCTTTGTAAAATGAATTTCCTTCTCTCACTTGTATTTAGCACAGGAAAATGTTTCCTTAGGGTTGTGGTGGAGTTGGGACAGATGGGAAGACATCTAAGAACATGTAGCAATTGTAATAAAGGTAAATTTGTTTTTTTTCTTGCTTTTTTTTTTTTTTTTGGAGACAGGATCTCATTCTGTCACCCAGGCAGGAGTGCAGTGGCATGATCTCAGCTCACAAAGGTTACATTTTAAATGAAGACTGAAGCCTTGTTAGTTTGTGATTTTTGTCATGTTGGGAAGGATGTGGACTCCTATTCAGACTCTAGGATTAAACAACCTGGGCCTCAGTTTACTCATCTGTAGAGTAAGGGGTTGGACTTGATATTTTCCAAAACCTCTACCAGGTCCTAAATTGTCTGTGATTATAGGAATATTTGCCAAGGGCGATTTTCTAACATCAATACCCAGAGGGAGCACCCATGTAATAATCATATTCATTGACATGAATCATATTCATTGATATGAATCATATTCATTGAATAGCTTGCCTTCAAGAAATACTGTGGCACTTCTGGTAACCATACCTTTTACTCTGCATTTACTTAAATATGTACATGCATTTTTACATAAGTGGTAGTATACATTTTCTTTTGTAATTTCCTTTTTTCCCCTACCACTATAATACATGCTGAAAAGCTTCCATCTCAGTACCTATAATTAAGCTTAATTCTTTTTTTTTTTTTTTTTTTTTTTTTTTATTATACTCTAAGTTTTAGGGTACATGTGCACATTGTGCAGGTTAGTTACATATGTATACATGTGCCATGCTGGTGCGCTGCACCCACTAATGTGTCATCTAGCATTAGGTATATCTCCCAATGCTATCCCTCCCCCCTCCCCCGACCCCACCACAGTCCCCAGAGTGTGATATTCCCCTTCCTGTGTCCATGTGATCTCATTGTTCAATTCCCACCTATGAGTGAGAATATGCGGTGTTTGGTTTTTTGTTCTTGCGATAGTTTACTGAGAATGATGGTTTCCAATTTCATCCATGTCCCTACAAAGGATATGAACTCATCATTTTTTATGGCTGCATAATATTCCATGGTGTATATGTGCCACATTTTCTTAATCCAGTCTATCATTGTTGGACATTTGGGTTGGTTCCAAGTCTTTGCTATTGTGAATAGTGCCGCAATAAACATACGTGTGCATGTGTCTTTATAGCAGCATGATTTATAGTCCTTTGGGTATATACCCAGTAATGGGATGGCTGGGTCAAATGGTATTTCTAGTTCTAGATCCCTGAGGAATCGCCACACTGACTTCCACAATGGTTGAACTAGTTTACAGTCCCACCAACAGTGTAAAAGTATTCCTATTTCTCCGCATCCTCTCCAGCACCTGTTGTTTCCTGACTTTTTAATGATTGCCATTCTAACTGGTGTGAGATGATATCTCATAGTGGTTTTGATTTGCATTTCTCTGATGGCCAGTGATGATGAGCATTTCTTCATGTGTTTTTTGGCTGCATAAATGTCTTCTTTTGAGAAGTGTCTGTTCATGTCCTTCGCCCACTTTTTGATGGGGTTGTTTGTTTTTTTCTTGTAAATTTGTTTGAGTTCATTGTAGATTCTGGATATTAGCCCTTTGTCAGATGAGTAGGTTGCGAAAATTTTCTCCCATTTTGTAGGTTGCCTGTTCACTCTGATGGTAGTTTCTTTTGCTGTGCAGAAGCTCTTTAGTTTAATTAGATCCCATTTGTCAATTTTGGCTTTTGTTGCCATTGCTTTTGGTGTTTTGGACATGAAGTCCTTGCCCACGCCTATGTCCTGAATGGTAATGCCTAGGTTTTCTTCTAGGGTTTTTATGGTTTTAGGTTTAACGTTTAAATCTTTAATCCATCTTGAATTGATTTTTGTATAAGGTGTAAGGAAGAGATCCAGTTTCAGCTTTCTACATATGGCTAGCCAGTTTTCCCAGCACCATTTATTAAATAGGGAATCCTTTCCCCATTGCTTGTTTTTCTCAGGTTTGTCAAAGATCAGATAGTTGTAGATATGTGGCATTATTTCTGAGGGCTCTGTTCTGTTCCATTGATCTATATCTCTGTTTTGGTACCAGTACCATGCTGTTTTGGTTACCGTAGCCTTGTAGTATAGTTTGAAGTCAGGTAGTGTGATGCCTCCAGCTTTGTTCTTTTGGCTTAGGATTGACTTGGCAATGCGGGCTCTTTTTTGGTTCCATATGAACTTTAAAGTAGTTTTTTCCAATTCTGTGAAGAAAGTCATTGGTAGCTTGATGGGGATGGCATTGAATCTGTAAATTACCTTGGGCAGTATGGCCATTTTCACGATATTGATTCTTCCTACCCATGAGCATGGAATGTTCTTCCATTTGTTTGTGTCCTCTTTTATTTCCTTGAGCAGTGGTTTGTAGTTCTCCTTGAAGAGGTCCTTCACATCCCTTGTAAGTTGGATTCCTAGGTATTTTATTCTCTTTGAAGCAATTGTGAATGGGAGTTCACCCATGATTTGGCTCTCTGTTTGTCTGTTGTTGGTGTATAAGAATGCTTGTGATTTTTGTACATTGATTTTGTATCCTGAGACTTTGCTGAAGTTGCTTATCAGCTTAAGGAGATTTTGGGCTGAGGTGATGGGGTTTTCTAGATAAACAATCATGTCGTCTGCAAACAGGGACAATTTGACTTCCTCTTTTCCTAATTGAATACCCTTTATTTCCTTCTCCTGCCTGATTGCCCTGGCCAGAACTTCCAACACTATGTTGAATAGGAGCGGTGAGAGAGGGCATCCCTGTCTTGTGCCAGTTTTCAAAGGGAATGCTTCCAGTTTTTGCCCATTCAGTATGATATTGGCTGTGGGTTTGTCATAGATAGCTCTTATTATTTTGAAATACGTCCCATCAATACCTAATTTATTGAGAGTTTTTAGCATGAAGGGTTGTTGAATTTTGTCAAAGGCTTTTTCTGCATCTATTGAGATAATCATGTGGTTTTTGTCTTTGGCTCTGTTTATATGCTGGATTACATTTATTGATTTGCGTATATTGAACCAGCCTTGCATCCCAGGGATGAAGCCCACTTGATCATGGTGGATAAGCTTTTTGATGTGCTGCTGGATTCGGTTTGCCAGTATTTTATTGAGGATTTTTGCATCAATGTTCATCAAGGATATTGGTCTAAAATTCTCTTTTTTGGTTGTGTCTCTGCCCGGCTTTGGTATCAGAATGATGCTGGCCTCATAAAATGAGTTAGGGAGGATTCCCTCTTTTTCTATTGATTGGAATAGTTTCAGAAGGAATGGTACCAGTTCCTCCTTGTACCTCTGGTAGAATTCGGCTGTGAATCCATCTGGTCCTGGACTCTTTTTGGTTGGTAAACTATTGATTATTGCCACAATTTCAGAGCCTGTTATTGGTCTATTCAGAGATTCAACTTCTTCCTGGTTTAGTCTTGGGAGAGTGTATGTGTCGAGGAATGTATCCATTTCTTCTAGATTTTCTAGTTTATTTGCGTAGAGGTGTTTGTAGTATTCTCTGATGGTAGTTTGTATTTCTGTGGGATCGGTGGTGATATCCCCTTTATCATTTTTTATTGTGTCTATTTGATTCTTCTCTCTTTTTTTCTTTATTAGTCTTGCTAGCGGTCTATCAATTTTGTTGATCCTTTCAAAAAACCAGCTCCTGGATTCATTGATTTTTTGAAGGGTTTTTTGTGTCTCTATTTCCTTCAGTTCTGCTCTGATTTTAGTTATTTCTTGCCTTCTGCTAGCTTTTGAATGTGTTTGCTCTTGCTTTTCTAGTTCTTTTAATTGTGATGTTAGGGTGTCAATTTTGGATCTTTCCTGCTTTCTCTTGTAGGCATTTAGTGCTATAAATTTCCCTCTACACACTGCTTTGAATGCGTCCCAGAGATTCTGGTATGTGGTGTCTTTGTTCTCGTTGGTTTCAAAGAACATCTTTATTTCTGCCTTCATTTCGTTATGTACCCAGTAGTCATTCAGGAGCAGGTTGTTCAGTTTCCATGTAGTTGAGCGGCTTTGAGTGAGATTCTTAATCCTGAGTTCTAGTTTGATTGCACTGTGGTCTGAGAGATAGTTTGTTATAATTTCTGTTCTTTTACATTTGCTGAGGAGAGCTTTACTTCCAACTATGTGGTCAATTTTGGAATAGGTGTGGTGTGGTGCTGAAAAAAATGTATATTCTGTTGATTTGGGGTGGAGAGTTCTGTAGATGTCTATTAGGTCTGCTTGGTGCAGAGCTGAGTTCAATTCCTGGGTATCCTTGTTGACTTTCTGTCTCGTTGATCTGTCTAATATTGACAGTGGGGTGTTAAAGTCTCCCATTATTAATGTGTGGGAGTCTAAGTCTCTTTGTAGGTCACTCAGGACTTGCTTTATGAATCTGGGTGCTCCTGTATTGGGTGCATAAATATTTAGGATAGTTAGCTCCTCTTGTTGAATTGATCCCTTTACCATTATGTAATGGCCTTCTTTGTCTCTTTTGATCTTTGTTGGTTTAAAGTCTGTTTTATCAGAGACTAGGATTGCAACCCCTGCCTTTTTTTGTTTTCCATTTGCTTGGTAGATCTTCCTCCATCCTTTTATTTTGAGCCTATGTGTGTCTCTGCACGTGAGATGGGTTTCCTGAATACAGCACACTGATGGGTCTTGACTCTTTATCCAACTTGCCAGTCTGTGTCTTTTAATTGCAGAATTTAGTCCATTTATATTTAAAGTTAATATTGTTATGTGTGAATTTGATCCTGTCATTATGATGTTAGCTGGTGATTTTGCTCATTAGTTGATGCAGTTTCTTCCTAGTCTCGATGGTCTTTACATTTTGGCATGATTTTGCAGCGGCTGGTACCGGTTGTTCCTTTCCATGTTTAGTGCTTCCTTCAGGAGCTCTTTTAGGGTAGGCCTGGTGGTGACAAAATCTCTCAGCATTTGCTTGTCTGTAAAGTATTTTCTTTCTCCTTCACTTATGAAGCTTAGTTTGGCTGGATATGAAATTCTGGGTTGAAAATTCTTTTCTTTAAGAATGTTGAATATTGGCCCCCACTCTCTTCTGGCTTGTAGGGTTTCTGCCGAGAGATCTGCTGTTAGTCTGATAGGCTTCCCTTTGAGGGTAACCCGACCTTTCTCTCTGGCTGCCCTTAACATTTTTTCCTTCATTTCAACTTTGGTGAATCTGACAATTATGTGTCTTGGAGTTGCTCTTCTCGAGGAGTATCTTTGTGGCGTTCTCTGTATTTCCTGAATCTGAATGTCGGCCTGCCTTGCTAGATTGGGGAAGTTCTCCTGGATAATATCCTGCAGAGTGTTTTCCAACTTGGTTCCATTCTCCACATCACTTTCAGGTACACCAATCAGACGTAGATTTGGTCTTTTCACATAGTCCCATATTTCTTGGAGGCTTTGCTCATTTCTTTTTATTCTTTTTTCTCTAAACTTCCCTTCTCGCTTCATTTCATTCATTTCATCTTCCATTGCTGATACCCTTTCTTCCAGTTGATCGCATCGGCTCCTGAGGCTTCTGCATTCTTCACGTAGTTCTCGAGCCTTGGTTTTCAGCTCCATCAGCTCCTTTAAGCACTTCTCTGTATTGGTTATTCTAGTTATACATTCTTCTAGATTTTTTTCAAAGTTTTCAACTTCTTTGCCTTTGGTTTGAATGTCCTCCCGTAGCTCAGAGTAATTTGATCGTCTGAAGCCTTCTTCTCTCAGCTCGTCAAAATCATTCTCCATCCAGCTTTGTTCTGTTGCTGGTGAGGAACTGCGTTCCTTTGGAGGAGGAGAGGCACTCTGCGTTTTAGAGTTTCCAGTTTTTCTGTTCTGTTTTTTCCCCATCTTTGTGGTTTTATCTACTTTTGGTCTTTGATGATGGTGATGTACAGATGGGTTTTCGGTGTAGATGTCCTTTCTGGTTGTTAGTTTTCCTTCTAACAGACAGGACCCTCAGCTGCAGGTCTGTTGGAATACCCTGCCATGTGAGGTGTCAGTGTGCCCCTGCTGGGGGGTGCCTCCCAGTTAGGCTGCTCGGGGGTCAGGGGTCAGGGACCCACTTGAGGAGGCAGTCTGCCCGTTCTCAGATCTCCAGCTGCGTGCTGGGAGAACCACTGCTCTCTTCAAAGCTGTCAGACAGGGACACTTAAGTCTGCAGAGGTTACTGCTGCCTTTTTGTTTGTCTGTGCCCTGCCCCCAGAGGTGGAGCCTACAGAGGCAGGCAGGCCTCCTTGAGCTGTGGTGGGCTCCACCCAGTTCGAGCTTCCCGGCTGCTTTGTTTACCTAAGCAAGCCTGGGCAATGGCGGGCGCCCCTCCCCCAGCCTCGTTGCCGCCTTGCAGTTTGATCTCAGACTGCTGTGCTAGCAATCAGCGAGATTCCGTGGGCGTAGGACCCTCTGAGCCAGGTGTGGGATATAGTCTCGTGGTGCGCCGTTTCTTAAGCCGGTCTGAAAAGCGCAATATTCGGGTGGGAGTGACCCGATTTTCCAGGTGCGTCCATCACCCCTTTCTTTGACTCGGAAAGGGAACTCCCTGACCCCTTGCGCTTCCCAGGTGAGGCAATGCCTCGCCCTGCTTCGGCTCGCGCACGGTGCGCACACACACTGGCCTGCGCCCACTGTCTGGCACTCCCTAGTGAGATGAACCCGGTACCTCAGATGGAAATGCAGAAATCACCCGTCTTCTGCGTCGCTCACGCTGGGAGCTGTAGACCGGAGCTGTTCCTATTCGGCCATCTTCAAGCTTAATTCTTTTCCACTGCTACATAATAGTCCACTGCACGGATAACTTAAAATCCGCTATAGGGATTATTTAAGTGTAGACCATTTTGATGTAAATTTAAGTTACTTTATTTCTTTTGCTTTTATATTAGCAATGCTTCAATATTAGCAATGCTGCAATGAATAGCACTGTGCATACGTCATTGTGATGGTTAATTTTATTTGTTAACTGGGCTAAGGGATGCCTAGATAGCTGGTCAAACATTGTTTTGCAGTATATCTGCTAAAACATTTCCAAAAGAGATTAGTGTTTGCATCAGCAGACTGAGTAAAGAAGATGGCCCTCAGCAATGTGGGTGGGCATGGCGTAATCCGCTGAAGGCCCAGATAGAAGAAAAAGGCGGAAAAAGGGTGAGTTCTCTGTCTTGTTGAGCTGCTACATTCATCTCCCACCCTTGGAGACTGGAGCTCCTGGTTCTCAGGGCTACAGGCTCTGGGACTTACACCAGTGGCCTCCCCAGTTCTTGGTCTTTGGACTTGGACTGAATGACATCACTGGCTTCCTGGGTTCTTCAGCTTGCAGATGGCAGATCATGGGACCTCTGGGCCACCACAATCATGTAAGCTAATTCCCATAATAAATCTTTGCCTATATATACTGTATTGATTCTCTTCCTCTGGAGAACCTTGAGCAATACAGTCATTTTGCTCCTATGCAGTTATACTGTAGAATAAATTTCTAGAAGGGAATTTGCTGGGTCAAAAGTTATGTGCTTTTATAATTCTGATAGCTATCGACAAATTTCTCATCACAGAGATCATACCAATTTGTTCCTCAATCAGTAATGTATAAAAGAGCTTTGTCCTCCTACACAGGGTATGATCAAACTTTACAATTCTTGGCACTCTGATAAGGCAGAAATGGCCTCATTATGGTTTTAAGTGGCATTTCTCCTTTGTGAGTAAGCTAGCATCTTTTCTTATATAGAAGAGTCTTTCGTATTTCTTTCTCTCAGAAAAGTATCCTTATAGACTGTGAAAGGGCATAACTTAAAACATTTTTATTTATTTATTTTTAATTATTATACTTTAAGTTCTAGGGTATATGTGCACAATGTGCAGGTTTGTTACATAGGTAATACATGTGCCATGTTGGTTTGCTGCACCCATTAATTCGTCATTTACATTAGGTATTTCTCCTAATGCTATCCCTCCCCCATCCCCCCACCCCATGACAGGCCCCAGTGTGTGGTGTTCCCCGCCCTGTGTTCAAGTGTTCTCATTGTTCAATTCCCACCTATGAGTGAGAACATGCAGTGTTTGGTTTTCTGTCCTTGTGATAGTTTGCTCAGAATGATGGTTTCCAGCTTCATCCATGTCCCTACAAAGGACATGAACTCATCCTTTTTTATGGCTGCATAGTATTCCATGGTGTTTATATGCCACATTTTCTTAATACAGTCTATTATTGATGGACATTTGGGTTGGTTCCAAGTCTTTGCTATTGTGAATAGTGCCGCAATAAACATACGTGTGCATGTGTGTTTATAGTAGCATGATTTATAATCCTTTAGGTATATACCCAGTAATGGGATGGCTGGGTCAAGTGGTATTTCTAGTTCTAGATCCTTGAGGAATCACCACACTGTCTTCCACAATGGTTGAACTAGTTTACACTCCCAACAGTGTAAAAGTATTCCTATTTCTCCACATCCTCTCCAGCATCTGTTGTTTCCTGACTTTTTAATGATGGCCATTCTAACTGGTGTGAGATGGTATCTCATTGTGGTTTTAATTTGCATTTCTCTGATGGCCAGTGATGATGAGCATTTTTTCATGTGTCTGTTGGCTGCATAAATGTCTTCTTTTGAAAAGTGTCTGTTCATATCCTTTGCCCACTTTTTGATGGGGTTGATTTTTTTCTTGCAAATTTGTTTGAGTTCTCTGTAGATTCTGGATATTAGACCTTTGTCAGATGGATAGATTGCAAAAATTTTCTCCCATTTTTGTATGTTGCCTGTTCACTCTGATGGTAGTTTCTTTTGCTGTGCAGAAGCTCTTTAGTTTAATTAGATCCCATTTGTCAATTTTGGCTTTTGTTGCCATTGCTTTTAGTGTAACTTAAAACATTTTTAATAGATGTTTTTATATTTTTCTAGTGAATCCACTCCATGACATCACCTTGCCTTCCTCTTTTTTTTTTTTTTTTTTTTGAGATGGAGTCTCACTTGGTCGCTCGGGCTGGAATGCAGTGGCACGATCTCAGCTAACTGCAACCTCCGTTTCCTGGAGAATCAGTGAACTGATTCTCCTGTCTCAGCCTCTTGAGTACCTTGGATTACAGGTGTGCACCACCATACCTGGCTAATTTTTGTGTTTTGGGTGGAGACAGGGTTTTGCCATGTTAGCCAGGCTGGTCTTGAACTCTTGACCTCAAATGATCCTCCCATCTCGGCCTCCCAAAGTGCTGGGATTACAGGCATGAGTCACCACGTCTGGCCCTCGCCTTCCTCTTTATGCCAGTTTCCGAAGTCACATGTAAGCCCTTAGGCAGATGGTGGGATCCTCATTCTATCACTCTATCCCTTTATGGTTTTCTTAGTTGTATCTTTAGGTGGAGTGAAGCGGGACAGCTAACACAGTGACCTCCAGTAGCCACAGAATTTGTTGGTATTTGCTAGAAATACATTTGGTGGATAATATGGACCATCAAAGCTTTACTTTGACTCCACCCTGCAATTTTGTCCAAGTGTCTCAGGAAATGACTGCACTTCATTTTTGCTGAAGCCTATTTCTCTGCAGTACATTTTGTAATCCTTATGGGTTTTATCATAAGAAAAAACAACTCATGGTCTTTCTAGAAAAAGTCAAACATTGGCTGGTTTCATCGTTTATCAGCATCAGCTCTTTCTGCTGATAATGCTGGTAACAAAACTTCTTTCTCTCAGCACCTCTTTCAGCCTGACTGTTAAGGTTTTGATGGAGAGGAGGTGGGAAGCCCAGGCTTGACTCTAAGCCTAAGCCACACTTGTCAATGCAGTTAATCAGAAACTTTGCATTGTTACTGGCCCCTGCCCAACTAGGGATAAAGATGACACTTTACTTAGATTTTCATGTGATCTTTATGTCTGGGACCAACCGGTTAAAATCCCAGAGGAAGGAAGTTTGGGCAATTGGCTAGATTCCAGCATTTTCCACACACTGGATTCTGTGTTAGGGATACTAAAATGAATTAATAAAATGCAGCCCTGGCCAGGTGCGGTGGCTCACACCTATAATCCCAGCACTTTGGGAGGCCAAGGTGGGCGGATCACGAGGTTGGGAGTTTGAGACCAGCCTGACCAACACGGTGAAACCCCGTCTCTACTAAAAATACAAAAATTAGCTGGGCATGGTGGCGTGCACTTGTAATCCTAGCTACTCAGGAGACTGAGACAAGAGAATTGCTTGAACCCGGGAGGTGGAGGTAGCAGTGAGCTGAGATTGCACCACTGCACTCCAGCCTAGGTGACAGAACGAGACTCTGTCTCAAAAAGAAAAAAAAAAAAGCAGCCCCTGGTCCAAAGTCACTCCCACATCAAAGCAGGTCCCACCTATAAGCAGATATTTATAATACAATGTAGTAAGTACCATGATAAAAGAAATCTTTCCAATCTAACTCATAGAGGAAGGGTTCCTGGAGGAGATAAACCTCGGTAAAAACATTAGTATGAATTGGTATTAGATAAGGTGGCCAGACCATGTGATCAAATAAATAGAGATGTGAAATAAAAAGGTACGTATGTGTGCCATGATAAGTGGTGTTTCTGGAGCAGAAATTATGTCATGCGTTAGTGGTTGAAGAAGTAGACAGAACCTGGTGAAACCTGTTTGTTCTCTAAAAGACTTGTAATTTATCCCGTAGATTAACTGGTTTTTCCCATGGCCAGACACCCACAGATAGCATTTCACCCTGTAATAACTTCTCTTGGGTGTGCCTAGGCTTCTGCATGATTACCAGCTCATTGGCTGTATCAGCAACCCGTTTTTTCTATCCAGTGAGTGTGAAAGAGATGCGGTTTCTACGGTCCTTAAAAAGCCTGGATCCATCAGCATTGGAGCTTGGAGAGGAGTTGAGGTAAAAGAAATGCAATCTACCAACAGATATAATGTTTAAGTATCTTACTTTTTACTGTAAAAAGTATCAAACTTTTTACTGTAGAGTTGAATCATTTATACATTTTGGTTTAACCTAATTCAATTTCTTTTCTTTTCTTTTTTTTTTTTGAGATGGAATCTCCCTCTGTCACCCAGGCTGCAGTGCAGTGGCACAATCTCAGCTCACTGCAACCTCCACCTCCCAGGCTCAAGCGATTTTCCTTCCTCTGCCTCCCAAGTAGCTGGGACTACAGGTGTGCGCCACCATGCCTGACTAATTTTTGTATTTTTAGTAGAGACAGGGTTTTGCCATGTTAGCCAGGCTGGTCTCAAACTCCTAACCTCAGGTGATCCACCTGCCTCGGCCTCCCAAAGTGCTGGGATTACAGGCATGAGCCACTGTACCCGGCCCTAATTCAATTCTTTATGCTGATTAAAGAATGGAAAAAGCAGGAGATGGGACATGCAAGGGAGAAAGTGGGGACAGTGTAACTGGCCCAGCCAATTCTGTCCTCTACTCATGGTATAAGAGAGCATGAGACAGGAGGACTGACGTTCATGCCCCATCATCAGCCTTGGTCTCCCATGTGGCTTTCATAACCTGAGTATCTCTTGGAGCCAAATGGGAGTCTAGTGTTTAGAAATATGTGTTTTTCATACAACCTGGGTGCTAAACACAAGATAAACGGTTCACCAAAGAACCAGTGAGTGATCAATTTTTGCTGGGAGACAGACTGGCCTGGCTGGCCATATGAAAAACCCAGCATATGCAGTTGACTCTCTGTATCTGTGGGTTCCACATCCATGGATTCAACCAACTGTGGATCAAAACTACATGGAAAAAAATTGTGTACTGAACATGTACAGACTTTGTTTCTTGTCATTTCCTAAGCAATGCAACATAACAACTATTTCATAGCAGTGACATTCTATTAGGTATTATAAGTAATCAGACATGACTTAAAGTATATGGGCGGATGTGTGTAGATTGTATGCAAATACGACACTGTTTTATATCGGGAACTTGAGCATCCACCAGTTCTGGTATCTATGGGGAGTCCTGAAACCAATTCCCCATGAATACCAAGGAGTGTCTGTATTGTATTTAATGGGCACTGGAAGGGATTCAAGAGTTATTTTGATTATATACTCTCTACTTGCCTTGCTGAGTTTTTTAAAACATAACACCCAAATGGGAAGCAAAATTACTTTGTTTATGTTTCTCAAAGACGATGAAGGAGACAAAAACCTAAGTTCACAGCAACCTCATGAAGCTCCTCTTTTATTTCCCATCCTCTCACTATTCTTATATTTCTCCAGGGCATTCCTCCCTCCGCACAGCCCTGTGAAGCTCTCCTATCTCTTCCTCTACTCTGTATCCTTTTATTTATTTTTATTTTATTAACTTATTCACTTTGGAATAGGGTCTCACTCTATCACCCAGGCTGAAGTGCAGTGGCACAATCATGGCTCACTGCAGCCTCGAATTTCTGGACTCAAGCAATCTCCCCTCCTTAACCTCTTGAGTATCTGAGACTATAGGAGTGCAGCACCACACTCAGCTAATTTTAAATTTTTTGTAGAGATAGGGTCCTATTATGTTGCCCAGGCTGGTCTTGAACTCCTGGGCTCAAGTGATCCTCCTAACCTTGGCTTCCCAAAGTACTGGGACTATGGGTGCGAGCCACTGTGCCCAGCCTACATTCTTCTATTACATAAGATGATCGGAGCTTGTCTCCAGCCAACAGGAATCATTATTATTTCTGAGGGACTATGAGTGGGTGGGCAAAAATTGCATTTTCTTTTTCTTTTTTTTTTTTTTTTTAACAGCCAGGGTCTCACTATCGCTATTGTTGCCCCAGCTGGACTTGAATTCCAGGGCTTAAGTGATCCTCCCACCTTAGCCTCCCAAGTAACTTGGACTACAGGCTATGCCAGCATGCCTTGCAGGATTTACATTGTTAATCATAAGATACTCTCTGTGTTATGGAATGAATTGTGTCCCTATGCCCCCCAAAATTTTATGTGTTGAAGTCCTACTCACCAGAATTTCAGAATGTGATGATATTTGGAGATAGGGTTTTTACAGAGATAGTTAAGTTAAAATGAAGTCACTGGGGTGGGCCCTAATCCAACATGACTGGTGTCCTTATAAGAAGAGGATATTTGGACACAGACACATACAGAGAGAGGATGACATGACAATACCAGAAGTTGGTCATCTCCAAACCAAGGAAAGAGGCCTCAGAAGAAAGCAACCCTACTGACACGTTGATCTCAGATGTCCAGGTTCTTCAACTGCAAGAAAATTAATTTCTGTTATTCAAGTCACATAGTCTGTGATATTTTGTTTTGGCAGCCCTAATGCACCTTGGAAGGGGAGATCACTTAGACAAACAATGCCTGTCCCATTCCACTCCAGCCTCTTCAAATTTATACATACAAAGGAGAACCACTCACGAACATTGGTATTTTGTGTTTTTTTGGTCACGTATTACTTGTGCTGCCCATCACAGCTTACTAGAAGACTGAAAAACATTGCTGTAGGGGAGAAGGGGCCACAGGGGAATTCAAAGCAGAGAAGGACGTGATGGATCTGAATTTTGGGTGGATCACACCAACATCAAAAGTGAAGATGGATTGAAATAGGGCAAGACAGGAGATGGAGAACTATTAAAATGCTTTTTCGGCTGGGCATGGTGGCTCACGCTTGCAATCCTAGCACTTGGGGAGGTCGAGGTAGGCGGATCACGAAGTCAGGAGTTTGAGACCAGCCTGGCCAACATAGTGAAAGTCCATCTCTACTAAAAATACAAAAAAAAAAAATAATAATTAGCTGGGCATGGTGGTGGGCACCTGTAATCCCAGTTACTTGGGAGGCTGAGGCTGGAGAAATCACTTGAACCCAGGAGAAAGGAGGTTGTAGTGAGCTAAGATCACACCACTGCACTCCAGCCCAGGCGACAGTATGAGACTCCATCTCAAAAAAAAAAAAAAATGCTTTTTCATTCAGTAGCAGCAGGGATGGAGAATTAGGGATGGGTTTGATAAATATCTAGGTATGAGAATAATAATATTGGGTGATAGAATTGGGGTGATGAAAGGGAGTAGAGATGGATGATTTCTATCTTTCTAGTTTAGGTATCTGAGTATACAATGGCACTGCCAATAGAAAGCAACTATAGAGTTTATTTGCATGCCACTGTATTCTAGAAAGAACTGAAGTTGGCTTATACAAAAACTGATCATGCCATAATAAATAGAAGTAAATGGGGAAAGCGAAGCTGGCTGTGCTTGAAAACTGGAAAGACAAAATGAAGCCAAGAGCGAGGTTAGCACACAAATCCTCATCCAGGGATTCTTAACACTTGTCAGAGATGGACTGTACATTTTGCTTTAGGCCAACACATGACATTATTCACACTTGTCATTTTGGTCAATGTTTCTCACCTCTTCCAAGGACCTGGAGTCTGAAAATTCTAAAACAATGAAAATCTGGCTGTTGGCTTCTGGGCGTGAGAGGCACCAGGAATACTGGGAGAGGCTCAGATTGCATATTTGGAGACTCCTCAGAGAGAAAGGTGTGGAAAGTTTAAAAAGTGTGGAGCATCTCCTGCCTCACCCTAGGGTAGGGTGGAATCTGGCGCTTGGGTTCAGAGACTGGGAAGATGGACTGTCTGTACTTCCATGCAACAGTGTAAAAATCCATTGATTTGGGAAAATGACATGGATGTGTCATATGCCTTCTGTGGTGCCACTTGACTGATTTACATAATATTGCTGTTTTTGCTATGTGAATACACAGGTTACATAAGCAGTCTGGCAGCTTAAGTCTCATTACTGTCATTTCCAAGGTGTTAGATTGTTCAGAACAAGGGAACCCTTTCTGCTACAGAATCTAAAGTGAATGTATCCCCATCTAGGCACATTTCAATGATCCCTTCATGATCACACCTTTGGAATATGCCCAAATAGCCAGTTTGATAACCTTAGGTTGGAAAAGGGAATGGTTGTTCCCAAGCTGTCTTTCCCAGAGTGTTTCCCTCTTGCCAAGTGTTGAGTGAGGTTCAACAGGTTTATGTTCCTGCCTATGGGGCACCTTTCTCTATGGAGAAAGGACCTTTAGAAGGACTATATAGAGAGAGGTGAGCTCTATACAACAGCTCTTGGCGCTAATAATACTACACCTTGATGGGTCCAGGACTGGTTGGGGCCTGACTTGCTGATCTTTTTTGCTTTTATAATTTCAACTTTTATTTTAGATTTAGGTGGCACACACGCAGGTTTGCTACATGGATATATTGCCTGATGCTGGGTGCGATACACATGATCCAGTCACCCAGGTACTCAGCATCATACCCAGTGGTTAGTTTTTCAACCCTTACCCTCCTCCTCTTCCCCTCTAGTAGTCCCCCAGTGTCTATTATTTCCACCTTTATGTCCACGAGTATCCAGCGTTCAGCTCCCACTTGTGAATGAGAACATGCAAGTATGTCTAAGATGGTGTCTCCACTCCATGCATGCCTCCTTCTAGACAGGATCTGGCTGGCTGTGGGCAGTATTGTGGAGTTGGTAAGTTTCCTCTGTGCGAGTTTACTCTTCCTTTTCTTTCAATGTGTACCAGAGTGATGGGATTGGCTTTGGAGTAGAGATATGACTCTCTCTGGCCAGCCAAGCCTGGTACAAGTAATTTAACTTCTTGGAATCTCAGCTTCCTCATCTGTAATGTGCGGAAGATAACAGCAGCCTCACAGGACTGCCCTAACTGCAATCACAATGGAAATGAGTGGCTGTGAATTTCTTCACAGCGTCCTGATGCAAGAAAGGCCCAAAATACTTCACTCCTTTTATTGATTTATTTATTTACGTATTTTTACATACATACATTTTAGGGACACCCAGGCTGGAGTGCAGTGGTGTGATCCTAGCTCACTACAACCCCAAACTCTTGGGCTCGAGCAGTCCTCTCACTTTAGCCTCCCAAGTAGCTAGGACTATAGGTTCGCACCACCATGCCCAGCTAATTTTTTATTTTTAGTAGAGACCAGGTCTTGCTTTGTTGATCAGGCTAGTCTCAAACTCCTGATCTCAAGTGATCCTCCCACTTCAGCTTCCCAAAGTGCTGGGATTACAGGTGTGAGCCACCATGCTCATCCACTTTACTTGTTTTAATCAGAGTAAATCTGGCTGTAGGCTCTCAAGAACTACAGTGTTGAGAAAATAAATCACAGATTTCTTTAGGAGCATTCCCTACCAATCCCCAAAGATATAAATGGTCTTTTAAATCCCTTATTTGGGATTTAAAAATTAGGGAGGGGGCCAGGTGCAGTGGCTCATGCCTATAATCCCAGTACTTTGGGAAGCCAAGGTGAGCGGATCGCTTGAGGTCAGGAGTTCAAGACCAGCCTGGCTAACATGGTGAAACCCCATCTCTACTAAAAATACAAAAATTAGCCGGGTGTGGTGGTGCGAGCCTGTAGTTGCAACTGCTCGGGAGGCTGAGGCATGAGAATTGCTTGAACCCCGGAGGTGGAGGCTGCAGTGAGCTGAGATTGTGCCACTAGACTGCAGTCTGGGTGACAGAGCAAGACGGTGTCTCAAAAAAAAAAAAAAAAAAAAAAAAAAAGGAAAAAACATGAGGGAGGGGCCTGGACCTCAGTCCTTGGAGTCACCAGAGTTCCTGCTGCTCTTTCTGCTCCATGATGCTCCTGAGTTTGTCCTGCTTGCTTTCTCAGCCTTTGTTCTCTCGACAGACCCAGGGCTGTTCCTCAAGACCATTGTATTTTCTTCTAGCCAGAAGTTTGACCACATGGAATTTTGCCAGTGCTGTCCAAGTCTTGGCACTGTATCCAACCACCCTGGTATCCCTGAGATCTGTGTTCAAAGACAGCCCAGTTCTAATCACCTGTGAAAACCCCAAACCTCCACACTCTTCAATGTTATGGGAGGCCAAGGCTTTACCTGCCTCCAGGCACCCCAAACCCCAACTGTCTCCCCGATCTATTTTCCTTCCTCATGAATGAGCTTATGTTTCCTAAACAAAGCTGGGATGAGTCTTATGTCCTGGAAGTCTCATAGTTTCTACTGAGTTAATATTGACTCTAGTTGTCCTCAGTAGCCAGTTTCTTCTTCACTCACACCAACAGAATGTTTAGCTACACAGGAAATGCCTAGAATAAGGCTGACATTTTGCAGCCTGCCTCATAGCTAGGGATAGCCATGTGGTTGAGTTCTGGACAAAGAGATTTAGGTAGAAAGTGTGGGTGGCAGCTTCTGGGAGCCTTCTTTAAGGGACATACCTGCCCTTTGATGTTCTTTTCTTCTTCCATCTTGCTGTCTCCTATGCAGCTGCTGCCATCTTGGACCAAGCACATGATGGTCATATCCTAAAAGATATCAGAATGGTGAGTTGGTAGGAGACTGAGTCTTTGTTTATAAGACAAGACACAGAGTGGGGAAAACCCCTTTTGTTTGGTCCAATGTCATGACAATTGAGCATCAAAGGGAAGAATCTCAAGGACCAAGGTTACCTGCTGAGCATGACCAAACCCAAGAGAGCCCAAGTCCTTAATGACATCACTTACCCAGGAGCCTCCTCCCTCCAGACTCCTTCTGATGGGAGATGAGATGAGACATTTTCCCCACTGTTTAAGCCACTTTTCTTTGGATATTTTATTGCCTAAGAGCACCCTAACCAATGGGATATAAAGAAGAACAGTCTCAGAGCACAAGGGTTGTTTACTTGTTTTTCAGATGAGGCAGGGAAAATCCCTCTTGATCTTTTGAGCATCCTTCAGCAACAAGAACAAACACAAACAGGTATCTCAGTAAATGATGCCCCCATATGTGAAAAACACAGCATGGAACCTGACACATTTAAGCAGTCAGTAAAAGGTAGCTATTCTTCTTTTTCTTAGTAGCATAATGCCTCAATAAACATTGGTTTCTGATCCTATCCCCTTGAGTATCTCTCCCTTTGCTGCTAAGTTTCTCCATACCTTTACATTTATCTCCCTTCTCCCCTATTAAACCTGGCTCTTGGAAAGACTGTCAACTTGCTCTCATTGAGGTGTCAGTGATAGATAAGGCTTAATGTATGACCTCATTCCCCAAACACTATCGGCTTGTCAGTGAGATTTACATTTAATAGAGGATTAAAGCCTTAAGCCAAAGGAATGAATCTTTAATGGTGAAATTTGAGGCACCAGAAGGCTTATGAAAAACAATATTGAAGAGGGGGAGGACCTCCTTGGTGATCCCAATTTTCTGAGGCATTCTCATAAAGTTCTCCAAATTCTCCCAGATTTAAAAACGTCATGCCGTACTGCACTTCACAATTGGCAGTTGGCAGACAGATTCTGGATGAAGCTTTGTGGAACTGAACGGGAGTGGGAGGGGGAATCGTGAAATCAAAGGCACAAGAAGAGGGTGTCTCAATTCCAGAGGGAGTTGTCTGTCGAGTGGGTGAGTCAGGCTGTCTGAGCATGTGGATGGAACTTCCCTGGGGCAGCTGCCTGTGTTGAGCCACATTTGATATTGACATTTGATATTGACTTAGCAGTTTCCTGCTGCTTCTTGACCTTTTTTTTGGTTGGGGCTGGTGGTTGAGCTGTATCAAGTTATCTTTCTATCCCACCCTCCCAGTTTCTTCCCTGAACCTCATCATCATCTCAGTTCTTCTCCCTGCTTGTCCTGCCCTCTACAAAGTGCCTCTTTGGCCAGGCTTCTCAAATACTGTGAGCAAGACTTGGAATCTCTCTTCTCTCCTTGCACCCACCACTGAATCTTTGGGCATCTTGGCCGGGTCCCCAGCAGTGCAGACCTGACAGGCTGCATTCTTGGTCACTGGGATTTCTTCTCTGAGCTCCAGCTTATGCTGCTTCCTTTTCAGCATCTCCTCTTGAGTATCCCACGGATTATTTATTTAGTTATTTATTTTAATTTTTTGTTGTTGTTGAGATGAAGTCTCACTCTGTCACCCAGGCTGGAGTGCAGTGGCATGATTGTGGCTCAATGAAACCTCCGCCTCACAGGCTCAAGCAATTCTCCTGCCTCAGCCTCCTAAGTAGCTGGGATTACAGGAGCCCACCACCATGCCCGGCTAATTTTAGTATTTTTAGTAGAGATGGGGTTTTGGCATGTTGGCCAGGCTAGTCCCGAACTCCTGACCTCAGGTAGTACGCCCACATTGGCCTCCCAAAGTGCTGGGCTTACGGGTGTGAGCCACCTTGCCTGGCCCTGATTATTTATTTTTTTGAGATGAGGTCTCACTCTGTCACTCAGGCTGGAGTCCAGTGGTGTGGTCATAGCTCACTGCAGCCTCGAAGTCCTGGGCTCAAGTGACCCTCCTGCTTCAGCCTCCCGAGGAGCTGGAACTGCAGGCATACTATTATTAGTGCTTGGAACACTTAGCAACATACCCAGCTACGTTGTAAATTAGAGACGAGGTCTCACTATGTTGCCCAGGCTGGTCTGCAACTTCTGGCCTCAAGCAATCATCCTGCGTCGGCCCGCCAAAGAGGGACCCCACTCCAAAGCACTGGGATTACAGGTGTGAGTCACTGTGCCCAACCCCTACTGATACTTTAAATTCAACACATGTGGGTCAATTATGTTCCATCCATCCCCTGGATGTGCTCTTCACCCACCTCCACCTTGTTCCTTCCATGGCAGATGGAGTCATTGGAACGTCATCACCTCTGGCTGGGTTTGACCAATTAGGAGGAGAAAGGAGAGAGGAGGGAGGAGTGAGGCAGGAGTGGGAGGCTGCAGTGTTCATCCCCTAAAGGTGGTCTCCGCCGGATTGTGTTCCTCCACCAAAAGCCTGCTCCTTTCTAGTGGCCTTCTGTACCTACACGACTCCCTCTTTCCAGGTCTTGGCAACTATTCCCTGTCCTTGTTCCCCCAAGCTTGGAGGCAGTGGCAGCTCCTCCACTGCTGCTGGCCTCGGGTGACTGCTCTCACCCTTGCAGTGGTTCCCTTGCGGGAGAGTGGCATCACCTGGAAACACATTAAAATTGCAGACTTGGGGCTACCTCCCAGCCCTTCTGAGCTTGAAATTAGGGGTGGGGCCCAGCAGTCTGCATCTGTTTTTAATTTTTATTTTTATTTTAAGTTCTGGGGTACATGTGCAGGATATGCAGTTTTTGTTACATTGGTATACATGTACCATGGTGGTTTGCTGCACCTGTCAACGCATCACCTAGGTATTAAGCCTAGCATGCATTCGCTATTTTTCCTAATGCTCTCCCTTCCCCTAGCCCACCCCTGACAGGCCCCAGTGTGTGTTGTTCCCCTCCCTGTGTCCATGTGTTCTCATTGTCCAGCTCCCACTTCTAGCTGAGAACATACAGTGTTTGGTTTTCTGTTCCTGCATTAGTTTGCTGAGGATAATGGCTTCCAGCTCCATCCAAGTCCCTGCAAAGGATATAATCTCATTCCTTTTTATGGCTGCATAGTATTCCATGGTGTATATGTACCACAATTTCTTGATCCAGTCTATCATTGATGGACATTTGGGTTGATTCCGCAGTCTGCATTTTGACCAGATCTCTAGGTCTAGGTGATTCTGAAGCACGCTCATGTTTGAGCATCACCAAACTTCACCTTTCCAGCTTTGAAATTAGTAACAAACTCTTCCAATTGTGCCAAATGAACATTTCCTCTGTTTTCTATTGTGATCCTAATGATATAATGACAATAATAATAATAGAATTCAGATCCCCGGCATAAAAGTGACCCTTGTCTAGGGTCTCTTTCTCAGTGAATGCAACACCATGGGACTTGTTCTTACACATCTTTTAACTCTGCACCTACCAGCCTGTGTGGTACATTGTAGGTGCTCAGTAAAGGCTCATTTCAACAGAAATTTCATTTTTTTACCCTCATGGTTTTGTGCCTTTCCCAACACACCGTGTATACATCCATTCATCCACCCAGGAATCACCATATGGGTACTGGGGATGTACAGCCAAATATGATATTGTGTTTAGTCTCATGGGTCTTATGAGTTAATGGGTGAGATGTCAGCTGTCTGAGTTTCAGTAACACCATCTATTAATGGATCATAATATTACTGACTCCATGGGGTTGTTGTGAAGATGAAATGGGATAACGCACAGAGTGCTCTTGGCACAGTGCCTGACATTGAAACTATTCAATCAATTTTAGTTTTATTACTATTGCAGTAGTTGATATAGCTTAAGCCTGGCTCAAACAGAGACGAGAACATGATTTGTGGGCATCTCTCCACGCCATGGGTATAAGCGTCTTACAAGTTACAGGATCATTAAAGTACTTTGTAAATTACTTGGCATTTCATAAGGCGTTTATTTTTATTTTTTAATTTTTGTGAGTACATAGTAGGTGTATATATATATGGGGTAAGTGAGATATTTTGATACAGGCATGTAATGTGGAATAAACACATCAAGGTAAATGGGGTATCCATCAATAAGGTGTTTTTATATTTACTGATCTGGCTATTATTCTTGTCCTCGTGTGATATCTCTGTCTTGTTTATCCTCTTCAAGGCTACCCTGTAAGTTTCATTTTGACCTGCTTTTATTCCTGTGCAAAAGTTAGCCAGCACAAAAGAGTAGCTTAATAATTTATTCTGGATTGAGACGCCCTTAGGGTCTGTCCATTAATTTCTTCCCTTCCAAAATGACTATAATTTTTTATTGTTTTTATTGGTTAAAAAGATGTATGTTCATTGCTTTAAAAAATGAAATGATACAAAGCGGTACAAAGTACAAAATACTTTATCAGTTGAAATAAATCACTCAGAGATACCTCTTTTAACATGTTGCTGAACCTTTTCCTTGAAATATCATTATACATTTCTCTGCAACTCTATCTAGTATTTCCATGTTACATGAATAGGGTCATTCTATGGAGCCAGCTCACTTTTTAGCCAGAAACTATCTGAGGAGGCTCTGGGAAAATTTCGTCTGGGGAGGTGCGCTTGCTCTCCCACAGGACCACCAGATGTCGCTGCTTCTGAATTTATCAGAATTTCCTGTCCCCAGGGCAGGCTGCAGAAATTAATGCTCAATGTTCCAATCCTGGGCCCTGGTTCGTACCATCCCTCTGGCCTAGGGCTGAAGATGAATTGATTTTGTTTTCAGTGACACCTGCAGAGGGCAAAAGTCATGCCCACACTGTGACATGGAGTGAACCTGTAGTGGCTCTTGGACTGAACAAGTTCTGACATGTGTGTTGGTTATGTTTGCACCTGTTTTCTCCTCCTCCCCCATCCCCAAATTAGATCGTGAGATCCCTGCAGGAAGAGACTGAGTCCTGTAACCCAGAGTTCTCTTTCTGTAAAGCCCTCAATACCTGTTAAGTCTCAATTAAGAATAAGGTAGCTTGGGGACCTGGCATGGTAGCTCACACCTGTAATCCCAGCACTTTGGGGAGGCCCAGTTGGGTGGATCACTTGAGGCCAGGAGTTCGAGACCAGCCTGGCCAACATGGTGAAACTCTGTCTCTACTAAAAATACAAAAATTAGACAGGCGTGGTGGGGCATACCTGTAATCCCAGCTACTCGGGAGGCTGAGGCAGGAGAATTGCTTGAACCCAGGAGGTGGAGGCTGCAGTGAGCTGAGATCACACCACTGCACTCCAGCCTGGGCAACAGAGTGAGATTACATCTCAACCAAAAAAAAAAAAAAAAAAAGAAAAAAGAGACGGTGGCTAGGAAAATAGAGGCTAGAAAGAAAAAAAAAAGTAGGTGTTTTGAAAGCAGAAAACAAAGTATAAAAAATTATTGAGCTGGGAGTCAGAAAATCCAAATTTTACATTTGGATTAGGTCTTAATTCACTGGCTGACTTTGGACAAGCCTATTGACCTTTCTGGGGTCAAGTTGGTTTATGTATAGGAGGTTGGATAGAATGATCTCTCAACCTCTATTAGCTCTGACCTCCTTGGATACAAAAGTTCTTCTTGTCTTTTGTTGTTGTTTTTTGTTTGTTTTTGGGATGGGAGGATGTCAAATTGCATCTAGAAGTGAATCATTGGGCACCGTCAAGAAACCTGGGGAACTCAGGTCCTGGGGCATCCAGGGCAGGTCAGGCCTGAGGCTGAGCTGCACTTAACAATCCACCCTCCTTGCAGGGCCATTGGCGCCGGCCGCACCAGCACAGCCCATACATCATTATTAGATTCCCTTCATCATGCTAATTGACATGGGATGAAAAATATCCAGTGAAGGAAACAGCAAATGCTTTCACATTCAGCCAGGGCACCTGGCAAATGGGAGAAACTGCTGTAAAAGTTAACTGAGATTGAAAACGGGCCTACTAATATCTTGTAGGGTGAATGTTTCCTGTTACCGGGAACTAGTTCGGATTGGCAATGTGAGTGAGTGGTGGAGACAGGGAGGGAGGGAAGCTTGGGGTACCACGTGTGAAGTGTAGAGGTTGGGGGGAACCTTTTAAGACAGTTTAGGTTCAGATGCATGGAGAACCAGACAGAACAAATAAAGAAGGATAGAGAGGAGAGAGAGGGAGCTGGTCTTGTCTCCTCTAAACTGTAGTGATAATTGTACCCCCTTCTCAGTTTGAATTCTGTTGAGAATTATTTTCTCAAGAAGAGTCCAGTATTGGGTGGAGGGGAATGTAGAATTCCTGGCTCTAGACCAGTCTGGGGGTAGAGGAGGTTGCACCCCAGGGGACATTAGGTAATGTCTGGAGACATATTTGGTTGTCATAAGTTGGGGGCGGGTTATATTAGCATCTCCTGGGTAAAGGCCAGGGATGTGGCAAAACATCCTACAATGCACAGGGCCACCCCCTCCCACCAAGCACATAATGATCCCGTCTAACATGTCAATAGTCCTGAGGTGAGGAAGCCCGGCTCTAAAACAATGTGTGACTTTGCACAAGTAACTAAACACCTCCGGGTGACTATTTTATCAATCTACGTGACAAATTTTACATGGTATGGTAGATTGCCGGCAAAAATAGCCCAAATTCTCCTCCATGTCCCCCCTGGCCATTGCAATATCACTTTGCAGCTCCTGCTATCAAGACATGGAGTCTGTTCCTCACTCTTTGAATCACGGCTAGCCTGTGTCTTGCTTTGTTCAGCAGAATCTGCAGAATTGGTAGCACCAAGTCTAGGCCTCAGAGGCTTTGCACAGTTCTGTTGTCTCCTTCCGAGCCCTGCTCTCCTGTGTGCGTGAGCCTGGGCTAATCTGCTGGAGGATGAGACACCACGTGTACAACAGGCAAACTGCCCTACCCTGTCTATGCTAAAAATACAATTGCTAAAAATTGCAAGATACAGTCCAGCCTAGAGTAAAACTATCTACTGACCGAGGACCATGGACTGCAGACCCTAGCTGAGATAAGAAAACCCACCCAGGTAATCCATAGTTTCCTGGGAAATAACAGATTCGTACTTTTTTTTTTTTTTTTTCCTTTGAGATGGAGTTTCGCTCTTTTACCCAGGCTGGAGTACAGTGGCACGATCTTGGCTCACTGCAACCTGCCTCCTGAGTAGCTGAGATTACAGGCACCCACCACCATGCCCAGCTAATTTTTGTATTTTTAGTAGAGACAGGCTTTCACTTGAACCCCTGACTTCGTGATCCGCCCACCTTGGCCTCCCTAAGGGCTGGAATTACAGGCGTGAGCCACCATGCCTAGCTCCAGATTCTTACTGTTTAACCCACTGAATTTCAGGGTGGTTCATTATGCAACAATAGCTAGCTAATATGCAAGGTCTTGAAATTAAGACTCAACGGTGAATTCCAAGGGGAATGGGAAACATCTCAAGATTTGCTTCCTTTGTTAATAGCTGACATTTTCCTAAGTCCGATAGCTTTAAATGAATCAAGATGTGCATAACTGCATCCTTTGATACCCAATTAATGGAGCTGGGCAAGATCTATCTGGAGACAAGTTTGCTAAAGGTTAATTTTATTCACTTTTATCAGGACAAGTTGCAGCAATCAACTCTGACTTAAACAATAGCGAAAGGGCATTGGTGAGGACACCAGGAAGCTGATGAATACACAGCCTTCAGCAACATCGGGAGTCAGAGCTGCTCCAGGGATCTTGGCAGGAGGGATTTGTGGCTCTCCTTCCAGAATGCTGTCAAGGGTGACAGAGGCCTAAGCACCTTTCATCCTCATGTAATTTGTGCTCCAGATTTGAAGACCAGGGTGGAAGAACCTCATTGGCTTTCCTTATGTCACCTGCTCTGCTAATAGGTGGTATCGTTTGATTGGCACCTCTGCCATTCCCACGTAGAGTGGAAAAGGGCAATCAGACAGAAACAGAAGGTGCCGTCTGCCTCCCTCCTCCCTACCCCTTCCCCTGCCACCCACAACCCTACAGATTGGGAAAGGTAGAATTAGGAAGTATGTTTAGAATTTTTGGTGTGTGGTCTGGACCTCTAAGATGGCTCATCATAGCCTAGCTGGAAAATGGAAAGCCTCCGTCAGAAATTAAAAATCAAATGTAACAGTGCTGTTGACTCTCATACGACTCTCCTCCAGTCACCCTTCACTTGTCATGTCAGTGTCAGCATTTGTGGTAATGGTTTGGGATGTGGAAGGGGGAGTGAGAAGGGAGATAATCCTTCTTCTTCTCCTTCTTCTTCTGAGACAGGGTCTTGCTTTGCTCTCTCTCCCAGGTTGGAGTGCAGTAGCATGATCATGGCTCACTGCAGCCTTGAACTCCTGGGCTCAAGCAATCCTCCTGGCTCAGCCTCCTGAGTAGCTCAGGCTACAGGCGTGGACCACCCCACCTGGATAATTTTATTTTTTACTTTGTAAAGATAGGGCCTCGCTATGTTGCCCAGGCTGGTCTCAGACTCCTAGGTTCAAATGATCCTACAGCCTTGGCCACTGCACCCAGTCTTGATCTGACTTTTGAAGCACTATGTATTTACCGTACTCCAGCCTGGGCAACAGAGAGACATCCTGTTTCTAAATAAGTGTTATCTCTTAGTGCTATTTCTATTCTTGTTGTCAGCTTGCAAGTTGATAGCTGGGGTCAAAAGTGTGACAGTTGTTTGAGTCAGATTTGGACCAGAACATTTTCTGCCACTTATTCCAAGGAGATGGCAAGGGTCAGCGGGGGGTCCTAAAAGTCTCGGGTCCAGACATTAAGTTTCTGCCTTCTGTAAGTCACCCAAAGATCCCCAAAGTGTCCCAGCTGTAGAGACACATGAATTACCTACTTCCCACCTGTAAATTAGGAGGGCTGTACACAATCTGAGGTTTACAACTATTTTTTTCTTTTAATTTTCTTGAACCCTTCAAGTAAAATCTTATGTTGAAGTTCAGCACATATAACTGATAAATGTGAGTCATTTTCATAGAAGCAGTTGTTGTGTGTGTTTTGGGGCGCAGTGGGGAGCAGGGGGAGCAGGTTGGAGCCCTACTCATATTTGGCCTCCCCCTCTTCTCCAAAGTGGCTCTGAAGACATCTCTAGGACCCTCTTGGTTTTGAGGACCACTTGTGAAGACCATGGGACCAGTGACATTGAGGCCTTTCCAAGCTTTGAGTACAATTCTCTGTGTGTAGATTTGAGGAAATGGTCTTCATCAGTGCTGAGATACAGAAGATAGACCTGGTGGAGAAAGCCAGGGGGATGGCAGATGCTGGACCAAGCCATTCTCCTGCCTCAGCCTCCCAAGTAGCTGGGACTACAGGCGCCTGCCACCACGCCTGGCTAATTTTTTATATTTTTAGTAGAGATGGGGTTTCACCGTGTTAGCCAGGACGGTCTCGATCTCCTGACCTCATGATCCGTCCGCCTCGGCCTCCCAAAGTGCTGGGATTACAGGCGTGAGCCACTGCGCCTGGCCTCTTCATCTCCTTTTTTGCACAAAGCAGCACAGTGAGGCAGAAGAACAAGGGCTTTGCAACTCTGATCCCAGCTATCGACTTCTGAGCTGACAACAAGAATATTAATAGTACCAACAGCTAATACTTTTTTTGGGGGTATGGAAATGGATTTCATTTGGCATTTTTACCAAAGATGAGGGTGTTCCCTAGGGAGGTAGCCCAGCAGAGAGCTTAAGAGTCTGGAATGTTGAAGACGAACAGTCTCAGGCTCTAGTCCCCCCAGTCCTGCCACGTGTTAGCTGGATAGTCTCTTTATGGCTCTGAGTCTCAGTTTTCTCAACTGCAAAATGGAGAAGCAACAGTATCTACTTCCTAGAGCTGCTGAGAGAATTTCAGTGTAATGACGAATGGGAGGTGCTTGGAGAGTGAACCTTGGAGAGTGGGTAAATTCTACAAAATATAGAAAAATTGCTCAGGTGGAGAGTGTACATGAATGGAGGGTGAAAGCAGCAGCCAGGTGTGGTGGCTCACACCTATAATCCAAGCACTTTGGGAGGCCAAGGCAGGAGGATTGCTTGAGGCTAGGAGTTTGAGACCAGTCTGGGCAACATAGCCAGACCCCATCTCTAAAAAATAAAAAAAATTAGCTGCCTATTGTGGCAGGTACCTGTAGTCCCAGCTACTCAGGAGGCAGAGGTGGGAGGATAATTTGAGCCCAGGAATTTGAGACCAGCCTGGGCAACATAGCAAGACCCTGTCTCTACAAAAAATAAAGTAGCCGGGCATGGTGGCTCCCACTGGTAGTGCCAACTACTTGGGATGCTGAGGTAGGAGGATAGCTTGAATCCCGGAGTTAGAGGCTGCAGTGAGCTATGATTGCACCACTGGATAACTCCAGCTTGGGTAACAGAGTAAGACCTCATCCGCCCAAAAAAAGTATTAGCTGTTGGTACTATTAATATTCTTGTTGTCAGCTCAGAAGTCGATAGCTGGGATCAGAGTTGCAAAGCCCTTGTTCTTCTGCCTCACTGTGCTGCTTTGTGCAAAAAAGGAGATGAAGAGGCCAGGCGCAGTGGCTCACGCCTGTAATCCCAGCACTTTGGGAGGCCGAGGCGGACGGATCATGAGGTCAGGAGATCGAGACCGTCCTGGCTAACACGGTGAAACTCCATCTCTACTAAAAATACAAAAAATTAGCCAGGCGTGGTGGCGGGCGCCTGTAGTCCCAGCTACTTGGGAGGCTGAGGCAGGAGAATGGCTTGAACCCGGGAGGCGGAGCTTGCAGTGAGCCAAGACTGCGTCACTGCACTCCAGCCTGGGCGACAGAGCGAGACTCCGTCTCAAAAAAAAAAAAAAAAAAAAAGAAAAGATGAAGAAAAAGGAGGGCACCTCTCACCTTTGCTAGGAGTTTGCTCCTAACATTCTCTTCTCTAATGCTAGGGGTCCCAGTCCCCATTCTCTCTCTTACAAAGGACCATTCACTTTTCCTGTCGTCCCCTGACAAGACCTCCAGGAGCGAAATTAAAGCAATAAGAGCTAAACTGTCTGTGATCGGAGAACAGAGAATGTGATAATGATATATAAAGCTTAAAAGCACTAAGTGGGCAAAACTGGTGCTAGAGAAGTGAGTAAAACCAAGACAAATCCGTCCCTTGAGAGCTATAACACATAACTTAAATAACCGGAGCAGCAGGGGTCCGTTATCCCTTGGAAGAGCGGTTTGCACTCCCGTGGAGCACAGCCTCTGCCCAGCATCCATAATTCCCCATGTGCTTAGGACTGGTCACCACAGCCTCAGGGTTAACTGCTGGTTGGATCAGGGTTTCTGCTGCCACCTGGGCACATGCAGCCCACCCTATCTGGCAGCAGACATCTGAGGTCTAACCTCAGCAGTAAGATGGACTGGAGAAAGAACTGCATGGACACTGAGAGGACTCAGATTTTGTTTTTGCCTCCACCCTTTTTGAGCTGTGTGACCTTGATTAAGTTACATCACCTTTCTGAAGAACCCTGTCTTTTTTTAAAAAAAAACTTTCTATTTAAAGTTGTGGGTCTCAACATGGGGTCCCTAGAGGAAAAGCATCAGTATCACTTGGGAACATGTTAGAAATGCAGATTCTTGGGCCACACCGCAGACCCATGAAACTAGAAACTCTGGGGGTGTCTCCTAGCAATCTGTGTTTTAACGAGCCTTGTGGTACATGCTGAGGTTCGGGAATGAGTCTTTTAAGAAAAATGATCCCAACTTGTGTTTTTATTCCCTGGCATCCTTAACTCGTTAATAAGGAGGGAAGGAGTTCAATGTTAATGGGAGCTAGCTGGGCTTCCAGGAAGTTCCTGGGCTAAGTCACAAGAGCTTTTGTTCCAGGAGACATTTGGGGCATGCTGAGGCAGGAGGATCCCTTGAGTCTGGGAGGTTGAGGCTGCAGTGAGCTGTGATCAAGCCACTGCGAAGTCTCCATACCTCTCTAAGATTCACTGCAGGTGTGTGTACTTCCTTCATTCCAGGCCCAGCTGACTTTTTTCCCTTCCATAGTCCTTTGCTCTTTCCCCCTTCCCTTCTCCCAGACACAAGAAATGCTTTCAGTCTGGGAAAAGTTCAGGGAGGTGGGAACTTGTCTCTACCCAATAGCAATTTTTCTATATTTTGCAGAATTTATGCCCTAATTCCTTTTAGCCGTGGGCTTTTGAAGCTCAAAAGCTCACGTTTGGAAACTCACAATATGAGGCATTTGAAATTTAAAGCCTTTTCCTTTGCTTTTCTGCAGCCCCTTTATTAAGCAAATAAATGCTGTTAAATCGAGTTGCTGCTGGAGTCAGGGAAAGGAAAGAGAGTGAGGAGTAATGAGAGTGATATGGAGGAGAGAGTGCAGTCAATGATTTCAAAGGTAAATGTCTTTCCACATAAACTTGTGATATAAATAAAGAGAGGAACAGGCATTCTGCTGAACATCTCTGGGCAACATTACCCTTTATTTAAAAAACTCTACACGCCTTATTTTATGGAGAGTTCTGGAACCCAAGATAGGAATGTCACTTATGTGCATATTCTTACGCCAGCTTTCCTTCCCACATACCATTATGATAACTCTCCATCCCTGTAAATAACCAGGGGGTCTCTCTTCCTTCTGACCCTTGCACAACGTAGCTAGCTGGAGTGATCCATTTCTTCTTCTTTTTTTTTTTTTTTTTTTTTTTTTTTTTTTTTTTTTGAGATGGAGTCTCGTTCTGTCACCCAGGCTGGAGCAATCCATTTCTATCTTTCGTGACACCCGTCTGGTACTACTTTGAGAACTAGATGAAAACTAGAAGTGCTTTTTGTCTATTTAAAAACCTTATTATGCTGGTTTCAATGTGTTTTTTGGTAGTTACAGTTCTGAGAAGTGTGGATTTTGCAGTTCCACACTGTTAAGCATGATCTCACTGTTGTGTATCTGGGTAAAAGGTGATTTAAAGGCATCGCAAGGAGCCAAGCTTCCATCTGATGAGAAATGCAAAAAGACACAAGGGGGCCATTCCTGGAAGTGTGAAACTCTATGTTCAACAGGACCAAGAGACGAGTCGGTTGCATATTTACATTTTACATTTATGTGATGCATTAGAATTTATAAAGCGTATTCACATGCATTAATCACTAAGATGGAATTTTAACAGGCAACTGGTACGAGCTGCATTGGAATAAGAGGGATTGATAGTATTTAAGGACCAGTCAGAAGAGGACTGATGGTATTTAAGGACCAGTTACAAAACAGGCTGGTTGCAGTGACTCACACTTGTAATTCCAGCACTTTGGGAGGCCGAGGCAGGAGGATCACTTAAGCCCAGGAGTTCCAGATCAGCCTGGGCAACATAGTGAGACCTCCATCTCTACAAAAAATGTTTTAAAAAATTAGCTGGGAACGGTGGCATGTGCCTTTAGTTCCAGTTACCTGGGAGGCTGAGGCAGGAGGATCACTTGAGTGCGGGGGGGGTTGAGGCTGCAGAGAGCTACGATCACACCACTGCACTCCAGCCTGGGTGACAGATCCTGTCTCAAAAAAAAAAACCAAAAACAAGCAGAAAGTGAAAAAATAGTGACAGAGTATATTTCTTTGAATCATGCCTTCAATTGCATGTGATCCTTGGTTAAGAACACTCATTGAGGATTATATTTAACTTTTCTGTTTTATTTTATATAGAAAAACCCATATTAGAGCAAAATATACCTTAGTAGTGGTAAGCTGTGGTGACTCTAATTAATACTGCTTTCTAACTACTCTACAGGAAAAGTGATCTACAGGGTTTACCTGTAGAAATACAGCAGTGCCATAGCCAGGCGTGGTGGCTCACACCTGTAACCCCAGCACTTTGAGAGGCTGAGGCAGGTGGATCATGAGGTCAAGAGATCGAGACCATCCTGGCCAACATGGTGAAACCCCGTCTCTACTAAAAATACAAAAATTAGCTGGGCATGGTGGCACCCACCTGTAGTCCCACCTACTTGGGAGGCTGAGGCAGGAGAATCACTTGAACCCAGGAGGCAGAGATTGCAGTGAGCCAAGATCGCGCCATTACACTCCAGCCTGGGTGACAGAGAGAGACTCCGCCCCCGCCCCCAAAAAACAAAACAAAACAAAACGAAACAAAACAAAAAAAGCAGTGCCATTAGGCACTAGTGCCAGAGTGGTTGCATGCATCTGGATTCCCTGGAAATTCCTGGGAGCGGGAGTGACAGAGCCCAGTCCTGTCACTGAGTGGGTTCTTAAGATGACCACGGTTCCTGTTTTCCCACAGCCCTCTGTCAAGTCTTCACCAACGGGCAGACAGCACAGTTCACATTTCAGTCACGGCACTGGCTTGCCCCTCTTGCTTGGCAGAGAAAGGACAGTGACTCCCTTACCTGGAAGGTTGTGCTCTTATCTAACAGAAGGAAGGTGAAGAGGTGCAGAGCAGAGGATGACAGCCGGGGGGCAACATGACTTTTGCTGGATGTGAGAAATGCCAAGTCAGTCGCTATACAGACCTTAGTTCTTCAGCCCCGCGTCCCATTTGAGGCGCGTATTCCTGCATTCTAGGGATACACCCAACTGACCTGTTTCATGGAGGGAAATTAGAGTTTGGCTTTGGCTGTCAGTTTCTGAAAGGAATTAAAGGGTTTGCTCCTCATCCTCCATGCCGTGCTATAATACACCAAAATGACCACCCGGCAGTTTGCAGCTGAACTCAGACATCATATAGTCAGTTACATCTCTCTCGTCAGATAACAAATGTCTTGGACCCCACTGTGGAGGGGTAATTGGAATTCAGCTACCGTGGGAACTCTACCTTAATTGCCATACAGGATGACAACAAGGGAGCCCAAATAGCAGAATACATCCCTGTATCATTTTTTTCTTGGCTTGGCAGAGGTGTGTGTAGTGCTGGTGTATTAGGGTTCTCGAGAGGGACAGAACTAATAGGAGAGATGTATATATAAAGGGGAGTTTATTAAGGAGTATTTACTCACACAATCACAAAGTGAGGTCTTACAGTATGTTGTCTGCAAGCTGAGGAGCAAGGAAGCCAGTCTTGAGTCCCAAAGCTGAAGGACGTGGAGTCTGATGTTCAAGGGCAGGAAACATCCAGCTCGGGAGAAAGATGGAGGCCAGAAGACTAAACCCGTCTATTCTCTCCATGTTCTGCCTGCTTTTATTCTGGCCACACTCACAGCTGATTAGATGGTGCCCATCCAGATTGAGGGTGGGTCTGCCTCTCCCAGTCCACTGACTCAAATGTTAATCTCCTTTGGCAACACCCTCACAGACACATCCAGGAACAGTACTTCGCATCCTTCAATCCAATCAAGTTGACACTCAATATTAACCATCATAGCTGGGTTCTGTCAGTTGCTCTCCCAGGACTTTCCAGGGAATACAGATTAGTAGAGATAGAAGAAGATAAGGAAAGACTATTGCATGGAAGAGTTGCCTTAGTGATGATGAAATTGGAGGGAAATATGTAATGCTGCTGTGTTGGAATCTTCCCCATGAAGAATGCTTTCCCACCTTGGATCTACAGAGATGTCTTTTGTAATAGGGTTTGGCAGAAAAAGCAACAGACTAGGAGTCAGGCGGTCTCTGCTTTGCTATTTACATCCACCTAATTCGTAGAACCCAGACCCAACCTGCAAACTACTAAGTCCTGGCAAAACCGCAGCCATTAGCATGGGATCCACATTCCCAGTGCATGTTTAGATGGCCTTCTCTTCACCCTCTCTGATTCCTGGTTAATGTTTTCTTTGCCACCCTGACTTATGAGTATCAGGACTCATGAGCAGCAAGAAATAGAAAACCCAGCTCAGACTGACTCAGGCCAAAAAGGGTATCCGTTGGCTTATCTAATTGTAGGCATTGCTGGGTATAAGGACTCCTTTGATTTGATTGGGACTCAGTTTCTTGCCATCTCTCAGTTCTGAGTTCCTTTTCCTTGACTCCACTTTTTAGCAGGGTCTTTCCTCCTGATGATGAAATAGTTGCCAGAGATGCTAAGCTTATATCCTCTAAAGCTTCAACTTCAGTAAAACAGAGAGCCAACTTCTGTTTCAGCAATGTCAGTAGTGTGTGTCACTAGCTTTGGAAGGGTGATTCTCCTGATTTGGGACTAGATCAAATGTTCCCCCCAGCGAGGTGTGGTGGCTCATGCCTGTAAACCCAGCACTTTTGGAGGCCGAGGCAGACAGGTCACTTGAGGTCAGGAGTTTGAGACCAGCCTGGCCAACATGGTGATAACCTATCTCTACTAAAAATACAAAAATTAGCCGGGCATAGTGGTGGGCACCTGTAATTCCAGGTACTTGGGAGGCTGAGGCAGGAGAATCGCTTGAACTTGGGAGGAGGATGTTTCAGTGAGCTGAGATCACGCCACTGTACTCCAGTCTGGGTGACACGGCGAGACTCTGTCTCCAAAAAAAAGTACCCCCGCCCCACCTCTGCAGGAGAGGAAGCCCCACTCGAATCACTTGGGTTAAAAGTAGGGGAAGGGTTAATCTCAGGTGAAAAGGAGGTAGTACTGTTGCAAGAAGAGGGACTGGATAGATGTGGGTGACCCAACCATAACTACCTACTCTCCCTCAGCTCCCAAAACATAGCTCAAGCGTTCCTCAGTAGCAGGAATTTTACAAAACACTGCTGCAAGTTCCAATAAGAGGTATGTTGCAAATACCTAAAATTAGCTGGAATTTGTAACGAGTTTTTATTTTTAAAAATAAGTTAGAGTGGATTCAGAGTTATCCTGGTAAAGCTTTCAGTGATGGATATGTGAGCATTTTAATACGGTTGGCTCTATTTGTGTAAAACTTTGAAAATTTTCACAACAAAAAAGGTATCCCCTAAAGAATATCAATTTTACTCATTTGTTTTCCAAAACACTTTTTTTTATATGGGAGGTAGGTTGTCAGAGAAGGGGTGCTCAGGCCTGCTTGTTAGACTAGAGAAGGCTTCCTGGCCAAGTGACAGCTCAGGATGTGGGAAGTAGTAACAGCCAAGTGAGTGCATTTTTTTTTTAAGAGATGGGATCTCACTCTGTCACCCAGGCTGGAGTGCAGTGGCACAATCACAGCTTACTGCAGCCTTGACTTCCTAGGGTCAAGCCATCTTCCCACCTCAGCCATTCTAGTAGCTGGGACTATAGGCACACCACACCACCTGGCTAATTTTTTATTTTTTGTAGAGATGGGGTCTTGCTATGTTGTCCAGGCTGGTCTTGAGACCAGAACTCCTGACCTCAGGTGATCCTCCCACCTCTGCCTCCCAAAGTTCTAGGATTATAATTATGAGCCACCACACCTGACCTGCATTTTGAATACAATATGAGAAGGGCTTTGTAAACTGTAAAGTGCCATAAAAGTATTGTAAGTATGTGGTGGAAGAATATTTTTGAAATATTAACATGATTTTCCCCTCAGCTTTTTTTCCCATTCTTACTGCCTTTGTTTTCTCCTCACTCAGCTAAGCCAATCTATATTCATTCTATCAGGAGGAAGACTATGACAGCAGGAGAAAGAACAAAGAATCTTCTAAGGGGCACAGAAAAGAGAGAGTTATTAAGTCTTCCCCACCACCAGACTAGTAAAAAGATTCCCTAGACTGGGAGAACAGAGAGAGCCAGAAGTTCTATGCCTGAAGCTTTCCAATGACAAAATAAGAATTCCCCATGGCAGGTGAATGGGTAAATGATGGAAGTGTCCTATGCATGAATTATTATGTAGCCTTTAAAACGAATGCATTAAATCTATGCCAGTTCATTTGGAGGGGGCTTCTGGTTTACAACACCAGCGAGATGTAGACAAAGATGCTACAAAATTCCTTTTTGTAGAACAAATGATGCCCAGCCCCCATTATTAACATAGACATTTGCACGTTTGCATACAGTTGCATGAGCATGGGCAAAAAGTATGAAAAGATACACTTTGCTTCCTAACACTATTTACCTGGGGAGAGAAAATAAGTGGGAGGAATAGAAACTTAAAAAGTATGCACAATAAAAAAGCATTTGTGGCAATTCCATTTATGTGATATTCATATGTATACATACGTGTGTGAATGCGTATGTGTGTATGAAAAGATTACCACCAACTCAAATGGTACAGATATGTATGAAGAAACTCAAGATAAATAATAGTAACATTTTGATTATTGAGTTTCCTTATAGTTATCTAAATTGTTCAAATCATTTTCTCAAGCTTCATGTATTTTCCCACTTTTAAGCAGGCAATAACAGAAACTATCTTAAAGATAACACATTTAAATTTACTGACACACAGTAGGCACCTAATAAATAGTTTAAAGAAAATAAGTATAATTCTCAAAATTCAATAAAGATCTTGTCATTGTGGAGACAAAAAGAACCACGCTTGGAGAGAAGCCAGAGATAGCTGAGAAGATGCTCACTCTGTCTTCTCCTTGAAAGAAAAGCCAACACAGATTTAAGAGGTCCAAAAATGATAGAGAGGAAGAGAGAGAGAGAGAAAGATTTTCAACCTGCTGCTTTTCAACCAAAACATTGCAGCAAGGGCTGCAAGCCACATACGTGGAATATACTGAGAATTTAGCATCTGATCATGAGCAAACTCAGAGACATGGATGGTCCTTCCTGCTACTTCTTTGAGTTTGCAGGGCTTGGAGGCTGTAGCAGTGAGTGGTGCTGCTGTCCTAATGTCCTGACTATACCGGGAGCCACTCTTCGATCATTCTTCTGTCCATTCAGATGAGTAGAGATGGGCTGCATGAACGGTTTTATCCCCAGGATCAAGTGGAGCATCTGGCATGGAACAGCCAGCCACTCAGTAAGTGCTGGGTGAATGCATAAATAAGTAAGGGAATGAGTAAATGAAGGGTTGAGTATGTGAGTGAGTGAGTGAATGGGTGAGACAATGGATGAATGAATAAATTTGCACCCCAGAAGAAGCTCTGACACAGCTTTGAATTACTCCTCCAGATGCGAGGGGCTTTGTGGAGAGCTGTCCATCATCCTTGCCTGCCCAAGGACAATGACTTCTCAGCTTTCACCATGCATCCTGCAGCCATGGAGGGAAGCAAAATTAACTGGTCTCCATCAGCCTCCCCATCAAACATTTGCTGAGCACCCATCATGTGCAAAATATTGACTAGGAACTGTGGGAGATGGGAAGAATTCTGGAAACTCCTAACTCTCAAGGAATTTGCAGGGTTATCAGACAGTTGCCACACAAAGACATAAAAACATCCCCTGCTAAAATAAAGACCACGCCAGATATGTGCTGTAGGTATTCACCCCTGCAGGAACTCTGGGGAAAATGGGGCAGGAGGAGTCACCCTTGGATGTCACAAATGGCTCTCCAAAGGAAATAGAACAACATCGCAGCATGAATTCTGAAGCCGGCCCACCTGCCTGCCTTGAATTACAGCTTCCACCAGCTGTCCGGCCTTGGACAAACTACTTAACTCTCCACATCTGTCAAATGGGGATAATAATATAACAATCCCCCAATATTGTGAGGATGAAATAAGCTAATACTTAGGAAAAGCTTGGAACAGTGCTTGGCACGTCTTAAGTGTGATATGTGTGAGCTCCTTCCTTGATTCTCATTCTGACTTGAAGAGGATTTTTAGAGGGGAGACCCAGGGAACAGTGGGGCAGCCTAGACGGGTGGAAAGTGTTATGCTGGAGGCTTAACCTAACCTGGTTCAAAACCTGGTTCTGCTATTTCTACCAGTGTGACCTTGACTTAAACTCTCCAAAGCTCAGTTCCTCACTTATAAAATGGTAATAACAAAACCAATTTCATTGAAAACGTATGCTAACGATGCCATGATAAATAATAGTTATTATTAAAGAGAAACACAGTAAAGAAGTTCCCAGAGGGAGGTGAATAAATTAAGCATGATGACGTGCCTTGCTACTTCCCCATCTTTCTCTTCTTCCCCCAGATTTGTTCAAGGTCTCATCATTACTGGTTTGCATTTCTATTTTAATCATGTTATAGGTTTACAGTATTTTTCCCCCTGCATCTTTATATGCTATAATTTGGGTACTATTTTTACACAACGAAGCCATTTTTAACCGAGAACAGATTCAATTGTCTTTCAGCATATATCATTGTTTATCTTAATTAATGCTAAAATATTCTTAGGGGGAAAAACACATCCCACAGAGTATTATGCGAAGAAACTTAGCATTCATTTTTGCCTCCCTCTTTTCTGGCATATCAATTTATAAAGGTTTTAGCATCCTGTTATTTCAATGACAATAATGCATGCTCTTAAACGCAGACACCCATCTGTGGGAAGCAAGTCACAGGGTGTCAACAGCAGCAAGGTGTGTGTTGCAGTGGAGGTGGAGGATTGACAGCTGGAATAAGAAGGGGATTTTGCTGGTGAGAATAATGCCAAGTGAAGTCATAGGCTTTGTCTCTGATTGATCGATGGAAACATTCCTTGAGTAGAGCTGAATCTAGCTAGATTCCATGCTTGGAGTCTTTCTTAGTAAGGCTACTACTATAAGCACAGATGATGGAAAATGGATGATGTTTTTATTCATCATCCATTCTCTTTCCTTCAAATAAGATGCCCCATGCACCTCTGAGGGAATGACCCTTTACACACTCAACCTAAGTTTTTTGCCTCTCCCTCCAGCTCTAGGGTGGGCATGTGATATAGAACTGACCAATCAATATCTATTATCTTTCTGGCCACAGTGATTGGGCAAGGGATAGCCATGTGACCCAATCAGAGCCAAGAGACTCAGTTTTGAGACTTTAGATAGAACCACTGGGAAAGAGGGTTCTCTTTCTACTGGGATGCTGACCTGGCAGGAATATTACCCAGAGCTGCCTGTGACCATCTTTACTATGAAAAGGGGAGAGCTTGCCAAAGAATGAAGCTGTATTATAGTCTGTTCTCATGCTGCTAATAAAGACATACCTGAGATGGGGTAATTTATAAAGGAAAGAGGTTTAATGGACTCAAAGTTCCACATGTCTGGGGAGGCCTCACAATCATGGCAGAAGGCAAACGAGGAGCAAAGTCACGTCGTACATGGTGGAAGGCAGGAGAGCGTGTGCAGGGAAACTCCCCTTCATAAAACTATCAGATCTGGTGAGACTTACGAGAACAACACAGGAAAGACCCGCCCCCATGATTCAATTACCTCCCACTGGGTCCCTCCCATGACACATGGGAATTAAGGGAGCTACAATTCGAGATGAGATTTAGGTGGGGACACAGCCAAACCATATCAGAAGCCAATATGAAAGAAAACAGAACTGAGAGATGGAGGCAGACTCTTGATGACAACTCCTGGACCCTGGATCAATTTTTGTTTAAAGCCAGTCTGCACTCTGCATCTTTGATGTAAACCAATGTATTTCCTTTATTTGTTTGTTTAAACTAAATTAAGTCATTTGTAATTTAAAGAGTTCAGAGAGGTGCCGTGTTTCAGTAGGGAACTGTAAAAAGCCAGGATATTCTGTAAATTAGAAGGGAATAATGTGGTGTTGACCACATCTGGGAGAATGTGCATCTGAGGGTGTCTTGCATGCCAAACTCACTTGTCTTCCTAATCAAGCAATAGTTTGGTAACTGAGAAGTTCCAAGTAGGCTTTAAGTCACACAATCATACTAGAGGAACTCCTAAGAACCTGGGTGACATTGTGATATAAAATGTGGAACTTCACTAGGTTATGCAAGAACCTCTGAAAAGGGTTGATAGGAAGGGTGTACGTTAGGTGTGTAAAGAACTAGGTGTGGGGGAACTAACTAGTACAAAAGGGATCTGGTGAATTTGGATTCTACCCTACTCGAGATGATGTTGGAGGGCTCTGATCAAAGTAGGGGTTTGGGGGCAGAATTATGACAAGTATCTATAGGAAGTCACTATCTTTTATTAAAAATTTGTTGTGAACCTGTCCTCACTCATAGTTGGGAATTGAACAATGAGAACACATGGACACAGGAAGGGGAACATCACACTCTGGGGACTGTTGTGGGGAGGGGGGAGGGATAGCATTAGGAGATATACCTAATGCTAAATGACGAGTTAATGGGTGCAGCACACCAGCATGGCACATGTATACATATGTAACTAACCTGCACATTTGTGCACATGTACCCTAAAACTTAAAGTATAACAAAAAATTTGTTGTGAACCAGATACTGTACTAAATGACTTACCTACACTGTTGTATTTAATTCTCTCAACAACCTGATGAGTTCTGTATCTTATTATATCCATTTTACATGTAAGGGAGCTGAGGCTTAGAAAGCTGGAGTGACTTGGTCTGCCATGGCTAGGATTTCAACTCATGTCTGTATGACTCGAAAGCATCTAGTTGGTGGTAACATTGGTTTGTAGACTTGAAACAGAACTTTGGCTAATGACTGGGGCACATGGAAGAGGGGACAGAGTCCAGCTTCCAAAGTTAGAAGGCTACCAAAACTAAGGTTTTGGTCAGAGATTCAACATTCCAGGGGCAGACCCTGATCCCAATGGGAGAGTAGATTTGATAGGGAAACTGAGGCAGGATCCTGGGACTGGAGCCAACACAGGGAGCATTAGTTGGGAGGGTTGTTGTGACCAGTCAACATACTTCTGGGGGCTTGTGGCAAAGAACAAACACAGAACTCCAAATGAATTCCCTGCCAGAGCTTGTTCAGAGTTGGCTTGGGATAGGAGAATCTGAGGGGAGTATGAGGCTGACAGAGAAAAAAGAGAGTCTTGTGGAATCCTAAGATTTAAAAAGAGAGGAAGAAAAGATGCCTTTTATTTATTAAACAGTGATTATGAAATACCTAACACATGGCCACGATTAGACTAGGCTCTTCCCATACATGAAGCTCAGAGAGGTCAAGTGAGTTGTTCAGGGTAACACAGGAGCTGTGCCTGGGTATGAAGCTGTATCTGCTCAAACATAAAGGTCTTTTCATGGTGCCAGAGTCTACATTTCCCAGAGTACTAAGATAGTGACTTGATCATCAGCACTAAATATGTGTCGTAAAGATAGCTCACATTTACAGATATTATAGCTACTCTGTGCCCTGCAAGGTGCTAACGACTTTACTTGGATTATCTCAACTTATCCCCCAGACAACCTATGACGTTTAGCCAGGCATCATCATCATCATCATCATCATATCATCGTTATCCTCATCCTCATCCTCATCATTGTTCTTGAATGATGAAAATTGGAGCTCAGAAACTCAACCTGTGTCAAGATTACAAAGCTAGCAATTCTGGGTCAGAACCTGAACCCAGGCAGCCCGCACTTTCGATGTGCCCAAGCTTATATCTCCACCTACAACTCTGCCTCAGTTTCTCCCTCTGTAAAATGAAGACAGTAATAAGGCACCTCACAAGGTTATTGTGAGAACAAAATGAACCGCTGCATACTAGGAGCTTAACAGACTGGCAAAGAAAACTCCATCAATGTTGGCTTTCATCGGGGCTATTTTAATTTTTGCATCACCCTCTTCAAAAGGGCACTTCTCGCTTTCCCACGGCTAAGCTGCCACACTCAAGTGTGCTGGAAAAAAAGGCTGGGTAGCTCACAACGTGCGGGGGCATCTTAGTGTAATCCTGGGGTGAGAGATAAAAGAAGCTCGCTTGACATAACTTCATAAACCCATTTTAATCTAAACATTGATTTTCCTTTGGAACAATCCCTTTCCCCTTGCTCACAGTCCCACCACGCCTCTAATACAGACGTGGGTATTGATAACATTATTGAGATAAAACAGTCGCCTCTTTCTTATTCCCTTTATTCATCAGTCACCCCAGGCCTGTCTTTGTCTTTTTTCATCCTCTGCTACCCAGCATTATTCATTGGAGTGCCTTCTTTTCCCTCACCCTCCATAACTCAAGGTGAAAGTTTTCAGTAATGACAAGTAGTAAAATATGAGAGATTTAAGCAAATTCAACTGGAAATAATGTGAAAAAATATTATTCGCTCCGGACACATGCTTCTCTTTTGATCTTCCTTGTCCAAGATACATTTTAAAAAAAAATACTCCTTTGATAACAAGAAGTGAGCAGGCGCTAAAAGGAAACCTTATGTCTTTGTTGGGAAATAATTAGTCTGATCGAATCGCTTGCTTTCTGATGGACAAAGGAGTCTTTAAAGAAAATCATTTGTGCTCTCTGGGCCCCTTCAGGCAGCACAGCTTTCTGAGGCTTGGGCTTTTAGATGAGAGTTTGGGGAATGGAAAATTTCCCTGAATAAGAAATCAGAGAGCTTGACCTACACAGTTACCTCTCTCTTAACATGACAACAATTGGCAATTACTTTTTGATCCAAAGTGTGAGGATGAATATGGAAAGGAAGGGCGAATCATTCTCCTTCTTCTCAAGCTCATTCTCTCTTTAGACCTGCACCTGAAGCTGATTTTCTTTTCTTTTTTTTTTTTTTCCAGTCCCAGCAATTCAATATAATCTATAGCTGGAAATACCTATGTTAGCTGCAGCTGGGGGAAAAAGCAGTTGGCAAATTCATGAATCAGGGCTTCTTTTCTTTTTCGCTTGTGAAAGGTAACTTCCGACAGCTTAAGGGTGATTTGGAATGAAGCGTGGGTTGGTTCCTAGTGTCAGCACATTGCCTAGTTGTTCCAGCCAGGCTGGCTGTAATGAAGCGTGGACATCCATACATAGTTTCAGTGTCAGGGACACCGGTGACTCTAATGAAGAGAGGACCTTAACTTTGATGCAGAATCATGATTGTTTATAGCTGTGTGGTGAAGAATGGGCTCTGAAATCCATCGCACTTCGGTGAAAATGCTGTTTGGTCTGCAATGTGAAGCTGATAGCTTAATTTCTCTGATACTCAGTGTCTTTACCTGTAAAATGGTGCCAATATCAAAGTAGCTGTCTGGTATAGCAGGGTTTCTTAATCTTGGCATTATCAACATTTGGGGCCAGGACATTCTTCATGGTGAGGGGCTGCCCTGGGCATTGTAGGGTGTTTAGCAGCATCGTTAGCTTCTACCCACTAGATGCCAGTAGCACTCTCCCCCCACCCCATTATGACAACAAAAATCGTCTCCAGACACTGCCAGTGTCCCCTGGGAGGCGCAATCCCTCCTCCCTCCCCTCACCGAAAGCCGCTGCCATGGAGCTATTGTGAGAATGAAATGAAATAATCCATACAATGCTCTCAGCACTGTTTAGTAGACAGTACATAGTAAATGCTCAATACGAATTAGTTGTTACTCAGACACCAAGAGGGTAACAACAGGCGCACAGACACTGGGGCCTATTTGAGGGTGGAGGATGAGAGGAGGGAGAGGAGCAGAAAAAATAACTATTGGGTACTAGGCTTAGTACCTGGGTGATGAAATCACAAACCCTAGTGGCACAAGTTTACCTATAGAACCAACCTGCACATGTACATCTGAATCTAAAATAAAAGTTTGAAAAATGAATAAATAACTATTACTTGTTACTGTATTAATAAAACTGTCAATAGAAACTCAACACAATCATTTTTTTTCTCTTGAAGAATCTTATAGAATCTCTGGATCTTTAGTGTCCCAATTTCCCTGATATTGGCTAGGAAACCTCAGTTGCCCCACCTGCCACTTGTCAAATGTTTTGTTTTTGGCAAAACCATCCAGTGCTAGGAGCAGGCAAGTCAATTTCCAAGTGGTTCTGTGAATGAAGGGTGTCCTCTCACTTTAGTCCCAGGGAAATAGCTAATGCACCTGGGTTTAATACCTAGGTGATGAGTTGATAGGTGCAGCAAACCACACAGGCACACTTCTACCTATGTAACAAACATACACATCCTGCACATGTACCCCAGAACTTAAAAAAAAAGTTCAGAAAGGATCAGGAAAGGAGAGATCATATCCATAGCAGTAGGGACAGCAACACTGAGGATCTGAGTAATTAGAAGTCAACCAAAGCTTCCTCATCCTTTGGGGAGAAAGCAGGATGCCCAGAAGAGGTAACCGCAGTTGCTCCCTGGGGCCTGGAGGTCTTGTGTGCATGCTGGAGTGGGAACAGGGAAAGGGGCAGGTGGCGAAGAGCAACAGATGCAATCAACTTTCTCCATCTATGCTTTAGTTCTAGCGACTTCTACCACTTGATGGACTGCACCTAATAGTGACCACTGTTTGAACTCTATCATGGCCTGAGTTGTGTCTCCTCAAAATTCAAATGTTGAAGCCCTATTTGGAGATAGGAACCTTAAGAAGGCAATTAAGGTGAGGCCCTAATCCAATAGAGCTGATGCCCTTGTAAGAAGAGAAAGGCACCAGCACTCTGTTTTTCTCCTTATGCAGAGGAAAGGCTGTGTGAGGATGGAACAAGAAAGCAGCCATCTGCAAGCCAGGAAGAGTGATCTCACCAGAAGTTGAATTTGCTGGCACCTTGATCTTGAACTTCTAGCCACCATAACTGGAGAAAACAAATGTCTGTTGTTTAAGGCCCATCCTGTGGTATTTTGCTATAGAGATCTGAGCAGACCAATATAAGTGCTTACCAGGTGCTCGGCGTGGTCACTCATTTCGTTCTCATAATGACACTTTGAGGTAGGTTTTACAGAAGAGGAAACAAGCTCAGAAAGGTTAAAAACATGTCCAGCGTCCACACAAATAGGAAATGTACTGCTGGGCCTGTCCATCTTCAAAAAAATGAGGTCCTTAACCACCATCTCAATGTGGGCTGTCTCTATCCCCACATCACCATTTCTAGAATGTTGACATTGTACAAGTCTCTATGTCAGGGATTTAAATAAATCAGCTCTTGCACTTTGGGAGACCAAGATGGGAGGATCACTTGAGACCAAGAGTTTGAGACCAGCCTTTCCAATATGGTGAAACCTCGTCTCTACTAAAAATACAAGAATTAGCCAGGCATGGTGATGCACACCTGTAGTCCCAGCTACTCAGGAGGCTGAGGCAGGAGAATTGCTTGAACCCAGAAGGCGGAGGGTGCAGTGAGCTGAGATCTCATTGCTGCACTCCAGCCTGGGCAACAGAGCTAGATTCCATCTCAACACCCCCATCCCCACCCCCCGAAGAAAAGTACATCAGCTCTTTTAAATCTCTGGGTGGGGAACTCTTGCTGTGAGAAATGAGCTGATATTTGGTCTTTAGATATCACAGAAACAGCTACTGAATTTTACTGTCTACAATTTTAATCCAACCAAGGATTCTGAGGGTGCATGGGGGTGAGGGCTCAGAAAGAGAAGAGCCCATTCAACTCCAGGTCACTCCAGGTGAGTTCACTCCAGGTCAAGAGTCAGCCAATGCTATTAGTGGCTGCAATTTGCTTTTCAGGGATCTGCTTTTATGCAAATGAAAGCAAGAGGTCTCCAACTAAGGAAGGGGAATGAACATCCCTCCTCTGCCCTACAATTCTAGTCCAAGATGTCTTTCTCCAGCTGGGGGCTTAGCAACAAATTGTATCTTCCTCCTTCGTTTCCTTCCAAGGACAATGAATAATCATAATTCAAAGTAGAGCAAAGAGCCTGCATTTACACAGTGCACATTTCCAATGTTTTTTGAGATTACCTGATTTTACCTTCAAGTCATCATGGGAGGCAAGTGCTTTCTGACAGATGAAGTCAAGACATAGAAGTGAGGACTCTTGACCTCAACCCACTGCATTTTTCCCAGGTGGTGCCATTTGGCTGGCAGTAATGCTGTAGCCACTTGGCATCCATCACAGGTAAGGGCAGCAGAATTAGAGGCAGACAGACCTAGGTTTGAATCCTGCCTCTGACCCGAACCATCTGTCTGACATTGGACACATTAACTTATCTCTTTGAAAATGGTGTAGAGAAAATGAAGATGGAGATCATAATGATCTGCAGGGGTCAACCCCATACAATTTGAGGGGATCTATGGAAAGCACAGTGCTTGGCATATATATGATCAATGCTTAGCAGCTGTCTTTGCTGTTCCCAATGGACAAGAACTTTCTAGAATGTATAAGGTCTGTGCCTAAGCACTTTCTTTCACGATCCTTGTCCATGTCATGGGGTCCTCTGAAGGACCTTAGAGGTCATTCTTAGTTTGGCTGGGGCTTCCCTTGGGTAGGAAAGATAACGTAGTTCTGAACCAGGCAGTATTTAATGAGTGTTCACCCAGTTCTTGGCCAACTACTCTAATGACCAAGAGTCCACAGAATCTGTTGTTTATGAACGCCAGCCTTGAAGTCAGATCAAGTCCCAGCTCAGCACCTACTAGCATGTGTCCCATTGGACAGTTGTGAGAATTCAATGGGATAAGGCATGTGATATGCTCAGCACACTGGCACACAGTATGATGGAGCTGACACAATCTTCCCACCAGCCCCTTTCTCCCCATTTCCTCCCAGTGCAGATGGACGTAAGGAGCTCTGCAAGTTGGTTAAGTTTCCCTTTTACTTCTCTCATTCCTTCACTGGAGGATGGCTAAGGTTGCAGTGAGCTGAGATCGCGCCACTGCACTCCAGCCTGGGTGAAAAAAAGATATTGGGTTTGATTAGGGGCTACACAAGGGAGAGAATGCAGTGGTGGTGGGCTGTGCAGGAAAACCTCAACTGCTTGCAAACAGCATGTAGTTTTAGCTGGGCATGATGGCTCACGCCTGTAATCCCAGCACTCTGGAAGGCCGAGGTAGGTGGATCACCTGAGGTCATGAGTTTGAGACCAGCCTGACAAACATGGTGAAACCCTGTCTCCATTAAAAATACAAAAATTAGCCGGGTGTGGGGGCACATGCCTGTAATCCCAGCTACTCGGATAGTTTTCCTGGAATGACCCACGTTGGTTCCTGTGCTCAATGATTCTTTTCCAATAAGGCAATATTCATCTCGCCTTATTGGAAAGGGATTTTCCATCTAGTTGGAAGAATCTCTCCTCCGTAGCTACAGCCCTGATGGATAGAAGCAGATTTAGATTTTCTTTTGACTTTTGAACCATTTAATGATAACTAGGCCCTTAGACCTCCCTCCCCACAACCCCGTTACAGTAATGCCCATGGCATAAACATGGAATGTGGTGTCCAGGAAACTCGGATTCTAACCTCAATTTTTATTTTTCTAATGGGGCTGAAAGGCAAGGCAATGTCTAAAAATTATCCCAGTTTGGATATTCTGCGTTTTTGTCATTCCCTTGATAACCAACGCAGAAGTCGATCAGTCCTAAGAACTAAGATGATGAAGCACTCACACTACATCTTATATTTCATCCTCTTTCCTGTCTGCTTAGCGTAAGCTCTGCTTCTCATCAGGAAGATTTGTGACAAGTAGTGGTAAATTATTCCCAAAGCTCGCTTGACCCACGGCTAACAACATCCTTCACAGTGGGTGTTGTGCTAAACCCCTATTAACCTCATTAGGGAGGCACCAGGTTCAAGAGGCTGAAGAAGAGACCCGGAGCCAGTAAATAAGACATGGGGTAGCTGGCTGCGGTGGCTCACGCCTGTAATCCCAGCACTTTGGGAAGCTGAGGCGGGTGGATCACCTGAGGTCAGGAGTTCGAGACCAGCCTGGACAACGTGGTGAAACATTGTCTCTACTAAAAATACAAAAATTAGTCCAGTGTGGTGGCGCATGCTTTATAATCCCAGCCACTCGGGAGGCTGAGGCAGGAGAATCACTTGAACCCGGGAGGTGGAGGTTGCAGTGAGCTGAGATCACGCCACTGCACTCCAGCCTGGGTGACAGAGTGAGACTCAGTCTTACAAAAAAAAAAAAAAAAAAAAGAAAAGAAAAGAAAGACATGGGGTTTGATTAGGGGCAACATACATGGGAGAGAATGCGGTGGTGGTGGGCTGGGCAAGAAAACCTCAACTGCTTACAAACAGCATGTAGTTTTGGCCGGGTGCGGTGGCTTATACCTGTAATCCCAGCACTCTGGAAGGCCAAGGTAGGTGGATCACCTGAGGTCAGGAGTTTGAGACCAGCCTGACCAACATGGTGAAACCCTGTCTCCATAAAAAATACAAAAATTAGCCAGGTGTGGGGGCACATGCCTGTAATCCTAGTTACTTGGGAGGCTGAGGCACGAGATTTGCTTGAACCCGAGAGGCAGAGGTTGCAGTGAGCTGAAATCACACCACTGCAATCCCGCCTGGGTGACACAGTGAGACTCTATCTCAAAACAAAAACAAAAAAACAGCATGCAGTTTATATAGCATTTTCACTTAGCAGCCTCCCCTTAATGACCTCCACCTGGCAACTTTCATTTAATCCAAAACTTAGAGTTTCAATCCCCTGTACAACATATGTTTCACGGGACAGGCCAGGAACTCAGATGCTCTTCATAGACCAGGAAAAAATCTCCAGGTTGGCCACTCCTGATTCCCTAGCTCAGAACGCACATTCAGGTGCATCTGCCATACAGAGTCATTCTAAGGGTGTGCTTTAGTTATTGCTGTCAGGTGCATTTACCCTACAGTGGCTTATGACATGGTTAAGAGCAGGCGTTTGAAGTCAAATCCCATTCTGGCTACTTGCTAGCTATGAAACTGAGACCTGTTCTTTCTTCAACATTCATTTATTCATTTCAAAAGCTAGTACAGCGATATTCCTTTGGTGCCGTGGATACAGTGATGAACAGGGCATACACTATCCCCTCCCTGCCTTCAAAGTGTACAATCTACTGGCAAAGACAGCCCTGACAAAGTGTGACCCAAGCGAGGATATGGGAAGACCCATTTTTATGAGATCATTTGCAGAAGCCACTACTGTGGTCTGGACAGGGTAGAAGTCAGGGAAGGCTTCCCAGTGGCGCTAAGCCTAAGCTGAAAATGAAGGCTGAATAGGAGATGGAGGAAGGGAACCTTTGCTGGGCGGAGAGAACCTCATATATGGAGGCCAGAGAGCTAGAGACAGTGGAGTGCCTTAAACTCTAAATAAATTGAGAAAAGTTCATCTGGAAGTTTCTACTCTGTGTGTGTCTGCGTGTAGTTTCCTTCTTTCTTTTCTTTTCTTTTTTTTTTTGGAGACGGAGTCTCTCACTCTTGTCCTGGCTGGTGTGCAGTGGCGCGATCTCGGCCTGCTGCAACCTCCACCCCTGAGTTCAAGCGATTCTCCTACCTCAGCCTCCTGAGTAGCTAGGACTACAGGCACCCACCACCACACCCGGCTAATTTTTTGTATTTTTAGTAGAGACAGGGTTTCACTATGTTGGCCAGGCTGTTCTCAAACTCCTGACCTCATGATCCACCCGCCTCGGCCTCCCAAAGTGGTGGGATTACAGGCGTGAGCCACTGCGCCCGGCTGTTTTTTTTGTTTTTGTTTTTTTAATTTTTTCTTTTAGTGGAGTGTGGGGTAGAGAGGGAAATGGTGAGAGCTGGGACTGGAGAGCAACTGGAGAGCTAGTGAGGGCCGGGTTATGAAAGGGGTTCAGAACCGTATTAAGGAGAATAGACTTGTATCCTCAAAGTAATGGGAGCCTCATAGACAATTTTAAAGAGGGAATTACATGATTGAGTTTTTATTTTGGAAAAATCAACTAAATTTTGGAGAATGGTTTGTGTGGGAGGAGAAGAAGTTGGAGGATAGAGCAGTGACCTAAAGCGATGGCCAGAAAGAAGGCTTCTTGAAGGCTGAGATCTTCGTCAGTTTTGTTTCTTTGAGCATCCCAGTTTCTTGGAACAGAGATTGGTACATACCAGACAATCAGTAATTGCTTGTTGAGTGACCGTGGCCTAGACCAGGGCAGTGGCTGTAGGGATACAGGGATTCATGTGGATTCGAGACCTAATTTGTGGGCCAAGGGAAAATAATCAGTGATGAGTAGAAGGGAGTTAAGAAGGATTCTCAGTGTTCTGGCTTGAGCAACTGAAGGGAAAATTGTGACATTTTCTGAGATGAAAAATCCTTAAACTCTTTGAGCCTCAGTTTCTTCATCCATAAAATGGGACCAGTAGCCCACATCTCACAAGTATGTAAAGGGAGTAGCCTAGTGCCTGATACATAAGGGGTAATCAGTGCGTCAATGTGTCCTTCAGGCTCAGATCTCCTCTATAGCATGCAAAGTTCCCTCTATAGGTTATGAAGAAAGCCCACATGGACATTTTCCCAGGGTCTCCAGGTTTGAGGTTCCCAGAGATGGTGTCAGGAGCAGCAGCAACAGCCCTACAAGTGGAAATGCATAGCCAGGAAATGAAATAAACAACTGAGATTGCTAATTGGAGTTTATTTTCTAAAAATGAACAGCGATTCCCAGCATGGCGCAGTCACCTGCAAACCTGGTCCTTAATAAGCTATTCTGGTCGTTGTCAACATGAAGAATTTGATTGGACAGAGGAGTAGATTGGTGGTGAGGCTTTCTGTAGCTAAGGAGTAGTTGGGGTGGTGGGAGGTGGGCAATAATTTAGCAGAAAGGAAGTGAGTTTGTTTTTAAACTCACAATCCTCCCTGGGGTACAACTACTTAGGGTCATTTCTCCAGTCTCATTTTCTGGGAAACTGGAATTGCACCTGGTTATGGGCAGCCAGGGCATTGTTGAGGCTGCAGTTTCCTGTGGACAAGATGCAACCACTGGTGTTAACAAGGCCCAGGAGGTCACTCAGAGCCACCGCCACCTCTTTCTCTTCCATCTACTCAGTGGATGGAGACCAAGCAACAAATCTCTGCCATGCACCACAGTATGCTAGTACTGAGGTTACCGAGATGCACGAGTCACAGCCCCTGCCTTTTGCAAGGGAAACAGACCAGCAAACAGGCAATCACAATCCCATAGGATGGGAGTCCGTATTTATTTTCTAGGGTTGCCATAACAAATCACCACAAACTTGCATGGTGGTGCAAGTTTAACACAACCACAGAAATTTCGTATCTCATATTTCTGGAGGCTAGCAGTTCAAAATAAAGGTGCCAGCAAGGCTAGGCTCTCTCTGGTGGCTCTAGAGATTCATCATTTTTTGCCTCTTCATAGTTTCTGGTATTGCTGGTTATCCCTGGTGGTTCTTGGCTGGTAAAAGCATCACTCCAGGGCTCGCCTCTGTCATCACATGGAATTCTCCCTATGTGTCTCTGTGTTTCTTCTCTTCTTGTAAGGATGGCAATGATATTGGATTTAGGGTATAACCTCATCTTAGCTCAGTTACATTTGCAAATACCCTATTTCCAATGAAGGTCACATTTAAAGATACCAGAGGCTAGGACTTGAACATATTTTTTAGGAGTCGGGGGACACAATTCAGCCCACAACAATGTGAGTACAAGCGTGCCTGATGTCCTGTCGAATCAGATTTTACCTTGTTACAAGTGTTATGGGAGCAATCCCTATGATGTGATCTGCAGTTCTCTCTCTCCCTTTTCCTTTTTCCTTTTTTTTTCTTTTTTTATTTTGCCTCCCTTCCTTTACTTCTTGATTTTTTTTTTTTTTTTGAGATGGAGTTTTGCTCTTGTTGCCCAGGCTGGAGTGCAATGGTGCAATCTCAGCTCACTGTAACCTCTGCCTCCTGGGTTCAAGTGAGTCTCCTGCCTCAGCCTCCCGAGTAGCTGGGATTACAGGCGTGCACCACCACACTCAACTAATTTTTTGTGTTTTTAGTAGAGATGGGGTTTTACCATGTTGGTCAGGCTGGTCTCGAACTCCTGACCTCAGGTGATCCACCTGCCTCGGCCTCTACATTGTTGGGATTACAGGCGTGAGCCACCGCATCTGGCCTACTTCTTGACTTCTTTCTTCCCTTTCTGTAGTTTTGTCAACTCATACTAATTGGTCATCTCCTGCATATTAGGCAGAGTTCTAGACATCAGGGATGGAGTGCAGAGACCAAACAGACACAGTTCCTGTCTCTGAGACTCACGAGTTATGGGGGAAAGAGACAGCAGCCAAACAGTCACATAAATACATGTCAAATGACAACTGGAACAATTGGAAGGGGATCCCTTCTGAATATGCAGGGTAACAGCTTGAACTGACCTTCCAGGGGAACAATTCTAAGGCCGTAAAGACCAGTCTCCAGCCATAGACTGTGTATTTCCACTCTGTAAGCATCAACATCTTCTAGTCCGCAAGATACAGGAAGAGGAGAGATAGAAGATCATTGATTTACTTGGGTCCATGTATTTGAAACCCTCTGCTTGAGAAGTAGGAGAATAGGGAATGAGGATAACCAAAGGTTAAGTCATAAGCAAAACAACAGCAGGTGCAGCCAATTCTAGGCAAGACTGGGCAGCATACAGGCCACATCCTCACTCTGAAATAACAACATGGAAATTTCCATTTCAGCCTCTGATTGACCACAGGCCAAGTCTCCACTTCAGCCTCTGATTGGTCATGAGCCATCTCCACTTTAGCCTCTGATTGGTTCTTGGGCCAATCCTTCATAGGATATAACCAACTGGAGGCCTCTAAAGGGCGCCAAGTGGGTGTTACCAAATTCTTTTAGCTTAATAAGAACCCTAAACAACATTATAATGGGAGCGTTTGAGCTGCTTGTTCAAGCCTGCTCCCACTCTGTAGAGTATACTTTTGCTTCAATAAATCTGTGCTTTCATTGTTTTGTTTTTTTTTTGTTGTTGCTTTGTTTGTATGTTTTGTTTGATTCTTTGTTCAGTGCACCAAGAACCTGGACAACTCACAGTCAAGCATTTCCATCCCGTAACAGTTGGAGAATAAGCCTGAGTGACGGGCCTTCCATTTAGCAGGTGAATCTCAGCTGCTACGTAAATCGTCAAAGCCAGAACTTGGAATGTGAATATAGCCATGAGAGTGCCTCAGCAAGGAGCCATTATGAGGTACTGATAAACTGACCACCCTATAAAAACCAAGGGGGCCAGGAAGTTATAAATGGTTCAGCAGCATCCAGGGAAGTGGGAAACACTCACAAACCTGAGATTATCTGGGGGGACTCTTGAGCAGCGTTGGGGAAGTCACAACCAGTGGTGAGGGGCTACAAAGGCAAGGAGTACGTGGTGTTTCAGGGTAAATGATAGGCTGGACCTGGTCAGGGTGGGGAAAGGGATTTCCTGGGAAGCGATGCTAGTGCTCTGTTTCCCAGGTCCATGAAGACAAAGCTGTCAAAAAATAAAAAAATAAGGCTTCCCATCCACACCCATGTAATACTGTGAACAGATCTCAGAGTTTGGTGTCAAAACTCACCAAAACATACACTTAAATGGGTGCATTTTATCATACGTAAGTGATATCTCAATAAAGTGAATTTTGAAGATGCTGGTGATAGCCCTCTTTGTTTTTGTTTTGTTTTGTTTGCTTGTTTTTGTTATTTCAAAAGAAGGTCTTGCTCTGTTGCCCAGGCTGAAGTGCAGCAGTGTTATCTTGGCTCACTGCAGCCTTGACCTCCGGGGCTCAAGCGATCCTCTCACCTTAGCCTCCCAAATAGTTGGGGCTATGGATGCATACCACCATGCTCAGCTAATTGCTTTTTAATTTTTTGTAGAGACAAGGTCTTGCTATGTTGCCCAGGCTGGTCTCATACTCCTGGACTCCAGCAATCCTCCCAGCTTGGTTTCCCAAAGTGCTGGGATTACAGGCATGAGCCACCATGCACAGCCCCTCTTTTTTTAAATTCTGGGTGTCAAAGCCATGGTAGAAGCCTTTCTAATTTTGCTCAAGAGTCATTGGATCCTGTATTATATAATGTCAGAGCCTGGAGAGAATCCCAAGACAATTGGGATCAAACACATCATTTTATACAGGAGGTGACTGAGTTTCAGGAGAGACAGCAAGGTCATAGTCACAGCAGTCAGAAGGATGCGCCATAGATTGGAAAAATCCAGAAGGTGGGAGATGGGTGGAGTGACATGCTCTTAGACAATCTAGCCCATGTGCTGAGGTCAGAGAAGTTAGATTTGAGGTCATTCAGCTAGTCAGATTTTGGCCCTAAATTTCCTGGCCGTCCACTTCCTTCTGTCCTTAACATGTTCTGTGAACACTCAGTCACTGCTACAGTCATACACAGATTGCATTTATTTTCATATCTCTTTGCAAAGCTTCTTCTGCACGGGGTGTCTTGATGTGTTCGATGATCTGGGTCTATTTAGGATCAGCTCAGACTCGGAAACCGGGGTGGGGCCAACATCACGAAATGGAAGAAATTATAAGCCAGGCGTCATAGTCTGGAGCAGAGGTCTTCAAACATTGGTATGTATCAAAATTAAAGTGCCAATCCCTGGGATCCACATCCAGAGATTCTGATTTACTAGGCCTTGGGGGTGTCTGGGAATCTGCATTGATAACCCACAATGCAGGTGATTCTGATGGAGGTGGTTCAAGGACGAGAGTTTGAGAGTCCCTGTCCTCTAGCAACCTCTGGATTAAACATGGGAGAAAACAAATAGACCTGGGCTGTTGACTGACCAATGAACTTTCAAGGTAACCCGCATTCAAAATATTCTGTATTTTTCAAAGGATGGTAATGGAAAAGAAACAATGACAACAAAAGCCTGTCTTGAACACATACTTATTTGTGGCAGTTTTCAGAAGCGTATTATTTTCTAGTGATGGAGGGATTTTTTAAAATTCTGCTAAGCCTTCTTTTGAGTCACTCTCTTGAGATATATTTCACATACCATACAATTCAACCATTTAAAGTGTACAATTCAGTGGTTCCAGTATATTCAGAGTTGTGTAACCAGCATCATCAATTTTAGAACATTTTCTCCTCCCTCCCCAAGTCCTACTCCCATTAGCAGTCACTCCCCATTTCCTCCGACCCCCTCCACCCCTAGGCAACCACTAATCTACTTTCTGTCTCTCTAGATTTGCCTATTCTGGACATTCCATATAAATGAAAGAAAATGACACAGGTTCTTTCGTGAGTGGGTTCTTTTGCCTAGCATGTTTTCAAGGTTCATTCATGCTATAGCATGTATCATATCACTATTTCATTTTGTAAGTTACCAAGTAGTATTCCTGATGATGGATTTTAAAATGGAACTTCTCTCTTTTCACAAGTTGAACAGCTATCTTTCCTCTAGAATAACATTTTCACAAGTGGAACATCTATTTTCCTTCTAGAACAAGAGGCTTTGTAGCAGATAGGAATGTCAGATGCACTGCAAAGACCTAAGAATCTTATTCAAGGCCCAAGTGACCTTTCCAGCCTCATCTCCGTCAATTTTGCACTTCCTTCCATGACGTTCTAGCCACACAAGACACCTCTGGGGTCTCCCCTACTGGCCTCTGGTCAAAATAGCATGGCTTCTTGTCTGTGCAGTGAATGCCTCCCCTAATTCTGAACTAAAGCATCTCCTTTTCTGGACCTTTCTCTCATTTTTGCCCTTGATCTTGATTGTAGGTCTTTTCATTTTGTGCAATGATGGGTGAAGTCACCACCCTTTAGACTGGTGACTTCTCTAACAGAGGAACTGAATTTTCTTAATTTTGTATTCTCAGTGCCTAACTCGTTCCTGGCAAGTATGGGGTACTTGGTTAATATTTGTTGAATGAGTGAACGAATGAATGAACGAGTAAATGAAAGCTACAGAAGCCAGCATATATAGAATGAAAGTCGTTTTTCCCTGGAAGTTTTAACATAGTCATTTTAACTCCTCCTGTTTGAAATGACTTGTTTGCAAAAGAGTAAAAATGACAATTTAAATAATATTAAACTGCATAAGCATGAAAAACAATCTGCTAACAGTGGTTATCTCTGGGGAAGAGTTTAGAAGAGCTGGGGGGTGTTTTCACTTTTTCTTTCATTAGAGACTTCAAAAGAAGAAAAGTGGTGTAAAAATGGGTGTTTTTTTTCTTTTATGGTTTTTGGGGATTTTTAAACATAAAAATTATAAAAAAGTAAATAAACAATAAGAAGCAGAGAAAAGGAATGTCTACACATTGTTGGTGGGAATGTAAAATAGCACAGCCACCATGGAAAACAGTATGGATGTTCCTCAGAAAATTAAAAACAGAACTACTATATGATTCATATGAAATTTCTATCTCAGTTTAAGCCATTGCTAGTTTGGGTCTCTGTTACTTACAGCGGAACCTAATTCTAACAAACACAAATGCTTTAGACTCGGATCTGAGTACCAGGCTGGCTCTGGGTGACTTGTGGCAAATCACTTATCCCTTCTGTACTCAGTTTCTTCATCTGTTAAAGGAGAATGAAAAAACTTACATCATGGGACCACTGTGAAGTTTAAAAAGCACAGTGCCTGGCACAGCAAGGACATTTTTATTTATTATTTATTTGTTTATTTTTTGAGAAGGAGTCTCGCTCTGTCGCCCAGGCTGGAGTGCAGTGGCATGATCTTGGCTCACTGCAAGCTCCGCCTCCCGGGTTCACGCCATTCTCCTGTCTCAGCCTCCCGAGTAGCTGGGACTACAGGTGCCCGCCACTGCGCCCAGCTAATTTTTTGTATTTTTAGTAGAGACGGGGTTTCACCATGTTACCCAGGATTGTCTCGATTTCCTGACCTCGTGATCCGCCCGCCTCGGCCTCCCAAAGTGCTGGGATTACAGGCGTGAGCCACCGCGCCCGGCCGCAAGGACATTTAATAAATGACAGCTCTTGCCATTGTTATTAGCAATAATGATAACAGCAATAAACAGAAAAATGACAAATCAACGTATATGAAGGTCCCTTTTATCTGTAACAGACTTTGAATCCAATTTGATTTATAGCCTGTCTGCTTATGCTGGGTGGCTTAACATATTGATTATTTGAAAACCGTGTGGCTTAGCCCTAGAATGGAGGCTCATTTAATAAACTCCACTTATTGGGTGATTATGCAGAAGGCAGCTGCAATGACCTCCAGGACAGAGAAGCCTGATGATAATAGTAGCTACCATTTATTGAGCCCTTACTATGAGCTACCACTTAGTCTAACACAATCCCATGAGACCGTATAATTCCCGCCCCCCCACCCCGCCCCCCTCCCCCGGCCCCGCCGCCATTCCACAGATGAGAAAATGAGGCACAGATAGCTTAAATGCTTTAAATAGCTAGTAAGTGGCTTAGTCAAGATTCAGACCCAGGTTTTCTGAACCAAAGTTAGTGAGCTTTTCATTAGACTAGTTGCTGCTCAAGCTACAAATAATATGGTGTAAAAAAAAAAAAAAGCGGGGGGTGGGGCGCGGGGGGGTGGGCTTGGCATGGTGGCTCATGCCTGTAATCTCAGCACTTTGGGAGGCCGAGGTGGGCGGATCACTTGAGGTCAGGAATTCGAGACCCTCTGGCCAACATGGTGAAACCCTGTCTCTACTAAAAATACAAAAACTAGCCGGGCATAGTGGCAGGCACCTGTAATCGCAGCTACTCAGGAGGCTGAGGCAGGAGAATCCCAGTTTCAACCTGGGAGGCGGAGGTAGCAGTGAGCCGAGATCACACCACTGCACTCCAGCCTGGGCGACAGAGTGAGACTCCATCTCAAAAAAAAAAAAAAAAAAAAAAAAAAAAAAAAAAAAAAAAAAAAAAAAGGAGGAAGAAGGGAGATAACAAAAGGGTATTGGGGCTTTAAAGAAGGGTCAGCAGTTCTCCAATTTTCACATTTGACGACTCATTTAATTCCCCAATGAGTCCTCAAAGTCTTGGAATGAAGTATGGTAACCTCTTGCTGCAGTCACTCATGCCAGGGAGTTCTGTGAAATCTGGGGAGGGGTTACCTCCAGTACCCAAGGATGCTGAGCAAGGGACTATCAGTTGTCCCTCTATATCCAATCTTCCTTCTTCCAAAGTAAAATGATTTTTCATGGAGCATATATTAATTGTTGCCTAGAATCAAGACTATGCTTCCCATCCTTGCTTGCAGCAAAGTGTGGCCATGTGTCTAAGTTTTGGCCAATGAGATATAAGTAGGAAGTATTATGTACAACTTTGGGTTTGTTTCTTTAAAAGGAATGGGTATGCTCTTCTTTGCTTTTCCCTTTCTGCTGGTTGGATTGCAGATGTAATGGCTGGGGCAGCTGTCTTGGCAATGAGATGGACATGGAATTTGCAGTAGAAGAAACAGACAGAAGGAGCTCGGGTCTATGATGCTGTCATAAACCATACCAGCTTTCAACTACCTTACTAGACTTTTCGTGACAGGGAGAAAAAATTTTCTAAGTTTAAGCGATTGCTAATTTGAGTCTCTGTCACTTACAGTTGAACCTAATTCTAACAAACACAGATGCTACCCTGCCATTCATTACCCTATCCTCCCTTTCAGTGGCCCCCAATTTCTTTTTGGGGGAATTCTGTCACCAAATTAGATGCCTTTTAAAATTGACACATTGTATTGTACATATTTGTGGGGTATAATTTGATATTTTGATGCATATGTATTGTATAATGATCAAATCAGGGTATTTAGTGTGTCAATCACCTTGTGCATTTATCATTTCTTTGTGGTGAGGACAATTACAAGCCTCTCTTCCAGCTATTTGGTAATCTACAAAATACCTTACTTTTAATTATCCTTGCCCAACTGTGCAAAGGAACACCAGACTCATTTCTCCTATCTAATGTAACTTTGTACCAGTTGATCAACCTCGCCCTATCATCCCCTCTCGCATTCCCTCCCCAGTCTCTATTAACCATTGTTCTATTCTTTGCTTCTATAATAGCGTCTCTGGTTTTTTTTTAGATTCCACATATGAGTGAGATCATATGGTATTTGTTTTTTCATGGCTGGCTTATTTCACTTAACATGATGTTCTCCAGATCCATGTTGTCAAAAAATTACAAAATTTCATTCTTTTTTATGGTTCAATAGTATTAAATAGTGTATATATATCAGATTTTCTTTATCCATTCATCTACTGTAGGACACTTGGGTGGATTTCATATATTGGTTATTGTAATAGTGCTGCAATAAATATGGGAGTGTAGGTATCTTTTCAACATGCTAATTTCATTTCCTTTGGATAGATACTCCATAGTAGGATGGCTGAATCATATAGTAGTTCTGTTTTTAATTTTCTGAAGGAACATCCATACTGTTTTCCATAGTGGCTGTACTACTTTACATTCCCACCAACAATGTGTAGACGTTCCTTTTTCTGTGCATCTCACCAACATTTGTTTTTATCTGTCTTTTTGATAATATCTAGTCTAACTGGAGTGAGGTGATATCTCACTGCAGTTTTGATTGCCATTTCCCCAATTATTAGTGATGTTGAGCATCTTTTCATGTAACTGCTAGTCATTTCCATGTTTCCTTTGGAGAAATGTCTCATAAGGTCTTCTGCCCATTTTAAAATAAAGTTTTTTGTTATTGTTGTTGTTGAGTTGTTTAAGTTCCTTATGTATTCTGGATATTAGTGTCAGATGTCTAATTTGCAAATATTTTCTCCCATTCTGTAGGTTGTTTCTTCACTCTGTTTATTGTTTCCTTTGATGTGCTGAAGCTTTTTATTTTGATGTAATCCCATCTGTCTACTTTTCCTTTTGTTGCCTGTGCTTTTGAGGTCTTATTAAAAATTATTTGCCCAGCCCAATGTCATAAAGCATTTCCCCGTATGTTTTCTTCTGGTAGTTTCATAGGTTTGGGTTTTACATTTAGGCCTTTAATCCATTTTGAATTCATTTTTGTATATGGTGTGAGGAAGGGGTCTAGTCTCATTATTTTACATGTGAATATCCAATTTTCCTTGCAACATTTGTTGAAGAGATGGTCTTTTTCCCAGTGTGTGTTCTTGGTAACTTTGCTGAAAATCAGTTGGCTGTAGGTGCACGAATTTGTTTCTGAGTTCTCTGTTCTGTTTCATTGGTCTATGCATCTGTTTTTGTGCCTGTAACAGGCTGTTTTGGTTACTATAGCTTTGTAGTGTATTTTGAAGTTGAGTAGTGTGATGTCTCCAGCTTTGTTCTTTTTGCTCAGGATTGCTTTGGCTATTTGTAGTCTTTTGTGGTTCCATATGAATTTTAGGATTGATTTTTCTATGTTTGTGAAAAATGTCACTGTTCTTTTGATAGGGATTATATTAAATCTGTAGATCACTTTAGGTAGTATGGTGATTTTAACAATATTAATTCTTCCAATACTTGGACATTGTACTTTTTGTGCAGGAATTTAAGAAAAATTGTTTTAAAAATTAAAAAACCCAATACTTGGACATGGGATGTCTTTCCATTTATTTGTGCCTTAATTGATTTTTTCATCAATATTTTATAGTTTCAGTGTGGAGATCTTTCATCTCCTTGGTTAAGTTTATTCCTAGGTATCTTACATTTTTGTAGCTATGATATGTGAGTTTTTTTATTTCTTTTTCAGATAGTTTGCTGTTAGCATATAGAAATGCTACTAATTTTTATGTATTGATTTTGTATCTTGCAAATTTGCTGAATTCATTGATCAGCTATAATAATTTTTTGGTGGAGTCTTTAGGGTTTTCTGTATATAAGATCATGTTGTCTGCAAACAGGAACAATTTGACTTCATGTTTTTCAATTTGCATGATTTCTATTTTTTTTTCTTGCCTAATTGCTCTGGCTAGGACTTCTAGTACTATATTGAATAGGATTGATGAAAGGAATATCTTTGTCTTGTTCCTGATCTTAGATAAAAAGTTTTCAGCTTTTCCTGTTCAATATGTTCTTAGCTGTGAGTTTGTAATATCTGGCCTTTATGGTGTGGAGGTACATACCTTCTGTAACAAATGTGTTGACAGTTGTTACCATAAAGAAATGTTGAAAGTTGTCAAATGCTCTTTCTGCATCTGCTGAAGTGATCATATGGTTTCTGTCTTTTTGTTAATATGGCATATCATGTTTATTAACTTGCATATGCTGAATCATTCTTACATCCCTGGGATAAATCCCACTTAGTCACAGTGAATGATCTTTTTAATTTTCTGTTGAATTTGGTTTGATAACATCTTGTTGAGAATTTTTGCATCTGTATTTACCAAGGATACTGGCCTGTAGTTTTCCTTTTTGTTCTTGTGTCTACCTTATATTGCAACCAGGGTAATGCTAGCCTCAATAGGTCCTGGGCTTTTTTCCAATGGCAGACATTTTATTATTGATTCCATTTCCTCACTCAGTATTGATCTGTTTAGATTTTCTATTTCTTTATAATTTAATCTTGGTAGGTTGTATGTGTCCAGGAATTTATCTATTTCTTCTATGCCCTCAACTTCTTTGATATATAGTTGTTCATAATAGCCTCTATGATCCTTTGTATTTCTGTAATATTAGTTGTAATGTCTCCATTTCCATCTCTGATTTTATTTATTTGGATATTTTCTCTTTTTTTTTTAAGTTAGTCTCACTAAGGATTTGTTGATTTTGATTATCTTTTCAAAAAGCCAACTCTTCTTTTGTTAATTTTTTTGAGTTTTCTTTTGTTCTCCACTTCATTTATTTTTGCTCTGAGACTTATTATTTCCTTCCTTCTACCATTTTGGGTTTAGTTCTTAGTTTTTTAGATCCTGGAAGTGCATGGTTACATTCTTTATTAGAAATCTAATAAGGATTTATTAGATAGATAGATAGATATATTAGGTGTTTATTGCTATGAAATTCCATCTCAGGACTGCTTTTGCTGTATTCCAAAAGTTTTGGTATGATGTGTTTCCATTTTTATTTATCTCAAATAATTTTTAAATTTTCCTTTTAGTTTCTTCATTGACGTATTGGTTATTTAGGAGCACGTTGTTTAATTTTTCACGTATTTGTAAGGTTTCCAAGGTTCTCTTGTTGTTGATTTCTAGTTTTATACTATCATGGTCCAAAATGATACATGATATAATCTCTGTCTTCTTAAATTTGTTAAGACCTGTTTTGTGGTCTAACATATGATTTATTCTGGAGAATGTTCCATGTGCAATTGGGAAGAATGAGTATACTGTAACTGTTTAATGGAATATTCTGTAAATGTCTGTTAGGTCCATTTGGTCTATAGTGTTGTTTAAGTCCAAAGTTTCTTTGTTGATTTTCTGTCTGGGTAATCTCTTCATTATTAAAACTGAGGTGTAAAGTCCCCTACTATTATTGTATTGCAGTCTGTCTCTCTTTAGATCTAATAATATTTGCTTTACATATTTGGGTGCTTCACTGTTGGGTGCATATATATTTATACTTGTGATATCATCTTGTTGAATTAATCTGTCTATCATTATATAATGGCCTTCTTTATTTCTTTTTATTGTTTTTGACTTAAAGTCTATTTTATCTGATAAAAGTATAGTCACTCCTGCTCACTTTTGGTTTCTGTTTGCATTTTTTCTATCCCTCACTTTCAGTCTGTCTGTAATGTTGGGGTAGGTCTCTTGCAGGCAACATATAATTAGTTCTTGTTTTTTAAAATCTATTCAGCCACTGTATATCTTTTAATTGCAGCATTTAATTCATTTACATTAAAGATTGTTATTGATAAGTAAGGACTTACTCCTGCCATTTTGTTGATAATTTTCTGGTTGTTTTATGGATCTTTTGTGCTTTTATTTCTCTCTTGTTTTCCTCTGTGGTGTGGTGATTTTCTGTGGCACTAAGCTTTGTTTTCTTTTTCTTTCTCATTTGTGTATCTACTGTAATGTGTTTCTTTGTGGTTACCATGGGGCTAAAATAAAGAGTCTTATAGTTATAATAGGCTATTTTAAGCTGATAACAACTTAATTTTGGTCACATAAAAATCCTCCAGAGGGCCAGGCACGGTGGCTTACACCTGTAATTCCAGCACTTTGGGAGGCCAATGTGGGCAGATTGAGAGCAGCCTGACCAATATGGTAAAACCCCATCTCTACTAAAAATAAAAAAATTAGCTGGGCATGGTGGTGTACACCTGTAATCCCAGCTACTCAGGAGGCTGAGGCAGGAGAATCACTTGAACCTGGGAGGTGGATGTTGCAGTGAGCCAAGATTGCACCACTGTACTCTGTCCTGGGTGACAGAGTGAGACCCTGTCTCCAAAAAATAAAAAAGAATCCTCCAGACTTCATACACCCACACACACACACACACACACACACACACACACACAATTTGTATGTTGTTAGCCTTAATGTACATGTTGGTCTTTTGTGTGTTCCTTAGCCACTAATTGTAGTTGTTCACGTTTTTGACCTTTTTGACTTTAAACCATCATACTAGAGGATTTAAAGATTTACACAGCACCATTACAGCATTGGGGTATTCTGAGTATGAGTATGGGTTTACCTATACTGGTGAGTTTTATACTTTCATATGTTTTCATAATAGTAATTATCATCCTTTTGTTTCCAATTGTAGTACTCTCTTAAGCATTTTTTTGGTAACACCTGTCTATTTGTGATGAATTCTCTCAGTTTTTGCTTATCTGGGAAGGTCTCTACTTCTCATTTATTTCTAAAGGAGAGCTTTGCAGGATATACTTCACTTAATGGTGTCTCATAAGTCTTGTAGGCTTCTTCATTCTTTTTAACTTTTTTTTCTCTGACTGGGTTATTTCTAAACACCTGTCTTCAAGTTTAGAAATTCTTTCTTCTGCTTGATCTAGTGTGTTGTTGAAGCCTTCAGTTATTTTTATTTCATTCATTGAATTCTTCAGTTCCAAGATTTTTTTCCTCTATTTTTATTGATACACAATATTTACATATTTATAGGGTATGTGTGGTATTTTGATAATTGAATACAGTGTGTAATAACCAATTCAGGATATTTAATATACCCATTACCTTAAACATTTATTATTTCTTTGTATTGGGAACATTTCAAATTCTTCAGCTCCAAGATTCTGTTCCCTCTTTTTTTATCGATTAATACCATTTGTAAATATTTACGGGATATGCAGTATTTTGATAAATTCATACAATGTGTAGTGATCAATTCAAGGTATTTAGGATATCCATCACCTTAAACACTTCTTATCTCTTTGTGTTGGGGACATTTCAAATCTTCTAGCTACTTTTAAATATATAATATATATACAATATTTTGAATATACAATATATTGTTAACTATAGTCACTCTACTGTTCTATCAAACACTAGAACTTATTTCTTCTATGTAACTGTATTTTTGTACCCATTAACCAACCTTTCTTCACCTACCTCCCACCCTTTCTGGCCTCTGGTAACTATCATTCTACTCTCTCCCTCCACAAAATTAACATTTCAAGCTCTCACATATAGTGAGAAAATGTGATATTTGTTTTTCTGTACCTAGCTTAATTCACTTAACATAATGACCATTGGTTTCATCCATGTTGCTGTAAATAATAGAATTTCATTCTTTTTATGGCTGAATAGTATTCCATTGTGTATACATACCACATTTTCTTTACCTAATCATCCATTGTTCAACACTTTGGTTGATTCCATATCTTGACTATTATAAATGGTGCTGCAATAAACATGAGGGTGGAGGTAACCCTTTGATATACTGATTTTCTTTTATTTGGATAAATACCCAGTAGTGGGACTGCTGGATCAAATGGTAGTTCTATTCATTTTTTGAGAAACATCCATACAGTTTTCCATAATGAATATGTTAATTTACATTCTCACCCACAGAGTAAATTTCCTTTTCTCTGTCTCTGTACCAGCATTTGTTGTCTTTTTTTGTCTTTTTGATAAAAGCAATACTAACTGGGGTAAGATGATACCTCACTGTGGTTTTGATTTGCATTTCCCTGATGATTAGTGATGCTGAACATTTTTTCCTATACCCATTGGCCATTTGTATGTCTTCTTTTAGGAAATGTCTATTCAGATCTTTTTGCTCATTTTTAAATGGGATTATTTGTTTCAGCTCCAAGATTTCTGTTTCGTTCTTTCTTTTTTGAGACAGGGTCTAACTTTGTTGCCCAGGCTTGAATGCAGTGGTGCAATCATGGCTCACTGCAACCTCAATCTTTAGGGCTCAAGCGATCCTCCCACCTCAGCATCCTGAGTAGCTGGGACTACAGGTGTGCATCACTACACCCAATTAATTAAAATTTTTTTAAATAGAGATATTGTTTCACTCTGTTGCCCAATTTGGTCTTGAACTCCTGACCACAAGTGGTCCTCCTGCCTCAGCCTCTCAATGTGTTGGGATTACAGGCATAAGCCACTGCACCCAGCCCTGGTTCTTTTAAAACATCTATTTCTTTGTTAAATTCCTCATTCAGATCATAATTTTTTTGTTTTATTGAATTATTTGTATTATTTGGTATATTCTTGAATTTCTTTAAGATTATTATTTTGAATTCCTTTTCAGGCATTTCATAAATATCCTTTTCTTTGGCGTCTGTTACTGGAGGCTTATTGTTTCTTTGAGGGTGTCACGTTTATTTCCTTTTTCTTGTGTCCCTATGTTGATATCTACACACTTTGTGGAACAGTTACTTTTTTCAATTTTATGGAATAACTTTTATAGAATGAGGCTTTTCCCTGTAGAAGGGCCCTAGGGTATCAGTTGGGAATGGTGCACTGGTTTTGGTTCTAAGTGGACTGAGTCATATGATCTCCATACAGATTATTTAGCTATAATCTTTGTCTGCAATGTCTGCAATTGTGTCAGGGGCCTTGGCTATGGGAGTTTGTGACAATGGTAACATAATGTTTCTGGGGCCTAGGGCATAGAGGTGGTTGTCGGGCCAGGTATCTGCAGGTGTGGTGGGTTGACAGGCTGTGTAGTGGGCTCTCTTGGAGAGTGGGCCTACCACTGGGCTGGCTCTCAGGGTAGGTATGGGTGTAGCATGCCAGGTGGCTGTGTGGGGCTTTCTTTGTGCGATGGGACCACCTCTGAGCCAGCTCTTGGTCTGGGAGTAGGCTGGCTGACTGGGCAGGGCAGTAGCCCCAATTTCTATTAGTGGTTTCATGCAGTTCTAGAAAGTCTTCACAGGGTGGAGCATATGACCTAGGATAAACCAATCATAACATTTTATTCCCTCAGCTACAGTGAGTGTTTCTGGGACAGGTTTGTGACCTAAGCTTGCCCAGTCAGAAGGAATCTTAGGATACTTGCAGAGATTGCTGAGTCAAAGACATGCTCTTTTGCTATGGAAAGTATAGCATGTGCATGTGAAACTTGGAACTGTGAATATCATCTTGCTGTGATGAAGGAAACCTGGCTGAGAATGAAGCTGACATAAGGAAGTAAAAAAAAAAAGGTACAATGATAGACAAACAGAACGAGAGTCTTGATCAAATTATGCCTAAAATCTGTTACCTTCTGTGTTCTTCATATTTGTGAACCAATATGTTGCCTATATTGTTTGCTATTACTTTTTGGCCCTTATATTCTAAGTCAGGTTTGGGATGGATTTTCTTATTTGCAGCCAATTATATCCTAATTGATAGAGATGTCCTGATGTGTTTTGGTTCTGTGTCCCCACGAAAATCTCATCTCCAATTGTAGTCCCCATGTGTCAAAGTCGGGAGGTGATTGGATTATGGGTACGGTTTCCCACATGTTGTTCTTGTGATAGTGAGTGCTCACGAGATCATCTGATGGTTTAAAAGTGTGGCACTTCCCTCTTCACTCTCTTCCTCCTGCCACTATGTAAGACATGCCTTGTTTCCCCTTCATCTTCCGCCATAATTGAAAGTTTCCTGAGGCCTCTCCACACCATGAGGAACTGTGAGTCAATTAAACCTCTTTTCTTTATAAATTACCCAGTCTCAGATAGTTCTTTATAGCAGTGTGGAAATGAACTAATACATGTCCCTTCACCTTCTACCACATATAGAACCAACAACAACAAAAAGAGGAAAGTACTTTGTTAGCTCTTCTGAAGGAAGATAGAGTTACAGATTGAATCAGAGATATTTCCTCTGTGATCCTTCCCTGATGTCCCCAGTTCTGGGCAAAGAGCCCTCCTTGATATTCCCATAGCTCCTTTTCATTCTCATCTCTTATAGGAAAGGGAGTCTTTAGCATAATACATCATTGCAATTATGCTATGAGAGCCAATCAGTATCAGCAAGAAGTTTGCTTATCTAGTGTCTAGTTCATTCTGATGAAGTTAAGAGAATTACCAAGAAGAAAGGTATCTGCCATTTTTCTTTCAGGATGAAGGCAGGAATAACAAAACCATGCTTTTGACCATGTAGGGAGCTGAAAGGATGGAGTCAAGGCCTTGAGGAGACAGCAGAGAGGCAACTAAGAGAAGATGGCAGGCAGCCAGAAGAAGGCACAATCCCAGGTACCCATTTGAGGGAATCCAATGGGGGAAAGTAAAGAAACCTGGACGTTTTAAGTGTGGTGATCAGATTATGCTCTTTCTGGCTAAGGACTAGGACAAGGCCATCCAAGTGCAGAACAAAATGGTGGGTTTGCATTTGTTTGCTGTCAATCTCCCCTGTCAGGTCAACTCCACGAGGACAAGGATGATAATGGCTTGGCCACCATTATCTCCCCACAGCACAGCACAATGCCTGGGACATGAAAGATACGTTACAAATATATGTGGGATGGATGGATGGATGGTTGGTTGGTAACTCTCAGTTTATATCTTTGGGCTGAGTATTATAGTTAAGAACACAGTTTCCCAGAGTGACTCAGTTAAAGTTGAGCTTCTTTTATGCAAACTCTCCTTCTCTGTCTTTCACTGAATTTCACTGACAGACCATGAAAACTCAGAACAGAAAGGGATAATGTCGAGGCGAATCGTATAATGTCAAGGCAAATCCTGTCTCCCATCTAGAGGCCAGGGAAGGAAATTAATCACTTTGCTAAAGTCTGGAATTCTAGTTCCTCTGTCTGATGGTTGATTTAAGGTCAACCTCTGCTTGACTTAAGGTCAACCTCTGCTTGACTTAAGGTCATGGTGTATTATTTTTTAACATCATTATGGGCTACACTCATGAAAATGCCTAAACATAAGAGAAAGATGACACCTTGTTCTCTTGCTCCACATGTACATATATCTGACCTCTATTCAACATTCATTTAAACTGTGATTCAATGAGCATCTACTATGTGCCATGCACTGGACTCAGCCTTGGGGACAGAATGAAGAATAAGACACAGCCTCTATTCTTACCTAGTTTATAATCTAGTGGGGGATGACAAGCCAGTGATGATAATACAGCACAAGATGCAGAGAGGCAGAGGTTGCAGTAGGGACCCACATAGGAACATTGAAGTCAGCTGGTGGGATTGAGGAGCACTTCCTGGAAGAAGTTTTGCTTAAGCTAAGCACATGGAAAAGCACCAGCCAGGTGAAACGGTTACAAAGGAGAGGAATGTTTCAGGAGGAAAATGGGAGTGGTGATTGGAGGGTGATGGCACCAGAGTGAAAAGCTGGGGTCAAGCATTTTAGGGCCTTCTAGGTCATGCTTAGCATTTCAGACATCCTAAGAGCAGTGTGTGCTGGAGTCACTGGGAAGTTTTAATATGGGAATAATATAGGGATATAGGATATAGGGATATAGGAATAATATAGAAAGTTTTAATATGGGAATTTAATATAGGAAGTTTAATATGGGATTAATAATATAGATATAACCTATAGAAACTTCCTCTGGGGCAGTGTGGAAGGGAGATTGGAGGGGGTCAAGGTTGGAAATGAGGACACCAGTTTGGTGGCTATTTTAACATAAGCACATGCACTCACTAGGGCCCAAGCATATGTACTCACTCTCTTGCTCTCTCTCCCTCCCTCCCTCTCTCCCTCCCTCCCTCCCTCTCTCCCTCTCTCTCCCTCTCTCCCTCTCTCCCTCTCTCTGCCTCTTTCCTTCTCTCTCCCTCTCTCCCTCTCTCTCCCTCTCTCTTCCTCTCTCCCTCTCTCTCCCTCTCCCTCTCTCCTTCTGTCTCTCTTTCTCTCTCACACACACACACTCATACACACACACACACACACACACACCAAAGATATATGCAAGCAGCACCAAAGTATGCCCACCACTGGGGCTGGAAAACAATGTCTTAGGCTGCTCCATTTCCTAATGCCTTAATTTTCTCATCTGTAGAATGGGAACAGCTGCAACTGTCCCTCGGTGTCTCCCAGGATTGCTCAGAGAGTGGAAATGTCATGTGGTGAAAGCCTTTACAGCTCAGTGTGGATAAGTGCAAAGGGCTGTTTATTCCTGGTCCCTTTTCATTTCATCCAGTCCTTCAATCCCCAGCATCTGAAGCATCTCTGGGAACTGCATATGGAATAAGACATTCTGGATGACAGCAGATCTTAAGAAAGTCAGGTTTAGATTAGATTTCCACTCAATCTCAAAGTTGAAATTAGAGTAGGGGAATTGAGGTCTTACCTCTAGACACTATAACTGAGAAATTACAAAATTGGCTGGAGACTCCCAGGCAAGGGTAGGAAGCCCTCTGGCTTGGGACTCTTTTGAAGGGATGATTCCACTGATTGGACAGTGTTCACACTCTTGGCTGTGGAGTACCTGTGTGAGTCTCCTAGGGCTTCTTAACAAATTGACACAGACTGGGTAGCTGAAACAACAAAAATGTATTTCTCATTCTGGAGGCGTCTCTCTGTGACGTCTGAGATCAAGGTAGTAGCAGGATCGGTTCCTTCTGAGGCTGCCCTACTTAGCTGTCATCTCGCTGTGTTCTCACATGGTGTTCCCTCTGAGTACATCTGTGTCCTAAGTTCCTCTTATTATAAGGACACTAGTCATAGTGTCCACCCTAGTGACCTCATTTTTACTTATTTACCTCTTTAAAGACCTCATCTCAAATACAGTCACATGTGAGGTGCTAGGGGAATTTTGGCAGAAGTGGGAAACAAAATTCAGCCCACAGTAATTCCCAAATCGTCTATTTGGGTAGTGGATATAAACAAACAGTGAGGAAATCCCAAGACTGTACAAATTTCTGCTGAAGTTTATCCTCCAACGAAGGGTCCTCAATTGAATAGATTTGCTGTCATCTCAGTTGTGGCAGCATCCATATTTTCCTGTTCTTTATCTCAGCTCTGAGGTGCTGCTGCAGAAAGGTGCTGGTCTACATTCAGTTCTCTCTTTCTTTACCACTTTGCAGAACAAGTTTTGCTATGGCAACCACTGGCTGGGAAGAGATAACCCAGGGGGTGCGAGGGTCAGCTCATGTTCTTCTCTCCTCATTTCTAGGACAGCTCTGTTGTGCTTCAGCTGCTGTGTAAATCCCCAAAGAGGAGTTTTTTGCTAATAATTGTGTGTGTGTGTGTGTGTGTATGTGTGTGTGCGTACCTGCATGCATGCATGTGCATGTACGTGCACACGTGTGTGTGTGTGTGTGCGTGTGTCTGGGCAAAGTGGTACCTTCAAGAAAGTAGCCAAATGGAAGATAGGATCACCCTGAAGAGGGAAGCCATTCACTCATTGACCAATGGGTCACACTTGGATTTTCTGTCTCAGGCCAACCCACATTCTAGTGACTGTGCAGCCCTTGGCAGTTTTCAACTGGCTCCTCCTGCCTACCCAGCAGATGGGAATAATACTCTGCAGACTTCAAATCCTCTTGATTCTCTCTCCTCCAGGTTTTGAAGGCAGATTTTATCTATTGTGCCTCTTGGGCTTTGGTGTCTGGGCCATTCACAGCTACCCACCTAGAGACCCCTCAGATGTGTCAGAAGTGGAAGTTTGTCATGGGAAGAGGAGGCAGTAATGTGAAAGCAATGTGAATTTTTGCTATTCGAAGGGGCACATGACTCACTGAGTCATCTGCCTGAAAGCCATCTTCAGTGTCCTCTGGGCCTTGAAGACGTGGGAGGCAGTGTTTGTGGATGAGAAAGGGGACATTCGGAGCAGAGATCTGTTCAAGTCTCCTGGCACAACTCAGGTCCTCCACCTTGGAGTCTGTCTTGGGTGGTCCCAAGCATCATAAATCCTCTGGAATCTGCCCTGAACACCTGGATTTCCTGCTAGGGTCTTCAGTTTGCCCAGTGATGTGTCCATGGCCAGCTTTGTGCAAAGTTTGCTTTCCAGCTCAGTTGCTCTGCTGCAGTTTACCAAACTTGCTAGTGGACAGACACAGCCTTGAGCAGTCCCTGTGGCTTCTCGGGGCATCTGTCAAAGATGTGCACACAGAATTCAACAAAGTTCCGGTTCCTCCCTTGGGAGGATAATAATTTTGTGTGTTTGTATATGTGCATGCATATGTGTGTGTGTGCATGCGTGCATGCATGCATGCATGTGCATGTGTGTGTGTGTGTGTGTGTGTGTGCGCGTGTGTGGCTGGGCAAAGTGATACCTTCAGGAAAGTAGCCAAATGGAAGATAGGATCACCCTGAAGAGAAGCCTTTCATTCATTGACCTTATCCTCAGGAAGCCAGACGTGGTACCCACAGAGGCCAATTTAGATCTCCGGCTGTTTCTCTACTTCCCTGTTGGCCCTATTTGTATATTTCTAGCATGCCTTTTCTTTATTTGTTCATTCACTCATTCCTTCATTCCACAAATACCTATTGAGCACCAGTGATGTGCTAAGTATGGCTTAAATTTACCCTGGGAACACAGAAGTGAAATATACAAATCTCCTGCCCTTGGGTGCTTATATTTTAGCGTGAGAGGGTGGGTGAGTGGATGGAGGGAGGTAGGTCTTTGCACTTGCGTTTTCATGGATTATAACAAATTTTCACAGCACTTTTAATTCCATGATAATCTCTAACTGGAAAAGCAATCCCCTCAATACACACCTCCCACCACTTTATCCTGAATCTCTGTCCTGGATTGTGAAGGGATGTCAGGCATGGCAATATGCTTTTATGTATTTTCCTTTTGCTTAACTCAGGGCTTTTTAACCCATTCTGTGCTCTGGACTCCTTTGGTGGTCCTATGGACCCCTCCTCAGAATACTCTTTTTAAATGAATAACAAAATATGTAAGGTTATGAAGAAAACCAATATTTTGAAATGCAGTTCTGAAAATCTTTTTAAAAGTTGTGGTATTATAACTTTTGTGCCCTTTTATTAACACATTAAAGAACATGATTTAGCAGTGGGTTTCATAACAACTGTGATTTCAAAGTACTGATGAGCATAAATGATATTTTGAAATATCTGTAACACCTGCAACGTGTTATGAAAATATCCCTGATTTCTATTGGTGACAAAGTCCTAGGTACTGCAAATAGTAATGTGGTTTGTTGTCACTGTATAAATCTGCTAGGTCTGCCATTACAAAGTCCCACAAACTGGGGGACTTAAACAGCAGAAATGTACTGTTGTGTGTGTGTGTGTCTTGGCAAAGTGATACCTTCAAGAAAGCAGCCAGATGGAAGATAGGATTACATTTCAACAGAAATGTAAGACAGTACATTTCTGTGGTTTAAGCCTCCCAGTTTGTGAGACTAGCCCAACTCTGTTACTAGGGTCTTGCTTTTAACCTAAAGGATGTTTCCTCAATTGTATTCAAGTACAAACAGAAAGGTACTTTGAGTTCTGGAGGCTCAAAATCCAAGATCAAAGTGTTGGCAGGGCTATGTTCCCACTGTAGGCACTAGAAAATGGCCAAGATAATACAACAATCTACACATACACCTCACACATAAGAAAGAGAGGTAGGCATTGTGTTTTTGAGAAACAAAAGGCTCCAACTAGCCCAACTCTGGCACTAGAGGCTTACTTTTTTCTTGATAGCCTACTACATACCTCCCTCACTCTCAGTTCTCTGACAAACAACTATAGCAACCTCAAGTGACCCAATCTTCTAACACTGAAATCACCTAAGGATATTATGCAACTCTAGGAATACATGGTGAAGGGAAACTACCTCCATTTTTAATCTAAAAGCCAAATGTCATTATGTCACCCCCTGGCACTACACCTTGACCTTCTCATTGGTTTCAAAAATCCTTAAGGTAGCTTTCAAGGTTCCTTATGACTGGTCCTTGCCCACCTCCCTGGCCTCATCCCACTCCTCATTAAGCCCCAAGATGGTCCAGCCACCTGCCTTCTCACAGGCCATTGAGCACACCCATCTTCTTTCTGCCTCTGGCTTTAGCACGTGCCATTTGTTCTGCTGTGGTTCAGAAGCTTTAAGGTTTTCTGAAAGATGTCAGGATGATATGGTTTTGCTGTGTCCTCGCCCAAATCTCATCTTGAATTGTAGTTTCCATAATCCCCACATGTCATGGGAGGGACCCAGTGGGAGGTAATTCAATCATGAAAGCGGGTTTGTCCCATGCTGTTCTTGTGATAGTGAATAAGTCTCATGAGATCTGATGGTTTTATAAAGAGCAGTTCTCCTTCACACAGGCTCTTGCCTGCTGCCATGTAAGATGTGCCTTTGCTCCTCCTTCACCTTCTGCCATGATTGTGAGGCCTCCCCAGTCATGTGGAATTGTGAATCCATTAAACCTCTTTTTCTTTATAAATTACCCTGTCTTAAGTATTTCTTCGTAGCATATGAAAATGGACTAACACACAAGGGAATGCACTTTTCTGGCCTCTGAATTAGCAAAGGGAAAGACGGTGTAAAACCCAAGAGTTTACAGTCCTGAGGAATGCACTTTGCATATGAGTGAGAGTCCAGTTCATCTAAAGCATTCCATTTTTGAATGGAGCTATCAGTTCCTGGGCTTAAAACTTAAGTTCTGATTTACGTCTCTGTATGTGTTTGTGTGTTTTGTATGTGGTTTTTGGTGAAAATAATTTCTTACAGGCTTGGAATAATGAGCTCCCTGAATGTGCAAGCTTTGGAAATAGTAATCTACCTGTGCTAGGTAAACTGTGTCTGAAATGTTACCTGTTGAGACAAAAATATTCCTGGGAGGTGTGATTGGATGTGTTCTGTGTGTGCAAGGGGTGGTGTGTGTGTGTGAGTGTGTGTGTGTGTCTGTGTATGTGTGTATGTGGGGGGGGGGGGCAGTGAGGAAGAGAGAGGGAGAGACCTTAGCCCAAAGGAGTGTTTCCTGAATTGTATTCATTTGTTCACTGCCTTTAAGATTTTTGCTATATTCAACTACCATCTGTACTTACTTTCTTACAGGGATACATTTTCATGTTTTCTTTAAATTGACCCATTTTTTGTAAACGTAGCTTCAACCTGAAAAGACTATCCAACAAGCCACAGACTTGGAGGCAATAATTGAAAACACACATCTAAGAAAGGTCTGGTATCTAAAATATATACAAAGAACTCTTAAAATCCAGTTATAAGAAAACAAAGAACCCAAATTAAAAATAGGAAAAATACCTGAACAGACACCTCACCAAAGATATACAGATGGCAAATTAGCATATGAAAAGATACTCAACATCATATATCATTGGAGAATTGCAAATTACAATAACAGTGAGATACCACTTCACACCTATTAGAATGGCTATAATCCAAAACATGGACAATGCCAAATGCCGAAGAGAATTTGGAGCAACAGGAACTCTCATTTACTGCTGGTGGGAGTGCAAAATGGTACAGCCACTTTGCAAGACAGTTTGACACTTTCTTACAAAACTAACATACTCTTACCATATGATTCAGCAATCTCACTCCTTGGTATTTACCCACGTGAGTTGAAAAGTTATGTCCAAACAAAAACCTGCATATAAATGTTTATAGCAGCTTTATTCATAACTGCCAAAACTTGGTGCTATGATATAAATGTTTTTTATCCCCGAAATTTCATATGTTGAAATCCTAGTTCCCCAAAGTGAAAGGGGTGGAGCTTTGGGGAGGTGACTAGATCATGAGGGCGGAGCCCTCATGAGTGGGATTAGTGCTCTTATAGAAAGGCCCAAGGGAGCTTGTTTGTCCCTTACACCAAGTGAGGATGCAGCCAGAAGGTGCTGTCTTTGAGGAATGGGCACTTATCAGACACTGAAGCCAGTGCTTTGATCTTGCACCTCCCAGTCTCTACAACTGTGGGAAATCAATATTTGTTGCTTATAAGCCACCCAGTTTATGGTATTTTTGTTATAGCAGCCAAAGCAGACTAAGATACTTGGAACAAACCAAGATGTCCCCTTCAGTAATAGGTGAATGCATGCCTATGGTACACCCAGACAATGGAATATTATCCAGCAATAAAAGAAATGAGCTAACAAGCTGTGAAAAGACATGGAGGAATCATAAATGCATATTGATAGGTGAAAGAAGCCAATCTGAAAAAGGTATGTCTAGTATGATTCCGGCTATAGCACATTCTGGAAAAGGCAAAACTATGGGGGCAGGTAAAAGATTAGTGGTTGCTGGGCGTGGGTGGATGGAGGGATGAGTAGGTGGAGCACAGAGGATGTTTCGGGCAGTGAAACTGCTCTATATAATACTGTAATGGTAGATACATGTCATCAACATTTGTCAAAATTCTTAGAATGTACAACACCAAGAGCGAACCGAGATGTAAACTATTCACTTTAGTTAATACGAATGTGTCCATATTGGCTCATTGATTATAACGATTACTACTACACTAACAATTAGTACTACACTAATGCAAAATATAAATAATAGGGGAAACTATGAGGGGAAGCAGAAGAGGATATATGGGAATTCTTTGTTCTTTCCAGTTTTTCTGTAAAATAAAATTGCTCGGAAAAAAAACATCTGTTATTAAAAAAGAATATCATATCCAAGGAATCACATGGTTGATGTTCTCCTAGTTATATGTTTTCCTGCATATGAATACATATACAACTGTTAGAAGAAATACAAAGTAATGAAAATGTGCCACCCAAAATCATCTTACCAGTAGAACTTGAACCACATACTTTAAAAAACCACAGTTCCATCCCTATTTTTTAAAAGTAGTGGTCCCTTCCTCATCTCCCTGCTTCCCCTAAATAAAATCTCAGCAGACAGACAGGCTAGAGCAGAGCTGCTTGGGCTAAGATGGGGAGAGGCGGCCTGGCGTTCTGCAGCCCCCTCTCTTTCCACCTTATTTTCCATGACCCCCTCCCTTTAACCCTGACAACACCACAGAACCCTGCTGCTATCAGGAACACAGCTGAGAAACCACTGGTCTAAAGGTCAGCATATTTGGTAGAGCACAGGATGCCCTGATTCCCATCCAAAGACCCCTGGCAACTGTAGGGAATCCTCTAAGCTCCCCTCTGCCTTGGTTGTCTCCTGTAACTGGAGCCCCCCTGGATCTATCTTGCAAAGGTGTGATGAAGACAGAGACTAAGACAGATCCATGTGTCCTTGGAAGAGTCTTGGAACACAGTTATTCCAGGCTGAAAGGATGCAAGTTTAACCCTTTAATACATACTGCTTGCTGATGGGAGTAGCAATTGGTGTGACCACTGCAGAGAGCAATTTGGCACTATGGGGTCAAATTGAAGAAGGAACTGACCCTTTGACCTGCCAATGCCACTTGCAAGTACATGTCCAAGTGTGAGTTCAGAAGCTCTTAAACATGTTCATGAGGAATATGGTCAAAGGCTGTTATTGCAGTAGCATTTGTAAATGTGAAAAACTGGAAACAACCTGAATGTCTATCGGGAGGAGAATGGATAATGGCATTATTGTAGACTCACACAGTGGTATGCTAGACAGCTGTTAAAATAAACTAGATGTGTGTCAGCATGGAAGGATCTTGAAACATAATGTTGGTTGAAAAAAATCAAGTTCCAAAATGATATGTATGACATGATTCTGTCCTTATCAATACTAAATATACTAAATAAACTGAATATAGTTTATAGATATATATAGGTAATAGATTATAAAGACATTAGAAAAATATGTATTCATGATAATAGGCAGGGAAGGGGTTCTGGGGAGGAGGAACACAAATTGGGTGGCTTTACACACACATACATACACACCCAAGCACACTCTTACACAAATCTGATAAAATTCTAACTTTTCTCAACTTTGGTAAATACATATTTATTTAAACATAGTTGTTTTTACTTCCTACATTTAAATTAAGACATTATTTTCATTTGGCTACAATCTATCAAACAGTTCTGTAGCTCTTACTAGGTATCAGATTTTACAACCTTCCTAATAACCCCAGGAGGTACTGTTTTAGAAGGGAGGAAACTGAGGCACAGAGAGGCTAAGCCACTCATCCAAGGTAAAACAGCTGGTAAGAGCAGAGCCGGGCATCAGACCCAGGTAGCCTGACACACAGTCCATCTTCTCAAGCACGTGCCACAAGGTATCCGTGGCTTGTAATCTCTCACTTGGGTTCCTTACATGTACCCTGTGGCCCCTCTTACACTACCCATTGTCTACTTTGTATTAAGCTTTGTAGGAGCTAAGTTCACTTCTCCCTCTTCGTACTCCTCCAGCTCTAGCCTGGCTCCTGGGCCATAGTAAGTCAATAGCAACTGCTGTTGAACAACGGAATGGATGCATGCATGAGTGGCTTCAGGTTCCTGGAAGCTGCTCTGTGCCAGTATCATGCTCAGGGTCATCATCTCTGAGTCATCTGCTGCCATCTGATGTTACCCAGGATGTTGGCACTAGGTATATGGAAAATCAGCCCAACTGGTAGAAAAAAAACTCAAATAATGTGGGATGTTTATTTCAGAAGCACTACCTTTCTCCCTCTACACTGGAGTAGTTGGTCAGGGAAAATGGTAATTTATATTTTAGAAAATATCCAGGCCTCCTTGCAAATCCATTTTCTTTCTCCCACTAATTCACAGTGAACTTCTGGTTTCAATTTAAATGACAATTCTGAGCAACCTTCTCTTGCCACTTTGCCCCTTCCCTGCTGCTATTCTGCCTCGTATTACCCCTTTTCCATACAGGAAATTTTTTTTTTTTTTTTTTTTTTTTTTTTTTTTTTTTTTTTTTTTTAAACAGAGTCTTGTTCTGTCGCCCAGGCTGGAGTGCAGTGGTGCCATCTCGGCTCACTGAAACCTCCACCTCCCGAGTTCAAGCAATTCTGCCTCAGCCTCCCAAGTAGCTGGGATTTCAGGCGCCTACCACCATGCCCGGCTAATTTTTAAAACACTTTTAGTAGAGACAGGGTTTCACTATGTTGGCCAGGCTAGTCTCAAACTCCTGACCTCAAGTGATCCTCCCGCCTCTGCATCCCAAAGTGCTGGGATTACAGGCATGAGATATTAAACGTATCACAACTTATAATCATGTATTTATCGGTGAATTCACTCTTTCTAATGTCTGTCTGTTGGAGAGTCAACTCCAAGAGTCCAATCAAGCATCATGCATGTTTGGCTCATAATTTATTGCCAGTGCCTGGCACAGAGTAAGTGTTCATTTATCACCATGGAATGAATCTTGCTGCTTAATGCAGTGGCTTGACTGAAAGACATTCTACAGAGGCTTCCTTCTTTTATTTAACAGCAAGACTCCTTTTATTAAATGAAATGGTCCAGACTCCCTTATATAAACCAACACATGGCTCCGGTTACACTGGGGAGGACGTGTGATTGGGGAGGATCTGCTTGGCCTGACTTCTCCCTGCTTTTCCCAAGAAGCTTCCAGAGGCATCTCCCAGCCCACCCCTTGGCAAACTTTTCTGAGCCCTGATCTTGAGAAAACCAGAAGGGTCTTTTCACCCAGGAAGCCCTTCTTTGTGGGTTGAAAGACTGATGGTGTGTGCTCTCCTCCCAGGTCCCTGATTCAGCCTTGTAGGGCACTTGTCTAATGAAACCATAAATTCTCCCCTAAATGAGCATTCTGATTTGGTTTGCTCTTCATATGACCTTTTCCTGGGGAAAATGTGAAGCTTTCCCTGAGTTATGGCAAAGACTCCAGTGGGTGGCTGTGTTTGTCCTGCCTCTGCCATCTGATAGTCTAATTCATTTCCAATTTATGAGCTTGTTAGTTCCCCAGCCAGTTCCCACCTTGGTGCTGCTGACCCGGTGGCAGTATTTGCCTGTGTCATCTTGCTCAGACAAACACAGACGTTTCCGCTGAGGAGGCAGTCCCAGCTCTGTCATCTCTTTGACTGACCCTGGCTGACTCCGTTGAAAGCATCGAAATCATAGAGCAGGCTCCCTTCCCATAGTCAGTGAACCTCTCCGTGTCGGCTTCAGCATGGCTCAGAAGCCGAGTTTCCCTGTGTTTACTAAATGCTTCCCTGCCAAAAAGACTTGGAATAACGTCTGCCTTTCAAAGTGATGGGGCTGCTGCCTACACTCGGTCCCTTCTTCCTGCTGGGATTTTGGACTTCCCTAAGTTCTCCATCTGGAATGCTCACTGGCAGATTCTGTGGCAGGATAGGGGCAATCCCCTTGCTTTGAATCTGACTCTGGGAGTGGCAAGAAGTGGAATTGGAGGTGCTTTCTATGTGCCTCTATTGTCTGGCCTCTGCAACGGGCACAATAAAGTACCCCATAGAATTCTGGGAGGGTTAAATAAGGTGCATACACCAAAGGATTTAGGAGTAGGGTATTGTGAGGACTTTACGTACCTTTATATTTTATTTTTATTTTTTTGAAAGAGGATCTGTCTCCCAGGCTGGAATGCAGTGGCTTGATCATGACTCACTGCAGCCTCGAACTTTTGGGCTGAAGCAATCCTGCCTCACTTTTTACCACCACGCCTGGCTATTTTAAAAATAAATTTTTGTAGAGATGGAGTTTTGCCCAGGCTGGCCTTGAACTCCTGGCCTCAAGCGATCCTCCTGCCTCGACCTCCCAAAGTGCCGGAATTGTAGGCATGAGCCACCGTGCCCAGACTTTAAGTACTTTTTAAGCGATTCAGTCTATGTTTATCTCTATCTATGTCTACATGTACATCTATCCCTATATTTAAATCTATATTAGTTTGCTTTGGCTACCGAAACAAATTACCATAAAGTCGGTGGCTTAAAGCAGCAGAAATTTATTCTTTTCACAGTGCTGGAGGCCAGAAGTCTGAAAGCAGGTGTCAGTAGGGCTGCATTCCATCTGGAGGCTTGAGGGGAGAATCTTTCCTTGCTGCTTCCACTTCTGATGGCTATTGGTGTTCCTAGTCTTCCTTGGCTAGTGGCCACATCATTCTAATTTCTGCCTCTGTCTGCACATACCCTCTTCTTCTGTGTGTCTCTCCTCTGTGTCTCTTATGAGGACACTTGTCATTGGATTTAGAGTCTGCCCAGATAATCCAGGATGATCTCCTCACCTTAAGATTCTTAGCTCAATTAAATCTGCAAAGATGGCTAGGTGTGGTGACTCACGCCTGTAAGCCCTGCACTTTGGAAGGCCAAGGTGGGTGGATTATGAGGTCAGAAGATCAAGACCATCCTGGCCAACATGGGGAAATCCTGCCTCTACTTCAAATACAAAAATTAGCTGGGAGTGGTGGCGTGCGCCTGTAGTCCTAGCTACTCAGTCCTAGCTACTTCAGGAGGCTGAAGCAAGAGAATAGCTTGAAACTGGGAGGTGGAGGTTGCAGTGAGCCGAGATCACACCATTGCACTCCAGCTTGGGCAACAGAGCAAGACTCCATCTCAAGAAAAAAAAAAAATCTGCAAAGATCTCTTTTCCAAATAAGGTGACATTCATTCACATGTTCCAGGGATTTGATGTGCACATGTATATAAATTGGCCACAACCGTGTCTCTGCTATCCATCTATACCTATATATTGATGGAAAAGCAAAAATATTAAGATGCTAACCATTTCTGAATCTAAGTTTTCCATGTGTGTGTGTATATATATACAGACATTTGTTCTGCCTTTGCTTATCTGTATTCTCAAGTTCTTCTATAATAAATGTGGTGTTCTTAAATAACCAGACCACTTTAAAGATAATGATGTGAAGCTGTCAGGGCTTTGTGAGAAGCGTGAAGATAGTTCCTGCTTTTCACAGCTCCCCAACCAAGAGCCACACACCCTCAAAGATGCTCCAGAGACTCTAAAAGGCTGTAGCTTGTGTCCCAAGGAATAATTGCTTTTATTACAGCTGTGTAATAAGGAATTGTGCACCCACACAACTCCTTATCCAAAAATCCTGGGAATCAAATATGCTTTTGAATTCAGATGTTTCTAGATTTTAGAAAAACATTCAGGCGCATGTACTATTTATTACATCACACACTTAGTGGGGGTCTGGGTGGCATCCCATAATCAAACATATTATGTCTGCTATGATATGTTTGGATATTTATACTAAGTGGAGTAAATAAAAATCTAAATAATTCCACACTTAATTTGGTCAGATTTTGCCACCCAATGAGTTTTAGCACCAAACATATGAAAAACATCTGGATTTCAGAGATCTGTGGATTTTAGAATTATTGAGAAGAAAGCGAAGGCTGTACTAGTCTTACTGCTTTTTTTATATGTTTGAAAATCTTCATAATAAAACATTTAAAAATGAGGTTGTGCTTAGTGTCATGTCTGGCACTGAATAAGATCTCAAAAAAATGTGTAACCATTAACATTAACTTTGTAATCATTAACTTATTGACAGTGTTGTAAGTCAGACAGGGATTACTGAAGATTTTGACACAGAGGAATGACATGGTCAGGACAAGAAGAATCTAGAAGGATCCCTATAGCTGTGGCACCCAAGATGGCTTGCATGGTGCAAGCAGTGAAGAGAGGTGGTTAGGAGGCTCTGGGACTCACCCAGGCATAGGGTGATAAGATCCTGAGTAGAAGAGGAGAAGAAAGGGCCAGGCATGGTGGCTCATGCCTGTAATCCCAGCACTTTGGGAGCCTGAGGCGGGTGGATCATGAGGTCAAGAGATCGAGACCATCCTGGCCAGCATGGTGAAACCCTGTCTCTACTAAAAATACAAAAATTAGCTGGGCATGGTGGTGTGTGCCTGTACTCCTAGCTACTTGGGAGGCTAAGGCAGGAGAATCACTTGAACCCGGGAGGCAGAGGTTGCAGTGAGCTGAGATGGTGCCACTGCACCCAGCCTGGTGACACAGCGAGACTCTGTCTCAAAAAAAAAAAAAAAAAAAAAAAAAAAGAGGAGAGGAAAGAGTGAATGAACCTGGAAGAACTTGGTGAGTGTTCTAGGAGAACAGGATGGATTCTTGTCACCCCAATATGCTTCTGAATGACAGCAAGAGAGACATACTGAATGTTTGGTGCATTTAGGAAGGAAAATACATGAGTCAATTCAGGAACAAGTCAGTTGGAAATTTCATCGGCCTCCTAATCTGGATAGTGGCCTTTGTAAGAGCAGCACTTTTAGTTGTAAGGGTTGATTTGGGGCGGTGGGCTTGGTAATGAGGACCACCTGAGCATGAAGCATAGTAGCCTAGTGGGGCCCCTCTGTAGAGGCAGTTTTATCCCAGGTTACTGATTTCAAAGCTGCAGATGCTGTGCAGATCACAGGGGCTAAGGTAGGGTTTCTCAGCCCTGATTGTGCATTGAATCACTTGGAGAAAGAGCTTAAAACACTCTCCACTGTAGATCAAATAGAATAGAATCTCTGGGCCTAAGACCCTGGCATTATGTTTGAGAAGCTCTTCCAGATGATTCTAAGATGCAGCAAGATGGAGACTGCTAAGTTTAGGGTTCAGAAGGGGCAGGGGAAATGACAAAAAATGCAGTCACCCTGAGCTCTCCCTATTAATATGCAAAGGGGAAGGGTCTGGGAAATGATTTGAGTAGTGACAGAGAGGGAGGAAGAGAAGAATAACCCAAATTGGGTGAAAACGTAAAAAACCAGGAGATTAAAAAAAAAAAAAAAAAAGCAAAAAAGCAACACTAGAGATGAACTGCGTAGTAAGCGTGATGGACTATCCCAAAGCCATCACCATCACCATCGCCTAAGGGGCGATGGAAGACAGAGCACAGGAAAAGATCAAAACAAAGCAAGATAGTCCATGGAGGAATTGCAACATTTCCTCACTAAACATTGAGCGTGGGGTTAAGAGGTTAGAAATACAGCAAAGGGAGGAAAATGCACAGCCCTAATAGAGCAGTTATTCCTTAGGATCCACACTGCAGCCTTTTACAAAGTCCCTGGAGCATTTTTGAGGGTGTGTGGCTCTTGGGTGGGGAGCTGTGAAAAGCAAGATCTATCTTCACACTTCACATGAAGCTTTGGCAGCTTCACATCACTATCTTTAAAGTGGTCTGGGTTATTTAAGAACACCATATTTATTATAGAAGAACTTGAGAAAGGCAGATGAGCAAAAGCAGAACAAGACCAAAGCTAAATTCAACAGTCCTATGTAAAACCACCACCAAAGCCAGATCTATTTCTTTCCCATTGTCTTGTCTATTTCTTTCCCATTATCTTTCCTCTGCTCTGAGTGTACTTTTTCTTTTTTCTTTTCTTCTTTTTTTTTTGAGGTGGGTTTGCTTTGTCACCCAGGCTGGAGTGCAGTGGTGCAATCAGGGCTAGCCACAGCCTTGACCTCCTAGGCTCAAGCAATCCTCCCACCTCAGCCTCCCAAGTAGCTGGGACTACAGGAGCAAGCCACCATGCCCAGCTTATTTTTGTATTTTTTTTTTTTTGGTAGAGATGGGGGTCTTGCTATGTTGCCCAGGCTGGTCTCAACTCCTGGGCTAAAGTTATCTGCATCCCTCAGCCTCCCAAAGTGTGGGATTGCAGGCGTGAGCTACTGTTCCTGGAATACTTTTTCTTCTTACACAAAAAGATTATACTAGATCTAATCTGAGGGAACAGGATGGATTCTTTTCACCCCTAATATGCTTCTGAATGACAGCAAAAGAGAGACATACTATACAAAATGCTGTGTGCATTTAGGAAGGTTTTGTAATTTTTTTTCATTTAGCAATAGATTAGGAACATTTTCATTTAACGATAAATTGGGACCATTTTTTTCTATGTTAGAAAAAACCACATGATCCTTTTAAATGACTGCCTAATGTTTTATTGTATGAATATTTCGGCATGACTTAATTCCCTTGTAATAAACACATAGACAATTTTCAGTTTTTCAGTTATTTTCATTGCTCTAATATCCTCATACATGTATCTTTATGCAGTTAGCTGATTTTTGCTTTGGGAAACATTGCTCCAAGTGGAACGGCTGCAACAAAAGGTGTGTACATTTTTAGGTCTATTGATTCATAGCACCAAACTACCCTGTGATTAGCCCTCCCCGTGGTGTAATGTGAGTGTGTGAGGAATTACTCTTAAACTAGTCAATGCAGCTTTATCTATATAGATAAATAAGGATCATGCTGCTCTAGGGTTCTCTCCACTTGATGGGATGAAGTCTAATTCTCTGCTATAAGGTGCTGATTTACCTGGGACAAAGGTGTTCAAACCCATCTTCTCTCCTATATCTCCATACCCCACGTTTGTACCCTCATGATGTGAACAGGGTGGGGTAAAAGAGATTGGGAAGCTCTCCCAGCCTTCTCGGGTCCTAAGTGCCTGCTAGTCCTTCAAAAAGGCAAGGAAGACACCCCCTCCAGTTACCCAGCTTTAGAAACAATAAACCTCTGTGGCCAGGTGCGGTGGCTCAGGCCTGTAATCTCAGCACTTTGGGAGGCTGAGACGGGTGGATGACCTGAGGTCAGGAGTTTGAGAGCAGCCTGACCAACATAGTGAAACCCTGCCTCTACTAAAAACACAAAAATTAGCCGGGCATGGTGACATGCACCTGTAATCCCAGCTACTTGGGAGGCTGAGGCAGGAGAATTGCTTGAACCTGGGAGGTAGAGGTTGCAGTGAGCCAAGATCGTGCCATTGCACTCCAGCCTGGGTGACAGAGCAAGACTGTCAAAAAAAAACAAATAAATAAAAAAGGAAAAGAAAGAAAGGAAAGAAGGAAGGAAGGATGGAAGGAAGGAAAAGAAAGAAAGAAAGAGAAACCAAACCTCCTGTGATTGAAGCTCAGGAGCCCCCATCATTTTACAATGACTGCTTTGGGCGATTTTTGGTACCTAAAGATAGAGTCCTGAGGGTGGTGGTTCTCACCCCTAACTGCAAATTAGAATCACTTGGAAGAGATTTTAATATATTCTGATGCTGAGGTCTTACTCCAGTTCATTTAAGTTAGAATCCCTGCTATTAGGTAGGGGACTTGGAGTTTTAAAGTGATTTCCAGGTGGTTGTAATTGCCCCCAAGGTTGGGCAGGACAGCCTCAGGGCATTAAATGACCCTTGTTAGAGAAGATGCAACCTGGGGCCTTAGGGAAAGCCAAACCCTTTCACACATTTTCAATGAGCTCTTTAACAACCAATTTCAGACTACTTTAAGCATTTTAAACTCTTCCTGCCCTCAGGCACATAGTCCAAGCAGCACATTCATAAAGGGAGAGGCTATTGCCTCAGCTCAAAGAAAAATTACACTTCTTTCATGTGAATATACCATTCTGCCAATGGGCAGTTTAAGTCATCACTTCCAGACAATTTGTTTTATAATTACAAACCTCATAAAAATAATGTCCTACAAATTAATCAGCTGAGGAAGGACTGAAAAGCTTTTGTTTTGTTTTGGGTGGTTGTTTTGGCTAGGGACAAACTGGCTCTTTTAAAAAAGGAAAATTTCCAGAGTCTTGCAAAGTCCCTCAGCTCACTGAATTTCATGTCCTCTGGCCCTTGGATTTTACCATCCAACTCAGGATACTCACAGTCTTCTTAATAAACCCTCACTCTCCTGTCCTCTAAGCTGTTGCTCACATGGTGGTTTTTCCACTTGGTGTTTCCTTGAAGTAGGATTGCCAGATTTAGCAAAAACAACAACAGCACAAAACACAGAGTGCCCAGTTCAATTTGAATTTCATATAAATAACAAATAATTTTTAAGAGATTCTGCCACTTGTTAAATGTGTCTGTTCTAAGATGCCTCCTGGAACCAGGGAACTAACCACAGGATGGATTTGGGGACCCACTGTACTCACTGTGAGATGGATCTGAGCTAAAACGCCATTGCTTGACTGACCTCCATAAGCTCTTCCTCTGACTAGTGGACCACAGTGATGTTTGGGGTTCCCAGGAATTGGTGTCAATTCAGAGCCAGTGTCCAGTAATCACTCAAAGTTCTGATTATTTCCTTTTTCCTAATGCATAGTCACCCTGATAAGAACCCCTTGGTCCCTTTGGGGAAGGCTGAAGAAAGATTAGCAATATACACTTTGGGCAGTATAGCATGGTCCTTCCTCAAGGGGACTCAGCCTCCCTTTCATTCAAAGGATTCTGGTTCTGTAAACTGACTCAAGTTTAGGAATTAATCGAAGGGCAAGGACTCTGTTTTGGTGATTCCAGTTAGACTTCTGTTCACTCAGCCTAGAACTCTTCTGTATATACAGATCACATACGAATTTAGTAGATTGCCCCTCTATTTCTTTTTTAGCTGCTGCATGATCAACCAGCCAATGCTGTGATCTCTGTGACTCAGACTCATGATTCCTGTTTTGACCCCCTGTCCGTGACTGTAACCACACCCACGTTGCCTTTGGTGATTAAGTGCTGTCATTTGTCCCCTGCTCCAGGATCCAATTATTCCCATTGCATTTAGAATCCCAGCTTAGTAGCAGCATTTCTCATTGTAATTTCTGACATTCAGATAAAAATGACCCCAGAACTCTTCAAAGATGCTGGGCTCCCCTGACAAATTTATTTCTCACAGTTGTAGTGAAACTACCAGGGTGAATGAGCAGGCTTTACATGACAAATTCACTCTAACATTCCAATTCCAATCTCTCTAAGCCTTTGGGCACCTTCTTCTACCTTCCTTTACAGAATAACAATGCAGTTCTGGTATTTCAACTTCATTTAGTGCAGGACCCCTTTTGCTCCATGTTTCAGCCAACCAAACAGCCACACTGTTAAAACTCTTAACTCAAGGAGCTGCAACATGAGATCCAGAATTTCTGCTTAGTGGGCCCATATCAGTAAATTCAGCCCAATCCAACTTTATGTTCCTTCCACTATTATCCCACACCCTTGATATCCATTCCCACATATATTCCCTAGATTTATGTCCGTATACATTGGAAAAGTCATGCATTTCTTTTGGAGTGTAGCACCCTGCCGCCAACCATAGGTCATTCTTTGTACTTCAAACTTTGGGGCCTGCTGGGACTTGAGACTAGTTATAGGTCCAGAAGCAAAGAGGGGTGGTGGGAGTGGGTTCCGAAGAAGAATCAGCACTGTCTCAAAAGATAACTACCTCAGAGGTGGCCATTACAGATGCTGCAAGCAAAACAGTGTTAACCTCAAACTGCAGGGAGGCGATATGCTTAGGCTTTGTGTCCCCACCCAAACCTCATCTTGAATTGTAATCCCCATGTGTTGAGGGAGAGACCTGGTGGGAGATGATTGGATCATGGGGTCAGTGTCCCCCATGCTGTTCTTATGACAGTGAGTGAGTTCTCATGAGATCTGATGGTTTTATAAGTGTCTGACTGTTCCTCCTTCACACACTCACTCACTCTCTCCCACCTGCCACCATGTAAGATGTGTCTCTTCCCCTTCCGCCATGATTGTAAGTTTCCTGAGGCTTCCCTAGCCATGCAGAACTGTGAGTCAATTAAACCTCTTTTCTTTATAAATTACCCAGTCTTGGGCAGTTCTTTATAGCAGTTGAGAATGAACTGATACAGGAGGAAAGGAGGATGAAGGGCTGTTTCTACTGGCAAAAAGACTTGGCACAATTTATGGGTTCAGTGTACCCAGCTTCATTGGGATCTGCCCATACGACCCCATTCAAAATTTCAGGATCTCATTCTCTCCTAATCCAAACCCTCACTTTAACAGCAAATACCCTGTGAGGCTGTGAATTCAATTTCCATTGTAGTTCTGCTATTCTCAAGATGAGACTCTGGGTCACTTTTCAGCAATCTCAGCCTTGCAGGAGATACAAGAGATAAGGGTTTGTTCCTCCCCCCCCTGCCCCCGCCGGGGCAGACACAGAAGCTTTCAAGTAATTTATGCAGTATTTTGAGCTGAGAATTTGAAACTCTGAGCTTATTCTTTTCTTTCCCCACTTTCTCCAGCTCAGCTGAGAGCAGCTAGCGAATCTTATTATACTTACTAATTTGACTAAAATGTTCTAAGGTATCAAATGCATAGTCACCCAGAACCTTGCCTTTTATTAGTATTCGGCTAGTAGTATCTAATATTTGGGACATACTTGTACTAAAAAATCATACATTGTTTATCTGAAATTCAAATTGAACTAGGCATTCTGTATTTGGTCTGGCAACCTTGCTTTACAGAAATCCTCTTTATCCTCCAAAATTGAAGTATATTTCCAATAGACTGCTCCAGAAAGAAGTTATTACTTTAATTAATATTATTTATTGACCACTTACAATGTGTCTGTTCTAAGTGCTTTCCATAAATGAATTCACTTAAGGCCTGATTATAACTTAGGGCTAGCTATTCTTTTACTCCCATTTTACAGGAGAAGCTGAGCCTCAGAAGAGAAAAATAAGTTGCCCAGTAGATCACAGCAAAAAGGTGGTGGAGTGGGATTTTTACCCAGACAGTTAGGGGTCTGGGTTCACATGGATAATCATGGATAACATGACGCGACCTTGTGACCTCTTCTACCAGAAGCTTCCACAGAGGTGTGTTTGTGCCTTGTCTGGGGCCCTTAACATATTGTTGTCTGTCTACTCTAGCAGGCTGTGATATCATTGGCTAATAGCAGAAATCATGTTTTATTTATTGCCACATCCTCATGTCATGAAACTTGGAAAAATTATATTTATTATTCAACTTTAAAAAGGGAGGAAATTCTGACATGTGCCACAGCATGGATGAACCTTGAGGACATTATGCTAAGTGAAATAAGCCAGACATAAAATGATAAATTGTGTGTGATTCCACTTATGTGAGGTACCTATTACAGTCAAATCCACATAGATAGAAAGTAGAATGGTGGTTTCTGGGGCCTAGGGAGAGGGAGGTATGGGAATGATTGATTAATAAGCATACAGTTATAGCTGAGGATGATAAAAATGTTCTGGAGATGGATGGCTGTGATGGTTGTACAACTATGCAAAAGTATTTAATGCCCCTGAACTGTATACTAAAAATGGTTAAAATGGTACATTTTATGTCATGTGTATCTTACCACATTTTAAAATAAATGTTATACTTAACTTAGCACAGGAGGTTAAGAGCCCAGGCTCAGGGTTCAGTACTGTCTGAGTTGAACTATGGCTCAGCCACTTACCAGCTGTGGGATTTGGGGCTAGTCATTTCACATCAATTTCATCAGTAAAATGTGGATGGACAATAATGCACATATCATGTAGTTGTGAGGACAAAGTGAAACAAAATATGCTGAGTGCTTGGCACAATGGTTCTCATCCCCACAAATGGGGGAGATTTTTAAGACTATCGAGGACTAGACTCTCACAGATAAGTTAAATCTGGCCTTGTGTCTTTAAACGTTTCTATTTAAGAACATTTCAAAGATACATACAAGTGATAGATAGTTCTCACATAAGCATAATGTAGACTGAACATTTATCAAGATTTTAACATTGAAATATATCACCTTTTTTTTTTTTTTTTTTTGAGACAGGGTCTCACTCTGTTGTTGCCCAGGCTGGAATGCAACGGCACAACATAGCTCACTGCAGTCTTAACCTCCTGAGCTGAAGCAATACTCTCACCTCAGCCTCCTTAGTAGCTGGGACTACAGGTGTACACCACCATGCCTGGCTAATTTTTTTTTTTTTTGGTATTTTTTGTAGTTATGGGGTTTTGCTATGTCGCCCAGGCTGATCTCAAAATCTTGGGCTCAAGCTATCCACACTCTTCAACCTCTCAAAGTGCTGGGATTATAGGCGTAAGCCACCACACCCAGTAGAATATATCATTCTTAAAGGTGAAAGAGTTATTGGGACAACACAATGTCTGGCACATAGTACTTGTGCAACAGATTTAGCTGTTATTATTACTTTTACTCTAATTAGAAATTTCTTTGCTTTAAGTACCTTAATTTTGAAAAGGGATGCTCTGAATGGGAGAGGTGCCTACTGATGTCACTGTAAATGTATGACTCCTATTGAAATTGTACCCAGAGGGTTTTCTTCTTCTGTGAATCATCCTGGAAGTATTCTGCATCTCAAATGGACATAAATCAATTTGAACCAATAACAACGTTATTTCTGAAATACCATACTGCAGTGGAATCTGACAGTAAGGTAAAATAGAGAGAAATAAATAGCATAGGGAATATGGAGAGGAAATATAGTCTTTCAGGCCTCAGGAAAAAGTGCTTTTAATCTGGGAATGTTCTGTTATGGTACTCACCCACTGCACGCCCAGGGCAGACATTACTAATCAATATACTCTTTCCCACTGAACCCTAAAGCTGCATTAGAATTTTTAAGACAATGCTTTAGGTACCCACCAACAATCAATGAGAGGTGGCATAGGAGATGAGTCGTATATATTATTCTTTTTTTGTACCCTTTTTTGTGCCTTAGGTAAGTAATACTACATACCCAGAAGGAAGAAAACGCTTTCTGAGAGAGCAAAACAACTGTTTGAACTTCCTCAAAATCCACCAAAAACAGCAAAGTCATTTCCATGGGGCTATCACAGGGCCATGAGCCACAGGTCATTCTAAGATGTGGAGTCTTAGAATCCATCCAAAAACAGCTAAAGGAAAATAACAATAGCCTGGACCTGGCCTGGATTTCTGCCATGTTGGAATTGGTTTGAAATAAAAGTGTTCCAACACTCTTCTAGTTACGAAAATTAGCTTTGCCTCATGCTGCCAAGTGGCTAAGTCTCAAATGTGTATTTTTCCAACTTTAAGTTGAAGCAGTGAGAAAACTCATAGAAAAGATTAGGAAAAAATAAGGTCCATGAAACTAGTCCAATAGTGGGGCTGAAAATGACAATAATAGTAACAATGAAAATTTGGTGCATATTTTCTATTTGCCAGACTTTGTGCCTAGGTGACATGTGGTTCTTCTCACTTCCTCTGCACAAACAACCTTTGAGATCAGTACCATTTTCATTTGCCTTTCTTAGATGACAGTCCTGAAGCTCAGGGAAGTTAGGTAACTTGCTTGAGGCCACATGCTTTGCAAGTGATGCAGCTGTGGGATTTGAGCCCAGGTATGTCTGATTTAAGACATTGTACTCTTGAACCTGTGCATTGGAGGCCAGCAAGGCCTTTCCTTTCAGCAGGAAAAGATGGCAACTAAGAGTTTCAGTCATCTTCCTAACCTTTCTTTGACCTCACTCAAAAGGGCAAGAACTCGAATTTATTCATCATTATCTTTTCCATTGCATTGCATAATACCTGACATGTAATCAGTTCACATTGAGCTGAATTAATATTTGGTGAGGTTTCTAAATCCAGCAGTGAACTCTGCTTGCAGAGCAATTGTGGGTTCTTCTAAATCTTTAGTTGCTTGTCTTGGAGCCAGGTTGAGTATTGTTCCTGTGGCTGTGTCCCTTGTATTATTAGCACATGCATTCAACACTATTTATTGAGCACCTACTCTATGCTAGGCAGTATGGTTGCAGGATAGCAGTCAACAGAAAGACCCAGTCCCAGCCTTTAGATTTGTAGTCCAGAGGGGAAGACACACTTGAGCAGAAGATCATATTAGCAATTGATCATATGCTTAATTGCATATGTCAATTAAGAGCGGATGCTACAGAGGTGCTGAAGAAGGGTACCTAGGGGCTTACAGAAAACACTGATGGAGATGGCATCAGAATATCTAATACATACAGTGCTAGCCATGTGTCAAGCACAGATCTTACAATATTACATGACTCACCTTTTAAAATCCTCATACCAATTTTCAATTCCTAAAGCAAACCTCTCACCACCCATATTCATATGGGGAAACTGAAGCCCAGAGATGTAAGGTAACTCACTCAAGGTCAGGACAGTAAGTGGCAGAGATGGACTCAAAGTTGAGCTGTAGCTGTAATTCAATCCCTCTCCTAATCTACTGTGCTGAGTCTTCCCCTGGGAGGTCTGAAAAATAGTTGGAATTAGCTTTAAAACAGGAGGGGGACTGTTCGAGAAAGAGGAGGCGGTGGTTATGAAACCCGAATTGGACAGAGCTTCAGGAGCTGGGAGGTGTTCAGAACTGTGGTGGTGGCAGTGGATGAGGGCAGTGGTACAGGAAGGGGTGAGTTGAGCAAGAGTTAGATCTACCAGGCTGCCAGGGAGTGCAGCTTTCATCCTAAGGGCACTGGTGAGTTATCAGAGGGCTTTGCCCAGGGAGTGATAAGATCAGATTTATCCTCTAAAGTGCTCACTCTGGCTATTGAGGAGAGAGAGAAGAGAAGGTGCTAAGGATGGAGGTAGGGGGAGTGTGTGGCAGGGCTGGGACTAGGGTGAGACAAGTGAGGTTCCTAGGGCACTGCACTTGCACGGCCCTGAGAGTAACCCTCTCCTTCAACTTTGTGCTCCAGTTGCCAATTGCGTCATCCAAATCTTAGTCCTGCTATTTGGGCTGCTGCTGCAAGAATCTAGGCCAAGGTGGTATAAGCCAGGCCCACAAAGCACATCAAGGAAGCTGGAAACTCATAGAAATGGAAAATCCCTTTTTCACTTCTTGGGTATTTATGTTCGTTTTTGACTGTTAGCGCTTATCACATGCAGTTCATTTTATCTTCAACATCAGAAAGAGTGGAAAGTTTCCTGGGATGGAAATCTCTTTGAGGTTCAATAGTTCTTTACAAAAAAAATGGCAGTAGAGTCAGGGGAGGTAACAGAGGGAGAGGGAGAAGAGAGAGCAGTGGAGAGGGAGGGGGAAAAGTATGACATAGGATGAGATAAGAAACTCCTTTGCAAGTGTGAAGCCAAAGGATACATAATAAAAACAAATTCCAGCAGAATGGAAAGAAAACAAAACGCTACCTTGAAATGAAATATCCATTCTAAACATGTGCACTGCGCTTTTTCAGCATCACTACAGTGTTTTTGAGGTCCTTTTGTGAAAGACGTTGGTCACAAACCTATGCTTTAATCTTTAGCCACATTTTATCCAAAGGCCTTGGGAACCCGTGGGGTTTGCTAAGACTCCACCAACGTAGACGCTCGTTCAGCAGATAGGATGTTTGATGCCGCTTGCTGCAAGCCCTGGGAAGTTCCTACGAATCATAAAGATTAAGGTGTTTTTTGAAGCTGGTTTAAATACACATAACACGAGAGTAACAAGCCAAGTACGAGAGAATTTAAATAAGCTGCTCTTTGGAGTTGCTGACACTCAGGCGTGTGGGCTCATAATTTGGGATTCTGAACTGGAGAAGATTCCAGAATGAAGCTTAGAAGAATGAGGTCTACTTTTACCTGTTCTCATTCTATTCTTGTCTTTTGGTTCTTCATTTCTTAAAATGACCTGCTGGCAGCGACCCTGTGTTAGTCCCATGGGAATTACTTTGTGATTTGTGGTGGATTTTGAGGAAAAGGCAGTTGTTTTGCTCTCTTGGAAATTTTTTGGGTTCTTTTTGGGTACGTAGTATTGCTTACCGAAGGCACAAAAAAAGGGTACAAAATGAGAGCTGGGTCCTGCAGTCAACCACACCTGCTCTGATTAACCCTCAACCCACTCGTCCCTTTCATCGTTGAATGACATTTTCAATATCAACCCTTTGCTGGTTCTAAAGCACAGCAGCCTGTATTTGAATCCATTTCTGTTGCATAGCTTCTCCGTGAACTTGAACAAATTTCTCCACCTCTTCAAGTGTGAAATGGGGGCTAATGATGGTACTGATTTCCAGGGTTGCTGGAAGCATTAATCTAATCACGAGAAAGTGCATGCCAAATGCTTGGAATTAGTCCTGGCACATGCTAAGCATTCATTAAATGTTAGTTTTTATTTTCATCAACTATTGGCTTTCACAAAACTTAACAACAACAAGCAAACCAAACCCTGAGGCTTCACTTTTGGGAATTAAACGATTAAATATTATGAGGTCTAAGACATTAACTTTTATTAATGCATAATAAATGATTACATGTCACTAATAGATTGATATCTATTAATATACATTAAATGATTAGCTTAATTACATTTAAAAATATCTGCAACAACTAAGAATTATATGTTGATTGATGAAATGGGTTAAAATTAAATTAAATGCGTTAATATACATGAAGCAGTTACAACAGGACTCAACATCAGATATACACTCAACTAATTATTTTTTTAATTTGATAATATTTGAACTCTCTGGAGTGACTCCTTCAAAATCACATCATTTTTGGGGAGACGACTGTAAGACCAAGGAAAAACAGTGGCATTTTCTCACCTAACAGTTTCTCCTCAATCCATGTTCCCTCTATCCCCTCAATCTGGTTTTTCTGTTTTGCTCTTTTCTACCTTCCTGCTGGTAGTCGAAGCGAGGGAGAAAGAGCAGAAGTAAGGTGAGGTTTTACCTAACAAATATAAATGCTTATGGTGCCTTATATTTTGGTGACTTTAAATTTTGATATAATTTCAAATTTACAGAACAGTTTTAAGAATAATATAAAGAACTTTGATTATAGCCTTTATCCAGATTCAACCATGGTTTATGTTGCTCCATTGACTCTATCAGTTCCTAGCCCTCCCTCCCTCTCTCTGTGTATTTCTGAAGTATTTGAGAGTGCCTTTGTATATGTATTTCTGGATACTTGAGTGTGTATTTCCTAAGAACAAGGTCATCCTTTTACATAACCACAGTTCAGCTTTCAAAGTCAGGAAATGTAACATTGATATATTACTATTATCTATTCCATAGTGTATTTTCAAACTTCATCAAATGTCAAGTTCTTTTTTTTAATCCAGCCCAGGATCCAATCTAGGATCACAAATGCTACTTATGTGTTTTGTCTTTTTAATTTCCATTACTCTGAAACAGTTCTTCATTCTTTCTTTGTGTTTCTTGGCCTTGGCATTTTTGAAGAGCACAAGCCAGTTACTTTGTTAAATTATTCTGAATTTGGATTTTTCTGCTGTTTCTTCATCCTGTATGCAAGTTATGCATTTTTGGCAGAAATACCACTGAGGCATTGTCTGTTGATTTTATAAAGCATCTTAAAGCTGGTGTCAGTAGGGGTACATTTGGTGGCAAGTAAAAGACTCAACTAACACTGGATAAAGAACGAGAAATCTGGTGGTTAGTAGATCCAGATTGGATGTGGATTCTTTCCATTTTCTACTCTGCTACCCTCTTCACATTGTTGTATATGGCAGTATGTGAACTGAACATGACAAGAGGCTTAAAGAAGGATGAAAGGAGAGATTAAAGTAATGTTCTACATTTGTCTTAACGAGGCCAACTTGTTCATTAGAATGTGAACAGAAATGTAATAAATACCTCCATATATTACATTGCCACCCATGACTGATAGCTGATGGATTAGAGGCTGCTTCCCCAGAAGCAGAACCTGAGACAAGGATTTATGTACAAGTATTTTATGTGGGAAGGGATCCCAGGAAGCACCAGTAAGGGTGTGAGGCAGGGAGGGTGAAGCAAGGAAGTATAGCAGCCAGGACAGGGTGTGTTGTTGAGCTGGTTACTCCTGTGGATAACCAGGTCTTGGTCTCACTGGGAACCTCTAGGAGCCACTTGGAGACATGCTTCAGGGTCTTGCCACCAGAAGGATGAGAAAGCTGGGGTACTGATGTTCCAATCCCTGGTATCCTTGGCTGGAGGCTGCTACAGAGGCATCAGCGCCCCCTGCGTGTATAGGCTAAACAGTTGGAAAGCCCTTGGTGGGAGGGTCTGCATGCTGACAGTCAGAAACTGGCCAACTGCATGATGAGAGAAAGTGATGAGGGGCTCTGGGTGGAGCCTGGGCAGTGTCTGATCTTCCTCTAGCTGAAATGGACACTCCTTTGTGTGAGCACTGAACTCCCTCACTTCTTTGTTGGTGCCCATTTTTCCATGGGGTGAGAGGGTTTATCACTGTACACATTAAGCCCTGGTCTTTCTTTTTCTCTCTCTCCTTGTCCCATTCAGGCTCTATTTCAATCTCTAAGACGTAAGGTCATAGCCTTTCACTTAAAAAATGTTATTTGATTACATGCACCTGTCTTTTCTGTGTTTCTTCCATAGGGCAAGCGTGTGGGCTTTGGAACAAGCCAGACTTGGCTCCAGTTCTCTAGTTCGTGTGAATGTGAGCAGGTGACTGTCACCTTTCTGAGCCTCAGTTTCCTCAAGTGTAAAATGGGGATGGAATAGCCGCCTTTCAGGGTTGCAGAAATGAGGACTAAATACAACATCATATATGAGTGCTTGACACATACTTAGAGGTAGTTATTACACAGAGTAGCAACATGCATAGTAGCCTGCATTGCACCTGGCATAATAAATGCTAGGTAAATGGTGAGTGTTTATAATTCGGGGACTGGCAACGTTTTTCTAAAAAGGGCCAGATAGAAATATTTTAAGTTTTGAGGCCCATATGGTTCCTGTTGCAGCTACTCAAATCTGCGGTTTTAGGATGAAAGCAGCCACAGGCGTGTGTATGTTTCAATAAAACTTTATTGACAAAAAAAAGAAGTGGCCCAGAAGTCGTGGTTTGCTGATCCCTGGTTTATGTGATTATAATGATTGTTACAACCATTGCCAGGATTTGTGTACAAGTTTACTGCCCACCAATTTGGCAAAGCTCAGTCCGTTTTTATTTTTTATTTTTTTTTTATTTTTATTTTTTGAGATGGAGTCTCGCTCTGTTGCCCAGAATGCAGTGGCGCGATCTTGGCACACCACAAGCTCCGCCTCCCGGGTTCACACCATTCTCCCGCCTCAGCCTCCCGAGTAGCTGGGACTACAGGCCTCCACCACCGCGCCTGGCTAATTTTTTGTATTTTTAGTAGAGACGGGTTTTCACCGGGTTAGCCAGGATGGTCTCGATCTCCTGACCTTGTGATCCGCCCGCCTTGGCCTCCCAAAGTGCTGGGATTACAGGCGTGAGCCACCGCACCCGGCCCCATTTTTATTATTCATGGTAGTTATGTTCCATAAAGCCACAACGAACACTGAAATAGCAAATACCAAAATACAGCTCTTAGAGGAAATACAAGGTTAGGTTCCTGGGAGCCTCTGGTTGAAACATTTTTTCAGCCAATCAATACATAACCTCATTTTATGTGTGTTTCTGTTTAGAGACAACTTACTTAATATATACATGTTTTTGATTCATAAACATTGAACTCAGAGCCAACAGCAATATAATTCACACCTGAACAAAGCTTATCTAACATACATATTTTCTCTGAAAGGCATCTCATAGCCTTTTTGCATTAAGGGACACTAAAGAGCACTTCCACTCTATGCTTGGGGGGTTGGAGGAGAGTGTCACTTTAAACACTGAAGGTACCAAAAAGAGAAAGAAAGCACAAAAATGCGTCACTAACTAGACCCCATAAAAAGAACACTTGTGGCCAGGCGCGGTGGCTCACGCCTGTAATCCCAGCACTTTGGGATGCTGAGGTGGGTAGATCACCTGAGGTCAGGAGTTCGAGACCAACCTGGCCAACATGGTGAAACCCCGTCTCTATGAAAAATACAAAAATTAGCTGGGCGTGGTGGCGGCCACCTGTAATCCCAGCTACTCTGGAGGCTGAGGCAGGAGAATCGCTTGAACCCGGGAGGCAGAGGTTGCACTGAGCTGAGGTCATGCCACTGCACTCCAGCCTGGGTGACAAGAGTGAAACTCTGTCTAAAAAAAAAAAAAAAAAAAAGGATGATTGTTCACTGTGTGCGAGCTAAAACAAGTAGTCAGGGTGTTGCCTTGTTTGACAGGCTTAGAAGTGCATCTTAAATGACTCAACTTTTTGTGCTCTGCACATATGCATGTCTGTGAATAACTGTGAAAATGCCAGAAACGTTGATTTTGGGGTTACAGATAAATTTTAGTATGTAGGCCAGTTCACCAATACAAAGAAAAATGAGGATTGGGCTGGGTGCATGGCTTACACCTGTAATCCCAGCACTTTGGGAGGCAGAGGCTGGCGGATCACCTGAGGTCAGGAGTTCGAGACCAGCCTGGCCAATATGGTGAAACCCTGTCTCTACTAAAAATACAAAAATTAGTGGGGCAATGGTGGCAGGCATCTGTAATCCCAGCTACTCAGGAGGCTGAGGCAGGAGAATTGTTTGAACCAGGGGGGTGGAGGTTGTAGTGAGCCAAGATCGTGCCACTGCACTCCAGACTGGGTGACAGAGTGAGAGTCTATCTCAAAAAAAAAAAAAAAAAAAAAAAAAAAATATATATATATATATATATATATGGCTTACCCTATGGACTTTGCATGATATGTTTTTTATTTTTATTTTATCTTAGGCTTTCCAGTTTTTAACTCTTTAATTATTTAAATAATTTCATGAATATATGTTCAACATAAAAACATTAAAATGACACACAGCTATAAAGAATAAAAAGTAAGTTATTCTTCACATTCCTTTTGTACTAGATTCCAGTTTTTTTCTCCAGAGGTCAAACAGCTCATAGTGTGATCTTTTTGAGATTTAAACACACATGTGTATGTACACAAAACACACTACTTTAAAAAGTAAATGGGCCACACAAAAACCTGCACATAAATGTCTAAAGCAGCTTTATCGGTAATTGCCAAAACTTGGAAGCAGCCAAGATGCCTTTTAGTTTGGTAAACTGTGAAGCCTCCAGACAGTGGAGTATTATTCAGCTTTAAAAAGAAATGAGCCATTGAGCCATGAGAAGATACGGAGGAACCTTAAATGCTTATTACTAAGAGAAAGAAGCCAATCTGAAAAGGCTGCATATGGGATGATTCTAACTATATGACATATTGGAAAAGGCGAAACTATGGTAACAGTGAAAACCCAGAAATAGCCCAAATGTCTATCAAGTGTAAAAATTGATAAATTGTGGAATACTAAAAAAGAATTTGCTGTTATTACTAGTATCCTAGAAGTAGGATTGCTGAATCAAAAGTTATGTGCATTTTAGATCTTAATATCACAAACCCCTCATCCCACCCTCCAAAACCCTCCAGAAGAGAGGCTCTTTCAATTTCCATTCCCACCAACAGCCATTGAGACTCCCTGTTTGCCTGTACCCTTGCCAATACTGGGTACTATCCATTAATTTACCTTTTGCCAATCTGATGGGCTCATCCTCCTTTACAACTGAAATTCTTACAACTGGGACCTGTCATAAAATTGGTGTGTAGGAGCCTTTGAGAAGGCTGTCGGCAAATGAAGCAAAAACTCCAACCCTCTAATTTTCCACACACTGATTTAGGCTCTTTGGAAGATTAACAAATGGTTATCAGGGTAATTCTGAAAAGAAGTGGGGGCAGAGATTCCCACACAGAACCTAATGTTTTCTGGGTTGGTGGGGGTGGGGGGGCTTTGATTTGAATGGCTCCAGGACCCCCTCTGCCAGATGTCAGCAAATCACAGACATTCATCTAGCTGAAAGCCAACCTATTCAGTCTTTCTGGGCAACACATTCAGACAGAACCCAGCATTCTTGGCTCAGGGTGATGAAATAAATAGGACTTAATTTATATTTTAAAGTCTTTTTATCTCTCTGTAAGCCCCTGTGCTTCATTGAAAGAAAATTTGATCGAGATGTAGAGAGGTCAGAATGCAGCTTTAATAATTCACGATCTGTAATCTTGGCCCTTTCTTACTTTGCCTTAACATTTATTTGGAGGTTTGCCATTTCCCTCTGCTTCCCCTACATGATTCTTGAGCGACAGTCTTGTCCTTCTTCTAAACTCTCTTGCCTCAGCATTCAGACCGTTTCGGGTAGGATCGGAAGGTTTGATATCCACTTTGACCAATGAGAGACTTTGGGGGCAAACTGGGGCCCCTGACCCTCTCTCCAGGAGCCTTGATCTGCCAGTTAGAATATCTTATATTGATAAGATTAGTTGGTAATTAACAGCCCAGCCCAGTCAAGCAGAGGAGATGACTCAATTAGCAGAATGTCACTCCATCTAATTTACTTTGCTTATCAGAGATTTATTTTCTAATGACTACAGGAAGAAGAACAGGGCACCTTCAGAGGAGGGATCAGAAAGGGTTTAAAAGCTTCAGTGTGCTCTAACCTCTCTTTTTCAGCTGGTTTGCCTGGCAGTGAGGAGGCTGATAATGCCAATTTGGGGAATTGGCTGGTCTGATACACCTATCTCAAACTTGGGAAAAAAGAGGTTGAATGTTTCTGTTATCCCTCTATCTGATTCTTTTCTTTATTTTTAAGTTTTGTGGGTACATAGTAGGTGTATACATTTATGGGGTACATGGGATGTTTTGATACAGACATGCAATGTGAAATAATCAAATCATGGAGAATGGGGTATCCATCCTCTCAAGCATTTATCCTTTGTGTTACAAACAACCCAATTATACTCTTTTAGTTATTTTCAAATGTAAAATTAAGTTATTGTCTATTGTCACCCCTTTGTGCTCACATAGTAGGTCTTATACATTCTTTCTAACTATCCTCTATCTGCTTTATATTTTTTGAGCTAATCCTGTTTGTCATCTTTGTTTGATGAGAAAACTCCTCCCACAGCTACTTAGCTTTAGCTAGAGTAGTAGTAGCAATAACACCACCTACAATAATACTAGACAAGGTATTTATTAAAGCCTCTTGATACCCCAGGCATTGTGTTAAAGACTTTACATTGGACACATAACATTGAATCCTCTACACCACAGTTGGCAAACATTTTCTTAAAGGGCTAGATAATATTGTAGTTCTGGGGACCGGTCTTTGTTGAAACTGCCCAAGTTTGATTGTATTAAGAAAGCAGTCATAGACTATAGGCAAATAACTAAGTATGACTTGTTCCAATAAAACTTTATTTACAATAACAGTCATTTGGCCAGATTTCGGCTGTTGGCCATAGTTTGCTAACGCCTACTTTAAATCAGTGTTTCTCAGACTTCATATTGTGATTTATTTAGTCACAGAATCAATGTAGATGGTTGCAAAACTCATTTTTTAAAAACATGAAATAGAATAAAAACTATGTGGCTGGGCATGGTGGCTCACACCTGCAATCCCAGCACTTTGGGAGGCTAAGGCAGGTGGATCACTTGAGGTCAGGAGTTTGAGACCAGCCTGGCCAATATGGTGAAACCCTGTCTCTACTAAAATTACTAAAAAATTAGCCAGCCATGGTGGCATATGCTTGTAATCCCAGCTACTCAGGAGGCTGAGGCAGGGGAATCCCTTGAACCTAGGAGGCGAGCCTGCAGTGAGCCGAGATTGCCCCACTGCACTCCAGCCTGGGTGACAAAGTGAGGCTCTGTCTCAAAAGAAAAGAAAAAGAATAAAAACTATGTGAATGCATCACCTCTAATATGGATAACTCCTATTTGGTGAAATTTTAATTTCAGATGTGCGTGTATGTAAAACCATATATGCATATGGATATAGGTGTGTATGTATTTGTGTGCGTGTGAGTACTGGGTTTCAATGTGAAGTGTGTATCTTATTGCAGATTATAAGAGTTTGAAAAGTCCTGCTCTTAACTACCTAAAGTAAGTCTCATTATTACATGCATTTTACGGTTGAGGAAATAGAGATGTGGAAAGACATTCGGTGACTTGCCCCAAGTTACACAGCCTGAGGAGCCAGATTTTTTGATAAGACAGCAAGCCTCTGACATACAGCATTTTCCCATGCCCACTTTGGAATGGGTTAATAGCAGTGAAATGGTTAAAATTCCTTCCAGTGGAAGGAAAATAAAACAAGGGACAGGCATAGTCCACAAATTGAATGGCTTCTTGCTGAAGCGAACAGAAACGTCTCTTTTTCCTTCTTGGTATTTTCATTGCAAATACTATTTATCACAATGTATTTTTCCCCCAACGCATTTTAGAAAGTCAGTTGGAATTGATTTGAGGCTCTAAACAGTCTCCTGAATGAAAAAGCAAAGTGTAACCTATTCTAACAGCCCCTCTTCCTTAATCTAGAAACATGGGGAGATGCAATTTAAATGATAATGTTAACCAAAACGGGAGAATGCAATGCTATAGTAGGAGTGTTTGTTTTGTTGTTTTTTTAACCCCCACTGAAAGACAAATGGCTGAGACATTTATATCTGCAGCACTTATTAAGGAGAAAATGCTCAACCCGTTAATTTCATTGCTGTGGTGCTGAATATGAAGAAAGAATGTAGTTTCTGAGTGACTGCTGAGGACTCCCACAGTCCTACAAGATGGCGGCCAGGGAGGGGGATTCTGTGGCAACGTTCGAGAAGTCCTGAAATGTCGTCCGTTATCTAACATTTATCTGGGTGTTGCAGAATAAGTGTTTCTCGAAGTGAGACTTCTTGGAACATTTTCTCTTAAACTGAGGCTTTGGAGTCACTTTGTAAGTTTGTGTTTTAAAGCCAACCCTCTAAAACTTGTTTGCTGATCAATTTAAAGACAGGTCTCCCTGGCAACCATGTTGTACACAGGGTATGGATTATGTATACAGAAGATAGAACGTAGAGTTATCTGAAATAATATGTTAGTTTCAGTAAGAAAAGAATTAGTCAGAAATAAAATAAAGTAAGCATATTAGGATTTTTTTTAAAAGTGTGCCCCAATTTAAAAACACATCTATAGGAAATAAGGAAGAATATACACTTTGATGATTCTGCTACCTAACAAGACGACCATTACTATTTTATAATGGGTTTTGTTTTTCCATCTTTTTTCTTTCTTTTTTTTTTTTTTAAAGTGCTTTGGTTAAGAAGCCTCACAACTCTCCCCAGTTAACACCTTCATAAGGAAAGCAAAATTACAAGACGGCAAATGTACCAATTAGGACTCAGTTTACCTGTGTTTTCATGCTCCAGAGTGTTTGATACACATTTAACAACAAGCGATGTTTAGAGGAGGGAGCCCAAACTACCTCTACCCATAAGACTCCTCTAAAGTATCTAGGGTATTTATACCATGCCCTAACATCTTAGCTGTGCCTTGCAGGTTTTTGCATACCAAGGCTTTGTGGGCAAAAGATCCAGAACTAAACGACATCTACCTAGTCTATGTTACAGGCTGTGCCTTCAAATGTCAAGCTTTGCTAACCATGTCTCATTATCCAACAAGCTTAGTTTTTCTGATGGCTACCATGTCCAGTGTCGCTCAGAGAACTTCCAAAATTTCCTATACTATGTACGCCCATTGATTGAATATATATACACATGCATACACACACATACATACATGCATATACATATACACACATATTATTTTGCATATGTTTATATATCTTCACATACATAAACATACATATGACCAAAATTTATACATGCATCTACTTTAAAGAGCCAAGGTTCTAAAAAGCTTGTTATAAAGAGCAATAACTTGCTTCTCCTCATTTCCTTCCATTTCTCTCCCTTCGGAGGCAACCACTGTTGTCTCTTGTAGCTGATTCTTTTGGTACCTTCGGATACTTAAATGGCATGTTTATAATGTGATGTCTTGATTTCTCATATTCAGGTATTAACTGTTGTTTTTTTTCCTCAAGGAAAATGAGAATTTCGCTTTCTTGCCCCTCCCTCCCTGCCTCCACGACCTCTACCCACAACGCACACACTTCCTGTCTGAGTCTTTTGCAATGATTTTTGATAGTTTAATATTCGTTATTTCCCTGTGTCATGACCATGCCAAATGCCTTCCACAGTTGCATCATGTTCTGTGATATTTTTTTCCTTTACTGCACAACTTTTTGTTTTCCATGAAGTTAATAATAGTTGCCTTTTAAAAATTTGCTTAACGTTTTGTATGATCTCAACCCTGGTTCAGTCTCCAATTTTTGGCTAGTTCTGTAACTCTCCTCTGATTGTATCCCTCTGTATCACAAAGCTATTAATTCTACTTTCCAGGAGTATGAAGATCCTGGGGCTTCAAGCCTGCTCTCTGCTCCCTACACCAGGGGAGCAAACTCATTCTGGGCAATCCCCTCTGTCCATCCTCTGTAGTGGAGATCCTATTTCTCAAAGAACCATATGTTCTATGTTCTTGGTTTATCCCCTCAATTTCGTTGAGTACTTCTCTTACTAGCCTTCTGAAAAAGGACTTATTATTATTATTGGAGATGTTGCATATAGGTGTTGGCTATAGAATCCTAGGTTGGAAATATAAACCTCAAATATTTGAGACAGGTCCCAGTCAATTTAGAAAGTTTATTTTGCTAAAATAAACTTTAGCAAAAAAAGGTTAAGGACGTGTGCCCATGACAACTCAGCCTCAGTAGGTCCTGATGATAGGTGCCCAAGGTGCCCAGGGCACAGCCTGGTTTTTGTACATTTTAGGGAGACGTGAGACATCAATCAATATATGTAAGATGAACGTGGGCCAGGCGCGGTGGCGCACGCCTGTAATCCCGGCACTTCAGGAGGCCGAGGCGGGTGGATCACCTGAGGTCAGGAGTTCAAGACCAGCTTGACTAACATGGTGAAACCCCATCTCTACTAAATACAAGAAAAAAAATTAGTCGAGCGGGGTGGTGCATGCCTGTAATCCCAGCTACTGGGGAGGCTGAGGTAGGAGAATCACTTGAATCCGGGAGGCGGAGGTTGCAGTGAGCCGAGATCGTGCCATTGCACTCCAGCCTGGGCAACAAGAGCGAAACACCATCTCAAAAAAAAAAAAAATGTTGAAAGCTGGTTGGGTCCAGAAAGGCAAGATGACTCAAAGTGGGGAGGGGACTTCCAGGTCATAGGTAGATAACAGACAAAAGGTTGCATTCTTTTGAGTTTCTGATTAGCCTTTCCAAAGGAGACAATCAGATAAGCATTTATCTCAGTGAGTAGAGGGGTGACTTTGAATAGAATGGGAAGCAGGTTTGCCCTAAGCAGGTCCAAGCTTGACTTCTCCCTTTAGCTTAGTGATTTTGGAGTCTCAAGATTTATTTTCTTTTCACAGAAATCGCTTTCCTCAAAATTTTGAAGACGTGACTCCCCTGTCTTCTAGCTTTTAGAATTGCTGCTGAGAAGTCTAAAGCCACTCTGATTCTGACTCTTTGCATATAATCTGCTTTTTCTCTTGGTAAATGTGTAAAATTTCTTTGATCCTGGATTTTGAAAATGCCACAGCAATGTGCCTCAGTGTACCTTGGTCATGGTGCTGGTCTTTTGAACCTGGGAACACACGCTCTTCAATTCTGGAGAATTTTCTTGAGTTATCTAATGGATAATTTTCTCCTCTCCATTTTTTTTTCTTGTTTTCTCTTTCTAAAACTCTTGTTATTCAGATGTCAGTTCACTATTTTTTAAAAAAAATTCTTCTCTCTTATTTTGCATCCCTTTGTCTTTTTGCTCTCTTTTGGAAAAATTTGTCAGTCTCATCTTCCAACCTTTTTACTTTTACTCATCTTCCAACCTTTTTACTAACGCATTCATTTGTGCGTTAGCTTCTGAGGGCTTCTTTTGCATCCCTTTGTCTTTTTGCTCTCTTCTGGAAAAATTTGTCAGTCTCATCTTCCATCCTTTTTACTAACGCATGTGCGTTAACTTCTGAGGGCTTCTTTTGGCTTTTCACGTGTTCCTGTTTACAGTCCCAAGTAGAGTATTTGGCACAATGCCCTAAGGCATGGTAGAGTAACAGCAAGGAGGATGATGTGCTTGGAACAATGTGAGCAAGAGTGACTGTGGGAGCCAACAAAGCTATGAAAGATAATTGGAGGAGGCACATCACATAGCACATTATGGAACTCTGACTCCAAGTGGTGAAGCTGGAGTCTAAGCCTAGCTTTGTCCCTGCTTTGGAAAACTCAGTCTTTCTGATCCTCAGTTTTCCTACTTGTAAAATTAACTGTTTGAATTTCTAAGAAACCTTACAACTCAAATATGCTCATGAATCTTTGATTACATCAATGTTCTCTCCCTAAAGCAGGCAAATCACAACACTTAAATTTGTGTATATATATTTATGCTTTTCTAGATGCCCAAGTATATATGACTTCTACCATCCAGTAAAACAGACCTTTTACCCTTTAGGAAATTACAGGTTGAGAGTTAAATTCTATAATTAGTAAGTATTGTTTTATTGGAACAAAGATTAGGTTTCCCCAAAGTCGTAGAAATTAATGGCAAGGTCAGATTAGCATGAGGGTCTTTGGTCTTCTAGCGTTCCCAACTCCATTGCAGAAGCTCTGAGCAAGTCAACTCTCTCAGCCATGACCAAGAAGAAGCTAATTCATCTGAAGGAAAATGCTGAGCCTGCCTTCAGAGTCCTTCAGAGTAAACCTGCTGCACAATTAGCTGAAGGAAAGGGCCTTGCAGGGAGTCAGCACATCAGAAATGCACCATTACTCAGCCAGGGGCTGACATTCAGCCAATGGCAGCCCCTTGTGTAGATACTGGAGTGGATCCCACGGAGAATGAGCCCGCTCACCCAGCATGGGGTTTACAGCCGCCATGAACCTGGAGGAGAGGACATTTGGGCCAGAGCATTTTGGCTTCCTCTGCTGTTTGAGATGGGTTTGTCACCAGGAGCAAGCCTTTGCTGAGTTCTCCCTCCTTTAAAGAATTGTTTTCTCTAAATTAATTAAATTGATGAGAATAAAGAGGGCCAAATTGATGGCACCCAAATGCATTTGAAAGTGATCAGAAACCGCCAGGAACACCATAAATTCCATAATTAGAAAGTATTTTCTTAAAGGGACAAAGATCGGATTTCCCCATTTCAGAGTTGGAAATGCCCCTTGATTAATTTCCTCCAGCCTGTCTCTTAATGATATGAAATGCAATCAAGATAAGTAATCAAGAAAATCAAAGTGTCCTAAGTACTTTAGGTAATAATGACAATAACATTCAACCACTGCAATAACCAGAGTTATATATTATTTGTGCGTTTTTAAACCTCATACTAGACACTGTACTAAACATGTCAAAAGCCTTGTCCCATTTAATACCTAGAAAACACCATGAGGTAGAAACTATTCTTCTTGCCATTTTACAGATGACTTCAGGTGACCTGCTTGGAAAGCTTTGTCAGTTGTCCACAGTGATGCAGCAAGTGAGGGGTGGAGCTGGAATTTGAACCCAGGCTGTCAAAATGCAAAGTCCAGTCCTCTGAACTATTATGCTATAATGCCTCTTAAAGTTTTTTTTCCTATTGTCAACTCTGAATGTCATGTTGAGTATAGGAGAGGAAGTGTATCTTTTCTTTCTCAGTCATCAGGGAAAGAACATTCATTTTGCTGTTGTTTTTAACTTCTTTTTTTTTTTTTTTTTTTTTTTTTCTGAGACAAGGTCTTGCTCTGTATCCCAGGCTGGAGGGCAGTGGTACGAACTTGGCTCACTGCAACCTCTGCCCCCCGGGTTCAAGCGATTCTCCTGCCTCAGCCACCTGAGTAGCTGGGATTACAGACATGTGCCACCATGCCCAGCTAATTTTTGTATTTTTAGTAGAGACAAGGTTTCACCATGTTGGCCAGTCTGGTCTCAAACTCCTGGCCTCAAGTGATCTGCCTGCCTTGGCCTCTGAAAGTGCTGGGATTACAAGTATGAGCCACAACACCTGGCCTATTTTGCAATTTTTTCAATGTGGCAAAATATATACAACACATAATTGACCATTTTAACCATTTTTAAGTGTACAAGTCAGCATTAAGTACATTACAATGTTGTGCAATTATCACACTATTTCCAGAACTTTCCATCTTCCTAAACAGAAATTCTGTGCCTATTAAACAGTATCTTTCCATTCCTCTCTTCCCCTAATCCCTGGTAACTTCTATTTTCTGTCTCTGTGAATTTGCCTATTCTGGGTATCTTATACAAGTGGAGTCATACAGTATTTGTTCTTTTGTGTCTGACCTCTTGCTCTTAGCATAACGTCTCCAAGGTTCTTCCTCCTCCTTTTTTTTTTTTTTTTTTTTTATGAGATGGAATCTGGCTTTGTCTCCCAGGCTGGAGTGCAATGGCACGATCTCAGCTCACTGCAACCTCCGCCTCCCAGGTTCAAGCAATTCTCCTGCCTCAGCCTCCCAAGTAGCTGGGATTACAGGCATGTGCCACCACGCCTGGCTAATTTTGTATTTTTTTTTTTTTTTTTTGAGACAGAGTTTCACTCTTGTTGCCCAGGCTGGAGTGCAATGGCTCCATCTCGGCTCACTGCAACCTCCGGCTCCTGGGTTCAAGCGATTCTCCTGCCTCAGCCTCCTGAGTAGCTGGGATTACAGGTGCACAGCACCATGCCCGGCTAATTTTGTATTTTTAGTAGAGATGGGGTTTTGCCATGTTGGCCAGGCTGGCCTCGAACTCCTGACCTCAGGTGATCTGCCCACCTCGGCCTGCCGAAGTGCTGGGATTACAGACATGAGCCACTGTGCCCAGCCTTTTATTATTATTATTATTATTATTATTATTATTATTATTATTATACTTTAAGTTCTGGGATCCATGTGCAGAACATACAGTTTTGTTACATAGGTATACACATGCCATGGTGGTTTGCTGCACCCATCAACCTGTCATCTACATTAGGTATTTCTCATAATGCTATCCCTCCCCTAGCCCCCTACCTCCCGACAGGCCCCGATGTGTGATATTCCCCTCCCTGTGTCCATGTGTTCTTATTGTTCAACTCCCTCTTATGAGTGAGAACATGCGGTGTTAGGTTTTCTGTTCCTGTGTTAGTTTGCTGAGAATGATGGTTTACAGCTTCATCCATGTCCCTGCGAAGGACATGAACTCATCGTTTTTTATGGCTGCATAGTATTCCATGGTGAATATGTGTCACATTTTCTTTATCTGGTCTATCAATGACGGACATTTGGGTTGGTTCCAAGTCTTTGCTATTGTGAACAGTGCTGTAATAAACATGTGTGTGCATGTGTCTGTATAGTAGAATGATTTATAATCCTTTGGGTATATACCCAGTAATGGGATTGCTGGGTCAAATGGTATTTCTAGTTCTAGATCCTTGAGGAATCACCACACTGCCTTCCACAATGGTTGAACTACTTTACAGTCAGTGTAAAAGCATTCCTATTTCTCCGCATCCTCCCCAGCATCTGTTGTTTCCTGACTTTTTAATGATGGCCATTCTAACTGGCATGAGATGGTATCGCATTGTGGCTTTGATTTGCATTTCTCTGATGACCAGTGACGATGAGCATTTTTTCATGTGTCTGTTGGCTACATAGATATCTTCTTTTGAGAAGTGTCTGTTTATATCCTTCACTCACTTTTTGGTGGGGTTGTTTGTTTCTTGTGAATTTTAGTTCTTGTAGATTCTGGATATTAGACCTTCGTCAGATGGGTAGATTGCAAAAATTTTCTCCCATTCTGTAGGTTGCCTGTTCACTCTGATGATAGTGTCTTTTGCTGTGCAGAAGTTCTTTAGTTTAATTAGATCCCATTTGTCAATTTTGGCTTTTGTTGCCATTGCTTTTGGTGTTTTTATCATGAAGTCTTTGCTCATGACTATGTCCTGAGTGATATTGCCTAGGTTTTCTTCTAGGGTTTTTGTGGTTTTAGGTCTTATGTTTAAGTCTTTAATCCATCTTGAGTTAATTTTTGTGTAAGGTGTAAGGAAGGGGTCCAGTCTCAGTTTTCTGCATATGGCTAGCCAGTTTTCACAACACCATTTATTAAATAGGGAATCCTTTCCTCATTGCTTGTTTTTGTCAGGTTTGTCAAAGATCCAATGGTTGTAGATGTGTGGTATTATTTCTGAGGCCTCTGCTCTGTTCCATTGGTCTATATATCTGTTTTGGTACCAGTACCATGCTGTTTTGGTTACTGTAGCCTTGTAGTATAGTTTGAAGTCAGGTAGCGTGATACCTCCAGGTTTGTTCTTTTTGCTTAGGATTGTCTTGCCTATGCAGCCTCTTTTTTTGGTTCCATATGAAATTTAGTTTTTTTAAAATTCTGTGAAGAAAGTCCATGGTAGCTTCATGGGGATAGCATTGAATCTATAAATTGCTTTGGGCAGTATGGCCATTTTCACGATATTGATTCTTCCTATCAATTAGCATGGATTGTTTCTCAATTTGTTTGTGTCCTCTCTTATTTCCTTGGGCAGTGGTTTGTAGTTCTCCTTGAAGAGGTTCTTCACATCCCTTGTAAGATGGATTCCTAGGCATTTTATTCTCTTTGTAGCAATTGTGAATGGGAGTTCACTCATGATTTGGCTCTCTTATTGGTGTACAGGAATGCTTGTAATTTTTGCACATTGGTTTTGTATCCTGAGACTTTGCTGAAGTTGCTTATCAGCTTAAGGAGATTTTGGGCTGAGACAATGGGGTTTTCTAAATATGGAATCATGTCATCTGCAAACAGAGACAATTTAACTTCCTCTCTTCCTATTTGAATACACTTTATTTCTTTCTCTTGCCTGATTGCCCTGGCCAGAACTTCCAATACTATGTTGAATAGGAGTGATGAGAGAGGGCATCCTTGCCTTGTGCTGGTTTTCAAAGGGAATGCTTCCAGTTTTTTCCCATTCAGTACGATATTGGCTGTGGGCTTGTCATAAATAGCTCTTATTGTTTTGATATACGTTCCATCAATACATAGTTTATTGATGGTTTTTAGCATGAAGGGGTGTTGAATTTTATCGAAGGCCTTTTCTGCATCTATTGAAATACGTATGTGGATTTCGTCATTGGTTCTGTTTATGTGATGGATTACGTTTATTGAATGCATATGTTGAATCAGCCTTGCATCCCAGTGATGAAGCCAACTTGATCGTGGTGGATAAGCTTTCTGATGTGCTGCTGGATTTAGTTTGCCAGTCTTTTATTGAGGATTTTTGCATCAATGTTCTTCAAGGATATTGGCCTGAAATTTTCTTTTTTTGTTGTGTCTCTGCCAGGTTTTGGTATCAGGATGATGCTGGCCTCATAAAATGAGTTAGGGAGGATTCCCTCTTTTTCTATTGATTGGAATAATTTCAGAAGGAATGGTACCAGCTCCTCTTTGTACCTCTGGTAGAATTCGGCTGTGAATCCGTCAGGTCCTGGACTTTTTTTGGCTGGTAGAGTATTAATTACTGCCTCGATTTCAGAACTTGTTATTGGTCTATTCAGGGATTTGACTTCTGCCTGGTTTAGACTTGGGAGGGTGTATGTATCTAGGAATTTATCCACTTCTTCTGGATTTTCTAGTTCATTTGTGTAGAGGTGTTTATATTATTCTCTGATGGTAGTTTGTATTTCTGTGGGATCAGTGGTGATATCCTCTTTATCCTTTTTTATTGTGTCTATTTGATTCTTCTCTATTTTCTTCTTTATTAGTCTGGCTAGCGGTCTATCTATTTTGTTGATCTTTTATAAAAAAAACAACTCCTGGGTTCATTGATTTTTTGAAGGGTTTTTTGTGTCTCTATCTCTTTCAGTTCTTCTCTGATCTTAGTTATTTCTTGTCTTCTGCTAGCTTTTGAATTTGTTTGCTCTTGCTTCTATAGTTCTTTTAATTGTGATGTTAGGGTGTTGATTTTAGATCTTTCCTGCTTTCTCTTATGGGCATTTAGTGCTATGAATTTCACTCTAAACACTGCTTTAGCTGTGTCCCAGAGATTCTGGTACATTATATCTTTGTTCTCATTGGTTTCAAAGAACTTATTTATTTCTGCCTTAATTTTATTATTTACCCATCAGTCATTCAGGGGCAGGTTGTTCAGTTTCCATGTGGTTGTGAAGTTTTGAATGAGTTTCTTAATCCTGAGTTGTAATTTGATTGCACTGTGGTCTGAGAGAGAGTTTGTTATGATTTCTGTTTGTTTGCATTTGCTGAGGAGTGCTTTACTTCCAATTATGTGGTCAGTTTTGGAATAAGTGTGATGTGGTGCTGAGAAGAATGTATGTTCTGCTGATTTGGGTGGGGAGTTCTATAGATGTCTATTTGGTCTGCTTGGTGCAGAGCTGAGTTCAAGACCTGAGTATCTTTGTTAATTTTCTGTCTCATTGATCTGTCTAATATTGACAGTGCGGTGTTAAAGTCTCCCACTATTACTGTGTGGGAGTCTAAGTCTCAATGTAGGTCTCTAAGAACTTGCTTTATGAATCTGGGTGCTCCTGTATTGGGTGCTTATATATGTAGGATAGTTAGCTCTTCTTGTTGCATTGGTCCCTTTACCATTATGTAATGGCCTTCTTTGTCTCTTTTGATCTTTCCTGGTTTGAAGTCTGTTTTATCAGAGACAAGGATTGCAACCCCTGCTTTTTTGTTTTTTGTTTTTTGCTTTCCATTTGCTTGGTAAACATCCCTCTATCCTTTTATTTTGAGCCTTTATTTTGAGCCTATGTGTGCCTTTGCATGTGAGATGAATCTCCTGAATATAGCACGCTGATCAGTCTTGATTCTTCATCCAATTTGCCAGTCTATGTCTTTTAATTGGGACATTTAGCCTGTTTACATTTAAGGTTAATATCGTTATGTGTGAATTTGATCCTGTCATTATGATGCTAGCTGGTTATTTTGCCCATTAATTCATTCAGTTTCTTCGTAGTGTCAATGGTCTTTACCATTTGGTATGTTTTTGCAGTGGCTCGTACTGGTTGTTCCTTTCCATGTTTAGTCCTTCCTTCTGGAGCTCTTGTAAGACAGGCCTGGTAGTGACAAAATCTCTCAGCATTTGCTCGTCTGTAAAGGATTTTATTTCTTTTTTTTTTTTTTTTCCTTTTTTGAGATGGAATCTGGCTTTGTCACCCAGGCTGGGGTGCAGTGTCACGATCTCGGCTCACTGCAACTCTCCGCCTCCCAAGTTCAAGCAATGCTCCTGCCTCAGCCTTCCAAGTAGCTAGGATTACAGGTGTGCACCACTACGCCTGGCTAATTTTTGTATTTTAGTAGAGGTGGGGTTTTGCCATGTTGGCCAGGCTGGCCTCAAACTCCTCACCTCAGGTGATCTGCCCGTGTCCGCCTCCCGAAGTGCTGGGGTTGCAGGCATGAGCCACCACGCCCGCCCGGCCTTCTTTTTTTTTTTTTTTTTTTTACATAGCAAGCTGCTAAGTGCATCTCTGTTTAGAAATTGCCTTAACATTGGGTTTCTATTGACAGAACAGGGGAGGAGTTTGCCTCTGACTTTTCTGAAGCTCCCATGGTACCTGAGGCTAAGCAGCCCACAGTTAATTTTAATTGGCAAAAGAAATGAGAACAAATTCCTCCAGGATGAGAAGTACATTTCTGCTAAAACAGTGCTCTCCCACAGGGTATATGAACACATTCAGTCCCCTCTAGAAAAGAACCAGAGGGCAGGCACGGGGTGCCAGCTGCTAGAAATCTTGCAGTTAGATTAGAATAGAAGAGTGTCTGAGTTTTTAGATAATTTTAGGTGCCAGGATATGGTTAGGAGGCTATGTTCAGGGCTACTCTTGCTACTGTTGAAATAAAAAACAAAAATAACTGCCTAGAGAACATCCACGCCCTAAAAGACAAACCATGTTTTCTGGGTGAAGGGATGATTTAACTCAGGAAACTCAAGAACACAAAACAACAACAACAGAAATAATCTCCTTGAACATATTCAACTAGAATGGCAAGGCATTTTCCAACATAAAACACTGTAATTTTCCTGCTACTCCAAAGGAATCCAATAAATAATTTTACAAAATTATAATCAAAACTGGAAGTCATGGCCAGGTGCGTTGGCTCATGCCTGTAATCCCAGCACTCTGGGAGGCTGAGGTGGGTGGATCACAAGGTCAGGAGTTCAAGACCAGCCTGGCCAACACAGTGAAACCCTGTCTCTACTAAAATTACAAAAATTAGCAGGTGCCTGTAATCCCAGCTACTCAGGAGGCTGAGGCAGGAGAATGGGTTGAACCCGGGAGGCAGAGGTTGCAGTGAGCCCAGATCGCGCCACTGCACTCCAGCCTGGGCAACAGAGCTAGACTCCGTCTCCAAAAGAAAAAAAAAAAAAAACCTGAAAGTGACACCAGCCCCCTGACAACACAAGTCACAGGTCCTTGTGCAGTCCCAGGGTTGAGTGGTCCAAGAAAGCCACTCCCTGAGCCCAGCCTGAGGTTTCATCTTTCCCGAATGGGATCAGGTAGAGGGTCCATGCTGCTTTGCAGAAGATTTGCATCTGGTAAGCCCAGGTGGTGAATGAAGGCAAAGAAGACAACACGAGAAGATGTCAAAGCCAAGGTTTCCTCGCGCTGAAGCCAGGCCTTAGGAGGCAAGTTCTTTGGTGGGGCCTCTTTGCCCAAGCTGGAGCAAGTACCCTGTACCTGTCATGCAGGGAAGAGTTTGGGTGGGCTTTCTACTTAGCAGGACTTTGCTATGGAGTCCTGGTAGGTGTTCTCATGTTGCATGCTCTGAGATGAGGTCCTGCATGTGGCCAGGCACAACTCAAAGTGTTCTTCGACTGCCATGAAGAGGTTCTGGAAAGCCACAGCTGCCCGACGGAGGAAGCACTCCAAGAAAAGCTGCTTGTTGGGCAGCAGCCGCGGGACCAGCAGCCATCACAGCAGTATTGCTTTGTGCCAGAGACATTGATGTTACAGCAGCCGCTGGGCCAGCAGCCATCGCAGCAGTACTGCTTTGTTCCAGGGACGTTGATGTTGCAGCAGCCCCTGGGCGAGCAGCCATCACAGCAGTATTGCTTTGTGCTGGGGCCGTTGGTGTTACAGCAGCTGCTGGGCCAGCAGCCATCACAGCAGTATTACTTTGTTCCAGGGATGTTGATGTTGCAGCAGCTGCTGGGCCAGCAGCGGTTGGGCCAGCAGCTGTAGCAGCAGTATTGCTTTGTGCTAGGGACATTGATGTTGCAGCAGCAGTTGGGCCAGCAGCCATGGCAGCAGTATTGCTTTGTTCCAGGGATGTTGATGTTGCAGCAGCCATTGGGCCAGCAGCCATGGCAGCAGTATTGCTTTGTGCTAGGGTCGTTGACGTTGCAGCAGCCATCCACCAGCAAATCCTTCCTCTCACAAACATAGTTCATCTATGATGTGGTGCTCCCCTCAAATGGAGTGGTGGCACTGATTGCTGGGGTGACTGCCATTGCCCGAGTTAAACTGCACTTTACACGGAATGGGCTGATCATGGTCTTGAACCTAGAGGAGATTCCTCTCTTTCACTGTCCTCTCCTCCTGCTTGAAGGTGCTCCTGAGGAAGTAGATGAGTGACAGCCCAAAGACCAGGGCGAGCACCCACCTCCTCCGCAGACATCGGTGCTAAACCGTGGCCTCCTGGTTCACCATCCCGTGTTGTGGAACATGGCAGGCCCGAGGCTCCTACACACCCCGCAGCCCCATCCCTTGAAGCAGGCACTGACCCCGTGGCCCATGGCCGAGTCCCAGGTTTATTTTTCTTACCCCATATATCAGAATTTAATTCCTTTTTATGATGAATGATATTCCAAGGCATGTTCCTTTCTTTGGTAGCCGTCCTAATTGGTGTGAAGTGGTGTCCCATTGTGGTTTGTTTTGTTTTGTTTTTTGTTTTTTTGAATTATTATTATTTTTTTGAGAGGAGTGTCACTCTGTCACCAGGCTAGAGTGCAGTGGCGCGACCTTGTCTCACTGCAACCTCTGCCTCCCAGGTTCAAGTGATTCTCCTGCCTCAGCCTCCTGAGTAGCTGGGATCATAGGTGCCTGCCACCACACCTGGCTAATTTTTTATTTTTAGTAGAGACAGGGTTTCACCATGTTGACCAGGATGGTCCTGATCTCTTGACCTTGTGATCCACCCACCTCAGCCTCCCAAAATGCTGGGATTACAGGTGTGAACCACCCTGCCTGGTCCACATTGTGGTTTTGAGTTGTGTTTCCTTAATGATGAATGATGTTGAGCTGATTGGCCATTTGTGTATCTTCTCTGGAGAAATGTCTATTCAAGTCCTTTGTTCATTTTTGAACTGTGCTGTTTGTTTTTTGTTGCTATTAAGTTATAGGAGTTCTTTACATATTCTGAATATTAATTCTTATCAGGTATATGATTTGCAAATATTTCCTCTCATTTGGTGGGTTGTCTTTTCACTCTTTTGATAATGTCCTTCGATCCAAAAAAATTATAATTTGATGAAGTCCAATTCATGTATTTTTTCTTTGTTGCCTGTGCTTTTGCTATCATATTTCAGACATTATTGCCAAATACAATGCCATAGAAATTTTCCTATATGTTTTCTTCTAAGAGGTTTGTAGTCTTAGCTCTTATATTTAGGTCTTTGATCCATTTTGAGCTACATTTTGTAAATAGTATAAAGGAGCCAACTTTATGTTTTTGTATGTGAATATCTAGTTTTACCAGCACCATTTACTGAAAAGATGACCCTTTTCCCCTATTAAAAATCATTAGGCCATATATGTAAGAGTTTATTTCTAGGGTCCTTATTGTATTCCTTTGGTGTAGATGTCTGTCCTTATACCAGTACTACACTGTTTTGATTACTGTAGCTTTGCAGTAAGTTTTGCAATCAGAAAGAAACTTTTCTTCCAAGAAAAGTTGGTTTAATTCACATGAGATGAAAATTAAAATGTGGGTAAGTCTTAGATTGGTTAACGCAGAGGAAGTAGCACTCAAGCTATTTTGAAGACCAAAGTTCATCATCTAAGCCACAGTCCTCCTCAGAGCTCATGCCCACCAATCTTTAATATTACAAATGGAGGAAGGGTAGGGATGGAGATCAAGGATAGTGCTGGCAAGGGTATGAATTGGTCCGACCTTTTTGGAGGGCATTTGGGAATAAGAATCACAACACTTGGATATGGGTTACTGTTTGACCCAGGAATTATGTTTTCAGGTAGAGTAATAACAAATGGACTTGCACAGAAATTTTCCTGCAAAGATGTTCAACCCACATTGTTAGCATAGCAATGAACAACAAAAAAAGTTTGAGTGGCACTGGCTAAATTATGGTGCAACCATACAATGGGATACCCGTTGGCTGTTAGAAACACGTGTTGAAGCCTATTTGTAGACATGAAAAGATGATAAGTATTTAAATTTGAAAAAAAAAACACCATTATATGTACTATGCAATTTCACAATTGTCAGATTTGGAGATCATAAAATATCCAAACACACACACACACACACACACACACACACACCCACACACACTCTGGAAGGGTAGATGCTATTACTAATCGTCGTTATATTAGGTCTGGCTTTCCAAAAGCAGGTCCTAAGAGAAGGATTCACGTGCAACAGATTTATTTTTTATTAATTAATTAATTAATTTACTTTTTGAGATGGAGTCTTGCTCTGTTGCCAGGCTGGAGTGCAGTGGTGCGATCTCAACTCACTGCAACCTCTGCCTCCTGGGTTCAAGTGATTCTCCTGCCTTAGCCTTCTGAGTACCTGGGATTACAGGCGCGCACCACCATACCTGGCTAATTTTTTGTATTTTTAGTAGAGATAGTAGAGACGGGGTTCACCACATTGGCCAGGATGGTCTCAATCTCCTGACCTTGTGATCCACCTGCTTCGGCCTCCCAAAGTGCTGAGATTACAGGCGTGAACCACCACGCCGGCCACAACAGATTTATTAAGGGAGTGCTTCCAGGAGAAACTGGTAAGGGAGTGGGAGAAACAGGGCAGAAAAGGATAGGAAGCAAAGCCAGCATGCAATTTTAGGCCAAGTCCGATACAGCAGGGGTCCCCAACTGGTCTATGGGACCAATACCTGTCCATGGACTATTAGGAGCTGGGCTGCACAGCAGGAGATGAGTGGTGGGTGAACGAGTAAAGCTCCATCTGTATTTACAGCCACTTCCCATTGCTTACATTGCTGCTTAAACTCCACCTCCCGTTGGATCAGTGGCAGCATTAGATTCTCATAGGATCACAAATCCTACTGTGAACTGCACATGTGAGGGATCTAGGCTGTGAGCTCCTTATGAGAATCTAATGCCTGATGATCTGTCACTGCCTCCCATCACCTCCAGATGTGATTTTCTAGTGAAGGACAAACAAGCTCAGGGCTCCCACTGATTCTACATTATGGCGAGTTGTACAATTATTTCATTATATATTACAATGTAGTAATAATAGAAATAAAGTGCACAATAAATGTAATGCACGTGAATCATCCCAAAACCATGCCCCCACCATGCATGGAAAAATTGTCTTCCACAAACGTGGTCCCTGATGCCAAAAAGGTGGGGACCCCTGCCATAGAGGATAACTTCAGCCTGATCTCACAGAGAAATTCTAAGTGTAAATTACACCTTAGGTTTATTCTAACCCAAGGCAAGGAAGCTGGGCTTTCAAACTCCTTCACTCAGCAGTCATTGGTTAAAGGCCACCCTGGACGGGGATGTAAAAATCCCAGACATGATGAATGCAGCTGCTCCAGTAGCCTGAAGGCAGGCCTTCGAGGCAAAGCCACAGGTGCAGGCCATTGGGAGCAAAAGCTTACCAATGTTGAGGAAGAGATGTGAAGAAATGGTAAAGGGATTTTAGGGGATGTGAGTGGAGCATGCCATTTAGCATTCTTTAAATTTTTGTAGATGAGGAAAATGCATTATTTTTGTAATAACAACATGTCATTTAAAAATTACTGTTGAACAAATACCTTTCAAATTCCTCTACAATCTCACATCTATTTCACAGAATTATGTTTGGTATTCTGTGGGGGAAAAAAGGCTTTTTCTTCTTGGCTGAGTCTGTATATTAAAAATAAAGAAAAAAAGGCTTTTTCTCATAGCCCTGCTTCAGTGACTGTCTTGGCAATATTCTAATAAAGCTATGAGGCTTCAAAATCCTTACCCCAGAGACCAACCTATATCATTAAGGGTAATAAATACAGTCAAAACAATCATGACAACAATGACATGTGGAACTATCCTGTACATTAATATTGATAATAATAGTGACATGTATTGGAGTGCTGTATGGGCTGGGTCCTGGGTGAAGCACTTTACATGCATTCTCTCATTAAATTATCTGAATAATCCTATTAGTTAATTACAGTGATTATGCCCATTTCCCAGATGTGAAAACTAAGGGCCAAAAAACGTTAAGTAATTTGCTCCAGCAAAACCAATAAAAGGCAGAGTCTGGACTCAGCTCAGGTTTGCCTTGTGCCAAAGCTCATGTTTGAAATCTCTGCACTGTGATATATCCCAATCCATGTGCTTCTCTTATATTTTAAGGAACATTAAGTCTTGAATTCTGATCATGGGCCAGTTCTTCTGTTATATTGTACTCCTTTTTACATGTAATCCTGAGAATATTTTTCTGCTGGTTTTCCCAGCCTTATTGGACAATTCATTTGAACTTCTTTCTATTTATAATCTCATAGGAAAAGGGCTGATGTATTTGTAAAATTATAAGCAAAAACCCGTCATTGTCCATGGAGAATACCTGCCCCAGTGCAGGCTGTGTTGAACATTTTATAATATTCAAACTTCAATCACTGCATTCCCCAAATGATAGCTTTCTCTGATCTAAGGGGAAACCTTACCTTTTTGTCTGCTGCAAATATACATGTTAAAATGGACAGAGGCCAACAGGTATATTATAATGTGAGAAAAGCACTTTCTAGGACAGTAGAATAAGGGTGATAATTTTAGAAATTGCCAAATAGGATAGATGGGTGGCTTCTTTCTTTTCCTTAACTGCTTTCTTTTCATCTTCAGCTTCAGTCTAAATTCCTGGTATAGAACTCTACATGACACAGGTTGAAAGAAATAGAAACAAGCATATAGTTTAAAAGAAATAGGATTTCTTCCCAGGTTAAATTTCTAGCTAAGGATTAATTTGCTTGCACCAGACTCATAACTTTCCAGATTTCTGTTTGCTTATGTATGAGGGGGAAAAAAAGCTCAGCTAGGCTGAATATAGCGATTAGTTAAATTGCTCAGACATTCATTATTGAAAAACCTCAATTCCACTTGAAGTTGGGGTTTGTTTAGCACTCACTGACAATAACTTTCTGCTTGACTGATGGCTACTAATTTTGATAGTGGTATGGGAATGTCAGTCACAAATAGAAATAGACACACAGACTCTAGGACCCATTAAGCTGGTTACCATGCTCACATCCCCAAATGTGTGTTGTTTCAAAATATAGGCTAAAGAGATTTAATTACATTCTGGGATAGGAAACATTTACGTTTCAAGTTTGCACTGGTTGGGGGATGCTAACAGAGAAAAGAAGAGTAATGAAGCAGAGAGATCTCGGGGAATCAGGAGAGCATCACACCTGCTGACAGGTGCAAAGAACAGACCTAACATCTGTGAAGGAAAAGTCGAGTACTTCAGGAACAAGGTGGTGGGAAATTAAAGCACCAAGAGATGTTAAGCTGCTCCAGGAAACAGGCTGGGAGACTGATTGTTTGTCTCAATCAAGAGATGGCTGCACCTAAAAATAAGGATAGAGCCCATCAGACTTTCTTTTCTCCCTCTTCTTTCAGCCCATTGGCCTTGATTTGGTCTTAAGGCATGAAAGGAAGCCTCACGGAGCCCAGCTACATTTTCATGCCGTGAAAATGAGCACTTAAAATGTAAACAGTTCTCCCAACTGCATGTGCTGAAGGCAAATGGATTCGGAAGAACTTCACCCACTGTTCTCAGGGAATGGTTGCTCTGTGGGGTGTCTCTGAGACCCACAAGGCTAAGGTTCTCATTGTGTTTGTTTATTTTATTTTAGTTTTCAGATAAGCAAACCAAGGCTTAGAGAGGACAGAGAGCTTGGGTTGGCAGTCCGGTGCCACGCTTAAACAAATAGGCTCAAATTCTGGATCTGCCGCTTCTCAAATCACTGGGTGATTTGAGCAAATTTCAGTCTCCCTGAGCCTCTGCTTCTTCTATGAAGTGGGAAGAAAAGACTATTGATGACTTAGCATCAACTATTAGGACTAGCGGGAAGGAGGCATGTAAAAGGTACTACATGTATTTAATGCAGATTTATTGAGCACTCACTATGTCCCAGGCAATGTTCTAGTTGCTGTATAACCTGGCTTTTTTCTGTTGTGGAATTTCTTTTTATTCTTATTTTTTGATTAAAAAATTATTTTTATATTTTGTGGGTACATAGGTGTATATATTTATGGAGTACACAAGATGTTTTGATACAGGCATGCAATGTGTGAAAATCACATGATGGAGAATGGGGTATCCATCCCCTCAAGCATTGATCCTTCCTGTTACAAACAATCCAGTTATACTCTTTTAGTTATTTTAAAAAGTACAATTAAGTTATTATTGACTATAGTCACCCTGTTGTGTTATCAAAGAGTAGGTTTTATTCATTCTTTTTTGGGGGGGTACCCATTAACCATGCCCCCGCACACAACCCTTCCCAGCCTCTGGTAACCATTGATTGATTGATTGATTGATTGATAGAGACAAGGTCTCCGTCTGTCTTCCAGGCTGGAGTGCAGTGGCGCAATTTCAGCTCACAGCAGCCTCCGCCTCTGCCTCCTGGGTTCAAGTAATTCTCATGCCTCAGCCTCCTGGGTAGCTGAAACTACAGGCAAGTGCCAACATGCCTGGCTAATTTTTTTTAATTTAAAAAAACTTTTTTTAATTTAAAAAAACTTTTTTTAATTTTTAGTAGAGATGGTGTTTCACCATGTTGGCCAGGCTGGTCTTGAACTCCTGACTTCAGATGATCCGCGCACTTCAGCCTCCCAAAGTGCTGGGTTTACAGGCGTGAGCCACCGTGCCCGACCACCATCCTTTACATAACCTTGCTTTTTCCCATTGGGTGAGAGATACAGCTAATAGTCACAGCAACTGACCTTTATCAAATGTCTATTGTGTGCCAAGCCACTGTGTTTATCTTTTTTTTTTTTTTTGCTTTTTGAGACGGAGTCTTATTCTATCGCCCAGGCTGGAGTGCAGTGGTACAATCTTGGCTCACTGCAACCTCTGCCTCCCAGGTTCAAGCGATTCTCCTGCCTCAGCCTCCCAAGTAGCTGGGACTACAGGCGCACACCACCACAGCCAGCTAATTTTTGTATTTTTAGTAGAGATGGGGTTTTGCCATGTTGGCCAGACCAGTCTCAAACTCCTGACCTCAGGTGATCCACCCACCTTGGCCTCCCAAAGTGCTGGGATTACAGGCGTGAGCCACTGCGCCTGGCCTGTGTTTATCTTACACACATATCTCATTCTAATAGACAGAAACCCTAATAAGAGGCAGGTGCTGTTTTTTTGTTTCTTTGTTTGTTTGTTTTGTTTTGTTTTGTTTTTGAGATGGAGTCTCTCTGTGTGGCCCAGGCTGGAGTGCAGTGGCACGATCTCGGCTCACTGCAAGCTCCGCCTCCCAGGTTCAAGCCATTCTCCTGCCTCAGCCTCCCCAGTAGCTGGGACTACAGGCGCCTGCCACCACACCTGGCTAATTTTTTGTATTTTTAGTAGAGACAGGGTTTCACCGTGTTAGCCAGGATGGTCTCAATCTCCTGACCTTGTGATCTGCCCGCCTCGGCCTTGCAAAGTGCTGGGATTACAGGCGTGAGCCACCGTGTCCGGCAGGTACTGTTTTTATCCCTATTGTGTCGATAAGGAAACTGAGGCTTAAAGAGAGACATTGAGTCATTTGCCCAAGGTCGCACCTCTAGCAGGTGTGGGGCTGGGATTCATTCCATTATCCCTTACAACAAATAATTATTGAACATCTACTGGGCCACACACTGCACTAGAAACAGAGAAGGCAACAATGAGTAAATAGGTAGGACAAGCTTTCTGTCCTAATGGCACTTACATTCCAGTGGAGACACCTGCACCAATTCCTGGTGCAACTAAGACTTTGTTCGGATGGTGGCGGTGTGTGAGGGCTAAGGGTGAGGATCTGACCTGGTTGGGAGGAGTGACATTTAAACTGAGATCTGCAAGGTGGGGTGTGTGAAGAATGCTCCAGGCTAGAGGCCATTTTCACAGTGTCCTCACTCCTCATGCCTGTCCCTCCTGCCTATTCAACAACAGCATTGGCTCCAACCCTGGTTGGTGGTAACTTCCATTCTCTGCTTTGCCAATTTGTCTGACAGCCCTGGGTCCTGACAGATGTGTTTTCTCTGTAAGAGGGATTTTGACATCATTTCCTAGAATCTTTTTCTTGACCAAAGGCTTGTGATTGGCCCTTGGCAAATTGTAAGACTAATGACATTTGTGTGTGTGTGTGGGTGTCTTGTAGCTGTAAAAATCCCATCTTCAATTACATCTCTTCACTATGCCAATTCTCTATCCTTATTCAGTGGGCAAGCAAAGATGGTTGTTTTGAGTGACAGGAAGAAAAACTGGTGAACTCTTGGCGTGAAACCTGAATAACCCTCTTCCCTGCTTAACCACAAACAGAGAAACCCACTTAGCATCATGGCGGGGGGACAACTGAGTTGTCAAACATGTGCAGGAGAATTAATGAGACCGTTTTTATGTTTTTCCTTGGGGAAGAGGAAGGACAGGCAGCATTCTCAGACCTGGAGGACTTTGAATTAAAAATGAAAGAGGCGTGAGAATTCTTTTCAGTTTTTTCCCATTCAATCCTATTACACATTTTATGACCCTTGGCTTGGGGGCCCAATTTTAAGCTTGCCTTGGCTAAGAACTAGGGACTCAAGAAATTAAAGACTCCTCTTCCCCATCCTCCCAGGGGCTCTTAATTTGGTGCAGGAAATAGGTACGTTTAAATAAGCCACTTTAATACAAAGTAAACTGTGCTTAGGACTCAGCACAGTGCCTGCCCCATCGTGGGCACTGTATTAGCCGCACCTCTTCAGAGAACCAGAAGAAATGAAATTTATAAAAGAAAAAAGTGTAGGAAGAAATGTATTGTAAGGATTGGCTTACCTGATTATGAGGGATGAGAAGTCCCATGATATACCATCTGCAAGCCAAAGAACCAGGAAAGCCAGTGGTGTGGTTCCAGTCCGAGTCTCAAGTCCCAAGAACCAGGGGTGCTTATGTCTGAGGGCAGGAGAAGATGGATGCCCCAGCTCAAGCAGAGAGAGCAAATTCACTCTTCCTCTGTCTTTTTGTTCTCAACAGATCGGATACTACCCACCCACATTGGTGATAGTAATCATCTTTGCTCAGTCTACTGATTCAAATGCTAATCTCTTCCAGAAACACTGTCACGGACACATCCAGAAATAATGTTTTACCAGCTATCTGGGCACCACTTGGCCTGATCAAGTTGACACATAAAATTAACCATCATAGGCACTTAATAAAGTTGTGTGGAATGATTGAATGTTTGCAGGAATGGATGGATGGATGGATGGGTGGATGGATGGATGGATGGATGGATGGATGGATGGATGAAGGAATGAATGAATGAAGGTCCATGAGAAAGTGCCAGACACTTGGGTGTGTTTTTAGTGAAGTATATTGTTAGGAGTTTTACGGAGAATTGGGGGTTGATGTATGCAGGACTTCACTGAGTGAAAGAGAAGATAAAAAAAGAGATAAGGGGTCATGGAAAAACCTTAAGACTCAGATTTGGGGGCCCAATTTTAAGCTTGCCTGCATCCCCACTTCCCTTAGAATACTGTGGTGGGTAGGGCAACATTCTGCAGTGATGCTCAAACTTGAGCGTGCATTGGAATCACTTGGGAGGTTTCTTAAAACCCAGATTGGCCAGGCGCAGTGACTCACACCTGTAATTCCAGCACTTTGGGAGGCCAAGGCAGGCAGATCACTTGAGGTCAGGAGTTCGAGATCAGTCTAGCCAACATGGTGAAACCCAGTCTCTAATAAAAATTTAAAAATTAGCCGGGCATGATGGTGGGTACATATAATCCCAGCTACTTGGGAGGCTGAGGTAGAAGAATCTCTTGAACCCGGGAACCGGAGGTTGCAGTGAGCCAGGGTCACTCCACTGCACTCCAGCCTGGGAGACAGAGCAAGATTCCATCTAAAAAAAAAAAAAAAAACACCCAGATTGTGGGGCCCCAACCACAGAGTTTCTGACTCAGTAAGTTTAGGGTGGAGCTTGAGAACCTGCATTTCTGGCAATTTCTCATGCGATGGTGACGCTGATGGTCCAGGTACCACACATTGAGAACCACCAGCCAATTGGCTTAGAACAAGGACTCTGGATTCAAACAACTTGAGCTTAGGGTTGCCAGGTAAAATACGCTCAGTTAAAGTTGCATTTCACAGAAACAACAAATAATTTTTTAGTATAAGTTCCATGTCAGAGGCATCCTGTATTTTTACTTGCTATGTCTGGCAACCCTGTTGGGTTTAACTCTCAGTGCTGTTACTCTGGAGCCATGCTGTTTAAGGCCCATCATTTGGCTCTCCGAGTTTCAGTATCCCCCACTTACAAAATGGGGGTGGTAACAATACCAGCTGTCTCCTAAAGTAATTATGACGATCAAGTAATCGTATAAAGGATTTCACACAGAGCCTTGCCTGTAGCAAGCACGCAGGAAATGTCAGCTGTTATTATTCACCATTATCCTCAGGTGAGTAACTTTTGGGGTGAAAAAAGCATTATACCGAGTGTTTTTTTTTTGAAAGGATTTTATGATTCAGCCTTTTAAATTTTAAACTAGGGAATATTTCTCCTCTTTGAAAAGGTCCTTGAAGCTGCCCTCTCTCATTTCTTTAATAGTAGATTATAAAGAATGGATTGGTTGATTGCATCTAAAATCTCCTCTTCCAACAACTCCCAACCCCACTCAGGGCCAGATTTGACTGATCTCTGGGTGGTGTATCTGGGTGTTAAATTTCTGAGGGGCCAGTAAAGGCAGGTCGCTGGGGGTAGGGCTGAGTCCTGCCTCTAGGAAATAGGCACAGCTCCTTTCAAACTGCTGCTTGCTATGAACAAAAACAGAATGAGGGTCAGGCGTGGTAGCCAGTAATCTGTAATCCCAGCATTTTGGGATACTGAGGCAGAAGGATCATTTAAGGCCAGAAGTTCGAGATCTGTCTGGGCAGCATAGCGAGACCCTCTCTCTACAAATTAAAAATTAACCAGGCATGGTGGGGTGCACCTGCAGTCCCAGCTACTTGGGGGGCTGAGGTGGGAGGATCGCTTGAGCCTAGGAGTTTGAGACCAGCCAGGGCAACATAAGGAGACTCCATGTCTACAAAAAAATAAAAAGTCAAGCCACACATGGTAATGCATGCCAGTACTCCCACCTACTCAGGAGGCTGAGGCAGGAGGATCACTTGAGCCCAGGAGTTCGAGGCTACACTGAGCTATGATCATGCAGATTGCAGCTGCACATCAGCGTAGGTGACAGAGTGAGACCCTCTCTTTAAAAAACCAAAAACAACAACAACAACAAAAACAAACAGAATGAGAGGGAGAGGGAGAGGGAGAGGGAGAGGGAGAGGGAGAGGGAGAGGGAGAATGCTTTTTAATATAGAATCAATTCAGGGCTGATTCTATCCTTTGGAATTAAATTTTTCCCCTCAATATTTCAAACTTATGTCCATTTTGAGGTTTGGGATCCCCATTTCCCCTGCACTTCATGGAATGCCAGCCCATTCTGGAAGTTGGAGAGCCAGTGAGGGTCAGTGTGAAATGTTCATGGGCAGGCTGAGCTGTGCTGGGGGCTAAGCGTTGGTCTGAAATGCCTGAACATTTCTTTATAAAGTTGACCACATCAGTATCTTTCAACCTGTAGGTTGTGACCTGTAAATGGATCATGAAATCAATTTGAAGGGTCATAAGTAGTATTCTTGTTTTTCAAAAAGAAATAGAATGCAACACAATGGAATTGAAACTGTCAGGATGCAGGCCGGGAATGGTAGCTCATACCTGTAACCCCAGCACATTGGGAGGCCAAGGCGGGTGGATCTACTGAGGTCAGGAGATCGAGACCAGCCTGGGCAGAATGGCGAAATCCCATCTACCAAAAATACAAAAAAATTAGCCAGGTGTGGTGGCGTATACCTGTAATCCCAGCTACCCAGGAGGCTGAGGCAGGAGAATCGCTTGAATCTAGGAGGTGGAGGTTGCAGTGAGCAGAGATTGTGCCACTGCACATTCCAGCCTGGGCAACAGAGCAAGACTCCATCTCAAAAAAAAAGAAAGAAAGCAAAGCAAAGCAAAGCAAATATCAGGATACATTGCAGTGCACATAGTAAGGGTAAATGTTGTAAACTTTTGATACATATGATATGTATGATAAATATGTAACATACACTATTTACAGGTGTAATAGGTCATGGAATATGGTCAAAAGAACGTGGAAGTCATGAGAGCAGGTAATAGCTAAGGCCCCTTGCAATTTTGCAATATGGTGTCAGTAAGATGGTGGTTTTTAAGCAGGGGCAATTTTGCTTTTCAAGGGAGATTTGGCAACATCTGGAGACGTTTTTGATAGTCACGACTTTGTGGAGAAATCGTGTGCTACCGGCGTCTAATGGGTAGAGGCCAGGGGTGCTGCTAAGTGTCTTGCATTGCACAGGACAGTCCCCCACCACAGGGAATTACCCGGCCCCAAATGTCAATAGTGTGGACGTTGAGAAACCCTGCTCTAAGGGTACGTGTGGATAGAATCACTTACCAGTAGTAGCCTTATTACTACTAACTAGGATTTACGGAGCACTTACTATATGCAGGCATGCTTCTAAGTGCTCACATTGATGAACTCTTTTAATACTTACAACAGGTGGGAGATAAAAGTGTGTTTCCTTCCCCCTTTTCAGATGAGGAAACTGAGGCATAGGATGATCAAGGGTTGCCCAAAGTTACAAAGTTAGCAGAATTAGGATTCCAGTGCAGGAATTCTGGCTTTAATTCCTTGAATCAGCGTTTTATGCTTCCATAGCACTTCAGTCTCCAAAGCCTTTTTTTTTCCTGTAGCAAAACACATGTAAAATTTGCCATTTCAACCATTTAAAAATGTGCGATTCAATGGCATTAAGTATATTCACAATGTCGTGCAAACCCGTTCAACACCACCATCAATTTCAAAATTTTTGCCACCCCAAACGGAAGCCCTGAACCAGTTAAGCAGTCATTCCACACATTCTTTCCTCTCCTCGGCCCCTGGTAACCTCCCATCTTTTCTCTGTGTCTATGAATTTGCCGATTCTAGATATTTCATATGAATGAAGTTATGTGATCTGTGGTCTTTTGTATCTGGCTTCTTTCTCTTAGCATAATGTTTTCAAGGTTTCTACATGACGTAGCCTGTGTCATAATTTCATTCCGTTTTATGGCTGATTTATATTCCATTGTATGGATAGATCACATTTTGTTTATCCATGTGTCTGTTGATGGACACTTTGTTTGCTTCCACATTTTAGCTATTGTGAATAAAACTGATGTGAGCCCAAAGCTTTTTTTTTTTATACTGAAGGTGGAGAAGGATTGTATCACTGAGGACAGGGGAGAAATCCAGATTGTTTTGGTGACAGACACTGTTCTTAGTCATCTCACATATATTATCTCATTTGATCTTCACAGTAACCCCACGAAGCTCCCCCATTTTTACAGATGTGAAGAACAGAGAGGGTGAGTCTCCTGCCCAGGGTCACACAGCAAATCAGGGCACATTACTCTTTGTCACGAAGAGGAGAAGTGTGTGTATATTATGCAGCAGAACTCTGAGCAGTGGCTGCCTTCTAGAACAGGAGCTGAACTTCTGATTTGCACAGAAATCTAGATAGGCAAAATTCCCTCAATACTCATATTGCACTATTTCTAGGTGCTGTATTTAGACATGTATGAAGAAGCCTCAATTGAGAATAAAGATAGTTCTCCTTGTGCAAGAAAAAAAAAACTACTTTTAATCTCTGAGATTCAGTGCCATGACTTTCACTCATTCTTGATTTGTTGAGGCTTCCTTCACAGTCAATTTATTCCCTCCGTCTGCATTGATGAAGAACTTACTATGTGCAAGGCACTGCTCCAGACATGCAATATGGCAGTGAACAGGACAGACCAAGTCCCTGTCCATGTGGAGTTTATGTTCTAGTGGGGGAGACAGGTAATAAACCAGTGAGCAAACACACAAGTGGTCCAGACAGAGGTGAGGGTTAAGTATTGCACCTTCCTCTTGAAACATATCTGTTGGCTCTAACGACGTCCACAAGGAGATACTGAACCCTGAGGCTGGAGGGTAAACTCAGCTTCCCACCCTCAACTCACTCTGTTCCCAGGAATGACCAAGTGTTTATCATGATGAATTGAGCGTAACATCTTCCCATCATCCTTGGGGTCCCTATTACAGACAGAGACAGAGCTGAAAGCTAGATTCATTCATATCTGACTTTTTCCACTCACTTTTTTTTCTCTGGAGTGGAGTCTATTTAGGAAAACACCTTCAGGGGTCAAGGTGATCTCCTATATCAGAAATCAGCAGACTTTTTCGGTAATGAGCCAGACAGTACATAGTTTAGTCTCTGGGTCACACGGTGTCTGTGGCGCCTTCTCAACTCTGTTATTCTAACACGAAAGCAGCCAGAGACTATCAGTAAATGAATGGATGTGTTTGTGTTCCAATTAAACTTTATGAACCCTGAAATGAAATTTCATATAGTTTTTACCTGTCAGAAAATATTCTTAATAATTTTTTCCCAGCTATTTAAAAATGTAGGAAAACATCCTTAGCTAGCAGGAGGAGGGCTGGACTTGACCTACAGGCCATAGATCATCGACTGTGCCTGTATCATTCCTCATCAATGGTCCTCTGGCATCTGAATCTTTCCTTTTTTAACTCCAGCCAACAGACTGCATCCTAAGGCAGATTATTCTGCTTTCAGAAAGGTGCTGTTTTTAGAAAGCATCAATCATGTATTGAGTCAAAATATGCCTTCTTGTATCATTCATCCAACAAACACTTTGTAAAGAAATTTAAACATTTCAACTTTATAGGATGGAAGTTTGGGGATATACATAAAGTTAGAGAGAACAGTGTAATGACCCTCTAGGTGCCCATCACCCAGTACTGACCATTATCAGCGCGTGGCCAATCTTGTCTCATCTCCACCTGCCACCCTGCATAGATTCTTTGAAAGGAAATCTCAGATCTCATATTACTCTATCAGCAAATACTTCCATACACATCTCTGAGGGATAAGGACTAAAACATTTTAAGGTGACCTGATTTTAAAATTAACAGTAATTCCTTAAAATCATTAATGTTCAGCCAGTGTCTAAACTTCCCTGACTTATGTTCTTTGATTGTTAATTTCTTTCAACCCAGATCAAAATAAGATCTGGGCATTGCATTTAGTCAGTAAATCTCTTAAGTCTTCTTTTTAAATAATAGGTTTATTGAAGTGTAATTTGGCACACAGTATTTAAAGTGTACAATTTGATAGGCTTTGCCTTATGTTTATAACCATGAAGCCATCAACACGATCAAGATAACATTTCCGTCACCCCAAAAGTTTCTCTGTAGCCTTTTGAAATTCCTCCTTCCCACCTCTCCCCACCTCACCTCACCTACCTGCTAGCCCCATGCTGTCAGTAATTTGCTTTCTGTCATTTTAGATTAGTTTATACTTTCTAGAATTTTATATAAATGGAATCATATAACAGGTACTGATTTTTATCTGACCTTCTTTTATAATTATAATTAGTTTGAGATTAATCCATGTTGTTGGGTATAGATAGCTTATTCCTTTGTATTGTTGAGTAACATTCTGTTGGATGGATATACCACAATTTATCTGTTCATCTGTTGGTGAATATTTGGATCATTCCCAGTTTTTTGCTATTATAAGTAAGGCTGTTAGAAGAATGAAAAAAAAATAAGCCAGAGACTGGAAGAAAATTTTGCAAAGCATAGATCTAACAAAAGACTTATATCCAGAGTATATAAAGAACCCTCAAAATTCAATGAGAAGAAATTGAACAACCTAATTAAAAATGGGCAAAAGATTTAAACAGCTACTTCACCGAAGAAGATATACAGATGGCAAATAAGCACATGAAAATATACTTAGCATCTTTACTTTGGGAAAATGCAAAATAAAACCGGAAATAAGATACCACTATTAAAATGGCTACAATATAAAACGCTGTGTCGGGCACAGCGGTTCATGCCTCAAATCCCAGCACTTTGGGAGGCTGAGGTGGGAGGATCGTTTAAGCCCAGGAATTCGAGATGAACCTGGGCAGCACAGTGAGACCTTGTCTCTACAAAAAGCAAACAAGATTAGCCCAGCACGGTGGTGCACACCTGTAGTCCCAGCTACTTGGGAGGCTGAGGTGGGAAGATCACTTGAGCTTGGGAGGTTGAGGCTGCAGTGAGCAGAGATTGTGCCACTGCACTCTAGCCTGGGTAACAGAGTGAGACCTTGTCTCAAAAAACAAACAAACAAAAAAACAAAAAACAAAACTGACCATACCAGATATTGGAAAGATGAGGAGCAATGGGACCTCTCATATACTGCTGGTGGGGATGTAAAATGATACAGCTACTTTGGAGACCAGTTTGGCAGTTTCTCAGAGTTAAATAAACACTGTGGTAGGCAGAATAATGTCCCACCTCCCAAAGAAGTGCATGTGCTAATCCCTGCAACCTGTGAATATATTACATAGAAAAAGGAGCTGGGCACGGTGGCTCACGCCTGTAATTCCAGCACTTTGGGAAGCTGAGGTGGGCGGATCACCTGAGGTCAGGAGTTCGAGACGAGCCTGGCCAACATGGTGAAACCCCGTCTCTACTACAAATATAAAAATTAGCCGGGCATGGTGGGATGTGCCTGTAGTCCCAGCTACTCGGGAGGGTGAGGCAGGGGAAATCGCTTGAATCCAGAAGGTGGAGGTTGCAGTGAGCCAAGACGGCACCACTGCATTCCAGCCTGGGCAACAGAGAGAGACCCTGTCTCAAAAACAAACAAACAAACAAAAAGGGACATTGCAGTTGTGATTAAGTTAAAGATTTTGAGATGGGAAGATTATGTGGATTATCTGTGTGGTCCAATGTAATTATAAATATTCTTATAAGAGGATGGCAGGAGGGCCAGAGAAAGAAATATGAAGATGCTACATTGTTGACTTTGATGAGGAAAAGGGGCCATGAGCCAGGAATGCAGGTGGCTTCTAGAAGCTGGAAAAGACAAGAGAATGAGTCTTCTCTAGAGCTTTCAAAAGGAATACAGGTCTGCCTATGCCTTGATTGCAGCCCAGCGAAATGAGTTCCAAATTTCTGACCTTTACAACTGTAGCATAGTAAATTTGTATTGTTTTAAGCCATTAAGTTTGTGGTAATTTGTTACAGCAGCAACAGCAAACTGATACATATTCCTACATATAATCCTGCCATCTCATTTCTAATTATTTATCCAGGAGAAATGAGGACTTACGTACATTAGCACATAAATGCTTCTAAATCTCTTAATCTGTTAGAGGTCCCTCTTTCTCATGGATTTCTGCCATTTATAACAAACATCTGTTGAGTGTCTACTGTATCCCTGAGCCTACTCTTTAGAGAGATACAGTAAATAATACTATTTTTCTTTCTTTCTTGTTTTTTGAGACACGGTCTTCCTCTGTTGCCCAGGTTGGAGTGCAGTGGTAAAATCATGGCTCACTAACAGCCTTGACCTCCCAGGCTCAAGTGATCCTCCTACCTCAGCCTCCTGAATAGCTCGGATTACAGTCACGTGCCATCACGCCTGGCTAATTTTTGTTTTTTTTGTAGAGACGGGGTCTCACTATGTTGCCCAGCCTGGTCTTGAATGCCTAGGCTCAAGCGGTCTGCCTGCCTCAGTCTCCCAAAGTGCTGGGATCACAGGCGTGAGCCATCACGTTTGGCCTATTTATCTTTCTTTATGGCGTGTTTTTTAGGTGGTTCACACACCGTGAGGTTCCTTCCCTGACATCTAGTTTAAACAATCTCTGTTCTTCCACACAGTCTGAGTGTGTGAAAATTCCTCTTAAGGGACTGTGATACAGAGAACTGTACTTAGAAATGCAATGCGATTTGCTTAGGGTGGTTCAGGATGTTATGTGAACCTCTGTTTTTTATCTTCCCAGGATCCTTCAACATCTCTGGACAAAGTCATCCCAGCTTTAATTGGGAGCACCATCTTCCTTCAGTTTCTAGATTATGTGACTTTGTTGTGTCTGTGACTGACCTCACTCCATGACAACAGGGCAGTCACATGTCTTTGGCTGGCCAATCAGGGAACACCATTGCCCTGGCCCCAAGAGACTGGTTCAGTGATGGGCACTTGGCTCAAGCTGGATCATTGTAGAAATCCCTGGGCTGTCAATCACTCCTCAACAGGTTGCTGGGTAAGCACAACATCAGAGTAAAGGGAATTAGGTGATCCTCAAAGATGTTCACTCATGCTGGAAAGACAAGACAAGTTGGCAGCAAATTCTTCTAAAGGGACACATATCTAGTTTTGTGAGAGAGGCAGTGTTTCTCATTTGGGGACATTTTGGAGACTCTTGGAAAAACCCTGGCAATATCAATGCTTTTGCTCAGCTTTTTGAGTGGTGCATGGAGACACATGGCCTCAGTGTATCAGTTGGCCGGGCTACTGGCAAGGAATTGGGATTGGCTTTCAGCTTGTTGCATGTGCCCTGCTTAGCTTTCTAAGCTTGAACCTGATCCTTCCTTACCTATCCAACTGCTACTGTCACTCTTTCCTCCCTTAAATAGAACTCATCTCTCTGCTTTATCAAATCCACAACCCTGCGAATCCCTGATCAGCTTTGTTTTCTTCACTGAGAGCTTTCTGGCTTCTTCGGTCTTCTAACCAGATTGCAATTAAAGACAGAAATCATGGCAAATACTTATTTCTTACTGTTTCCTGTTTCTACCCTGGTCTTTCCAACCACATTTTAGGGGCTGTATATCAGATGTGCCTCTTGTTTATATAGAGAGTCCGGTAGTCATTTGATAAATGTCTGTTGCGTGCTGAGATTCGAGATGGACAAGGTCCCTGCCTTCGTGAAGGTTGCAATATAGTGGGTGGGAAAATACAATAAACAAGTAAATAGATACTATGTAAGGATGAAAACAAGAACAAGATCAGATAATGGGCAATGGGAAGAGAGGAAACCCTAATAAGGTAGCCAAAGGAGGCTTCTTTGAAAAGATGGCATTTGAGTAGACACTTGAATGGACTGACTGGCTTCTCTCCCTCTTTTTGGTGTTAGCTTGGTGGCTTGTGATAAAAACAATGGACAGTAGAATTTTTAACTTCCTTGCTTTCTGTGCTTTTTTGCCAAATCTCTTCCAAATTGCCTGAAATGATCCAACAGACCACAGTAGACACAGTAAGAGAGCCCCTCAAGAATTCCTACATCCTGATATTCATGCTCCATGGAATCCCTACACCTTGAGTGTGGGCTGGATTTATTGGCTTACTTCTTGCAAATGAAATATGGCAGAAGGGAGGTCAGGTGTGGTGGCTCACGTCTGTAATCCCAGCAGTCTGGGAGGCCGAGGCAAGTGGATCACCTGAGGTCAGGAGTTTGAGATCAGCCTGGCCGACATAGTGAAACCCCGTTTCTACTAAAAATACAAAAATTAGCTGGGTGTAGTGGTGGGTGCCTGTAATCCCAGCTACTCGGGAGGATGAGGCAGGAGAATCACTTGAACCCAGGAGGCAGATGTTGCAGTGAGTCAAGATCATGCCATTGCACTCCAACCTGGGCAACAAGAGTAAAACTCCACCTCAAAAAAAAAAAAAAAAAAATGGCGGAAGGGATGAGCTGTCACTTCAACGTTTACATCATAAAATGACCATGGCTTCTACCTTAGGTATTCCCTGTCTTGCTTTCTCTTAGATCACTCACTCCAGGTGAAGCCAGATTCCATGTCATGAGGCAGGTCTGTGAAGAGACCCACGTGGCAGGAACAGAGGCCTGTGGCCTGCCCAAATCCACCTGCGTGGCTTTGAAAGTGAATTCTCTCAAGTTGTGTCCTCAAGCGAAATTTCGGCCCTGACAACTGCAACTGCCTAAGTGGCCTTGAGCCAGAGGCACCCAGCCAAGCTGCTCCTAAGGTTTCAGACCCACAGAAATAGTGAGATAATAAATGTTTGTATTTTACACCATTACATTTTGGGGTAATTTGCTACACAGCAATAGATAACTACTACACAGTCAAACTGGAATGATCATCTATGGGTCTGTATGGGTTTGCCTCTCTCTACTGAGTGGGGCAGATGGCCATGGTATCCAGAAAAATACTCTTCCTTAGATAAAATAGGCATCCCAAGGCCTTTTCACACTGGGTCATAAATGTACATTTAGTGGATCATTTCCATCACTAAAATGTAAGATCCACAAGGAAACTTGCATACTTGTAATAACTCATATACTGTAAGCCCGTGTCCAGCATGTAGTTAAGCATTGTATGTTCACCGACTTCCTTTATCTTTCGAACAATCCTATGATAAATGTATTATTATAATCGTCATTTTGCAGATGTGAAACTGAGGCGGAGAAGAATTAAGTTGCCCAAAGTGATGTCATGTGTAAATGGAGGAGGCAGGATTTGAACCCAGGCAGTTTGGCTTCGGAGTTCTTAATAAATATTTGGGTTGGAGTAAATGAGGGAGTAAAACTGTGGGATGACTCCTGTCCTTCATTTCTTCATTGGTGTTTTCGTAACCCCTTGTGTGGTATTTGTTGTCGACATCTTGCTGTCTAAAATATATTCCGAAAGCATCCTGTTCCTTTTTCATCTCGCTGTTTTCTTTGCTAAGCCCTTCACAGGAGGCTGGGCCTTTCTCTCTGTGTTGGGATCTTTTATATTTTAAGATATTCTCTTCGCCAAGCATGTTGACATGTGAGTTGCAAGCAAAGCCTCTGAGAAGCAAAATGTTGAACAATTATCAGTTGAAGACATCATGTCACAATGAACTTCTCTTTAAACAAATAAAAAAGTCCCATAGCAAACTCCTTTTATCTGAGGATCTCCAGGGGCCCCTCTGACACTGGATTGTCACACCGAGACATTTCAAACACAGACTCTCATCATTTAGTCTGGTTGCTGGGGCCCCAGACTTCTTTAGAATAGATAATGCAGCTTCATTACGGTTCTGTGTGAATGTGCCTGGAAAAGGATCATTGCATTTCTTTTAAAAAGCGTTGGCATTTTTTTTTTCCTTCCAGCCACTTAATTGGGATTGTGATGTGAAAAAAGAAGCATAGAACAAAACTTCCAATAAAAAAATTTGGACTCAGTCTCCATAATGTCATCCAGGCTTGCTTTGGCCTTGATGAATTCAGCACTTCAGAGGGTATGTCAACACAATAAATTTTATGCCCTCAATAAAACTTGTGAGTGAGCTCAGTGAGAAATTCCAAGGTCTGGGAAGACAATTAACGTTTGAAATATATATTGAGTTGTGTACTGCGACATTTTATGTGGCCACAGAGCTGTACCCGATGTCACAGGGGAAAAATTTCCCTAGGAAATGCAAGGTTTGCTTTTCAAATAACATTGACATGTCAGATTCCTCCCCAAATACAGAGGAATGTAAGAAATGACTACCAATGAAAATCCAGTGACATTCTCTGACCACATTGATGTGATTCTCCTTGTTTTCCATTTCAACTGGCAGTTGTCTTCAGAGTGTATCTGTTGTCAACATCTCAGCACCTTAATTTTATTAGACTATTTATATGACTATTCTTTGTAGTTCTGTGTGCATGGGGGTGTCTTATTAATTGATTTGACTGGAGTTCAAGCCCCAGCCCTACCTTTTAGTCAATGTATGATGTTATACAAATTGTATTACCTCTCTGGACTTTATTTTCTGTTGTGAGAATTACAGTCATGCACAGCATAACAACGTTTCAGTCAGTGATGGACCACATGGACAACGGTGGTCCCACAAGATTATAATGGGGCTGAAAAGGCCGGGTGTAGTGGCCAAGCCTGTAATCCCAGCAGTTTGGGAGGCTGAGGTGGGCAGATCGCTTGAGGTCAGGAGTTCGAGACCAGCCTGGCCAACAATGGCAAAACCCTGTCTCTACTAAATATACAAAAATTAGCCAGGGGTGGTGGGCACATGCTTGTCCCAGCTACTTTAGAGGCTGAGGTGGGACAATTGCTTGAATCTGGGAAGCAGAGGTTGTAGAGTGAGCCAAGATTGCACCACTGCACTCCAGCCTGGGCAACAGAGCTGAGACTCCATCTCAAAAAGAAAAAGAAAAAAAAAAATGGGGCTGAAAAGTTCCTATCACCTAGTGATGTCATACATAGCCATGGTAATGCAACACATTACTCACGTGTTTGTGGTGATGCTAGTGTTAATAAACCTACTTTGCTGCCACTTTTATAAAAGTCTAGCACATACAATTACGTACAGTACAGAGTACTTGATGATAGTAAAAGACAATGTTACTGGTTTATGTATTTACCATCCTATACTTTTATGGTTATTTTAGAATATACTCCTATGTATTTAAAAAAAAAAAACTGTAAAACAGACTCAGGTAGGTGCTGCAAGAGGTATTCCAGAAGAAGGCGTTGTTGTCATAGGAGACGGCAGGTCTCCATGTCATGGAGATGAACACATGCCTGTTATTGCCCCTGAAGACCTTCCAGTGGGACAAGATATGGAGGTGGAAGGCAGTGATTGTGATGATCCTGACCCAGGGTAGGCCCAGGCTAATGCTTCTCTTTGTGCCTTAATTTTTAACACAAAAGTTTAAAAAGAGAAAAAAAATACATTTTAAAAGTAGAAAAAAAATATAGAATAAGGAGATATTTTTATACAACTGTACAATGTGTTTATGTTTTAAGCTAGGTGTTATTACAAGAGTCAAAAAGTTAAAAAAATTAGTTTATAAAGTAAAAAAGTTACAGTAAGCTAAGATTAATTTGTTATTGGGGTAATAATTTTTTTTCTTTTGAGACAATGTCTCACTTTGTCACCCAAGCTGGAGTGCAACGGTGTGATCTCAGCTCACTGCAACCTCTGCATCCCAGGCTCAAACAATCCCCCTGCCTCAGCCTTCCAAGCAGCTGGGATTACAGGCATGCACCACCATGCCTGGCTAATTTTTGTATTTTTTGTAGAGATGGGGTTTTGCCATGTTGGCCAGGCTGGTCTCGAACTCCGGGACTAAAGAAATTCACCCGCTTCAGCCTCCCAAAGTGCTCACAGGCATGAGCCACCATGCGCAGCTAGAAATAACTTTTTAAAAAATAAATGTAGTATAACTCAAGTGTACAGTGTTTATCAAGTCTACAGTAGTGTACAGTAATGTCCTAGGCCTTCACATTCACTCACCACTCACTCACTGACTCACCCAGAGCAACTTCCAGTGGTATAGGCTCCATTCGTGGTAAGTACCCTGTTGGGGTGTACCTTTTTAATCTTTTATACTGTATTTTTACTATAGCTTTTCTATGTTTAGGTAAACAAATGCTTATCACTGTGTTACAATTGCCTGCAGTATTCAGTACGGTAATATGCTGTACAGGTTTGCAACCCAGGAGCAATAGGCTATACTATATAGTTTAGGTATGTAGTAGGCTATACCTTCCAGGCTCATGTAAGTATACTCTGTGATGTTTACACATTGACAAAACTGCCTAATAATGCATTTTCCAGAATGTATTCTTGTCATTAAGCTACGAATGACTATAAATGCAACAACAGGTTATCATATAGTCTGTTAATTATAATTTAAGAAGTCGCTATCATTTCTTTGTGTAAGATTAAGCTCTCTTTGAGGAGGGTGCTAAGGCACAGATTGTGAGCAGATAAAAAAATGTCAGTTAACATGTATTAGTCAGTTATTGCTGCCTCAATGCTGTGTGACAAATAACCTCAGAATTTCATTGGTTTACAACAATATTAATTAAATAGTATATTTGTCATATAAATTTACCTACTTGTTTATTTTTGCTCATAGGCCTGTGGGTTAGTCAATACAGCTCAGCTTCAGGCTGCAAATTGGGTTTAGGTCTACTCCCTGTGTACCACCCGGGGTGTGCTCTTTCATGGGCAATGACAGTGGTGCCAGAACAGCAATCAGAAACATGACTGGGCGCGGTGGCGCATCCCTGTAATCCCAGCACTTTGGGAGGCCGACAAGGGTGGATCACCTGAGGTCAAGAGTTCGAGACTCGCCTGGCCAACATGGTGAAACCCCGTCTCTACTAAAAATACAAAAATGAGCCAGGTAAGGTGGTGCATGCCTATAGTTCCAGCTACTTGGGAGGCTGAGGCAGAAGAATCACTTGAACCCGGGAGGCGGAGGTTGCAGTGAGCTGAGATCGTGCCACTGCACTGCAGCCTGGGTGACAAGGCAAGACTCCATCTCAAAAAAGAAATAAAAGAGAAGAAACACAGGATGCCTCTTACGTTGTAAACTCTAACCCACACTTTGACACCTTTTCCTACATACTATTGGCCAAAGCAAGTCACATCGTCAAAACCAATACTAGTGGGGCAGAGAAGTATAGTCCATTTAGCGTAAGAGACAAGACAGATTTGGGGAAAAATAATGTCACCTACCATGCAAAGTAAGAAGAGGTAAAGAATCTGAGACCACTTATATATACAAAAGGTACCCAAGAAACATACAGTTTTCTCTCTTTTGGATTCATATCTCAAATCTTTTGAATTGACCTTATTTTCTACAATCCAAGTAAAGATTGAGTTCTTTCTTTTCCTTCTATTTGACAAAATCATAGATTTGTTCCACCAGTGACTCATTTTTCCTTTCAGAAAATCATGTACTTTTTATTCAAGGTCTCCAGAAACTCTTTGGCTGAAGGTGAAATGTGTATTGATATTGACTCATCTTTAAATGTCAATGACCAGTCAAGATAATTAAGGAGTTAAGTATTGGTTGCAGAGAAAAGGGAACGCTTATACACTGTTAGGGGGAGTGTAAATTAGTTCAACCCTTGTGGAAAGCAGTGTGGTAATTCCTCAAAGAGCTAAAAGCAGAACTACCATTTGACCCAGAAATGCCACTACTGGATATATACCCAAAGTAATAGAAATGGTTCTATCATAGAGACACAGGCACATATATGTTCATTGCAGCAGTAGTCACAATAGCAAAGACGTGGAATCAACCTAAATGCCCATCAATGGTAGACTGGATAAAGAAAATGTGGTACATATCCACCACAGAATATTATGCAGCTATAAAAAAGAATGAGATCATGCTCTTTGCAGGAACATGGATGGAGCTGGAGGCCATTATCCTTAGCAAGTGATGTGGGAACAGAAAACCAAATACCACATGTTCTCACGTGTAAGTGGGAGCTAAATGATGAGAACACAAGGACACACAGAGGGAAAGAATAGACACTAGGCCTACTTGAGGGTGAAGGGTTAGGGGAGGGAGAAGATAAGAAAAAATAACTATTGCATATCAGGCTTAGTACCTGGGTGACCAAATAATGTGTACAATAATCCCCTGTGACATGAGTTTACCTATGTAACAAAACTGCACATGTACCCCTGAATCTAAAAGAAACGTTAAAAGAGTAAAGTGTTGGCCAGGTACAGTGGCTCACGCCTGTAATCCCAGCACTTTCGGAGGCCGAGGCGGATGGATCACGAGGTCAGGAGATCGAGAGCATCCTGGCTAACACGGTGAAACCCCGTCTCTACTAAAAATACAAAAAATTAGCCGGGCTTGGTGGCGGGTGCCTGTAGTCCCAGCTACTCGGGAGGCTGAGGCAGGAGAATGGCGTGAACCCGGGAGGCGGAGCTTGCAGTGAGCCGAGATCGCACCACTGCACTCCAGCCTGGGCGAAAGAGCGAGACTCCATCTCAAAAAAAAAAAAAAAAAGAAAAAAAAAGAGTTAAGTGTTTACTCATCTATTCAAATCAAGTGACACTATGGTGTGCACGAGACTGGAAATCAGGAAGAAGTACAAGATTCTAGTCTCAGCTCTGTCACTAAGTGTGGACAAGACAGTGATGTTCTCTGGGGGTAATCTACAAGAAAAAAGGCTGAGGAAGCCACAGGGCAAATCATTTAATGACGTTAACTATTTTCAGTAATCTCTCAATGCAGAAGTCATCGTCTAAATAAGCATTCCTTTCCAAATGCAGTCTAGCTATTTTGCCTAAAAGTTGGCAGATGTGACTTGCCCCAGGGTAGAGAACATCTTAAGAAAGATATTTTAAATGTGGTGTTTAAACAACCTATAACAATTATGCAGGGGTTTTTTAAGTTCATATAACAATTCTACTGCTTTTTGCTCATTCATTGTTTCTGTTTTTCTCATTGTTGATCCAGTAATTTCACTTTTAAGGAAATAGAGATGAGGAAAAAGGTTTATGTACAAAAATGTTCATTGTGGTACTTAAAAAAATTAAAGTAAAAAATTGGACAGAACTTAAATGTCTAATCATAAGGGACTGATTGAGTAAATTATTGTAAATCTATTTAATGGACTATAATGCAGATGTTAAAATCATGTTTTAAACCATTTTAATGACTTGACAACGTTCTTATGGTATAATATTAGATGAAATATGTAAAATAAGAAAAGCATAATATTTTATGACCATCAATTCTTTAAAAATGCAATAATAAGTTTGTAAGGAAATTCAGAGGAACAGGAATGGTGATTATCTCAGGATTGTGACATTCTAAGTACTTTGCATGTTCTTTACATTTTTCTACGTTTTCTATTTTTGACAACAAACATTATTACTTTTTTTGGGGGGGGGGGCGACAGAGCAAGACTCTGTCTTGCTGGAGTGCAATGGCAGGATCTCGGCTCACTGTAACCTCTGCCTCCCAGGTTCAAGTGATTCTTCTGTCTCAGCCTCCCAAGTAGCTGGGATTACAGGCACATGCCAACACGCCTGGCTAATTTTTGTATTTTTTGTTAGAGACATGTTGGCCAGGCTGGTCTTGAACTCCTGGCCTCAAGTGATCCACCCGCCTCGGCCTCCCAAAGTGCTGGGATTACAGTTGTGAGCCACCACACCAGTCTATTTTTCATTTTTGTTAAAGTAATACATTTACATACACACATAGGCATGCCCTACCGTTTTTACATTCTGGGTTCAGGATTCAGGGTGTCAGAGGAACAGGAATTCCAGTGGAGGTAAGCTCTGATCTGGGGAGAGACTCTGGGGACACGGGTGTGCTCATTCCTGGATTTGGGGTCATCCTGTTTGGATGGCTCCCAGAGGGAATTAAGAAGCCTTTGGCAGAACCACTTCTGATCGAGACAGACAGGCAGTAGTCTTTGAACCCAAGCACTGGCTTACAACTTGGACTTGATGAAGGCATTACAAAATCACTTTATATTGCTCATTCTTTCCAGCAACTTCTCTGTGAATTCTAGTTGGAGGAAAAAACAAACAAACAAAAAACAAACACAGACTTTAGACACAAGACGTTTTGCAGCCTCCAGATCTGCTCACACTTTGCCACCGGTGTCTGTAGGGGATAAAGTCAACTCTGCAGGGTTGGCAAATGGCAAGATTTGCATACACCCAGAAATCACCATTGTGATCTTCGTTTAGACAGCAGTGCCCCCAGAACCCGCCTGCTAGCCCTATTCTCCCAATGACATATAGGAGAGACTTCCAAAGAGGTTTGGGTCTGAGGTCACAAGTGGTTTTCATACTGAAAGTAATTTTGGTGGAAAGGAGACGGCTTCAAAACTCCTGATGCTCTTTATTGTCTTCAAACAGCTTAAACAGAATGTGCAGGAAATATAAGCTCCTCCCTTTAAAACACTGACCTTTTTTCACATTAGTTTCCCTGGAAGTTTGAACAAAGAATCAGTGGGTAAAGAAAATGATTTGGGATCCCAGTTGTACAGCGGGCATTTTTTGAAGTGTTTTATCATCTTGCCAGAGTGGATATGCTTGGCTGGAGTTAGAGCCCGCCAGTGAGGATCTCAAGCTCAAGAACTCAACACTCCTGCCTTTCTAGGGTTTGATTTACTCTAACACATACGCACTGCCAAGGTCATTGCCACCCTTTAGAGGATGATGCGACAATATGGTGTTTAAGACAAACTTGCAAATAGGTTACCAGCCCATGGAAGAATTTATTTTTATTTTTATTTTTTAACCAGACTCAACCTGGTTTGTTTGTTTGTTTGTTTGTTTGTTTTGAGACGGAGTTTCGCTCTTGTTGCCCAGGCTGGAGTGCGATAGTGCGATCCCCTTTCACCGAAACGTCCACCTCCTGGGCTCAAGCGATTCTCCTGCCTCAGCCTCCTGAGTAGCTGGGATTACAGGCATGCACCACTGTGCCTGGCTAATTTTGTTACTTTTAGTAGAGATGGGGTTTCTCCATGTTGGTCAGGCTGGTCTCGAACTCCCGACCTCAGATGACCCAACTGCCTTGGCCTCCCAAAGTGCTGGGAGTACAGGCGTGAGCCACTGCACACAGCCCGCCTTAACCTGTTTTTAAGATAAACCCAGGTACAAACATGCAATAAAGCAACATTCCTTTGTTTCCTCAACGTGAAGCTCAGTTGTGACAAGGTGCTCTATTGTTACCACAAAGGGGTCCCGATCCAGATTCCGACAAAGGGTTCTTGGATCTCACACAAGAAGGAATTTGGGGCAAGTCCATAGAGTGAAGTGAAAGAAATTTTATTAAGAAAGTATAGAACAGGTTGGGAGCGGTGGCTCACACCTGTAATCCCAGCATTTTGGGAGACTGAGGAGGGTGGATCACTTGAGGTCAGGAGTTCGAGACCAGCCTGGTCAACATGGTGAAACCCTGTCTCTACTAAAAATACTAAAATTAGCCAAGCATGGTGGCAGGTGTTTGTAATCCCAGCTACTCAGGAGGCTGAGGCAGGAGAATTGCTTGAACCCGGGAGGCAGAGGTTGCGGTGAGCCGGGATCGCACCATCGCACCCCAGCCTGGGCAACAAAAGTGAAACTCTGTCTCAAAAAAAAAAAAAGTAAGTAAGTAATTAAAGAACCAAGAGAATGGCTACTGCATAGGCAGAATAGTGACGTGGGCTATTCAACTGAGTATACGAATGGTAATTTCTTGATTATATACTAAACAAGGGGTGGATTATTCATGAGTTTTGCAGGAAAGGGACAGGAAATTCATGGAAGTGAGGTTTCCTCCCTTTTTAGACGACATAGGGTAACTTCTAGACATTGCATGGCTTTTGTAAACTGCCATGAGACTGGTGGGAGTGTCTTTTAGCATGCAAATGCATTCTAATTAGTGTGTAATGAGCAACGAGGATGACCTGAGGTCACTTTTGTTGCCATCTTGGTTTTGGTGGGTTTTGGCCAGCTTCTTTATTGGATCTTGTTTTATCAGCAGGGTCTTTATGACCTGTATCTTGTGATACCAGTCCTGCCGACCTATCTCGTCCTGTGGCTAAGAATGCCTAACCTCCTGGGAATGTAATCCAGTAGGTCTCAGCCTTGTTTTACCCAGCGCCTATTCAAGATGGAGTCGCTCAGGTTCAAACACTTCTGGGAAGATCACACATTTTAACTAGGTCCCTGTTGTGCACTGAATTACTTAGGAGATCATCAGGGGTTCCTAAGATGGTCTCAGGTGGTAGAAACTTATGAGCGAGAGGATAAACTAGAAGAGAGTAAAAAATATTACTCTGTGGTGGGAGAACAGGGAATTAGGGTAACGGAGGTTCAGCAGGTGCAGCCAGTTCACATAAGCAAAAGAACAGCAGGTCCAGCCAGTTTGCATAAGCAAAAAAACAGCAGGTGCAGCACATAGGCCACATCCTTGCTCCCATGATAACAAGCCACTTCAGCTTCCCATTGGTCACGGGCCAGTCCTTCAAAGGGTGTAACCAACTGGAGACCTCTAAAAGGCACCTAGGGGTGTTGCCAAGTTCTTTTGGCTTTATAAAAACTCTTGGGAGGATTGCAGTAAGCAGGCACTTGAGTTGCTTGTTCGAGCCTGCTCTCTGTGAGTTGTGTTCAATATCTCTGCCCATCGTGTGGCATTTTGTTCAATTCCTTGTCCAATACGCCAAGAACCTGGACAACTCACGATTAGGACCTTCTGATAACATATTTTGGCGAACCAGTCAGGAGGTAAGACAATATTTTGGGACTTTTTAATATTCCTCTTCTCTGAGTGGGGCGAGGGACTCTCATTTCATGTATGAATTCTTTATGCATAAGAGCGTGGAATTTTCCATTGTTTGTAGGGATAAACCCCATAATAATTTCACAGTACATTGCAAGATTGCTTGTTTCATGAGTTTCAGGCCGAAGAAGCTTATTTCACTTGGTGAGACGCAAAGAGCTGAGCGTTGCATCCGTTGACCAAGGGAATCATAGACCATTCCATTGCCTATGGAGGAAAAACATCCTCAGAGATGCCTGACCCCCTAGGGTCAGAGGCATCAGCAACAGATAGGCCCTCCTTAGGCCAGATCACTATGGGAAACAATATTCAGACGAGTTTTCGCTAGTACCAATAGACGCCTTTGCTGGCTTGGTTGAAGCCTACCCTAACAGAACAGAGAAGGCTAAGAAGGTTATAAAGGTTCTCTTGAAGGAAATCATCTCCTGGTTTGGATTACCCCAAAGCCTCCACCACAAAGTCTCCAAAGTAATAACAGCCCATCTTTTATCTCCCAAATAACTCAAGCGGTTGCTAAGGCTGTTGGAATACAAGCTACTTCAGGCCCTGATTGACTGCGGGCCAGGTCTCCACTTCAGCCTCTGATTGGTGGCAGGCCAAGCCTTCATGGGGTGTAGCCAACTGGAGGCCTCTAAAGGGACCGAGGGGTGTTGCTGGGCTCTGGCTTCATGAAAACTCTAAGGAGGCTCTTGAGCCGCTTGCTCAAGCCCCCTCCCACTCTGTGAGCTGTCTTCAATAAATCTGTGCTTTCATCACTCCATTCTGCTGCGTTGTCCTCCATTGCTTCGTTCTTTTGTTACTGTCTGTGTTGTTCAATACGCCAAGAACCTGGACAACTCGATCCAGTAACCCTTCGTACTACTATCTCCATTACTACCATGATAACTACTGTTGCTGCTGCTTCTATTTTATTACTCTGACTGCCGCTACGTTACTACTATTACTACCTTTAGTATTGCTGCTGCTGCTGCTACTATTACTATTATTGCCACCACTACTTTTGGTATTACTACCACTACCGTGATGGTTACTGCTCTTACTGCCGCGGCTACCAGCAGTCGCCGTTTTATTTTTAACACCTCCTGAGTGCACATCAGTTTATATGTGTGAAGTCACTTAATACAAATGCCGGCCAGGCGCGGTGGCTCGCGCCTGTAATCCCAGCACGTTGGGAGGCCGAGGCGGGCAGATCACCTGAGGTCGGGAGTTCAAGACCAGCCTGGCCAACATGGTGAAAACCCCGTCTCTACTAAAAATACAGAAATTAGGCGGGCGTGATGGCACGCGCCTGTAATCCCAGCTACTTGGGAGCTGAGGCAGGAGAATCGCCTGAATCCCGGAGGTGGAGGTTGCAGTGAGCCAAGATGGCGCCACTGTACTCCAGCCTGGGCAACAGAGGGAGACTCTGTCTCCAAAAAAAAAAAAAAAAAAAAAAACCTGCCAACCAGTGTGAGGAATACTAACTCTGTTGTTCAGATGAAGATCTTGAGGCTCAAACATTATGGTAACTTGTTTAATATCACCCAGTGAGTGACAGAACTGGGGTGTGAAGCCAGATTTCTGACTCTATTTCTCAACCAGGATGCTCTACTGGGGGTGGCGGTGGGGAGAGAAGAAAACCATAGCAGACGATTCACCTGCTGAATGGCTGTAATTCCCATGTGAGGAGATATGAATAGTGTGAAATCCAACAAGGAGACCCTTGTTATAAGGATGCAGGTACAGGGCGCCCTCCCCTTCTAAGCTTCCTGGCTAGATCTCTTGCTTTTTCTCTCATGCATTCACACTTAGATATACACACAGCATATCTTTGAGCATACAATTTCACTTAGCTGACCTATTTTATTTTAAAGAGGAAATGAGCTAATGCCCTAGATTTCAGAGAAGACTGACATATCCCCGTTTATCTTTCTGCTCACTGCTGTTATTCTAAATCCCAAACCTAAGTCGACAGGTTTTCTTAATAGGCTAGGGTAAAGGAAACCTGGGGGCTTCTCTCTGCCTTCCCCTCTCCTTCCCCATCCTAGCCTCAACATTTACTCATTATCCATTTGCTGCCAAACAGAGCTCAAAAAAGGGAGATCTGCTAATTATTTCATTTGATAAACACATGGATTGAGTGCCTAATAATAGCTAATACTTTTTGTGCTTTAACCATAAGCTAGGCCTTTGCACATATAATGCATTTCATTCTTACAATGGCCCTATGAGATGAGACCATTATCATCCCTTTAGAGAGGCCAGACAATGAAATCTCAGGTTAAGCAACTTTCCCAAGGTCCCTCAACTTTAGCAGAATTAGGGCTTCACTACATTGTGCAAAATAATGATTTGGAAACAGTTTCATGCCATGGGAGATAATATACAGATAAATAAGGCTCAACTCCTTGTGTCAAAGATGCTGAAAGCATGGTTATGGCTAAAGATGGGGAAACAAGCAAACATAAGCTTGAACAAAGGACAAGGGTGGACTAGCAGGTTGGGGGAGGAGTAAGAAAAAGGGCTGAATCTGGGCTGCATAGGAAACTAACCAGCTTCGAGACCCTAACTTGTATAGTGGGTTTCAGTGTTGAAGGGCCAGTGAGTTTGAGGCAGAAATAGGCAGGACAGAGGGGCCTGCAGACTGATTGTATACAATCTGCTGCTGCAGTATTCACAATACCAAAGGCAGGAATCAACCCAGGTGCCCATCAATGGTAGACTGGATAAAGAAAATGTGGTACATATACATCATGGAATACTATGCAGCCATGAAAAAGAACAAAATCATATTCTTTGCAGCAACATAAATACAGCTGGAGGCCATTCTCCTGAATGAAATAACACAAACGGAAAACACAAAATACTGCATGTTCTGACTTATAAGTGGGAGCTAAATCTTGGGTACCCACAGAAATAAAAATGAGAATAGACACTGGTGACTCCAAAAGGAGGAAAAGAGGGGGGCAAAGGCTGAGAAACTTATTAGGTACTATGTTCACTATCTGGGTGATGGGATTAATAGAGGCCCAAACCTCAGCCTTGCACAATATACCCATGTAACAAACTTGTACGTGTACCCCCTGAATCTAAAATCAAAATAATAAAAACTGCTACAGTTTGAAATGGGCCAGCTCCAAGTCTCACCCTGGGTGCTATATTTTCTTCAATATAATGAAGTGCTGCCTGTACCCATGTGCAAAGGAGAAGTAAAGGGCAACAGCTCTTTGTCTTAGCCCAGAAACCTCAGGATATAAGCCCTGGGAGGAGACAGTCTTTAGTAAGAAGACCCTCACAGAGGTCTGATGAGCTACTTCAAATTATACCTGGCCTGTGCTTGCTTTTGAGGTTTGAATAAGAGTTAATTGGCTGGGTGTGGTGCCTCACACCTGTAATCCTAGCACTTTGGGAGGCTGAGGGGGGCAGATCACCTGAGGTCAGAAGTTCAAGACCAGCCTGGCCAACTTGGTGAAACCCTGTCTCTACTAAAAATACAAAAATTAGCTGGGTGTGGTGGTGGGTTTCTGTAATCCCAGCTACTCAAGAGGCTGAGGCACAAGAATCGCTTGAACCTGGGAGGTGGAGATTACAGTGAGCCAAGATCCCACCACTGCACTCCAGCCTGGAGGACAAAGCTAGACTCCGTCTCAAAAAAGTTAAGTCAAAAGGGAAAGTTGCATCAGGCAGAAGAAACAGATTAACTCCATGCCCCATTATTTCCCCTATGTCAGGGATGGAGGGAATAGTACCTTTCTCTTCTTGTCTTCCTATACCTATCTGCCTTCTCTTACCCTCTCTACCTATTCCTTTCTTCACTGCTTTTGGAGGGAATGGAATGCCAGCTAGGTTTGTTTGAGACATTGTTTACCAGTGGGTGGCGATGCTACTGAAAAACTGGGGGTTTGGTCTGGGTCCTGTTGCTCACCACACAGAAAGCCCATCACTGAGATGACCAGTATTGCTAAGGACGAAAGCTTTGATCCAGTGCCAAGGAGATGGGAACTCATTCTCAAACCCATCTCCCTGACCAATGAAAACTAAGGGGTTTATATAGCAGGGAAGAAATGTAACAATGTGTGAAAAAGCAGTTATAGTGAGGGGCAAGGAAGCAATCTCATGAATGAGGGATCCCACATTTTGCTGTCTGAATGTGGTGATCTGGTGAGTTTCAGTTCTTTAATAGTTTTTTAAAAAGAGGCCTGAAGGTCTTTTCCTGAGGAAGAAACTCAGATAAAAGAAATGTAAGAGTGGGGCCTGGTGGCTCATGCCAGTAATCTCAGCACTTTGGGAGGCCAAGGTGGGTGGATCACCTGAGGTCAGGAGTTTGATACCAGCCTGGCCAACATGGCAAATCCCACCTCTCGCTTGAACCTGGGAGGCAGAGGTTGCAGTGAGCTGAGATTGCGCCACCGCACTCCAGCCTGGGTGACAGAGTGAGACCCTGTCTCAGAAAACAACAAATGTAAGTTTCAAGCTTTAAGAACAGAAGGATCAATTTCTGTGTTTATCCAAAAAAAACTAGTTGACTATTGGGTCAGTTTCAGTGATGTTCATAAAAAGCTCAGACCTAACCCTTTTCATTCCCCTCCCTCTCTGGTTTTTCTCCTACACCATCTGGCCAGCTCCCAAACTAAGGTCCTTATTGTACCCTGGCCACGAAAAGCCTGAGCGTGAAGATCATTGAGTGTGAGGGCATCTTGCAGCCGCATAGAAGGTAGTGGGGATCCAAGTGCAGGATTTGGGCTGAGGTGGGGCCTCCAGACCCTTGCAGTAAGCTCCAACTGAGCCATGTCAGAGCTCTGCACTGGGGTCACCAGGTCAAGCTGTTGATAAAATGGTGCTTTGATGTTTTCCTGCAAACCTTCCATATCCAGTCCCCTTGGGAACATTCAGGGTGGCCAGGATGACTGTTGACAGCACATGAAAACTTTCCCTTGATTTTTATTTTATTTTTTATTTTATTTTAAGACAGAGTCTCTTGCTCTGTCACCAAGGCTGGAGTGCAATGGTGCGATCTCGGCTCACTGCAACCTCCACCTCCTGGATTCAAGTGATTCTCCTGCCTCAGCCTCCTGAGTAGCTGGGATTAGAGGCACCTGCCACCATGCCTAGCTTATATATATATATATATATATATATATACACGTGTGTGTGTATATATATATATATATACACACACACACACACGTATATATATGTGTACATATATATATATATACACGTGTATATATATATATATATATATATATATATTTTTTAGTAGATATAGGGTTTCAGCATGTTGGTCAGGCTGGTCTTGAACTCCTGACCTCAGGTGATCCACCCACCTCAGCCTCCCAGAGTGCTGGGATTACAGGTGCCAGCCACCATGCCTAGTTACGTTCCCTTGATTTTTAACTTTCAGCATCTTCCCATCCTTGTATCTTTTCTTAATCTTCTGGGTCATTCTCTCTTCCTCATTATCCATCAAGATTCAGCTCATCTGCTGTTCTTTTTCCAATTCCCTCTATGAAAAAAAAAATGAGAAATCCCCTCCTCTTGCCTGTAAGCTCTAATGGCACTGTTGTAGCTTTTTGTTTCTGTCATTGCCTTGACTGGTTTGTGAGCTTCCTGAGAAAAGATTTTGTGTATCTGATTCATCTGGGGGTGTCCAGTGCTTAGTGAATTGCCTGTCATTAAATAATTCATTCATTAAACAAAAAATGTAAGGGGTGCCTCTATGTGCCAGATGCTATGTTAGAGTCTGGGATACATTAATAAGTTCCCTGTCCCAAGAAACTTGGAGTCTAGTGTGGGAGAGAGGCATCAGTAAAATAATCACACAAATACATTTAAACTGACACCTGAGGTACATAAGCCTTTGAAAGCACATGGGAGGGGACTAGAGCTTGTTGGAAAGGTCAGTGAAGCCTCAGGAGGAAGTAATGTTAGAGCTGAGATCTGCAGGGAGAGTGGCCCTAACCAGGTGAACATTCCAGGTAGAAGAAACATGGTGTAAAGCCCCGGGCTGGAGATGAGTACAGCATGCTAGGGGAAGTGAGAGAAAGCTCACTGTAGCCAAAGCAAAAGGGGCTAGAGTCAAAGAGAGACAAGGAAGTAGTGCTTCTGTGTCTCAGAAGCTCAGAATTGATGAGCCGTGGCTAAAAGATGGGTCTTCATCCCACAATTGTGTGCTCGGCACAACATAAGGGGCTCCCTGAATCTCCTCAGATTCCTGAATGCTGGAGGCTTTGGTCTTCCACACAGATAAACTGGCCCCTTTCTGCCCTCATGGCATGTGCATTAATGATGTGGGTGTGGATCAGTGTTTTTACAAGTTGGATCACCCGGACCACCCTGGGATGCAGCGGAAGATGTGACAGAGAAAAGTCGATCATGAGGGCGTCTTTGTGTAGCCTGTTCCAGGAGAGAAGGAAATACAATCCAGAACTGGAATGTCTTTCAATTTCCATAAGCAAATGGAAAGGATCTTAATTGAGCCAGGATATCTTCAGTGCTGTGCCTGTTTTCATGATGCTGTTCTCTTTCCTGGATCTCTGCCCATGAGTGTAGGGTGTTCTGTCTGGCAGAGAAAGCATCTCATACAAGGAGCCCTCATACAAGCTACATAAAATCTCAGTGGTCTCAGAGCTTTAGAGTAAAATGGGAGAGGAAGATAGACATTAAAGTAATGATATCCAAATAATTATTTAAAATTGCATTTGGCATAAACACTATTACTTATTTTTTGAGAGATGGAGTCTCGCTCTGTCACCCAGGCTGGAATGCAGTAGCATGATCTAGGCTCACTGCAACCTCTGCCTGCAGGGTTCAAGTGATTCTCCTACCTCAGCCTCCTGAGTAGCTGGGATTACAGGCACCCACCATCACGCCTGGCTAATTTCTGTATTTTTAGTAGAAACGAGGTTTCATTATGTTGGCCAGGCTGGTCTTGAACTCCTGACCTCAAGTGATCCACCCACCTCGGCCTCCCAAAATGCTGGGATTACAGGCGTGAGCCACTGTGCCTGGCCATGTTTGGCATAAATATTATAAGAAAGAAGTACAGGGCACTGAGACATATAGCCCAGTCTGGTCTCGGTGTCTGGGTAGAGTGATGCCATTTTCTGCAACAGGAAACCCAGAAGGATGACCAGGTTTGGAGCACAGGATCAGATCCCTGCCCATGAGCACTGGGTTTTCTGTCTGGCAGAGAAGGGAACCCATACAGGGGGCCCTCTCTTTGGGGCAAACTGCCCCTACCTCCCATCTAGATATTTTATGAAGAGCTCTAGTTACTGCTTCCAATCTAATATCACCTCTGCAAGAAGAGGTTGAGAAAGAGGGAGGAACCAAGGATGACTTCCTTGTTTAGGGCCAAGTGACTAGGTGGATGTTAATGGCATAAACACAAGAAGAGGTTTAGGGGAGAAACCAATAAGCTCAATTTTTGTCTTGATTTGTTTGAGGAGCTGAAGAACATCCAGTTGGATACCCAAAAGGTAGCTGGAGATCGGAGCCTGGGCTTGAGAAAGTTGGGTGCTTGAAGACTCAGAAATGTTTGAGCAACTTTGTCTAGGAAACCTTTCTCTTCTTGGAAACAGCCAATTTCCCATCTTTAAAATCTCCCTGGAAGATAGGTAGAAATACCTAGTACCAGCCGGGTACAGTGGCTCCCAGCTATAATCCCAGCACTTTGGAAGGCTGAGGCAGGTGAATCACCTGAAGTCAGGAGTTCAAGACCAGCCTGGCCAATATGGCAAAACCCCGTCTCTACTAAAAATAGAAAAATTAGCCAGGTGTGGTGGCGGGCGCCTGTAGTGCCAGCTAGTTGGGAGGCTGAGGCAGGAGAATCACTTGGCGGAGGTTGCAGTGAGCCAAGATGGCACCACTGCACTCCAGCCTGGGCCACAGAGTGACTCTGTCTCAAAAAAAAAAAAAAAAAAAAAAATTCCTAGAATACAGCCCACAGCTCCAAATTACATTTTTAGGCAGTTTTCACACCATCCTAAAGAAAAAGTCAGGCAGCCTAGACAAAGGTATTCCTAGCTGCCCACACAATCCTTCTTTACCTTCTTCTGCTATGTCATCAAGCCAAGCAGCACAATTATTTTTCTTTCATATCATCATGGATTTCAATTTTTGTAACTTCTTTAAAATTTCTAATAGAGCTCTTTCATGTATCCATTCATTCATTCAATGCTGTGTGCCAGTCATTGAAGAAAACTACACAAAATCTCAGTGGCCTTAGAGCTTAGAGTCAAGTGGAAGAGGCAGACAGACATTAAACTAATGATATCCAAATAATTATTTTAAATTGGCATTGTCATAAATATTATAGGAAAGAAGTACAGGGCACTGGGGGATGTAGCCCAGCTTGGTCTCAGGTCTTGGATAGAGAATGATCAGTTTGCTGGGATGGGAAATTCAGGAGGAAGACCAGGTTTGGGTGTAGAGGGGCTTTAAAACGGTAAATAAGACTCAAACACTAGCCGGGCACAGTGGCTCACACCTGTAATCCCAGCACTTTGGAAGGCCGAGGCAGGCAGATCATTTGAGGTCAGCAGTTCAAGACTAGCCTGGCCAACATAGCAAAACCCCACCTGTACTAAAAATACAAAAAATTAGCCAGTTGTGGTGGTGCACGCCTAGAATCCCAGCTACTCTGGAGGTTGAGGCAAATCAAACACCTGTGGAACTCACTATGTGCACTGGGCACCATTCTAAGCAGGTTTCAACCATCCGCTCATATAATCCTTACAGCGATCTTATGAAGGAGGGACCAGCATTATCCTTATTTTACAGATGGAGGCGCCAAAGGGGCTAACATGTTTTTCCAAGTCTCCACAATTAACAAGAGACAGAGCCAGGATATCAAATCCAGACAGACTGCCAGAATCCACCCTCTCTACCACTGTACATGATACAGGCTCTCTCTGGGGGACTTACCTAGATGTGTTCATTTGAAGATTCTGGTGACAATTGGATAAACACTTTCCTTATCATTTTAAACCGTTTGAGCTGGGATTTCTGTTATTTGCTGGCAACAGATACAAATGTGAACGGACGTCTGAAGTTGTAAAATTCAAGAGAGAAGGCTGGGCTGGGTTCAATCTAAGGAAAACCTTCACGTTTTACCTCCGGCAATGCATTCTGGGCTATCCTCTTCTCAGTAGTCTTTCATCTTGAAAAGGTTTCCTTGAACTGTAGCCTCTTCTGAAGGACAAAGACATTTAGGGCATGATTTTTTTACAAATTAAATCGAGACTGGGTTCAGTGGTTCACACTTGTGGTCCTAGCACTTTGGGAGGCTGAGATTGAAGGATCCCTTGAGGCCAGGAGTTCGAGACTAGCCTGGGCAGCATAATGAGACCCTGTCTGTACAAAAAATTAAAAATTAGGTGCGGTGGCTCACGCCTGTGATCCCTATTACTTAGGAGGCTAAGGTAGGAGGATCACTTGAGCCCAGGAGTTCACAGCTGCATTGGGCCAGGGTTGAGCCACTGCACTCCAGACTTGGCAACAGAGAGACCCTGTCTTAAATAAAATCCAAAAAAAAGCAACTGCCTACTATGGCGGTAATACCATCCATTCACAGAGTCCTGTCTTCATCTTCCCATCCATACACAGATATGTACTTTTTGTTTTTTTTTTTTTTTTTTTGGAGACAGAGCCTCATTCTGTCACCTAGGCTGGAGTGCAATGGTGTGATCTCAGCTCACTGCAACCTCTAACCTCTGCCTCCCGGGTTCAAGCAATTCTCTTGCCTCAGCCTCCTGAGTAGCTGGGATCACAGGCATGTGCCACCAAGCCCGGCTAATTTTTGTATTTTTAGTAGAGATGGGGTTTCACCATGTTGGTCAGGCTAGTCTCAAACTCCTGACCTTGTGATCTGCTCTCCTTGGCCTCCTGAAGTGCTGGGATTACAAGCGTGAGCCACCGTGCCTGGCCCAGACACGTACATGTTAAGACCCCTGAAACAACTTTATGTACAAGCTAAGTTTGACACGGTGATGGATGTGAAACCTGGCAAGTCTGAAAGGCAGGAAAAGCCAGCAGAGCGGAAACTGCTTGCAGCGTAACAGAAGCAGGAAGCTTGGTCTGCCTGTCTTGGGCATCTCACGCCTCACTTGCCTTGTTGCAAATATCGTAACTCTACCTTGTTCAAGATCCACTAAGACTGATTAAAACCGTTTAAAATGGCTCTTGTTGACAAGATTTACTATAGAACATCTTAATGACTAAACAAAATTATGGTGTAATTTTACTTGATTAAAGACAAAACTAAAACCTGTGCAATCTCCAGTGTATGTGTTAAGATAGCAACTTAAAAACATCTTTAAAGAATTTAGAGCCTGGCTCCTGCTGGAGAGAAATGAAAATGGGAATGTGGGTATTGTTCATGGGTTTCCTTCCCCTTACGGCAGCTTCCTGTGTGGTTTTTGTTTCTTTCATCCCTCCGCTGGCTCTGTGTGCTTTTTTCCAATTGTCTAGAGAGCTAGAAGGTAATGACTGTAAAAAACCAACGCTACTTGCAAGCAGGGTTGTATCTCTAGATGTTCTCTGGACTTCACTCCGTATCTGACTTCTTATATGTGTTTATCAGTCTCCTGTTCAAATTCCTTCTGTGGCTCCAGTCCCAAGCATCCCCTAATATCACAACACAACCTGTTTATAAGATAAAGCTATGAGTTTATTGCTTACTGCAGTAAAAAAAAGGACACCACCTCATGCCTCAGTAGGGATGGTAAGGTCAGATTTTTTTTTTTTTGGGGGGGACGGAGTCTCGCTGTGTTGCCCAGGCTGGAGTGCAGTGGCACAATCTCGGCTCACTGCAAGCTCCGCCTCCCGGGTTCACGCCATTCTCCTGCCTCAGTCTCCGGAGCAGCTGGGACTACAGACGCCCGCCACCATGCCTGGCTAATTTTTTGTATTTTTTAGTAGAGACGGGGTTTCACTGTGTTAGCCAGGATGGTCTCGATCTCCTGACCTTGTGATCTGCCTGCCTTGGCCTCCCAGAGTGCTGGGATTACAGGCGTGAGCCACCGCGCCCGGCCAGGGTGAGAATTTAATGAGAATCGGAAGCTCAACGGAAGACAGGGTCTTCCAAAGTGGGGGCTTGATGAAGGATCAGGTAGAGAGCTTGTCGTAACAACCCAGGATTGGTGCACACACCAAGACGTAGATTTTGAAAAAAGGGATTAAAGATGTTTAGAGTATCAATTATTGATGTATTCCATGGAGGAGCTGATCTTTTGCAGATTCTTAAAATGAACACCAATTCCTCTACCTGGCAGATGACTGATGGAAAAAGAAAGTCGTGCTAATGAAGACAGAGGAATAGCACGAAGTCATGTTCATGTGGACAGAAAAGTGCTGTTTTTTTTTTCTTTTTTTTGAGACGGAGTCTCACTTTGTTGCCCAGGCTGGAGGGCAGTGGCGCGATCTTGGCTCACTGCAAGCTCTTCCTCCTGGGTTCATGCCATTCTCCTGCCTCAGCTTCCCAAGTAGCTGGGACTACAGGTGCCCGCCACCACGCCCAGCTAATTTTTTTGTGTTTTTAGTAGAGATGGGGTTTCACCGTGTTAGCCAGGATGGTCTCGATCTCCTGACCTTGTGATCCGCCTGCCTGGGCCTCCCAAAGTGCTGGGATTACAGGCGTGAGCCACCGCGACCGGCCTAAGAAGGTGCTGTTTTTGTTCTCAGTGTCCAGGCAGAGAGTGAGGCATTAATAGATGGTTTCCATTCTTACTCTCCATGGATGAAGTTGAGGGCGTTGGACGTATTCCCAGGGTCACATGTGATCTGTCCTCTGCCTTTCCATTTCCATCGCGTCTCCATCTCAGCTTGTACTCTGTGATCCAGCTCTACTGACTTGCTTTTAACTTCTTGTTGATTCCCACCCCAGGAGCTTAGCATGGGCTGTAGCTATGCCTGGAATGCCATTTCTCCTTCCTATTATTTGCCTAGCCAACTCTTTTTATATGGCTTAAACGTCACCTCTTCAGGAAAGTCTCACTGATTTCCAATCTAAAGGTTGGTTCCCCCATTCTCAATTCTTTTGAGAGGAAATGAACTGAACCCCTTTCCACATTGCTTATGTTTTCTTCAGAGAACTTATCATAATAGTAACTAAATGGCAATTTTGGAATCGGTTATTTTTTATGCTTGCCTCTGTCTGCTGCTCACTGCTGTATGCCTAGGGCTTAGAAGAGTGATTTGCAGCTAATGGATCCTCAATAGACATTTGCAGAATAGATGATTTTGTGAATATGGACTGCGTCTCCTTTGATTGATGGGAAAAGCTTTTGTTCCATTGAAGTTGAGTGTGTATTTCTCATGGAAGCCTTCTGTGATATCTAACCCCACTGCTATCGGCAAAATAGTGTCTCCCCGAAATTCATATATTAAGGTCCTAATCCCCAATATCTCAGAATGTGACTACATTTGGAGTTAGTCTTTAATGAGGCAAGTTAAAATGGGGTCATTAGCATGGGCCCTAATCCAATATGACTGTTGTCCTTATAAGAAGAGAGACACCAGGGGTGCATGTGCATAGAGGAAAGTCCGTAGGGGACACAGCAAGAAAACAGCCATGTGCAAGCCAAGGAGAGAGACCCCAGAAACAACCAACCTGCAGACACCTTGACCTTGGACTTTCAGTCTCCAGAACTGAGAGAAAGTAATTTTCTCTTTAAGCCACACAGTCTGTGCTATTTTAATGGCAGGTCCAGCAAGCTGATACCCCTGCCTGAGACTGGGTTAGGATCCCCTGCTCTGGGCAGCCCTTCTGTTTCTCCACATCAAGATACTTAATTTCTCTGCATTATAATTGGCTGTATCCAACTCGAAGCTTCAGAGCAGAAGGAACTCACCTCTTCCTTCCTGGAACCTGGCACAGGGCCTGGCATATAAGAAGTGTCTTCTGTTTGTAAAATGAATGAATGAAAGAATTTGGGAATAAAGTCAGGATGCTGAGGGTTAGCTTTTGTCAAATATTGCTGTGCAGAAATTTCATTCATCAAGTACTTATTCCATGCATACTATATACCAGACACTAACCTAGGTGCTAGGAAGAATGCAGTATACAAAGGAGATTTAAAAAATATCCTTGTCCTCAAGAGTCTTATATCGTGCTAGACGTAGAGAAATAACAAGCAAGAGAAGTAAACATACATAATGGGGCCAGGTCTAGGGTGATACACATGAGGCACTGACTGGGTGCAAAATTTAAGGCAGTGCAAAAAACTGGAGTAATTAGGATAAATAATTTAATGCAATTTACAACTTTAATGCAATTTTTAATGCAATTTTTAAAACACAATGCAAAAATATCCACAATGGACAAAACATCAAAATCTTCAGTAAAGACAAGATGGTTATACAGCCTGCTATGAGAAAAAAAAAGAATTGGGAATGGGAACAGGAAATTTTGTGGAGAGAGGTGTTGAGGTTGTAGGTGGAGTGACCAGAGAAGTCCCTACCAAGAAGATGCTACTTGGGTGAAGACTTGAAGGAAGAGAGGAGCAATCCATGCAAATATCTGGGAATAACTTTCTCTGCAGATGGAACAGCAGGTGCAAAGGCCCCTGGGGTTGCACCACACTTGGAGAGGAACTAGTGTGACTGAAGGCTAGGAGTTAGCAGGGGAAGGGGTACAGGAGATGAGGTTAGAGGGGTAATAGGCCAAGATGCAGAGAGAATGAGCTGAACTCAATATTGCCAACTCATTCAAACTTAGAGGCTGGAAATCAGGATTTTAAAGTGGTATCTCTTAATTTTTAAAGGAAGTCTACTAATATGAAAAAATAATTAAACACTGCATAGGCTAAAATCAGTAGTTCACTACTGCAGGCAATTTTGCCTCCCACAGAACATCTGGAGATATGTGTGGCTGTCACAACCGGGAAGCAGATGCTACTGGCACCTAGTGGATAGAGGCCAAGGATGCTGCTGAAATCCAGCCTTGCGGCCGGGTGCAGTGGCTCACACCTGTAAATCCCAGCACTTTGGGAGGCCAAGGTGGGTGGATCACCTGAGGTCAAGAGTTTGAGAGCAGCCCAGTCAACATGGAGAAACCCTGTCTCTACTAAAAATACAAAAAAAAAAAAAAAAAAAAAAAAAAAAATTAGCTGGCCATGGTGGCAGGTGCCTGTAACTCCAGCTACTCGGGAGGCTGAGGCAGGAGAATTGCTTGAACCCGGGAGGCAGAGCATGCAGTGAGCCGAGATCGCGCCACTGCACTCCAGCCTGGGTGACAGTGAGACTCCGTCTCAAAAAAATAAAATAAAAAATAAAAAAATAAAATAAATCCTGCCTCGCACAGGATAGCCCCACTCCCCCCGCCTTGCAAAGAAGCATGATTTGGCTGGAAACATCAATTGTGCCTTAGGTAGAAAACTCTGCGCTAAATAGAACATAGCTGTGAATGGAAACTGTTGATGAGGTCAGCAATTCCAGGAAAGGATCAGATGGGCCAGAAGCTCCACTACGGCCCTCTTCCCTCCACGCCTCCCAAAATGCCCACCCATTTCCTTTATGCTGCAGCAGAAGTGATTTTCCACCACATGCCTAACACTCCTCCTCATTAAGTAATCACTATCCACAGCCACTCATTTCCATGTTTGTAGCCAGTCCAGGTGTAAAAGACGCCTGCCCTGTTCATAGGAGTCAGATGGAGATCAGCCAATTACAGGGCTATTAGATGAAAATGCAGTGCCTTCCTTATCTTGCCTCTGTGGGTTGAGCTCTTCACGATGGTGGGTTTGCGCCTGATCAGTACTTTAGTCCAATGCCCGCCCAGCCTGGTTCTCTAATTCTGGCCAGCAGAGCACAATTTCCTATTCTAAATGGAACAGCTCCGCTGATATGTTCTGAGCAGCAGCAATATTCACCCTTTTGCATACTGTATTCATAGCTGATTATGCAAATCACATTTCATTAGTCTTTTCCTCATTAAAATGATTTGAAAGACAAATAATTTTGGATAGACTTTTATTGTTGTGCAAGGGTATGTCTAAAGCAACTGTTTTTGGTGCAATGAGCTAGAACATTAGTCATAAACTAAAAAATCCCCACAAAGCCCTGGGAGGTACTGGGAAAATGTGAACCGGGTCATCAAAATAGAAGGTGGTGGTAACTGGGGCAGACTGGAGGCAGCTCACCTAGACTAGAGGAGACATCTAGTCCTCAGGTCCAGCCAATATGGCAGAATGGCAACTGGGACCAGTAGGGCAAGACTTTTTCTTTGACATTTTAATAGGACTAGAAATCTGAGATTTTTTTTTTTTTTTTTTTTTTTTGAGATGGAGTCTCGCTCTGTCGCCCAGGCTGGAGTGCAGTGGCATGATGTCGGCTCACTGCAACCTCCACCTGCTGGGTTGAAGTGATTCTCCTGCCTCAGCCTCCTGAGTAGCTGGAATTACAGCCATGTGCCACCACGCCTGACTAATTTTTGTATTTTTGGTAGAGATGAGGTTTCGCCATGTTAGCCAGGCTGGTCTTGAACTCCTGACCTCAAGTGATCCACCCACCATAGCCTCCCAAACTGCTGGGATTATAGGCGTAAGCCACCACCCCTGGTCAAACTCTGGATTTTTAAAGAACTCTATCTGCTTTAATACACTGAATGGGAATTC